>NC_000005.10:127609807-128859807 GCF_000001405.40 Homo sapiens
TGAAAATTATTCCACATCAGTTCATAGAGTTCTTTCTCAATCTGTTTTTTTTTTTTTTTTTTTTTAAGAGACAGGGTCTCACTCTGTCACCACAGCTGGAGTGCAGTGGCACGATCATGGCTCACTGCAGCCTCAAATTCTGGGTCTCAAGCAATCTTCCCACCTCAGCCTCCCAAGCAACTGGGACTACAGGCATATGCCAACAATGCCCAGCTAATTTTTAAATTTTATGTAGAGACAAGAGACAAATTTTATGTATGTTCCCCGGGCTGGCTTCAAGTAATCCTCTGCCTCTGCCTCTCAATGTGCTGGGATTACAGGCCTGAGTCACCATGCCCAGTCCTTTCTCAGTATTTTTGTTAGAGCTGTATAGCATTCCATTGTGTGTAGAACAATAATTTATCCAACCAGTCTCTTATGCTTGACCATTTAGGAAGTTTTCAATGTTTTATATTTATAAGTAATGCTGCAAATAATAACTTTGTGCATACGTATTTTTGTAATGACTGATGGTATTTTCAGAATAAATTCCTAGCAGTGGGACAACTGGGACAATAGTAAATCGGCAAGTAATTTTGTTAAATATTACTAACTTTGCCTTCAAAGGAGCAATATCACTTTACATTCCCAGCAGAAATATATGAAAGTACCCGTTGTTCGAAGCCTTACCAAGAGGCTGTATTATCAGGCTTTTGAATTTTTGCCAATCTGAGGGGTGAGAAATAGTACTTCAGTGCAGTTTTGATTTGCATTCCACTTATTATGAGATAGAATATTTTTTCATATATTTAAAATAAATTTTAGATTCTTTTATTGTGAATCATCTGTTTGTGTCTTTTGTCTATTTTTCCATAGATTTCTTTCTCTCTCAATTAAAACAATTCATTGTATATTAGGGATTTACCTGAGACATACGTTGCAAATATTGTCTCACAGTTTGCCATTTGTCTTTTGATTTTATTTACAATGTTTTTGCCATGCAAAATATTTATTTTCTTGTAGTTATATTTATTTATAATTTCATTTATTGCTTGGATTTTTTTTAACTTTTGTATTAAGTTCAGGGGTACAAGTGCAGGTTTGTTACATGGGTAAACTTGTGTCATAAGGGTTTGTTGTACAGATTATTTCATCACCCAGGTATTAAGCCCAGTACCCATTAGTTGTTTTTCCTGATCCTCTCCCTCCTCCCACCCTCCACACTCCAAAAAACCCCAGTGTGTGTTGTTCCCCTCTAGGTGTCCATGTGTTCTCATCATTTCGCTCCCACTTATAAGTGAGAACATGCAGTATTTGGTTTTTGGTTCCTGCAGTAGTTTGCTAAGGATAATTACCTCCAGCTCCATCTATGTCCCTGCAAAGGACATAATCTCATTCTTTTTTTTATGGCTGCATAGTATTCAATGGTGCATATGTACCAAATATTCTTTATCCAGTCTACCATTGTTGGGCATTCAGGTTGATTCTATTTCTTTGCTATTGTGAACAGTGCTTATTGCTCAAAATTTCAAGTCCCACTTAGAAAGCCTTTCCTTACATGGAGGTTAAAGAGGCAGTTACCCATGCTTTCATCTAGTATTTTATTACTTTATCTTTTACATTGAGACTTGGGTCCATTTGGAGTTTATGCTCATGTATGGTGTGAGTAATGAATTTAATTTCATTTTTGCCAAATGGCTATCCAGATGTCCCAACACCATTTTTTTTTTTAAAAGACTATCTTTGCCTCGGTGATTTGAGATAATACCTTTGTCAAACACTAGATTTATATATAAAATAGGTCAATTTCTGTGCTTTCTATTCAATTCTATTGATCTGTCTGTCAATTCATAAGCCTGGATATATTTTGAAGGTAGAGTTAACAGATGTTGGTGATGAATTTGATGTGAGGCGTGAGAAAAAAAGAGTCAGGTATGACTCTATGATTGTTGACCTAAGTAACTAGAATGTTGGAGTAGCCATCTACTGAGGAGAATTGAGTTTTTGTCGGGAAATACCAGGAATTCTGGGTTGGCCATATTCAATCTGCAATAACCTTTAAATGTCCTAGTGGAGATGTGAAGGGGCACGTGGCTATAAGCGTAGATTTAGGGGAAAGGCAGGAGAAAGATATTTAGAGTCAGTCATGTGGAGACAGAATTTAAAACCATGAGCCTATTAAGAGTTTTAAATGAAAGCATTATCTCCATTTGGAAGATATACATCCTACAGTTTTGAGGGTTTAAGTCACTTGTCCAAGTAAATTGCAGAGCTGGGCCATGAATCTAGTTCTTATTCTCTGTACTCGTTTTCTATGTCGGATGAAACAAAGTACCCTAGACAGGCTAGCTTAAATAGCAGAATTTATTTTCTCTCAATTCTGAAGGCCAGGATCAAGACATCAGCAGGGCTGTTTTCTCCTGAGGCCTCTCTCCTTGGCTTCTAGGCAGCAGTCCTTTCCTCCCTGGTATTCACATGGTCTTCCCTCTGCTACCTGTACGTGTCCTAATCCCCTTTTCTTAAGGAACATCAGTCCTATTGGATACAGGTCTACCATAATGATATAATTGTAGCTTAATTAACCCATAAAGACCTTATTTCCAAGTACAGTCACATTCTGAGGTACGAGGGGTTAGGCCTTCAACATATGAATTCCGGAAGGACACAATTCGGCAGGTAATATTCTGTTTTTGTGACAACAACTTGCTGTGTGTTTGAGACTGTAGTAGTCAGAGTTCTCCAGAGGGACAGAACAAATATATGAGTTGATTAGGGAGAATTAGCCCACACAGTTACAAAGGTGAAGTCCCACAATAGGCCATCTGCAAGCTGGGGAAAGAGAGAAGCTGATAATGACTCAGTCCAAGCCTCAAAACCAGGGAAGCTGACAGTACAGTCTGAGGTCAAAGGCCCTAAAGCCCCAGGAGGTTGCTGGTACAAGTCTCAAATTCCAAAGACTGAAGAACCTGAAGTCTGACATCCAAGGGCAGGAGGAGAAAAATGGCTGCCCTGGAAGGGAGATAGAGGAAGCTCTGCAAAGTGAATATCTCACTTGTCCCACCAGCTTTGTCCTAATGGCACCAGCAGCCAGCTGGATGGTGCCTGTCTACATTGGGAGCATTCCACTGACTCACATGTCAATCTCCTCTGGAAACTTCCTCACAGACACACCCAGAAACAATACTTCACCAGTCATCTAGGCATCCCTCAAGCCAGTCAAGTTGACACTTACTATTTACCATCATACAGAGGAAACGAGAATTTAGGGCCTGAAAGATCATATGTTTCATGAGAGAATTAAAATGATGATTACTTTGGGCTGGTGCAGTGGTGGCTCACGCTAGTAATCCCAGCATTTTGGGAGGCTGAGGCAGGTAGATCACTTGAGGCCAGGAGTTTGAGACCAGCCTTGCCAACATGGTGAAAACTCATCTCTACTGAAAGTACAAAAATTAGCTTGGCATGTTGGCGCACACCTGTAATCCCAGCTACTCAAGAGGCTGAGGCAGGAGAATTGCTTGAACCCGGGATGCAGAGGTTGCAGTGAGCTGAGATTGTGCCACTGCACTCCAGCCTAGGTGATAGAGCAAGACTGTGTCTCAAAAAGAAAAGAAAAAGGAAAATGATGATACTTTGATGCCTATGGGTTAGCATTTCTCCTTTATCTGAAGGCTATTCATATGTGTGGCATAAAAATAAATGATATTTAATAAGAAGCTACAATCCTCAGATCTGTGTCCAGGAAAGAAAGGCTTGTCTTTCCTTGGGAAACATGGGACAGGAAGGACCCATGACACAGAAGTTACAGCAATGCATTTGAGCCTTGTCTGGGCTGGAGGAAAAAAGGGTGAACATTTTTTTAAAAACATGTGTCAATGTTTATCTTGAAGAAGTCACTTTTTGACCACTAAGAAATGTGGATTAAAATAAATAAGAAATACCTGTCAAGTAAAAAAAAAAAAAAATCCGAAAGTTTATCAATATGTTTTTGGTTAGAAGTAATCAACTTCAAGAAAATTTCTCCTTTTCATATAGTCTTTAGTTATATATGAAAATCCAGTCAACTTATAGATTATTGTAATTAATTCATTAAATACTTGTATATTTGTAAGTACATTAAAAAATAATTAAGCTCTCTGAGCTTCATTCATCATTCTAAGAATGATGCCATAACTTCTCTAGGTCACCTTTACTTGGAAAGATTCTAAAAGTTCTACTTCACACTATTTTGTAATCTTTTTTCAATATTTTTGCTACTTGGTTATTACTCACTAAACTACAGTGTATTGGTGCAGGAAAACATCTCCATAAATTACTAACTGAAACTCATCAAGATTCTATGGGAAACAAATTACTTTGAGTTTGTCTTCCAAGAATTTACGTCATTTCCTAACAACTTTTGTCACTGATTCCTGAGACAACTTTTCAGAATGAGAATATGTTATCTGACATTTCTACTTCTCAGAAGAAATTATCTGAACTAAGTAAAATTTGCTCGAATAGAGTAAGCTGGAATACAGGTTGAAGCAGTTTGGATTTCGGCTCTGATGTTTTGATAGATTTTTAAAAGTGTAAGATTGGAGGGGGAACTCTGATGGAACATTTTGGTTGCCTTGGTTGCTTAGCAAGGTGGCACCAGGGTGTCTGAATAAGGGCAGCTTAGAAACTGATGTTGGTTGTTGTTCTCACTCATAGGTGGGAATTGAACGATGAGAACACTTGGACACAGGAAGGGGAACATCACACACCAGGGCCTGTTTTGGGGTAGGGGGAAGGGGGACGGATAGCATTAGGAGATATACCTAGTGTAAATGACCAGTTAATGGGTGCAGCACACCAACATGGCACATGTATACATATGTAACAAACCTGCACGTTGTGCACATGTACCCTAGAACTTAAAGTATAATTATATATATATATACACATATATATATATACACATATATATACACATATATATATATACACATATATATATACATATATATATATACACATATATATATACATATATATATATACATATATATATATACATATATATATACATATATGTATATATGTATATATATATATATATAGAACAAAACTGATGTCGGTTGTAGATAATGGACCGAAAAAAGCATAGATACTGCAAAATGAAACAAACAAAAATCATAAAAATGTCAATGTTGATTTCATCAGTACCCCATCAGTTAAGTAAGGTTAATTTATCCTTGAAAACAAGAAAATCTGGCTGGGTGTGGTGGCTCACACTAGTAATCCCAGAACTTTGGGAGGACGAGATGGGTGGAATGTGTGGGATCAGGCGTTTGAAACCAGCCTGGTCAACACAGGGAGCCCTCATCTCAACAAACAAACAAACAAACAAACAAACACAAAAACAAAAACCATCCAGGCAGTGTGGCATGGACCTATAGTTCCAGCTACTTGGGAGGTTGAAGTGGTAGGATTACATGCACCTGGATTTCGAGGCTGCAGTGAGCTATGATTGCACCTCTGCACTTCAGCCTGGGTGAAAGAGGGAGACCCTGTCTCAAAAAATAAAAATAAAGAAAATCTATCTAAGTTACAGCAACATGTTGAAAAGAAATTACTCCTAAATAGAATTGCATCTCCTGCCCTGCTCTTAATTGGATAGACCCTCATCCTTGAGAACCACTGGACCTTGATATGGTTTGGCTCTGTGTCCCCACCCAAATCTCATCTGGAATTGTAATCCTCACATGTCGAGGGAGGAACCTGGTGGGTGGTGATTGAATCATAGGGACGGTTTCCCCCATGCTGTTCTTGTGATAGTGAGGGAGTTCTCACAAGATCTGGTTGTTTGTTAAGTGTCTGGCATTTCCCCTGTGTGCTCTCTCTTTCTTGCCACCATGTAAGACATACCTTGCTTCCCCTTCACCTTCCGCCATGATTGTAACTTTCCTGAGGCCTCTCCAGCCATGTGGAATTGTGAGTCACTTAAATCTCTATCCTTCATCTATTACCTAGTCTCAAGTAGTATCTTTATAGCAGTGTGATAACGGACTACAGCCCTCTTCTCTGCTGTGGCCAAAAGCTTCCTCTCACTAACATTACCTCCAAATTGCATATCCAAGCAGTTGCAGAGGTACATAGTCAGGACTGAACATTTAAAATGTTTACCTAACACTTCATTTCTGTTTTGGCATTTCTTCCTTTTCAATAAACAAAAGTAGCCTGGGCCTCTGTAGCCTTCTGAGATTCTTTGTAGATACTGATTATTTTAAAATGCCACCAATAAAACACAGCAGCCAGTGTTATGGGCTCATTGCTCTATTTAAGCACAGCATTCCCCAAACAAAAAGGTTCTGGGAATTCCCCTGGCCTGAGTCGCCCTCTCCTGAGGCCCTGACTTGTAAGGCCTTGCTGTGCTCCTTGTCCTCATCACTGTGTTTTGAGGGAGAAACTTCTGTCTCCAGATGTTTTTAATTCGCCTGATTATGGCTGCTCTTGGTCAGTGAGGATGGTCACTGTCACATTCTGAAAACACACAAAAACAAAAACAGAAGAAAACCATAGGTTAAATACAACTCACCATGGCTCTGTTGTGATTAGCCCTTCCTCAGTTACCTTGTTTTTAAAACGGGTTGATCTTTTGAACAAGTTGTCCCTTCTCATCCCTATAACTTAGAGCAGGCCAGGTAATTTAAAGAGTTTGATAGCAAGTAGCATTTTTTCCTTCAGAGTCTTGGAGTCTCAGCCTCTTCCATCTATTTCTAAGAGAAAGAAGGCAAGTCTACATTTAGTGGGTGACTGCCACTTGCCAAGTGTTTTAATTTATCTTCATAACTAACATGCATTGTAAGTATGAAGATACCCATTTCCAGATGACAAAACTGCGATTTCAATGAAATTTCATGCCTGCAGTTACTGAGCTAGCAGCAGCGGGGTCAGGGCTTTGCTGCAAGTCAGAGCTTCCAGTCTTTCAAAATCATTATCAGGCTTTGTGTGAGATTGACCACATGCTAACAAACCATTCCTGGTACTATTTACTTGGCCATTTCTTTCTAACCATACTAAATGGTTAGAAAACAGACATTTTATCTCTCTGCCAAACATGTCATCCTCCAGAGCAATATGCTGTCCTAACTCTTCTTTAGGTAACTTCATGATCATTAGAACTAGGAGGAGGAAAATGAAGGATTCTCAAAACTCCTTAGCAGGGTTACCAGATTTAGCAAGTGAAAATATAGGACACTCAGTAAAATATTTGGGACATACTTATGCTAAAAAAGTATTCATTATGTATCTGAAATTCAAATTTAACAGAATATTCTGCTTTTTATCTGGCAAACTTATCCCTTAGCAACAATTTTGCTAATGTAAAGTTTAATCTTTCTTTCCCAAATAGCAAATTTTTTTTCTTGTTAGATATTTAGTTTATTTTCTTTCTTATAATTTCTTTGTAAGATACAAATAGGTGGAGGAATTGGCCAATAGGTGCTTATCAAAGGGGAGAGTTTTGTTTGGGTAACTGAGAAATCAGTTCTTTCTGCATGAAGAATTCACTGTAAATTTCATTCTGATTCTGAAAACCTCTGGTGGCAAAACCTTTTAAGTGACTTTATCCAACAATGTTTTTTTCTTTTCCCTGGTAAAGGGTCTTAGATGAAAATATAAGAAGGCAGGAAGAGGGCCTATACCATGAATAAAACTGGAAGCTATACTTTCTATTAAACTTAAGGCTTTTTTTCTTTTTTCAAATCTATTTCAGAAGACTATTTTATTATTATTTTTAAATTTTTTATTATTTTTTCTTTCTCTGTTGCCCAGGCTGGAGTGGAGTGGTATAGTCACAGCTTACTGCAGCCTTGCCCTTCCTGGGCTCAGGTGATCCTTCCCGCTCAGCCTCCAAAGTAGCTGGGACTACAGGCACACACCATCACTTTTGTAGAGATGGTGTTTCACCAGGTTGCCCAGGCTGGTCTTGAATTCCTGGGCTCAAGCGGTCTGCCCACCTCAGCCTCCCAAAGTGCTAGGATTACAGGTGTGAGCCACTGCGCCCTGCCCAGGGACAATTTTTGTAACACGAATATATTATGCTGCAGAGTCATGTTGGTAATCTTAATTTGTAATGAATGGTTCGATAATTAAAAGATGCAAAACCAATCTAAAACACCAAGAATCTATAGGCATTTGGAGGTAAATACACCAGGGAATTTCAGACAAATTCATTGTCAAGACTGCCGTGATGGGGTCTCAGGCTTCACCTGTGGTTTTCAAACATAAAGAAACAATTGAGCATGGTAAATGCACAATCTCAGAAAGAGGACATTCTTATTTTTAAAGGACAAAAACTTCATGAAAAACTTGAAAATCGTTTCTAACTGTGATGTAAAACATACACCATAAGGAAACATGAAACAAGACAGACAGTAATAGAAGAAAAGCCTCTGGTTCTAGTCAACATCTACATATGGGAATTTAAAATTGCTTATGTCACGCCCAGAAAGAAAAATTTTTATTATATTCATAACATGTTTCTGCATGCTATTGTAGGCATTTCTCTATCAATTATTACCTAGAAAAGTGTAAGAATGTATAGCCGACAGAAATTTCAAGGTGACCTGATTCAGCTCCTCTCAAAGTACAAAGTAAATTCAAATTATAGTTTTAATGAAGAGAGTTGATAATGGGGGTGGGGTAATGCAAGAATGAACACTTGTTTGTATCTTTTTTTTTTTCTAGCTAATTGCTAGAAAGTTCCAATGAGAGAGATTTTGTGGCCTTCAAAATCAGCCGTTCAAGTATCCCATTGACCTGGCTTTTTTTCCCTTAATACTTCATTAAAGTATCCTTGATTACACTGTGAAAACAATGAATGCATCATTGTTTTAAAATAAATTGTGAGATAGTTTCTCTAGAGAGAGGCACTCTGTCCAGCTTTGACAGGACAATGATAGAGTTGTATTCCCTAGATGTGATGGGGTCTTAGTGGACTGTCCCTTTTCAGTCTATGCTCACTTTGAACCATAATTCAACATTTCTTGCATATCAAAGAACAAATGCAGTTCCACAGTACTTTACAATTATTGTAGGTGTTAGCAAAAACTTAGTAAGAATACACAGAAATGAATTGGCATTGCCCACTGCATTAGTCCGTTTTCACGCTGCTGATTATGACATACCCGAGACTGAGTAATTTACAAAGAAAAAGAGATTTAATGGACTCACAGTTCCACGTGGCTGGGGAGGGCTCACAGTCATGGTGGAAGGCAAAAGGCACATCTTACTTGGTGGCAGGCAAGAGAGAATGACAGCCAAGCAAAAGGGGAAACCCCTTCTAAAACCATCATATCTCGTGAGACTTATTCACTACCATGAGAACAGTATAGGGAAAACCACCCCCATGATTCATTTATCTCCCACCAGGCCCCTCCCACAGCATGTGAGAATTATGGGAGCTACAATTCAAGATGAGATTTGTGGCGGCGGAGGAAGGGCATAGCCAAACCATATCACCCACCACACACACACACACACACACACACACACACACACACAAACTTAATGAAATAAAATTCTTCATTAAATATTTCAGAACTTTGCCAAAATTTTCTCCTTGACTGCCTCATCTTTCTACTCTTTTTCTCCCCTCCTCCTTGTAGGGGCAAAGAGAATACCTCCGCTTCACCTTCCGAAAGTTCTCTGAAAATCAATTGACTAATAGGAGAAAAGGCATACAAAATTTATTAATGTGTGCACGTGTGCATGGGAGTCAGATAAAATATGAAAGCTCAAAGAAAGGGCCAGATGGGTAAAGTTTTATACCATCCTGAGGTTAGAGAAAGAATGGAGGCTTGGAGCCTGGCAAGACTGGTTGTGGGAGAAAGAGAGAGGATAGGCCTGGCTTGCAAAGGTGCTCTTGTTATGCAGGTGAAACCTCACAGGTGGCAGCTCTCAGAAATAAGAAGTTTCTGTGAGACCCCCCAAAGGTGTCAGACTCTTAGTCTCCCTCTCCCATGAGCCAGTCCTTCCTAGATCAGGACAAGGTGTGGGACCCAGAGAAAGCCTGGCTATTTATTTCGCCAGTGCAGATTTTCCTACAGATGCAAATCTCCTCCACAAAAGGATTTGCAAGGGTGTATTCCTATGTGCAGGCCCTCTGAATAGCCATTTCAAAATATGTCAACGAAGTATATTTTGGAGAAAAATATTTTTGGTTTCCTTTACCTTCATTGCTCTCTGTTTTCTGAAGTAATATTGCTGTCATGTTCAGTTAGCGTATTCTACTCTGTGAAACCAGAGGCCTATAAACAGTAGACTCCCACTCCCTTGGAAAGCTGCTCTAGCACTGACTAGGATGACCCAGAAAACACCTTGGGGGCCTCACCTCCCACACGCTGTGGCTTTCCAAGTATTCATCAAACAGAAAAGTTTTTTTCCTTTGTGTAGCCATCCTCGAGATCGGCCCCCAGTGATTCTTGCCTGCTGGTATTCACTCTCTTGTGGATTCTTCACCTACAATGAGTCACAGCCAACTTCTATGACCAAGAGAATATGATAGAAGTGACAGCACATGACATCTGAAAATAGATCATGGAAGACATTGCAGCTTCCACCTTGGTCTTTTGGATTGCTCACTTTGTGGGGAAGCCATGCTTTGAGGATGCTCAAGCAGCTTTGTGGAGAGGCCCATATAGAGAGAAACTGAGGCCTCCTGACAACAGCTGCCACTGCCACCCACATTGCTACCATGTGGCTGAGCTATCTTGAAGCAGATCCTCCAGTTCCGGTTAAGCTTCAGACAACTATAATCCTGACTGACATTGGTGAGCAACTCATTAGAGACCCAGAGCCATGACTATCCAGCCAAAGCATTTCTACCTGATTCACAGAAACTGTGAAGGAAAATGATTAGTATTGTTTTAAGTGACCAAGTTTTGGGGTAACTTGTTATGCAACAATGAATAGTTAACGAATTCTTAATTAAGCAGTGATTCTAATGCTTACAGCGTTTTGTGATGTGAATAATGCTTTGAGATTTATAGTGTTGGATGATTTATTTCTTCTATTATCTTTTTTTTAATAAAACAACATTGAGAAACTCAGATAACTATTATCTTGAATTTCTAATGGATTCATATTTTAAAGTATATCAACTTGAAATCATGAAATCTATAAATTTGAAAGAAAGAACTTTATTTCATATAAAGGGTTGCAACCTGCAGCCTGACAGGAATATCCTCTTGCAGAAACAAAAAGCAGTCACTTTGAGGGAGAGAAAGTGTCACAGAAATGTTATGCTTAGCAGATCAGCTAGACATACATATTTAACAGGCTATAGGAGGGGCCAGGAGTATACGTGAGAGGATTGTTGCACATGCATGGTAAACAAACATGTATGTTACATACGTTCCGTGTTCACTTTGGGGTGGAGAAAACATCAAAATGTAAAATTAGGCTCTATACATCAAAAAATGAAATAGAGGGCACAGATGTGCCCTGTGAGTGGCCTCTATGGGTTGGCCAGAACCAGTCTGTGGTTGGTGGTCCCTTATCAGAAAGGAATGCTGGTCAATGGCTGTGTCCAAACCGTGAAAGGGGAAAGGAGTTCAGTAGCAGTGCCAGGTGGTTGGTTGAACTTAGAGGAGGAGCGAGTCTTCCATTCTTTGTTTTCTAGGGCTGATTTCTGTTTAACTTTGAGGGAAAAAAGTCTAATGGTAGTTATCAAGGAAGGGGGTGTGTAATGAGGCTTGACCAACCTCCCATCCCTTCATGCCTAGGAAACTTAGTTGTAAGTTTTTCTGGGGTCTCCTTGGCCAAGGGGGTTTGTTCAGTTGCTTGGAGAGTTTAGGATTTTATTTTTATTTCACGAGTGTATTCTATCCAATACTGGGAACACTGAAGCATCATATTTAAGAGCGTAGAAACTGGAGCCATGAAGCCTAGATTCTACAATCTCCCAGCTATGTGACCTTGGGCACATTATTAATCTGAGACCTGGTTTCCTCATTTGTAAAATATGCAGAGTAATCACAAGTACCTCACAGGGATTTGAAAGGATGAAGTATGATAATGCATGTTCTTTGTACACTGCATGGCTTGTAGTGAATGTTCAATAAACGTCAGCTATTAATGAGCTGCTTTCAGCATTAGAAGTATGTCTGTTCTGATTAAATTTAAAATGGAAATTTGGCAGATAAAAGACAGAAGTTCAAACCCAAATCTTACCAGCATGTTATTTTTTTGTTAATGATATTAACAGGATTAGAATGACTTTCTTTTCATCCAGACAAGCTCACAGACAACCCACTGACACTGTGAACTTGGATGTTGTGGAATGCTAATCATCCCTAACAATGTCAGTGTCAGGGCAAAGCACCAGCTGGAGGAAATTTAACCAAGGACACATCTTCTGCATTTTTATGTGACATTTTATGTACATTTGATGTAACTGTTTTGCATGGAAAAATCTTGCAACCATAGAATATTCATGAAGGTAGCTTCTATATTTCTCATGCTTTATCTCCTGGTCTTGTTCATTCTTCCATCACACGTACACAGTATACTTTAAAAATCATTTATTGGTTGATTTACTGGTGATTGTAAAGCTCAGTTGGTGAGAAATGTTACTGATCTTGAATTTACTGAGCAAACAGGAAAAAGAAGCTTGTGGAAAATGAGCTGGAGAAGCAGCAAATAAAGAAAAATAAAGAACACTAATAGAAAATGACAAATAGAAGAGAAAAGGCATAGTATATGAAAATACGGAAAATAAGGCAAGCCATATGGAAAATGAGCATTTGTTTGCTGTGAAAAATTAGGGCATAAATGACTCAAGGATAAGAGCTTATGAGAATTCCTAATGACTATCACCAGCATGTATATTTCATCCTGTCTCCCTTAGCTAATTTATTTAAGAAAAAGAGGGCTATTTTTAATTAACAATACTAAAAGGAAATGAAAGTTTAGGTTGTGGGTACCTTAAACATTTGCTATGAATCTTAAATAGTTACTGTTTACAAGCACTGACTTAATTTCAGTTTGCTGACTCTACTACCTGGATATTGGAACCTGAAAAGGGCAACTCATTGAGCAATAAGTTGATCATCAGGGTTCCCAGGTAAATAAGGGAGCTTACTGCTTAGAAGACTCTCTGCCATGGATGAGATTCAGCTTTTCCATCTGTATACAGCAGAAATAATATATGTCCTTCCATCATATCTGAGCAGTTAATAAGTCAATGATTATATCTAGCCAATGAAATAGAAGTGAGCCATTCGTACTTAGTACTTTAAGGCAGCACTTTTCAAATGTATTCCACAACACAATGAGGAGGCCAGGGAAGGGGCAGGGATGAGAGCTGAGACCACCCGACCCCAGATGAAAGATATGCTAACCATACTGACAAAAAACAACAGGCTTAGGCGAATTCATGCGTATTGATTCCTGAGGCCTTAGATACTCCAATAGGCTTCTACCACTCATGTAGAAGACAGGAAGATTCTACTTTGAAGAGTCTGAACAGCCTAAAAAGAAAGACCTAAAGTCACTGACATCACAATTTTCTAGTAAATGGGATACCCAGATTACATTACAGTGAAGCTTAAAGTCAACCAGCCTCTAAATATACATATTTAGAGTTTCTAATCAGGGAAGACCCCAAGATGGAAGATAAAAACCAGAACAGACAGGAAAAAAACAACTTGGCAAGAAAATAAAAGCCACTGACGAAGAAGAAATTTTCCAACACCTATTATGAATATCCTAGGGAGTTTTGGAAGATACTGCATCCCTGAACTGAGAACAAGATGCTAAGAAAAAAAGGCATTCAGAAAACAAAAAAGAAGAAAATAGAAGAAAAAGACAGAAAACAGGTCTAAGGAGATAAGAAATTTAGAAAACAGTATAGAAAATCTAATATGTAATAATAGAAGTTCAAAAAGAGCAAGAACACAGAAAATTGAAGATAGGAAATCATCAAGAAGATAATTGAAGGCATTTTCCCAAGAGTAAAGGTCATGAATTTCCAGATTGAAAGGGTCCACAGGAAGCCTCGACAATGAATGGAAATAGGCCTATCTATGGCACATCATTGTGAAATTTCAAAACTGGGTACAAAGGGAAGATTCTCAAAGCTTCCAGATGGAAAATCAAGTCACTTACAAAGCACTAAAAATCAAATGAACTCTGCAAGCTAGTGGAATTGAGAATTCCTTTAAAGTTCAGGAATAATATTATTTCCTACGTAGAATTCAATATAGAGGTAAAAGATCAACCATATGGGAGGATAGAACACAGATACTGTTATCAAACATGTAAGGCATTCTTTTCCAGAGCACTATTGGAAGATGTGATCCACTGAAACTGAGAGAACAAATCAAGAAGGAGAAAAACATGGAACACAGGAAACAGGAAGTCAAACACAGAAGAGAGGAAAAAGAAAACCCTTAGGATAATAACAAGGAGGGATTTCAATAAGACTGCTCTGCTGCAACCATAAACGGCAGATTGTGCACAGTGTTAGCTGGAAAATTTGCAGCCAAGGACAGCGAAGGGTCCTTTCTCTCTTGCCAGCCTTCGCCTCATAGTGAAGAGACAGGTATAGTAGAAGTCAAAGAAACCACTGCATTTATTGATGAGATCCATATAATGGTGTATGACTGAGAATGAATGATGAGATATTTAAAGTATGGTTTCAGTATTTCTATTTCTCTATTTTGTATTACTGAGGTTTGGGTATCCTTCTGGCAATGAGTTGGTCACTACTTTTTTTAAGAGGTCACAATAATTATGCATCATGGAAATGGGCACTCTCAGCAGGATATCTGGAAGGCTGGGGTCCCCCACCCCAGATGGAGTAGTGGGCAAGAACAGGGTCCTTGTTATGTAGAGACAAGATCTGCTCAGCTTTCCTTAGTGGGCAAAATAGGCTTCTTATGATATAAGACAAGATCTGTTGCTCGGTTTTCCTTGAAGAAATCCCTTGCTCTTGTATAAGAGAACTGTGTTGAAGAACACAGAACTTTTGTTTCACACTGTAGCAACTAGCGATTTCTGTATGAATTTGTGATTCTCAGTTTGATCCCTGGAGATTGCCTGATGGAGCCATTCCTCACATGGGCTACTCTAAGAGCATGCCCCTACATGTATAAATCTTCTTAAGACCTAGAATTTAGCAATTTTGTCATAGAAATATGCAGTTATTGGATTGTTTTAGATTTTTAAAATATAAATTAATGCAACTTAGTTTAACTGAGGGCAGTTGTTTAGAATATGTAAGTATCTGGAATGATATCAGTATTGATTAATGTCTTTGAGAATATCATAGACAAGATATTGTTATTTCTTCCTGTGCTAGCATGTCAGGAGGACAAGTGGTAGCCCCATCAGGGGCACTGACTCTCAGTAAGTGGAACATGCCTCCATCCCATCAGAATTGGGTATATTTTCTTCTCAGTTAATATTAATACATGCTCTCAAGACAATTTAAACCTTACTGCCAAATTTAGTCTTTTCAATTTATTAAAGTATTCTGTTCTTAGTTTTTGTTTTTGTATTGGGATTAGATGAATAAAATAATGATAACTATTGGAAATTATTGCAATTAAAATAATTTCCTTTACTTATGTTTATAAAAGTTACTAATGAAGTTCAAAGGCAATTTTTGCTTTATTAGAAAATTGTTTCATATTTATTTTCAGATGACTGAGAAAGATCAGAAATATTTCAGTTACATTTTATCTGAATTGATTGCTTTTGTAGAGAACTTGCATTTTCCCTATGACAGAGTAATTCCCATTTTATTTTTATGTCCCAAATCCTAATATGAGATTTAAAAGATACATTTCTTAGCTGATATCTTTTGTGGTTTATCCTGAAGAAAACATTTGTCATGGATGATTCTGTATCATCTATTTGGTTTGTCTAGAAAACATATCCCCTAAACCTTTATTTACTTGAAAATAAACAATGTGGACAAGACTATTATGATGTCAACAGCTATCAGACAGGAGCTTTACAAGCATGTGAATTAAAATATATATCTCACTTTGTTTTAAAGGGGTAAGAATTATTAATGCAACCTGCTTTACATTCACTCAACAAAACTCCTCCTTTAAGTGCAACTCAGTAATTTTAACATCATTTTGTATTCCCAGAGTTTCTGAATATTAGTTTTGAGTCTTGTATTGTAAATGAAATTTTAAAAAATCACATGATTAGTTATGTCATGAGTAGTCATAAACCTGAGGTGTGCAAAGTAAACACAACTTAAAAAATTTTTCACTTCTGAACTTGGAATAGAATGGCTTCTGTTTCCATTCTGCCTAATAGAAAATTACCTATTTACTTCTAAGTAGTCTGTATTACTGATTTATCTTCAGTCTGTTTTGGGTACATTCTCAGTAAAACCTAGGGTTTTTCTTTGTCTCTTTCTTCTCCTTCTCCCCCAGGGTTGAGCAGTGCTCAGTGGCGGGACTGAGAAGAGCAGATACACTCAGTCCCGAACCGGAAAGGCACAGGAGCATTTCTCTGAGTGGCGTGTGTGTCTGTGTGTCTGTGTGAGTGGGGTGTGTGTCTGTGTGTCTGTATGTGTGAGTGGCATGTGTGTCTGTGTGAGTGGGGTGTGTATCTGTGTGTCTGTATGTGTGAGTGGCATGTGTGTCTGTGTGAGTGGGGTGTGTGTCTGAGTGGGGTGTGTGTATGTGTGAGTGGGGTGTGTGTCTGTGTGAGTGGGGTGTGTACTGTGTGTCTGTATGTGTGAGTGGCATGTGTGTCTGTGTGAGTGGGGTGTGTGTCTGTGTGAGTGCGGCATGTGTCTCTGTGAGTTGGGTGTGTGTCTGTGTGTCTGTGTGTGTGAGATGTGTGTCTGTGTGAGTGGGGAGTGTGTCTGTGTGTCTGTGTTTGTGGTGTGTGTCTGTGTGAGTGGGGTGTGTGTCTGTGTGTCTGTGTGTGTGAGGTGTGTTTCTGTGTGAGATGTGTTTCTGTGTGTGTGTGAGTGTCTGTGTGTCTGTCTGTGTGTGCATACCCAGGCAGCAAAGCATCCCTGCTTACTGCATGACTCTAGTGTTAGCAGTGCCCCCTGGGACTGGATTTTAAAGAATGAGTTGATGAAATGCTATATTTTGGAATACAAATTGTGAATCTAATAAAAAAAACTCAAGAAGTCAGGTGGTTAAGGAGATTTCAAGTTCCTGATTACTCTTTAGTAAGGAAATTTCGGGTGAGTTATGTAGGGAAGCTGAATGTCCTTATCAATTTCAAGATAAGATGGTTTACATAATCAGGCCATATATATATACTTGCATATCAATACACATTATATCTCTATTATATGAACTCACGTTGTTTTTCTTGGTATTTCTAAATATGTTAGAAATTTTGTAAGATTATATATGTGTGTGCATATATCATGCACACACAAAAGCCACTAATAATATCTATTCCAACATTTTAACTCTTATCAAAGATATTTAGGTGAACTATGTTTTTGGAATACAATTTGTCTAGAAAAAACTTATGTGAGATTTCTGCAAATACTATTTTCCCATCCTAATCACAGTGCATGAAATCCATAACTGAAGTGTGATACTCTTCCCATTTCGCATGCATGTCTGAACACCTGCACCCACTCCCGTCAGAGGTGGTTCTGATAGAAGCAGTAACGTACATGGCATTGCTTTGGGCCCTCCTCTGCCCCTGTGAACCCACCTCTCCTCAGGCTTACCTCAGCTCATTGAGTATTAATGTACACATACACGAGTACATCTTTGTGATTTTCTGTACTTTAGTGCGAGGGCCAATGAAGAAAGAGAAACAAAAGGACAAGAAAACCCTGAATAACTCAACCACATTGCCAGTGTGCAGTCAGCTGCAGTGGAAAATTCCCTGAGGAGCTGTCACCTCATCTTCTAGTCTAAGCCCAGCGTTCCAGTGTCAAGAGGTGACACACTCTATCCGGTGGTCCAACACCTCAGGTTCTGAGGGTTCCTTCTCAGATTTTACACAAGAGAGAAAGGGAACACTATTAACACTTTTCTGCCCTTATGGGCCTTTTAAAGATCAAAATCAGGGAGACAGCAGGCCTGCAAGGATGCCTTATGGTGACAGAGAATCTCCCCTTCCCATCCTGTTGGACTCTAAACACTTTAGAAATAACATAAGTCATTTTCCAAATGACAATTTTGCTTTCCTAATGTGAAAATACACATCACTAGTGCTCTATGTAAAAGAGACTTTTTCTAGCCCCATCTTAAAAAACTAAAAGTTGATTTGTTACTAAAAAAAATGTGTATTTTGCAGTTTAACGATCACTTCAGTCTTGTGAACCCAATCACTTCAATCTTGATAGTGCATTGTGAGTAATAATACAAACTAGCTAACAGGGCTTCTGTAAGAAGTAACTGACAGAATTGTATGTAAGGAGGCTGGGCTCCTTTACCCCAGGAAAATGTGAGCTAAGCCTGAATAAAGGAAGCCCCTATCCCACTGCCACTGCCCCCTCAGTCTGGTGAGGGACCTAGGAATGGAAGTGGCTCTGTTAAAGCTTTCACTCTTTTTCTTTTGGATATCCATGAACTTGTCTGTTGATCCACAAATGCAACCACTGACAGAGAACAAGCCTGAACAGATAAAGGTATCCTAAGAATGGTTGGGTGCCGTGGCTCATGCCTGTAATCTTAGCACTTTGGGAGGCCGAGGTGGGCAGATCACGAGGTCAGGAGATCAAGACCATCCTAGCTAACACGGTGAAACCGCATCTCTACTAAATACACAAAAAATTAGCCGGGCTTGGTGGCGGGCGCCTGTAGTCCCAGCTACTTGGGAGGCTGAGGCAAAAGAATTGCTTGAACCGGGGAGGCAGAGGTTGCAGTGAGCCGAGATCGTACCACTGCACTCCAGCCCTGGTGACAGAGGAAGACTCCATCTCAAAAAACAAAAAACAAACAAAAAAAAAGTACTAACTTCGGCAGCACATATACTAAAAATAAAAAATGAAAAAATAAAAATAAAAAGTCTCCTAAGAATTAGGCACAAAGCGAAAGTTTGTTCCTGGGCAGATTTCAGCATTGCATCGTTGTGCAGAAAGGCTCAATGTTCTTAGCTGCTCTGCAACTAATAAATTGTTTTGTATCTTTACTTAGAGAGAGAGAGAGAGACTTATAAGTCCTTCGGTTTTAGTACCTTCAGCTATAAAGTGATTACTAAAGTAATTGCCTTCTAAATGAATCTGCAAAAATAAATGAAGACATTGTAAGCCATAAATAGTGAATTCCAGTGGAAACAGCTTCTCTAATCAGAAAAGTCAGTGAATATAATTAAAAATATGAGGAACTATCCCTTTAAAATATTGTGGATATATATTTATGAAATATTCTCATAGTAATGATATCACTTTTTCTGAAGACATTTCTAAATCTTTCCTTAAAGCTTAGATCTACATAAATACTGTTTATGCCACTGGCAAAAAAAAGAGGAATTCTTATTACTTGCATCTAGGGAAAACAAAATACATTTATGAGTTAGGATTCATTTAAATGTCTATTTTTACTGCTAATCATTTGTTTATTCAATGAAAAATATTTTGCCTTCATTAAAATTTTGAATGCTTAGAGGAATTTAATACAATGATCAAAGTTCAGTTAATACTCTGAAATATTTATACCTGTAATAAAGAAAAATGGCTTTGCTTAACCTGAAAGTTGCTCTTTTAACCAGAAGAATATAGATTAAACACTGATTTATGAATTTGCTGACTACTTTTGCTTGATATGGTCATTGTCCATTGTTTTGTCTTCAGCTGGAGCACATATTTATGAAATTTTTTTTATGCCTTTATTAAAGACCACATGCAGAAACGTATACTAAGACTAGTTGTAGTATGAGCCAATTGAAGTGCACTTTTGCAACTAATGACCTATTAATGGTAAGCTGATGATACAAGAAAAAATTTTAAATTTGTTTTGATATTGGAAGTATAAGTGGGTTAAAATTCACAAATTGACGAATTATGCTCACAAATCCATGTATATAGATCAAGCATATGTCCAACTTGAGGAAATTCAGACATATAGTATTATTATGTAAATAGACCAGAGATTTCTCATGTATAATTATTATGTGGAGGCCCTTGATAATCATAACCTTAAAATTTTGATGCATATATTATTTGCCATGAACATTTTTCATTTACAATCTGTATGGATAGTAATTACTATCAAGGCTATTATATACAGGTTGCATATCCCTTATCTAAAATGTGTGGGACCAGAATTTGGGATTTTTTTTCAGATTTTGGAATATTTGCATATACATAATGAGATGTCTTGGGAATGGGACCAAAGTCTAAACACGAAATTCATTTGTGTTTTATATACATTTTATATACAGTCTGAAGGTCATTTTATTTTTCCCTTGGGGACACTGAATAAGCTGTGTGTTGTGCAACTGCCTTTTGACTGTGACCTGTCACATGAGGACAGGCGTAAAATTTTCATGGTGTCATGTCAGTACTCAAAAACTTTTGAATTTTGGAACCATTTAGATTCTGGATTTTCAGGTTAGCAGTGCTCAACCTGTACTGAGTACTTCTCTGAACTGGGCTATTTGGGTTTGGTGAGGAGAAGAATGCCTAGGTGGTTATATATGAGAGCCTTGATGAAGCTCCAAAGTTGAAAAATTTCTCCCTCTTTGGCCTGAAATTTCAGCTCTGATATAAATTCATTTCTCACATTCTGATTTTCTTCAATAAAATCCTGATTAAAGTACAGTATTTCAGAGAAAGTGATATGTTGTCACTAATGCCCATTAACATCATCGTTCTTATCACAACTTTTTCTTAGCAGTTGAGAGAAGAATCCTGGGGAATAGGATATAAGTTGGTAAGTTTTGATGCAGGGAAATACAAAAGTCTCTTTTAGAAGTTAGCATGTGAGCTGACAATACAAACGCTCAGCCCTGAAGACAATGTCTAAGGACAACTCTGAGACACGAAATAACTTAAATTCAGTCCCTGCTTTACACTAAATTTCAGTGAAAGACACAAAAGTTGTATACTGGTTGACATGTTACGCATTTAACAGTTAAGTTGAATTAATAAGTATTCATGTTATATCATTAAAGGGGATGCACTCTACTCTGGTAGATATCTATAGTATATATCTGGTATCTATAGATCAGATAGATAGATGATAGATAGATAGATAGATAGATAGATAGATAGATAGATAGAGTACATACTTGGTAGATATCTGTAGTAAGTACACTAACAATAATAAGAATACGTACTTAGAGCAGACGGATTTGAAGAGAAATCCCCACATTTTTTCAGGGCTAGTGAGTAAATCTTTTGGGTAGATGTGTTGTTGGAGGAGCTGTTTACAGAGAGAAAGTAGAAGGGTTTGGCTTAGGGAAGGGGAAAGAAGAGCTCACCTTGTTGAGAGGGCAGGAAATGAGCTTATATTGTGCCAAACAAAAAGCCGCAGGCGCAAAACTGCTCTTGAATGATATCAAACATACTACATTTATTTTTCACTCCAATTTGTAGACTAGAGGAGAGTTCCAGGACCAAGCTTTTTCATTGATTGGCTTTTTATGAATCACCTCCATTTCTTGCCTTTCCTATAGCACATTTCCTCTATGCTTTTGTTAATCACCAGTGCAAAGGGAGGAAAAAACTCAACACATTTTTTACAAACTCCTCCGTCTGAAATGAGCTAAGCATTGTTCTGATACATTTTGCGGAATGTTAGGTGATACTCATAATTTATTCCAACCTGGTGATTCTAAGATTTTTTTCTACTGGGACATAACTAGTATAGAGTTTATATCTCTTTGGCATTGCCCAAGTTTTGGAGACGTTGAGACTTGTGGCTAAGCACTCACTGTGTTAATAAATTCTAGTTCCTACGGTGTGATTTTTTTTAAGTATGTAAATCTGAAAGTGAAATGATTTGGTTTTATACCTTGGAGCTCTACTAGGGATCTCACTATCCATTTAGAAATGATGTGTCCGTGGTGATGAGGATACAGCAAGTAGGAAACTTTCTGAACTGGTAGTGAGCCCATATCTCTCCTGGGCACCAGAGAAACTCAGTACAAGTTATCAGTAGACTTCAGTGTGGTTAAAGCTGTCCAACTGGGGCCCAGCAGCACCCTGCAACTCTGAAGGAATCTCTATTTCTCAAGGTTTTTCCTAGGTTCAGAAAGATGTAGCTTTATTTTAATTACTCTGAAAAAGCTTAACACTAGGGCTAGCATCAAAATCCACAAACAAGCATGAGATCTTTTCTTTCTATTTGGATTTATTTTCTCTCTCTTTTCCATGCAGAATGATAATAGGAGAAGCAGTTATTTCCATTAACAATCATGGCTTATATCCCGTCTTTTCAGCTCTGATGCTAATCACAGCAAAGCCCCAGCAGCCTCTTGAAGCACTGCTGAGCAATCCATGTTCAACTGTGACCTGAATTTTAAAAGTAAAAAATAAAGGCAATGTTTCCAAATAGCTTATCAAGAAATGTTTTTACAAGTAGTATAGTACAACTCTTAAGGGTTGTATAGTATACAACCCTTATATAGTATATGTGCAGTATAGTGACCCTTAAGGATATGACATTTCAGTTATTTATTTCCCTATTCTTTCTCCTTCCTTGTATTGGTTTGCAAGTTCCTGTGACCCCTTAGCATTCATATAAATTACTGATATTTCAAGCATCTGATTATCACTCATTTAGATGAGGAAAATATGATTGATGTCCTCAAAGAATATATAGAGTCGTCATCTCTTTTTCTATGGCTTATAAGCTCTGGATGGTTTTACATTTTTAAATGTTGGAGGAAAAAATCAAAAAGAAGAATAATATTTTATGACACAGGAAAATTAAATGAAATACAAATTTCAGGGTCCAGAAATAAATTTTTATCGGAACACAGTCACACTCACTTGTTCATGCCTAATCTATGGCTGTTTTCATACTGTAACAGAGTTAAGTGGTAAGTACCAAGACCAAGTGGCCTGCAAATCACTTTACAGGAAAAATTTGCTGGCTCTTGAATTAGAATATAAAACGGTTAAAGTTTAAATGTCGATGTGAAGACAGTGTTGCCCTAATTAACTGCAGTTCCATTTTCCACAATCAGTTATTAGTGCTTAATATTTTGAAGACATCTCATACTTGTGCAATTCTTTTCCATCAATAGTATTTAATTATAACAACTAATGCAAGCTAAGGTGACTCCACAATTACAGTGAGTCAGAAGGAAATGGCTTTTCCCATAGTGAATGAGGCTTAAGAAGAAAATGGAATTCATAGAAGAGGAAAAGATTGCTTTATACCTAAAATCTTCCACTTAGTTTCAATCAACATATATGCATTGCTAATAGAATTAGAGCATTTTCTACAGTCCCTGGTGGGGGGCTTGGCAGATTTCTGGCTGAATAAGAGTCTGCGTCTTGCCTTTCAAATATAAAATAATGATGGGCAGGGAGGAAATGCTTCCCAAGATTCCTCCACATAACACTCCCAAATTCTCAGTGTCTTCCCCTTTGCCTTCTTAGTCATTTTGGGTTCTTATCTTTGAGGCTAAGGAGACTTTCAATGCTTAATCCCAGTGCATGTTGTTTTTATTCATGAGATCTGATCATCATTTGGTGGGAGTACAGAATTTTGTATTTTTTTATTTTATTATTTATTTATTTATTTTGAGACAGAAACTCACTCTGTTGCCCAAGCTAGGGGGCGGTGGCTCACTGCAACCTCTGTCTCCCGGGTTCCAGTGATTCTTCTGCCTCAGCCTCCCAAGTAGCTGGGACTACAGGTGCACGCCATCATGCCCGGCTAAGTTTTGTATTTTCGGTAGAGACAGGGTTGCACCATGTTGGCCAGGCTAGTCTCAAACTCCTGACCTCAAGTAGTCCACCCACCTCAGCCTCCCAAAGAGCTGGGATTAGAGGTGTGAGCCACTGAGCCTGGCTCTGGAGTACAGAATTTTGGATGGGGATTTTCCATGATCTACTTCTCTGTAAAGTTTCTGAATGTCCTGTCTACTGGCTAATGTCTCAAAAAAAGAAAAAAAGAAGGGAAGAAAGAACTTGCTTTTAAGAATGATGATCCTGATTCTTCACTTTTCCAGCTAACTCAGTACAGACTTGCCCAAATGTAAGGTATAGGGAGAGGTACCAGCAGGGAAAACGAATCCTCGATTAGAATAGAAAAATCACCTTATTCCAAATGAATTCTGAGGGCTCACAATCCAATAGTATCACATAGGTCCAAATATTTATGGAAGGCCTGCTACATGCCCTAATCCATACTGGACTTCTGGGAGAGTATAAGGCTCCTCACTGATGTTAAACTAGGGATCCAGGACATATGTAAAATGTTGCTCACTAACCAAAGCTGTGCCTCTGTGAAGAATCTAAACTTGGGCAATTCTGCTGACATACAGCTGACAATAATTTAATAGTGACTTGTTTACTATTGCACAATGGTAACTGTTAGCTCAGGAGTTGAAATGAGGAAATTTCTGTTCATAACAAGAAATAATAGAGGTTAAACAAGTGGTCTCTAGAATCTAGCTGCCTCCATCTGAATCCTCTGTTGATAATTTTCTACCTGTGTGATATTGGACAAGTTATATAATCAGTCTTTATCTAAGTTTCCTTAGCTGCAAAGTTATAAAAGCAGTGTCTAATATATTTATGAGGATTAAATAAATCATAGCATGTAAAGCACCTCAAAGGTGTTTGGCATATAAATGAAAATCCAATAAAAAGTAACAACAACATACATGCATGATCTAGAAGATAGCTCAATATTTGTGCAGTGCTCCAGTTCCAGTTTGAGCATAGGGAATAGTTTTTAACATTATATTTGTGTTTAAATTTGCTGGAGTTATGCTGAAATGAAAAATTATAATTTATCATGGGAAGATGTGTGCAATCCGCACAATCCAAAGAAAAAAGATAAAAGTAATATTTATCTTACATAATAGCCTATATGATAGCCTAGACTTGCATGTACCAGAAACTGTTTCAAGCTCTTTTACATAAATTTAATGTACTTAATCTCTACAACTCTGGGGATAGGTAGGTACTATTATTATCCCCATTTTACATATACAAGAGTATAGGTAAGATGAGAAGAACAATGCAATGATTTGAATTGCTTTGTGTCTTATGTTGCTGTTAACTATGAACTCTCAGGCTACCATTAAAATCTCATGTTTTTATATGTCTATAATCTAGTTGTTTAATTTTTTAAGCAAAATTTCTTCTATGAGTTATTTATATTAAGATTTTGCTGGTTGTGTATTCCAGGGAGGGTCATTTTGAGACAGGGCCATGCTGATTGAAGAATAGACCTCAGTGGATGAGTGGTTTCTGGAGATCATTAAGAGATGTGTCAGCAAACTGGACAAGCCAGCACAAATGACAATTGCTAACAATAGAAGTACTTTTGAAATTACATTATGGTTGAATATGACCAAATACAAAATGGTAAAGACACTTGAATACATAGGTACTTAGTCAATCATTTAAGGGGAAATTCTAGTAGCAAAAACTCACCTAGCAAAGCATCACAAGAAACTCCACTGGAAACAATGATGAAGGCTTCACAATTTCTAATTACTACATGAAATGATTTTTTATTTAGGTCCTCACAGAATATGCTTCTGCTTGCAATGCATCAGATTTGTTGTCATTATGTAAATAGCAACCTTTGAAAGGAAAATAGCCAGTGCTATCAGCAGCCACTACGTTTGAATTGTACCAATTACTCAAATCATGGTGGATTTGAATTAGTTCTCTGTGTTTATGAAAACATGCTTGTAGAATTGAAGTTTTCTTTCCTATTATTTATCAGTAAGAAGTAAGCTCAAGTATTTTAGAATAACAGTATAATTCCCTATGATTGGCCAACAGACAACGCTGAGCTATTTTGATACTCACATGAATGTAGAAAATATTTCTGGATATTTGATATTTTCAATTTAAATGGTAGGATTGTGTATAACAGTTGATATTGTGCTTCATTCACAACAGACATGATTCTCTCTTCTACCTCCCACCCCGATCCCGACCCTCCAGAGAGTACCGAACAAACATTAGAGCTGAGTAGAAGTTCCTGCAAAATGAAAATATGCCTCTCCCATTCACACCATGTTTCAGAGCCTTCAGCCCTCAGATTTCAACAGCTGACTTCTAACTCTGCCAGTGAAGACTTGAGGCAAATAGGAATGTAGAGCTACCCCCATTTCCTTCTGTCTTTGACAGAAGTAGACTGTAAGGCAATACTGCAAAGTATTTTCCTAAAAAATGTCCATGGGAACGCAAGAAATCAGTTGTATCTTCCAGATGAAAATTCCCTCCTGATGTTCCTCTTGACATGCTGGTGATCTATTCCTTGCTGGCAAGGTGGGGTTCTTAAAGGGCTTGCACTTGCTCCCATTATCCCGAAGGACATGCTGAGTATTTTGGAAAGCTCAGCCATGCATGGGAAGAGAGTGATAATGTTTTCCTGTGGACATTTTATAGATGGAATCATACAATTTTCAGTCTATTTAGGATGTTCTTATTTTAACAAGTGGAGAAAGTGGGACCCATGAGCTGACTTGCTTAGGGTAACTTTGCCCCATGGCCAGTGTAAGAATGCAGATCTCTAGGATCCTTGCACCACTTTGCCTCCCATAGGTCACAACTAAAGGGCCCAGGAGTCTTCAAGCAACTCTCAATCCTCTTTTCTCAGTAGGAGATTGCACTGCCTTGAACCACTTATGTCCAAAATTGTATAAAATTTTTTGCAAATTGCAGCGTGTTTGCATTCTGGTTGTAATGTAGCTCGAAACTCAGAAATATTCTTCCTAAAATAAAGGAAATCAATATCCTTAAAGTAGCAAAGCATTGATTGCCTTATTTGTTGTTGCCTCCTGCAGTGCAACATCACTGAGAGGGAGTGTGGAGCTGTCTCTTGGTTCCACACTAATTAGAGTACAGTTTTGAGATATGATTTTATAATGGAAAACACAAACATGGAAAATATTGATGAAAATTTCTTCTTTAAATCAAGTGGTAATGCTTTTTGGACTTTTAAGTGAGACAATTTATCCTAACCTCCAACCAGTCTCTGACCCAGTGCTATGCTGAGTTTGGAGCCACCTGTTATGCAACATTTTAATTCAAGAGAAAATTCAACTGTGTAAGGGGTGGGAGTGGGTAGCAAGGGACCGAGGGCACTCAGCTGCCCACTTGTTGAGTTAGCGCTCTTGCTACACGGTGGCCACTTTGAGACTCACGTTAGCCTGAAAACTCTTTAAATCCATGCAAGAATGTGAACAGGCTAATTTTTTTGGAGAACACCGACTTTAGGTCTGGGTTTTTTGGTTGGTTTGTTTGTGTATTGTTTTTTGTGAGGAGCTTTCTCTGTCTGCTCTCAGGAAGGCACCAGGCTTGTGTTGTCCTCAGAGAAGAATGAAGAAGCAGAAACATTAAGCAATGTTTACACCTTGTGGGGTCCCAGTAGTCTAACACTTACACCTCATTAGAAATGTTGCTGCTGTTTAAAAGTCTTGATTCTACATGCATCCAGCAAAGGGGTTGGTGAAGATCAGAGTGGCTAGAAGAAAGATTTCAGACGCACTATCCGGTCAGAAGAAAGCAATGAAACAATAAAAGATGGCACACAAGAAACAGAAAAGACAGACAAAAACAGTCTCTGATTAGCAATCTATTCTTGAATATTGAAGTAGGTCAGAAGTATGAAAAAGAGCCACCTAAATAAGTTTTCTCTAAGGATCTCAGACCCAAAGAATAGTTGCCTGATTATGGAGATCAAGCTCCCTCCCTGCCACCCACCTTTCATACTCACCTAGGCCACACTTACTCTTCATCTACTGGAACATTTCTGCAGACCAGAGAGACAATTCTCAGACTCCAAATCTGATGCAATCTCTTTCAATGTCCACATCCACCGTCTCCACTCACTGAGAAAAGAATGTCATTGCTCTTCCAGAGGCCCCTATCAAACTTTGAGTTACATTGAGACCCACCATGGTTCTTTCATTTTTTATTTGTTTTCCATGACACAGCCTCCGGAGGTCCTGAGGACATGCGCCCCTGGTTCTTTATTTTAGACACTGCAGAAGAGCAAGAAGTGGGCAAAAATGTTTTCAATGTTATCTTTGTGTTCTTGAGTAAATAATTTAACCTCCTCACATCTTGTCTTTGTGGCTATAAAATTGCAATGATAATATTATGTGTCCTGGGATGGTATAGCTCCTGTGAGGTACTGGCTGTAATAACTGATCCATTAGAGATGGAGCCAGGACATGGGAGTGCATCTGGAAGTGTCAGACCGTGCCCTTGCCCCTTAGGAAAGATCTAGAGTTCTGGAGTGGCATAAGAAGAGCAACATGCTAAATAGACAGCTGTATTGTGCTGAGCTAGAAAGGAGACAAGATGTAATCCGAAACAGGATGCACTAGACCAGAGGCTAATGAAACTAGGTAAACTAAGGCACCACAAGCCAACATGAGGCTAGAAGCAAAGAGAAGGCAAGGAGGCTGAAGCAGGAGGTTCAAGCAAGTGCAGGTGGAAATGGAGCAAATACTGGAAGATATTGTTGGTGTACGATGAAGCTCATGTATGCTGAGATGGGGGAGAGTTATGCTAAAGAAAGTTTATCTTGGGGACATAATCTACGAAGAGTCATTCTGTAAAGGGTAACACTCTAGTTAAATGTTGTTGTAGACTATGTCATTGCTTGACAGTATTCCATGTTCCTTCCTAGGGAAAGATTATATTTCTTAGCCTTTTAAATCAAGAAGTAGTCATGAGATTTGCTTTGTCCAATGCAATTTGAGCTGCTGGTAGAATCCTTAAGAGCCAGGACATGCTTTGCCATGCCCTCTTTTCTCTCTACCTCCTTATCCGGTAGAATCCAACCTCTCTATCTGGGTCTTGGAATAAAGATGATGGTGACATAGGAGCAGAGTCCCTAAATGATCTTTCATGAACAAGTAGCAGCAAATAAACTTTTGGGGCTAGGTGTGGTTGCTCATACCTGTAATCCCAGCACTTTGGTAAGCCACAGCGGGCAGACCACCTGAGGTTGGGAGTTCGAGATGAGCCTGGCCAACATGGTAAAACCCCATCTCTACCAAAAATATAAAAATTAGCTGAGTGTGGCGGCACACACCTGTAATCCCAGCTACTAGGGAGGCTTAGGCACGAGAATTGCTTGAACCCTGGAGGTGGAGGTTGCAGTGAGCCAAGATTGCGCCACTGCACTCCAGCCTGGGTGACAGAGCGAGACTCTGTCTCAAAAAATAAACTTTTGTTATTTTTTGCCACTGAAAAATATTTTTTAAAATCATAGCATTATCTAGCCTATCTTGTCTGACACAAATGAAGATTGCTAGTTGGAAGCTAGTAATTAGTGGTTAAGCCAGTTTACACTTATTTTACTATGACAGGCAAAGTATAGCAACGATGTTGCAAGAGAAAACAACTGGAAAAAAATCCAATTGCTTTGATTGTTTACAATGATTTGTAACAGAGAGTGAAGTCTGTGGATAAATGTGTTACCTCTCCTAGAATCATAATCACTCAAGGGAAAAATAAATTAATAGAAAACTCAGCTTCCTTTATGCTCATATATCTTACAGCCTAACTGGAAGTCAAAAGAATTACACACAGGCACACACACACACATTTCACTGGATAAAAACCTGTAAAAGGTCAAATTCTTTTCTAAATTCATTTTTTATTGAGGTAAAATACATAAAACATCACTCTTACTATCTTTAGGTATATTGTTCAGTGGTAAAAATTCATTTATATTTTTTTCTTCCTTCTTCCCTCTCCTCTCTCTTTCTTGGCCTCTGGTAACCACCAATCTACTTTCTATCTTGATGAGATACATGTTTTTAGCTCCCACATATGAGTGACAACATGAGATATTTGACTTTTTGTGCTTGGTTTATTTCACTTAGCATAATGGCTTCTAATTCCATTCAAGTTGCTGCAAATGATAGGATTTCCATCATTTTTATGGTTCAATAATATTCCATCGTGTATATATACAGTATTTTCTGTATCCATTTATCTGTTGATGGGCACTTAGGTTGACTCCATATTTTGGCTATTTTGAATAGCGCTGCAATAAGCATCAAAATGCAATTATCTCTTTGATATATTGATTTCCTTTCTTTTAAATGTATATCCAACAGTGGAATTGCTGGATTGCACAATAGTGCTATTTTTAGTTTGTTGAGGAACCTCCATATAGTTCTCCAATGTGGCTGTACTAATTTACATTCCCATGAACAGTGTATGAGGGTTCCCCTTTCTCCACATCCTAGCCAGCATCTGTTATTGCCAGACTCAAACAAGACAAGGATGCCCACTTTCACTGCTATTATTCAATATAATAATGAAAGTCTTAGCCAGAACAACTAAGCAAGAGAGAAATACAGGGCATCCAAATTGGAAAGGGAAAAGTAAAATTAGTGTTGTTTACAGAAGACATGATCTTATACTTAGAAAAACCTAAAGACTCCACCAGAAGAACTGTTAGAATTGATAAACAAATCCAATAAAGTTGCAGGATACAAAATCAACACACAAAACTCAGTAGCATTTATATATGCCAATAGCAAATCATTTGAAAAAGAAATCAAGAAAACAACCCCATTTACAATAGCTACAAAAATTATAAAACACCTAGGAATCAATGTAACCAAAGAAGTAAAAGATATATATTGGGAAAACTATAAACCTCTGATGAAAGAAATAGAAGAGAGGACACTGAAAAAATGGAAAGATATTGCATTCTCCTGGATTGGAATAATTAATATTGTCAAAATGGCAATACTACTTGAAGCAATTTATAGATTAAATTCCATCCCTATCAAAATACCGATGACATTCTTCACAGAAAAAGTAAAAATAATTCTAAAACGTATATGGAACCGGAGAAGACCCAAAGAACCAAAATAATCCTGAACAAAAAGAACAAGGGTATCACACTACCTGACTTAAAAATTTACTACAAAGCTATAGTAACTAAGAGAGCATGGTACTGGCATAAAAAGAGATTCATAGACCAATGAAACAGAATTGAGAACCCAGATATAAATCCATACATTTACAACCAACTCATCTTCTGCAAAGGTGCCAAGAACATACAATGGAGAAAGGATAGTCTTTTTAATATATGGTGCCGGTAAAACTGGATAATTATATGCATAAAAATGAAACTTGACCTCTACCCCTCACCACACACAAAAATCAAATCGAAATGGATTAAAGACATGAAAAAAAATTGAGGAAATTCTTAAGAGTTTTTTTTGCATAAGGCCCCAAAAGCACAGGCAATCAAAGGAAAAATAGGCAGTTGGGATTACACCAAGCTAAAAAGCTTCTGCACGGCAAAGGATACAATCAACAAAATGAAGAGACAACCCACAGAAAGAGAGAAAATATTTGCAAACTACCCATCAAACAAGGGATTAATAACCAGAATATGTAAGAAGCTCAAGCGACTCAGTTGCAAAAAAACCAAACAGTCTGATTTAAAAATAGGCAAAAATTTAAACAGATATTTCTTAAAAGAAGATTACACTCTGGGGACTGTTGTGGGGTGGGGGGAGGGGGGAGGGATAGCATTAGGAGATATACCTAATGCTAAATGACGAGTTAATGGGTACAGCACACCAGCATGACACACGTATACATATGTAACTAACCTGCACATTGTGCACATGTACCCTAAAACTTAAAGTATAATAAAAAAAGAAGCAAATAAAAAAAAAGAAGATATACAAATGGCTAATAGGTATATGAAAAAAGGCTCAGCATCACTTATCAGAGGGTCCAATTCTTGCCATTATAAGAGTTCAGTTTCTAAGAATACCAAAGGTACAAGGTTGATGAGTTTTCTGATTTTGATTGTGGTATTAACATTAATATTATTTTACTGTTGCTTTTGCAGTGTTAGATATCAGAAAGACATAAAAACAGGAGTTGACTGAAATTGCAAAAATATGTTCTACTCTTTGTTGTATTTGCTTTCCTGAGCCACATAGTCTTTGAATGGACAATACTTGAAGGGAAACACCTTGGAGAAATTTATTGTTTTGGGGGTGATGGGACTATAGAATAAGGAAGGTTCAAAAAGAGATGCAAGAAACTATACCAGACAGAGAGACAAGTTGTAGATTCCATCCCTGGAGGGAAACCAAAACAGAGCCTAGAAGCCAGAGAGAGAGCTCATTTCAGGGCATAGAGGCCAATTCTTGAAGGCAGGGCCAGGGAAAAGGTGACCATTTAATGATGAATGGCCCAGTCTGCCATCCTGACTTGACCTGGGAGAGTGGGCATGTGTGGGCAACCATGGAGAGATTCTTCTTCATCCTTTTCCCATTTGCAAACAACTTTTCTTGGATTACACAGTAGTAATTCATAGTTCACTGAATATCATATTGGCATTTGATCCAATCCCCAACCATATTCATAATATGCAGCATGAATCTCAGGGCTATTGGCAATACCTAATGTTCATTTTTCTCAATTGACCCAACATCCACTTTTGAATTAAGAAAAATGTTGCGAACAAAGGCAAGGACCCTTCCTAAAAGCAGTGCAGAAGGACATTCTTATGAGGATGAAAAAAAAAAAAAATGGAAGCAAGACTTGGCTAATATCTGCTCTATCTCAGGTTATTTTAAAAGTGTTATTCTTGAGCATTTCAAATGAAGAGTTGCTTTTTCACAAGTTCTTTGAAAATTGTTCCTGAATTGTATCCAGTTCCTATTAATTTACCAGCCAGCTTTTTCACCTTTGTGTTAGTAAAAAACACTGAACATATTGAAGTATATGCTATTGCATTTGTCTATGTACAATTGCTGCAAAAATAAATTAATAAGGGACACAGTTTTTTTAGATTAAATATGTGTAGTGTTTCAGCCAAATAATCATTCTAAAAGGACTTTATTCTTCAAAATTTGAAAACAAGTACATCCAGCCTTTTATTAGATTATCAATGAAAAAATTACATGATTTTTACATAAATACATAATTACAGAATATCACATAATAAACATAATAAACGTGATATTCTGCTACAACTAATGACATATAATCTACTACATAACTTTCTTCAAACATTTCGGAAATGTAATGGGGTATAAATGTATACACACATAAATAAATGAAAAAATAAATAATTAAATAGAAGTTAGCTATATAAGTGAATAAATAGCTAACACATATAAAAACAGATCATGCCTGCCTGCTATGGAAAAACCAGGGCAGTAGTTTAGATTTTATTGCACTGCATGTGATTACAATAAATTACATCTTAAGTGTACATAATATGCTTAAGGAGAACCAAGAAAGATTAGCTTTACTTATATGCAAAGCAGACCATATTGAGGGAAGACTCTGAATGTTCTAGAAGCCCCCGTCCTCAAAGAATCATCCTCATTTGGTGTTGGTACATAAGATGCTATTATATGAGATTTGTTGCCTTGGATAAGGGCGAGGTTTTATTTTTTAATGGTTTGCCCACACTATATTGATAATTTTTGCAAAGTAAATCGCACATAGTTAGCCAATATGTGCATGCTTAAACAATCAAATTGCATAAAAGGGTTTATAATGAAAAGCAGCAAACCTGTGCACTGTCCTCATCTTGAAGGTCTAAACACAGGGAAAAGGAATTTTAACAGTTGCTCTTTTTAATTCTCTTCTTGTTTTCTTAATAATAGATATTGACATCATTCCTGCTTATTTTATCAATGCTGACATTCTCTGTGATGTTCTTACAATAATAACTGGTAATTTAGCTCAATCTTGCCACCACCTGTCCCAGCAGCTATATCAGGACTCCTGACCCACTGGCTGCCTCCACAGCCTTGGAATGTGATGGGTCATTCATTTGTCCATGGAGCTTCCACTTCTCCCTAATTTAGCCTCATGTCTCCTTCCTGACCATAGTCTTTCCAGCTGGGCAGTTACTCTCTTCAGCTGGAGCTGCCTTGGCATGTTTTCTAAGCTGTGTCTCCATTCAGCATTCCTCCATTCGCTTTCCCTCTCCCAGAAATAGACCAAGCTTGTCTCTGCCTCTTGTTCTATTCTGTTGTCTTCCTCCTATGGGCTTTATGCCAGTCATTCTTTACTACCACTTTAGTGGAAGGAAACAAGGAGAGGGAGAAAGGAAGGGAAGAAGAGAAGATATATGCATTTTGAATGGGAATTCCAGGCAGAGGTTCTTAATGCAGGGCATGTACACTTTTCTAATGGCGGGTCCATGGATGTAATCAGTTTTTCATGGAAGTCTGTGATATTCAAAAGGCTCTTTCCCCACACGGTTAAACTGCTTATTGTGGCCAAATAATCAAAAAGGGGAAAAAATCATTTAACTTTATAGTTTTTCAAAGCGTGGACTTCATATGCCCTACATCATCAATCACATAGGTTTCTTATTCCAAATACAGGTTCTTGGCCTTACTGAATTAAATTACCCGGGCCTAACTGCCCTCCTCACTGCCTCCAGGCTAAATATGCATGCTTAACAAGCTCATAAGGTAATTTAATATTATAGATAACAGAAATACAGGTGATTTATAATATTTACATACTTACTATACATAAATATGTAATATATATTATTTACAGGCAAAATTATAGATGATAGGCCTCCTATCAAAGTTTGGAAGAGGTAGATATAACCTTAATATCTGCCTATTTTAATAATATATTACATAACTGAAACTCTTGATTGTTCCCACTGAAATTTTGAAATATCTGTAAAGTTAAATATTTTTGCAAGCAGCATTTAAGTGCATCATCTATAAGATGTAGCATAGAGGGGGCTGAAATTTGCATTCAATGCCCATATATCACAACTTCTGTTTATTACCACTTCCTCAAACTCCTTTCCACCATTCTACAAGTATAAATATCAGAAATGGAAATCGGGTTTCCATGATTTTTTTTAAACAAGCATTTTTTAACTGCTTCATATGATATTTTTCTCCTCTGGGTGTTTTCAAAATTGATTTATCGGTGGAAGGATTTTCAGTTCCAGAATTGTGTTAGGTATTAAAGTCGGGCTAACAGGTCAGTTATTCCCAGGTACCTTCTATTTCATTTTCTCAATTATCCTAATGTTCTAAGCTGCTCAATCCTCAAACTGTCCATGCAGTAGTTTCCTTTCTAAAACGTAGCTGTTGAACAGAGAAAGAAGAGTTCCAAAATGACAGCATAAAAATATAGAGGAATGATTTGTATAAACTAATTGGCACTTTGTATGATATTTTAAAGGCATTAAGTATTTCAAACCCATTAAGAAAATTGTTATTATTGTACAAGTCACTTTAAAAGAATAAATTTACCCACCAGGCTGTTAGAGCCAAAGTATTTCCTTTGAACAGTGAATAATCCATAGTGATGTCCTTATACTTTTATACTGTAATTAGAATTAATAACTTAAATGTTGCAAATGTTGCTTCTAAATAGAACTACTGCTGTGTATTTTGTGAAGCTGCTCCTTCTTAGGGTTGGAGATCAGCTTTTTGGCAGCATGATTCATCACCTAGCTATATGCTTTGTTCTTACTTATACAGGAAAGGATTAACAAAATTTTATAGGGCAATCTATAATCCTCACAAGTATTAAATTCTGTCAGTGTTTTTTTTCTTGCACATATATTTCCACTTCGTTGCAGCATTCTCGTCTTCATTTTGAGTGCTTCTCTATTCTAGATGTATCAGCTACTAATTGAGCATTTAGCATTAAAACAGATGTGATATATACAGAAATGCATTCAAGAAAAGATCAAACAAGGAGGCTGCCAATCTGCAGTTGGACTTTAACCTGCTTGCTTTTAATAGCTCTTAAATATAGATCCCAATGTATAGGCTTGGTGTGAATATCATTAAACCTTTCCCACTGTTCCCTTAAGCTTTGAATGTTCACTGATCTGTGAAGATAGCTGAATGGATAAATAAACTTAGACCTGGCAAATCAGAGAGATTTTAGAAATAGAGCTAATCTTGACTTTTTTTTTTTTAAAGCAAAGCTTTATGTTGCCTGATATATTTTTTTTAAAACAAGAAGACAGAAATAAAAATAACACACATAAACTGACTAGCACTTTTTTAAAATGAATTAAAAAGTGGCGGGGTTATTAACATGTATTCTAGCCTGCTTGTCTTTCCACCTTCATTTCCCATTTGCTGGTAGTTGCATGAATTTTATTTGGCCTGAACCCCAGAGTGCAATAGAGAGGCGATGAAGAGAGAAGGCACTAAGGGAGAGGGGCCTAAGGGCTGAGATATATGTTCCCGCCACTCATTTTAATCCATGTGTTCTTTTTCTGAACCTTCCTTTCAGTGAGTGTTCAGCTGTGTTCAATGTTGCCAAAAAGCAAGGAAGATGAACACTAAAAGGACTCTTTGGCTTGAGGCAACCAGAAGCCACTAGTGACCTTGTGAAATCAGGTCCTGTAGAAAGGTGAGGAGACAGTTCAGATGTCTGCTGGGTGAGCCATGAAGGGGGAGGTTGGGAAGGTTAGGAATTGGAATTTAGTGGAAGTGGGCCAGTCTGTCAAGAAGCTCAGCAACCATCGCTAGAAGTGGAGCTCCTCAGGGCCCTGTTTACCAAGGAATCTCCTAGAGTTGTTCAGTGCACAACCTGAACAAACAGAAGCCAGGACCCAGTATTCGTGTTGTTTATTTTTTGCAACACCTAACACAGAACATATCTGACATTGAGAGCTAATGAATGATCCCTGGATAAGTGAAAGAAAGGACATACACAAAGGAGAGAAGAAAAGATTTTTACAAAGAGTCTATTGATAAGAACCATGTTTATATTTTGAAAGTTATATAGAGTTTTTGTTCAATTTATTTTGAGAATTAGGCAGAGTTAGACAGAAACACAGTAATAATAATAATACAGCCTTGTACTGGCATGAAGACTGATGGCTTATAGTCTTTTTTTCAGATTCATTATCTATTTCTTCATGGAAAAGTGCATCATAGGACATTTAGGAAAGAATTGCAAATTAAAGAACATTAAAGGTGAGGCTTGAAATAAAAATGTAGAAGTTTTTAAAGTAGATTTCTAACTAATAATAACTCATGATGTTGTGTAACTAAAGAGAAAGACTAAGTTACACCCAGGAGTGGCCCTGGATCAGAATGGGTAAGTAGAAGCACAGCATATATAGCCATTTATACATCATAAAATCATCCTGTTTCATCACAATTCCGTGTGTATCTGAGCTGTGTACAGCTCGGTATAGTATTCTAGGCTTCCTATTTAATGTTGCACCAGAGAGCAGAAATTTTAAGAATTCAGAGAAGAGATATAAAGATTATTAAAAGCGAAAGAAATAGGATCTAATATAAAATGTTCAAATGGAACTTTGGTAAACCCTTATTCATTGTTTTAGAATTCATGATGATTCACATAATATAGCTGCATAAGGGGAAGGGCTGATTTTAATAATTTCCATTATAATTATCTTTAAGAAGAAAGGTTTAAATTTAGCTCCAAGCATAACACCAGATCTTCATCAAATACTCTTTGGTTTATCTAGTTCGGCTTCTCTGAAAGGAAAGGGCATTCTAACAAAATTTTGGAGTGGTTAGTGCCTGACTTTTTGCAGCAAGGACAGAATGAAAAGAAATGCGCCAACACATTTAGACTAAGTAAGCAGCAGAGGAGTTTGTTTAAACAGAGGTTGTCAGAGGAAGTTATGGCATCTACTTCTCTGGAGACTTTTTAAAATAGGCCAGGCACTCATCTCTCTGGGATGGTTTCAGCCTGCAGAGTAGCTAGAGGACAGCCCCAGGCCTTTTCAGGTTCCCTTCTCCCTCTACGAGTCTGTAGGCTAAACCATATCCGAGAAGGCCTCTTTGGCAGGGTAAGCTACAGTCACCCAGGCTCATGTCTAACTATGATATTTTCTCACCGCATGGAATGATAATTATAGGAAGGAGGGTGAGGTCGGAAAGATTCCTCAACCACACTCTGTTGGCATTGCCAAAACAGGCACTCCCTCTGCCAGAATTGACTAAATGCAAGAGGGATGCCAGTTAGTACAGGATGATCGTGCTCAGTTGGATTTCATGTGTCCCATTGTCTTACGGTGTGTGGTATGTGTGTGTCTGAAAATAGGGTAAGTAAAATGAATTGGAAAGAAAATTCAGTTAAAAATTAGGAAAACAAATGGGGAAAGAACCTGCATATTGTCTTGAGGTTAGACTCTAACATCAAGCATTCGATCCTAACATTTAGCATTTGATTTGAAAGGTTCCTTTGGGGTCCGAGGCCTATCCTATCCAGGATTGTGGTCCGTTGTGAGCAGATGGGGTTTCCCTCTTAGAAGATGAGCTTGGTTCCAGTTTCCTAGAGCCTTTGGGTAATGGCCGGTTGCTCACAAGAGCTGAGGAGACAGCATAGCTGACAGGCACAGTCAGAGGCAGCTTTAAATATCACGCACCCCATCATTTGGTGGGTGGGTGTGTTGTCGCTAACTGTGCCGCCACTTCAACAAAGAAAGTGGTGAGTTGCCAAAAAACAAGGATGCTCCGTCTTAAGCATTAGGCTGAATTCTTCTTAGAGAAGTGTTTTTTTAATGAAGAATTTTATCCTAAAATATTTTCCAAATTTACTTATCCAACGAAAGTAATTTAAGCATTGTAGCAAGTAACTAGAATCTGCAGAATGAGAACAACTTTCTCTCACAAAAATCAATCTTCTTTATTCATCGAGTGGTCTCAGGTGCCCTGTGTGGGGTGGGGGCTTTCCCAATGCCACAATTATGCAGGCTGCTCAGAGAGACACTGGACCTGGCAACCAACTGCCCAGCTAATTTACAAGCAGGTGACAGGTGGTGAAACTATGATTTTGATATTTTTAAATGGTTCTTTCCTTCCCATAAATGCTGCTTTTTGGAAAGGTCACTTTAGTTTTCTTTAGGAAAATGAGCCTTTTCTCCCTCTCCCAAATGCTAAGTTGATGCCCTTCCCCAGAAGTCTTCCTGTTAATTGAGTTGGCCTGAAGGTCATCAACAATAATCAATATGAAGACTTGCTGCGACGTGCTAATTGACACTCCCAAAGAGGAATAGTGTCAACAATCAATAAAGAGGACAGAGCACTGGTAGATTTATGGCTTTGATTTTGAAAAGGTATAGGAATGCCTGTGATGTTTCCCCACCCCCCAACCCCGTACTCCTTTTGAATGTTAATGCTTTCTTGAAGATGATTTCAGACACACTGCTAGGATACTGCCTCTACTCGCTGAAGCAGAATCCTCTGAAGAGTTGCTGAGGCAGAACTGAAATCATGGCTCACCTCAAAGAAGCAGCAGTATTGGCCGTTAATGATGCCTCACACAGAAAGACGATGCTCCTTTAACTCGGGGTTTTAATGGGAAGTTTCTAAGCCTGAAACAACAGCTTTAGACCTGGGGTGTGCCATCAGCTGCCTTGCAGCTACCACTGTCTACTGCTTTCACACAGCGTGGTCGGGAAGAATGGAAACTAAAGAGGCTTGTAACTACCTGTAACTGTTCCACCAGGAAATGGATCAAGTGTTTGTTCAGCCAGAGCCAGGTACTTGACCCAACCTGTATCTTTGACGGGCTAATTAAATGCTTTTCTCTAACTTTACAATTGATGCATGAGCAATCATCGCATACATGCCTTTCGGATCATAGTTGTGAATTTAGATCTAGCTGTTAGATAAGTCTAATTAAACAATTGCTAGATAAAGTTAAGAAGCGAGGGGGTAAAATGTAATGATGCCTTTATTTTTAAAGCATGGTTAAGTTTATAATGTTATTGATACTGGATGAAGAAGTAGTAAAACAGGCTTTTTTTTCTTTCCTAAGCTGCAGTAATTTATTTCTGAAAGCTGTTTGCCCATTATCGTATTTTTTTTTTCAGTCACCTAAAACGTCCAACCTTCCAAAATGTAACAAGGATGTTCTGATTTGTTTACAAAGGATCACAACTCAACCACTCATATTGACAGCGTTGACTGTCCCTGGCTGATAAGCTGTGTGCAGCACTATCCTTTTGAGATATCAGCAAGTAGCCGTTTTCACTATGAAACACACAAAGAAAGACAAAGAAAACCAGGTGGAACAGTAGGGCTTATTATTTGAAGTTAAAAGTTCCAGTTCGTTAAGGGTGCCTTCTGATACCACCGATTCCTGACTAGGCACCCTCATGGTGTTTTCTGATGTTCTCAGCTAGGCAGTAGCCTTGCCCTGCAGTCCCTTAAAAATTCCTCAAGCAGATATTAAGAGGAAGATGAAGATGGGGAAGAAGTAAAGCTGAGATTGGGGCTGAGGCTGAAGACAAAGGTCTCCTGCTGACCCAGAGCTTAAAAGCAGCAGTGAGTTGAGAATAACAGGGTCCACTCCCAGCCCAAGCAGACGTGTCTGCAGGCTGACTTTGCAGAAACAAGCAGAGAACAGACTTCCCAGTGCAGCAGTGGGGGCTGGCAACAGTTCTGAAACTGCCTGTTGACATCTGTAGCTGAAGACATCCTCATGTTTATGAAATCATTGTTCGTAGGCTTTCTAGTAGACTTGAGTCTATGTTTTGAGAGTATAAAATATATTTACCCTTAGCCCCCCTTTGAATTTTGAAGCATCAGGGCTATTGTATTGGAACAGGAGGGCTGTACTTGGAAAAAAATATAGAGATGTTGCCGTGTATATGAGCCAAAAACAAGGGGAGTGGGAGGATTTAAAATCTATGAAACACCTAGAAAGAGCCAGGAAATCTTTACCTGAAGTTCTTTGCTGGTAAGCAAGAGGGCCATGAATTCTTTGAATTTATATGAAATATTTTGTATCTTTGTGTGTATATCCTGAATGCAAGTTACTGTTCACTAGAATAATACACAGAATTTCTAAAAGATTTGTAGGGGAATAATATTTGCTTATGTGGTGATTCTGTTGCTTAGATAACGAGGTGGCTTATACAGATGACTCACAGTTGTGGTGGGGATGGATAATAGGATCATTTGGGAGATTTACACATCTAGGGTGGGTGAGTGGGTTGGAGAATGAAATGTACTTTGAGAGACTACAGTTATACAAACAGGAATGCAGCCCAGGCTTCCTTTAGTGCTAAAAGTAGAGAGGGATTCTATTTAGGCTCAGTATCAGGATGTGTATTACTTGAATCATTCAAAGCCATGTTAACATTTCCACAGTTAACTTCAGAACTGTTGCAGAATAATGCAGCATTTTGAGTAAGTTTGTCTCTGTTGGTCACCGCAAATTCAGTCCTGCCTAGCTAGGCAATTCCGTTCCTGTTAAAGTCTAAAGATTGGTCTCGCTAGTCTGCCAGATAAATATAAATAAGGTTGATAGTATATCTTTGCAGGATAAAGTGTCCTGTCTATCACATGTGAATGGAAACTGGACAAGCCCAAGAGTGTCCTTGCTCAATGGATGGGCTGTTTTGACACCTACTTTTGAAACCACGTCAAGTCACGTAACTAGGTTTCTGATCCAGAAGTTTTAAAAATTAGGTACTGCAATTATGTGGTTTAGGAATATTTAAAATACAGACAGCATTGCTTCACTGCACCCTACAGGCCGTTAACACCTGAGGGATGACACCTTCAATTCATTCCAACGTGCCAGTGAAAAACTAGGGATCTACCATCATTTGGCGTTGGGGTGGTAGGGGGTGGTGCTACCTTTTTGGTAACGATTTTTATAATTCTGGGCAGTTTATTTATAATTTTCATACCTTAGTGTGCTTGATCACATAATAGAAATTAAAAATAAATAACATTTTGCACAAAAATGGTGTAAAAAGAAAACACTCATTCATCCCCACCTACTTATCAAATCCCCACTATGTGCCAGGCAGGACTACACAGGTACTGCAACTATTAATTAGATCATTGCACCCTATTGCAAAAGGGTGGGCTCTTGAGTTGATGACCTGTAGAATCAAGTCCCTGTGTGTGGCTCCACAGAACAAGGTGTCCAATGCACTTAAGTAATTCTGTCGCTGTCACTTAAAAAAAAAAAAGAAAAGAAACATGTCATTGCTTTAAGATACATTTTCTTCAGAGAAAGTATTTTTTCCTTACTGTGAAATTGTATAATGAGATGCTAATGAAATAAAATGTCCAAGGGATCCAAGCCTGAGAAGGGTACATGTTGACATTAATAGTTTTTGTGTAAGACATTTGGATTCAGGATATTTTAAATGGCTGCCCTTCCCCACCAAAAAGTAGATTAGGTAAGAAAGAATTGACCTCTTAAATAAAAGGGTAACTTTCAATTTCTGGCTGATTTTTATATTTCAGATTCCACCCATCAACACGGAGGCCAAGGAAAATTTAATGAGCCAAATAACTTATGGCTCTTCAAATTACAAGATCTGTGGGTTTTAAAGTGTCATTGTGACTTGAACTAGCTGTCTTTCTTTCAAACAAGACTTACTTCAAATGTGATGGTCCAGCACCTCAGTCCGGCTTGATGACTTGTGCTTTTGTTTTTCCTCTCTGCATCAGTTAGCTGGCACCTCGGGTTTTGAATTCAGTTCCCTGGACTGTAAGGGGTTGAAGATTTGATTTAACTTATATTTAAAAAGGCAATGATCCCAGAACAGCAAATAATTCCTCAAGGAGCTTATTGTGTAATAAGGAGGAGATAAACACTGTCAAGACTCGCACTGTAATCAGTGCTGCCACCGAGTACAGGTGATGTCTCTGGAGATGGAGTAAAAAACACCCCATCCTTGGTGAAGGGAAACAAAGAAGGCCCCACCGAGAAGTGGGTATTTGGTGTGAACCCTAAGGGAGGGAGAGATGGAAAGAAGGAGAGGAAAGATGCTTGCCTCATAGTGCTTGCCTCCCCTCCTCTCCACAGATGGAAAGAAGGAGAGGAGGCAAGTATTATGAGGTAGGAAACCTGGAGGTGTTAGAGCACAGCAGGTATTGGATCAAGCTGAAAAACAGACAAAATGAGGACATTCTCCACAGGTGTCCACAGACTCAGTTACACGGAAGTTTATTCTGATCAACACATTGGCCATTTTACTGAGAACTAAATGTGATTTGGTGTTGACTCCTTTCTAAACTTATAAAAATAAAACTCAGATCTTAAAAATTCCATTGTCAGCATAGGTCCTAATCTGTGGTCCGGAAAACATCTGGGCATCAGGCCCACAAGGGGGTTAATGGGCTGTGGACACTGGGGTGCAAAGGTTTTCTGAGGGGAAGAGTGGTGAGATCTGGGCTTAAAAAGATGAATCGAGATGCAGTGTGTAGGAAGCATGGGCAAGGGATGAGGAACGCCACTTTGAAAATTACTAAAACTAAAGCAAGTGACTAAGAGTGTGAATGACCCTGGCTGCAATGACTACGCCTGCTGGGCTTCGTAAGTAATTATGGGTGTCTTCTGTTTTTGTCAGTATCACAAGGGAGCTTGACTCGAGCAAGGGAATGTATTATATGACTTTTGAAAAGGGTATCTTTTAATTAAGGTTTTCTTTAATTTTTCAGTATTAAAATTAGACTCTATTTCCTGAGCACCCACAAATGGACCTGACAAAGGGAAGACACAGATGTACTGCGTGATGAGGAAAGCCTATCAGGATTAAAATATGGCTGTGAGTAACTGTGGTCCTTCTTTATACTTAAAATAGCTGCCATGTGTTATTATGAAGGCTTCTGATGGTGGTATCAAAATCCTTTGAAATAATAGACTTGCACAGATTTCCCTGGTCATCTAAAAGAAAGATGTCATTATTCAGTTAAAAGCAAACTTGCACATTTTCTAAGAATCATTTTTACCAAAAAGGGACATTTTACTGCGAGACAGACATTTAAAAATTTACATGTCTTGAGATATTTTTGTATTGTGGTAGCAAAATGATTACATTTATTTCTTTTTCTCCACCTTATAATAGCTGATGCTTCCTTCAACTTATACATGCTGTTGGAGCTTTCTAAATCGGTAAATTATTGATTAGCTGATTGCAGGTTTAAAATCAAGCAGACTCTTCCAGGGATTTCAATCAGTCCTGGGCAAAATTGTGAATTAGTCAGCATTGGTTTCTGGATCTCTTTATCCCTTTAGCAACCACCTCCTGATTGTCTCTACCCACCATCCCTCATCCCTCCCCTAGGGCTCTCCAGTGGGCCCCCTGTTCACACCACCATGCCTGTCTTCCTGTCCTGTCCAGGAGTCCCTCATTCCCAGCTAGGTCTTCCTTCAATCGCCTTTCTACTTACCACACTTTCCCCTCCTTCAGGTGGGAACGGTCCTCACAAATTCCTGCTAGCACATTAATGTGCCACTTTCCTAGGTAAAATATTGCAATTTAGTAGGAGACGTTGATACTTTGACCAAAAGCAGTTATTTTTATAGGAACTTGGGCACCACAGTGTGCTGGGAGAGGAGAGGATTACAACTCCCAATGTGCTACAGAGTTTTAAAAATTCTTTCACCTCTATTTGCTCATAATTTGGTATATCAGGAAAGGTTTGGTGATGAAGACATTGGAGTATACACATATTTATATTTTAGGAGGCTTCTCAATGCAAAGAGGGTTAACCTTTCCTTTGTACCTTGCCTTTTAATCAGTAGAGGATGGTAAAACTTCAAATTAAAACTGATTTTAAAAATCATTCTAATACTTGGCATCCTCGTGCAGAATCTGAGTCCCAGAGTCATTCCTAGGGTGACTGAAGAGGCAGATATGGCAGATAATCTGAATCAGGATGAATAAGTTATTTGCTGGAATTTCTGGAATGGTTGCCTACCACTGCAGCCCCCAAATGAATGGTTTGCTCGCTGTAAATCCTGAGTTGTGGGTGAAGCCTAGAAAGTATGAGAGTTGATCCAGGAGAGAAGGATTTGGCATTTGCCCTGTATGGAAGAGAAGGCTGGGGAAGACTACTCCTGGGGTCACAATGTTGCTCATCAAGTGGAGATCCCCGGTGGGAAGGGAGGGACTGAGCAAGGTATCACCGTCCTAGTCAGCCTGCTTGTGCTGAGGAGGTCATTCTCAAGGACTCAAAAGGTTCTCTATCTAGTTCTTACCTGAATTTTTGGATTTCACAGATCCAGAAATCCTTACATCAGTTATACAGTTAATGGTCTTTTCTCTTCTTATATTTCCTTTTTGGATTATATGGTGTTTTCCTAAAGAACTTTCTGAAAATGGCCAGGCATGGTGGCTCATGCCTGTAATCCCAGCACTTTGGGAGGCTGAGGTGGGTGGATCACCTGAGGTCAGGAGTTCAAGACCAGCCTGACCAACATGGAGAAACCCCGTCTCTACTAAAAATACAAAATTAGCTGGGCGTGGTGGTGCATGCCTGTAATCCCAGCTACTAGGGAGGCTGAGGCAGGAGAATCACTTGAACCTGGGAGGCGGAGGTTGTGGTGAGCTGAGATCGCACCATTGCACTCCACCTTGGGCAACAAGAGCGAAACTCCGTCTCAAAATAAAAAAAAAGACTTTCTGAAAATGCATACCTGTCTCGGCTTTGTTGAGAATGGACAAAGAACAGGACTCTGGCCTCATTTGGGCTGGATGGAAAAAGGGCATAGAATGAGATTCTGATAATCCTGCAAGGAGAGCAGGAATCAAAGTGAGAGGATCCTCAGTAGGATATGAAAAAGCAAGGAGTATGTCAGGGATGGCCTCAGCATCTGCTCCTCTGTCATCAGCGGGCTTTCCTTTGGCCCAGCCCTTGGAGAATTTTATATTTCATATGATTAAGTATAGTTTGAATATTTTTGGTGGACACAGATGGCCCTGGTCTGATGTGCTGAGGAGACCTGCATTGGAGGCTCTGGCCTCCCTTCCTGCCCCTCCCTTCCTGGCCCACAAGGAATTAATACCCAAGGCTAGGAGGGTGCTTAGAAACAAGCAAACCAAAACAAAACCCAGTGCATTAATATCCTCTAAATTCCTAAAGAGCTTATTTTTTTAAAATGCGGTCAAATTTTTATCCCAATCTTACTTCCAAACAAACATGAATTATAAATGAGTTTTGCAACTGTTATAGCCTTTAAAAAAATTCAAAGTGATAGAGCTGCAAAAATGATGCATTACCCGACTGGTAACTCCTTCCTCCCAGATCCTGGCTGGGATCCCCCTTATAAATTGTTTTTTAAACTGTAATTTTACAAACTTTGAAGTGTCAATATAATGCAAACTGTTATGCTATGATTACTAATGCTGTACTTGAAGGCAATGATTATAAGTTAACTGAAGGAACATTGTATTGATGCTTTAGGTCACATATTCTATTTTTATTTGGTTATTTTCATTGAGCAAAATTTATTTTGTGTCCGTGTTAATTTCCGTAGCTAATTACTGTGCTTTGTAATTTTTATTATAAATAAATTCATAATAAATATCATTTAATTTTCTATATAGTAGTAGTGTCTAATGTATATACTTTTATTTACGATGTGATTTAAGTAGATTTCGTTCAGTATCTGAAGCTTTTAACGACCTCTGTGTATACTTGTCATGTATATACTTGTATATTTATACGGTAATATACACTTGTATATTTATACAGTAATATCTACATATCTAAGTTTTTCCACCAGTAAAATTAAAATAGTGTTAGCTTGTCCTTTTCCTTCTCTTCCTCTCTACTGAATAGTCTTAAATGGTAGGAAGCCACTCTAAGGAAAACTGTCCTTTTGAAAATATGCATCGATCAATTCCTTTCTCTTGGCTTAATTCTCTAGGTGCTTCCCAGGGTCAAGTATTGAACCTGGTCTTTGTTTTCTGAGGAAAAAAGAAAAAGCAGCAGTAACTTGATAGTTTGGGAGACTGAGATACCTCCGTTCTCCCTTGGCTCAGGCAGTAGAAAGGAAAGGAGAAGCAGCATAGCTCCCTTAGTTGTGTCTTAGGTGAAGCAACACTTGGCTTTGTTTGTTTTTCTTTTTTGTATACTTTTCAAAGGGTTTTCACAGCTCTTCATCCTTATTACAGCACCATGAAAGATGCAGGCATTGCTACTTGCATTTTTACAGCTTAGTGACCTCTCCAAGGTCCCACACCCGTTTTGCAGTAGAGTGGAGCCCGGAGCCCAGAACCCAATGCTCCTGGAGAAGGTTTCTATTTTAAGCACCTTTTCTAGCCTCAGTTTCCTTGCACTGGGGCTAAAGAGATCCCTGCTTTCGTGAAGCTTGCAGTAAAGTGGCTAACATGTTTCAAGTTTAGCCACTGTGCTGACACATAGCTGAGGCTCCCTCAATGGCGCTATCGTAAGAACAATGTGAGAGTAATATTAGTGGAGCAGAGCAGGAGGAGACTTGGCAGGGGAGGCTGGGTTCAGATGTCAAGTTGACAGTACACCCTGAGGTCAATATTACTGTGCACATTTCTCATCTTCTATATTATAGTCGTATTCCCTGCCCATCCCTCCTGGCCCCAGGTGGCTCTTCTGAGAACAATCTGGTAATTTCATGCAAGAGTAAAATATCTTTCCCGATAATTATACAGAATTGAGCATCTCTGGTGAAAAAGAAAGCTGGTTTACAGATTTCTTTTTCTCTCTGAAAAATATGACTGTGAACCTAAAAAAATAAGGCTGCTATTTTATAGGTATTCCTTTCCCTTCCTTTTTCCCTGCAGATAACTCAGCCTCTCCAGAGTGCAGCCACCATGACCTCCGCAGATTGATGATGGAAGAAAAGAAAACCAGGATATCCTGTGCTCTGGCTTCCCTGGACCATGGATGGAGGACAGCCCATCCCCTCATCCCTAGTGCCCCTTGGGAACGAATCAGCAGATTCTAGCATGTCCCTGGAGCAGAAAATGACATTTGTTTTTGTGATTCTGTTGTTTATTTTCTTGGGCATTCTCATTGTCCGGTGCTTCCGGATTCTTTTGGATCCATATCGAAGCATGCCAACCTCTACCTGGGCTGATGGACTTGAAGGCCTGGAGAAAGGGCAGTTCGACCATGCCCTTGCTTAGGAGGGATGGTGTGGGATCTCCTCCTGAGGAGATGAAGTGCTTTGTGTCTTGGTGAGGATTCCCTTTATTTAGTGTTCTCAACAAATCAAATTTAAACAATATTTGGTCCCAGGACCATAATCCATTATTCCATAAATATGCAGTTGGGTTAAAGACATTTGAGGATGTTGGAAATGGACACTTATATAACTAATCCAACATAAGAAGGTTTAAATTTTTATGTTTGCTCAATGAATGAGTACTCTTAAAATTGTGTGATTGTGAAACCAAGAGCGTTAATACTGACATAGATTTGCCATCAAACAAAACACCACCTGATCTGACTAAAGAATAAAAGACTAGAAAGGATCTCATATGAATCTGGTGACAAGGCCAGGAAGAGATTTCCTTGCTCTAATTATGTCTATATTTGTTTTATTTCATGGGCACCTATCTGGGTCCTGAGCAGAATGAGGAAGATTGTGCTGAATGGACCCAAAGTAGTTTCTTGTTTTCTCCCAAAGCAGGGAGCTTTGGGAAGCAATGGAAAAGCTTAAAAGAGATGATTCTGTCCTTGGTAAATGTGAGTGAGAATAGCGTTTTGTTTTTCAAGTAAAACTTAATTCAAAGGCTACAAAGTTTTAAAAACTATTTACCAAGCCAACTACATTATATGTATTCATATTAATAACATGTGTAGAGGTAGCTATACATTACTTGAATTTACACTTTACACAAATGATTTAAAAAATAGGTTGCAAGTGCAGCTTAAAGTTTTTTTTCAATGAAAAGTTAATTGTTTAGAGGAGAAGACTTTTATAGTCTTCAGAGGAATGTGTATTTATGATTGTATATAGTCACCAAATAAAACTTTTCAAGAAACAGAAATGCTTCCTCTCTTATTTCACCAGAACTAATGCACTGAGGGTGCTACCTGGTATTAAGTGCTGAGGCTTAACATTTTTCCAAGAGAGGAGAAAAGAGTTAACAGCATGAAAGCTCATCTAATTCATCCCTCTCCCATTTCAAGAAGAGCTCCTATAAATTGTCCTGCACAGACAAAACCGATAGTTTTTAAGACCACCAAAAAGGGAGATGTGAATACCTCTTATTCCAACTTTTGTTGGAAGGAAAAGCTTGTGTCTAAACCAACCCTGCAGATAACTCAGCCTAAACCAACCCCGTTAGGCTGTATTTATAATCTATGTCTTCTAGTTTTCTCCTCAGCTAGTCATTACCTTTTTTGATTAAAAAAAGCACACTTCTTTAACCTATTAATTATAAGATTTTCTTTTTCTTTCAAATGTACTGTGTCATGTGTGTCCTCATTAATTTTTTTTTGTATTTTTGTTAGAGTCTATTCAAACCCACTCATGTATTTATGGAGCTCCTGCTTTGAGCCTGGAATTGCTAGCACTAGAAAGACAGAAAACACACAGGGCCAGTTCTTAATGTTGAATACTTTTCTATCTTGTTGGATGGAGAATACATTTAAAAAGGCATATGACTGAATCATTGTTCAAATGACTAACATGGACCTGATGGTTCCCACATCATCAGAATCAACTGGGGAGGTTAATATGTGTGCTAATTTTTATTATTTTTTTACTTTCTATTTTTTTTATTTTTTAAGAGATGGGGTCTTGCTCTTTCGCCCACTGGAGTGCAGTGGCACAATAGCTAATTTTCATTATAAAAGTTGTACATCATCATGGCAAAAAATTTATTATACAATATAGAAAAATATAAACATCACTGGTCAAAATTCTACCAGCTTAGTTCACCCTAACTCCTAACTCCAATTTTTCCTGGGTAGTTTATTGACAATGGAGATTATTACAGCCTTTCATCCCTACAGGTTGATTCTGTAGAGTTGGGTTAGTGAACAAATGCTCCAAGAGATAAAACATGAGGAAAGATGAATGTAGCCAAAATAATTAAGGAAATGTCCACGAGACAATGGCTCAGGTATAATTGTGCATGTTTAAGTGCTTGGCATAAAGTTCAATGCAATGTAAGTTATTATTATGAAATAAATTAGATCTTGACCTGAGAGGATGGAGGTAGTTTAGATATGTGCAAAGGAAAGGAAGAGGGAAAACCATAGAATAAGGAAACAGAGGTATGAGTGTGGGACCCGAAGGCAGGAGTGCAGCCTGGCTGGAGTAGAGAGTTGGAGAGGCAGCTGGAGCTCACAAGGGAAGGACAAAGGCAGAGGCTGGACCTCAGAGGATCCTAAACAGAAAAATCAAGGGTGGGAGTCACCGTAGATTCACGAAGAAAAAAATGACCTAAAGAGTGGTGTGTCAGTTCCAGCTTCCGTGCCCTTCCTCAGGGCAACACCAGGATCCACTTCTATAATGGGAACACACTGAAATAGCTACCTGCCCCCTAAGAGACCTTTGAACACAGGCATTGCCCACAAGTGCCACGGGGCCTCCCAAAGCCTGCCCTTCTTTCACTCCTCCCTTTATTTCCCACTCTATTTTTGTTTTCCCTTCTCAGATTACTGCTCCTTGTTCAACTTCCCCTCACTGGCTCTCCTGCCTCCTTCCTTGTCCAGAGCAAGAATACCATAACAAGTGAAAAAAAGCTTTGGGCTATTCACAGTAAATTGATCCCCCCTGTAAGAAGTGCTAACTCTCTTGTTTTAATTACTCTGGGCTTCTTGGAGTGAACAACTTATTCTCAAAAGGTCACATAAGCCCTCTCTTTCCTGGCTTTCTGGCTAAAGGAGTTACAGGGCAGCACTTTGCCTATCTTACAAGATATTTATAATGAGTGCAGCTGGCCTTTATGGAGTATATCTGCATCCCAGGATGGGGGGAAAAAACCCTGGACTTTCCCAAGGTCACTCTGTAGAATAGACCTGCCTTTTGATGCAGAAAAATGTGCAACCTCATTCTTAGCCTGAGCTCGGAATCACAACCCTGTGTTTTATTCCCCCAGAGATCCCAAGTTCTAGATCAACATTTCTCCCTCCAAGAGACCTTTTAAAATATTTTAAACACTGCGTAAAGCAAGTTTAACTTGGGTGCGAAGGAGCCTAATTTGACTCTGCTGTTAAATTAATAAACATTTCAAGACAGGCAATTCTTTTGCTATTATTAAGGGTTAAGGCTGAGGCAAAATAAACAATTTTAGGAGGCAAAAGTTAGATAGAGCAGATGTTTATGTATGCAGAAAAAATATGTATTCAAGTTCCTTTTTTATTGGATTCATTGCACAGTGTTTACTGAAACACTGAAGTTTTTTTTTTTGAGATGGAGTCTCACTCTGTCGCCCAGGCTGGAGTGCAGTGGCGGAATCTCGGCTCACTGCAAGCTCCACCTCCCGGGTTCACGCCATTCTCCTGCCTCAGCCTCCCGATCAGCTGGGACTACAGGCGCCCACCACCATGCCCGGCTAATTTTTTATATTTTTAGTAGAGACGAGGTTTCACCGTGTTAGCCAGGATGGTCTCGATCTCCTGACCTCATGATCCACCCACCTCAGCCTCCCAAAGTGCTGGAATTACAGGCGTGAGCCAGCACGCCCGGCCTGAAGCTTTTTATAATGTGAACATACTGATAAATTTGGTACAATGAGAAATTTCACTTGTTCACCATAAATGATTTTTTTAAAAAAAACCTTATTGTTTCAAGATGTCAACTTTCAGAATTGACATGTAAAATATATTGAAACATGGTTATTTTCAATAAATTTTCTAAGCCCAAAAACATTGAATAAAACCTAAGATATGATTTGTGAGATGTGTGTCGACCAAGAAAAATTATGTAAGATGGGTGTCTCAGTTATTGATTAATCCAAAAGTTGTAGAGTTGAGCCATGATCTCCAGAAAGTGCCCAAATGACTATATGTATGTATGCAATCCGTGATCCAACTGGCCTACTCCAGAAGAGATTTTTTTTGTTTTGTTTTGTTTTGAGATGGAAACGGGGAACCCTCTAAGCTTTGTTTGTACTTCCCGTTTCTAACAAAAATAAATGAATTATTTTCAGAGAGGGGTCTACTCTGAGGACATGAGGCCTCCCCATCTGGCATCTTGCTCTGGTCAGGTGAACCAAGCCCAGTACTTTAGCCAGTCTTTAGTCCTTTCCAAGGTCATGTTTTTAGAATAAAGTTCCCTGCTGCATTTAGTACAGTGGAAATTTTGCCTTCAGTTTCCTGCTATAAATTATACTCATGTCTTTTTCTAAAACACCACAAGATCCTCTTAGATCCCTCCATCCTACAGCCTTTCTCAATATCCTGATTGATGTTTCTCTACTTTCTGTGCTTCAGAGTAAGAGAAATTCCTTTAAACTGTCTTTTCAAAGAGATTTGCACCCTTATTCTCTTCTAGGCCCTATGACCAGCCCTAGAGCACCAAACTTATGCCAGCTTTTAAGAAAGAGGCTCTTCCTGGGTTCCTTGGAGTTTGAAAAGCTGGAAAGAAACATTGCTGTCATCTATTTCAACCTCCTCATTTTACATATAAAGAAACAGAGAAGCAGAGAGGTCATATGGCATGACCATGGCCACTTCTTCACCCACTGGTTGTAGCTGTAGCATCTTACATATGTGGTGTGCAGATGAGTTCAAACAGAAGGGCCAGTTGATAAAACCATAAATAAAAATACCCGTTTGTTAATTGACATGAAAGTTATAATAATATTAAATAGTCTATTTTGGCAGGGAGTGGGGAAGACATATTTTGTTTCTGAAAAAAGTCCTACGGATGATGTATTTTCTTTTGGAACATTCTGAAGCTTCAGTTTAAGTGTCCAGGCAACGAGAAGTATTTCCCGTTAGATTGTAGAGAATGCCTTAACAAAGATTCTGTTTCTCAAAACACGGGATAACCAATCTAGGATAAAGAATCAAAGTTTCTTTTTTTGTTTTTCTTTTTTTTTTTTTTTAAATTTCCTAGTAGACTTTTGAGCTGTTTTTCTTAGCTGAAGAAGCTCGACAAGGGAGATTACAACATAAGTTTATAAAGGCTCTGGATTCTGCTCTATCTATGGCTTATCAAAGAGTTATCTGGATCCTCTTGGGACATAGAGGTGACCTCAGAAAATATACAATTAAGTATTTCAAGTTTGAAAGTACACTTTATCCTTTTCTGTCCTATCTTTTTTCCTAGTTACTTCACTTCTATTTTTCCCTCTACTTTCCAATAACTGGAGTGCTGGAAGAAGTTTAATACAACCACTACATTCAGTGCTTCTCTGGTATATTAATATTTTCCTCAATAGTCAACAACAAGTGGCTGCCTGGTTTCTTCCTTAACATGTCTAATGTCTTAAAGTGTCCATCCTATTTTTAGCTTGTTCTGTTGTTTATAAATATCTCTTTATCAACCCCAAATTTGTCTTTCTGTAATTTTTGCCAGTGGAATCTTGTTTTGTCTTCTGGAGTGACAGAGATTTCTAATACTTGTTAACATGACAACTCTCAAGATATAGTTATTGTTGAAAGTCACACTCCATGGATCATTGCTGTTTCCGCATGTCTTTACAGCAGAGGCAGTGACAATATTTTGTTCTTTTCAAAGAGATTTGTTTAGAGATCGTATCTCCCTTTCCCTAAAAAAATGGCTGGGCAGGTTTGCTTGCAGCCCATTATGAAAGACTGGGTTTTCCTAAGCTCAGAGTTCCCCTCCTGTAATGCAGCCCATTGTGTGTGCAAGCACCATCTGGCTTTTTTTGTGTTGCCCTGTGGGAACTGGAGCTTAAGGAATTGGCACAGGAAAATGCTGATACTCAGTGTTGTGATTGCTGTAAATGATAAACTGTCCTTTGCCTCTGACCCAGAGGTCTTGTGTCTTCTGCCGGCATCCATGAAACTGTGGCAAACTAGTTATCCTGTAAGTAGGGTAAAATCTCAGATCCTACCTTGTTCTTGATGGTTATCATATTCCCCCAGGATAAACAATTCCAGCAACTTCAACCACCCTATATAATTTTCAGGTGCTTTGAATTATCTCTTATCCTTATCAAAAATTCTGGATGCTCTTCAGTTTGACCATCTCCTTGGTACCTAGAAAGGAAAATAATAGTTCATAGGTAGTCTGACTAAAATGAGGGGAATCAAATTATCACTTACTTTGTTTTGAAAACCGCATGACGTTTTATACCTGACTCCCTCATTATCGTATTCATTGCAGTCTCCATCTTTGTATCACCTGTAAATTGGCTCAGCAAGCCTTCTATTTATTTATCCACATTAATGATAAAATTTTGAACATATCTGAGCCAGAGAGAGAGAGAGTCCTGGGCCTTGCCACAGAGATCTCAATGCACATAAGAAGTCAATTGGCAGCAGTAATTGTAAGCAACTGCTCCCATGGAAAGCTCCATGGAGCACGTCCATGGAGATGTTCAAGGACGGCGAGCATATGAAGCATGATGACTTATACAAGTCATGCAGTGAAGCTTCAAAAGGAAACCACCAAAGTGATATTTGTGTAGCTTCCAGAGCTCAGCTAAAATGCCATGGATTCAAATGGGCAAGTGGAAGTCAACACTGAGTGGTGACAAGGGACTCTGAACACATTGTCTAGGACTTAAAATTCACTGGCACTGAAAAGACTTTTGGCTACACCTCCACGTCTCTGCCCAGCACTGTAACTGTTTATACATAATCATGCCTTATTTGCCTGAGGAAAACTTTTCCTCGAAGGGATTATCAGTTATTTATTCATCAGCTAGAGATAGCACAGGGTAGTGAAAGAGTGCATGCCTGGGACTCTGGCAACCTGGGTTCATTACTGTTTCCATAAGGAGTTAGCTTAGAGGCTTTTGAAAATCACTTAATTTTGGCCAGGTGCGGTGGCTCACGCCTGTAATCCCAGCACTTTGGGAAGCCGAGGTGGGCAGATACCCGAGGTCAGAAGTTCGAGACCAGTCTGGCCAACATGGTGAAACCTGTCTCTACTGAAAACACAAAAGTTAGCTGGGCATGGTGGTGGATCCCTGTAATCCCAGATACTCAGGAGGCTGAGGCAGGAGAAATGCTTGAACATGGGAGACAGAGGTTGCAGTGAGCCAAGATAGCACCACTGCCCCCCAGCCTGGAGTCTGAGGTGGACAGACTCCATTTCAAACAAACAAACAAACAAACAAAGAAAAACATTTAATTTCTCTGGGCCTCATTTTTTTTCATTTGTAAATTCAGTTTGGGCCAATCTCTAAATTCTGTTTTACTTCCTAATAAACATTTATAGCTAGAATTTTGGGAACAATTTGCTGAATACCAATATGAAAGAGGCTTGAAGAACTTGGATAGTAAGCCCCAGGTCACATGGTCCATGTGAAGCAAAGCAGGAATTTGAATTCAGTTTGCCGTGAATGCCTTCCTATCTACAAAATAGAACCAGGCTTCAAGCAAATAGAAAAAACTATAGGAATAAGGAAAATTCTAGAAATAGAAATAAGGTTTTCCGGGAAACACTAAATTGCGTTAACATTCTGCTGAAGTTATTATTGGCGTTTTTATGAAACCTCCAGGAAAAGAGGATTTATTAGCTAAAAAGTAGCTTTTGACAGGTCTGTGAGGTTGTTCGGTATACAGTTTTGTTTTGTTTCGGATAGATCCTCATCCTGTTTGCATTCAGCCTCCAGCTCTCACAATTTCTGTGACCTTGGGAAAATTAATTTTTTTATACCTCATTTCCTCATCTGTAAAATGGGCATGGTATGAATAGCATCTGCTCCACACAGGTTTTTACGAGAACTAAATGGGAAGGTGAGAATAGTATCTAATAAGCTTGTAATAAATATTGGCTTAATAAATATTACATTGCAGAAGATATTTTTTACATGGGTAGCTTGCTGAAATCCTAAATTATTTAAATATGTGCCAAAGCACAAAACTCTGGAATTAGACTAATAAGTGTAAACTTTATAAAATTTTTCTTTATGATTGTTTCATTTGTTTTTCCAAATTCAGAATATAATAAAGAAAATGTTTAGTTAGAGTGAAGATTAATTTGAGCTCTGTGCTTGAAATAAAAGCTTTATCTTTGGAACTAGCACAGACCTCTAGGCATTGAGAGAACAAGTTTCTCTTTTTCATTCCCAGAAGTGCTCTTTCATCATACATATTTTTTTTCTTTATATGAGCCAACTTTCAAAATATTTGGAAGAAGAAAGGATTCATTCTCAGGTTTCTCATTATTGCTTTGCTGGTGACCTTGGGAAAGTCAATTAAATTCTTTCATGTTTTTCATAACATGGAAATAATAAGTGAGACTATTCAGCACATAAATCAATGATTTGGGAGTGCTTAAAATCCTGCAAAAATATGAAATACCAGAATATTACTATTTGAAAATAATGAATTTCTGTTTGTGTTCCAAAAACAAAATAATCACATATTTTATTGATAAAGGAAGGTACATCGCACATGTGACAAATGCTATTTCCTAGTCCCCAGTTAACATATTCAATGCTGAAACATGGAGGATTTATTGTGGATGTTCTGTAGCAGTGTAATCCTTGCCCCTTGCCAGCCTGCCTCCCCCTCTAAGATAAGTAGAGACTTTTGCCGCTATTTTTAGTTTGAAATTAGATTTAAATAGGGAAAACATTAATCTCGTGATTACCCTCCTCACAGAATTCCAAGCCTGAGCTTTCACAGAGGTCACACTGTTCCTTAGAGTGATCTGTAACTGAAGTTTCAAAGAATACCCAGCTAGTGAGTCCAGGAATGAAACTATGTGTTTATTTAAATATCTCACCAAGGAGGGCAAAATATGAGAATGATGTGTCCTCTAACATTTGCAAAGAAATCTTTGGCAATAAATCCCAATGACTCTTTGGAATTGGATAGCTCTGCTCAGTATGTTGGACAGATTTACAGGATATCAGGTTATGGGGCACAGCTTTTGGTGATGATATTTCTATGGAAACAAGACCTCTGGGGAGATGTCTACAATTTGTGCACCCTACAGGACTTCTCTGGGAGGTCAAGTGCAGTAGGCCCTGTGGTTAGCTGCCATCTTGCCCTAGCTCCTCTTCTTAGAGTAACTTTCCTCTTTGGCCCTGGAAAAGACCTGCCTGGTTTCTTGGATTGTTCTATATTACCGAATCATTATTTTGTTCTATATTACCGAATCATTCTTTGCTTACCTTTGTGGATAATTAGAATTTAAGAGGTGAAGTTTTCTGAATATTGCCAGGCCTTATGTTTTATTTATTAATTAATTCATTCTGAACATGCAATGCTGAGTGTCCATTGTGTATCAGGCACCGTACAAGATCCTCATTAGCGTTACAAAGAGAAAAAACAGAGTACCTACTCTCAAGGAGTGTACATTCTAGTTAGGGAGCAGAAAACGTTCTGCTTTTATGAATACCTATTGACTCCTTAGTAACTTTTGAAGAAGCTAACCTTTTGATAAAATTTTGCCCATTTAAGTTTGGTTTGCATTTTACCTTCTAGAAACAAAATTTTCGTTAGTTTTTCAGTGAATATGATTTTAAAGCATTTCATAGAATTTAGTAAAATATGATATATGAGTAAATGTTATTGAAATATGTTAATGTTTTGAATGAGTTCTTCAGATTCCAGAACTGCTCAAAGTTTCATTTCTGAAAATGGGTTTAAGACAGATTTAGAGAAAATGCTTGGATTTAAGTCAAATAAAGAATCTTAAGTTATAGGAAGACAAATTAAATAAGTTATGACTAGAAACAGTTATCTGGGTAACTGAGACCCCTTCTTTCCCAGGAGTCAGTGCTTATGTCTGTATGTGGAGAGGGGTTGATATTCAGATCAACTGATCTATGAACAGTATCCATACTGCCCAAAACTTCTGAGGATAGAAATTATTTGTAATCATCCTTAATTACCTTATATTTCCTAGCCAACACACTGCCTTGCATATAATAAACATTCAACAATTATTTGCTGCATAGCATTGAAGTGAATTGAATTAAGTCAAGTGTCTAAATATCTGCTTATCCCCATGACCACTAACCACTGGCTGTGATAAACTTTCTTGGTTTGACTCTTAATATTGAAAACACAAGGGCCTGTTCCTGACTTTTTCTTTCTACCCTCTGTGTCTCATTTAAAAAATTACTAGTAGGCCCACTGTGAGTGAATTTTGTTTTTGTGTGTGGATTTTCCTTAGGACTAATTTCATTTGGGGCTGAGCTTTTCCTTCTAACCCTCCCTTGAGTCCTATGTAAACAACATATTTAAAAATAGAAATGTATTGATTTTTTAAAAGATGATCCCATACACGAGGTATATAAAATTACTGCTTTTAAAAAGTCACTGCCTCTCCCTCATCCAGCTTGAAATAGCATTTAGTATAATAAACATTTACTTACTAAACATACTGGAACAGAAGAATTGGGTGACAGATTATTTTATGTTTAAACATCCACTGGCAAACACTAACCAACTCTTTTTCAAGTTAACTAGACTGGGTCTTTTTGGCTGGAAGCCTCTCTTCACTTAGCTGAAATGGCACTCTGCATGTTTTAAGGAGACACACGGATTTCCAAACTTAATCTTTAAATCCCTAATACTCGGTCTGTGCTATAATTCACTAATTCTCTTCTTGTTAAAAGACAGTCTTAAAGAGGAGGAGTGAAATTATTTTTAAAAAATCAACAGCAAACTTCGAAATGTGTGTGTAAGCTTTTTGTTCAAGGGAATCAGAATGGACTGCATGTTTGTTTTCACATTTTCATGCATCCATTTTCCAATATTATAGATTTAGTAGCCAAGGTCTAAATTGATACAACTTGTTCCTTTGTTTAATAATTTATTTGACAAAAAGGCATAGAGAGTTTCCTGTGTGGAAGGCATCTTCTCAGTGGACACACACTGTCTCAGATAGCATCATCACCTTCACTTAACCTATTTAAGATCCAAGACAGGAGCTAAGGATCACAAACATCTAGCAGGTTACAGTCTGAGTGTGGGCAAATAGGCTGAACGGTAGGTCACTGCTGGTTGGACACTGTGGAGGAAGTGCCATTTATCTTAGATCCTGAAGAACAGGGGGAATTCTAACATGCAAAATCAGAAGAAAAGAAGAAAAATAAATTATGTGGTGAAAAAAGTACGGGACTGGAAAGCAACAGATCTGGGTTCTGGCCTCTATCAGAAATTGATTTCATGAGCTCTAGTACCTCAAGCTTCTCATTTATAAAATGAAGAATTGGGCTAGATGATCTCCAGCTTCTTTTCCAGTTCTACCATTCTGTGACTATATGGCACTTCAAACGAGGGGAATGACCTGAGCAAAGGTATAGATTTAGTATGAATGGTAATGGATGAACAGTAATCATGATGAGCTGGTATGTAGGGTTCATGATGAAGAAAATAACAGTAGGCTTTGGTTTTGAATATCAAGGTGAGATTACCTGGAAAAATATTAGTGATCATAACAAGATCTGATATTAAAACAGTATTTTGATTGTAGTTTGGAAAAGCAAAACCTTTCAGTTTGCTTTACCCATCTTCTGACACTCAGAAAATAGTACTGAATGGCCAGATACTTGCATGAAGTTTTGTTGCTCTTCTTATTGTATTTCCAGTTGCTCCAATTAATTGCTTCAGGAAAGTTTGGTGATTTCTTGCTCTTCTCAGAGAGAAACCAGTCCCAATGGTGGGTAAAATTTAGACATTTGGGATGTTTAAGAAACAACGATATCAATCTTGGCATCTCAGAGGAGGAGCCAAGGCCTTCTGGGGGCATCAGAAACCTTTCTTTCTAACCTGTTTGTTATATAGGTTGCTGGTTTTTGTCAACAAGTTGGTGGTTTTGGAAATACATGAAAGAAGATGTACTATTTCAGGTTATAAAATCCTTGTGAAGGATATCTTTTTGTGAGCCAGGCTTAGTCAAGTCAAAGTCACTGGGAGGTGCCATGAGACGCCCTCACTACACACACACACACACACACACCCATACACACACACACACACACGAAAAGTAAAGTTCTTCCAGCTAAACAGAGCTTCATCTTGCTGTGCATTTCTTTGCCGTCCTAAAGCATCATAGCTCCTATGTGAAGAGCAAGGAGTAGGGGGCTGCAACAGTTTGGACTTTATTTGAAGGACAGGGAGGAGTAATTGTTTTTGTTTTTTTATTTTTGAGTAGAGAGTGGTTTTATTTGAATCTTTCATTAGTAAGGTTGATTTGGAGACAGAATACAGTTCGGATGAGACAAATTGGAGTAGGGAGACTGTACAGGCAGAGAAATCTGCTAGGATGTATTATGAGAAGCTTAAAATAGATAATAATAGTAAGACTAGAATGGAAGAAATTTTTTAAATGTTGAGAAGGAAGACTAGAATGATGTAGAACAGTGCTGTCCAGTAGAAATATAAAGCAATCTACATATGTAATCTAAACTTTCTGATGACCACATTAAAACAAGACAAAAAGACATAGGAGAAATTAATTCTAATAATATATTTTATTCAACTCAGTCATTTCAACATGTAACTAATTTTTAAAAAATATTAGTGAGATATTTTATATTCATGCTTTTTGTACTAAGTTTTCAAAACTTGGTGTGCACTTTGCACTTACAGGTCTCAATTTAGACTAGCCAGATTGTAAGTGCTCAGTAGACACATGTGGTTAGCTGCTACCATATTGTTCAACACAGCTCTGGAATGATGACAAATTGCATAAATTGGACTAGAAGAAGGGGAGGGAGAATCTGAGGGATTGAGTCTAAAAAAAGAAGAGTGCCTCCTTTATTAAAACTGGAAATATCAGAAGATGCATATGATTGAGGAAGAGAGTGGGGATAGAGGATGAGCAAGTAATGATTCCATCATTTTGACTTAAAAGGGCCAGTAAAACACCTGTTGGGGGATATGTGGCAGGCAACCGTAAAAGTAGGGTTATTCAGCATGGAAGACAGAACTCAAAATGGAGATACAGCCTTGGGAGCTGGTTCTAAGAGCATGAACATCAGAAATGGTGATATTCAATGTGGTTACTAGTGCAGAGGTACGGAGAGAGGAGAAAGCCTTGAGCAACCCTGAAAGTGGAGGGTTCAAGGAAGAAGGTGATTTGGCAAAGGAGAAAGGGTCACAGTCGAAGGCTGGGAGGAGAGCCAGTTCTAGCAGTGCCTGAGTGAGGGATTGTTGAGCTGAAGTCTACCCAGGATTAGGAAGGCACATAAGGCAGGAGAAAAATGGAAGCACAAGAAGAAACTTATGGTAACAAAGGGGTGTTTCAAGTTTGAATTTCATTCTGCCATTAGCTAACTAGATAACTTTAGAGAAATGACTCCATCTTTCTAAATCTTTGTTTTCTAATTGTAATAACAAAATAATAGACGCTAATACATACTACTTGCTTATTCTCCTATATGCCAGACACTTTGTTAAGTGCTTTAAGACCATTATTTCATTTCATTTTTATAAAAAACATTGTAAAATATATTTTAGGGGTTATGCTGACATAAGATATTATTAGATGATAATACAATCAAGGCACCTATTTTTAACTTATCTTAGACAGCTTGCTTCCTAATGAAGCTCTTATGAAGTAGACAGATGCATAAGGGACATGAAAAATAGCAAGTGTGGTACCCTTTACATTTTCTGGGTTCTGCCTTGAACCCCAACTTAAGCGTCTAATAAAAAGGCTGAAATGCATGAGCCTTTTCACTCCTCCGTGGGAGACCATGACTCAGCTCACCACCCAGCAGTTTAAAGGAGACGTGCCAGAGACAGACACACTCATGTGCACATCTTTCTTTCTTTTTATGAGACAGAGTCTCATTCTGTCACTTAGGCTAGAGTGCAGTCGCATGATCACAGCTCATTATAACCTCGACCTCCCAGGCTGGGCTCATGTGACCCTCCCGCCTTAGTCTCCAGAGTAGCTGGAACCACAGGTGCCCACCACCTCACTTGGCTATTTTTTTTTTTTTTTTTTTTTTTTTTTTTTGTAGAGACGAAGTCCTACTGTGTTCCTCAGGCTGGTCTTGAACTCCTGGGTGCAAACAATCCTCCTACCTCGGCCTCCCAAAGCGCTGGGCTTACACGCATGAACTATGACACCCAGCCCATGCATCCAACTTTCTTGTGCACAGTGACCTACCACTAGTAAAAATGGCTCAATAAATTACCTGGTCTCTAACCAACCAGGTTAGTTGAGGGTGTAAAGAGGAGTGATGGCAGAGGGGTGGATAAATTAAATACTCTCTGACTTTTCTTTGAGGTCTCCAGGAAGTTTTCTTGTCCCTATTTTATGAGAAAATTGAGGCCTGAAGAACTTCCTGGAGACTTGACTTTTGTCAAGTGGCAGAACTCAGATTCAAAAGCAGGCCTGACTGATTCCTAAGGTTCTTAATAATTGAACAAACTTAGAACTAGCATTCTACATTTCTGCAAGTATTTTATTAGAAAGTAGGATTCTCACCAATTTATTTTGACTTCTAAAGTCATATTATTTATATTACACTTCACTGTCTTTTTTTGTTATTGCTAACTTCATTTCTACAAGGCAAATTAGTTTAGTTATATTGCACTGACATGCGAGAAAACATAGGCAGAGGGTGTCGAGGGAAATAACATTTGCACAGTTATTTGGAACTAATGTTATTACCTAGCTGCCTTCTTGGCCTAGTTTTGATTTTAATTATTTTATCTCACATTTCAAATACATATATATAAATATATATATATATATATATATACACACACACACACACACACACACGTATATATATACATACATACATATATACATACATACATATATATATACACACACATATATATGTATTTGAAATGTGAGATAAACGTAAAATATATTTGTATATATATTTTATGCCTCATAAATTCAGGAAATTTTGCATTTATTTTATATATATGAAATTTTCTATACATACTATATATACATATTATACACACACACACACACACACACACACACACAGACCTAGTTTATATATATTTCTCCCAAGATCAACATCATTTCTGTCAGCTTAGCCACATACTTTCTTAGGCTGTGGAGGCATATGAACCTCAGAACACCAGGTTATTATATTAGGTTTGCTCCTAATATCAACTTTCTCTTTTCAATTTGATCTAAACTGTTAGGTGAGGATCTAAAAAAAGATTAAGATTGGGGAAGGATAACAGTTCAGGCTTTTGGTACAGGCTGACCTTGATCATTTTTGTCTTGTGTTTGAAATAAACCTCCCGTCATTTAATTCAGACCTCACCATCCATATCCTCTTAAACAGATTATTTGTCATCTAGAATCTGAGCTTAAAATGACTTTGGTTTCTTCAAGCCAATACCAGTCAACTTTTTGTGTAAGTGGCCAATTTAGAAATCTAAGCTATGATTTTCATTCATTCAATCATAGCAAAATAGTCATTATTTGTACAGTGCTTTCTAAATACAAGGTCTTGTATATGCTGTTCATGAATTAATTTATTTAATTTTCATATTATTCTGTGAGTTAGCTGCTATAATTATTCTTATTGTATTGAAAGTAAATCTAAGCAGAGGGCATTTAGGTTACTTGCTCAAGATCATACAACTAGTAAATTGGAGAGCTGGGATTCAAGACAATGTGGCTTTAACTACTAAGCTATGTTATATTTCAAACAGAGGACATGAATGCCTGGAATGCACAGCAACATTCTAAAAATTTTAGGCCCCAATTATAATTTTTTAATCAAAATGACAAGCTAATTGGAAACTTGGTTATTTCAATCTATTAATATTTATTTATTTAGCATCCGTGACACAACAAAGCAAGAGAGGATATGGTAATGCATAATGATAACACAAAGTCCTTGCCCTTGAGGCATCTAGTTGGGAAGATGAAACTGCCACATGGAATATTCAGAGAGCAATAAAAGTGTGTAGTTAAATGCTGAGTCATGTGGTGTATTAAGACGTGTACTAGAAGAGCATGGAGAAGAAGAAGAATGCAAAAGACCAGTGGTCAGGAAAAGACTTGTAGAGTCCTTAACATTTAAGATAGGGAGAAACAGGGTGAGGAGAGAGGCTATAAGGAGACCCTGGCAAGATGAGTAAGAGGAAGGTGACTGGAATATCAGAGAGTGGAATGAATGTGGTATGGTTTCTATATTCTTCATTCCCTTGGTCTCTCTTCTGTCTCTGTATGCAAATACATACATGCATGCATATTTGTGCTGTATATGAGTATATATAGGTATACTTCACAGATTTATAATGTTTGTTTTGTACCAGTATTAAAATGTCTCTGATAAACTCAGAAACATGATGGGAGTGATGGTTAATACTGAGCGTCAATTTGATGGGATTAAATAATACAAAGTATTAATCCTGGGTGTGTCTGTGTGGGTTTTGCCAAAAGAGATTAACATTTGAGTCAGTGGGCTAGGGAAGGCAGATCCACCCTTAATCTGGTGGGCACAATCTAATCTGCTTCCAGTGAATATAAAGCAGGCAGAAAAATGTGAAATGTTGAGAAGGACCTAGCCTCCCAGCCTACATCTTTCTCCTGTGCTGGATGCTTCCTGCCCTCAAACATCATACTCCAACTTCTTCAGTTTTGGGATTCCCGTTGGCTCTCCTTGCTTCTCAGCTTGCAGACAGCCTACTGAGGGACCTTGTGATCATGTGAAACTCAATCTTAGTAACCTTCCATATCTATCTATCTATCTATCTATCTATCTATCTATCTATCTATTATCTATCTATCTATCTATCTATCTATCTCCTATTAGTTCTGTCCCTCTAAGAGAACCCTGACTAATACAGATTTTGGTACCAGAAGTGGTTCTAGAGGAACAGAATACTAATGATGGAGTTCTTTCATTGGTTTTGGGGTTTCTGGAGTTGGCTGCTTAATGATTAGACCCAAAAATGCTAAGGACTCTACTTTTAATAGTATGGAGAACACTGATAGTCCTTGGCATGAGCTGTTTAGGGAGTTATCCAAAATAAATGCATTTGACACACTTGATTCATTGCTCATGAGAGGCAAGGAGTTTAGTGACTCTACACATAATACCTTTGACCATATGTGGAGAACCAAGGAACATAATAAAGCTGGTTGGTTGCCCCTAAATTCAGTGGAAAAAGTGATGAAAGAAAATTATGAACTCAAGGATTCTGTCTCCCAGCTTCAGAAGCAGATATTGAACCTCAAATCTGCTAGGATTGCCCTGACTGAGAGGCTTATCTCCTGTAGAAAGAGAACTGAAATTGTGGACAAACAGACACAAGCTCTTATCATGCTAGTGGCTGACCTGCAACAGAAGATGCATGCACAGCCTCGCCAGGTGTCTATTGTTAAATGAAGGCATTGATTGGAAAAGAATAGGCCCCTGAAACTTGGAATGGGGATGTGTTGTTAAATGAAGGCATTGATTGGAAAAGCATGGGACCCTGAAACTTGGAATGGGGATGTGTTGGAAGACCCTGATGAAGCTAGGACACTGAGTTTGTAAACTCTGATGAAGTTTTTTTGCCAAAAGAAACAGCTTCCCCATCCCCAGTAGTGGCAATATCCTCTCCCTGACCCATGTTGCCATCAGCCTGTCCACCTTTGTCTGAAGAGATAAACCCTGTGCTGCCTGAGGCAACAGTGATGGCCTCCTATTAGGCAGTTGCCAGGCAAGATAATGTTGATTCTCCTCAGGAGCCACCCCCAACACCTCTGTTTGCTTCTAGACCTATAACTAGACTAAAGTTCCAGTGGACCCCTAGAGGTGAGATTGAGAGTATGACCCATTAGGAAGTGCACTGTACTCAAAAAGAACTGTTTGAGTTCTCTGATTTATATAAATAACAATATGGAGAACAGGCATGGGAATGGATATAAAGGATGTGGGTTAATGGTGAAAGGAACATAGAGTTGGATCAGGCTGAATTTATTGATTTGGGCCCACTAAGTAAGGACTCTGCTTTTAGTGTTGCAGCTTGGGGAGTTAAAAAAAGGGTTCTAATCATTTATTTGCTTGGTTCACTAAAATATGGGTTAAAAGATGGCCCACTGTGAGTGAGCTGGAAATGTCTCATCTCGCTTGGTTTAATGTAGAGGAAGAAATCCAAAGATTTAGGGAGATTGGGATGGTGGCATAGATTACTCATGTTAGACCTACTCATCCCAGCTGGGAGGGCCCAGAAGATATACCCTTGACCAGGTATACCAGTTGCAAAATAGATTTGTGAGGGCAGCACCCACATCTTTGAATAGCCCTGTAAATTCTCTTCTCTGTATGTCAGATCTTACAGTAGGATCCACAGCCACTCAACTACAAAATTTAAATACAATGGTAACAGTTGGATCGTGAGGTGGCAGGAGCCAAGTGGCAGCACTCAACAATCAAAGGCAAGGTGGGAGTAGCTACCATAATGGACAGCAGAGGCAAAGTGGCAATCAGAATAGTCTGACTCATGTAGAGCTCTGGCACTGGATAACTAATCGTAGTGTTTCTAGAAGTGAAATTGATAGGAAGACTACTGCATTCCTACTTAAATTATACAAACAGAAAATTTCTAGGTTGAATGGACAAAAGACTAATTTGAATTACAAAAATAGAGAATCATGGCCCCTCAATTAATTTCCGACTTGAGCCAGTTTACTGACCCAGAATCCCTTGAATGAAGGGGAGACCAGGACCCCTTGAGGAAGGACCCCACTGCATTACCAACAATTTATGTGGTGAATCTTTCTCCCATTCTTCCCCAGGGAGACCTCTGGCCTTTTACCAGGGTAACTGTGCATTGGGAAAAGGGAAATGATCAGACACTTTGGGGACTACTGGACACTGGCTCTGAGCTGACGTTGATTCCAGGGGACCCAAAATGTCACTGTGGTCCTCCAGTTAAAGTAGGAGCTTATAGAGGTCAGGTAATTAATGGAGTTTTAGGTCAGGACTGACTTACAGTGGGTGAAGTGGGTCCCCGGATTCATCCTGTGGTAATTTCCCCAGTGCCAGAATGCATAATTGCCATAGACATACTTAGCAGCTGACAGAACCCCCACATTGGCTCCCTGACTGATAGGGTGAGGGCTATTATGGTGGGAAAAGCCAAATAGAAGTCATTAGAGCTGCCTCTACCTAGGAAAATAGTAAATCAAAAACAATATCGCATCCCTGGAGGGATTGCAGAGATTAGTACCACCATGAAGGGTTTGAAAGACACAGAGGTAGTGATTCCCACCACATCTCTGTTCAACTCTCCCATTGAGCCTGTGCAGAAGACAGATGGATCTTGGAGAATGACAGTGGATTATTGTAAGCTTAACCAAGTGGTGACTCCAATTGCAGCTGTTGTACCAGATGTGATTTCATTGCTTGAGCAAATTAACACATTTCCTGGTACCTGGTATGCAGCCACTGGCTTGGCAAGTGCCTTTTTCTCCATCTCTATCCATAAGGCCCATAAGAAGCAATTTGACTTCAACTGGCAAGGCCAGCAATATACCTTTACAGTCCTACCTCAGGGGCATATCAACTTTCCAGCTTTGCATCATAATCTTATTTGGAAAGATCTTGATTGCTTTTTGCTTTCACAAGATATCACACTGGTCCATTACATTGATGACATTATGCTGATTGGATCTGGTGAGCAAGAAGTAGCAAACACACTGGACTTATTGGTGAGACATTTGCATGCCAGAGGATGGGCAATTAATCTGACTAAAATTCAGAGACCTTCTACCTCAGTAAAATTTCTAGGGTTCCAGTGGTGTGGGGCCTGTCGAGATATTCCTTCTAAGATAAAGGATAAGTTCCTGCATTTGGCCCCTCCTATAACCAAGAAAGAGGCATAATGCCTAGTGGGCCTATTTGGATTTTGGAGGCAACACATCCCTCGTTTGGGTGTGTTACTCCAGCCCATTTATTGAGTGACCCAAAAGGCTTTGAGTTTTGAGTGGGGACCAGAACAGGTGAAGGCTCTGCAACAAGTCCAGGCTGTTGTGCAAGCTGCTTTGCCACTTGGGCCATACGACCCAGAAGATCCAGTGGTGCTTGATGTGTCAGTGGCAAATAGGGATGCTGTTTGGATCCTTTGGCAGGCCCCCATAAGTGAATCACAATGGAGGCCTCTATGCTTTTGGAGCAAGTCCCTGCCATCTTCTGCAGATAATTACTCTCCTTTTGAGAGACAGCTCTTGGCCTGTTATTGGACTTCGGTGGAAACTGAACACTTGACCATGGGTCATCAAGTCACCATGTGACCTGAACTGCCTGCCTATGATCAACTGGGTGCTTTCTGACCCACTTAGCCATAAAATGAGCTATGCACAGCAGTATTCCATCCTCAAATGGAAGTAGTATCTATGTGATCAGGCTCGAGCAGGTCCTGAAGGCACGAGTAAGTTACATGAGGAAGTGACTCAAATGCCCATTGTCTCTACTCCTGCTACCCTGCCTTCTGTCCCCCAGCCTGCACCGATGGCCTCATGGGGAGTTCCCTATAATCAGTTGACGGAGGAAGAGAAGACTAGGGCCTGGTTCACAAATAGTTCTTCATGATATGCACACACCACCCGAAAGTGGACAGTTGCAGCACTACAGCCCCTTTCTAGGACTTCCCTGAAGGACAGCAGTGAAGGGAAATCTTTCCAGTGGTCAGAACTTTGAGCAGTGCACCTGGTTGTGCACTTTGCATGGAAGGAGAAATGGCCAGATGTGTGATTATATGCTGATTCATGGGCTGTAGCCAATGGTTTGGCTGGATGGTCAGGAACTTGGAAGAAGCATGAGTGGGAAATCGGTGACAAGGAAGTTTGGGGAAGAGGTATGTGGATGGACCTCTCTGGGTGGTCAAAAATTGTGAAGATATTTGTATCCCATGTAAGTGACCTCAGCAGAGGAGGATTTTAATAATCAAGTGTATAGGATGATCCTGAGTGTGGACACCACTCAGCCTCTTTCCCCAGCCACCCCTGTCATCACTGAATGGGCCCATGAACAAAGTCGCCATGGTGGCAGGGATGGAAGTTATGCATGGGCTCAGCAACATGGGCTTCCACTCACGAAGGCTGACCTGGCTATGGCCACTGCTGAGTGCCCAATTTGCCAGCAGCAGAGACCAACACTGAGCCCTCGATATGGCACTATTCCTTGGGGTGATCAGCCAGATGCTTGGTAGCAGGTTGATTATATCGGACCTCCTCTATCATGGAAAGGGCAGACGTTTGACCTTACTGGAATAGACACTTACTCTGGATATGGGTTTGCCTATCCTGCACGCAACACTTTTTCCAAGACTACCATCCATGGACTCAAAGAATGCCTTATCCACCATCATGGTATTCCATCCAGCATTGCCTCTGATCAAGGCACTCGCTTTTTGCCTAAAGAAGTGCAAAATGGGCTCATGCTCATGGAATTCACTGGTCTTACCATGTTCCCCATTATCCTGAAGCAGCTGGATTGATAGAAAGGTGGAATGGCATTTTGAAGTCACAATGCCAACTAGGTAACAATACTTTGCAGGGCTGGAGTGAAGTTCTCCAGAAGACCATGTATGGTCTGAATCACTGTCCAATATATGGTACTGTTTCTCCCATAGCTAGGATTCACAGGTCCAGGAATCAAGGGGTGGAAGTGGCACCACCCACCATCACCCCTAGTGATCCACTAGCAAAATTTTTGCTTCCTGTTCCCACGACATTATGTTCTGCTGGCCTAGCAGTCTTAGTTCCAGAGGGAGGAATGCTGCCACCAGGAGATGCAACAATGATTCCATTAAACTGGAAGTTAAGATTGCCACCTGGACAGTTTGGGCTCCTCCTACATTTAAGTCAACAGGCTAAGAAGGGAGTTACAGTGTTAGTTGGGATGACTGACCCAGACTATCAAGATGAAATCAGTCTACTACTCCACAACAGAAGAAAGGAAGAGTATGCATGGAATACATGATATCCATTAGGGTGTCTCTTAATACTACCATACCCTGTGATTAAGGTAAATGGGAAACTACAACAGCACAATCCAGGAATGACTCCAAATGGCTCAGACTTCTCAGGAATGAAGATTTGGGTCACTCCACCAGGAGAAAAACCATGACCTGCTGAGGTGCTTGCTGAAGGCAAAGGGAATACAGAATGGGTAGTAGAAGAAGGTAGTCATCAATACCAGCTACGACCACGTGAACCAGCTGCAGAAATGAGGACTGTAACTGTCATGACTATTTCCTTCTTCTTTTGTTAAAAACATGTTTGCACATGTAAACACTTGTACTAAGAAAATATCTTCATTTTATTTCCTTTTCATTTATCATGTAACATAAGATTTATTGGCCTCATGTCAGCATTTAAGTACTGTTAACTGTATGTAATAGTATTTGGGTTGGGGATTGGTGCATTTCCAGTTGCATGAAGGATGGTTGGATTATGTTAGGCATAATTATGACCTCATTATTGCCTTTATTTGAATATTATGCATGTGTATGGGTTCACACTGAGTCAGTGTGCTGGGGAAGGCAGATCCACCCTTAATCTGGTGGGCACAATCTAATCAGCTTCCAGAGAATATAAAGCAGACAGGAAAATATGTAAAAAAGAGAGATGGGCCTAGCCTCCCAGACTACATCTTTCTCCATGCTGGATGCTTCCTGCCCTCAAACATCGGACTCCAAGTTCTTCAGTTTGGGGACTTGGGTTGGTTCTCCTTGCTCCTCAGCTTTCAGACAGCCTATTGTGGGACCTTGTGATTGCACATATATATGTGTATACATATGTGTGTGTATATATGGTGTACATATATATCCTATTAGTTTTGTCCCTATAAAAGAATGCTGACTAATACAGTGGGTTACTGGGAGATGGCAATTGATAACTTCTAAATCTGCAATGACTCGTCTGTAAGAGAGAAATGAGATAATGGCTATCCTTCAACCATATCCTGCAATACTACCCTCCTTTCAGAAATCAAGGACAAGTCAATACTTACACCAGAAAGATATTTTTATTAAAAAAAAAACTCCTCTGTATATGGTAAAATTGATTGTTTTTTGATTGACACCACATTTTACTCTTGTACACTTTTTTGGTTTTATCATTGCTGTAGGCAATAGAGAGGAAATTGCTCTGTAATATTATCCCTCTGTATTTGACAATAAAATCCAAGAAAAATAAAGTCTTCCTCCAGTACAGTGAGTTAGGTGATTGAGATGAAAATTCCCAGTTTTATGGGTAGGTAGAGTTATGAATCATGGGTGCTGTTACCAAAAAAAGCTACATTTTTAAGACCAGGATAGGAAATTCTTACATAAAATTCTCTCGTCTTATGCAGCCTTGATTATATGAAACAAAGAAACCAAAATTCCTGTTTTTTTTTTGAAAAGTTTTGAGACATAGTAAATTGGTTTTTATTTGCCACAAGATTTTTTTACAACTGATAAAAAAATTTTTTCAATATAATTCTTATTTACCCCAAAACTGTAATCCACCGACTTGACTTAATAGCTATCTTTTTTTCGGGCCAGGCACGGTGGCTCATGCCTGTAATCCCAGCACTTTGGGAGGCTGAGACAGGTGGATCACGAGGTCAGGAGATCGAGACCATCCTGACAATCATGGTGAAACCCCATCTGTACTAAAAATACAAAAAAAAAAAAAAATTAGCCAGGTGTGTTGGTGGGCGCCTGCAGTCCCAGCTACTTGGGAGGCTGAGGCAAGAGAATGGCATGAACCCAGGAGGTGGAGCTTGCAGTGAGCTGAGATCGTGCCACTGCACTCCAGCCTGAGCGACAGAGTGAGACTCCACCTCGAAAAAAAAACAAAGCTGTTTTTTTCATGTCAGTTGAGTATAATATTCTTGTTCTACTTTTGTATCCTTAATAACCCACTTTGAGCAATTAGTGGAGGAAAAACCGTATTTGTATTCTGCACTCAGTGGGGCCATTTATATTTGGACATCATCATATCTGGTAGTTCACTGACAGTAGAATCAGATGGTAAAATTGATTCTCTTCTTATTTCTTTTACAAAATTCATCACAATCTTATAGATATTACAATAAGCTTCAGTGGTAGTGTTGATCTTGATTTCATCAACAGGAGGTACATTTGTATGTACGTCTGTGTGTCTGTGTGTGCAACCAAAATGGCAGCCTTTCAGAGTAATTACATATTCTCTAGATTCCTAGAGTCGCTTTTCCTTTAGTATTGAAGCAAAAAATTTATTCAGTTATCTTCTCACATATTATTGGAAACCTATCATATTTTCCCATAGCTATGCTGATTCCTGTTGAGTTTGATCAGTGGGGGGATGTCACTTGCATTTTTTCTGATCGCTTCTGACTTCTAGTTCTTGCTCTGTTGAATTACAAAGTTCTTCTCAACCTTTCATTTCCTACCTGTAAGGCCATATTTCACTGTGCTTTACACTGTCCAAACTGTTTACTACTAAAGTCCTCTGAGTCTAGAATATGTGCATAGCAGACTTTCCTGAAGGACTTGGGGGACTAAAGGAGAATTATATAAAATAGGCAACATACTTGATGTAATCTAACCTTCAGTGTTAGACAGCCTTGGTCTTAAAAGTCACTTATTCATTCTCATCGCAGTTAATCATCATTGGTTATATATTTGACTTTGCCTTCAGCCTATTGCCATGCTGTTGGACTTCCCTTTCTTCCTTCAACTGTTTTCCCTCTCTCTTCAGCTTGCTAATCTCTAACCCAAAATTCCTGTTCATTTCTTCTATAGAATAGTTTATTCATATCCTTGAGTTGAAGAATATTAACAAGAATGGCTATACTCAGCTTTGCTCTGAAGTTCTTATCTCTGTTGCCAGAATACCCCTTGATATAATTTATATGGTCAACTCATAACTTAAAATGTTTTTCTAAAGAATGATACATACTAAAAATATTATAGAATAAATGATATGTCTGGGGCTTCCTTGAAAATAATCTGAGGGAGAAGAATGGGTAAACATAGAGGTGAAATGATATTGACTATGGGTTGTTTTGTCAATATTGTTGTGCTATATCAATATTGACCATAAGTGTTGAAGCTAGGTGATAGGTGCATGGGGGTCCATTATATTTGTTTACTTTACTTTTGTATATACTTAAAGTACTCCATAATAACAAGCTAAATTTTTTTCTACTATGTATTGTAATACGTAGTATATGTTCTATAAATAATAGATAATTATGTAGATAATTACTATAAGCCAATGTAAGAAATTAATAGACTAAAACTCAGGGTAAAAGCAAATATTGGAAGGGAGGCAAACTTAAGGGTACATTGAAAAAATTGTAAGGAGAGATGCAATGATAACAAATATACTTGTTAGCTTCCAGGGCACAAAAAATTACCAAAACTTAGTGGCTGAAAACATCAGACGTTCATTATCCCAAAGCTGTGGGTCAGGAATCGGGGCAAAGTTTAAGTGGATTTCTCAGGATCAAGATGCTTTGCAAGGGTGTCATGAAGTTGTTGGCTGGAGCACCAATCATACGAGGCTGGGCTAGATGAATATCCACTTCCACAAACACATTTATGTAATTCTTGGCAGGTCTCAGATCCTCGCTGGCTGTTGTCCAAAGACATCAGTTTCTTGTTCACATGGTTCTCTCCATAGGGAAACTCTACAACATGGGAGAGATTTCCCTTAAAGAGTGATTGAGGGAGGAACTCCAGGTAGAAGCCACAGTCTTTTTGTAATCTAATCTCAGGTGACAGACACTTGCTTCTTCTATATTCTACTTTTTAGAAGTATGTCAATAAGTTAGGAGGAGGGTATCATTTGGGGCCATGTTAGAGGGTGCCCACCATAGTCTGCACTTTGGGCCTCAATAATTTACCTTTCTCTCACATTCCAAATACATTCATTCCCTCCCAAGGTCCCCAAAGTCTCATGTCATTATAGCTATCAGCTCAAAGTCCAGGATCTCATCAACTAAGTCAGATCCCGGTACGGAAGAGATTTCTCAGGGTGAGTTCCAAAGTTCAGCTCCTTATATGGATTCTCTTACTATAGAGACCTATGAAAATAGAAATCCAGGTTCTCTGCTTCTCACACATCAATATACTATGGTGAAACAGGTATAGGATAAACACTATAAATATTCCTTCAAAAACAGGGAAAATGCAGGGGTTGGGCACAAAGGAGTCTCTGATCCATAACAATTCTGAAATCTAACTGGGCAAATGTTGGAAATTCCTTAATTAGGTCTTAAGGCCTAGCAATAATTCTTTGTGGCTGTTGGCTCTGTCCTCTGGAATTATACTGTCAGCCCAGGCTCCTATCTATATACCACCAGCTGGATGCCTTAAACAACAGAAATTTATTTTCCCACACTTCTGGAGGCCAGAAGTCCAGGATCAAGGTGTCAGCAAGGAGGTCTTTCTTCCTGGCTTGCAGATGGCTGCCTCCTCACTGTGTCCTCAGATGGTCTTTCCTCTGTGTGTGTGCAGAGAAAGAGGGGAGAGAGAGCGAGAGAGAGCACGCGCGTGAGAGAGAGGTAAGACCGGTACAGCATGAACATAGAGATTAGAGGAACAATTTTATATATTATTCATACCAATCATCGTAATAATTTCCCAGGATGCCTTTCTTGTAGGTGAAGGTAAAGCCACTAAAAATTCCACGGGATAAATCAAAATCATGTTGTCTAGAACTTAAAGAATTATATAATGGTACTATTATTTGATTATACTTTTTATCTAATACAACCTTGATTTTGTTAATATTCCATCTACTCATTTATTCAACAAACTATTGTTAACCAGTTACTAATTGCTAGGCATTGAGGTTACCTTAAAAGAGCTAGCAAATTTTAGTTTCTAATTCTATAGGGTGATTTAATTTTCTATGTAAGAAAGTACCTTAACTGAAATAATTTTTTCAGGCTTTTTGTAGACTTCCTAAATAGTTCCATTTTTGTAAATAGTTTGAAAAAATAATTTTTTCATGAACATGTTTAAAAGCTAGAAGAGCAATTGAAATTTTCTAAATATATGAATATTTTTAAATTTAGATTTTAAATACGTATTGGCTTTTTCACATCTGGCAGAGAAGATACTTGTGGTTTACAGTGAAACAGGTAGCTCAGTGATTTATACTCTTTAAAGGTGACTGTCCCTGTGGAAGACTCAATAAGAGAAGGAATGATGCTCAGAAATCCCCTGGCTCGCTGTCGCCTGAATCAAGAGCTACATTTTAATATTAGTGCTTGGAAGATAAACGCTGCAGCCTCCAAGGGAGATGATCCTCACTGGGTATCAAATGACTCCAAGTGGGAGAACAGAGAAACGACTCAGCTGTTGACAAGCAGAGCTAAGTAAATATTTACGCCAGAAATGTGCACATTTGCTATAATAACATCACCCCTACTCAGCCACCCCAATAGATAAATAGATATTTTAGATTCCTCCCAGGAATATGGCATTCGTGGGATATTATTTTAAGTTATGTAGCTTTTGATGGGATGTTAAAGAAGATTTCTGTACAGACAAATATACTACATACCTGATAATTCCTTGGCTAATTTAACAGAGCCCCAGCCAATGTTCTTTGTGGTCAGAGGCCATCACTTGACTAGTCTAAAATATCACCAACAAGTCTCTTCTAGTCAGCATGCTCTGCTCTTCTAATGCCTGGTACAGAGAGGTGCTCTGCCCCACTGGGAGAATATTACTCAATATTAGGAATGACCTGATATCCTACATTCATTTTGACAAATGAAATATTGTCCTAGAGTCCTTTTGCAGTTCCATCTTCTAGGCCATTACTGAAGGCATGGTGTTCAGAAACCCAATTACCTTTTTTTTCCCCTTTGCTAGAAATGCCACACACATTGCCAATTTTCCTTCCAAAATTCAGAAGTGATACAACAATTAAAATGGATTTCTGTGTAGAAAGTGGTAGAGCCTAGCAGCTCAGCATTTCTTCACTTAAAAGCTGAAAATTGTATTTTCAAATAGTCTTCGTATTAGAGGAGACTTTTGTAAGCCTGCTTTGATTCTTTGCCTTTGATTCTTTGAATACTGAGTTATCTTGGTTGGGATATTTTAGTTTGTTTAGTAAAGCCCACATTATCATTTTCTCGGTGTAGGGAAAAGTCTTAGTTAATTAAGCCACATCCATGAATTGGATCCATTTCAATTATTTTTGAGATGTGATGCAATAGCAAATGTTCTTTAGAAAAATAACATTATATGAGTCATAATCGAATTCTAAACCACCTGAAACATAACTAAGTGAATGAGGAAAATATGCCACTAGAAAGAAGCTGAAAAGTAGAAAATTTTTTCTTGAGTTTATAATTACTATAGACTCTTTGGCATGAAGTATTGAACAAGTTACAAGAGCCTCAGTATGGCTAAGAATCTTTGTTTCACTGTAGCCTCATAAGAACAAAGGAGAGATTCCTAATTCACATGTGATGTTGTTCTTCATTTCTCGTGTTGTTTTTTTTAGAACTACCAGCAGTTTTTCTCAACCAGGTTAAAAAACAAAACAAACAGGTTCACTTTTGCCAGATATCTTAGAATGAAGAAAACCACAGTGCAAGTCAGGCAAAATGAGAAATCTTGAATAACCATTTTTCATTGTGTAAGTTGCTGTGAGATTCTCTGGTTTTTATAATAAACAGTGCATACAATGAATGGAAGAGAAAATACCAAGTGTCTCAGAAGTCCATCTCAGAAACTGTAAAATGAGAAAAAAAACCTTCTAAAACTCTCCTAATATATCTCTCAGGACTGGAAGAACTATAACTATTTTAGGCCTGCCCTTCTGACCCCACTTTCTTTCTAGCAAGTCAACAGAATTCAATAATCAAATGCTTCAAATGATGCCAAAAAGTCTGACATAATACCCAAGCACAGTTATTGGAGTTACAGCTGGGGAGAGGCAGAAACCATAGGTGGGTCTTTGTTGAGTCTAGGTCTGATTCAAAAACAAGAGAAAAACCATAAAAGCATCAAGCTAAGAAGACAATTGTATGTTTGGCCTTCCTGTAGAGACAATGGTAGGACTATTAGACTTCCACATTGTTTCAAAGTGAGTTCCTGGATTTCCTGTATCATAATTTCCCTCTCTGAGACTTTCAGAGCCACCCATATTCAAGGACAAGGCATTGTAAAAACAAGATTTAATTAGGGACCCAGGAGGTGGTGAAGATTTAGTATTACCCAATCAAATTAAATATTCTTCTGCAGCTTTTTATTTTCTTACAACTTAGCAAAGTTACTCAGAATATAAATAAATCTAATGGAGAATAAGCCCAAGTGATTAACTCAATAGTGGCAAATGCTATGACCTTCTCAGAGAGCACTTGGTTTTCCACTTTTGTCTGAATCCATTTCAAGAAGAATTAAATTCAAAAATAATGTGGAAAATTGTTTGATCCAGTGTGCAAAAATTCAGGGTTCTTTCAGAAAGAATAAAATTGTGCCATATGTCTAAGAATTTACAGAAAACTATTTAAAGTTCTAAGTGTCCACTATGGAATAGCTAGGAAAGCACTGGGGTCTAGTTCTGGTTTCATTCATTGACTCATTCACTGTCTCACCCATTTATTCTTTCCATAAATGTTTGTTGAGAACTACTATATGCTAGGACCTGTACTAGGCACTAGTGATACAATGTTGATCAAAATCAGATTTTGTTCTCCAAAGTTTATTAGTCTAGAGAGGAGGAGGTATATGTTTCTAAATAGTTGCTATATTGTAGATTCAAAAGGAATACGATGCTATGGGTGTAGACCTCAACCAATCTAGGCATCTAGGAAGGGTTCCTTGAAGAAGCAGGATTTAAGCTTTGATCTAAAGAATGAGTAGGAAGAGTTCATCATGTGAAGAAGGAAGGACATTCATGTAGAGGGAACAGCATATACAAAAATCATGGGGAAGCAGAGAGCACAGTATTTTGGAGACATTAAAGCCAGTGTTCCTAGGGACAACAACATCCTAAAAGCCATGAGTAAACTAAGTGTCTAGATCTTGGTTTCTAAATATCACTTTTTACTAAAAAGAGACAGTATGCCTCAGAGAAAAGGCCATATTTTCCAGGACATCTTGATGTATCAGAAAGTAAGAAAGTGCTGAAAGAATAAAGGGACTTGGAACTTGTCAAAATAACACTGACGCAATTCCAAGAGGTTCCTTTTGGCCAAATTTCTGACAATTTGAGTACAAAAATAAATGATGATAGCAATAGATTATAAAACATGGGATAAAATAATAAACTATGAGTCTATGTTGATCAAATTACTAGGCATGAATAAATTAAAAATTTGATAACAAATAGGATATTCACATAGTCTCAAATTACTTTCCCACAAATACTTGTTAATTACACAGAAAAAAAATAATACTTTACAATGGAGAACCTTGGCAAACACCACCTTAACAAAGTTAACATCATTAGTATTGGTACAAAATGAAATTGTGTGCCATTTTATAGTAATCAGTGAGAAGAGCACAGATCATTTCTCTAGCATTCCTACAAAAGTATACAGCTATCATGAAGGAAAATCAGAACAATCTAAATTGAAGGAAATTCTCCAGAATAATTGGCTTGTAATCATCAAGTTTCAAGGTCCTGAAAGTCAAGGGATTCTATGAGTAACTTGTCCTAGTTGAAGGAGACTAACCAAACACGATAACTGACTCCAAAATGGAACTTTGGTTCTAAAGGAAATTATTTGAGTACTTTGTGAAAGTTGACTGAGTTCTGAGAGATGAAATGACTTTAAGTTGCTGATTTTGATGGTTGAATTTTAATTATGTAGAGGAATGCCCTTGTTTAGGAAAAAAAATGCATTGAATTATTTAGAGGTGATGGTATATCCTGTCATCAATGTGTGCACCCAAATGTTTCCTGAAAAAAAAATTACATGTACTATACTTGGAAGCTTCCTAGAAGTTTGAGATTGTTTCAAAATAAAAAATTAATCAATTAATTAAAAAAGACAAAAAAAGGCCAGTGTGGCTAGAAACCTTGGACTTCAGTTTCCACATTGGGACAATAAAGAAGGGAGCTGAAATCCATGAATCTCAGATCCAGTTGTACTGTAGTGTGCTAACTAGTCCCCAGGAATGATATACAAAGGGGAAAAAATGTGCATTACTTTTCTATTGCTATGTAACAAAATACCCCAAATTTGGTAGGCCAGAAGTTTGGGATGGCCTGAGTTTTCTGGTGAAGGCTGAAATCAAGTTGTCGGCTTGAAGCCCCCACCTTCTTGCTGGCTGTCATCTGGAGACAGCTCTCAGCTCCTAGGGATTCTCCTCAGGTCCTTCCCTTATAGCCCCCTCTATCCCAGCAACAGAGAGCCTTCCTTACATCAAATCTCTCTCTCAGAGATTTGAATTTTCTCTTTCTCATCTGTTACTGTCTGCAGTAACTCTCTGCTTTTAAGGGCCTTGTATGATTAGGTTAGGCCAGCTAGATAATTTTTCCATCTTAATGGATTAGTAACCTTGATTATGTCTGCAATATCCCTTTTGCCATATTATATAACAGAATCATAGGAGGAACAGCAGTGGAAAATATTGTGGGGGCCCTCACAGAATTCTGCCTACGACAAAATAGTTGAGAAAAATGAATTTGGGTCTGTTATCAATCAATATAGGTACAGAAAAAAAGAGTATACAACTCTGCTTCTCTGATTCATGAATTGAGGGTTGGGGAATTCTAGACTGTGGTCTCTGAGACATCGTCAGCAGTGAAGTTCTTTGATTTGTCTTTATTAGGCTGTAAGAGCAGGCACAGACTGTTTCTGATTTACTGTTGCATTGCTAGCACTTAGCCCAATGCCTCGAACCTAGTGGATGCTCCAAAATGAGGGTATAAAGAATAAATAATAAGTGAATAATTATATATAGCAACCAAAAATTTGTTTTCTTGTTTGACTAATCAAAATCTTCAATGCTGGTCCCTCAGTGAATTATTCTTCCCAAATAGCCAGGTTAAGAAGAAATCTGACAGTTAATTTCCAGTTCCATTTTGATAGATAAGATTTGTGTGTATATAGAATTCTGGAGGGATTTTTTTTAAGTAAATGTAATTTGCCAAGACTTGGAACATATCCATTTATCAATAGAAGAGGAAAATACATTGAGCATGAAAGGATCTTATGATGCTATATTGTTCCAATTAACAGATATAATAATGAAAGCTTGAAACATTCCTATACGAGGGTATAGGAGGAAATCATTTTAAAGATTATTTTGGAAATAGCTTTATTGCTTTTTAATATTATGAAATGTGAATATGCTTAAGATAAAATATTGGAAAATAAGGTATAAAGAAAATAAAGATAATTTGTTATCTACAAGTCAAAGATAATCGTTCTCAATATTTTGATAGATATCCTTTCACACATTTTCCTCTGCACCTATGGGTGTCAACACACCAGCATATACACATGCAGTTCTATATAGATAATGCAGTTCTATATAGATAGTTTGCTCTTTTCATTTAAAAATATATCAAGATATATTTTCATGATAATAAACATGATCATTTTTAATAGCAACAAGATATTTTATTTTATAGTTGTCATATTTTATTTAGCCAATCCTTCCTGATATACTACTAAATAATTACCAATTTTTCTAGCAGTATACATATAACTTCAATGAACATTCTTGTACATCAATCTCTGAACTTTGGCTTAATTATTTCTGTAAAATAAATATCTAAAAGTACTATTGATAAGTCAAAGGGTATGCGAATCTTGATATTTTCAGATTGCCCTCAGAAATGTTTAACCACATAAGTAGATTATGAAGTACCTGTTTACCCTTGCCAACAATAGATATTATCAACTAAATGTTTAATGTTTGACACATGAAAATGATATATTGTTTTAATTTGTATTTCTTTTTATATAGTATTTTACATCTTTATTTCTCTTTTGAGTTTTAAAAAATATTTTAAGGTGAGGTTTTTAAATAGCTCTTAGACATTATTTTTTCTTATTAATTTGCCGGAAACTATAGTTTTACCATTTTAAAATATTTGTCATTTTCTACATCATTTTCAAGTGCATCAGTGTGGTGGGCAACCTCTAAAATGGCGCCCAAGGGATCTTAAGCACCTGATATTCACAACCTTCTGTAGTCTCCTGCCCTTGAGTATCAGCCAGTCCTGTGATTTGCTTCTTTGTACAGCCAGCATAATATGGAAAAGGGAATGGAATGTTGCTTCCGTGATTAGATTATAAAGTCTCATGACTTCTATCTTGTTAGCAGATTCTCTTTGTTGCCTTCTTAGTTTGCCTGCTCTGATGAAACAACTTGCCATGTTGGAGAGACCCTCCTGGCAAGGAACTGAAGATAGCCTCTGGCCAAGAGCCAGCAAGGAATGGTCAACAGCCCATGAGGAAATGATTTCTACCAACAGCCATGTGGTCATATAAGTGGATCCTTCCCCAGTTGTGTCTTCAGATGAGACCCTAGGTCTGGCTAACACCTTGATTACAACCATTGCCATACTCATTCTTGCCACACCAATTCCATTCTTGCCATACCCCTTCTATTATTCCAATATCTCCAATGTTTACAATGTAAAGTTTCCGATGTACAGAAATGTGACTCTACCTTTTATTTTATAGTATATGGATTAAATATTTATGCTGAAATTTCATATTATGAGTTATTATATATTGTATGGCAATTGGGTGATTTTAGTGTAACCAAATGGAAATTTGGTCTTACATCTGTTTATTTTTGACAAAGAAAGATGATAAAAGCTCTTGTAGATGAGCTGTAAGTTTCTTAGTCTGATAGGGTGTTGGAAGAAGAATAAATAATTATATTTACTTAGCATCTTCTGTAATGAGATTTTGATTGCCTTATTACCTGATGTATTTGACGTATTTGTGTCTTGTTTTTGTTAAAGAACTTATTGGATATACACTCAACATTTTATTCTTCAACTAGCACTGAGGTTTTTAAGGACACTCCTGTTTTGATTTCATGATAAACATTGGAAATTTTATAACTATTTATTTGCATGTACTTGTATTTATATATGTTTGAGAATATGCTTACTATGTGTCCTGACTCATCTAGATTCTGTTAAAAATAAAAGATAAATATCTTACTTTTTAATTCCGGCATGCATAATTCCCCTGGGAAATGTTCCCTGGGAGGGCTGGGAATTATATAAAGGCACCCCCATTTTGTCTTGAGACGATTTGAGAGCACCTCAGTTTCCTTGCCTAGAATGACAGCAGTTGTCTCTCAGCAGTTCTGTATTAATGTGGGTGAAAGTAGTTAAAGATTTAAGCCATTTTATGAACATAAGGGAATTATCCATGAATGTCTTATTTGGCCCTCTGCTTATAAGGCATTGTGAGGGACCTAGAAATTGTAATTTAGGGAAAAAGGAGAAAGCCTCTCTTGCTTCCCACATTACCTTCACCTCCTTTACTCCTTGACTCCTGCCTTCACCACATTAAATATAACCTCAAGAGATTCCTTTGAGAAAAGGAGAGTAACGTTATTTTCTTTTCATTTAAATGTCCTTTATTCCAAGAGATAGAGCTAAAATTTAATAACAACTAATTGGGATTTTATTCCTACATTCACTAAGTGTAAGTTTCCACATTTTCACAAAATATTGAATTCAGTAGTGAACAAAACAAAACAGATTCATGGTTTTATCTACCATATACTTAGCTATTTCTATTTTATTCTCACATAAAGGAGGTTGACAACACAGGAATTTTAAAGCTGAAAGTTAGTGGTAGACTGAAGTGGGTAAGGGGGAGAACGCAAAATAAATAGATGGATGCAGAAGAGGAAATAGATCACCTCATTTGCAGTTGTACCCTAATCAAGCCACTTTTGAGTAACCACACATTTTGTTCTAAACAAAAGAGATTATTTGCTTCCCTTCTGGCCCAAAGTCAGATTCTTCTTCCTAGTATGAACTTTCAGCACTTTATTTTGATTAGTTAAGAGAAGTCCAAAAATCCATGCTAAATATCAAGATAATTCTTAGCCTTGGCAATTCAAAAAAATTAAAACTTACGATGTTTCCTATGGAGGAGTTAAGAAATTAATCTACTTTTCCTAAGTACAGGGAAAAAAACCTGTCTTCAATGCAAACTTCAACAGAATCTACATCTCAGGAAGAAGATGGGGACTGAACCACTTAGAGCATCTCCAGTCCTCATTACAGAACACTGTAGTAGTAAGATGATAATTTAACATAAGAAAACTGCCTTCCTGGATTTTCCTTGAGAAGTGATTAATATGTAAGAGTGGACAACTCAGGGTTTCACTTCTACCTTCTCCATTTGATGACTCTCAGAATGACCAGATATGCCATGCACGGTGATGGAGAACAAGAACCATAGTTTGAAATCAGAACAATGGGATTCCACCCGGCACTGGTACCTATTAAATCTCTTCGAATCTCAGTTTTCTCATTAGTAACAATCTCAGCAGGATTGTTTTGAAATTCATTGATAAAAAGTATGAAAAGAGTTGCTGTACACATTACCTTTGTGATTTTTGTTGTGTCATGTGTGTAAATTCCAGAATATTCTAAGAGAAGCAGCATGATTTAGTTATTCAAACACAGATGCTGTGACAGAAATTTAACTCTGCCACTCATAAGCAGCATGAAGAATTTAAATGTTCATTCCATTCCTTCAGGGTACATCCAAAGATATGCCTACACAAGGGATCCCTGGAAAGCATTTTTCAATTGACATAAAATTTTTAAAAACACTTTGAAGTTCATCATGCAAATTTTAAATATTAAAAGAATTCAACTAAAATATATTTTTCTAAAAATATATTTTCTTTCATCTACCACACAGAAAAACACCAGCCAGTCTTGTTATATAAATGACATCCTTTTAATTAATATGAGTTTTAAGAGAAGCCAACCCTTGAATTATTCTTGTTGAATTAAGTTGCCATGTCCCTTGCAGTCAACAGAAAGTGACTGCAAAAAAAGGTGAAGTTTGAGATAATATTACTATCTGTTGCTGAAAAGATGTGAGGCAGTGGGATGAAAGGAAGAGGGAATCATAGCCACTTCTCTAGTTCCCATAAGGATATATTGTGATCATTAGGCTTCTCTGACATATTCAGTGGATGAACTTGAGTGCCCTCTTTCATGATCTATGATAGCCAACATATATTTGGAGTGATGGGAGTGTGTAGGCAATAGATTTTTAGCATAGAGATGAAAAGTATGAATTTTAGCTTCAAAAAGACCTGTATTTGAATCTTAGTCATTCTGGTTCCTGGCTGTGGGATCTTAAGAAAATTATTAAATTTCTGTAAGAATCATCTTCTTCATATGAGATGGAGCAATAATCATAACAATTGTTACCAGAGTTGTAAGAATTAAATGGAATAATATAAATAGAACACTAAATCTTGTACTTTATGAGAGCTCAATAAATAGGAACTCTACATATATTGCTATTTTCCATGTGCTCTTAAATTATGTATAAAAATTGAGATGTAGTCATATATTTTAATGATATTCCTAAGTTTCTGAGCCCATTCATCCTCATATTCAATACACATATATTTCTCATTTTATAGCGTCATTTTTCTTATACTTTCTTTTGTAATATAGATGTAGTCCTGATAAACTAAATCAATATTTTGTAAACCAAATTATATTTGGTGATGAGGGGTAAGTATTACATTAGAGAAACATATTCTGTTAAAGGAATAATTTTCAAATGTATTAAAATGCATATTCTTTTGAAAATCTGATGATAGCTATGTATCTGTTTTCTACCCAAACGCACAAATCCTTACATGAACCAAACTTCATATATAATTAAAGGGACATATGGACCTTCCCTACAATTTTTAAGAAATTTTTAATGAAGTGGCTAAGCATTTGAGCCAATAGTTCAACCATTATTTACCTGTATAAAGTCAAATGTATGTATGGTAACTTTTAATGAAGTACCTTACATTAACTTTAATGTTTAATTCCATCTGAAAGATTTCATATGTCACAATGTTTGCTAATAAAATTATTTTTAGCCTAGGTTTATGAACTATGCTGTACCTAGCAGTTTCATATCCAGCAAATAAACTGTCACCAGAGAACCATAAATATTAGTGTCAGGTGGAAATATCAAATTACACAATCTGATTAATTACTTTTCTTTTATGTTTCTTCTGCACCAAAGAGCCAGAAAACATTTTTTTTCTAGAACAGTTCTTTTAAAACTCTATATTTTCGGTAAACATCTTTTAGAAATTTCTATAAGGTACTTATTCTCCCAGCATATCAAGATGTAACAGGCATTTGAATCTTAAAATGAGTCAGCAAGTTGGTAAGTTTACAACTAAACACTCAGCTTCACTCCAACACTTGATATTGTATTAAAGTTAATGCAACATGGTGTTTTAGTATTTAAAAAATCAAATTATTAATAGACTCCAAAGACTTCCCTGCAGCAAAATTTGGTATTTCTTTTAATAAGAATAAATCCCAGTGACACCTTCTGAATCTGAATTTAAAGATTGGTTTCAGAAGATATGAGATCTTAAGGAAATGTAGTTTAGTTATTAGATAATCTTTAATATTTCATTTATGAAGTTGAACATTTACCGGGGATAACCTAGGTTACCATCTCATTTGCAATTTGATCTCCATTATGTCTCCAAAATTCAACTAAGGGAGCCCAATTGTTGGCTTCACCTTTTTTTTTTAACTATGAGATTTTGATAATCCATTATCTGTGATACCTTATTGCAAGATTTACCTTCATTTGTTTGCTTTAATGTCATTAGGTAAATCAAGAGGCACATAAAAGCAGTTCCCATCATGGTGCTGAGAAACAACCTACACTGGCAGTTGGTTGGGTTGTTTATCTGGTGCATCTGACATGTGTAAAATGACAGCAGGATCACTCAGGAAATTCAATATACCCACACACAGAAGCCAAATATGTCAGCTTATTTTGGGAACCACTCTATCATGTAGATGCATTTGTTCTTGGAGCAGCCTCAGAAAGCCTCTTCTTTATCCAACTGTCTCTTGATTAAAGAAGCAGCCAATGTATGCTACATAAAGAATGGTTTTTCTCTGGAAAAGTTGTCTTATAGTCAATATTTTTCTTATTGCAAGGAAGATATTTTATTGCTAAATATTTGTTAATTGTCTGTTTTGGTAGCACAGAATGAGAGATGGTTCCTGGAAGGCTGGTCATAGTCATCTGATAAATCACAAATAGTTAGTAAATCCTTGTAATGATGTATATGACATTTTTATCATATAAACGATATGCTTCTGAAGCAGGATGTATGGCAATGTATCTGCTGTTTGTTTAAAATGTTAGATTTTTATTCTTTATACTTGTAGTATAGTTCACCAAAAATTATTTAGCAACTAAAATTTAAAAATTAATTCAAATGCTATTGTGTTTTTATTAGAACATTTTGATAAAAGCAAATAATACTATATTAATTGTGACTAAAAATTAAGAATGATATTTGTTAGGGCACTAAACCAGGCTTTTCCTCTTTCATTCCCTTGAATTATTTTCTTTACTTTACCTATAATTTCTACCCTATCTTGGGATTTGCTATTCGTGTAGCTTCTCTTGCTAATTCTATCCACAATAGCCAAAATAATACTTTATAAACGATAAGTGACAAATATGATATATTGAAAGTATGCGAGTACCTCTGTCTTATTAGTTTCTGGGACTTGACACTACTGAATTGCTTTTAGATTCAGCAAGGATTTCACAAAACTCACAGAAAAATAAAATCATCATCAACATCTTGCAAGGACAAGCAATGCTTCACTGATTGAGATGTGTGGCAGATTTGGAGCATTTTTTCTCTGTGTGATATAGATTTAATGTTTCTAATTAAAACCAAGAACTGTGACAAAACTGTTTGCCTTTTTGAGCTTGTCTACTGAAAAAAATATTTTTTTCTTGTTTCTAACCTGCCATACATTAAACCTCTCCAAGATCAAATTGTTCTTTCCTTACATTGCAGTTAACAATTCATTTTCTCCCCAAAATTAAAACTACAAATACAACATTTCTCTATGCTTTCTAGTTGTTTGAGATAAACTTAATTTTGAACAGTATCCATATGTTTTTTATGAGGCAAATGCTGTTGAGTTTTGAAATGGGCAGTTTCTAGGAGGAATCGTTTCTCCACCATTTTTGGCATTAACCACACTGATAGCGCATGATGATTAATACTTCTAGAATGGCGACACATTCCCTGCATTGAATAAGTACAGATGGTGCTGATTGTTTTTCCTACTTGTCATTGACTTTTAACTCACATTCACATTGAGTCCCAAAGTGTTATCCTCTTGGTGAAGAATAACGATGATGTGACCTCCAGATTAAAGATGTGACTTGTCAGTCGTTTTCAGACTCTGGCATTCGGAGTTGAGAACTCTTTTCCTGCTGCTCGGTGGCCTGCTATTAGCACTTTGTAAAGGCAAGATATCTACCTTTATTGCATCCCTGTTCTCTCTAGTCTCTACCTCAACTCTGAATCTCCAATCTCTCCTTCCTTGTTCTACGGGCTTCAGGAAGGGTTCCAGAAACCTCTTAAATTCCTTTTCATTTGTGCAAACACCACACACATGCACACACACACACACACACACATATTCAGTGCTTAGTGGAGTGCCCGATACAAACTATTAATAAAGTTCGGTAAATTGCTGATAAAATAAAAGAATAACCAATGAAATTAATTACATTGAAATATGAAGAAAGGTTCCAGTGAATTTTGGAGTTGGATGAAAACGTTTGTTTTGTTGCTGATTCTATGAAGGTAAATATAAAGAAAGAGTCATTATTTAAGGGAATAGAGAGATTAATGTGGATACCATTTATAAGTTAAATGCATTAATAGACATTAACATTTCAAAATAATTCCTAAGCTACAACTACAAGGTGATTGGTAATTTTCTGAAAGTAATGTAATTATTACATTGTGAAAATAAATTATATATATAAAACTAGTTAGTGTTTATTAAGTTTAAAGTTTTGTCTACGAAACTGATTCTGAAATTATTTTTCAGATTAAAATCTTAACTGTTCTCCTCACCCTTTCTTTAACTTTTTATTTTCCTTACTGGTACATTATACCTCATTAAGAAAGAATAGAAATAAAGAAAGAGAGAAACAACTGTAATTGTTGCAAAGTAAATTAATCTTATTGAATATTTTTCTAGTCTAGATAATATCAAAAAGATGTAAAACATGTATATATGTCAACACCTTATATTAGTAAGATATGATCATTATTATTTCTATGGTTGAGAAATGTATGTGAATTACATACAAATTGTATGCAAATATATACCTGCATTGGATAGTGTTAGAGCTCCCATACATATTTCACCCTTCCCCACTATGTAGTAGCCCTGGAATTTGAGTGGGATTGATCCCACTGACAGCTCTAAGGGTGAGTTCTGATGGATCCTTTCTCATTGTCACAGTGATTGGTTTGGGGTGGGCATATCTTTCAGATGGAAGCCAGTCAACATGTCCTCAGTCGTAGTGATTACCTATTTAAGATCAGTCAATTAGAATAAAACATAGGACTTCTGTTCTAAGGTCATGGAAAGCAACTCTGTCTCTATCTCTGGCCATGAACAAAGTCGTCTGTAGTCCCAGTTCTGTTGGCAGCCACTCCATGCCTGCAAGGAAAGCCAGCCCTCAGAAGAAGCCACACTGTTTATGGAAAGATACCACATGCTGATAATATCAATGATTAACCTTGAAGTACCTTTAACTTCTGGACTTTATAGGCACATGAGCCAGCAAATTCCCTGATGAGTTAACTACTATTAGTCACCTTTTCTGTTACTTGTAGCTGAAAATATCCTTCACAGAACAATAGCCATCAAAACACCTTCATCCATTTGACAACAAGCCATGAGAAAATCCTGGAAGATGATTTTTGAGAAATGTCTTCTTAGGATTCCCTACTGTCTTGTTTGTTTTTACTTATTTGAGACCAGATTCTTTATTGAAAGTATATGAAAATGATTTTTAAATGAAATATTTAGATGAATTACATTTAATTTTACAGCTAATAAATTTATGAGAAATGTTATTGGAGGCATAACTAGGGACATAAAGAACATGGATTCCACAAAACCTAGAGTAGCAAAGCATTAGAAAAAACATGAAGAATATTTTAAAACATAGTGACAGCGGAAACAACCTGGAAGACATTTCTCGGTGAGGATAGCAGCCTAACGAATATGTCTTGAAACCATGACTGTTTTGTACCATGCCTATCTCTAATGGCTTGCATTGTGATAGGCACAAGACAATGATAAATGTTTCCAAATAAGTGATCTACTCTCAAGAAGTGAATGTTATAAAGAAAAGTAAATAAATCCTAGGAAAACCATAATTAGGTACTCACCAACACAGTAGTAACATTTTAAGGAAAACAGCGTATATAAGCAAAAGAATGAATAGAGATTGTGCTGTAAGTTGAACAATTGTTTCCTGGGTAAAAATCAAGAATAATATGAAAAATATAAGTATGTGAACTAGGCATTTATTGGTAGAAAGTAATAGGAAGCAATTTTGACTAGAAAAGAAAAAAGGAATTTATTGTTGGCATATTGGGGCTCATGGAATCAGCAGAAGGCTGAGTTAGGTTTAGAAACGAGCAGAAACCAAGACCACTCCAGAGACTAAGAAGCAAGACTTATAACAGGAATAGTTAGGTCAGAATGCTGCTGTTTAAGGACAAGATAGAGGTTGGTGGTGACCAAATGAAAGCTGTTTTGGAAGAGTCTATGAATACTCGATTGGAGAAGATTGAAGAGAGAATGGAAAAACAAGCCACTCTTCTGAAGAAGTTTTCACAAAAGGGAGCATAGAAAAAGATGAGGTCAAGGGAGGTTTGTTTGTCTTTAAATGGTGCTAGTTGAGCATGTTTCTGTGATGACAGGACTGAACCACTGGATGCAACACATTTCCCTGCAAGCGCCCCAAAGCTGGTTCCTTCTCATCTTTCACATCTCTGCTCTATGTCACCTCCTGGTCCTAGTCTTATGACATCGTTTTATTTTCTCGATAACACTTGTGTCTGTCTGTAATTATCTTCTGTATTTGTTTGATTGCCCTCTACCAACTAAAGTACGAAATTCATGAGAGCAGCAACTTTGTCCTGCTTATCACTGTCATATAAGCATCCAGAACAGTGTCTGTCGCAAAGCTGAGCCTTAATAAATATTTGTGGGATAAAATTAAAAAACAGATAACTAGAACTTCAACTATTTCTTTCCTTCTTATGTTAACTGTTTGAGATTCAAAGACCCAGGATCCAGTTGCTGATGAGCCAAGTTCAACGCTGTGTAGTCCTTTGTCTGGGCAGGGTCTGCACCACCTTATATTATTTGACGGGGGCTAGCTAGGTAACTGAGTTTACTGTCAGTCCAAAGCCAACTATGAGGGGAGAGAGGCCATTCTCACAGGAAAATCAAATACTGCTAGGAATTTCCAAATGACAATTGCTCAGCGCAGTAAGGCACAGTAAGGAGGGAGAAGAAATGTTCATTTCTTGCTACAAACAAGCCAGAAACGAAAAGTTTATATTCCGGCTGATCCATTAACAACTGTCAGTTTCATCCCTAGGTTTCCCAAGAAAAAATTTTAGGACCAAGGGGACAGACAAGTCTGTCTGCTTACACAGATAAACATCCCTCTTCATTAAAACAGGCTGGGAGTCTGGAGATAATTAGACCCACTGCGTCAAGCAATCAGCAACACAGGGAAGAGGTCAGAAAAACAATGACAAGTGACCTGGCTAATTCTTAAGAGAAACAGAGGAAAGCCTTTGCAATCACTTGAAAGACTTTTTGGCTGTTGTGGCTCATGGCCTGATCTGTACTTGTTTGTTTGCTGTTACTTTGGTTTCTCTGTCACTTTCGCCCTTCCTCTTGTCCTCCCCTAGCACAGACACACTCACCTAGACTCTCAGACATGGGCACAGTCACCTCGCGTTCATCACAATGAAAACATAGTGAACTTTCCCAGGTCAGCTTTGGGAAGGGTGGTCATTTTTCTCTGCAAGATTCTACCTCCCCAGGAGGAAAATCTAAGAAGTGCTCCTGTTTGTTTTTATTTGCTTATTTTTTTTATTTTTTATTTTTTTCAGTGCTTGGGATCTGTTAAGTTAGAAGATCTTTTTGGAAATCCCAAACGTGCTTCATCAATTTTTTCCAATAAGACGTTAGTAGCTACTAGAATGATAGCGTGATAAAATAATGAGCTCCACGAGGGCAGGAACAGTATCGATTTCATTCGTGCTGAGCACCTTGCCTAGCACAAAGTGAGTTTTCAATAAATATTTGGTGAATAAACAAATCAATACATAAATGAAAGAGTGAGTGGACAGATGAAGCCAAAGGGCTATTTTCCAAGCAGAGGCTCCAAAGACCACTGCAGCTTTCTCTGCTCTCCTCAGCCACACCACTTCATTGTAAATCTATTATCTCTTCTGTCTTGCCCTTTTCTCATTGCAATGTTCTCCCTTCCATTCCCCTTTCTGATCCTACTGATATTTACTCACCTAAGTTAGATAAGACATCCTGATAAGCACGAGCCATGGAACATATAAAATATGCATATTCTTAAGATTCCTCCTTGTTATATACGCATTATATGATTTCTGATTCTAAGAAAAGATATGTTTTTGATAGGCTACAAGGTAAGTTTTAAAATTGTACGTAATAATCTACAAGATCCCCAATGAGCTTACAGCATTTTTTCAATTTAAAACAATGTTAATGGTGGAAGTGTCAATGATTTATATGTATTTCTAGAAGTTTTGTTATAATACCTCTTTGTTTTCTTTACATTTAGAGGGAGAAAATGTAGTTTTTCTAAACTAAAGCTCAACTTTTTAAAATAAAATCATTTGAGTGACTTTCATAAGTACTTTTCCTTAATTATAAAAGAAAAATACCATTAATTTTATTAGTTAGCATGCTTAGAATTCTGTAGGTCAATATGCCTTTAATGACCCAGCCAATTTCCTCAGCACTACCTTCTGAAATCCTTCCCATGCAGTATTTTTTTAAAGGAGAAATGGGAATGGAAAAGTCACTTTGTTTTTCAAGGACTTTTTGAAAGTCTGCTTTTGTACTAGCCATATCTCTCCACCTCTCTTTTTGATCAGCTAGATGTATGATAAGATTAATAACCATTACAAATAATTAGTGCCTACAGTGCCTTTCACCAGCCATTATTGAGATGACTTTTCTTTTATAAAATATTATGACTACAACTACACAGTGAACATCTGGACATTCCTCTAAAATGCACTAAAGTGTAATCTACTCTGTGGGTTTTTTTTTTTTTTTAAATGAGATGAGCTAAAGAAACAGAACAAAAATGTTAGCTAGAAGGGATGACAGAAATAGTTCAAGTGGTTCTTCCTTTTTTTTTTTTTTTGAGACAGAGTCCGGCTCTGTAGCCCAGGCTGGAGTGCGGTGGCGCCATCTTGGCTCACTGCAAGCTCCGCCTCCTGGGTTCACACCATTCTCCTGCGTCAGCTTCCCGAGTAGCTGGGACTACAGGCGCCCACCACCACACCCGGCTAATTTGGTTCTTTCTTAAAGTAACAAATCCAAAGCACAGAGAGGTAAGATGATTTCTGATCCCCAACAGGCTGCTAACTACATGCAAGGCCGATTGCCCAATCCTTGCCTTTCCACAACTACCCATTTAGTGTTGGCTTTTCTATCCAGAACAACAACCGCTCAATAGTTCTTAATTTTATTCATAGGGTTTTTTTTACCAAGGGGCTGGGTCACTTGAAGTTTTGTTGAAGAAGTAAATGCTAATTATACTCTTTAATAGATCAGTCTTAACTATTCATTCCTGTTACTATTGTAGTTACTTGCTCTATAATGCTCTAACCCTAGAAGCAAATTCTGTGATTAGAAACATTGCTGTCATGCCAGTCTAATTTATTTTAGGATGAGCCGTGTGACTAGATTGGGTGAGTCCAGGACATACAGACCAAAATCCAGGAATGATTCTGAGCTGTGGACTGCAGGGATCCTACCTGTACTTCCTGTCAGAGCAGAAAGTGAAGCGGATACAGGTTCACCTGGGTCTACAAATGCATCCAGGGAGAGATACAGCAACTGGCTGGGAGAAAGTAGCTGGTGTCTTTGGACAAGCAACAGGGAAGATGGAGCAGCAGTTGCAGGTGAACAGTGAGCAAACTACCAGCTAATCAGGCACAATGAATCACTTGTGCAATCCTGTGTTAGGAAAGAAGCTTTCATGAGAATGTGGCCGGGTGGGGTCTTCTGTCTGGGGCCGGCGGGTCCCAGGGAAAGCAGATCATCACAATAAGGGGTTGGTCTGTGGTGACACCACTGATTGCCTGTAAACCAATGCATTTCTGGGTGTGCACCCCTCTCAGACAGCAGTGTGGCTGTTTCCTTAGCATTGGTTCTGGATGTAAACATGCCTTGGTTTGAGCACAAAACCACTGTTTCTGTTCCACTTTGAATGAGTTTTCCAGAAATGATGGCTATGTGGTGATTCTTCACCTATTCTCATGCCTGGATCTGATTTGTGAGATGTTTTGAGAGGTTACTGCAGCTTTGTAACGGAGATTTTTTTCTTTGGGAAGTTAACTGTCTTTTCCACATCCATTGTGGTAGCCTAGCAACAAGGGACAGCAGAGCAATAGCAGGGATTCTAAAACTCTAAAGAATGATGCCTGTTGACGTCTGTCCCAGGGACAGGGGATCCCAGTGGGTCTGGCTTGAGATGGGACAATGCTATAGCAAGAAATCTGTGGTCCCAGAGTCTGACACCTCAGAGAGAAGCAGGTGAGTTCCCAGCTCCTCTCATCCCAAAATAATTCATGGGAATTTCTGGATAAAGTAGCTTTCACTCAGTACTTAAAAAAAAATCTTTCTTTAAAGTCTGGGGAATAACAGCAGACAGACTTTTTATCCTTTCCTGGAGAGTGACCCCTTTCTTTGAAAGCTGCTGTCTTCCCAGATCACAGGGCATGGCCTGACACACAGTAGGGGTTCAATAAATATTTGTTGAACAAATAAATTGTCCCTTACTTGGTCTTCTAAAAATCACACACTCACCCACCCCAGCCATTTTACTGATGTGGGAAGGGGGAGGGTATGAAGCCAGCCTTCTTTCAGTTGAAAGGAAATGTCATCTTCACTACTCTCTTGCCAAGAGATGCACACACAAAAAGCTGGGTCATTCCTCCTCTACATGTTCCCCACATAAAAACCTAGATCAATGTTGGCTAGAAATATGGAAGTACAGTTCACTTCTCTAATTGATCTGCATTTAATTACTAGAAATTTTGCATGTTGACACCATACTCATTTCCCTTTCAAATGTGGAAATATCTTCCATTTACAATTTTCTTTTAAATCTTGAGTGAGAGGTGGCCACATCTCTGTAGCAGGAGCTACATCCTATAGGGCAGTATCCTTGTGGGATGTTCACATGCAACCATGGTTCTGCTTTTTAAAGTTTTTGTTTGTTTGTTTGTTTTTGAGACAGAGTCTCACTCTGTCATCCAGGCTGGAGTGCAATGGAGTGATCTTGGCTCACTGCAACTTCTGCCTCCCGGGTTCAAGTGATTCTCCCACTTCAGCCTCCTGAGTAGCTGGGATTACAGGCATCTGCCATCATGCCCAGCTAATTTTTGTATTTTTGTAGAGACAGGCTTTCACCATGTTGGCCAGGCTGGTCTTGAGCTCCTGACCTCAGGTGATCTGCCCACCTTGGCCTCCCAAAGTGCTGGGATTATAGGCATGAGCCACCGTGCCTGGCCTGCTTCGTTAAGTTTTAAAATGTATTTTCCTTATGTGAATGTGTGATCCTTGTTCTTATTTGCTTTTCGTCTTGGGTCTATGGTCTGTGGATGATATGAGAAATTCACAAATCTAAGATTTTATGTAAAATGTTGTTTATTTGTGCAAAGGATTCCATAAGCCTCAAAAATTAAATAATCTATGGGAGGGAGTAAGGCTTTATCCATTTATTAAAGCTAATGAAATTTAGCAAACACTCATTTTCTTTTATTTTCCCAGAACAAAGCAGCTAAAGAGATAACATATCTCCCCAGTAAGCCTAGATCGCGACACTGCACTCCAGCCTGGGCGACAGAGCGAAACTCCATCTAAAATAAATAAATAAATAAATAAATAAATAAATAAATAAATAAATAAATCATTTATTCACCCAGGCTAATTGGTGACTAGTCCTCCAATTTGACATGAAGAATGAAGTAAAAAGTTTAGAAAGCGGAAAGACATTTCATTTAAAGGAAGGAAATTTCAATGTTCTTATAATGCACTGAGAAAAATGCCGTATCATTACTCCCTGCCAATAGAAATTTAAAGAAGTTTTTCCAGGTTTCCAGTGAACCCTGAAGTAAGAAAACAATGCAATAAAAACAAACTTTATAAACATATTTGTTAATTATATTTTGTCTTTATCTCAAAGCTAATAGGCTTTCTAAAGCTTTCTTCCCCCCTTAATTATTGTACAACATGACTTCTCCTGTGTATGCTGGGTTACCATGGTTACTCTGAGGCCATGACTCATGACCTTTAAATATAATTGTCAGGCAGCCAAAGCTCTCATTTTTAAATCACCAGTTTTGTTTCAGGCATTATTATTTAAAAGTAGTCTCAAATTGTACTTTCTGTGATGCATTTGTGGCACATCTGAGTATGCACATAAGGGTATTGCACTCACGTATTTTGTTTTGTTTGGTTTCATTCGGTGACTGAATATGACTTTTTTGCCCAGCATAAAAAACAAACGAAGCACAGTCCTTGTCCTCTATGAGGGTGTCACTGAGAAATGCAAAACACAGGTAGAGAAATAATCACATATATCATGAACCATAATAAGGGCTGCAAGAGGTGGATGTCCAAAACCTGCTTGTGGAATACAAAGGCAAGAAATACTTCTGACTGGTAGGGTCAGAGGGCCTTCAGGGAGAGGCAGCATTTGAGTTATGGTGTGAAGAAATGTAAGATTTCAACAAGCAGAGAAGAGAGTATGAGTGTTCTGGCCAGAGGAAACAACTAAGAAGAGGATAAACACACACTCTGGACTATTAGGCTGTACAGTTGAGGGAAAACATCCGTTTTGTGAGTTTCACTGATAGAAGATGAAATTCATTAGAGGGCTCCATTTATTAAGATCCTTTAAAGCCATTTTTTGGTTTGTCCAGCAACTGTGATGACCAAGAGTTTGTTTTCCATTTCATGATAAAGAGGTGTTGTCAAGTAGAAAGTACCAAAATACTGTTTTTTTGCTGATTTGGGTGTCGTGCGAGAAAAGCAATTACATCTCTTAGAGCACCAGTGTCTCCTTCCACTAAGTGAGAACTTAATTAATTTTGTTCAGTAGTCACTGATTACTTTGTGAACATTTGTAAATGGTTTCAAATTTTTTGAAAAATGAGTAAAAGAGAGACATGTGCACAGAAATATGGAAATAAAACAATGTATTCATGAGGAAGATAGTGGGATAGAAAATAATAAAAGTACCTTGGGATTTAAAAGTAAGGCTTTATTGGCAGGGCGCAGTGGCTCACGCCTGTAATCCCAGCACTTTGGGAAGCCGAGGTGGGTGGATCATGAGGTTAAGAGATCGAGACCATCCTGGCCAACATGGTGAAACCCCGTCTCTACCAAAAATACAAAAATTAGCTAGGCATGGTGGCATGTGCCTGTAATCCCAGTTACTCGGGAGACTGAGGCAGTAGAATCACTTGAACCCGGGAAGTGGAGGCAGTGAGCCGAGATTGTGCTACTGCACTCCAGCCTGGGTGACAGAGCAAGACTCCATCTCAGAAAAAAAAAAAAAAAAAAAAAAGTAAGGCTTTATTGATTGACAACAATAGAAAGGAATCTGTTACATCTGTGAGGTTTATTAGATAATTCATTTATTTATTCAACAAATATTTGTTGACCACCCTATCCTTCTTCAAGATGCTGAGGGTAAAGTAACAAAAACAACAGAAAAAATTTCCTGTCTTCAAGGAGTTTACATTTTCAGTTGGGAGATGACACAAAAAATATAATCAATAAGCAAACTATATAGTATGTTAGAATGTGATAAGTATCACAGAGAAAATAGTATGGTGATGAGGTGAGGGGTTAAATTTTAAATGAGATACATATGGTAGGTCCCACTGAGGTGGTGACATTTGATCAAAGACGAGAAGGAAGGATGAGTAAGCCAAGTGGATAGACTGAAAGTATCCAGGGCCCTTGGATGTGCTGGGAACTGAGTGAAGAAAGTATTTCAGAGAGAGAGTGATAAGTCATGTCAAAAGCTGTTAAGGTGAGTTGTGTAAAATAATCACTGGGTTTAGGAATGCAGAGATCTTTGGTGAATTGGACAAGTGCAGTTTCTGTGGAGTGGTACTAGTAGTGGTACTAGTCTAATTGCAGTGGCTTTAGCAAAAAAGAAAGAAAACTAGAAGGGAAGGAATTGGAGACAGTGAGAATATCGTTTTGCTGTAACCTGAATAGCAAAAGAGGTCAGTATAATCAAGTGGAAACTAAAACGGTAAGAAGGCTCTAGGCATGATAAATAACAACATGTTTATAAGCTAATGGAAATGATCCAGGAGATAGAGAGAGAAGAGAGAGGGAGAGAGAACAGTGTAGGAGACAAAGAATTCTCCACGTCTGCTGATTCTTAGGAGGTTATGCTTTCCTCTCCCCACTTTTTTTTTTTTAGTTGAAATACAAGATTGTTCAGGTTTTCAGAACAGATTGTACTGTTCAGACTACTTATTCTCAAGAGAACTTTTAAAGGCTATTTTATCTTCTGCGAGTAAAGTTTACATTCCATTATTTTTATTTCCCTTAGAAATGTCCAGAAATTGACATTTGGAGGAAATACTTTAGAAAATTTATTTTAAATGTTACAGTGTAATGATCTATTCATTGTATGTGCGGGGGTGTGTGTGCGCACATGAGAGCCTGAAATAAAATTTTGGAATTCTAAATGTTTACTTTTTTTCAGCATGACGTCTGGAAGTTCAGAGTCAGATATACCACAAGAAAACAAAGTATCGGTAAGAAATGAAGTTTGTATGAATTCTTTATTTAAAAAAATCATTACAGGTAATGAAACTAACTTCTTTAATTAATATTAAGGTTTTCTTGATATTGTTTAGTTTTCACATTTTACTAGTAAAGATTTTAGAAATAAAACATAGAAAGTTGTTTTCCAAGTAGAAGATTGATGTAAAGTGGGGTGGAGTGGTAACTATGGGATGTTACTGGGGCTTTGGAAAAGTTACATGTGATGTGGCACAGCCTTTCTTATTTTGACATGTAATAAATGCCACACTGCTCTCTGTGGCCCTACAATACTATAGACATCCCTGGGCTATTTTTGAAGTGTCAGCTTGTGTATGAGGAAATCCTGGAATTCACACACGAATGATATACATTGGGTACAACACAGTATTTGGTTTAGCTAGACTGAGGTTTAAATCACAGTCTATTCCAGATACATCTAGTTTTATTCTCTTTCAAGTCGCTGTGACCCTTGAAGGCTTCTTACACCATGAGCTCCATTATGTCTTGGGAAAGCTGGGTCCTTTCTACCTGAGCACCACTGGGTCCCTCCCTAGGCCTCCAGTGAAAGTGTGGGTTGCTAAGAGGTGCTGGAGCTAGGTGATGGGTATACAGAAGATCATTATACCAATTCTCTACTTTTATGTAAGTTTGAGGATTTTTCTTTGAAAAGAAAAACATTAGCTATCTATATTTCCCTCAATCTCCTTTGATTCAGGTTGAAGACCCTCTGGACTCCACCAGAGATATTTCTGGAACAATCTTTTCAGCTCTAATATAGAGGCAGTATAGTATGGAGAAAAATTACAGACTAAGAATCAAGACTTGGGATGAGGCCAAAATTTGCCATCTCCAACCTTTGTGATGATAGCCAAGTCATTTAAACTCTCCGAGCTTTACTTTTCATCTGTAGAATAAAGATAATGGACTTAACTAGTGCACTTCAAATAAGATTTTTGGGATGTGAAAATGGTTAAGTGCCTGAGAGTGTACAGGAGCATGGTTATTCGGAATTGATAGCATTCCAGTGGGCTTCCGTGTGGGCCAGGGGACTTTGTTCTTTAATTTCTCTATTTCTTTCTGGATTCAGAAGTTCTGGCCTACCAGTCCGTTGGAATCCCGGCATCACTAGGTGTAGTAGTTCGTTCTCGCACCACTATAAAGAGATACCTGAGACTGGGTAATATATAAAGAAAAGAGATTCAATTGGCTCGCAGTTCTGCAGGCTGTACGGGAAGTATAGTGGCTTTGGCTTCTGCTACTGGGGAGGCCTTAGGAAGGTTCCAATTAGGCTTTCGGAAAGGGGTGGCGAGGCATGTCACACAGTGGGAGCAGGAGAGAGAGAGAGAGAGAGAGGGAGAGGGAGAGGGAGGAGAGAAAGAAGAGAGAGAGAGGGGGAGAGGGGGAGAGAGGGGGAGAGAGGTGGAGAGAGGGGGAGAGAGAGAGAGAGAGAGAGAGAGAGAGAGAGAGAGAGAGAGAGAAATGCTACACACTTTTTAGCAACCAAATCTCCTGAAAACTCACTCACCATCATGAGAACAGCACCAAGGCACCAAGGGGATGGGGCTAAACCATTCGTGAGAAACTGCCTCCATGATCCAATCACCTTCCACCAGGCGTCCTCCTGCAACGCTGGGAATTATAATTCAACATGAGATTTGGACAGGGACACAGATCCAAACCTTATCACCAGCTAAGAATAATTGATTCTTTTGTGAGTGATATATCTAGAACCTCACTTCTGTAGAATTATTTTTGATCATAAAACGTTAACATCTCTCTTGTCAGTGTAGTTCATTTTACCTGGTCCTAGACAAACTGGACATAGCTCTCAAATTTATAATAATTTTCAGAAAGAGTGTTTCTCTTGAAGAAATATTAGCCAAAGGCAAATCAAATTAGTTTGGTTTCAGTTAAAAATGTATTTTCTAACTCTAGTGATAATTTAATCTTATGTTGCTTTTTTCAGCTAAGAAAACCTGATAATGAAGTTTTGCTTCATTTAATGGAGCTGTTTATGATACTGTTGCCCAAAGAGTGTCCCTCACTGGACCATATGAAAACAATTTTTCTCTGGTTGGTGGGGACCCTTGAATTTGGGATATGGGAATCTTCAGGGCACCAATTTCTACTTAACTGCCCTGTCTTCTAAGGATGCTAATCAACCAGCACCCTAGAGGTAACCCTCTCATGGACGGTATCTACACTGAAAAGGACAAGGTGCCAATTACCTACTACCTTTAGGATTTCTGCCAAGGGCTTCAATTAGCTTCCTGGAGTTCAGAATCCATCCCCTTCCAATTTACAATGGGTAAGCTTGGGATCCCTGGGGCTTGAAGGAACTGGTTGTGCTTCGGTTTCTGATTTTTAAAAAAATATTTCTAAAGAAATACATTTAGCTGGAGGGAGTTGGGATTAGAGACTCAAAGTGGTGGGGATATCCATGATTACTGCTGCCTTCTTCCACAACGCAGTCTCTTTTAAGTCATGGAACTCACAGAGCACAGAACTCAGCAGAATGGATTCTGCTGTGAACCATGAGGAACCGAATTGCAGGTGGATCTCAGTTGCCTCTTTTAAATAATTGCTTTTAGTTTTGGTCGAGAAGACAGAGATGAGAAAATCTTTTCATGAAGATTTCTTGACCACCAAGCAGAATTAACCCCGCTCTCTCTGCCTTTGTGTCTTGGTGGTTCTTTATTTGCCTTTACTGCACTATTCTCTGAATCTACTTTGACTTTTGAACTCTGTTGGTAAACTGTGCATTCCTAGAGAAAGGACTGAGCTTTATTAGTCTCTGGGACAAAATTTCAGACATCAAAATGGCTCTCGATCGATATCATTTGAAATAAAACAAACAGACTGAGCTCCAGGCGTAGTAGCAGGTGATTGAAATTCCCTGTCCCTCTGAATCCGTAGAGCAGCCCATGAGGGTGGTGTCTGGCATCATCATTGTTATATTGATAATTTTCTTCCTATTGTTATAATTACCAATTTAGAAATTAAGAAATTGAGATTCGGGGAGATTCAAGGAGCTCCAGAATGTTAAGTGATCAAAGAATATGTGTTTACTTTATCGCAGGAACCTGATGGGATAATCCAGTAAGACTTTGTTTAAATCCACTCTCAGGTGCCAGGTAGTCCCCATTTATCTCAACCCTATCTATTCTTTGGGCCTGCTGGAGAATTAGAATGTTATTTAAACTATTGCTTTTGCTGCATTTTAACATCTTCTGACAGAATAGCTAGTGCATATAAATTATCTCATTTGAAGCTGTTTAGGAAATAAAAATTCTATTGCAAGAAGGGTTGGCCAAAATAGGATCACGACTGCTCCCTCTGAACTATTTCTGAGAATCTAGACACATAGAAATAAGCAATGTAAAACATATAATGTCATTGGTTATGTGGAGTGCCACATCTAAAAGTAAGGCTATGGGTATGAATTCATTAGCTCTAGAATATATATGAAGTATTTTACTCAGTGTGCAAAACTAGGCTTATTATAAAATCCCATAAGCCCTTTAGCTTTCAAGTAGTAATTTAGTGATCACTTTATTAAAGAATCACTATTTTAAGTGCCAAATATATGAAAGCACTTTTTGGTTTTTAATTTGTAAGATCAAATAATAGCCCACTATATAGGAAGTCAGCTTTATAAAGTGACCTTAAAGTAGCTAAAACATATTATATTTGATAAGTTGGGGAAAGCAAGCAGTGTCTTATTTGTGTCAAATTATATAAATTCTGTTCTTCTTTTAATACTTAGTGTAATATACTATTAGTTTTGCTGGAAACATACATTTGGTCATATTTCTGGTATCTATAAATTTTAACATTCTAAGATGACTTTCAAAAGATTCTTTCCTTTGATGAGCAAACTTTCAAATCGTTAATGAATCAAGGTTATCAATATATCATTTGTGTTTTAAATAAGTGATTTAAAGGAGGTATCGCTGTTTATTGTTAAGATGAGAACAATATAAAATTGTATATGTATCTATATTTAAATAAAGATTTGTTGCTGTTCTGGGAAATAGGTTAATTTTTTTACCACTCTAATAGGTAAGAAATTACATCTCAAAACTCTTTGTTTTGCCTTTCCTTTCTTTCTCTCTCTTTCAGCTTTACTAAGACATAATTGACACATTTAAAGTATACAAGTTGATGAGTTTTGATACCATGTGAAGCTACCACCACAATCAGGATAATGTGCCTATCTACCACCCTCAAAAGTTACTCATGCACCTTAGGAATTCCCCCACCTGCCTCTCCCCACCTGCCCACACCCCTCAAGCATTTCCTTGAGATTTTTATAAACGGAGACATACAGAATGTACCCTTTTTTACTGCTTTCTTTCACTTAGAAAAATTGTTTTGAAATTTATCCATGTTGTAGTGTGTATCAATAACTCATTTTTATTGCAGAATAGTTTCCCGTTGTATTGGAGGTACCAATCTGTTTATCCCTGCTGCAGATTGGATATGGTTTGTTTGTCCCCATCAAATCTCATGTTGAACTTTGATCTCCAGTGTTAGAGGGAGTTCTAATGGGAGGTGTTTGGGTCATGGGGTTGCATCCCTCATGAATAGATTAACATCCTCCCTTGGGGGTGAGTTCTCAATAAGCTGATTGTTAAAAAGAGTCTGACACCTGCCTGTGTTGTCTCCTTGCTTCTTCTCTCACCCTGTGATATCTGCACATTCCTGTTCCTTCCACCATTAGTGGAAGCAGTCTGAGATCCTCCAGAAACTAAGCAGATGCTGACACCATGCTTCTTGTACAGCCTACAGATCCATCAGCTAAATAAACCTCTTTTCTTTTCAAATTACCAAGCCTCAGATATTCTTTTATAGCAACACACAACAGACTAAGACAATCCTTTGTCTGTTGACTGACATTTAGATTATTTCCAGTTTTAGGCTCTTAAAAATAAGGCTTCTATGAATATTCATGCATGAGTCTTTGTATAGACATATGCTTTCTTTTCTCTTGGGAAAATACACAAGAGTGGTGGTAGAGTCATATGGTAGGTGTACTTTTAACTTTTGAAAAACCTGCTAAACTGTTTTCCAAAGTCATTGTATCATTTAACATCCCCACCAGCAATGCATGAAAATTTTAGTTCGTCTACATTCTTTGCAACCCTATGAAGGTCAGCCTTTAAAATTTTAGTCATTCTGTGGCCGGGTACAGTGGCTCACGCCTGTAATCCCAGCACTTTGGGAGGCCGAGGTGGGCGGATCACCTGTGGTCGGGAGTTCGAGACCAGCCTGACCAACATGGAGAAACGCTGTCTCTACTAAAAATACAAAATTAGCCGGGCATGGTGGTGCATGCCTGTAATCCCAGCTACTCGGGAGACTGAGGTAGGAGAATCACTTGAACCCAGGAGGCAGAGGTTGCAGTGAGCTGAGATCACACCATTGGACTCCAGCCTGGGCAACAACAGCGAAACTCTATCTCAAAAAAAAAAAAAATTTAGTCGTTCTAATAGGCTTAGTTATAACTCATTGTGGTTTTAATTTGCATTTCCTTAATAGCTAATGGTGTTGAGCAACTTTTCACTTGCTTATTTGCCATCCTTCAATCTTATTTAGTGAAGTATTTATTCAAGCCTTTTGTCCATTTTCAAGTTGTGTTAGTTTCTTATTTGATAATGAGAGTTTAAAAAAATATGATTTGGATGTAAAGAATTTTTCATATATATTTTGCAAGTATTTTCTCCTGTCTGTACCTGGTCTTGTAATTCTCTTAGTAATGTCTGTAGATGAACAGAAGTTTTTTATTTTGATGAGATCTAATTTATCAATTTGTATTTTCATGGACCACGCTTTGACATCTGATCTAAAAAAATCTTTGCCCGAGGCTACAAATATTTCTCCTAATTTTTATTCTAGGAATGTTATACTTTTAGGGATTTTTTCCTGTTGTTTTCATCTTTTAAAAAGTAATTGACACATAATAATTGTACATATTTATGGGGTACAGTGTGATGTTTTAATATGTGTATATAATGTGTAGTGATCAAATTAGGATAATTAGCATATCTATTACGTCAGACATTTATAATTTCTTTGCTAAGAACATTAAAAATCCTCTTTTCTAGCTGTTTTGAAATATACGTATTATTGTTAACTGTAGTTACTCTGCTTTGCAGTGGAACACTAGAACTTATTCCTCCTATCTAGCTATAACTTTGTATTTATCCCCCTATACCACCATCTCCCTAATCTTCTTCAGCCTCTGGTAACCCCTATTTTACTCTCTATTTCTATGAAATTGATTTTTTTAGATTCCACATATAAGTAAGATTATGCAGTATTTGTCTTTCTGTGTCTGGCTTATTTCACTTATCATGATGTCCTCCAGGTCCACCTATGTTACTGCAAATGGCACAATTTCAGTCTTTTTTGTGGCTGAATAGTATTCTATTGTGTAAATAGATCACATTTTCTTTAGTCACTCATCCACTGATGGACACTTAGTTGGAGTTCATATCTTTGCTATTGTGAATAGTGCTGCAACAAACATGAGTGTGCAGATATCTCTTTGACATACTAATTTCATTTGCTTTGGATATTGACCCAGTAGTGGGGCTGTTGGATCATAGGGTAGTTTATTTATTTATTTATTTTTAGATAGAATCTCACTCTGTCACCCAGGCTGGAGTGCAGTGGTGTAGTCTTGGCTCACTGCAACCTCTGCCTCCCAGATTCAAGTGATTCTCCTGCCTTAGCCTCCTGAGTACCTGGGACTACAGGCACATGCCACCACACCTGCATAACTTTTGTACTTTTTTTTAAGTAGAGATAGAGTTTCAACTCCTGACCTCAAGTGATCCATCTGCCTTGGCTTCCCAAATTGCTGGGATTATAGGCATGAGCCACTACGCCTGGCCAGTAGTTCTATTTTTAATTTTTAAGGTACCTCCCTACTCTTTTCCACAGTGGTTGTACTAATTTACATTCTCACCAACAATATATAAGGATCTCCCATTCTCCCTGCTCTCACCAGCATTCATTATTTTTTGTCTTTTCAATAATATCCATTCTAACTAGGGTGAGATGATATCTTATTGTGGTTTTGATTTGCATTTTCCCAATTAGTGAAGTTGAGCATTTAAAAAATATACGTGTTAGCAATTTGTCTTTTGAGAAATGTCTATTTAGGTCTTTTGCCCATTTATAATGAAATTATTAGGTTTTTTTTTTGCTATTGAGTTGTTCAGTATCCTTATATATTCTGGTTATTAACGCCTTGTCAGATGCATACTTTGTGAATATTTTCTCCCATTCTGTAGGTTGTTTCTTCACTATATTGATTACTTCCTTTGCAATACAGAAGCTTTTCAAATTGATGTAATCCCATTTGTCTAATTTTGCTTTTGTTACACATGTTTTTGAGGTCTTATTCAAAAAATCCTCACCCATACCAATCTCACAAAGTGTTTTCCCTATTTTTATTCTAGTGGTTTCATAGTTTCAGGTTTACATTTAAGTCTTTAATCCATTTTGAGTTGATTCCTGTAAGTTGGAAGAGATAGGAGACTAGTTTCATTCTTCTGCATATGGATGTCCAGTTTTTCCAGCACCATTTATTGAAGAGACAGTCCTTTCTTCAGTGTGTATTATTGGCAACTTTGTTGAAGCTCAGTTGGCTGTAAATGTGTGGATTTCTGTATTTTATGCCAGTGGCATGCTGTTTTGTTTACCATTGCTTTGCAGTATATTTAGAAGTAAGGTAGTGTGCCTCTAGCTTGGTTCTATTTTATCAAGATTGCTTTGGCTGTTTGGAGTCTTTTGTGGTTCCATACCAATTTCAGTATTGTTTTTTCTATTTCTGTGAAGGATACCATTGGTATTTTGATAGGGATTGCATTTAATCTGTAAATTTCTTTGGATAGTGAAGACATTTTAACAATATTAATATATGTCCATGAACATGAGAAATCTTTCCATTTATTTGTGTACCCATTTCTTTCATCAATGTTTTGTAGTTTTTATTGTAAAGATCTGTTTTTGTGTAAAGTCTTTGAAGTTTCATATACAAAAGATCATGTCATCTGTAAACAGGAACAATGTGATTTCCTCCTTTGCAGTTTGAAGGCCCTGTATTTCTTTCTACTGCCTAATTGTTTTGACTAGGGCTTCCAGTACTATGTTGAATAAAATTAGTAAAAGTGGACATCCTTGTCTTGTGATTTTAGTAAAAATGTTTTCAACTTTTCTCCATTCAGTATATTAGATATGGCTTTGTCATATATGGTCTTTATTGTGCTGAGGCAGATTCCTTCTATACCAAATTTGTTGAGAGTTTTTATCATGAAGGGATGTTGCATTTCATCAAATGCTTTTTTTTTGCATCTGTTGAAATGGTCATATGTTTTTGGCCTTCATTCTGTTGATGTAATGAGTAATGTTTATTGATTTGTGAATGTTGAACTCTCCTTGTATCCCTGGTATGAATCCCACTTAATCATGATGAATATTCTTTTTGATGTGCTATTGGATTGGATTTGCTAGCATTTTGTTGAGGATTTTTGCCTCTATGTTCATCAGGAATACTAGCCTGTAGTTTTCTTGTTTGTTGTGTCCTTGCCTGGTTTTGTATCAGGGTAATGCTCACTTCATAGACTGAGTTAGCAAGAATTCTCTTCACTTCAATTGTTTGGAATAGTTCAAGAAGAATTGATATTAGTTCTTCTTTAAATGTTTGGTAGATTTCAGCAGTGAAGCTGTCAGGTCCTGAGCTTTTCTTTGATGGGAGATTTTTATTACTGATTCAATCTTCTTATTTGTTATTGGTCAGTCCAGGTTTACTATTTCTTCATGTTTTATTCTTGATAGGTTGTATGTGTCCAGGAAGTTTCTCTTTTTATATTTAGGTCTATAATCTCTCTAGAAATTTCCCTCAGCTGAGGGAGCTCCAATTTACCACAATTACCTGCCCCACCTCCTTCTTCATAGGATTAACCTTCATTCAATGACTTCTGATGCAGGGCCATAAGATGTGACCTCCTTGCTTTGATTGGAAACAGTTTTGAAGGGCTATCCCAGCTCCATATCTCCCCTTGGAATTGGCTGAAGCCTCTGTTGTATTTTTCCTTCTCTCCTTACTTTATAGGGGCCATCTCCAATAAGCCTTCTGCAGCAAAATCTTTCAGACTCTGTTTCCTGGAACCCTAACCTCATACAATCACAAATATCAGAATAAATCATAACCTAATGAATGAGGTTGTGTGAATAGAAATTAATAAGAAATATTAAACAGCCATAGTGTTATCACTGAAAGCAAGACAAAAAATATGAATAGAAACTGTCATTGTAACTGACAGCCCTTTAGAGAAATCTTTCTTAATATATATAAGAAATTAAATGAATATCTGCTTGCAAACTTCAGGGAAGTAAAATATTTTATTTAACAAATCATTGCAATGTTCATATATTCAATTTTAAGAATTTACTTTTTGCCACAAAAGGACACAAATAGTATGTAAATTGAATCTTTATTTCTAGATTCTTCTGCTAAAGGTAAGTAATGTTATTTTCCCAGATCTTATTTACCCACATTATACTCTCCTGTTCCCATTCTGTTCCCTGCTCCTATGAACTATATTCACCCAATTTAAATAGTGTAGCCTAAATTCTCTGCAGAAAAAAGCTTCTGAAGATTTTGGCTCAAGCAGTGCATAGAAAGGTAGTAGTAATAGTATCCTTGTAATTGGGATTTTTTTTTTGCCTGATATCAAGAAAGATCAAAATTTCAATTAATTTAATTTGATTATCATTAATTTTTTGAACTTTACCTGCTGCAATTGACTAAATTCTTAATATTTTATTTACCTTAATAATTTATTTCTCCTTCATAAAACCCATTAAAGTTGGGAAGCAGAAGGTCTCCAGGGAACTCTCTGGATGGACACTTAACCTGGGAATGCCTTTCTGCAATCTGGGCAGCAATGGGTAGGAGGGGGAAAATTGTCATTGTGAGGGCTCTATCCAGAAGTTACACATATAACTTCTGCACTCCTTCATCAGCCAAAGAAGTCACATAGTCCCAAAAACTTCAGGCTTGTGGAAGTAAAATCATATTATGTGCCTGGGAAAAGTTTTAGAACTATCTTGTGACCAGAAAATTATAGCAATATAAAGCTAGACAAAAAAAAAAAAAAAAAGAAAACAAGAACAAAACAAAACAAAAAAAACACAGAATTAAATCTAAGAAGGAAGCATTATCTCCAGAAGTTCTCACTTTAATAATAAGTGCTATTTAACTTGAGAGCAGAGGCCATAAAAAAGATCTTAGTGATTTAAAATGAGGTTGGCCAAATATCTGGGAAGTGTCCTTTAGAAAATGATCCTTCACAAACAACTGGGCAAGACGACCTATTTCATTTTTAATTTACATGATAGTGCAAATGTATAAGAAAAAAAAGGTCCTGTCTTCATGCAAATGTGTTCTTTTAATTTTTTTAAATGTCAACAGACAAAGAAATTTAGAAAACACGTGGCACTGAAACAGATTGTTTACAGACAGAATGTTTTTCAGAATTTCCCCAAGAGGCACCAGTGGTGCAAAGAACCTCTATAAATGGAAGCATCTGAGTGTCTCCAGATTTGTTTCATCAGATACCCATGACATTTTTTTCTCCATTTGGCTCCTTCAAATGGCAAAAAGTTCCTAACAACTGGCATAATTTGAGGAAAGCATACTAATTTGTGCTGTGTAGTGCTGGCACATTTTATTCTCTATGAGGGTGTTGAGGAGTTTGTATGTATAGAAGGAAGGGAATTTGGTAATGTGAAAAAGGGAGATAAATATACATCCTTAGAGTTTAAGGGTTACTCTGTACTAACACTTTGAATAAAATCAGATTTTATGTGCAACTTGCTCATCCTCTGGAAACTGAATGTTTAGATCAGGGAAGACTGGGCAAGGGGAAGCCAGTTTTGAGGATCATCTTGTTAAAAATATTTAAAAATTTTTAATTGTTATGGGTACACAGTGGTGTGTATATCTATGGGGTACATAAGATGAAATATTTTGATACAGGCATAAATATATAATAATCACAACAGGATAAATGGGTACCCATCACCTCAAGCTTTTATATTTTATTTGTGTTACAAACAATCCAATTATACTCTTTTAGTTATTTTTAAATGTACAATAAGCTATTATTGACTGTACTCACCCTGTTGTGCTATCAAATACTAGATCTTATTCATTTTCTCTAACTACATTTTTGTACCCATTGACCATCCTCACTTCCCCACACAGACCCCTTCCAGCTTCTGTTAGCCATCCTTCCACTTTTTATCTCCATGGATTCAATTGTTTTAATTTTTAGCTCCCAAAAATAAGTGACAGCATGCAAAGTTTGTCCTTCTTGACAGGTTTATTTCACTTAACATAATGTCCTCCAATTTCATCCATATTGTTGAAAAGGACAGGATATCGTTCTTTTATATGGCTGACTAGTACACCATTGTGTACATCTACCACATTTTCTTTTTCTATTCATCCGTTGATGGACACTTAGACTGCTTCCAAATCCTGGCTATTGTGACTAGTGCTGCAATAAATGTGGGAGTGCATGTATCTCTTCAATATGCTTGTTTCCTTTATATTTTATATATACATACATATATATATATATACACACACATACATATATATACATACATATATATACAGACACATACATATATATATATATATATACACACACATACATATATATATATATATATACACACATACATATATATATATATATATATATATACACACATACATATATATATATACCAAGCAGTGGGATTGCTGAATCATGTGATAGCTCTATTTTTTGAGAAAACTCCTGTATTAGTCCATTCTCACATTGCTCTAAAGAACTACCTGAGACTGGGTAATTTATAAAGAAAAGAGGATGAACTGGCTCAGGGTTCTGCTCATGGTTCTACAGAAAGCATGGCTGGGAGGCTTCAGAAAACTTATAATCATGGTGGAAGTTGAAGAAGAAGGAGGCACGTCTCGCATGGCCAGATCAGAGGAAGGGGCGGGGGAGGTGACACATGCTTTTTAAACCACCAGATCTCATGAGAACTCACTTACTATCATGAGAACAGCAAGGGGGATGTCCACCCCCCGATCCAATCATCTCCCACCAGACTCTTCCTCCAACATTGGGGATCACAATTCAACATGAGATTTGTGCTGGGACACAACTCAGACCATATCATTTCACCCTCACCCTCCCAAATCGCACGTCCTTCTCACATTGCAAAATACAATCAACCTTTCTCAACAATCTCCCAAGTCTTAAATCATTTCAGCATTAACTCAAAAGTCTACAGTCCAAAGTATCTTCTGAGACAAGATAAGTCCCTTCTGCCTATGAGTATGTAAAATCAAAACCAGTTAGTTACTTCCAAGATACAATGGGGGTACTGGCATTGGGTAAATACTCCTATTCTAAAAGGGAAAAAATCAGCCCAAACAAAGGGGCTAAAGGCCCCATGCAAGTCCAAAACTCAGCAGGGAAGTCATTAAATCTTAAAGCTCCAAAATGATTTCCTTTGCCTCCATGTTTCACATCCTGGCAACACTGATGAAATGGGCAGAATCCCAAGGCCTTGGGTAGCTCTGCCCCTGTGGTTCTGCAGGGGACAGCCACCATGGCTGCTTTCATGGGCTGGCATTGAGTGTGCCTGCAGCTTTTCCAGGGGCACGGTGCAAGCTGTTGGTGGATCTACCATGCTGGGGTCTGGAGGATGGTGGCTGTCTTCAAACAGCTCCACTAGGCAGTGCCCCAGTGGGGACTCTGTATGTAGGCTCCAACCCTATATTTCTCCTCCACACTGCCCTAGTAGAGGTTCTCCATGAGGGCTTTGGCCCTGCAGCAGACTTCTGCCTGGACATCCAGGCCTTTCCATACATTCCTTGAAATCTAGGCAGAGGCTCCTAAGCCTCAACTCTCATATTCTGCACCCACAGGCTTAACACCACATGGAAGCCTCCAAGGCTTACAACTTGTACCCTCTGAAACAACAGGCTGAGCTGTATCTTGGGAACTTTAAGATACAGACCTTAAGATGGCTGGGCCTGGAGTGGCTATAGTGCATGGCACCATGTCCTGAGGCTGTACAGAGCAGCAGGACCTTGGGCCTGGCCACAAAACCATTCTTTCTTCCTTGGCCTCCAGGCCTATGATGGGAGGGACTGACATGAAGTTCTCTGAAATGTCTTCGAGGTCTTTCCCCATTATCTTGACTATCAACATTTGGCTCCTCTTTACATATGCAAATTTCTGTAGCTGGCTTGAATTTCTCCCCGGAAAACGGGTTTTTCTTTTCTACTACGTGGCTGGGCTGCAAATTTTCCAAACTTTTACACTCTGCTTCCCTTTTAGATATTAGTTTCAGTTTCAGACCATTTCTTTGCTCATGCATATGACCATATGCTGTTAGAACCAGCCAGCGCATATCTTGAATGCTTTGCTGCTTAGAAATTTCTTCCACCAGATACCCTAAATCATCTCTCTCATGTTCAACATTCTACATATTCCCAGAGCAGAGGCAAAATGCCTCCAGCTTCTTTGCTAACATATAACAAAACTGACCTTACTCCAGTTCTCAATAAGTTCCTTATCTCCATCTGAGACCACCTCAGCCTGACTTCATTGTCTATATCACTATCAGGATTTTGGTCACAACCATTCAAGAAGTCTCTAGGAGTTCCAAACTTTCCCTCATCTTTCTGTCTTCTTCTGAGCCCTCCAAACTCTTCTAACCTATGCCCATTACTGAGTCCCAAAGCTGCTTCCACATTTTCAGGTATCTTTATAGCAATGCCCCACTCCCAGTATCAATTTTCTGCATTAGTCCATTCTCAAATTGCTATAAAGAACTACCTGAGACTGAGTAATTTATAGATAAAAGAGGTTTGATTGGCTCATGGTTCCTCAAGCTGTACAGGAAGCATGGCTGTGGAGGCCTCAGGAAACTTGCAGTCATGGTACAAGGCAAAGGAGAAGGAGGCATGTCTTGCATGGCTGGGGCAGGAGGAAGAGAGAAAGCGGGGAGGTGCCACACACTTTTAAACAACCAGATCTCATGAGAGCTCACTCATTATCATGCGAACTACAAGGGGGAGTAAGCCCCAATGATCCAATCACCCCCCACTAGGCTCCTCCTCCAACACTGGGGGTTACAATTCAACATGAGATTTGGGTGGGGATACAAATTCAAACCATATCACCTCCATACTGTTCTTTATAGTAACTGTACTAATTTACATTTCCACCAACAGTGTATGAGGGTTCCCTTTTCTCCACATCCCTGCCAGCATTTGTCATTGCCTGTCTTTTGGATAAAGGCCATTTTAACTGGGGTGAGATGATATCTCATGTAGTTTTGATTTGCGTTTCTCTGATGATCAGTGATGTCAAGCACTTCTTCGTATGGCTGTTTGCCATTTGTATGTCTTCTTTTGAGGAATGTCTTTTAGGATCTTTTGCTCATTTTTAATTAGAGTACTTTTTTTTTTTTACTATTGTTTGAGCTCCTTATATATCCTGGCTATGAATCCCTTGTCAGATGGGTAGTTTGCAAATATTTTCTCCCATTTGTGGGTTGTTTCTTCACTTTGTTGATTATTTCCTTTGCTATACAGAAGCTTTTTAATGTCATGTGATCCCATTTGTCAATTTTTGCTTTAGTTCCCTGTGCTTATGGAGTATTACTCAAGAAATATTTGCCCAGAACAATGTCCTGGAGCATTTCCTCAATGTTTTCTTTTAGTAGTTTCATAGTTGAGGTCTTAGATTTAAGTCTTTCATCCATTTTGATTTGATTTTTGTGTATGGCGAAACATAGGGGTCTAGTTTCATTCTTCTCCATATGGATATCCAGTTTTCCCAGCACCATTTATTGAAGAGACTGTCCCTTCTCCAATGTATGTTCTTGGTAACTTTGTCAGAAATGAGTTTACTGTAGATGTATGAATTTATTTCTGCATTCTCTATTTTGCTCCATTTGTCTGTTTTCATTTTTGTGCCAGTATCATGCTGTTTTGGTTACTATAGCTCTGTGGTATAATTTGAAGTCAGGTAATGTGATTCCTCCAGTTTTGCTCTTTTTGCTCAGGGTATCTTTGGCTATTCTAGGTCTTTTATGGTTCCGCACAAATCTTGGATTTTTTTTTAAATTCTGAGAAGAATTTCGTTGTCATTTTGTTAGAGATTGCATTGAATCCGTACATTGCTTTGGGCAGTATGGACATTTTAAAAATATTTATTCTTCCAGACCATGAACATGGAATGTTGTTTCCTTTTTTTGGTATCCTCTTCAATTTCTTGCACTAATGTTTTATAGTTTTCATTGTACAAATCTTTCATTTATTTGGCTAAGTTTATTCCTGGGTATTTTATTTTATTTTTATCTCTTGTAAATGGAATTACTTTCTTGATTTCTTTTTCAGGTTGTTTGCTGTTGGCATACAGAAATGTTACTGATTTTTGTATGTTGATTTTGTATTCTACAACTTTACTAAATTTGTTTGTCAGTTCTAATAGCTATTTTTTATGAAGTCTTTAGGTTTTTCCAAACATAAGATCATATTATCTGCAAACAAGGATAATTTGACTTCTTCCTTTCCAATCTGGATGCTCTCTATTTTATTCTCATCTCATTGCTCTAGGTAGGAGTTCTAGTACTATGTTGAATAACAGTGGTGAAAATGGAGAGACCATCAAAATTAATCAGTCTGACTTTGAAAGCACAGTTCAATTGCTATGATCTGAAGAAAATTACTTTTCAAAACTGTTTAAAATTTCCTTAAGAGAAGATATCATTCGAAGGGGTTAGGACAGTTACTTAATCTAGCCTTTCTCTTTGAGAGGCTTTCTCTGGATACTTGGGGAAGTTGGCAGAGAATGCAGGTGGCAACAGGGTAAATAGCACAAGGATGCAGCCTCTCAGGAAGGAAGTCTGACCTCTGGCTGCCCTCAGTCTCACCAGGCAGATTGCGTAACATCAGCTTAACTTATTTTGATAGTTTTGTTAAACTGAAATTTGCTGCTGGAAATAATAGCCCCAGGTCTTCATGTCAATAGCTAAACTGTTTATGTTAGATCAGATATCAGAGTCCATTGGTTATTTTGAAATAAGTTAAAATATTTCAATCAATGTGGTGTACTATCTGTACTTAGGTTCAGAGAAATGGAGGGTTTTTCTAAGTTTGATTAGAGCTTGCTTCTTCAAGAAGTTGATTGAATGAGGTTATGCATTAACACAGAAAGATGACAAGATAATTTGGATTCTGAAAATTCTGTATCTCATAAGAAAATTTATCACTTACCATTTTTTCAACTCATTTAAGAAGTATTTCCAAATACTCAAAGTAAGTGATTGAAAAATATTTATAATGTTTATTACAATATAATATCCTTCATATATTAAGGTCTTGCCTTAAATACCTAAGGAGAATGCTATAAATTCTAGAACAACCTGCTTTCTCTAGGGCCTATTTCTACCTGCGATCTTCCTTACAATAGAAACATCTATGTCTGTGGTGACTACATTCTGAATCCTATTAATGTTTTTCTTCCAAATTATAGCAGCATTGAGTTTTTGCCTCCTAATGTGTTTTTACATTCTTTTCTGATAATTATGTTATTGAAAATCTAGAAAGAAGTCTTCCATAGTACTTGCTTTGTGATCACTCATCATGTAATGCTCAAATCCAAATGTACTAAATGGTTGGAATTGGTTTGTGGTTTAAAAAAAAAGTCTAGGCCGGGCACAGTGGCTCATGCCTGTAATCCCAGCACTTTCGGAGGCTGAGGCGGGTGGATCATGAGGTCAACAGATCAAGATCATCCTGGCCAACATGGGGAAACCCCGTCTCTGCTGAAAATACAAAAATTATCAGGGTGTGGTGGCACGCGCCTGTAGTCCCAGCTACCTGGGAGGCTGAGACAGCAGAATCGCTTGAACCTGGGAGGCGGAGGTTGCAGTGAGCCGAGATAGTGCTGCTGCACTCCAGCCTGGTGACAGAGTGAGACTCCGTCTCAAAAAAAAAAAAAAAAGAAGAAAAGAAACGTCTAGTTTCAAATATTCAAGTACTTACCCCTATATATACTAGGAAAATAGTATCATCATTCACCATCTCAACTAAAGAAATCCATCTAAATTTTTTCATTTTTAAGTCATTTTTCAAATAATTTACAGAAGGATAAAGGCATAATAGAAAAACTGATTAGAAATTTTAATAAAAGTTAAACATAGCAAAACTCTTTATATCAAATAAAAAATTTGGCACACAAACATTATAAAAGATAAAAGAATATTGTCATATATGCAATTAGCAAAAGAGGAAAGCCCAAATTCTTGTTGCAAAATATGGTGTGATACAGTCTGTCCTGTATGAAGTACTCTATTTTCTTTATTTTCCATAGAGACAGGTTGTTTACTCATTGATTCATGAATTTGAGGAAATTTGTTAAAGTTTGTAGGAAATCATGATCTAAAGATTCATAGTCTATTTCACTTACATGATTGATTCCATCATCAGCATTAGTGTGTAAAGTAGCACTGTCCAACAGAAATATATTTCATGTTATACATGTAATTAAGAAGTTTCTAGTAGCCAAATTGAAAATTTTAAACAGGTGAAATTAAATTTGAATAATACATTTTATTTAATTTTGCATATTCAAAGTATTATTTCAACATATAATTGATATAAAATATTAATAAGATATCTGATATTCCCATTTATTGTACTAAAGCTTCAAAATCAGTGTGTATTTTATACTTAAAACACATCTCAAGTCAAACTAACCATATTTTAAGTACCTGAATGTCACATGTAATTAGTGGCTACCCTATGGGACAGTGCTGGTCTGGAGAGCTTGCTGTAGCTCTTTATATTTGTTTTCTGATTTGTCTAAGAATTGTGAAATGTCTCCCTCTGTCAGTTTTCTTCTGTTTGGTCATTATAGATGGAAAAAGAAAAAATAAGTATTCTAAACTGTGTTCAATGAAGCTAAAAACAACATACACATGGCGTCTCCTCTTCTATACTATCTTGAAAGATGATGCAATACTTTTGGCAACACAGTATAAAATTGAAAGATTATTATTAATTTCACTATTGTATTTGTCTTTCTAGTAGGTTCCATTATTTTTTGTTTTTTTCTTTAGTCTTTTTTTAAGTCATAGTTGAAAATAATTGATGAATAAGAAAAAAATAATTCCTAGTATAACAAAATAGCAAAATGTTTAAAATGTTAGAAAAAGAAGATCACCAAGATCTCACAATATGTCTTAGCTTTATAAAAGGCTCAATGGACTTGTGTGATAATTGCAAGATAGAATAAATTTTATTTTAAAATAAATATATGTTATCTTTGTTCTTTGTAAGACTATTAAGAAATAATAAAATTCACAAAATATCAATTTTTACAGATAGAACTGCTCAAAAAAAGAAACAAAACTATAATTGAGTCCAGTGAACTCCTATGGTATATGGGGGGTTAAATTGCATTAATTAAACAACATGTCGGGGAAAATTTCAGCGACACATTTATTTTTTAGTCCCCCTTTTCTTCTCCATAAGCTTTCATCTCATAGGACTTTTCCCAAGTTTTCTCCTCAAAAATTCTTTGAAAAACTTTCTCTGGTAGCCCCAGTACACAATCTCTTCATCTCAAAAGCCCCAAAGAACCTGTCTAACAAGAAGGTCGCCCAGAGAAGGGGCAGCAGCCATCACTGCAGCTCCAGTCTGCCATTTTCTCCTGTGGGTGCTGGGGAGGCTGGGTGGTTTGGGCCCAGGAGGAATTCCCCACAGCACAGCACAGTGGCTGTGGCAGATCATGACCAGATTGCCTCTTGAGGCTGGACCTCGACCCATCCTTTCTCACTGGTCAGGGCCTCCTTGTGGGAATTTCAGCCATTCTGGCCAGGGGTTTACGGACAGAGCTTTGATCTCCCTGGGATGAAACCCTGGGGTAAGGGGATCTGCAGACTTAGTCTTTCCCCTTGCTGGCTCTGAGGAATCCAGGCAGTCTGGAGGAGTGGGATTCCTCCCACACAGTGCACCCGCTCCACCAAGGGGCCACCAGAGTGCTTCAGTAAGCAAGTCTTTGATCCCATGCCTCCTGACTGGGTGAGACCCTACAACAGTGGTTGCCAGACACATTATACAGGAGCATTCCTGCTGGCATCAGGTTGGTGCCCCTCTGGGACAGAGCTCCCAGAGGAAGAAGTGGACAGCCATCTTTGCTGTTCTGCAGCCTCCTCTGGTGACACCTCCAAGTGTGGGAGGGACCCTGACAAATAGGGTCTGGAAGGGACCCTCAGCAAACCATAGCAACCCTACGGAAGAGGGGCCTGACTGTTAAAAGAAAAACAGGCTGGGAGTGGTGGCTCATGCCTGTAATCCCAACACTTTGGGAGGCCACGAGGCAGACGATCTTCTGAGGTCGGGAGGTCGAGACCAGCCTGACCAGCATGGAGAAACCCCATCTCTACTAAAAATACAAGATTAGCCGGGCATGGTGGCGCATGCCTGCAATCCCAGCTACTCAGGAGGCTGAAGCAGGAGAATCACTTGAACCCAGGAGGCAGAGGTTGCGGAGAGCTGAGATCATGCCATTGCACTTCAGCCTGGGCAACAAGAGAGAAACTCCATCTAAAAAAAGAAAAAAAAAATCAAAAGAAAAGAAAAACAAACAAACAGAAAACAACAGCGTCAACAAAAAGTCCCCACAAAAACCCCATCCAAAAGTCAGCAGCCTCAAAGATCAAAACTACATAAACTCATGCTGAAAACTCAAAAAGCCAGAGTGCCTCTTCTGCTCCAAATGATCACAACACCTCTCCAGCAAGGGAACAGAACTGGGCTGAGGCTGAGATGGATAAACTGACAGAAGTAGGCTTCAGAAGGTGCGTAATAATGAACTTTGCTGAACTAAAGGAGCATGTTCTAACCCAATGCAAAGAAGCTAAGAACCACAATAAAACACTATAGGGGCTGTTAACCAGAATAACCAGTTTAGAGAAGAAAATAAATGACCTGATGGAGCTGAAAAACACAACATGAGAACTTCACAGTGCAACCACAAGTATCTACAGCCAAATAGACCAGGTAGAGAAAATAATTTCAGAGCTGGAAGACTATCTTGCTGAAATAAGACAGGCAAACAAGATTAGAGAAAAATGAATGAAAAGGAATAAACAAAACCTCTGAGGACTATGGGATTATGTAAAAGGACCAAACCTACAACTGATTGGGGTACCTGAAAGAGACGGGGAGAACAAAACCAAGTTGGAAAACATTCTTCAAGATATCATCCAGGAGAACTTCCCCAACCTAGCATGACACACCAACATTCAAAGTTAGGAAATCCAGAGAACCCCAATAAGATACTCCATGAAAAGGTCAACCCCAAGACACATAATCATCAGATTCTCCAAGGTCAAAATGAAGGAAAAAATTGTTAAGGGCAGCCAGAGAGAAAGGCCATGTCACCTACAAAGGGAAGCCCATCAGACTAACAGAGGACCTCTCAGTGAAAACCTTACAAGCCAGAAAAGATTGGGGGGACAATATTCAACATTCTAAAAGAAAAGAATTTCCAAACTAGAATTTCATATCCAGCCAAACTAAGCTTCATAAGCAAAGAGGAAATAAAATCCTTTTCAGACAAGCAAATGCTGAGGGAATTTGTCACCACAAATCCTGCTTTGCAGGAGCTCCTGAAGGAAGCACTAAATATGGAAAGGAAAATCCATTACCAGCCACTACAAAAACACACTGAAGTACAAAGACCAATGACACTATGAAGCAACTACATTAACAAGTCTGCAAAATAACCAGCTAGCATAATGGTGACAGGATCAAATTCACACATAACAATATTAACCTTAAATGTAAATAGGCTAAGTGCCCCAATTAAAAGACACAGAATGGCAGGCTGAATAAAGAGTCAAGACCCATCAGTGTGTTGTATTCAAGAGAACCATCTCATGTGCAAAGACACACATAGGCTCAAAATAAAAGGATGGAGAAAAACTTACCAAGCAAATGCAAAGTAGAAAAAAACACAAATTGCAATCCTAGTTTCTTTTTTTCTTTTTTTTTCTGGAGACAGAGTCTGGCTCTGTCACCCAGGCTGGAGTGCAGTGGCATGATCTCGGCTCACTGCAGTCTCTGCCTTCTGAGTTCAAGCAATTCTCCTGACTTAGCCTCCCGAGTAGCTGGGACTACAGGTGCATGCCACCACGCCTGGCTAATTTTTGTAGTTTTAGTAGAGACAGGGTTTCACCATGTTGGCTAGGCTGGTCTCAAACTCCTGACCTCAGATGATCAGCCCACCTCAGCCTCCCAAAGTGCTGGGAATACAGGCATGAGCCACTGAAACTGGCTGCAATCCTAGTTTCTGACAAAACAGACCTTAAGCCAACAAAGATCAAAAAAGACAAAGAAGGGCATTACATAATGGTAAAGGGTTTAATTCAACAACAAGAGCTAACTATCCTAAATATATATGCACCCAATGCAGGAGCACCTAGATTCATAAAGCAAGTTCATAGATACCTTCAAAGAGACTTAGACTCCTACACAATAATAGTGGGAGACTTTGAGACCACACTGTCAATATTAGACAGATCACAGATCATAGTGACAGAACACTGACAAAGATATTCAGGACTTGAACTCAGCTCTGAATCCAATGGATCTGATATGTATCTGCAGAACTCTCCATGTCAAAACTACAGAATATACATTCTTCTTCGGGTCACATGGCACTTACTCTAAAATCAGTCACATAATTGGAAGTAAAACACTCCTCAGCAAATGAAAACGAACTGAAATCATAACAAACAGTCTCCCAGACCACAGCACAATCAAATTAGAACTCAAGATTAGGAAACTCACTGAGAACCACACAACTACATGAAAATTGAACTACCTGCTCCTGAATGACTCCTGGGTAAATAATAAAATTAAGGCAGAAAACAAGAAGTTCTTTGAAACCAATGATAACAAAGAAACAGTGTACCAGAATCTCTGGGATGCAGCTACAGTAGTGTTAAGAGGGAAATTTCCAGCACTAAATGCCCACATCAAAAAAGATTAGAAAGATCTCAAATCGACATCGTAATACACAAATAAAAGAACTAGAGAACCAAGAGCAAATAAACCCCAAAGCTAGCAAAAGACAAGAAATAACCAAAATCAAAGTGGAACTGAAGAAGATAGAGACACAAAAAACCCTTCCAAAAATCAATTAATCCAGGACCTGCTTTTATGAAAAAATGAATAAAATCAATAGACCAAAAGCTAGACTAATAAAGAAGAAAAGAGAGAGGAATCAAATAGACACAATATAAAATGATAAAGGAGATATTACCACTGACCCCACAGAATATACAAACAACCATCAGAGAATACTATAAACACCTCTATGCAAATAAACTAGAAAATCTAGAAGAACTGGGTAAGTTCCTGGACATATATATCCTCCCAAGACTGAACCAATATGAAGTTGATATCTGAATAGACCAATTACAAGTTCTGAAATTGAGGCAGTAATAAATGGCCTACCAACCAAAAGAAGCCTAGGACCAGACAGTTTTATAGCTAAATTCTACCAGAGGTACAAAAAGGAGCTGGTACCATTTATTCTGAAACTATTCCAAGCAATTGAAAAGGAGAGACTCCTCCCTATCTCATTTTATGAGGCCAACATTATCCTGATACCAAAACCTGGCAGAGATACAACAAAAAAAACTTTAGGCCAATATCCCTAATGAACATTGATGCAAAAATCCTCAATAAAATACTGGCAAACCAAATCCAGCAGCACATCAAAAAGCTTATCCACTATGATCAAGTCAGCTTCATCCCCAGGATGAAGCCTGGTTCAACATATGCAAATCAATAAATGTAATTCATTACATAAACAGAACTAAAGACAAAAACTACATGATTACCTCAATAGAAGCAGAAAAGGCCTTCAATAAATTTCAACATCACTTTATGTTAAAAACTCTCAATAAACTAGGTATTGATGGAACATACCTCAAAATAATAAGAGCCATTTATGACAAATCCACAGCCAATATCATACTGAATGGGCAAAAGCTAGAAGCATTCCCTTGAAAACAGGCCAAGACGAGGATGCCCTCTCTCACCACTCCTATTCAACATAGTATTGGAAGTTTTGGCCAGGGCAATCAGGCAAGAAAAGGAATAGAGCATATTCAAATAGGAAGGGAGGAAGCCAAACTGTCTCTATTTGAAGATGACATGATCCTATATCTAGAAAATTCCACCATCTCAGCCTCAAAGCTTCTTAAGCTGATAAGCAACTTCAGCAAAATCTCAGGATACAAAATCAATATGCAAAAATCACGAGCATTCCTATACACAAATGATAGACAAGCAGAGAGCCAAATCATGAATGAACTCCTGTTCACAATTGCTAGAAAGAGAATAAAACACCTGGGAATACAGCTAACAAGGGGAGTGAAGGATCTCTTCAAGAAGAACTACAAACTACTGCTTGAGGAAATCAGAGAGGACACAAACAAATGGAAAAACATTCCATGCTCACAGATAGGAAGAATAAATATCGTAAAAATGGCCATACTGTCCAAAGTAATTTATAGATTCAATGCTATTCCTATTAAAATACCATTGACATTCTTCACAGAACTAGAAAAAACTACTTTAGAATTCATACAGAACCAAAAAAGAGCCTGTATAGCCAAGACAATTCTAAGCAAACAGAGCAAAGCTGGAGGCATTATGCTACCTGATTTTAAACTATACTACAAGGCTACAGTAACCAAAACAGCATTGTACTCGTACAAAAACAGATACATAGACCAACGGAACAGAATAGAGAACCCAGAAATAAGACTATGACCATCTGATCTTTGACAAACCTGACAAAAATAAGCAATGAGGAAAGGATTCCCTGTTTAATAAATGGTGCTGGAGAACTGGCTAGCCATATGCAGAAAATTGAAACTGGTTGCCTTCCTTATACCATATACAAAAATTAGCTCAAGATGGATTAAAGACTTAAATGTAAAACCCAAAACTATAACATCCCAAACAGAAAATCTAGGCAATACCATTCAGGACACAGGCTGTAGCAAAGATTTAATGACTAAAACATCAACAACAAAAATAAAAAATTGACAAATGGGATCTAATTAAACTAAAGAGCTTCTGCATACCAAAAGAAACTGTCATTAGAGTGAACAGACAACCTACAGAATGGGAGAAATTTTTTGCAATCTATTCATCTGACAAAGGTCTAATATCCAGGATCTACAAGGAACTTAAAGAAATGTACAAGAAAAAAAAACCATTAAAAAGTGGGCAAAAGACATGAACAGACACTTCTCAAAAGAAGACATTTATGTGGCCAACAAACATATGGAAAAAAGCTCAGCATCACTGATCATTAGAGAAATGCAAATCAAAACCACAATGAAATACCATCTCACACCAGTCAGAATGGCAATTATTAAAAAGTCAAGAAACAACAGATGCTGGCAATGCTATGGAGAAAAAGAAACACTTTTACACTGTTCGTGGGAATGTAAATTAGTTCAACCATTGTGGAAGACAGTGTGGCAACTCCTCAAAGACATGTAACAAGAAATACCATTTGACCCAGCAATCCCATTACTAGGTATATACCCAGAGGAATATAAATCATTCTATTATAAAGATATATGCACGCATATGTTCATTGCAGCACTATTCACAATAGCAAAGACATGGAATTAACCCAAATGTCCATCAATGATAGACTGGATAAAGAAAATGTGGTACATATACACCATGGAGTACTATGCAGTCATAAAAAGGAATGAGATCTTGTCCTTCAGGAACATGGATGGAGCTGGAAGCCATTATCCTCAGCAAACTAATGTAGGAACAGAAAACCAAACACCACATGTTCTCACTTATAAGTGGGAGCTGAATGATGAGAACACATGAACACAGGGAGGGGAATAACACACACTGGGGCCTGCAAGGGTGAGGGTGGCAGGAGGAAGGAGAGCATCAGGGTAAATAGCTAATGCATGTGGGGCTTAATACCGAGGTGATGGGTTGATAGATGCAGCAAATCACCATGGCACACGTTTACCTGTGCAACAAACCTGCACATCCTACACATGTACCCTGGAACTTAAAATAAAATAATACAATTTTTAAAAAAGAAGGTCAAGGAAGAGAAGAGATGGAACAGATCAATTAAAAATTCTCTTTAGCTGGCAGGGGAGGATGCAAGGCTGTGCCCTCCCCACTTGCATTTTTGAATTTTTGCTCTTAGTTTATGCATAACTATGTGCATTTTCTAACAAGGAGTAACCAGGCTAGGAGGTATATTCACATAAAGCCAAGAGTTTCTGGTCCTTACAATCAACTCCCAGACTCTCTCCTAGGCTGAGAACTCCCAGAAGCTGGACCATAGGAACATAAAACCTACAGCTTGATGAGAGAATTTTCTTTTTACTTGCTACTGTGGACCAGCCGTTATACTAAGTAAAGTTCCTGAATTACCCCATTTCATCATCACAGCAAACCCTGGAGTTATCATCTCCTCCATTTTTATAGATGAGGAAATAGGGGCTCAGAATAATTAAATTACTGTCTTAAAGTCACAGAAACAATAAATATAATTGAGTCAAGGACCTCGCATCAGTCAGATTCATATTTGAAATCAACAGAACCCATACTAGTTAGGATTCAAGAGGGGAAAGAATTATTGGAAAATATTAGATATTTCAGAGGTTCTTTAGGAGAGCCAGAGAATCAACCTTGGAGGCTACACGCAATTATCTTGCAGATTCTGAGGACAAACCTGTTACTGCTGCCACCAGACCTATAACCTGTCACTTTCCCTGAATCTGAGATATTACTTCTAAGTCTTCTATCACTGTAGCCTCTGAAAACAGAATGACCCTGTCCACCAAGCCAGATTCCACGCTGTTTGGCACCTTTTTCATTTCATTCTCATCCACATTGAAGTTTCTTTTTTTTTTTTTCCAGTTTCCAATACATTTTTTATTTCCACCTGAGAATTTGTCAGCCATGCCTTCACTAACTATATATATATATATATTTTTTTATTATACTTTAAGTTTTAGGGTACATGTGCACATTGTGCAGGTTAGTTACATATGTATACATGTGCCATGCTGGTGCGCTGCACCCACTAACTCATCATCTAGCATTAGGTATATCTCCCGATGCTATCCCTCCTCCCTCCCCCCACCCCACAACAGTCCCCAGAGTGTGATATTCCCCTTCCTGTGTCCATGTGATCTCATTGTTCAGTTCCCACCTATGAGTGAGAATATGCAGTGTTTGGTTTTTTGTTCTTGCGATAGTTTACTGAGAATGATGATTTCCAATTTCATCCATGTCCCTACAAAGGACATGAACTCATCACTTTTTATGGCTGCATAGTATTCCATGGTGTATATCTGCCACATTTTCTTAATCCAGTCTATCATTGTTGGACATTTGGGTTGGTTCCAAGTCTTTGCTATTGGGAATAATGCCGCAATAAACATACGTGTGCATGTGTCTTTACAGCAGCATGATTTATAGTCCTTTGGGTATATACCCAGTAATGGGATGGCTGGGTCAAATGGTATTTCCAGTTCTAGATCCCTGAGGAATCGCCACACTGACTTCCACAATGGTTGAACTAGTTTACAGTCCCACCAACAGTGTAAAAGTGTTCCTATTTCTCCACATCCTCTCCAGCACCTGTTGTTTCCTGACTTTTTAATGATAGCCATTCTAACTGGTGTGAGATGGTATCTCATTGTGGTTTTGATTTGCATTTCTCTGATGGCCAGTGATGGTGAGCATTTTTTCATGTGTTTTTTGGCTGCATAAATGTCTTCTTTTGAGAAGTGTCTGTTCATGTCCTTTGCCCACTTTTTGATGGGGTTGTTTGTTTTTTTCTTGTAAATTTGTTTGAGTTTGTTGTAGATTCTGGATATTAGCCCTTTGTCAGATGAGTAGGTTGCAAAAATTTTCTCCCATTCTGTAGGTTGCCTGTTCACTCTGATGGTAGTTTCTTTTACTGTGCAGAAGCTCTTTAGTTTAATTAGATCCCATTTGTCAATTTTGTCTTTTGTTGCCATTGCTTTTGGTGTTTTAGACATGAAGTCCTTGCCCATGCCTATGTCCTGAATGGTAATGCCTAGGTTTTCTTCTAGGGTTTTTATGGTTTTAGGTCTAACATTTAAGTCTTTAATCCATCTTGAATTGATTTTTGTATAAGGTGTAAGGAAGGGATCCAGTTTCAGCTTTCTACATATGGCTAGCCAGTTTTCCCAGCACCATTTATTAAATAGGGAATCCTTTCCCCATTGCTTGTTTTTCTCAGGTTTGTCAAAGATCAGATAGTTGTAGATATGCGGCGTTATTTCTGAGGGCTCTGTTCTGTTCCATTGATCTATATCTCTGTTTTGGTACCAGTACCATGCTGTTTTGGTTACTGTAGCCTTGTAGTATAGTTTGAAGTCAGGTAGTGTGATGCCTCCAGCTTTGTTCTTTTGGCTTAGGATTGTCTTGGAAATGTGGGCTCTTTTTTGGTTCCATATGAACTTTAAAGTAGTTTTTTCCAATTCTTTGAAGAAAGTCATTGGTAGCTTGATGGGGATGGCATTGAATCTGTAAATTACCTTGGGCAGTATGGTCATTTTCACAATATTGATTCTTCCTACCCATGAGCATGGAATGTTCTTCCATTTGTTTGTATCCTCTTTTATTTCCTTGAGCAGTGGTTTGTAGTTCTCCTTGAAGAGGTCCTTCACATCCCTTGTAAGTTGGATTCCTAGGTATTTTATTCTCTTTGAAGCAATTTTGAATGGGAGTTCACTCATGATTTGGCTCTCTGTTTGTCTGTTGTTGGTGTATAAGAATGCTTGTGATTTTTGTACATTGATTTTGTATCCTGAGACTTTGCTGAAGTTGCTTATCAGCTTAAGGAGATTTTGGGCTGAGACAATGGGGTTTTCTAGATATACAATCATGTCTTCTGCAAAGAGGGACAATTTGACTTCCTCTTTTCCTAATTGAATACCGTTTATTTCTTTCTCCTGCCTAATTGCCCTGGCCAGAACTTCCAACACTATGTTGAATAGGAGTGGTGAGAGAGGGCATCCCTGTCTTGTCCCAGTTTTCAAAGGGAATGCTTCCAGTTTTTGCCCATTCAGTATGATATTGGCTGTGGGTTTGTCATAGATAGCTCTTATTATTTTGAAATATGTCCCATCAAGACCTAATTTATTGAGAGTTTTTAGCATGAAGGGTTGTTGAATTTTGTCAAAGGCTTTTTCTGCATCTATTGAGATAATCATGTGGTTTTTGTCTTTGGCTCTGTTTATATGCTGGATTACATTTATTGATTTGCGTATATTGAACCAGCCTTGCATCCCAGGGATGAAGCCCACTTGATCATGGTGGATAAGCTTTTTGATGTGCTGCTGGATTCGTTTTGCCAGTATTTTATTGAGGATTTTTGCATCAATGTTCATCAAGGATATTGGTCTAAAATTCTCTTTTTTTGTTGTGTCTCTGCCTGGCTTTGGTATCAGAATGATGCTTGCCTCATAAAAAGGGTTAGGGAGGATTCCCTCTTTTTCTATTGATTGGAATAGTTTCAGAAGGAATGGTACCAGTTCCTCCTTTTACCTCTGGTAGAATTCGGCTGTGAATCCATCTGGTCCTGGACTCTTTTTGGTTGGTAAGCTATTGATCATTGCCACAATTTCATAGCCTGTTATTGGTCTATTCAGAGATTCAGCTTCTTCCTGGTTTAGTCTTGGGAGAGTGTATGTGTCCAGGAATTTATCCATTTCTTCTAGATTTTCTAGTTTATTTGCATAGAGGTGTTTGTAGTATTCTCTGATGGTAGTTTGTATTTCTGTGGGATCGGTGGTGATATCCCCTTTATCATTTTTTATTGTGTCTATTTGATTCTTCTCTCTTTTTTTCTTTATTAGTCTTGCTAGCGGTCTATCAATTTTGTTGATCCTTTCAAAAAACCAGCTCCTGGATTCATTAATTTTTTGAAGGGTTTTTTGTGTCTCTATTTCCTTCAGTTCTGCTCAGATTTTAGTTATTTCTTGCCTTCTGCTAGCTTTTGAATGTGTTTGCTCTTGCTTTTCTAGTTCTTTTAATTGTGATGTTAGGGTGTCAATTTTGGATCTTTCCTGCTTTCTCTTGTGGGCATTTACTGCTATAAATTTCCCTCTACACATTGCTTTGAATGTGTCCCAGAGATTCTGGTATGTTGTGTCTTTGTTCTCGTTGGTTTCAAAGAACATCTTCATTTCTGCCTTCATTTCATTATGTACCCAGTAGTCATTCAGGAGCAGGTTGTTCAGTTTCCATGTAGTTGAGCGGTTTTTAGTGAGATTCTTAATCCTGAGTTCTAGTTTGATTGCACTGTGGTCTGAGAGATAGTTTGTTATAATTTCTGTTCTTTTACATTTGCTGAGGAGAGCTTTACTTCCAAGTATGTGGTCAGTTTTGGAATAGATGTGGTGTGGTGCTGAAAAAAATGTATATTCTGTTGATTTGGGGTGGAGAGTTCTGTAGATGTCTATTAGGTCCGCTTGGTGCAGAGCTGAGTTCAATTCCTGGGTATCCTTGTTGACTTTCTGTCTCGTTGATCTGTCTAATGTTAACAGTGGGGTGTTAAAGTCTCCCATTATTAATGTGTGGGAGTCTAAGTCTCTTTGTAGGTCACTCAGGACTTGCTTTATGAATCTGGGTGCTCCTGTATTGGGTGCATATATATTTAGGGTAGTTAGCTCTTCTTGTTGAATTGATCCCTTTACCATTATGTAATGGCCTTCTTTGTCTCTTTTGATCTTTGTTGGTTTAAAGTCTGTTTTATCAGAGACTAGGTTTGCAACCCCTGCCTTTTTTTGTTTTCCATTTGCTTGGTAGATCTTCCTCCATCCTTTTATTTTGAGCCTATGTGTGACTCTGCACGTGAGATGGGTTTCCTGAATACAGCACACTGATGAGTCTTGACTCTTTATCCAATTTGCCAGTCTGTGTCTTTTAATTGGAGCATTTAGTCCATTTACATTTAAAGTTAATATTGTTATGTGTGAATTTGATCCTGTCATTATGATGTTAGCTGGTTATTTTGCTCGTTAGTTGATGCAGTTTCTTCCTAGTCTCGATGGTCCTTACATTTTGGCATGATTTTGCAACAGCTGGTACCAGTTGTTCCTTTCCATGTTTAGTGCTTCTTTCAGGAGCTCTTGTAAGGCAGGCCTGGTGGTGACAAAATCTCTCAGCATTTGCTTGTCTGTAAAGTATTTTATTTCTCCTTCACTTATGAAGCTTAGATTGGCTGGATATGAAATTCTGGGTTGAAAATTCTTTCCTTTAAGAATGTTGAATATTGGCCCCCACTCTCTTCTGGCTTGTAGGGTTTCTGCCAAGAGATCCGCTGTTAGTCTGATGGGCTTCCCTTTGAGGGTAACCCGACCTTTCTCTCTGGCTGCCCTTAACATTTTTTCCTTCATTTCAACTTTGGTGAATCTGACAATTATGTGTCTTGGAGTTGCTCTTCTCAAGGAGTATCTTTGTGGCGTTCTCTGTATTTCCTGAATCTGAATGTTGGCCTGCCTTGCTAGATTGGGGAAGTTCTCCTGGATAATATCCTGCAGAGTGTTTTCCAACTTGGTTCCATTCTCCCCATCACTTTCAGGTACACCAATCAGACGTAGATTTGGTCTTTTCACATAGTCCCATATTTCTTGGAGGCTTTGCTCATTTCTTTTTATTCTTTTTTCTCTAAACTTCCCTTCTCGCTTCATTTCATTCATTTCTTCTTCCATTGCTGATACCCTTTCTTTCAGTTGATCACATCAGCTCCTGAGGCTTCTGCATTCGTCACGTAGTTCTCGAGCCTTGGTTTTCAGCTCCATCAGCTTCTTTAAGCACTTCTCTGTATTGGTTATTCTAGTTACACATTCTTCTAAATTTTTTTCAGTTTTCAACTTCTTTGCCTTTGGTTTGAATGTCCTCCCATAGCTCAGAGTAATTTGATCGTCTGAAGCCTTCTTCCCTCAGCTCGTCAAAGTCATTCTCCATCCAGCTTTGTTCCGTTGCTGGTGAGGAACTGTGTTCCTTTGGAGGAGGAGGAGGCGCTCTGCTTTTTAGAGTTTCCAGTTTTTCTGTTCTGTTTTTTCCCCATCTTTGTGGTTTTATCTACTTTTGATCTTTGATGATGGTGATGTACAGATGGGTTTTTGGTGTGGATGTCCTTTCTGTTTGTTAGTTTTCCTTCTAACAGAGAGGACCCTCAGCTGCAGGTCTGTTGGAATACCCTGCCGTGTGAGGTGTCAGTGTGCCCCTGCTGGGGGGTGCCTCCCAGTTAGGCTGCCCGGGGGTCAGGGGTCAGGGACCCACTTGAGGAGGCAGTCTGCCCGTTCTCAGATCTCCAGCTGGGTGCTGGGAGAACCACTGCTCTCTTCAAAGCTGTCAGACAGGGACATTTAAGTCTGCAGAGGTTACTGCTGTCTTTTTGTTTGTCTGTGCCCTGCCCCCAGGGGTGGAGCCTACAGAGGCAGGCAGGCCTCCTTGAGCTGTGGTGGGCTCCACCCAGTTAGAGCTTCCGGGCTGCTTTGTTTACCTAATCAAGCCGGGGCAATGGTGGGCGCCCCTCCCCCAGCCTCGCTGCCGCCTTGCAGTTTGATCTCAGACTGCTGTGCTAGCAGTCAGCGAGACTCTGTGTGCGTAGGACCCTCCGAGCCAGGTGCGGGATATAATCTCGTGATGCTCCGTTTTTTAAGCCTGTCGGAAAAGTGCAGTATTCGGGTGGGAGTGACCCGATTTTCCAGGTGCCATCTGTCACCCCTTTCTTTGACTCAGAAAGGGAACTCCCTGACCCCTTGCACTTCCCAAGTGAGGCAATGCCTCGCCCTGCTTCGGCTCGCGCATGGTGTGCGCACCCACTGACCTGCGCCCACTGTCTGGCACTCCCTAGTGAGATGAAACCGGTACCTCAGATGGAAATGCAGAAATCACCCGTCTTCTGCGTCGCTCACGCTGGGAGCTGTGGACCGGAGCTGTTCCTATTCGGCCATCTTGGCTCCTGCATCTCCACATTGAAGTTTCATGCTGGTGTGTCTGACTTGGTGGAGTCTAAGTCACATAACTACACCTTGGCTGCGAAGAATGCTTGGGAAGGAGCTCCTGGCTTTTAACTTTGGAAGATAGGATTTATGAGATGGGAAATTATCCAAACAGAGAACGACACTGGGCAGTCAAAACAGCTTGCCAAATGGCCAGTGCAGAGGTCAAGTTGAATGAGGTACAATGGTGTTCTCATTTTACAGATGGGAAAACTGAGGTGCACTGAGTAGCTACAGTTGGCTGTACTATGCTCTCTTCTCCAATATTTTTGCCATGCCTCTTAGAAGCATTTTGATTGCAAGACCTTAAAAGAAGTGGAAATTCACAGCAAAAGTGAGCCTTTCCATCTGTCTTCTGTGCCTTATAGTATTAGAATGTACTATGGAAATTGTTGCTAAACTTTTATCTGATAGGAAAGGATGCATAACACATTTCTCCTTCAGATCTTGGTAAAGAATGGAGTCTGTGCAAATGCCAGTCTGGGAGGTAATAAAAGGGTTTCTCATGAAAAAGGTTTCTATGAAACTTCAATTTCAATGAAGGATTTCCTTGCTAGGTTTTGGAAATAGCATTGTTGGAATATTGAAGTTCTTATCATTGTAATTAATTTTTTAAATTTTTTAAAAAATTTACCTATTTAGAATCTAAAACTTTTTAGTAGAAAAAAATTACCTCCAGTCTGAACAGTGTCAATCATAAAACATTTGCTATTAATTTTACACAGTATAGCAAAATTTATACAACAAAACTAATTTTGAAAAGCCACAATCAACTTGGGCAATGAAATGTCATCAATTCTATCACTTTACTCATGAGCTGACTTGAAAGTCCTACAGGCATGTGCGTTTCCTAAAACACTAAAATTCAGTTGGAGAATGAAAACATAGTTGGTCAACATGCCAAAGTACTCAAAATCTAAACTCATGCATGATGAGTGAGAAAATAAATAATCCTGTCACACAAAAAAAGTACCATCTTTTCAAATGGCAAACGTATTTGCAGTATTTTATATCCCACTTAACTGAAAATGTTATTTAAAAACAAATAGATTTTTTTTTATTTAGTTGTTGTTGTCGTCATTGTTGTTGAGACAGGTTCTTGCTCTATCATCCAAGCTGGAGTGCAGTGGCGTAATCTCGGCTCACTGCAGCCTCCACTTCCCAGGCCCAAGCAATCCTTCAGCCTCAGCTTCCCAAGTAGCTGGGACTGCAGGCACACACCACCACCACCTGCTAATTATTTTTATTTTTTTGCAGAGACGAGGTCTCACCATGTTGCACAGGCTGATCTTGAACTCCTGGGCTCGAGAGATCTGTCCATCTTAGCCTCCCAAAATGCTGGGACTGCAGTTGTGAGCCAGCACACCCAGCCTGTAATTTATTTTTGAATAAAAATTAAAGGTGACTAGCATGTGATATTCCCTCTAAACAAGGATTGCTTAATGTGGGCTACATGAATGATATTGAGAAGAGTGCTTAAACACCCTGAAAGCATATACAAAATTATGTGCAGGTGTGCTTACTGTATGTGTGTGCAAGCTGTGCACATACTTTTTTTGATAAGAGAATTCACAGATGTTATCAGGTGTTCAAAGGAGTCTCTGTTGCTCATAAATCAAAATGATAGAGGGCTATTTTAGGTCACAGAACAGATTCTGTAACATATGTAATGTAATATGAACTTGAATTCAGGACTCCTCTAGCCCAGATCCTATTTTGCTATTAACTTTAATTTAAACCATGCAAGATATCCATCTTTTGCAAGGTCCTTTTTCTCCTCTGATGCTGTTTATACAAGGTCTCTAAGAGCCTATAAAGCAATGTTACTAGAGATAGACCTGGAATATTTGAAAACAGATTAGAACTGCCTCTTACCACCTTCTAACATCTACCAGAATCTTCATCAAAGAGGAAGGAACAAAGCCCTAAAGCACAAAGCAGTATATTAGGAGTGAGCATAAAAACGTTAAATTAACCACCAAACTTGTGACATTCTTTTCATTTTTACATAAACCTAATCCCAAGATTTCTGTATTGGAGAGAAATTCTAGGCTGAGACTCCTAGTGAGCATATTAACTACGTCTGCCTTGTTACTCCTTATTTCCCTGTTGCCTAGTATAGTGCCTGGCAAATAGTGAGCCTTCAATAAATATTTTTTGAACTTAAATGAATTGAATTGCTTTGAGCTGAATAAGAGTTGGCATGTTAAGAGTTTTGGGTCAGCCATTATTTAAAGTTATTTATGAAGCTATCAAATGTCACATGGGCATTTCTCTTTAACTTCCATGCCAACAACCTTTTTATAAATTAAAATCTGAGTCAACAATTTCTTTCCAATACCTTTTTCTTTTATTCTATCAGTAATGCTATAGAAATGGACAAGTAGTTAAATCTTTCACAGGGTGAAAGGTTGACTTTTAGGAATGTGTTTATTTCTAAAAAAAATAGTATCCTGGAACCTTGCTAAGGCAGATAAGTTGATATAGAATACAGGTGCATCTTGGACTAGGTCCAGGGGAATTCAGGGACTCTAGTTCTGGAAAGGTCACCTGATAAAACATTCAATTCACAATTTAACAGAGATCATTTAGATAGGAGGTCTCTATACTTAGATTTCATAAACCAGTAAGAATTTTCACACCCAAAATAATTAGGGTTAGTTCTCATAGGACTGCCAACTTTTCAATTTTTTTCAAGACACTAAAACACAATAATTTCCATGTACCACCATCATTTGTTAAAGAAATATCCTCTTAACACCAAAGAAAGCAGAATGATTATAATCTCAGAATAAATGACAGTCTTCAAAGTGGAATCAATTTGGCTTCATGAAAAATTCACAATGTTCTCTTTAAAAGTTTGCCTTGTCCTTTTGTTGCTGGTTGGCACAAATGTTATCACAAACCAACACTGATCTATGGGGTGGCATTTGGGAACCACTAATATAATTAAACCCCTTTGGGCTGAGGTTTTTTTGTTTCCTCCTCCCTATCCACTCTCCACCCTTCCCAACTCATCTTTTCAGGGAACGCTGATCTCGCTGGACATTTATTTGGGTTCTCTTGCCCTCTGGCTTGATGAGTTCAGCCCAAGAGAGACACAGACAGGAGAAGAGGGGATGAGAAGAGAGAAGGTCAGGCTATTTACTCCGCTGGTTCATTTCCCCTCCCCGCTTCCCTCCAACCACCAAGACTGCCTAGACATAGTTGGCCGTGGCTGTGTTCCTCTCCTCAAGCTTTCTTTCTAGACTTGTCAGTTTTGCTCTTCCCCTACCTCTTCAGGTCAAGATAAGGCAAAGGGCACCCGTACTTCCAGGAAATGCTTCACCAACCTTTGTTGGTTCCTTTAATCTTACCCACACCTTCTAAATCATCCCTTCGTTTAACTCTCCTCGGTTTCTGCATTGGAGTAGCCATCTATTTCCTGCTGTCTTGATCAATACATTCTTCATTTAAAGATGAAAATGTTGAGACGCAGACAAATGAAGTAGCTGGTCCAAAGTCACATGGTCACTTAGAATCAAGTCAGATATAGACCATGCCTTCCAGATTACAAGAAGAGTGCTCCTTAGGTTGTGCTCATCCAGGCCACCATCCTCCCAGGGCCACCACCTGCTCAGCCATATAGATGGGCATTTCAACAACTAGTTGTAGTTTGTTCACATTTCTAATTTAAACATCTTCTTAGGTGACTATTGAGGCAAACCCAAACACAGAGGAATACTGTTTTCACTGGAGTGGATTAGAGCCAGGAAAATTGAGTTTTTAAATATTTGCCTAAGTAGAAATGGGCAATTTAGTATAAGAAACTATTGCAGGGCCAGGCGCGGTGGCTCACGCCTGTAATCCCTGCACTTTGGGAAGCCGAGGCGGGTGGATCACGAGGTCGGGAGATCGAGACCATCCTGGCTTAACACGGTGAAACCCCGTCTCTGCTAAAAAAATACAAAAAAATTAGCCAGGCATGGTGGCGGGCGCCTGTAGTCCCAGCTACTCGGGAGGCTGAGGCAGGAGAATGGCATGAACCCAGGAGGCAGAGCTTGCAGTGAGCCGAGGTTGCGCCACTGCACTCCAGCCTGGGCTACAGAGCGAGACTCCGTCTCAAAAAAAAAAAAAAAAGGAAAAAAAAAAAGAAACTATTGAAAACGCTAAACACAAAAGAACATGAGAATGATGAAATTACCACTGTGATGTGAATTCTGATCATGAAAGGGGAGCGGGGAGAGATGAAATAAATGTGCCCAGGGTGAGGGGCTGAGGCATGGGTGGTAGGTTGGGGAGAAGATGATCAGCTGGGGAAAGACTTGAATCTGCATGAGAAAATGAGTAGGTTGAAGAAGGGTAAGGAAGAATAGGGTGATAGGTGCCTGTCAAGCAGAAGGAGAGAGGAATGGACAGCAGTAATGAATAGATATCAAACAGGATATTTGTAAAATGTGTTTATCTGGCAGGAAGTTACTGTACCACTGAGCAGGGGCTGCTGCTGGAACCCTGACATATTAGAAGCCTCAGATTTTAGAGAAACTGAATTCTCCAAAACTGACCTATGTCAAAATGCTCTTCCACAATGGTGAAATTTGCCATAACCACACTTTTATTTAAAAATCTTGCTCTTAAATAAATGCACATGCACATATTTAATACATTAACTGTTCTTAATTACAAACTTGATTGAATTTCCCACTGCTGTTTGGTCACTTGCTGTTACAAAAGTGTCCCCATGGGTATTTTCTTTTACTTGGGTTTTAAAATAAGCTAGAGAGTCTTAATACCAAATTATTCTCTTTAAAGGAATTGGGATAATGGAATTATTAACATTTATTGAGCACTTCTTCTGTCAAAGCATTTACCTGCTTTACCTCATTCAATTCTTAAAACAACCGTTCCATCACTCAACCTCGTGACCACATTCTTGCCCTCATCTGCACATCTGGCCCCTGACCATGGCAAGCAGAGCTTCTCTGTGGCTCTGATCCCTGTCAATGTCCCAGGTCAGATGCATGAAAAGTATTGCTCAAAGAAGTCACTGTTATAGCCTCTCAGCATGAAGGACTGCCTGCTCTGGTACAGCCACCTTCCTTGACTGCCGAGCCTTTAATCAATCAACAATTATTTATCAGGCTCCTACTTACTGTTCAGCAAAGTCCCATCTGTCTTCTGCAGACAGGAATCTTTCTAGATACCGCACATGAAGTTGGATCAGTCAGAAACCTTGAGCCAATCCTTAAGGGTCAAAGAGTTTGTACAGCTGTCATTTTAGGACAGAGAAATAAAGGCTTAACAGCAAGGTAGAGGATAATGAGAAGGTACTGGAATAGATTAAGAAATCAAGAAATATAAAATTAGAAAATAATATGCAAATTTTCTTTTAAATTATCCAATGAGAAACCTTTGCAACCAAAATGAAGTCTACTCTTACAATGTCATATAAGATTTGTTCAGTTAGTAAACTATCAACCTCAACATCCATGCATAATAATAGTCAGGTGTCTTTACTGTAATCAAAGAGTTTATTGAATTTTTAGTGTTATTTAGTATCATTTTAGATTGATCATCTTGGCTACATTAGGTATCTGTATTTAGATAATAACTTTATATTTAGGTAGACAATTTTAAGACAAAAAGTAGAAATTAACAAAGAGAATTTTTATTAAATTGTTGGAATTTACCATTTGGAAATCCATACACAGGTTCAATTCCCAAACACCTATATATTGCCTATATTTTCATCATTTTGATGTCATATAACAGACTGTTGATTAGTATTATTCACTTGCAACTACTTTAACCACTGAAAGTATTCATTTTCATTATTAATACAAATTGCATGTGTCCACACGTACCTGGAAGTAAAATAAAATTAATTATGGAAGTCCTATCTTTCTGCCCTTCTGCCATTGCACCTTGCAAAACTGGGACAACAACTGAACACATCTAACTTTTTTAGTCTTTGAAACCACATATCCACCTCCCAGACCTCTATCTTTATGTGTTTACTTATTTTTGAAATTGTTCTTGACTTCATTTTTGTTTGCCTTTTTTCTGTTAATGGGGTTACCTCCTATTTAAAAAGTGCTTGCTTTTGTATAAGCTCTTTCCCGTAAGGGAGTGGGAGAAGCTGAAAGGCAGGTCAGAGAGCAGGGTGTGCTCACTGCAGCTGGAGTGAAGGTGTAAAAGACTGACTTTGCATTCTCCACAGTTTGCTCAGGTCTTTCTCTGTCCTAAAACAGATGACAATTTCCTAAATTTGTCTGTATGAAAAGTCCTATGTTATTTAATAACAGTCCTCGTTTATGCCTGTTTCATTTGGCTTTGACTTATATTGCTTTTGTCTTATGGAAATGTTTGTTCTTCTTAGCCAGGGAAATTTTGGGTGTTTGGAGAAGGCCTGGAGATATGGATTAGACAATCTTGCTGAGTCTACTCATACAAATTTTAAAAACTTCTTCTTGAGATCAAACATTCAACAAGAAAATTTTCCCTGGAAATAGCAGTCTAGATCAGAGATTCTCAATCTTTTAAAAATAGTTTGGCCTCATGACAATTCCCCATTTCTGCATATAATGTCTTACAACATGTATTCATCTCTAAGTGTAAATACACAAGAATTTTGTTTAAAGCCTTTTTTTTTTTTTTGAGAATTTTTGAACCCATTTTTGAAATTACTGGAACCATCAGGGATCCGAGGACAATTGGTTCACTTCCTAGTATCACCATTCCAGCCTAAGATATTCCTCCCCTAATGGCAAACTTTTGAGGGTGAGTATGCACCTGTAGTGGCAGAACTTGACTGTGGAGCCAGGCTGTTGGTGACGTAGCAATATTTTTTTGCCCCTCCTCCCATAGAATTCTGTTTATATCAGAGGCCAGTGGCAGAGACTCAAGGTTCAATGTATAGTATGAACAATTACAAAAACTGAATGAATGCTGTATTTTTATGCCTGGTTTCATTTACCACCAGATGGCTCTATTGTATCATCAGGAAATGCACACATGTAAAATCAGTGGTCTCATAAGCCATAGGGAAAAAAATAAAGCAGAAGTTAGACCTTTAAGGTATGTAGGAATGCAGTTCATTCTTTTTTTTTTTTATTTCTTGTTTCTTTTTTATTTATTTATTTTTTTATTGTTATACTTTAAGTTTTAGGGTACATGTGCACATTGTGCAGGTTAGTTACATACGTATACATGTGCCATGCTGGTGTGCTGCACCCACTAACTCGTCATCTAGCATTAGGTATATCTCCCAATGCTATCCCTCCCCCCTCTCCCCACCCCGCAACAGTCCCCAGAGTGTGATGTTCCCCTTCCTGTGTCCATGTGATCTCATTGTTCAATTCCCACCTATGAGTGAGAATATGCGGTGTTTGGTTTTTTGTCCTTGTGATAGTTTACTGAGAATGATGGTTTCCAATTTCATCCATGTCCCTACAAAGGACATGAACTCATCATTTTTTATGGCTGCATAGTATTCCATGGTGTATATGTGCCACATTTTCTTAATCCAGTCTGTCATTGTTGGGCATTTGGGTTGGTTCCAAGTCTTTGCTATTGTGAATAATGCCGCAATAAACATACGTGTGCATGTGTCTTTATAGCAGCATGATTTATAGTCCTTTGGGTATATACCCAGTAATGGGATGGCTGGGTCAAATGGTATTTCCAGTTCTAGATCCCTGGGGAATCACCACACTGACTTCCACAATGGTTGAACTAGTTTACAGTCCCACCAACAGTGTAAAAGTGTTCCTATTTCTCCACATCCTCTCCAGCACCTGTTGTTTCCTGACTTTTTAATGATTGCCATTCTAACTGGTGTGAGATGGTATCTCATTGTGGTTTTGATTTGCATTTCTCTGATGGCCAGTGATGGTGAGCATTTTTTCATGTGTTTTTTGGCTGCATAAATGTCTTCTTTTGAGAAGTGTCTGTTCATGTCCTTTGCCCACTTTTTGATGGAGTTGTTTGTTTTTTTCTTGTAAATTTGTTTGAGTTCATTGTAGATTCTGGATATTAGCCCTTTGTCAGATGAGTAGGTTGCAAAAATTTTCTCCCATTCTGTAGGTTGCCTGTTCACTCTGATGGTAGTTTCTTTTGCTGTGCAGAAGCTCTTTAGTTTAATTAGATCCCATTTGTCAATTTTGTCTTTTGTTGCCATTGCTTTTGGTGTTTTAGACATGAAGTCCTTGCCCATGCCTATGTCCTGAATGGTAATGCCTAGGTTTTCTTCTAGGGTTTTTATGGTTTTAGGTCTAACGTTTAAGTCTTTAATCCATCTTGAATTGATTTTTGTATAAGGTGTAAGGAAGGGATCCAGTTTCAGCTTTCTACATATGGCTAGCCAGTTTTCCCAGCACCATTTATTAAATAGGGAATCCTTTCCCCATTGCTTGTTTTTCTCAGGTTTGTCAAAGATCAGATAGTTGTAGATATGCGGCGTTATTTCTGAGGGCTCTGTTCTGTTCCATTGATCTATATCTCTGTTTTGGTACCAGTACCATGCTGTTTTGGTTACTGTAGCCTTGTAGTATAGTTTGAAGTCAGGTAGTGTGATGCCTCCAGCTTTGTTCTTTTGGCTTAGGATTGACTTGGCGATTTGGGCTCTTTTTTGGTTCCATATGAACTTTAAAGTAGTTTTTTCCAATTCTGTGAAGAAAGGCATTGGTAGGTTGATGGGGATGGCATTGAATCTGTAAATTACCTTGGGCAGTATGGCCATTTTCACAATATTGATTCTTCCTACCCATGAGCATGGAATGTTCTTCCATTTGTTTGTATCCTCTTTTATTTCCTTGAGCAGTGGTTTGTAGTTCTCCTTGAAGAGGTCCTTCACATCCCTTGTAAGTTGGATTCCTAGGTATTTTATTCTCTTTGAAGCAATTGTGAATGGGAGTTCACTCATGATTTGGCTCTCTGTTTGTCTGTTGTTGGTGTATAGGAATGCCTGTGATTTTTGCACATTGATTTTGTATCCTGAGACTTTGCTGAAGTTGCTTATCAGCTTAAGGAGATTTTGGGCTGAGACAATGGGGTTCTCTAGATATACAATCATGTCATCTGCAAACAGGGACAATTTGACTTACTTCCTCTTTTCCTAATTGAATATCCTTTATTTCCTTCTCCTGCCTAATTGCCCTGGCCAGAACTTCCAACACTATGTTGAATAGGAGTGGTGAGAGAGGGCATCCCTGTCTTGTCCCAGTTTTCAAAGGGAATGCTTCCAGTTTTTGCCCATTCAGTAGGATATTGGCTGTGGGTTTGTCATAGATAGCTCTTATTATTTTGAAATATGTCCCATCAAGACCTAATTTATTGAGAGTTTTTAGCATGAAAGGTTGTTGAATTTTGTCAAAGGCCTTTTCTGCATCTATTGAGATAATCATGTGGTTTTTGTCTTTGGCTCTTTTTATATGCTGGATTACATTTATTGATTTGCGTATATTGAACCAGCCTTGCATCCCAGGGATGAAGCCCACTTGATCATGGTGGATAAGCTTTTTGATGTGCTGCTGGATTCGTTTTGCCAGTATTTTATTGAGGATTTTTGCATCAATGTTCATCAAGGATATTGTTCTAAAATTCTCTTTTTTGGTTGTGTCTCTGCCCGGCTTTGGTATCAGAATGATGCTGGCCTCATAAAATGAGTTAGGGAGGATTCCCTCTTTTTCTATTGATTGGAATAGTTTCAGAAGGAATGGTACCAGTTCCTCCTTTTACCTATGGTAGAATTTGGCTGTGAATCCATCTGGTCCTGGACTCTTTTTGGTTGGTAAGCTATTGATTATTGCCACAATTTGAGATCCTGTTATTGGTCTATTCAGAGATTCAACTTCTTCCTGGTTTAGTCTTGGGAGAGTGTATATGTCAAGGAATTTATCCATTTCTTCTAGATTTTCTAGTTTATTTGCGTAGAGGTGTTTATAGTATTCTCTGATGGTAGTTTGTATTTCTGTGGGATCGGTGGTGATATCCCCTTTATCATTTTTTATTGTGTCTATTTGATTCTTCTCTCTTTTTTTCTTTATTAGTCTTGCTAGCGGTCTATCAATTTTGTTGATCCTTTCAAAAAACCAGCTCCTGGATTCATTAATTTTTTGAAGAGTTTTTTGTGTCTCTATTTCCTTCACTTCTGCTCGGATTTTAGTTATTTCTTGCCTTCTGCTAGCTTTTGAATGTGTTTGCTCTTGCTTTTCTAGTTCTTTTAATTGTGATGTTAGGGTGTCAATTTTGCATCTTTCCTGCTTTCTCTTGTGGGCATTTAGTGCTATAAATTTCCCTCTACACACTGCTTTGAATGCATCCCAGAGATTCTGGTATGTTGTGTCTTTGTTCACAGTGGTTTCAAAGAACATCTTTATTTCTGCCTTCATTTCATTATGTACCCAGTAGTCATTCAGGAGCAGGTTGTTCAGTTTCCATGTAGTTGAGGGGTTTTGAGTGAGATTCTTAATCCTGAGTTCTAGTTTGATTGCACTGTGGTCTGAGAGATAGTTTGTTATAATTTCTGTTCTTTTACATTTGCTGAGGAGTGCTTTACTTCCAAGTATGTGGTCAATTTTGGAATAGGTGTGGTGTGGTGCTGAAAAAAATGTATATTCTGTTGATTTGGGGTGGAGAGTTCTGTAGATGTCTATTAGGTCCGCTTGGTGCAGAGCTGAGTTCAATTCCTGGGTATCCTTGTTGACTTTCTGTCTCGTTGATCTGTCTAATGTTGACAGTGGGGTGTTAAAGTCTCCCATTATTAATGTGTGGGAGTCTAAGTCTCTTTGTAGGTCACTCAGGACTTGCTTTATGAATCTGGGTGCTCCTGTATTGGGTGCATATATATTTAGGGTAGTTAGCTCTTCTTGTTGAATTCATCCCTTTACCATTATGTAATGGCCTTCTTTGTCTCTTTTGATCTTTGTTGGTTTAAAGTCTGTTTTATCAGAGACTAAGATTGCAACCCCTGCCTTTTTTTGTTTTCCATTTGCTTGGTAGATCTTCCTCCATCCTTTTATTTTGAGCCTATGTGTGTCTCTGCACGTGAGATGGGTTTCCTGAATACAGCACACTGATGGGTCTTGACTCTTTATCCAATTTGCCAGTCTGTGTCTTTTAATTGGAGCATTTAGTCCATTTACATTTAAAGTTAATATTGTTATGTGTGAATTTGATCCTGTCATTATGATGTTAGCTGGTTATTTTGCTCGTTAGTTGATGCAGTTTCTTCCTAGTCTCGATGGTCTTTACATCTTGGCATGATTTTGCAGCAGCTGGTACCAGTTGTTCCTTTCCATGTTTAGCACTTCCTTCAAGAGCTCTTTTAGGGCAGGCCTGGTGGTGACAAAATCTCTCAGCATTTGCTTGTCTGTAAAGTATTTTATTTCTCCTTCACTCATGAAGCTTAGTTTGGCTGGATATGAAATTCTGGGTTGAAAATTCTTTTCTTTAAGAATGTTGAATATTGGCCCCCACTCTCTTCTGGCTTGTAGGGTTTCTGCCGAGAGATCCGCTATTAGTCTGATGGGCTTCCCTTTGAGGGTAACGTGACCTTTCTCTCTGGCTGCCCTTAACATTTTTTCCTTCATTTCAACTTTGGTGAATCTGACAATTATGTGTCTTGGAGTTGCTCTTCTCGAGGAGTATCTTTGTGGCGTTCTCTATATTTCCTGAATCTGAACGTTGGCCTGCCTTGCTAGACTGGGGAAATTCTCCTGGATAATATCCTGCAGAGTGTTTTCCAACTTGGTTCCATTCTCCCCATCACTTTCAGGTACACCAATCAGACGTAGATTTGGTCTTTTCACATAGTCCCATATTTCTTGGAGGCTTTACTCATTTCTTTGTATTCTTTTTTCTCTAAACTTTCCTTCTCGCTTCATTTCATTCATTTCTTCTTCCATTGCTGATACCCTTTCTTCCAGTTGATCGCATCGGCTCCTGAGGCTTCTGCATTCTTCACGTAGTTCTCGAGCCTTGGTTTTCAGCTCCATCAGCTCCTTTAAGCACTTCTCTGTATTGGTTATTCTAGTTATACATTCTTCTAAATTTTTTTCAAAGTTTTCAACTTCTTTGCCTTTGGTTTGAACGTCCTCCCGTAGCTCAGAGTAATTTGATCGTCTGAAGCCTTCTTCCCTCAGCTCATCAAAGTCATTCTCCATCCAGCTTTGTTCCGTTGCTGGTGAGGAGCTGCATTCCTTTGGAGGAGGAGAGGCACTCTGATTTTTAGTTTCCAGTTTTTCTGCTCTGTTTTTTCCCCATCTTTGTGGTTTTATCTACTTTTGGTCTTTGATGATGGTGATGTTCAGATGGGTTTTTGGTGTGGATGTCCTTTCTGTTTGTTAGTTTTCCTTCTAACAGACAGGACCCTCAGCTGCAGGTCTGTTGGAGTACCCTGCCGTGTGAGGTGTCAGTGTGCCCCTGCTGGAGGGTGCCTCCCAGTTAGGCTGCTCGGGGGTCAGGGGTCAGGGACCCACTTGAGGAGGCAGTCTGCCCGTTCTCAGATCTCCAGCTGTGTACTGGAAGAACCACTGCTCTCTTCAAAGCTGTCAGACAGGGACATTTAAGTCTGCAGAGGTTACTGCTGTCTTTTTGTTTGTCTGTGCCCTGCCCCCAGAGGTGGAGCCTACAGAGGCAGGCAGGCCTCCTTGAGCTGTGGTGGGCTCCACCCAGTTAGAGCTTCCGGGCTGCTTTGTTTACCTAAGCAAGCCTGGGCAATGGCGGGCGCCCCTCCCCCAGCCTCGCTGCCGCCTTGCAGTTTGATCTCAGACTGCTGTGCTAGCAGTCAGCGAGACTCCGTGGGCGTAGGACCCTCTGAGCCAGGTGCGAGATATAATCTCGTGGTGCGCCGTTTTTTAAGCCGGTTGGAAAAGTGCGGTATTCGGGTGGGAGTGACCCGATTTTCCAGGTGCCGTTCGTCACCCCTTTCTTTGACTAGGAAAGGGAACTCCCTGACCCCTTGCGCTTCCCAAGTGAGGCAATGCCTCGCCCTGCTTTGGGTCGCGTCGGTGTGCGCACCCACTGACCTGCGCCCACTGTCTGGCACTCCCTAGTGAGATGAACCCGGTACCTCAGATGGAAATGCAGAAATCACCCGTCTTCTGCGTCGCTCAGGCTGGGAGCTGTGGACCGGAGCTGTTCCTATTCGGCCATCTTGGCTCCTCGCAGTTCATTGTTTGTGGGGTTAATTGGAAGCAGCTGCAGCAGGAGTATTCACAAGAAAACAGGACACACCCACAGCCAAGCTATAGGAAGGTCATCATCCTAGCATGTACAAGGTTTTCCAACTTTTCATATTTCTTTCTAATTATTAAGTATCACAATAGCAAAAGAGTAGTTAGGAAGTGCTCTAATCTCACAAAGGCCTGTACCTTGTGTTTTCCTACCAATTTTGCATACTCTTCAGCTTGTAGCTGAGAAAAAGTAACTTTAGAAACATTTTGAGTCCAGGCGCAGTGGCTCACACCTGCAATCCCAGCACTTTGGGAGGCTGAGGCGGGCAGATCACGAGGTCAGGATTTCAAGACTAGCCTGGCCAACATGGGGAATCCACGTCTCTACTAAAAATATAAAAATTATCCAGGCATGGTGGCGCGTGCCTGTAATCTCCAGGGGCTGAGACAGGAGAATCGCTTGAACCCAGGAGGTGGAGGTTGCAGTGAGCCAAGATCGTGCCCTTGCACTCGGCCTGGGCAACAAGAGCAAAACTCTGCCTGGAAAAAAAAAAAAAAAAAAGAGAAAAAACTTGACAGGCAGAGTCTACACATCTGCTAATTTAAGTCATATTAGCCAGGCTCTGGGGAAGAATGATCTGATTCTAAAACATGTGGTATCTTTGCTTTAATGACATATGCTAAGAAGGTGAAGATGAGAGGAAACAGGGTTTCTCTGAGTTCAGTTGACTCTGTTCCTACTGTTAGATGACTGTTAAAAACATAGGCATTCTAGGTGACATCTTCCATCAGGAATGTGAAATTTTCATCCTAACCTTTTGGAGTAAGAATAAAAGTTTCAAAGTAGTCAAATTCCAATGACAGTTATTTAATCTAACTTTCTAAAGCTGTTCATTGTCATCATTTATTTTTTACTCTTTTTACTTTGTATATTTTAAATGAAACTATTGTTAAAACATTTTGCTGTTTTATTTCCATGTTAAGAAAAGGGGAGGATTTGTGTGAGTTTATCAAGCCTATCATTGATAAACTCTTATGGATCTTATCAAGTCCATAAGATTGTTTGAGATGCACTCAAACTATCCATGTCAAAAAGTAATACTTGATTTTTTTTTTTTTAAAGAAAGCGTCCCTGGATACTGGACAGATGGCGTTTACCTTGGCCCAACTTGAGTCCTTGGAGATTTGCCTGAAAGAAGCAGAAGAAAAGGCTAAAGCTTTATCTGAACAGGTAACACCTGTCATGGGAACTGGAAACAAATGTTCCTCAGTGTGCAGCATGGCAAGTGTAAATGTAAACACACGTTTTAACCTCTCCCTCTACTGATACACACACACACACACACACATACACACACACACACACACATTGCAGTATGCCCCCCCACCCCACACACACACAGCATTCCATTCATTTTAGACATAACAGTGCTTACTTTAGTCTGTATGGACCTTTTCAGCGTTTAAAACTTTTTTCATCTTTATATTTTATTTGACTTTCATTCACCACAGGCCATGAGTTAGGCAAACCTTCTTTAACTAAGTGATCTTCCTGAATAAGCAAAGCATATTTGCATTATAAACAGATAAGCTCAAAGATAAAATAAAGCCTATTGGAGCCATGCAGAAGTAATTTTCTTTTATTTTTAGGAAACTTTACTTGGAAGAGAGTTTTTCAAATATTGACATCCCTCTTGGGTTTTTGAAACTTACAGAAGCAAAGCAGCAGGTGATAAGTGGAGCCTGGTCTGCCCCAGGTGGCCTGGACACGTTATAGGTGCTTTGCATGTACAGCAGCTCCATGATTTCAGAGACAGTGGCTGTGGGTATAAGTAAAGCTCAGACCAGGGCTGGAACATTTCCCAATAAGATTATACTTTGCAAATAGTGCAGCTATTGTTGCCTTTCCCCCTGGTCAGAGAGGCTTGGCCCCAGGGGACAAACTGCTTGGAGTCTCGGTCCCCCAGTGCTCTCTTTTGGTGACAGTCAGTGAAGGGAAAAGGATGGAGGAGGCCCTGCAATGTTAGAAATGTTTATTAATTTCTTCTGGATTGATACATTTAGATAAAAGTATATTTTAGATACATTGGAAAAAAAGAATTTTAAGGTACTTTTAATAAAGGTAGTCTCCCTGTATAGTGAAACCTAATTGCATCAGAATTTTAGCGGAAACTAAGGAGGAAAGGTGCTTGTGTTATGAGAAAAAGTATAATTAATATATAATTTAGTGATACACACACAAATGCCCTTCATTTCTTTTTCAGCTTACCAAAAAAGGTGCATCCCTTACTTTGGCATGTATTTATTGTTTACTGACTAAATGCGATTGATGCAAGCGGTCACAGGGGGCTTGTGTCAATTAATAAAAATGTGTTGCCCTTTTGGAAAAGTTTCCATCTCAGCCTCAAGCCATAGCTCTAGCCTGCCAACTGTTGTTTTTTTTTTTTTCTAAAATAAACAAAAACAAGCCTCGAACTGTGGCAAAATTAAGAATTACCAAGAACGTAATGATAAACATAAGGTACCATTTCAAAGCAAAAAAAAAAAAAACTAAGAATTTCAGAGTCTCCAAATTGGGAAAGATTTTTCAATGGATAACTAAAAAAGGGCACCCATGCTGGGATTAGGTTACACTAAGAAGGTATATAGGATTTTTTTTTTTTTGGTAATCAAATGGCTTTTAATGATTTCTCGTTTGAATCAGTAAGATTGAATTCACTCATAAAAGTACCCATTCCTGCACTTTGGGAGGCTGAGGCGGGTGGATCACGAGGTCAAGAGATCGAGACCATCCTGGCTAACATGGCGAAAGCCCGTTTCTACTAAAAGTACAAAAAAATTAGCCCAGCGTAGTGGGTGGCACCTGTAGTCCCAGGTACTCGGGAGGCTGAGGCAGGAGAATGGCGTGAACCCGGGAGGCGGAGCTTGCAGTGAGCCGAGATTGCGCCACTGCACTCCAGCCTGGGCGACAGAGCCAGACTCTGTCTCAAAGAAAAAAAAAAAAAGTACACATTATTTTTGTTCTTGATGAAATATTTTTATCCAATGCAAATGTAACCACCCAATCAATGGGTTCACCTTGCCCGCTGCCTAGACAGAATCGATTTATCAAGACAGGGGAATTACAACGGAGAAAGAGTAAATCACAGAGCCGCAGAGCCGGCTGTGCAGGAGACCGGGATTTTATTATTACTCAAATCAGTCTCCCTAAGCATTCAGGGATCAGAGTTTTTAAAGATAATTCGACGGGGAGGGGCCCGGGAAGTGGGGAGTGCTGGTTGGTCAGGTTGGAGATGGAATCATAGGAGCTCGAAGTTAGGTTTTCTTAATGTCTTCTGTTCCTGGGTGCGATGGCAGAACTGGTTGGGGCAGATTACCATCTGAGTGGTGTCAGCTGATCCATCGAGTGCAGGATCTGCAAAATATCTGAAGCACTGATCTTAAGCTTTACAATAGTGATGTTATCCCCAGGAGCAATTTGGGGAGGTTCAGCCACAGGCTGCATGAACCCTAAATTGTAATTTCTAATCTTGCAGCTAATTTGGTAGTTCTGCAAGGGCAGATTGGACCCCAGGCAAGAACAGGGTCTTTTCGGGAAAGGGCTGTTATCAATTTTGTTTCAGAGTCAAACCATGAACTGAATTCCTTCCCAAAGTTAGTTCGGCCTATGCCCAGGAATGAACAAGGACAGCTTAAGGGTTAGAAGCAAGATAGAGTTGGTTAGGTCTTATTTCTCTCACTGTCATAATTTCCTCAGTTATAATTTACAAAGGTGGTTTCACAAATAGCTCCTAATATTTAAGATTCTTAGCTGGATGATCTCTTTATATAACACCAAACAATTAGATGTATTTATTTTTTCAGTAATATAGCAGATTAAATATATAAAATGGAAACTGGATTTCACTTAACTTTTTTGTACCTACCATAAGTAAGGTGCTGGTTAGGTGTTTTGTGGGAAAGACATGTAAGCCAGAGCTTCTCTACCCAAGTAGCTCACAGAGAATAGAAAAATTGGAAGACATGGAGAATGAAAATAGGTGTTTATATGACTCCAAGATAAACTGCACAATAGCATTAAGTTGCAGGATCTGTACATGTTAATTGTACTAAAGGATAGTTCTTGAAGTTGCCAAATTTGCATAACCAAGTGAGTTTAATTGGAAGTTGGCCATAGTTTGAGGAAAGGGAGAGTATGATGTGTAAAAGCACATTGCAGCCATTTTCAATATTATATTTTTAATTAACTTGAGCATTTTATGAGATCTGGCTGTCTTCATTGTTACTGTTGAGAGGGGTCAATCAACACTGTTGTCAGAGGATTTAATCCTGAGATTTTTGCTTTCTCCAATGTTTAGTCTCTTCCTTGAAAACATAAAAACTTTAAGAACAGTCCTCTGTCCCCTATTTTAAAATTTAAGTCAACATTAAAAACATATGGATGAGAGGATAGGGAAAGGGGAGAAACTGATATTTCCTAAGAATGTTCTTGAGAATATTTCAGAATAGAACACCTGTCACAAACAATCAAACATTTGTCCACTGGGTGCCACTGTCTTCCTTACCAGGCCATGCCACTAAGGGATTGCAGTAAGACTGTCTTTAGTGTTAAAGACAAGGATTACACACACACACACACACACACACACACACACTCTCTCTCTCTCTCTCTCTCAATCTGTGTGTATGTGTGTGTGTGTGTGTGTGTTTGAAGGAATATTTTTGCCTGCTGTACACGTTAAGGCTTTTTCTAAATGTCATTAATTTAGGATTTGTCACAAGGATGTTGGGAATGCTAGCTTGCCTTTACTGGTAACCCAAATTATGGGCTAGCCGGGTGAAGTAGAATGAGGTGGGGAGTGTGGAAGACACGACAAGAACCAAGATTTGTGCTGGAATGAAGCAGTGGAAGCTTGCAATATTATCAAACAATGGATCCTGCCTTTGAGAAAAGGGTTAATCTCACTGTTATTCAAGACCTTATCTGTTAGCTTTGCCTCTGAGAACACAGATTTAACTCAGAATGGAAAGTATAGGTGCCTAGTGTTGTTACCTGCATTAATCATCTGTTGGTCCTGGGCCTAAATTTGTGCAAACTGGGCATTTCTAAGGTCTCCTTCAGCAAGGTCCACTGTTACAAAGAAAAAAATTAGAAATAGCCAACAAATAAGAAGGTTGTGGCCACTTCCTCCGATGAGGTCACACAGTCAACAGAATTCTTTGTTGGGCTTCACTTTAGCTTACAATTATTCTTTATTTCTCTGCAGCCAAGTCACTAATGTCAAAATAAAAGAAATAATGGGATCAGGATAACTTGCAATTAAGACTTATAATCTGGGTTAGTCAAGGCTTTGAGAAATAACTGCACCAATTCAGCCAAAGTAGAGTGAGAAAGTGTCATTTGGCTCCAACTTCTAACCTAGGTTATAATGATAAACCACTCAACATATTACCAAGTTTTGCTTAAGAAAATACTTTATTGTATTTCCCATAGGTTAAGATCAGGTGGGAGGAAAACTAAATGCCTGGATGTTGGGTAATAGATAAAAAAAAGGGTGAATAAAAGGGAGAAAAGCTGTTAGGAATGTGAAAGAAAGATGAAAAGTAAAAGCATTTCTAGAGAAGCCCATAAAAAATAGTTTTTTCATGTGTGCTGGCTTCTATCACCAGTGAATATAAGAGGACAAGGAAAGGGACTCTGGTGGACTGCTGTTTATGACCATACACAAGCAAATAGACCATACAGCTTTTGTGCTGAGACAAAAGATAGTGTCAAGAAAACCCATACTTTTGCAATGAAGTCTGGATCCAGATGCATGCCAACATAGAGCTTATGAGGTAACATTCCTTTTGGCAGCAGTGTTAGCCCAGAGTCTCTCCCATTTATCAATGGCTTCTGGTTCCCAGCTCCAGGTATCAGATCAGGGAGAGCCCAGGCTTTGTTCCTGCTCCACTATCTGCTAGCTTTATGGCCTTGGGCAATTCACTTTGTCTCCCCAGCTACAGTTGTCTTATCTAGGAGGGTGTAAACATGCTAGTTACATAGGGCTGTTGTGAGGCTGTTATTAAATGGGATAGGTATCTGTCCCTCTGTCCCTTTGTGGTTATTATGGCTGAATGTTTCTGTCCCCCTGCCAAAAAGAAAAAAACCATATATTGAAACCTAATCCACAATATGATAGTATGTGGTGGTGGGATCTTTGGTGGATGATAAGTTCTTGAGGGCACTGCCTCAGGAATGGGACTAGTGTCCTTATAAAAGAGACTCAAGGGATCTCCCTCACCCCTTCCACCATGTGAGGACAGAGCAAGAAGCTGCCATCTGTGAACCAGGAAGCAGACCCTCATAAGACACCAGATCTGTTGGTGCCTTGATCTTGGACTGCTCAGCCTCTAGAATTTGAAGAAAGAAAGAAATTCCCATTGTTTATATGCTAGCCAGTTTATGGTATTTTGTTATAGCAGCCCAAATGAACTAAGACAGTAGGTTCTCAAAAACATCTGTTTATTTTCACTCCTACCAGTGGTCATAGCAGAACTGTGTAGTTCTCTTTATGCCTTCAGCCACATAAATTAACGAGTTCCAACCTACCACAAAAGTCTTTCTTTCTCACACACACACACTGCCCCGCTCGCTACCCAAGCTCCCTTGTCATAACTTGGCTGGCTTTTCTACTATCCAGTTTTCTCTTCTACTCTTTCTCATCTCTTCATCTGGTAAAGGGATTTTAGTTCTTTAACCTTGTCTTTCCTTTCTGCTTCATCTCTTGGAGCTTCTGTCTGTTTCTGTCCATTATCTGATTTTGTACAGACTGGGAGCTGTTTTCCTTGGCAAGCTGGGGCAGGGAGGGTGTCAGGAGGTGAATCCAGTAAGGACTATGTAGTAAGAATTCATTTCATATATCTTCTGGGTACCATACCTAGCAAAATATAGTTACATATGAGAAAACTTTTTAAAGTTCATGGAAAAATGGAATTAAACAATAAAAATAAAAATTATAAATTTTATTTTTCAACATAAGCTTCATCAATTTCAAGACACTTTTGAAGTGATGATACCAGCCCTTTAGTCCACCTTAAAGAACTGAGGGTCCTGGGGATTTAACCATTTTAATACAGTGGTTTTTTTTTTTTACATCATTAACTAAAGAAAACTGAGTGCTCTTTAAAGGTTTTTTAAGACTGGGAAACAAAAATAAGGCAGAAGCAGCCAAATCAGTACTGTAAGGAAGATGCCTAATGATTTCCCATGGAAACTCTTGCAAAGTTGCCCTTTTTGATGAGAGGTCTGGGTTAGCATCTGGTACTGAAGCGAGATGAGGTAAGTTTCAAAACTTTACATTTATAACAAGTTCCCATCTCGCTTTAGTACCAGATGCTAACCCAGATCTTCAGGCTGAGGTTCTTTTTCACCCTTGTCCTGTGTTCTCCAACTGCATGGCTAACACGGTGCAACCCCATCTCTACTAAAAAATACAAAAAATTCGCCGGGCATGGTGGCAGGCTGAGATCGCGCCACTGCACTCCAGCCTGGGTGACAGAGCGAGATTCTGTCTCAAAAAAAAAAAAAAAAAAAAAAAGGAAAGTTTTAGGAAGATTGAAAAATAATAATGCTCCAAGAGCCCCGTGTTATAGTTTGCAGAGATAATCTCAGCAAGACAGAAAACCAAGTCTTAAGTTAGCAGAAGATGGCAAGAGCTGAACTCTAAGATACCCCTCCTTGTTGGAGTCGTATGATGAGACTCCTGGAATGTAAGAGGTGGGGATAAATTACCCGTAATTTGTATTTGAAGAAAGAAAATATTATGTGTATGTTGTCAGAATGAACAAGAAAGTTAAAGGAAATTCAAGAGGAGGCAAAAACGCAAAAGAAACACTCCGTTCTGAAAAAGACTTGTATCTATTCTGACTGGCTCCCCAACATCCTGCTCCCCTTCAAGCCCATTCTGGCTTATTGCAAGAACCTAATTTGGGGCATTTGTGGCTTTGCACGCTGTTCAAAGTCAAGATCAAGCCAGGTTTAGTTTCTTTGCTGTTTTTTCTGTTTGTTTGTTTTTGTTGGTCAGCACTCATTTGTTCATTTAACAATTGTTTATTGAGGATTCACTATATGCCAGGTACTATATCTAGAAGTGGGAACACAGCAGTAAACAAGATTGATAAGACCCCTGACTCATGGAGCTGACATTCTACTGGAGGACACAGATAGCAAACAAATAAACATTGAAAATACATGGAGCTTCAGATGGTGTTAAATACTTTGCTGGGCCACACTAAAGGGTATCTGTGGGACTACGCTTAAACTTAAATCCCACTGGGAAGTCTGGTTCCTGAGAATAACCTTGTGGGCCCTTGTCCTTGAGAAGCTGGTGACTGTAGCTCTATGTGCATGTGTATGTTGGAGTGTGTGTATGTTGGAGTGTGTGTGTTATTCCTGTTGTTTTTGATATGAAACAATAAAACCTAAGGCCAAATTATTGCTCTAGGTTAGATCAAGGTTCTTGGGGCTCAGGTTTTCTCTTCAAGATGGCATTTTCAAAGAAACGGGAGGATTTTAATAGTTTACTTTCTCTTGAGAGTTTTAACTATTTTGCTAATATTTACCCTAAATTCTTCAGGTATATTTATGTGTATTGTTATAAAGCTTGGACTAGAAACAAACAACGCCCCACCAAAAAAACTAATAAGTTATGTTTGACTCTAATCAGCAAGAAATTATGAATCATTTTATGCCTAAGGCCCTAACAAAACTCCCATTATTTCTCTCTTAGTACATCTTAGTGTCCAGTCTATCTTTTCTTTATGTTTAGGAATAGAAGGAACAAAGATACCAGCAAATTTTTGATACTGAATTTGTGTATTGAGTGGCTAAAAGTAATCTGATGCATACTGAGATTATCCAAAAAATGCTCTGTTTTTTTTTCATTGTTTATATGCAACAGTGGATCTTTTGATGTCAAGTTTATTTGAAATAAACAATGTGCCCTTGGTAGGAGTATTCATTTCTGCAAATGCTCAGAAATTATGCTTGACATGCCAATCTGAAATCATGAGTTTTGTGAATGAGTTTTTGTTTTCAGAACTATTTTGAAGTGTACTTTAATGCCATAAAATCACAAGCAGTCTGTTTGACCCAAAATGAGTTCCTTATCAACATGAAGCCCAGTTATCAGGAACTTCATTAAACAATTTGGCTAGCCAGAGTTCTGATTGATTTTACAGCAGACAAGTTCCCTCCTTATTAAAAAACAAAACAAAATCCAACAACTTCTCATTTAAGCAGATGTTCATCTTCATCTTGTTACTGGGTTGTTGGCATAAATTGGTAGCCTCAGAGAATGCAAGGAAAAAAATAGAAGCTGGTGAAGAGATGGTGTTGTTTTGAATAGAGTCAAACACAATGACAAATCGGCTTCTGTAGTATATTGTTGTTGCAGGCGGGATGTGTGGATTGTTGGCCTGTTACATAACTAAAAACTTCCTTTTGCTTGTAAATGTCAAGATCAAACAGAGGTCAGTTTTAAATAGCTGACCGGTGCTAATAAATGTGACTTTCTTGTCTTGGAAAAAGCAAAAAGCCTCATGCCTTAAGAGTCATGGCTCTGCTGTTAGGAGGAGGTGTCTTTGTGTATGGGCTTAACCTGTATTTTGTTCATGAGATTTTCTTTGAGATGGTAAATGAACTTTCCCTTTGCTTATTGTCTACAAATAAATTAGTAAGTTAGGTATATGCTTTTGTTCAATTATTCATTCAATAAATATTAATCGAGTTTATACTATGAGCTAGGCATTCTGTTTGGTACTTCTGTGAATTTTAGCTATGTATTTCTCCAAACAGTCCTGGAAAATTGTATATGCCATTTTGCAAATGATGAAAGCTCTTTTGTGGGTTTGCAGCCCTCTTGTCTGCTCCTTCTATAGACTCTCCTTGGTGATCTGACTTTAGCATACACAATCTGCTGAAAAGCCTTAAGTCCTCACTACTAGTCCAGGTCTTCCCTGACTTCAGACCTAATTATGTATACTGAACAGCTCCACCAAGGTTCTCACAGACAACTCAAGCTCTCCATCTCCATCTCCAAAATTCAACTTACCTGCTTCTTGCCCCAAACCTGTTCCTTCTCCCACATTCCCTAGGCCAGTGATCAGTGCCACCAGCCACACTGTGCTGCTTTGATTCTTTCCTTTTCCTCATGCCTCATATGCAATCAATTGCTGAGTACTACAGGTGATGACTCCCAAATCACTCTTGAATCCATCTTTTTTTCTCTATCTCCACTATCACCATTTTTGTCCAGGCTACCTTCTGCAGTGCCTCTCCTGACTTTACCTTCATTATGGCCCTTGTTTAATGACTCCTCAACACTACACCAGAATGAAGGTTCTATAACAAAGATCTCATATTTCTCAACTTTAAATCTTAAATTAGCCTGATTTCACTGTCAGGGTCAAATCTGTCCTCTAACAGATCTTACAATGCCATTTATGATCCGACCACCTGCTTGTTTCTCCAGCTTTACCTTACACCACTCCCTGTATACCACTATTACACCACTTTCAGTTCTTTAAAGGTATCATATCCTCTCTCACCTTTCTAATCTAGAAAAAACAAAGGCCTCATTTCTTAGAGTCAAATTATCATTAATACACCCCTTTCCCTCTGCTTCTGCCTAGAATTTCTCTGCTAACTTTCTCTACTTCCTCTTATCGCCTTACTCATTATCCAAAGAACCCCAAGAGACTTCTTTTCAGATCCTCAGTTAGATGCCATTCCCTCCAAAATGCACTTCTTCTTCCTTCAAGTTTGGGTTAGATGTCCTTAGGTGCTTTCATAATCTCTCTCCCACCTCCCGCCGATAATAATTGCTTGTCTGTGTCTCCCACTATACCATATAACACATGGAAGAAGCTCAGACAGTAACTCCTCTGAGGTCCTAAGCCAAATTAGAATTCATTACTTGTCCCTTTTCTGTCAAAGCCCATGTTTTTTCCATTATACATTTGGAGTTGACCCCTACACAAGGAGGGCCATTGAAGGAGGCACATTCTGATCTGTGCTCAAGAGAGAAAACAGTGAGGGACTGAGAAGGACAGATTTGAGAGACCAAAGCCAGGCATATCAATGTGTAGGCTCTTATAAAAATCCAGTTTGGAAATGATAAAGGCCTAAATTATTGGTGGAGAGAAGACAGAGACAAGATATATTTATGAGTTGGATTTGGTGATTAATTAAATGTAGAAGTTGAAGGGAAAGTAGGATTCAAGACAGATCCCAAGTTTCAGGTGACTACGTAACCTGTGGTTACCCAACTATCTTATGTTAGAATCATTAGATGTTAAAAATGATTCATTTCTTATGGACAACTCCATGCAGGCTCAATTTACCACTTACGCTATAGATTCTTCATCCAAGTTTTGGATGATTTTAATCTCCTTTTTTAGATCTTCTGAATCTTGCAATCCTTGGATATTATGTCAGATCCTTTAACTCTGGGGTGTCTAATCTTTTGGCTTCTCTTGGCCACATTAGAAGAAGAAGAATTGTCTTGGGGCACTTGTAAAATACATTAACACTAAGAATAGCTGATGAGCTAAAAAAAAAAAATTCACAAAAAACCTCATACTGTTTTAAGAAAGTTTACCAATGTGTATTGGGCCACATTCCATGCCATCCTGGGCCACATGTGGCCCACGGGCTGCAGGTTGGACAGCTTATTTTAAGCCATTTCCTGGAAATAGGTTTTCTTCTATTTTTCAGTCCCTGGAGCTTCAGGGAGAAAATTTTGGAAGACCATGTGTTTTGTGTATGAAGATCTCATTTATTAGCCTCAGAAAGTGTTTAATGTTGAAGTCTGGAGTTACACCAATGCAAATCTCTTGAGGTTATTGAATGAGTGTATAGTGACATGCAGTGGTCTAGTACAGAGGTCTTCAAAATTTTGTCCAGCAGGTCCCTTGGAGGTTCCTAGCACTCTTAAATGATCTTTAAAGTTAAAAGATTTGGATAATAGTTAAAATTATTTGGATAATAATACTAATAGGTTATTATTCTTTTCTACTATCATTCTTTTATGGGTGGAGGAGAGTCTTCCAGATTCTACATGGCAGAATGTATGCAGAAGCAGATATGAAAGTCCCAATGTCCTTTATTAAACCAGACATTAAGGAAATATGCAAAATGTAAAACAATACCACTTTTTTACTGTTTCATTTTTGTTTAGTTTTGAAAGAGTTATTTTTAATTAAAATATATTTTTGTGTTAGGATATACTGAGTTTATTTTTAAACAAATTAATAAAAGCACTTTTAAATTTCTAAGTTTTACTTTCTGATACAATAAATATCAGTAGATATAGCCCACATTAACAAAAACTTTTTAAAGTCCCCAGTAATTTTTAGAGGTGTAAAAACGTCCTGAGCATCAAAAGTTTACAAACTGCTGATTTATGACTCTGTAGAGTGTAATTCAAGGAGCACAGCCTGTTTGGGAATATGAATCATGTTGGAAACCACCATTACATAAAATAGATAGTAAATTAACATAATTTTATTAATAAACAAAATAGTAAATGCTAAACAGACTTCCAAAGAGGGGAGCCTCATCAGTGGCTGGTAATTGTAACATTTGGTCACTCTATCACTGAACAGAAAATGTCCTTCAATTAGTAGGAGGATATCAATGAAATGAACATGTTCCTTATTCATATTTCCAAAGACCGTGAATGAAAAAGGAGTTGTCCATATTATGGAGACTCTTCGTTTTCTTCCTGATCCCCAGTATTTGTGCGTCTAAGCTCCCTGAGTCTGTTTGGTTTTTCCCTGCTCACTGAAATTCTTCCTCCACTGCCTGTTGTCAGCTTCTTAAGCCTATTTTCACAATATGCCCTATGTTAACCCATCCCACTCACTTATGCCCTACGTTGACACTGCATTTCTGATTCTGACGGGATGATTTTAAATTTATAGCACACCCAGGCAGATAAATGCCTTTTTCAGAATGGTTTAAGGGAGGAAAGGGTAAAGGCTTCTCTCTGGTTTTGCCTAAGATGGAGAGCAGTCTTGGTGTCAGTGGTCTGAGTCTGATCTGCTCAGTCAAGGAAAAATACCTCCAGGGAGTGTTCTTTAACATGGTGAACAGCAGAGAGGCATTTGCTGAGAATGACTGATTACACAGAGTATAATATGCAGGCAAATATAGGAAAAAAAAGTTCTAGAGAGGACATATAATGGGTTATGAAATCAATCAATCAAATTCAATTTCCTCCCTAAGGAACTGGTAAACAAAACAAAACAAAAACCTGTTACCTAATATAAATAAGGGAGCAGTTCTAACCATTTCTAGATTTTAATTTCAGGCCATGGGACTTCTGTGGATTCTATTCTATTCTTGTCCTACCCCATCCAAGATGTCTACTTCTTACTTCAAAGTCCATTATTATCTGTGTATGTACTCACGTCCTGTGTAAAAAAAAAAAAAAAAAAAAAAAAAAGTACGAACTCTAAAGTTTCACTTACTCGAACTACCTCAAATATGTTGTCTCAGGTTGTTTCCCTTAGTAACACAATGGACTGCTGCTTCATCCTGCCACTTTGAGTGTGTGGTGTCCTTGTCCACCCCCACTTCCCATCTCTATTCCTCTGTTCTCATCTTGAGTATTCTGTGTTTTCTTTGGAACCCACACACTCTCTAAAGAAGCAGTAAGCTGAATTAGGATTCCATTCTGGTGGGAACAATCACTTCCTGCTTTAAAATTCATCTGGGAACAGTTGCCTTCCTCATTCAGAGTAGGGGACTCTGTATTTCCTAACCTCAAGGACTTTCCCTGAAGTTGCCTAATTTTTGTTTCCAAAAGCCTAAACCCATCAAAGAGACTAATAAGGCCTTGAGAGAAAGGGAGACTCCTGAGACAGACTCAAAGATAGCAGAGTGCCTTTTCCCCAAACTGGAAAGTAGAGAGTCAGCTCACTGAGTCACACCAGCATGGGAAGCCTGTACCCTGTTCCATGAAAATGCTCTGAGAATGTGCCAGTTAGAGGGAGTGTTGTATCCTAGGAATGTGTCCCAGGCCCCTGTGAAATGTCAGCTACCCTGTAGGATCTAGGATTCCACACAAGGGTTTCTGGTGGGACGAGAAAGGGCATTGCCAGTGCCCTGAAGATATATAGGGTTCCCAGATGGGTAAACTACCGTGGGGAGAGATCTTCGAGAACGGTTGTGTAACTACAGGTGAGGACTTAACGTTGAAATAAGATTTATAGAAAGTAAAAAATGTGCTATTTTTTGTACACTTGGATTTGTGGATTGAGAGCTGTCTGCTTTGCAGTAGCTCTATTTCTGTGTAATTACTTTATGTCCAATCTCATGTTGACTTTAATTTCTTAGAACCCAATATTATTGCTTTTTGACCTTTACCTTTAATGATTGCCCTTTATATCCGAGTCAATGATTGATCACCTCATCTTTCCCATGTCTTTTCATTTCTCTCTGGTATTCTTTATCTATTCTTAAGGCCTAGAGAACTTTTTTGAAGATTAAAGGAAACTTAGGAATCTCTTTGCCTGCATCCCTAACTTTATATTTCAATTATTGATTGGCCTGTTGGTAAATATTTCTATTTTCACTTGGAGTTTAAATGAGCCTTTGTTAAGGCTTATTAAATGATCCTTTATTAAGGATAATTTTCCCCAAAATAACGTGAGGGTGTTATGGATTAAATCGTATGTCAGCCCCGCAATTAATTTGTTGAAGTTCTAACTCCCAGTACCCTAGAACATGACTTTATCTTTTAAAAGGGTCATTGCACATGTAAGTAGTAAAGATAAGGTCGGCAGGGTGTGGTGGCTCACTCCTGTAATCCCAGCACTTTGGGAGGCCGAGGTGGGCGGATCACGAGGTCAGGAGTTTGAGACCAGCCTGGCCAACATGGTGAAACCCTGTCTCTACTAAAAATACAAAAATTATCCAGGCGTGGTGGCACGTGCCTGTAATCCCAGCTACTCAGGAGGCTGAGGCAGGAGAATCGCTTGAACTCAGGAGGCAGAGGTTGCAATGAGCCAAGATCCCACCACTGCACTCCAGCCTGGGTGACAGAGAGAGACTCCATCTCAAAAAATAAAAAAGTAAAAAAAAAATAAGGTCATACTGGAGTAGGATGGGCCCCTAATCTAATCTGATTGGTGTCCTTATAAAAAATGAAAATTTGGTCACACTCATATAGGGAGAAAGCCATGTGAACCTGAAAGCAGAGACCAGAGTGATGCTTCTGCAAGCAAATGAATGCCAGAGATTGCCAGCAAACCGTTAGAAGCTAGGAGAGGGGCTGGAATAGATTCTCCCTCACAGCCCTCAGAGGGAGCCATCCCTGCTGACACTTTGATCTCAGAATTGCAGCCTCTGGAACTGTGAGATAATAAATTTTTGTTGTTTAAGCCACCCAGTTTGTGGTACTCTTTTATGGCAGCCATAGCAGACAAATACAAGAGATTATTATGCTTCTAAGTAGACCCTTGGAGGTCTATTTTATGTGCGTAAACCTAGAAATGACTACAAAAGCTATTAAAGCCAAAACGTATTAATAAACATAAAAGTCTCTTCTGTCTAGAATGGGGTTAAGATAAAGATTTTGTTGTTTGTTTAACTCCTAAAATTGAAATGAGACTAAACCCGTTCTGTGAGCTAAATCTACATTCAGATATAGGGCTTCCTGCCCATTCCACAGGTAGGACAGGTAATTTTTAAAGTGCTTGCCAATGTTATTTACTGCCAGGAAATTTCCTAATTTGTGTTACTAATCCAGTTCAGCTTGCAAAGCATTTAGCACAAGAGAACGCTTTGTTTTTAAATTAAGTCCCTCCTTTCTCTGTAGCATGAGCTCTACAAGGTCTGGCAAGACTTAATTTGTTTTTCAGTGGTTTTTGAGTGACAGTGGAGAACTATTCTGCAATATTAATTACCGCATGTAAATGTGTGGGTTGTGGAGGAGAAAATTTTGGAGAACAGACAATAAGAAGAGATAAATAGGAAATTCACATTACTTAATGGAGTGGTTTTAATAATTGCACCAAGTGATGGATTGGGTGAATGGTGAGAAAAAGAGAAGTCTTTTATCTTTGTGGCTTAAACGTATGAATGGATGGTGCCATGTATTGAAAGAAGGAAGTCCGGGGAAGGAACAGATTGTGAGGAATTCATTTTGAACACATTAATTCTGATTTGCCTGGTATACATTCAAATGACAATATCAAATAGGTTGTTGGATTTTGTGTGTATGTGTGTGTGTGTGTGTGTGTGTGTGTCTGAAGCTGAGTGGTTGTACATTTGAAAACTGGGAGTCATCAATATGTGATTGGCATTTAAACTGTGGTACCTAATGAGATTACTTAGAGAAAGAGTATAGATAAAGCAGAGAGGAGTGCCCAGAAACAAATCCTCAGATCTCAATATGTAGATTTGAAGAAGAGGAAAATCCAGCCAATGAAACTGAGAATCTGAAAGAAATCCAGAGAATTCTGTCCTAGAAACAGAAAGGGGAGAGTGTTTCAAGGGGCATGAGGTGCTCAAATGTGTAATATTTTATTGTGAGGTTGAATAAGGTGCCCAGAAAATTGTATATGGCATTTGGTAAAATGAGGATCAGAGGAAACCTTGACAAGTTCCATTTCAATAACGTAGTCGAGGGCAGAAGCCAGATTAGAAGAGTGGTTGGGAGAGGAATGTAATTTAGGCTGCTGGCAGCCCTCTTCCCAGTTACTGGAAATTTTTTTCCATAGTGAGAGAAAGATATAGAGATAGAGATAAAAACGGAAAGAGGGAGGGAGGAAGAGAGAGAGATTGAGAGAGAATGGGCAAAGAGCCAATGGTAGAGTGAGAGATTTCTAAAACTCTAATTTGAGATTCAGGTTCTAGGGATGCCTCTACTTCCCAGTTAAATGAACCAATTTATTTTTTATTTTGTTTAGAGACTGGACCCCACTCTTTTGCCCAGGCTAGAGTGCAGTGGCATGATCATAGCTCAGTGTAGCCTTGAATGCCTGGGTTCAAATGACCCTCCCACCTCAGCCTCCCAGGTAGCTGACATTACAGGTGCAAGCCACCAAACCTAGCTCAGTTATCTTTTTAACCTAAACATATTTGCACTGAGTTTCTATAATATAACTGCAGTGACCTTGACAAATAGATAAATTGGTGACATACCTGAAACTGGAATTTAGTACAATCCCCCCAAAGGAATTCTCTGTACCTCTTTTCTTGGCTATGGCCATGGAAGTAAAGGACAAAGAAAGCTCTCAGAGGTCAGAAACAGTCAAATTGTTCAGCTACCTCCACTCACTGCACTGCCAGGACAGTGAGGCCTTTCTATCTCTTGACTAATAGAATGTGCAAATAGAATTTGTGATGGCTGGTGACAACTGTAAGTGATTTCCCCTTGCTCCTGATTGTCCTGTTTTTCTGTATATTGGGCATATTAGGGATGGTACATTATTTAATTTTAGATGCTATATCATGACAATTTTCATCTGGATCTGATCCAGGAGCGAATGCACATAGTTTGGAGATCTGAATGTAGAGCTAAAGGCAGTAACGATATAATTTTGGCTTGTTTCCTTTTGAGAGGGAGTGAATGCATTATTGGATTAACATAGAATAGATGCATTATATTATGCAGGAACATTTTAGGAAATGCATATTATGTATAGGTATAAGGGTTTAATTGTGCTGAACACCCACGGGGCAAGGGTGGACTATAATTGGCTTCCGTTTTTATGCCTGCTTTATTTGGAGAATGGCTCCTTTCTCACTCCAATCTTTTAATAATTCTATGGCTGTAAATCACAGTATTCCTGGCTAGAGGGAATGACTTTTGAGCACAATATCTAGGTTCTTTCAATTATATTATCTCATTTTCTTGACCATAAAAATTGATTCAGGACAGGTTATATGATCTAATAGAGTCTTTTTTCAATTTCTACTGGAAGATGAAGTGCCTTACTACTAAGGCCATGAAACTGGAAGTCTATAGGTGCCATTTTTCCTACTGTGTGAAGATAGCTTGTCTGCACTGGGAAATAACAAGGCAAACACATAGGAGCAGCACTAAGAATTGGAGGTAGGAAGAGACAGAATACTATGACCTTGTTTGAGTTTGTGGAATCTAGTTTATGTGAAACAGTACCTATTTCTGACTCCTTACTTATATAAGCCAATAATTTTTATGTGCCTTTTTAAAAGAGTTCAATTACAAAAAATGACAACAGTATGAGGTGATTGTTTTACGAAGTTTTGGAAAAGAAGCAAAAGTATGGGATGATAATGGAGAGGGAGGCAATGGAGAGTTCAGTGGACACCTTTCATTCATGGAAATGTCTATGTCATGTTTATATGCTGAATGGAATCTTTCAGAAAGAGTAAACTAGAAAATGCAGAAGTGGATTGGGGGGTAGGGTACAGAAATTACAGGAGCAAAGGCTTTGTGACAGGTAGGCGTGATAGGAGTCAAAGCCAAGTGCAGTGGCTGGCCTTTGATAAGCAGAAGAATATCATCTCTATTTGTTCAGTAAGAATGCTTTCCTCTTCAAATAACAGAATCCCAATTAAAGTAATGTAATAATGTTGCAGGACTTTTCCTTAGTTCAGCTAAAGATAGGGTCCTTGTCCAATGACCAGCAAGGTTTAGGCTCACAGGTTTGAAGGGTGAATACAGCAGGGTTTTATTGATTGAAAAGGAAAAAAAGGGGAAGCAGGGATTCTCCACGAGGCCAGAGTTCCTGTTGGTGTGGTTCCCGCCTTGCGTTTGAATCCCAGGTTCCACACAGGAAGAGGAGAGGCAAGCTCCTGCCTGCTGCAAATGGTGTGAACTGTGTGGCTTGGCCTCAGTGCGCATTTCTTCCACTGCACAGGCCAGTTGAAGTTTTGCCAGGCACCCCTTCCTACCTGGCTGTTTCAATAATGCCAGCTATCATCTTATATAACAATATGTCTATAGGTGGGCCAGTTTCACAGTTGGTTAATTCAGTGGTTCAAGAATGTCACCAACGGCCAGGTGCAGTGGCTCACACCTGTAATCCCAGCACTTCAGGAGGCCAAGGCAGGTAGATCACTTGAGATCAGGAGTTCAAGACCAGCCTGACCTACATGGTGAAATCCCATCTCTACTAAAAATACAGCATTAGCCAGGCGTGGTGGCGTGCACTGTAATCCCAGCTACTCTGGAGGCTGGAGCAGGAGAATCACTTGAACCTGTGTTGGGGGGGTGCGGACGTTGAGGTGAGCCAAGATCACACCACTGCATTTTAGCCTGGGTGACAGAGTGAGACTCTGTCACAAAAAAAAAAAAAAAAAGTCACCAAGATCCTTTGCTCTACCCTCCTTTGCTCCACCCTCTCTGTTTGTTGGTTGTGTCATACTTGCAAGATATTGGCAGTAATTCCAAGCAATAAGCAGTCAAAACTACATCCTGATAAAAAGAGATGTGCTTCTTCCTGTGCATCTTTTTAAAAATCTGGTAAAAATCCTCCTCAAGCTCCAGGGACCTCTATATATTGCATACCCGTGTCAGAAATGATCTCTTATACTGGAAATGAAACAAACATGACTGATTTAGTTCAATCATGATTCATGTCTCAGGGCTGGACAAGGCCAAGCTCTCCTGAACACATGGATGCTAGCTAATCCAAGTTGGGTTTTAGTTAGCAAGAGATAAAGGGGGAAAAAGACTCATGGGAAATAGATGATCAGTATCTGCTACAGTTAAGGTTTATAGATTAACTGGTGGGAAGGTGAGGGAATAGCTATCTGGCAGCTTCTGTTTTTTTCAGGGACTTACTGAGGTTGTCATTTGGGATGGGTAGAATTTTTGAAGAGAGGGGAAGTATGAAATGATATTTGAGGAGAAAGTTGAGGGAAATAAATAGCTACCTCACAGAAGAGAAAAGTCAGTTTACTAGGAGAAAAATATAGTGCTATTTTTATTTCAGGGTATTGTGGAGTACCCACCTGAGGTTTGTATTTATTAATTTAAAATGAAACCAGTGAATCCAATTTTGTGATGTTTTTTCTGGTAACATTCAATGAGTGGATGTAATGCTAACAATTTTCTAAACCTAAGAAAATCATTTATTTTCTATTTTTAATGGAGGTAAAATTCACAGAACTTAGAATTCATCATTTTGAAATATACAATTCTGTCACATTTAGTGCATTCCCAATATTGTGCAACCAACTCTTTCAAGTTTCAGTGCTTTTTCATCACCCCAGAAGAACACTTTATGCCCATTAAGTAATTACTCCTCATATCCTCTTCCTCTCATCCCTTGACAATCACTAATCTGTTTTCTGCCTTTATGGATTTATTTATTCTGGATATTTCAGATGAAAGGATTTATCTAATATGACCTTTTGTATCTGGCTTTTTGCACTTAACAAAATGTTTTTGAAGTTTATCCAAGCTACAGCAAGTATAAGTACTTTATTCCTTTTTATGCCTGAATAATATTCCATTGTGTGTACATAATGCAATTTGTTTATCCACTCATCTGTTGATGGACATTTGGTTTCCAACTTTTAGCTATTATGAATAAATATTTGTATGCCATATTTTGTGGGTGTAAGTGTTCATTTCTTTTTGGTATATATGTACAAGTAGAATTGCTGGATCACATGGTAATTCTAGGATTAACTTTTTGATCGGTCACCAATTATTTTCCACATTGCCTGTAACATATTACATTCTTACCAGCAATGTACAAGGGCTATTATTTCTCCATATCCTCAGCAACACCTTTTATTTTCCATTTGAAAAATTATAGTCATAATAGTAGGTATGAAGTAGAATCTCGCTGTGGTTTTGATTTGTACTACCTTAACGACTAATGATGTTGAACATCTTTTCATGTGCTTCTTGGCCATTTGTGTGTCTTCTTTAGAGAAATGTCTACTCAAGTCCTTTGCCCAGTTTTCAATTGGGTGGTTTGTCTTTTTGTTGCCGAATTGTAAGTTCTTTATATATTCTGCATACTAAACCTTTATCATATATGATTTGCAAATATTTTCTCACATCTCGTAAGTTGTCTTTTCATTTTCTTGATTATATTCTTTGCTACACAAGTTCTCAATTTTGGCCAAGTCAAATTTAACTATTTTTAACATTTTTTGTGTGTTTTTGCTGTCAAAGAACCCATTGCTTAATTCAAGATCATGAAGATTTACCCCAGTGTTTTCTGTTAACAGATTTACAGTTTGTGCTTACATATTTAGGTCGTTGATCTAGTTTAACATCATTTTTGTTTATGAAGTAACATAGGGGTCCAACTTCAAGTTCTAACATGTTGGTTATCCATTTGTGCCAGCACCATTTGTTGAAGATCCTCTTCTTTGCCTATTAAACTGTCTTGGCACCATTGTCAAACATCAATTAGCCATAGATTTTTGGGTTGATTTCGGAACTCTCAGTTCTATTTCAGTGGTCTATGTGTCAGTCCTTATTCCATTCAGATACTATTTGGATTACTGTAGCTTTGTAGTAAGTTTTGAAATTGGGAAGTGTGAGTCTTCCAACTTTTCTTCTTTTACAAGATACCATAGGCTGTTCTGGATCCTTTGAGATTTCATATGAATTTTGAGGACTGACTCTCTTATTCTGAAAAAAAGAAGCCATCATAATTTTAATAGAGATTGCATTAAATCTGTAGGTTGCTTTGAGGCATATTGCCATCTTCATAATATTAAGACTTTTAATCCATGAACATGAGACATCTTTCCATGTATTTAGTTTTTCTTTAATTTCTTTCTATAACATTTTGAGTTTGCATTGTACCAGTGTTTCCCTTCCTTGGTTAAATTTATTCCTAAGTAGTTTATTCTTCTGGATCAATTGTGAATGGAAGTATTTTATTTCCTTTTCAGATTGCTCATTTCTGGTTGTATAAATCATGCCTTTTTTTCCCTGTATTTCTGATACTTTGACATCTGAGGCCTTGGTGACCCTGGTTACACTACCCCTCCCTCCCAGGGCTAGCCAATTCCTAGAAATAGCAAATAACTTGCCTGGGAGCATTCCTTTCATATGGAAAGTAAACAGTCCAAAGCCCACACCCCCATTACCTCCTCTATTGGGTTCTCAAGCTCAGGGCCACAGTTCTTCTGCCCTAATCACCCCAAGTTCTGGTACCACACAACTAGGGATAAGCCCCTATGTTCCAGAGTTTGCTGAAATTTTTCAAACTAGCCAATCCAATGCTTGCCTATCTTGACTTATTCATCCCTTCTTAAGGAAACCACAACAAGGGCTCTTGCCCATGTTTTCCCCTTGCTCCCTCTGCCTCCTGACCAACTCCAGTGCTTTTCTGTGTGCCCCCTGTGGTGTAGCATGCTACCTCCTCTTGGGAACTGAGTGACAGACTACCTTTTCAGTGGCAATCATCTCCTGATTTCTTAGCGTCATCACACCTGAATAATAATAAAGCCTACACTTTAAAACACTGGTGTATAGAAACATAAACTGACTTTTGTGTGTTTATCTTTGATGTGGTTTGGCTGTGTCCCCACCCAAATCTCATCTTGATTTGTAGCTCCCATAATTCCCACATGTTGTGGGAGGGACCTGGTGGGAGATAATTGAATTATGAGGGCGGTTCCCCCATACTGTCCTTATGGCAGTGAATAAATCTCACAAGATCTGATGGTTTTATAAATGGGAATTTCCCTGCACAAGCTCTCTTTTTGCTGGCTGCCATGTAAGATGTCCCTTTGCTCTTCCTTCATCTTCTGCCACGATTGTGAGGCCTCCCCAGCCATGTGGAATTGTGAGTCCATGAAACCTCTTTTCTTCATAAATTACCCAGTCTGGGGTATGTCTTTATTAGCAGCATGAGTACAGACTAATACAGTAAATTGCTACCATTAGTGACTTGCTGCTGTGAAGATACCCAAAAGTTTAAAAGCTACTTTGGAACTGGGTAATGGGCAGAGGTTGGAAAAGTTTGGAGGGCTGAGAAGAAGATAGGAAAATGTGAGAAAGTTTAGAACTTCCTAGAGACTTGTTGAATGGCTTTGACAAAAATGCTAACAATTATATCTAGGCTGAGGTGGTCTCAGATGGAGATGAGAAACTTGCTGGGAACTTAAGCAAAGATTGCTCTTTTTATGCTTTAGCAAAGAGACTGGTGGCATTTTGCCCCTGCCCTAGAGACTTTTGGTACTTTGAACTTGAGAGAAATAATTTAGGGTATCTAGCAGAAGAAATTTCTAAGCGGCAAAGTGTTAAAGAGGTGGCTTGGGTGCTGTTGTTAAAAGCATTCAGTTTTATAAGGAAAGCAGAGCATAAAAGTTCAGAAAATTTGCAGCCTGACAATGCGACAGAAAAGAAAAACCCATTTTCTGAGAAGAAATTCAATCAGGCTGTAGAAATTTGCATAAGTAATGAGGAGCCAAATGTTAATCATCAAGATGTTGGAGAAAATGTCTCCAGGGCATATCCAAGGTCTTCACAGCAGACCCTTCCATCACACGCATGGAGGCCTGGGAGGAAAAAATGGTTTCATGGACTGGGCCCATGGTCCCTCTGCTGTATGCAGTATAGGGACTTGGTGCCCTGCATTCCAGCCACTCCAGTCATGGCTAAAAGGGGCCAAGGTACAGTTCAGGCTGTGGCTTCAGAGGGTGCAAGCTCCAAGCCTTGGCAGCTTCCACATGGTGTTGAGCCTGCGCGTGCAGAGAAGTCAAGAATTGAGGTTTGGAAACTTCCGCCTAGGTTTCAGAGGATGTATGGAAATGCCTGGATGTCCAGGAAGAAGTTTGCTGCAGGGGCAGTGCCCTCATGGAGAACCTCTGCTAGGACAGCACAGAAGGAAAATGTGGGGTGGGAGCCCCCACACAGAGTCTTCACTGGGGCACTGCCTAGTGGAACTGTGAGAAGAGGGCCACTGTCCTCCAGATCCCTGAGTGGTAGATCCACTGACAGCTTACATCCTGTGCCTGGAAAAGCCACAAACACTCAATGCCAGCCTATAAAAGCAGCCATGAGGGAGGCTGTATCCTGCAAAGCCACAGCGGCAAAGCTACCCAAGACCATGGGAGCCCACCTCTTTCATTAGCATGACCTGGATGTGAGACATGGATTCAAAGGGGATCATTTTGGAGCTTTAAGATTTGATTGCCCTGCTGGATTTCAGATCTGCCTGGGACTTTTAGCCCTTCTGGTTGGGCCAATTTCTCCCATTTGGAATGGGTGTATTTATCGAATGCTTGTACACCCCTTGTATCTAGGAAGTAACTAACTTGCTTTTGATTTTACAGGCTCATAGGCAAGAGAGACTTTCCTTGTCTCAGATGAGACTTTGGACTGTGGACTTTTGAGTTAATGCTGAAATGAGTTAAGACTTTTGGGGACTGTTGGGAAGGCACGATTGGTTTTGGAATGTGAGGACATGAGATGTGGGAAGATCCAGGGGTGGAATGATATGGTTTGACTGTGTCCCCACCCAAATCTCATCTTGAATTGTAACTCCTGTAAGTCCCACATGTTGTGGGAGGAAGCCAGTGGAAGATAATTGAAGCATAAGGGCCATTCCCCCATACTGTTCTTGTGATAGAGAATAAGTCACAAGAGATCTGATGGCTTTATAAATAAGAGTTCTCTTGCACAAGCTCTCTTTTTGCCAGCTGCCATGTAAGACATTCCTTTGCTCTTTCTTCATCTTCTGCCATGATTATGAGGCCTCTCCAGCCACGTGGAACTGTGAGTACATGAAACCTCCTTTTTTTTTTTTTACAAATTATCCAGTCTCAGGTATGTCTTTATTAGCAGCAGGAAAACAGACTAATAAAATCTTATACTCTGCAACTTTACCAAATTCATTTATTAGCTTGTGTGTGTGTGTGTGTGTGTTGTTTGGAATTTTTCTTAAAATAGAATTATGTCATTTTCAAATACAGATAGGTGAACTTCTTTGTTTCCAATGTGGATGTCTTATTTGTTCATATCATAGCTCTAGCTAGGACTTTCAGTACAAGGTTGAGTAACAGTGGTGAAAGTAGACATCCTTGTCTTGTTCCTGATCTTACCAGAAAAGCTTTCTGTCTTCCACCATTGAGTACAATGCTAGCTGTGGAATGTTCATAAATGTCTTTTATCATGTTGAGGAAGTTTCCTTTTCTTTTCCTACTTTGATGAATATTTTTATCATGGAAGAGTGTTGGATTTTGTCAATTTTTTTGCATCTGAATTGACCATGTAGTATTTTTCCTCTATTCTATCAATGTGATCTATTGCCTCAATCCATTTTTAGATATTGAACCACTCTTGTACATCTGAGATTAATCCCACTTGGTCATGGAGTGTAATATTTTTACTGTGCTGTTGGATCCAGTTTGCTAGTATTGTGTTGAGGATTTCTGTATCTATATTCATAAAGGATATTAGGCTATAGTTTTCCTGTACTATTTTGTCTGACTTTAGTATTAGGGTAACATATTAGGAAGAATTTCCTTATCTTCTGTATTTTGGAGGGGCTTGAGTAATATTAGTGTCAGTGTTAATCCTTTTTGAAATGTGTAATATACCAGTGAAACCAACTGGCTCTGGGCTTTTCTTTGTTGGGAGTTTTGTTTCTTTTCTTTTCTTTTCTTTTTTTTAAAATGGATTCAATCTCTTTAATTGTTGTAGGTCAATTGACATTTTCTATTTCTTCTTGAGTCAGTTTTAGTAATTCATGGTTTCTAGGAATTTATTCAGTTCATCTAAATTATCTAGTTTGTTGGCACTCATTTGTTCATACTAGTATCTTATAATCCTTTTATTTCTGTAAAGTTGGAAGTATTGTTTCCACTTTCATTTCTGATTCTAGTTATTTACATCTTATGTCTGTTTTTCTTAGCAACATAGCTAAATATTTATCAACTTTGTTGATTATTTCAAGGAACCAATATTTGGTTTTATTGATTATCTCTGTTTTTTTATTCTCTAGCTTGTCATCTCTGCTTTAACCTTTATTATATCCTTCCTTTTGTTGGCTTGTTGATGTGACATCTTTTTCATTTTGTAATGTAGGCATTTTCAGCTATAAACTTTCCTCTGCATCACATAAGTTTTTTTCTATATATATAGATACATTTTATATGTGCATATATAAACAAATAAACATATATGAGGATCTATGTAAAAATTTTTTTTTGAGATGGAGTCTTGCTCTGTCACCCAGGCTGGAGTGCAGTGGTGTGATCTCGGCTCACTGCAAGCTCTGCCTCCCAGGTTTATGCCATTCTTCTGCCTCAGCCTCCCAAGTAGCTGGGACTACAGGTGCCCGCCACCACGCCTGGCTAATTTATTGTATTTTTAGTAGAGACGGGGTTTCACTGTGTTAGCCGGGACAGTCTCGATCTCCTGACCCTGTGATCCACCCGCCTCAGCCTCCCAAAGTGCTGGGATTACAGGCATGAGCCACTGCGCCTAGCCTGGATCTATGTAAAATTACATACCATCACCCAATGCAGAACCCATGCATTAAATAAGTAAGTTGTCATCAACCTGAGACTGATGTTCAAGTAGTAACTTCTTTTTTCTTCTCAATCTCCTTTGTTCTTTTTTTAAAAAATGTTTTTATTTTTCCATAGGTTATTGGGGGTACAGATGGTGTTTGGTTACATGAGTAAGTTCTTTAGTGGTGATTTTTGAGATTTTGGTGCACCCATCACTCGAGCAGTATACACTGCACCCTATTTGTAATCTTTTATCCCTCACCCCCCTCCCACCCTTTCCCCTAAGTCGCCAAAGTCCACTGTATTATTCTTATACTTTTGCATCCTCATAGCTTAGCTCCCATGTATCAGTGAGAACATATGACATTTGGTTTTCCATTTCTGAGTTATTCACTTAGAATAATAGCCTCCAATCTCATCCAGGTTGCTGCAAATGCCATTAATTCATTCCTTTTTATGGCTGAGTAGTATTCCATCATATATATCTATATTTATCTATATATACATACACACACATATATATACACACACACATATATACGTATACGCACACACATATATATATATATCACAGTTTCTTTATCCACTCATTGATTGATGAGCATTTGGGTTGGTTCCACAATTTTGCAATTGTGAATTGTGCTGCTATAAACAAGCATGTCCAAGTATCTTTTTCGTACAACGACTTATTTTCCTCTGGGTAAATATCCAGTAGTGGGGTTTCTGGATCAAATGGTAGAACTAAAAAGTTCTACTTTTAGTTATTTAAAGAATCTTCACACTGTTTTCCATAGTGGTTGTACTAATTTACATTCTCACCAGCAGTGTAGAAGTGTTCCCTGATCACTGCATCCATGCCAACATCTACTGTTTTTTTATTTTTTGATTATGGCAATTCTTGCAGGAGTAGGATGATGTTGCATTGTGGTTTTGATTTGCATTTTCCTGATCATTAGTGATGTTGAGCATTTTTTCATATATTTGTTGGCCATTTGTATATCTCATTTTCAGAATCGTCTATTCATGTCTGTAGCCCACTTTTTGATGGGACTGCTTGTTTTTTTCTTGCTGATTTGTTTGAGTTTGTTGTAGATTCTAGATATTAGTCCTTTGTCAGATGTATAGATTGTGAAGATTTTCTCCCACTCTGTGGATTGCCTGCTTACTTTGCTGACTGTTCCTTTTGCCATGCAAAAGCTCTTTAGTTTAATTAAGTCCCAGCTATTTATCTTTGTTTTTATTGCATTTGCTTTTGGGTTCTTGGTCATGAAATCCTTGCCTAGGCTAATGTCTAGAAGGGTTTTTCCAATGTTATCTTTTAAAATTTTTATAGTTTCAGGAAAGCACATAAGATTTAAATCCTTAATCCATCTTGAGTTGATTTTTGTATAAGGTAAGAGATGAAGATCTAGTTTCGTTCTCCTACATGTGGCTAGCCATTTATCCCAGCACCATTTGTTAAAAAGGGTGTCCTTTCCCTACTTTATGTTTTTGTTTGCTTTGTCAAAGATCAGTTGGCTGTAAGCATTTGGGTTTTTTTCTGGACTCTCTATTCTGTTCCATTGGTCTATGTGCCTATTTTTATACTAGTACCATGCTATTTTGGTGACTATGGCCTTATAGTATAGTTTGAAATTAGGTAATGTGAAGCCTCCAAATTTGTTCTTTTTGTTTAGTCTTATTTTGGATATGCAGGATCTTCCTTGGTTCTACATGAACTTTAGAATTGTTTTTTCTAATTCTGTGAAGAATGATGGTGGTATTTTGATGGGAATTGTGTTGAATTTGTAGATTGCTTTTGGCAATATGGTCATTTTCACAATATTGATTCTACCCATCCATGAGCATGGGATGTGTTTCCATTTTTTTGTGTTGTCTATGATTTCTTTCAGCAGTGTTTTGTAGTTTTCCTTGTGCACGTCTTTCACCTCCTTGGTTATGTATATTCCTAAGTATTCCTTTTTTTTTTTTTTTTGCAGCTATGGTAAAAGGGGTTGAGTTCGTGATTTGATTCTCCACTTGGTTGCTGTTGGTGTATAGAAGAGCTACTGATTTGTGTACACTAATTTTGTATCCAGGAGCTTTGCTGAATGCTTTTATCAATTGTAGGAGCTTTCTGGAGGTGTCTTTAGGGTTTTCAAGGTAAACAATCATGTCATCAGCCAACAGTGACAGTTTGACTCCTCTTTACTGATTTAGATGCCCTTTATTTCTTTCTTTTGTCTGATTGCCCTGGCTAGGACTTCCAGTACTATGCTGAAGAGGAGTGGTGAGAATGGGCATCCTTATCTAGTTCCAGTTCTCAGAGAATATGCTTTCAACTTTTCACCATTTAGTATTATGTTGGCTGTGGGTTTGTCATCTTTTATTACATTGAGGTGTATCCCTTGTATGCTGATTTTGCTGAGAGTTTTAATAATAAATGGATTTTGTCAAATGGTTTTTATGCATTTATTGAGATAATCATGTGATTTTTGTTTTTAATTCTGTTTTTGTGGTGCATCACATTTACTGATTTGCATATGTTAAATCATCCCTGGTATGAAATCCACTTGATCATGGTGGATTATCTTTTTGATATGGTGTTGGATTTGGTTAACTAGTATTTTGTTAAGGATTTTAGCATCTATGTTCATCAGGGATATCGGTCTGTAGTTTCCTTTTTTGGATATGTCCTTTCCTGGTTTTGGTATTAGGGTGATGTTGGCATCATAGGATGACTTAGGGAGGGTTTCCTCTTTCTCTATCTTGTTGGAATAGCGTCAATAGGATTTGTACCAATTCTTTGAGTGTCTGGTAAAATTCTGCTGTAAATTCATCTGGTCCTGGACTTTTTTTTTTGTTGGTAATTTTAAAATTTCCATTTCAATCTTGCTGCTTGTTATTGGTCTGTTTAGGGTATCTAATTCTTCCTGATTTAAGCTAGGAAGGTTGTATCTTTCCAGGAATTCATCCATGTCATCTAGGTTTTTTAGTCTGTATGTAAAGATGTACACAATAGCCTTGAATGATCTTTTGTATTTCTGCGGTGTCAGCTGTAATATCTCCCATTTCATTTCTTATTGAGGTTTTTTGGATTTTCTCTTTTCTTGGTTAATCTTGCTAACGATGTATCAATTTTATTTATCTTTTCAAAGAACCAGCTTTTGGTTAATTTCTCTTTTGTATTTTTTGTTTGTTTCAATTTCATTTAGTTCTGCTCTGATCTTTGTTATTTCCTTTCTTCTGCTGGGTTTGGGTTTAATTTGTTCTTGTTCCACTAGTTCCTTGAGGTGTGACCATAGATTGTCAGTTTGTGCTCTGTCAGTCTTTTTGATGCAGAGTTTTAGGGCTATGAACTTTCCTCCTAGCATCGCCTTTGCTGTATCTTAGAGGTGGGGTTTTTTTTTTTTTTTTAAGACGGAGTTTCACTCTGTCACCCAGGCTGGAGTTCAGTGGCACGATCTTGGCTCACTGCAACCTCTGCCTCCTGGGTTCAAGTGATTCTTCTGCCTCAGCCTCCTGAGTAGCTGGAACTACAGGCACGTGCCACCATGACCTGCTAATTTTTGTATTTTTAGTAAAGACCATGTTTCACCATCTTGGCAAGGATGGTCTCGAACTCCTGACCTTGTGATCCACCCTCCTCGGCCTCCCAAAGTGCTGGGATTACAGGCATGAGCCACTGCACCCAGCATCCCAGAGGTTTTGATAGGTTGTGTCACTATTGTTGTTCACTTTGAAGAATTGTTTAAATTTGCATCTTGATTTCATTTTTGATCCAGTGATCACTCAGGATCAGATTATTTAATTTCCATGTATTTGCATGATTTTGAAGGTTTCTTTTGGAGTTGATTTTCAGTTTTATTCCACTGTGGTCTGAGAGAGTGCTTAATATGATTTCAATTTCCTTAAATTTATTAAGGCTCATTTTGTGGCCTATTATATGGTCTATCTTGGAGAAAGTTCCATGAGCTGTTGAATAGAATGTGTATTCTGTGGTCGTTGGGTGGAATTTTGTATATGTATCTGTTAAGTCTATTTGTTCCAAGGTATAGCTTAAATCCATTGTTTGTTGTTGTTGTTGTTGTTGACTTTCTGTCTTGATGACCTGTCTAGTGCTGTCAGTGGAGTATTGAAGTCCCCTACTACTATTGTATTGCTGTCTATCTCATTTCTTAGGTCTATAAGTAATTGTTTTACAAATTTGGGAGCTCCAGTGTTAGGTGCATATATATTTAGGATTGTGATACTTTCCTGTTGGACAAGGCCTTTTACCATCATATAATGTCCCTCTTTGTATTTTTTAACTGCTGTTGCTTTAAAGTTCATTTTGTCTCATATAAGAATAGCTACTCCTGCTCATTTTTGGTGTCCATTCATATGAAATACCTTTTTCCACCCCTTTACCTTAAGTTTATGAGAGTCCTTATGTGTTAGGAGAGTCTCTTGAAGGCAGAAGATGGTTGGTGAATACTTATCCATTCTGTTGTTCTGTATCTTTTAAGTGGAGCAATATGGCCATTTACATTCAATGTTAGTATTGAGATGTGAGGCACCATTCAATTAGAAATCCTTTAATTTTCTTTATTTTCACACATTAAAAATGAAACACACTAAAAAAATGGTTTTCATAGCAGATTACACATGGGTCCATTCAGACTTGCTCTCAAAGTGCTGCCAATATGACAAGTGCTGCCAATACAACAGCTGCTAATTGGAGAGCCCATGTCTTGATTTAAATGCAGTAGCATGCAGCCTTCAGTGTGGGAGGTTCGGTCTTCTCTGTTCTTAAATTAGGGTAAATGGCATTGGTGTCCATATTTACAGACATGAAATGTATCTATCCTGAGCAGTTCCAATGTAAATCTGAGACCAGCTGATGGGAGTCTTGGTCTCAGCTTTAAAAAGGGAGGTACAATGGTGGCAGGCTGGCTGCTGTAAACTTGAGTTGTTTACATTCTTTCCAACATGAACTATTTGCTGTGGGACACACAGTCAGACCCTTCCTGGAGGGTTAAGCCAAGTAACTGTAGGTGTGCTTTTCACCATCAACTTGCTCCAAATATTCTTTCTCAATTAGAATGTCAATGCATTTCTTGATCAGGGACCCGGGATTTGAACCTGGAGGATAGCTGAGTGAGGGCCTCATCAACTAACTGCTGGTGTTTCAAAACCTTCCTCATCTTCATGATTCTCATGATGGCCATCTGAATCAGTAGTTTGCAGTCTTCCTCAATATTTTTGTTTGTGTTTTCTTGTTCCTGCTTCTGTTCAGTTTCATGGGCACATTGATGTTAACCCTTAATTTCTAATTTTTATAACCAAGATGTAATTTTATTAAGGTATCTGTCTTCAATTCCACCTCATCAGCATTTACATTTTCATCTTCCAAGACCAATAACTTCAACTTTAATAAAATCTGTAGGACTTATGCCAAAATGTCCATTTTAATTTGAGTGCAATCAGTCAGCTGCTGTACAGTGTAGGCATCTTCTGTGTTGTACTGAAGCAGGATTGCCGTCTGGAATGTGGATGCCTGCAAAGTATATCTGTTTGTAAAGCAGTTAGTTACCAATTCTCCTTTAGACAACTGATATAACCATGTCAATTTTCAGCCACTGTGACAGCTGGCATAGAAAGCTGTGAATTGCCGATAACTACATTCCAACCCTAGGGGAAGGCAAACATACAAGACTGCTTAAAGGGCCAGGACCCAGAGCTCAGCACCTGAATGCTGAAATCCCAGTCTAGGGGTTCTGAATTTGTCAGGTGATTTTTGAATTGCTCATTCAGATCTTTGCTCACACCAGTGTCTTGAAACATCCACTGAAGTTTAGAGGTATACTCAAAACCACAAGCTTGCTTTAACTTAGAGAACATGCTGGCTTCAGCATTGTCACTCACTGCCTTCCCTTAGAGTTGGAACGTAGTTATCGGCAATTCACAGCTTTCTATGCCAGCCATCACAGTGGCTGAAAATTGACATGGTTACTGGCATCATCATTTGCATCATCACTGTTCTGGTAGATGAGCCTCTTGGCCAGCATTTTTGCATAGAACTTCTGAAACACATCTTTGTCCTCTATGTACTTGAAGACAACCATTATATGATTGAGTGTATCTTCTAGTTCTGCCTCATCTGTGTTCTTGGAACTTTTCTTCAAGAACGAGTCATAGTATTGAGCCAATGACTCATGGGAGTTACTGGATAAATAGGCCATCTTGGTAACCGCATTGTTGTTTATGAAGCAACCACAACCTTGTCAAGAGCAGCCACAAAGCCAGTGTCATTGTTAAATGCAGACATTACCAAGGCAATGCATTTTTTATGAAGGTCAAGCACCTTCTGTACATACATTTTGGGGTCATTTAAAGCAGCTTCTCCACATTTTTCAATAGCTAAAAGACCCTGATTATGAATCTGTGTCTCCAGCAGTTTTTTCAATTCTCCTAGGTCATTCTGGATTCTAGATACAAGATTATACATGTGTCCCAAATCTTCATTTTTGTCAGCATCCAATAAATTCTGAAGTTCTGTGTGGAAAATTTCCAAGTGTTTTTCAATGAGGACTTTCTCACATTTCCTTGCTAATTCATCTTGTGTGCCTTCATGAAGGTAAACCTGAACTCTTCATTGTTCCTGAAGCACACAAGCCTCTGCCTTATTCATATATTCAGTAACTGGGTTCTGCTGCAAGAATTCAGTACTCTCTGTGACATAAAATCTCTCTGTGACAGAAAAAAAAAAGAGAGAGATTCAAAGGATTCTTTATACACTGTTAATGTAGGGCCCTTTGCAAATGCATCATCTTCCTTCAGCTCCAATTCCATGTAACACTGTACAACTCCACTCACAGTTTTGTATTGATGGTTTCACCATTTCCTTCCTTTTTGATCAGCTTTGAAACAGAATTTCTTACCTGTTTATTCAGTGGCCTAAATGGTCTCTCCAAGTCACCAATGCAAGGGAATAGATTTCACATATTCCTTTCGTCCTTTGTCACATTCACGGTGAACCCAGTGTCTACTGAGGTAGGCACAAATTCCATTCAGCACTTTGCTTGAAAATCAGTAATCTTCCCATTGTTGAGTGTAGAATTTCAGTACACTCTTGTCCATCAAATCTTCTCCATGCTTAAGAAGACTTGTCAAGTAATTATTCAAAAATTACTTAAGTTGTTTGTATAATTCCAGGCCAATGTACTGAGCTCCTTCAGGTGTCTGCCCCTTTTTTGATGTAGAAACTCTGGCTCCTCATGCTTGGTTTGACTGGTGTACACTAGCACACTAGTTATGAACATGAGTGTGGAGCTCCATGTATCTGGACCTGGTCATGCTGTGCCACATGTACACCTGCTGGATGGTGGCTCTGAGGTCATCCAGATCTGGTCTAAGCCAATCTGCTTCAGGCCATGGGGGTTCTGGCTCCGGATTTATGACATCGTGAGGGATGTTCTAAAGCTGTCCAGTGCAGCAATCCTTATTCAAAGTTCAGCTAGTTCTCCATTAGATAAAAATATGCAGTACCATTCCAAATTTATTCACAGCAGTTTGGAAAGAATGTCCTTTAAGTGTAGAGAGTGAAATATATTGCAGGCAAACTCACATCTCCATGGTACCCAAAAGGCTCCCCTGATGCCTCCACCTGGTCACCAGGCCTAGACCTTGGCAAAACCCCCATCCCACCAATGTCTGGCTGCATCCCTCAGCCACTGGGCTGCCCTGCCTGGAGTTGCATGTGACATGGCACCTACCTCCTCCTCACCTGCCAGCCCAGGCCTCCTCCTCCTGCTGCCGCCACCTCGTCCCATAAGTTTTTGTATGCTATGTTTTGTCTTCATTTGTTTCTAAATATTTTTTAATTTGCCTTGTGATTTTTTCTTTGTCCCACTGGTTGTTTAAGAGTGTGTTATTTCTGTGTACGTGAAAATTTTTCAATTTTCCTTCTGTTATTGATTTTTAGCTTTATTCTCTATTGTTGTGAGAGAAGATACTTTAAATGATTTTATTCCTTCTAAATTTATTGAGAATTATTTTTATGAACCAAATTATAGCCTATCCTGGAGAATGCTTCATGTGCACTTGAAAAAATGTATATTTTTCTGTTGTTTTGTGGATTGTTCTATCTGTCATACTACGTCTGTTATGTCTAGTTGATTTATAGTGTAATTCAAGTCTATTTTCTTCTTGTTTTTCTGTGTAGATATTATATCCATTATGAAACTGGAATATTGCACTTTGAGAGGTCAAGACAGGCAGATCACTTGAGGTGAGGAGTTTGAGACCAACCTGGCCAACATGGCAAAACCTCATCAATTCTAAAAATACAAAAATTTGCTGGGCATCATAATGCATGCCTGTAATCCCAGCTACTTGGAAGGCTGAGGCAGGAGAACCTCTTGAACCTGGGAGGTGGAGGTTATAGTGAGCCAAGATCACACCACTTCACTCCAGCCTGGGTAACAGAGTGAGACTTCACCTCAGAAAAAAAAAAAAAAAAAAAAGGGGGGGACTATTGAAGTCTCCAACTATTCTCACAAAAGTGTCTACTTCTTCTGTAAATTCTATCAATAGTTGCTTCATGTATTTTGGGACTCCATTGTTTGGTGCATTTATGCGTATAGTTTTATATCTCCTTGACAAATTGCCACTTTTATCAATATGCAATGTATTCCTTTTACTTTTATAAAAATTTTTGACAACATCTATGTGACTATGTGACTATGAATATAGTCACATTGGCTGTTTTTGGGCTACAATTCACATGCAACATCTTTTTTCATTCTTTTACTTCCAACCTATTTGTTTCTTTGAGTCTAAAGTGAGTTTCTTATAATCAGCATATAATTGGATCACACTTTAAAATTTATTCTGCTAGTTTCTGTCTTTAATTGGGAGTCAAAGTCACTTAAATTAAAATATTACTAATAATAAAGAACATACTTCTGCCACATTGCTTTTCATTTTCTATATATTTTATGTCCTTTTTATTCCTCAATTCCTCCAATACTATCTTCTTTTGTGTTTGATTGATATTTTCTAGTGTTCCATTTTGATTCTGTATCTTTTGCAGTTATTTGCTCCTAGAATGTATATGTTAGTATGCTTAATAGTGTCCTGTAGGCCTCTTAGGTTCTGTTTATTTCTCTTCATTGTTTTTTCTTTCTGCTGTTCAGACTGGGTAATTCCAATTGCTGTATTGCTATGGACTGAATATTTACACCTCCTCCAATTCATATGTTGAATTCCTAATTTTTAATGTGATGGTATTTGGAAGGGGTACATTTAGGAAATAATTAAGGTCGTGAGGTTGGAATCCTCATGATGGAATTATTGCCCTTATAAGAAGAGAAGGAGATAAGAGCTCTACTTTTCTTCATCATGTGAGGATACAGCAAAAAAAAGGGGCTGTCTGTAAAATAGAAAGAGGGGCCTCACAAGACACTGAATTTTTTGTCACTTTGGCCTTGGACTTCTGAGACTCCAGAATTGTAAGAAATATTTTTTCTTTAAGTCACCAAGCCTGTGATATTTGTTATAGAAGTCTGAACTGACTAAAATAAATTGGTAACAAGAAGTGGGATGCTACTGTAACATATACCTTAAAATGAGTTTTGAGCTTCAGGCTTTAAAAAGTAGATATTTCCATGAAGGGGCTGCTGAAGACAATCTGGTGAGGCCTGACCAAAATAGGAGAACTGGAGAGAAATCCTCCCTCTTATTCGAGAAGACATAAATAATCATGAGCAGAATATTGATGGAAATATGAACAGTAAAGGCCATTTTGATGAGGTTTTAGATGGAAAAGAGGAACATGTCATTGGAATCCAGAGGAAAGCAATCCTTGTTGTAATGTGGCAAAGAACCTGGCTAAATTATCTTTGCATTCTAGTGTTTTGCAGAAGATAGAATTTGTGAGTGATAAAAGTGGATATTTAGCTGAAGATGTTTCTAAGCAAAGTGTTGAGAATACCAAGGGTGTGGCCAAGCAACTGTTTGTTAAGGAGATTGGTATGGGTGTGAAACACGGACCTAATCAGTACTCCAGCAAGAACACTGCCAGTCTGAACTGAAGGAGATGAAGGTGGGGGAAAATGAAGAAAGTTTCTCAGACTTCTTAGAGGCTACAGGACAGGATGATAAAGCTATTCAATAGCCTTGTGCTGTTCTAGAAGATGGGGGAAATGGCCCCAAAGACAGTTCAGAGATTATCAGGGACATCATCTCAGCTTCAACAGGCCAAATATCCTCCAACTAAAGCCATGATGGTGAGGTCACCTGGAGCCATGAGAGCACAACCCTACCTGGAAGAAATTTGAAACCAAGATCCTCGTGTGGTAGAGCCCTTGGGGTTTAGCTTCTCTCTGACAGAACCCTGGGGGAGAGATCACCATTCTGCAGAGCCTTTGGGCATAACCCCCATGCAGTAGGGCTGGGTGGGCACAAGCCCTGCTCAACCTAGCCACAGCATGGATGGATCTCTGCCAAGCTGTGGGGGTGACATTTCCACTCCAGTGGTCCTGGAGGGCAGAGTATCAAACCAAAAAGGATTATTCTAGATTATTCTTGAGCATTAAAGTCTAGTGGAATTTGCCGTGATAGGTTTTGGATGTATGTGGGACTCATCACCCCTTCCTTCTTTCATTTTTCTCCCTTCTGGAATGGAAATATCTATCTTATGCCTGTACCATCCTGTATTTTGGGGCTTGGAGGCCATTTTGGGATATGTTTTGTACTGATATATCATAGTTGTACATATTTTGGGTACATATAATATTTTGATATATGTATACAATGTGTAATGATCAAATCAGGGTAATCGGGACATCCAACACTCAAACATTATCTTTTTTTTTGTATTGGAACATTAATATTTTTCTTCTAGTTATATTGATACACAATAAATTATTGTTAACCATAATTTTCTTACTGTACTAATGAGTACTAGAACTTATGTCTCCTATCTAACTATTTTTGTACCGTTAACCAACTTCTCATTATCCTCTCCTCTTCCTTTTTCTTCCCAGCCTCTGGTAACTACCATTCTACTCTCTACTTCCATAACATCCACTTTTTTAGCTCCCAGATAGAAGTGAAAACATATTAGGCATTCTGCCTAAATTCACATTTAATTATGGGATAGCAAACAAGGCATCAACATAAATAAGAGGAGATTCAAGTTAACAACTGCAAGATATCAGAGCTGAATTTTTAAGCTCTGAGAAACTTGGGCATAGCTTCCTTTTTATTGCTTTTTAAATGTTTATTTATTAATAAAAACTGCTTGTTTTTACAGCATAGAAAAAGAAAGCTCAGGCTAATTTAGTTTCACATATTTGCTTACAAAAAAGAAAGTAGAAATGCATCCATTCTTTAAATGACCAATTTCTATATATTGTAATTAGCCACCTTTGCTGAAATATATAGTTTACATGATGTTGGAAAGCTGATATTCTACATATGATACCTTATGAAGACCAGGACTCTGTCCCCTCCACCTGTGGTCCTAACAAGTTTGGAAGGAGAAGATCATTTAAAGAGAATGGACAACATTCATCTGAAAAATTGTGTACAGCAAAATAACAATTGTCATATTATAAATTTGAAGCTCTGCAAATCTACTCAGAAAATTCAACTTTCAATATTTACTCCAATGTCCAATAAAAGAACACTATAAAGTTATTGCAATATATTAAAAGCCAAAGAAAGATAAACTATATCTATTGTACCATATTGTTGCAGTCAAGAAAGGGTACTGATATATTTTGGAATTATATTTAAGTAACACTTAAAATAAAATGATTTGAACATCACAGAAGATGACAAAATAAGAAGTTCTAGGAACTGGTCCTGTCACAAAAATAACTACTGAACTGGCAAGAACTGTCAGAATCAATCATTTCAGAACTCTGGAGTGTAGCAGGACACTTTCAGCTTCCAGAGAAATGCTTGATGAGGAAAGATACTGGAATACAAGGAAATTCCTGTCAGGTCACTGGCCGCAGAAATATTAGAATAGAGACTTCAGTAACCATACATGATAAGGAATATAGTCTTTGCAACATTAGTTGAAAAAGTCATTAAACAAATGGATGATTGCAGTCTTCAACAAGCAGCAACAACAAACCTTGGGGTAGGAGGAGAATCTGATTTCTAGAATTATGAAATTATATACAATGTTAAATTCTCAGCAAAATATTATAAATCTTACAATGTAAAGTATGGCCCATTCATAAGAAAAAGAAGACACTGACAGAAACCATTCTTCAGGAAGCCCAGAGAGCAAATTCCAGACTTACTGGACAAATGAATATGTTCAAAGAGGTGAAAGAAACCATGTGCAAAGTAGTAAGGAAAATCAGGAGAATGATGTATGAGCAAGTTGGGAATATACGTAAGGAGACAGAGATTATAAGAAGGAACCAAGTAGTGCTGGGTGTGGTGGCTTATGCCTGTAATCCCAGCACTTTGGGAGGCCAAGTTTGGTGGATTGCTTGAGCTCAGGAATTTGAGACAAGCCTGGGCAAAAAAGTGAGATTCTGTCTGTATTAGTCCATTCTCACACTGCTAATAAAGACATACCTGAGACTGGGTAATTTATAAAGGAAAGAGGTTTCATTGACTTACAGTTCAACATGACTACGAGGCCTCAGGAAACTTACAATTATTGTGGAAGGGGAAGCAAACATGTCCTTCTTCATATGGCAGCAGCAAAGAGATGTGCCAAGCAAAAGGGGAGAAAGTCCCTTATAAAACCATCAGATCTTGTGAGAACTCACTCACTATCATGAAAACAGCAGTGTAGGGGTAACCATCCCATGATTCAATTACCTCCCACAGGGTGCCTCCAATGACATGTGGATTATAGGAACTAAAATTTAAGATGAGATTTGGGTGGGGACACAACCAAACCATATCACCATCTCATATATATATATATATATATATGTATAAAAATTAGCTGGATGTGGTGGTGTGCAGCTGTAGTCTCAGCTACCCAGGAAGGTGAGATGGGAGGATGGCTCGAGCCCAGTAGATAGAGGTTGCAAGAAGCTGAGATTGTGCTGTTGCACTCCAGCTTGGGTGACAGAGCCAGACCCTATCTCAAAAAAGAGGCAGAAGCAGAAAAGGAGGAGAAGGAAAAGGAGAAGGAGAAAGACAAGAAAGAGGAGGAGGAGAAGAGGAAGAAGAAGAAGAAGGAGGAGGAGAAGAGGAAGAAGAAGAAGAAGGAGGAGGAGGAGGAGGAGAAGGAGAATAAGAATACAAATTGTGGAGTTGAAAAGCACAATGGCTAAAAGAAAAAAATTCACTAGAAGGGTTCAATAGCAGATATAAGCTGGCAGATAAAACAATCACCAAACTTGAAAATAGATGTCTTAGTCATTTCAAGCTACTATAACAAAATACAGCATAGATTGGGTGGCTACCTATTGGGTACTATGCTCACTACCTGGGTGATGGAACCATTCATACCCCAAACCTCAGCATCATGCAATATACCCATGTAACAAATATGTACATATACTTTCTGAATCTAAAAAAAAAGTTGAAATTATTTTTAAAATCCTATCATAGGCACCAAGGTTATAGAGTCAGTGAGTTGTGGAATTAAGACTAAAACATAGATATCCTGATTCTAAGTCAACATTTCTTAGAATTAAGCTGAACATGAGTTAAATATATCTGAGTCAAAGAGATATTCAGTAAGAAACTTGTTACAAAAGGAGAGGAAATAAGGGGTTAGTGTCTATATAAAAGGAAGCAAGATGGTGGGTTAGAGAGAATTCTAAGGTATTAGAAAAAAGTTTCCTTTAAGTATATAAGTTAAGACCCTGAGAAATATTGCTGAAGTCCACATGGTAAGAAAAAAACGTCACAGGCCTCATTGTGACAGGCAGCCTGAGTTAGGATTTGGATATGATCTAAAATCAGGAATGGAGGCAGACAAATGAGGGCCCAAATCTAACCTCTTCTTTTTAGCTTTGGAATCTTACACAAGTTAATTCACCACTAAAGCATTAAAGCATTTAGTTTCTCAATCTTTACAATGAAGATAACAAAAAATATAAAGAAAATTGCTGATAGGGTTTTGAGCAATGATGTAAGGTAACATTTATATATGTAGTACCCAGCAGAATGCCTAGTATACTATATCTACCAAATATATGTTAGTTTCTGCTGTTTTTCATAAACTTTTCTTACTTGTGGTCAAGAGCATGGAATCTTAGAACCAAACAGCATATCCGTAGAATACTTTTGGCAACAGGTAATAGAAAACTCCTTAAACAATAAAGGAATTTATTGGCTCACTAAGTGCAAGTTGTAAGGTAGGGTTTGCTTCAAGATTGGTTAATAAAGCACTTTAATAATGTTATCAAGAACTTAAGTTTTTTCTATTGTTTACTCTTCCTTTCTGAGTATGCCTGATTTCCTGATGTCTGTGGGATAGCTGTAGTAGCATTCGCGTCTGGTCGGTGACAGAGGGTGCCTCTCCAAATCACTCTCCAATTCTGTGCAGTGTGAGTAACCCAAATTAGGTCACATCTCCTTATACGATAACTGTTGCTACAGGAAAGCCAGGCTCTGATTAGTTTATGCTTTGATTCCTGAACCAATCAACAGCAAAGAGGATAGAATTGTCATGATGACCAGGGCCTACTTTGGAGCTGGGGTCAAATTTGGGTGTAGGGAGTCAAACCTGATGTCCACTACTGAAAACTTGAACTCCAGAACTTACTTGCTGTATCCTTTGATAAGTCATATAATTTTGTTGAAACTCAACTTCTTTATCTGCAAAATGGGAGCTATAATAGAATGAACCTTCAGGATGTTTTGAAGATAAATTGAGATACTAAAATAAATTTGAAAACAAAAGGCTCTGCAGACTGTCTGACATGTAGTAAGTGCCCAAGAAATGTTAACTATTATTAATATTATTTATTCACCTATATAGTTTTGCATTATATAATAGCTATTTTTAAATGATCTGACTTTCTGGCTAAAGTATGAGTTTTTTGAGGCTGTGAACAATATTGTTTTCATTTTTTAATCTACAAATTCTTACATATAATAAATGTCCAACTTATTTCTTTAACAAATGAGTGAATAAATGATGTCTTTTGAGTGAATGAATAAAGGCTTTCAAACAATAGAAGGTAGATTTAAAAGAAAGACAATAAAATGGTAACGATGGATCACATAACAAACAGGATATGGGAATAAAATGGGCCCAACTGAGAGAGATTATATTTGAGAAAAAAATAATTCCAGACATAGAGAGGAGTTTTCTCTGAACATTAGAGTGGTTATAGGAAATGAACAAATCAAATATAGTTTGAATTCAGGGTATGCAGCTCATAAAGATTATGATGTCTTCAGATATTTTGTTTTTGTTTTACAATTTGATAAATAGGCCGGACACAGTGGCTTACACCTGTAACCCCAGCACTTTGGGAGGCCGAGGCGGGCGGATCACTTGAGCTCAGGAGGTCAAGACCAGCCTGGGCAACATGGTGAAAACTCATCTCAAAATTACAAAGAATTAGCCAGGCGTGGTGGTGTGAGCCTGTAGTCCCACTTACTCAGGAGACTGAGGTGGGAGGACCCCTTAAGCCCCAGAGGCGAAGGTTGCAGTGAGCAGCGATTGCGCCATTGCATTCCAATTTGGGTGACAAGGTGAGACTCTATCTCAAAAAAAAAAAAAAAAAAAAACAATTTGGTAAATATTTAGATAAAACCCAGAAGAACACCTACTGTGAGCTAGAAGAGGTAGAAGAATAATTATAATAAGAGCTGCTAGATGTTTGATATGTTCCAGGCATTGTTCTAAGTGTCTCTGTTGTTTAAACTCATGTAATCCTCAAAACCAACTGTTGAGATAAGTAGTATTCTTTTCATCCCCATCGCTATTTACAGATTAAAAAACTCAAGCCCAGGTAGGTCAAGTAACTTGCTGAGATCACACAGATAGTAAACAGCAAAATTGAGATTTTTTTTTTTAAGACAGAGTCTCACTCTGTTCCCCAGGCTGGAGTGCAATGGCGCGATTTTGGCTCACTGCAACCTCCGCCTCCTGGGTTCAAGTGATTCTCCTGCCTCAGCCTCCCTAGTAGCTGGGACTACAGGCACCTGCCACCAAGCCTGGCTAATTTTTGTACAAAATTGAGATTTTTTTTAACCCAAAGGATAAAGACACTAGACTCCTTGGCTTTAACCATTACACTATACTGTGTCTCTAATAAAATAGAAGGGTAGGCAGAGAAGCCAGACTGCAATCCCAAACCACCATGCACTCAGGAGTTAAACACATGTTGGTGATCATGAGGAGCACCGCAGGTCTCCAAGGCCACCAAGAGCCAAAAGGCATGGCCAGCAGTTCGTAACATGTGTGTTCCCTCTAACCCTTATTTTGCACTTTGTTAATCTGCGGCATATAACACAATGGCTGTGGAGGAGGCAACTGAACAAACATTTGTCCAGTGAATGAGCGTGTGGCTGGATGGTTCGGTGCCAGTATGTATGTTGTGCTCACAGTATATATGATATGCCAGTATATCTGATGGGCCAGTATAGATAATGTGCTTATTTCCTTGGCAGACTGACCTCTTCATGCTTCCATATTTGGTAGATTGTCTTTAAAAATTTAAGGACAATTAAGTTTTCTCAAAATGAGACAACTTGCCTTGCAATAACATTCAGAGTAATGAAAAAGAAATGTAGAGATAATCCATGCTTCAGAGAATGCCCTGGGAGTTGCAGTGAATACAGAATTGTGTGTCCCTTTCCAGGGAGTCTTTCAGGACTGTTGCTGACCTATAGAGAAAAAGCACAATAGCTGTCAGAATGAAAGGAGAAGCTAGTACAGGCACTCTCTAAGGGAATTAGAGACTAAGGACTATCAAACTACCACTTTCCTCAAAAGGAATCAACAAACAGTCAAACAAAAACAAAGTCATTGCTAGGAATTTTTTTGGTTGTGGCTTAGCATAGATCTGCCTTTGATCAGACTTTAACTTGAAATTCCTGAATATACCCCAGTTCCATGCACCCTGATGCTTCTATGGCGAACATTCAAAGGAGTCAGAACTCCCACTCTTTCTAGATTGCTGTAGCCCACCAAGAGTTAAGTTTCAAAGACCATATATAAGCCAGAATACAAGTTTCAGATTCAGCTGTACAAATAAAGTGCAATCTTGAAACACAGTGAAGATGAGTGTTGAGGTCTTTGCATTCAAAATTTCTCTATTTCTAGTATTTCTATATTCTCCGTTGTAACTATGCGATTTCATCTCTTGCTTAGAAAGATCTTAGTTATAAACAATAAATAAAATCAATTTTTCCTTCTTTCTCTATGCTAATTTATCATCTATGAGGAATGCTCCAGAAGCTATTTTCATATTTAGTAGATACTGGTGGAAGATAAATTATTTGTAAGTTGAATTTTTAAAAGGAGCTTTTAAAATATCACTGTACTTACATACTCTTATAAAGAAAATATCTTTAGCTTTCAGTCTCTGAAGGAACAAAATCAAAACTGCTTGAACAAGTATCCCGGCTGGAGGAAAAACTGGAGGCTGTGGACCACAAGGAAGCCAGTGGGGGACCATATGAAAAAATGGTTCTTGTGAAAGACCAGGTATGTTGTAGAACAAAGTCATCTTTATTTTAAAAGTTACCTAATTTTATATGAATTGACAATCCTGGAAAGCCATTTCAGTCTGGATTAAAAGTCGTATTTTTAAGTTCATAATGGTAAATAACAATATTTGTATTTGCTAAAAGTAATTTTATTCCCTGGCAAATATTGAGATAAAATTTATTTTGCTAGTAGTAGTTTTAAAGTTTGTTTGATATGTAACCCTTTGAATAACATTAGCTGAATATTCTATTTATTTTATAAATGGTATTGACTGTACAAATGTCTCTTAGTTGTTAATGTTGGAGTGTTTCTTTCTGTGGAGTAAAACGAGAGGCTCATAACATTTGGCATATGTTTTTTAATCAATTACTTTATAAGAAATGATTAATCTCTGAATATCTGAGCATTAAAATATATATCATTATGTAAATTTACCTCTTGTTCAATCCAAAGGGTTTGCTTTTGGAATATATGGATATGATTTCATGTGAAGGTATATATATATATATATATATATATATATATATATATATATATATATTTATTTATTTATTTATTTGTAAATATATATATATTTATATGATATAGGGGCATTTGCATTAACCGTAGCACATCAAGCTAACATTATCTTACTCAGGCATATCCTAGTTCTTAATATATTTGTGTGTTTTTTCTTTGGGTTCTTTCATAGAATGGAAGAGAAATAGGAATGGGGGGATGATTTCTCCAATGATGGTTTTCAAAACGTAGCTGAAATAATGCTGCCATTCACGAGATTTGAAAACTGATACACATTTATGTCTGTAATACGTTGAGTATGTAAAAGAAAGAGTTACATACTTAGTTTCTAAACTTTTCTCCTTTTCAGTGCATCCAGAAATTGCAAGCTGAAGTAAAAGCTTCCCAGGAGCAACTTATAGCCCAGGTAAGTGTTTTCCTCCTTTTTTCATCCCTTTATTTATGTCATTGTTAGCTTGGAAATGAACAGAACATGGAAAGAAGTTATAAATGAGTTTCGTCTGGAGCAAACCAAATCACAAGGCTAAAAATGAGTATTTTTACTGCGTCTACACAGTTTCTTTTCATACATAAAATTCTGATTTTTGTGGATGACCAAAATTCCAAACTGAGCTCTTATATATAATCAGATGGTCTAATCAGGTGCTATCAGAAGAAGAGAACTGGAAACTTAGGACAGAAAGATGAAGAAGCCAGTCTAGTTGGGTGAGTAGGTGGAAGTGGAGAGATGTGGTAATTATTGACCCATCAGATAAAGGTCTAGAGCAGTTCTTCTTAAACTTTACTGTATGTAAGAATCACCTGATAGCTTCTTAAAACAAATTACTCAGATTCTGTTTCCTGCATGCCTAGGTTGGGGCCTGGGAATTTGCACTTTTTGGTGATTCTAGACTCAGACAATGCTGATGCTGCCAGTCTTCAGGACACACGTTAAGTGACATTATTTTTTATACATTTTTTATACATACATATATATATTACATATATTTAATATATATTATTAACATTAATATTGATTTTAGGCAAGTGACCATATAAACCAATCAGACTACATAGTTGCCCATTTTCTCCTGCAAGTACTCGCCTGAGAGAGACCCCATGAATTTCTATGGCAAATTTCATTTGCACACTAGCCTATGTTTACTCTGAGAACAACACATAAGCATCTCCTGCCACAATACCCTGTGTGTCCATGACCATAAATCTGTCACCCTGCCACTATTCCTTCCCAAGGATCTGAACAACCCAAATGCCTTAGACATCTCCTCAAAGACTTGATTGCCATCCTTTTGGTCATCTTTTTCATCCACATCTTGGCTGCTATGGAATGACTTCTTGATTAAAGATACTGACCAGTCATGTTAATGGCCAATCTTAACTACACCAGGCCCCTCAGACAGACCTGAGACCTATGAGGTTGCCCTCCAAAAGACTGCAAGATAATACATTCTGGTGACCATTCCTTTGGGGTTTGGAATGAACTGACTTGGGTAAAATATTGGTAATTGTCCCCATTTTTGTGCTAGAGAAGAGAAAAGCTAATCTGCTGTGGCAGTTAGCAGAGCTTTTAACTCTAAATTCAGAATCTTTTTTGGGCTTGTATGTTCAATTGTCCAATATTGAAAATGACTAAGGCTTGCATTTGTAGCATTGTGACATATTTAGACAGAAATATGTCTCATTAGCCAGTATTTTGTTGCAGATGCCTTTCCCCTGGTCTCCCCCTGAGGGTGCCAGATAATGACTATTGTCAGAGGATGTCCCGTCACGACATTTGATACCCACAGTCATTCACATGGAAGAAGCTTTTAGCTCAGAATTTTATATGGAGGGCAAATGTATTCACTAAAGCTCAGATATTAGCTTCCAGCATCTCTTTGTGAAAAACAGATGAAAAAAGCCATAGTTCCTGGTGCCTTAGGGAAATTCCTATAGTGTCTTCTTTCACTGCCTAGTTACTATGGATGCTATTCCTGTACCATGCTGTTACTGCTTGAGACTTGTCTGAACTAGAATTGCTTCCCTGTATTAGGGTATTGATACCAGTGACTGAGATTTCTCATATGTAATTGTCCAACATTCAGGTTTCAATACAACAGTGTATTCATGAAAGTTTTGCTTCAATGTGTCAAGAAAAACTTAAATGAAAACAGTATTAACGATAGTATTTATTGAAAGTGGATTATGTATTTTCTATGTGGAAGATATTTCACATATCTATTTTAAATCTCAACACAACCCAGCAAGGTAGTCATTAATTTTCAGAAAGAAAATGGAATCTTAAAAAGATTAGATCACTCGTCACACTCTGAAACCCATGATTTTGCTATTACAACTTGCTGTCTCTCCAAATTATATTCTCTATGTGCCATTTGAGGTATCAAATGGTGTTTATAAAGGTTCTATCTCCAACCTCCTTTTCTCTTTCTGTTCACTTTTGGTGATTCAGCAGTTCATAATGCTTCAACTCTCACTCCCATGCAGACAAACTGCCTTCTCCCACAGCAAGTTCCTTCTATCTTAAGCCTCCCCTGATTAGAGATCTGTAGTGTTTTAATGAGCACTTCTTAGAACATTGTCCCTGAAAAAAACATTCCATAGGATGCTAAGAGGTATTCTGAAAAAAAAAAAAAAAAAAAAAAAAACAACAACAACAAAAAGTAGGAAGACTGTTGGAAACAAAGTTAAATGGGTTTATTTCCTGCAAGAGTTATCCATGTACAAACAATCTCCAAGAACAGGCTGTTGTTGGTCATTTTTCCAAAAGAGTTTGATTATGAATGGTGATTTGTAACACACAGGTTTAGAGATGGCTGGTACACGGCATCAAACTGAAGTACTCTGGTTCTTAAATATGACCTGAATATCTTGCTGACACCTCAGGCTAAGAATATACAAAGCCAAATTTATCATCTTCTGTTATTATCTCTTAAATATGTTTCTCTATTCGTATCCCCCAGCCATGGTGGATAATATCACACTACTGTTATTTTTTCTAGATTCAAACTACAAAGCAGTTTTAAAATCCTACCTCTCTCTGCCTCTGTCCTACTTTGGTTAGTTGTCAGGCCCTGAATATGTTTCTACAAGTTATCTCACTTCCATGTCTTCTATTCCATTATACTGCCACTTCTCTAGCTCTTTTTAATCGTCTTATATTTTAATTATTGTAACTGGCCCCAAATTGTTAACATATGTGAGTGAATTCAGAGCCCCCCACAACCCCACTCCCCGTTACAAGGTAGCCCACTTGCTCTGGCACCATCAAGCCCTATTGAGAGAAGAGAGAGGATAAAAATCTGTGTGTAAAGATTTGGAATGGGTGCAGAAAACCAAACAGAGCAAAAGTGTAACACTCACAGGGTGAGTGTGATCTGCTGGCGTGGCAGAGAAGAGAAAGGGGATTTAAAAACCAGGGTGGTAGGAATGGAACACTGAAGATGGGGTGAGGGTTCTTCTGGAATAAGAGATGAGAGTTCTGAGGATGCTGAAGATTAGGAAATAACTTGAAGTATTAATAAGAGTTGCCTGGCAAAATATGTACTTGAACCCCTTTAAGTGAGAGTCCCATGGAAAGTTTGGAATTTCTGTTTGGAGTGTGCCTCCTTAATGTAACACCTGTGGGACCTGACCTCTATAAGAGTCTCCTGGTTTCCGTGCCTCCATCCTGAGTGAAGTTTCCAAAGCATAGTCCCTGCCCCTCATCTTCTCTTCTCCCTCACTCCCCTCTCTCTGCCTTACACTGAGCCTACTACTAGAATGGAGCTGCTATCTTTCTTTACATATCCAGTATTATTTGATGTTCTGTGATTTTGCTCACAGTATTCTCTTAAACTGGAATATCCTTCTCTCTTCTCTTCATTCAAATAACTCTTTTCTGTCCTTGCAAGACTCAAGTTATGTACCAACTTCTCCCTTAGTCCCCAGATTATTTTCTGTGGGTCCCCACAGCCTCCTTTAGATACATCTATTTGAGCTGTTAAAGTAAACATTGTAGACAAATTAAATTTAACAGAGTTCATGTGAGCAAAGAATGATTCCTGAATTGGGTAGAAATCAGAACCAGAAGAGGTTGAGAAAGCTCCATCCAGCAGCATGAGTAGCAAGCTTTTATAGGCAAAACACAGAAGCAAAGTAAAGACATTATCTGTTGGCTACCTAAGTTAGGTGTTTGCCTTATTTGGGTGTGGTTGGATCAGTTGGGTGCCTGTGATTGGCTGAAGCTCAGCTGTTTGTGACTGGCTGAAACCCAACTATTTGTTACAAAAAATATACTCCTAAGTTAGGTTTCAGTTTGTTAAGTAGGAACTCAAAATAGGGAGAGAACCTCAGGCCAATGGCCTCCTGCTTATTTAACAGAGCTCAATACACTACACTTTGTTGACATTATCTGTTTATATATCCGTTACCCACTAGACTCTAGGGACATTGAAGGCAGCACTAAGAATGTGTCTCTGAATGCACTACACCCAGTACAGGGCTGGGTGCATTGTAGCTACTCAATACATTTTGCTGAATTGCATTGAATTTTATTCTGATCATGTCATTTCCTTAGTTCCAAAGCCTTGAGTGAGACATTGCTTGTCCATTATCCCAGAATAAAGTCTAACCTCCTGACCATGGCATTTATCATGTTGACAATGGGGACCTGACCCCCTTTCCTGCCTCATCTCCATCTCCATCTGCGACCCCCAAGTGCACCCTGCATCTCTGCCCTAGCAGCTTTGCTTGTAGCTCCTTGCTACCCTGAATGCCTGTCCCTGCCATTGAGTTTGCCAGACTTTCCCCATTCTTTATCAAGATTGTTTTTTCCACGAAGTTCTCCCTATCAGTCCAGAAGTAATCTCTCCTTCTTTGGTGCGTTCACAGCACTTCTCTGTGCCTCTTTTCAGTCATTTGTCACACTATGCCCCACAAGAGAATGATCTGATGCAGCCTCTTTCTCAAGACTGCAAGTTCCTGGAGGAAGTATGTCTGTTTATCTTTATTCCTCCCACAGTGTCTGGCTCGATGTCTTGTACAGATTTTATTGAAATGAATTGTTAAAGTGGCTAAATTAAAAATAAAATTATTTTGGCATTTGTAGGAGCACCCTTTATATATCAGGGAAAATCACTTTATGACAAAGAATTGTATTCTGTGAAGATGTCAATATTACATCAGGCATTAATTTAATGAGGCTGACTCTTTCAAATATAACATGCAAGTGACAAAAGGTAAGGATCTCTTAGAGTGGAAACAGAAGGAAAAAAATAGCAGAGAAAGAAAACACAGTTGCTGGAAATTCCTATTTCACGTGAAATAAAAAGAGTTTCTAAAGGAAACATGGTCTTAACATGAAAATTAACAACGTAATGTCTTGGCTTGCTTTTATTCAGAGTTCACTGCTCTAGAACTCAATAGTTGAATAATATGATTGTTTAATTAAATTGATAGCTATGAAATGGAGAGGAGATGAAAGCCTTAACATTTCAGAGTTATCATTTGCTAATACTTTGAAGATTAAATTCTCACCCCATTAAATTTACTGTGCCTAGTCACAACTTAGACTTCTAAAGAAATTATTAAGGGTTACCCCTCCCAGTGCACATGTGGGCACCCAGGCTGAGCCATCACCGGGCTAAGCTGCCCTGGGCATCTTTATCACTCCCTCCCATGATTACTTATCCGCTTAAAGACCTACATGGGATAAAACAAATATTTGAAATGAATGTTTATAATTACTTAAAGATATCTGTTCTTGTTAGGGCGATTTGAGTCAGGACTAGGTATCTTAATAAAAAATTCCTTTTAAAATTAATGCCTTCCAAATTATGGAATCCATATGTTGCCTGTGTTTAGTATTAGCGGGTATAAGTGCTTAGCCCCATCTGTTCACTCCTTCGTGGATGACCTGAATATCTGCAGTACTCCAGATGTCTGCCTCCCCTCTTTACCTCCATCCCAACGGCCATCCCATCTCTCAGTTTCCAGCCACCCACAAGACCTGACCAGGACCAAAAGCTCTATAATATTCAATGGGTTTATTTCAAAATGGAAATCTGGGTAATTGGGTGGTAGGCACTCAAGTGTGATGTTATTCTCTATACTGTCCTGTATGTTTGATACATTTCATAATAAACTAAACAGTTAAAAACATCCAGATGAAGGAATCCTTCAAATGAATCGTACAGCATGCTTAAAAGTGTAGGACAGATGAGTGAATTTTGGAAACCAGAAGATCCTGAACCACTGAGGCCTGGAAGCTCAGGGTGAGGAACTCAGGGCATGGGAGGCACCCAGGACGGGGGTCTCCCAAAATGCTGGTTTAACTTCCTTTCCTCCTACAAAGAAGCTATAAACTGCCATTTTACTTTCTAAATTAAGAATCTGTAAGAGCGGACTGCTCCCTCCTAGAATTCCAGGCCCTCTGCTAATTGACTTGTTCTTACCATAACAGAGGACATGGCCTGTTTCCTTGGGTTTGGTTCTGTTTTGTTTTGCTGCCTAAGCATCCACTGACACACCTTTGGCAATAATACCCAGATATTCTCTACAATTGCATCTCTCCCACTATGTGCAATCTTCCAGGGCCTGTCATTCAAAGAACTCTGTCAGCTACTAGCTGAGGAGTGGACATGTGCCAACTGGACTCTCTCTCCAGGGACTCAGCACATTAAATTCAGGTGAGGAAAGAGAGAAAAAACAGTTGGAGCTGGTACATTCTACCAGGGATACCCAGGCATCATGGTGAAGTAGCTTATGCTGCTTGAACCAGAACTGTCCTAGATCCTCTCCATTTCTGAGTGTGTTTCCTACTGATTTTAGGAGGTACCCCCAAACCCTCCAATAAATTCTCTTTTTCTTTAAGCTAGCCAGAATCAGAATCAGTTGTTTATAACTGAGAACCCATCATTCTTCTTTTATCCCAGTAGTTCTGAAAATGTGGCTCCTGAACCAGAAACATTAGCATCACCTAGGACTTTGAAATGCAGATTTTGAGGACTCATCTCATTCTGCTAAAGTCTGAAATTCTGGGAAAAGGATGCAGAGTTTTACAAGTCCTGTAGGTGATTGTGATGGTGGTAAAATCTGAGGTGTACTGCACTGTCCAGTGAAGCCCCTAGCACTTCCAGCATAGACCCTTACTTTCTGACCAGGACATTGTCCCCGACCAGCATTTCACAGATGAGGCTGGCCTCACGGGCCTCATGCTCCTTGTGCTGGGATACCTCTCCAGCCTGATTCCTAGTGCAGTGCCGGGGATTGAGACATGGAGACATGCAGTAGCACACAACACATGTCTGTTCAACTGGTGAGTCAAATGAGAACGATCTTCCTGCCCTCCCTCTCCCAGTCCCACACTTCTATGTGCTCTAGAAGCATCACTTCATTCCTGATGCTTGTCATGACTAATTCTACTGTAAAGTGACAGCAGTTAATCACACCTTAGAGTCACATAACAATATACAGCTTCCTAAATGCTCCCACCCACATCATGTCATTTATATTTCACAATAATCCTATGAAGTAGATATCACTCCCCCTCCTTGATCAGCAGAAGAAAGTGAGAGTCAAAGACACAAAAATCCCTGCTCACAGCAAATAGCTGGTATGTAGCACAGCAGACTTGCGTGTAGATGTTCTGATGTAAAGCTCCTGTTTTTAAAGCCGAATTTCACTTCTAAGTCAGTATTTTTGCTGCATATATATGCCAATGCACAGATGCCAGCTGTGGCAATAAATTAATTTTAATGATCTTTTAACTTTATTTTAAAATATCATATGGCAGACTCAGACCACATGGCAGAGTTAATCAGTGGTTATAATAGAGTTCTACCTGTGCCAATGAGGAATAGGGAAATTCCTTTCCTGCGGGCCATTCTCTTAGTGCCACATGTACATTAATCTAAATGGAACATTCCTCAGTGATTATTTATGAACAGAAGCAGGTGGTACTGAATGATTGCATGTGAGATAAATCTAGGAAATATTTTTGTTGCATGTGTTCATTATATTAAAATGAGCCCCTCTCTGTATCCCACCTTCTTTGGTTAGATTATCTGCACTGGATGATTATTTAGCCCCTCATTTTAACCCTTTATGTCATTACCCCATGGCTCATCTTTCCCATGCTGAATCTGGAAAGATTGAATATCATAGAAGAATAGCAGAAGCTTTCAAATTCCATTAGTGGGTCTTGCTGCCAAGCTTCTCTGTGCGCTCAGAAGAGGAGGGGTTCTGAGCTCTCTTCACATCAGCAGGTTGCTCCTAACCTAGATAGAATCAGCACTCTCTGAACTATGATCCACTAACAGATCCTGCCCAGTTAGATGTGGTTAAGAAGCTAATCTGTAACGCATTGAAGCAATATTCAAAATGAAACTTTGGAGCCCCACCAGGATATTATCTTTTCTTTTCCCCACCAAATAGCCAATGCACAATAAATTGCTCTAGAAGCCACTAATTAGTTGTTGGCTTTACTAGTGAGGACACACTGAGGGACAGAGACCTAATGTTTGAGTTGGGTTCATTACATCACACAAGGACCCTGGCTGGCACCCAGGAGGCTTATTTTCCCCTTTCTGATCAGATCTAAGTCCTGTTTCCTCATTTTCTATAGACGATGAATAAGTTTAAACTGAACAACCACCTGTACCAATTCCTGCCACACCCCCCACCCTACCGCCCCCAGCTACCGTTGCAGGTGTCTAGTCTTTGCTTAGCTATTTGATTGGACACAGGGCGTAGACATTTTTTATAAATACCTATTAGCTAACCACGCATTTCTTCAAACATGTATTTCAGTTTCTTACTTAATAAGCTTAGACTTCTCACATCAACATTCTATCAAAGGAATATACAGATTTTAGAGGTTCTCATATTCAAATACAGATCAGTTACAATCCCTATTTACTTGCTGAAAAATCGGATGGGAACAATGTAAGACAGTCTCAGCTCTTCCCCACTCTGATCCTGAGCCACATTTCTCTATATAAAACTCCAGCCATTGAGGCTCACCCAGAACTCATCCTTTACTATTACTGTAAGAATCTAATAGAAATCATATTTTTATTGTTCTTAAAAATTTAAATTACTTTAAGAAGACTGAGAGGCATACCTCTCCATTATAGAGAGCAGAAAGATGAGCTATTTATGCGAATCATGAGGGGTTTTAAAAGTCCTCTGGTCCTGCGGCCTAATCCCTGCCAGAGAGGAAGACAGCATTGGGGAGTGAGACACTGGGCTAGACCTCAGCTCTGATACCATCTGTGGACCTGGCAAAGGTTACTCTACTTCTGTTCCTTCTGTCAGTAGAAAGAAGCTGACATTACTTAGCCCCATATAGTTTTTTGGAGGTTACGTAAAGTTGTGAAGTGAGATAATTCACATGAAGTGGTTAGCAGAGTGCCAGAACATAGTAAGTGTTCAATAAATCTATTAACAGGTTATTCTAAAATTGAGTTATCCCTTACAGTAACTGTTCCCCAGTTTATGAGATTATAGTTTATAATTCTATGGAATAAGGCACCTCATGTTAGCTGCCTATTTATTTTATAGACAATACTAGGAAGTTTATTAATTAAAGACAAAATTGCTTTCTGAAGAGAATCCTGTCATGTCCTGTCAGGTCAGTACTTTCTCGGCACATTTCTTTCCATGGTCAATGTCTTCTTAAGCCTTTCCCAAAGCTATCTGCTTGTCATTTAATTGTCTGTTTCTTTCTTTATCCACCATTAGATTATAAGCTTCTTGGGGGTAGAGCCTGGGTCTAGTTCACTGTGCCTTCTGAGTACTAGATTGTCAATTAAGTATTTGTTCAGTCAATCAGTTGTTCAATCAGTCCTTCAGTCAATCAAAGGATGAGTGGATAAATGAATGTGGGTAGTTCTTCAATTCAAGAAATATCAAGAAAATCATTTCCAAAAGATTTCTGTTCTACCCCTAACCCAGCTGGCCATTTCAACCAGAGAGCTCTGTGCTTCACTCCACTCCTGGGCTGATCAGGAGTCGATATTTGAGCTCAATGCTTAGCTTTAAAAAGCTTAGGTGAAAAGAAGCAGGACTATCTAAATATAGTCCTTATTTTCAGATATGTAACTTAAAATCCTTCCTGAATTAAGTGAGATCAGCAGAGAGCCACATTCCTAGACTTCAGCAAGGTGCCCTAGAGCTACTTTATTGAATGGCAGGCAGGAGGGGGTAGTCTGATGTTCATGACGTACTGTGGGAGGATTTTATAAGAAACTGCCCTGTGAAGCTTATTACTGTGTTTACTGTCAGGTTATTATTGAGGACATTTATTATTCTATTAGGTAGTATGCCTTCCTGCACCAGTAATGTTGCTGCTTCCACTGAGCGCTGGGCTTGATTTTATTCCATGGATGCATTTTTGTTTTTATAAATGGTTATTTTGACCATCAGAAAGACTACAGCCAACTTTCGCCTTACCTCTAACAAATGAGTATTTTATGTTAGGGCATGAATTGTGTGAACCTTCCCTCTTGCCCCATTTTACTTCTCTGCCCTTAAATTCTCTTTATCACATCTTTTGAGTTCTTATTTTAGTGGCTTCTCACTTAGTATATCTACCTTTTTTTTCAAGCTACACTAAATCCTTTCTGAAATGTACAGTCTCAAAGTAAATCAATGAATCCTAAGGGAAGTAGTCAGATCCATATTGACCCTAAGTGGTTCTTCCAGAGTCAGTTTCATGGACTGTGGATTCAGTTACATAATTCTCACTTAAAACCCTCAGTGGCTGCCCATAGGTCTCCTGATACTCTCCCGCTACCTTCTACTGCTAGTTGACACCCAGTGATGGTGCTCGTTTGAGGACTTGGAATTCACTAAGAATTCCTCTAGGTTCAGGCCTCCATCCCTTTGCAGAGTGAGTCTTTCCCTCTGCTCCATCCACTACTTACTTTCAACAACTGGCACTCATCTCCCCTAAAGGGCAAGCCTTTCTTGACTTCTCAGTAAGAAGCCAACCTCTCCTTGTGCATATTCCATGGATCTCTTTTTTGCCTTTATTCTACTCCATTAGTTGAGTTCCCCAGGTTCTGGGACTTGGCTTTATTCATATACAGTTCTTGACACACAGGAGGTGCTCAGTAAATACCTTGTTCAATGAATGAGAATGGAGTAAGTGAGAGAATGTATAAATGCCATATACCTGGATTTAATGTTGATTTTTAAAAATGAGCAAAGTAACAGCAGTTAAGTGTGTCTCTCTATAGCAAATCGTCCAAAAAAGATACTAAGAGATTTATTTGTAATTTTATCTTATTTTCAAAAAGAAAGAAAATCAAATAAAAATTTGCATCTCAAGGGGATACAGCCTGTTACTTTATGAATGTTAAACTTTTGCTGTTCTCTTGATACAATTTTACACTGTCATTAAATATTAACTATAATGTTTAATTTAACCATATTTATTTATTTATAGTCTAAGTTCAAAAAGGATCTGAGATTGTTAATAAGATGCAAATGTGTGAAATAGTTGTATTTTTAAAAAGCACTTAAAGAGCCATAATTGAGAATATATATTTGAATAAAATAGAAATATCAGGAAAAAAAATAGAATACACATATGTGAGTTCTAACTTCCCATGCAATATAGCTGAAACATAAATATGGCTTTTATCTTTCTAACAGCCAAAGGCAGATCAAGGAAAATGATCAAATAAATAATTAGTGTGTTGGGGGGGATGCTACCATTCATTTCTGTTGAGTTAAGCCTAAAATGAGATTCTATGTTGAATTTCATATAGGGAATATTGAAAGACATAGTGAGGGGAACACTCATGAACATATCAGACCAGCAAATGTAATAATTGGTTTTATTTGGCTGTTTCTGTAATTTCCATCAAAAGAAGCCAAGGACATAACATGTAAATAGTTAATCTTTCCTTATTGTAATTCTAGGCTAGCTAGTATTGCATATAGTTTTAATCCCCAGCTATTTATGATAATCCAGCTGGCAAAGTCTACTGCAGTCGAAGGCCAAGTAAGTAATGTAGAAGAGGGAAGATGGTCAGAACCAGTCATATGGGTCTGGAGGGTGCCTGACTCACATAAAAAGGAGAATAAAGCCCAAGATCACTAATTTTTCAGACAATGAAAATCCAGATTTTTGGTGTGAAATCTTCTCATTTGTAAATGTTTTCAACTGATTTGAATAAAACAGATTGCTCTGTGTGGCAAACAAAATACATTTATTCATAGCCTAAATATGAGCCTTACACTGGATTTTACATTCAGGCTGCTATTTTCTTACATCTGTTCTACAATTTGAAAGATGTTCTCCAAAAAAGGCCAGGAATAAGTGAAGGAGAATTAGGTATTGTGGTGGTTGTTTCAGCCACTTTAAGTTTGCTAGTTAGATAATGCTAGCTTTTGTAACACATAGATCCCAGAATTTCAGTGCTTACCACAATAGAAGTTCATTTCTTTCTCATTCAAATAACAGTCCATTGTGGGACTTGCTGGTGGGCAGACTCTGCCCATTCATTGTTATTTAGTGTCATTCTGTGATAAAAACTGTTGGAGCCTCTGCTGTGCTCAGCATGTAGGATCCAAGGTCATTTTGGGGTCATCTCTATCCCAATTGGCCAAAAAAGAAGAGATTGTTGAGGTGTGGGCTTGGAAAACTTCTAACTGGTCATACGTGGAAGTGGTGCATTGGTTAGAACTCAGTCATGAGACCACATTAATTACAAGGAATGCTAAAAAGGGTAGTCTAGCTGTATACCCAGAAAGGAGAGGGGAATATGGATTTTTGTTAAGCAGCCCTAACATAAAATACTCACTTGTTAGAGGTAAGGCAAAAGTTGGCTGTAGTCTTTCTGATGGTCAAAATAATCATTTATAAAAACAAAAGCGCATCCATGGAATAAAATCAAGCCCAGCACTCAATGGAAGCAGCAACATTACTGGTGCAGGAAGGCATACTACCTAATAGAATAATAAATGTCCTCACTAATAACCTGACAGTAAACACAGTAATAAGCTTCACAGGGCAGTTTCTTATAAAATCAAATCTGACTCAGGCTCCATGTGTCATGTGTTAGCAGAAAGTTCAGTTTCGGTCATTTGGGAGGAAGGGTGGTCCTCTCTCCCTCCTGGGATTTGCAGAAGTACCCCAGTAACTTTACTTGCCAAAAGTTGGGGCCACTAACTTCTAGTGGGTTGTGACTTTCCTTCCCTCTGCTCCATGTCCATGCCTATGGGCCCATTCAGAGCCTTGTGGCTCTTTTTATTCAGTGCTAAGCTTTAACAGAGGGTTTATGGCAGCTCCTGGTCTATATACAACACTCAGCATCAGGCCTCTTTACATATAATTGCCTATTTCAGGTCTTATTACCCAAAGGACCTGTGTACAAGTGGAGTACGCTCTCTGCTGTCTTAAGAACCCCCAATACTTAATCTGCTCTAAATTCTGAAGCAACTTCCTCCCCTTAGGTTTTTCTACTTCCTTTTCTTTTTCAAAGCACCAATCTCCATTCCCTCCCTTGTTGGGGCATTTTCAGGTTGTTTTATTAATGAGACCAGGTTTCCCAACCAAAGGCTTTCCAGATGCTCAAACTCTACCACAAAAGTTAATTTCCTCTCCTTGCATAGGAGTTGGGGGTAGTGTTGGTAATGTAGTAGCAGCAATTCCTCTTTATGAGGAAGTTAATGTTTTAAGGCTGAACTTACTTGAAACTTAAGGGATTTTTTTTAGAGGGTTGTGTACTTAGTAATGCTTAGATAGGAAGGCTTAAACAGAAATGCTTAGACAGAAATATGTGCTTAGATAGTTGAGTCAAAATGTGATATATTTTTATTTATTTTGTTCGCGAATGTGAAGAAATACTAAAATTATTAGGTAAAATAAAATCAAAGCTGTAAGCATTAGTTCTTAGCACTGAAATTGACTTTGCCTACTCTTTCACCTGTTAGATATCTTTTACTCCCCAGTGATAAGTTTATTATCATCAGATTTACCAGGTGGTAACATACATAAGAGGAAATGTGAGTACCTACACCAATAATCATGATACGTGATAGAGTCATTGGCAAGGTCTGAGAAGAAAAGGGAGACTCAATAAATGCCTGTCTCTCCTCTCCCCAGCCTTTCCTCACACTATACACACCCTCCATACACACTGCTCCCTGCCCCAGTAAATTGGATGAGTTGACTAAATATTTAAGAAATTCTTGAGTATAAACTGCATGTATAGAACATTTTCCCCTCTGAACATTCAAGACAGACTGCTTTGGTTTAGAGCCCAGCTCTACCAGTTACTAGCTGAGTGTCTGAGTAGATTGCTTGATCCTGAGGCTTAATTTCCACGACTGCAAAATGGGGATACTAAATGTATCTAGCTCACCGATTTGTCATGAGGGTTAAATGTGTTAATTTTTATAAAATCCTTAGACTGGTACCTACAACACAATCAATTTTATGTAAGTGCTTGCTAAACAATAAAACAAAACAAAAAAATAAAACAACAAAACCAGCATACATTTCCATGTTTTGCTCAGTGGTAAGTTTTAACCACATTCTTTGTGAGAGAATGCTCTGAATGTTCAGCATCGTGATTATCTGTAAAATGGAATAATGGTAGAACCTACCTCAACAGGATTATTGTGAGAATTAAATGGGATGACACTGGTGAAGAGCTGAAAGTGGTCCTGGGATATAGCCAGCCCTCATTAATGTTGATGGTGATTATCAGTGCATCGGTGCTGCTGCTATTGTTGCCTTGTCCTGACCCTCATTTGCTACATATGCTTTGACATTTATCTAAGTGTTTAAAAGCATATATTTTTTGGTACCAAATTCCATTTTATTGATTTTAACTCTTAATTATTTCACTGTCTTCAAAAAAAATACATGTCCCTGTTGAGCCCAAGATATTACTCACTCATTCTTTCTGTGCACGAGGAGAGCATGTAGGAGACTGTTTTGTTTCTGCCAAAGGAGGAATTAGTACGGGGCGTTTCTGCTCACCTTCACTTGAGTAAGAACACAGTGATTGCTTTAGGCAGAGGTCAATGCCATGGGGAATGGAAAACTACTGCCTACGAGTTTTGCAACTGAAAAAGACAATCTTTGATGTTTCAAGGCAATTCTGACCACACTCTTTTTCCTCCACCTTTGCTGCCCTAACCTTTACTTTCTCAGCTTCCTGGAGAATGCCCTCCTACCTGTTTATCTCTAACTCTTGCTTGACCCCATAACCAAATGCCCCAACTGGGAATTTTTATGATGCATATTTCCTGTGCTCAGTGCTAAATCAAATGCAGCTGATTTTACCGTTTCTTTGACATCCATTTTTGGATGCATGTTCCTGGAGACATTTGTGTCCCTTTAGAGTGGGAGCCCGTGCAGGGCGGAGAAGGGCCTGATGGCACACACCTTTCCATGAGGCCCTTTTGACGTTACTGTTCACCTTCCTCATTGCGGGGGCCCAGGATGGGACTTAAACTGTCCCTATTTCATTATGTTGTTCTTTTTCTGCTTTAGCCTTTCCACTCTCAAATTCTCTTGTCAGGAATTCCTCTAGAAGCACCCTCAAGGAAATTGAATGAAAAAACTCAGAATTTTTGAAAATTTAAACAAGTAAATTTTTGTATAGTTTCCTAAAAATCATTGAGGATATCAATACCCTCTTTTGCAAAATAAAAAAGGAAATTGTTTCTAGCTTTAAATTTTATTTAAAATTTAAGTAACTGCTCATCTGCAGTTTTTTATCATTTGTAGTGTTTCAAATATAAATAATTCTATGTTTTGCCCAATCTCTTCCCTTTCTTTTATGTGCCATTTACTGAGGGCTGACATAAATCCCACTGGGAGACTACAGAGAGTAAAAAGCGACCTGGAAGAGTTTGCTTGAGCCTTTATGACTGAAAAGTTTTGTCATAGTCTCAGAATCTGTAACAATACTCAGTGACCATATTTAAAAAAATGATTCAGACAGACTTGTTCAAGCAGATGTGATTTCTGCAAGGATAGCCAGGTCAGAGTCCACAAATGGTTTAAATATGAATCATCTTAAAAAACAAAGAAAAACTAAAATAGTAACTCTACACTTCTTAAACTTTTTCCATTAAAAACTCATGACAATATTGTGTTATAGGAACTAAGAAGGACCTGAGCTTCTCATAGAAAGGATACCAGTAAATCACAAAATCCAAGAAGAGGCAAAGGAATGTAAAACCAAAATAAATAGTTATTAATTATTCATTCTTCAACTATTTTTACTGATCCTCACAAGCCAGTTTCTCATCCTTCAGGCTTAGTGGGTGCAGGGAGCCTTGGTTGTGAATTGCTATTGTCTGTCCTCACAGAAGAACTGGTTTAGAGGAAGGATTAAAAGGAAAAGCAGGAGGAGGTTTGGAGGGTCAAACAGGGAGGCTGCTTCAGGAGTAGGGGAGAATGCAGACGGCAGTAAGGGCAGGAGTGGGAGCAGGAACAATGTGAACAGTGAGACTAGAAGTTCAGTAGAGGGAATAGTCGGAAATCAGAATAGGAGGCGTTATTCTTCTTTGTGGAATTGCTAATAAGAATACAGCTAAATGTTTGCATTAAGCATTAAAAACAAGTTATGTCCAGTTTGAGCCCATGGGCATGTTTCCCCCTCAATGCTCTTTCCCGCATAAAACACACTTCCCCAGAGTGTGGAGCTCAGGAGGTAACCAAAGTAACCAAAGAACTCTGCCATGGTAACCCTTGCAAGGCTGCCATGTTGAGTTAAAGTGATTGTTGTGGATAAAAGCTTCACTGAATGGAAATGGAGGGTTGAGATTTTAGCCTAAACAGTAGCATGTTTAATGCTTATAAATGTGTAGTTTTTAGTTAATTGGAATAGCTAAAAGCTTAGTTGGGAAAAGACTCAGTAACATTTTGGGAGATCTTTCTATGACTTCTCCAAAACTGTGTTGCCCGAGGAATTTACTTTGCCTTTCAGCCCTGGATCTTAGAATAAGAATTTAGACTTTAGAATGACTTTCCAGCAAAGCAATCCCTTGCTGGTTAGTTTCAAGTCTGACATGTTTGGAAATTTGTGCCAATGAAATTCTAGCTGCACAGCTCCCACTGTTCTCCCATTCATGTCCTACGTACCTGTGTTGTCTTAAACATTGTTGAGGGTAAACAGTTGTTTTCAACATCTTCAGTATGGCGAATTTTTAAAAATATTTTTTAATTAGTTTTCTCTGATGGGTTTTTTTTATTTTTATTTTCAAGACAGTATGTGTTGGGAAAATTTCTGGCCTCAAAATATAATTCTTTGCACCTCTCATGAATAAATATTATGACAGAAGGATCTCTCTCTTTCAGCAATGACCATGTGTAGCCTTAAAAATGCTCAGTAGTAAGACTCTAGGCTGGTGTTTCTCTATCTGAAACTGTAGGTTCATGGGCATATTTTCAGATCTGTGTGGTGTATTAATAGACTGTGTGACCTGGGAGCTATTGTACACATCAACTTTAACATATTTTAGAAAGAGTCGATGGATATTTGTGTGCCATTTTCTGTTGACTCCCGCATAGCAGAGCAAACTAAATCTGAGGAAGATGGTGAAACGTCAGAACAGCAAGTAAAATTCTTCCTCTCTCTTGCTGGATTTCATTTAGGAGCAAGTGATCAAAGAGACTGAAAACCTGGAATCTTGAGGCTGGGTCTGTCCATTGGCACATTTGGGGATGATAGGGGGTGGGGAAAATCAGGTTTTACATGATTTCTATAAATTCACAGAGTTCCTGCATGGAATCTACCTTCAGCTTCACAGAAACAATCTTCTCTAAGCCTTCCAGATTGCCCACAGGAGTCTAAGGAGTTTCTTTAAAGAGAGATGTATGGGCTGGCTATGGCGGCTCACACCTGTAATCCCAGCACTTTGGGAGGCTGAGACGGGTGGGTCACGAGGTCAGGAGATCAAAACCATCCTGGCTAACAAGTGAAATCCCGTCTCTACTAAAAATACAAAAAAATTAGCCAGGCATGGTGGCGGGCACCTGTAGTCCCAGCTCCTCAGGAGGCTGAGGCAGGAGAATGGCATGAACCTGGGAGGCGGAGCTTGCAGTGAGAGTAGGTTGCACCATTGCACTCCAGCCTGGGCAACAGAGCGAGACTCTGTCTGAAAAAAAAAATAAAAATAAAAGAGAGAGATGTACAAGAAAGAGAATTTGTCAAAATCCATGACTGATTATATTTGGGATCAGGTGTTATTAAATATACAGTATGTATATAAAAAGTACAAAAATCACATATTTTGTCTCTAAAAGGTTTCATCCATCATTGGTTAGATAAAGCTATTAGACAATGTACTTTAAAGAAGTTGAGATACATTAATATGTGTTAGAGAAAAGTAATGAGGAGGGGAGGGGCTTATGATGGACTTGGCAAAGAAATCATGATTTGGAGTTAGTGTTCTGGAGAGAGTGACTTAGAAATCAACATACTGTTGTGTGGATAAATATTTTATAATTAGCATTAAACATTACAAAGGGTTCAAATTGCATCAGTAAAGCTTTTTAGAGGGAATTTGCTCATTGAACCATGAAAAGGGGGGATTTTCTGCAAAGGAGGCAGACAGAGATTTGCTAGGACCCTAAAGCTAATAAGCAAATTTGGGATAAGCTTGTACTTAGTTTAGCTTTAGTGGGGCTTCTAAGGTAGAGTCCTGTGATATCAGTCATGTTCTTGTTTTACAGAAATACCAGTTTAAGCAGAATAGGTATTAAGTGAAGGCCATGGCTAACTCTCACTCTCCAGGAGAGCCAGAGAACCAGATTTGGAAATGGAAGCTGAAACAATGGTCAAATCACACCACAGAACTTCCCCAGGTAGCTTCCCACTGCTGTATAGTTCTAGCTGGTACCTCTGGCTCTGTGCACTGGAAGCCTCCACTAGAACTTTTGCTTCTAAACAGGGTGTTTCTGCTGTGAACAGAGGGCACATAGCAGCTATTCTTATCTGAATTCTGGCATAAATGTTTCAAGCCTTGCACTGAGGATGCGAGGGAGGCTTCTGCTTTGAGAAAGTGAGGTCTCAAGGTGGGGAAATAACCAAGCTTAGGAAAAGTGTTCAAAGATGGTTGGCAGGCAAAAAGAATGCTATAGTTCCATCACACCCAGTAAGTTTGTGGGTCTCAGATAAAAGAAAATCAAGGCAAGTTCAACTGTAGGCTGGAAAAATATTAGAGTTCTTAATGATTGACTTATTCCATGCTATTTGTTTCTTTAAACCTTGTCCTTCAATATATCTGGATTTAAATTTGTCAAACAAAGGTGATAATGTGATATTATTAGTTATTCATATTGTTAACATTTTTCTTATGAATCATAATTGATTGGATGCTGTGATAGTCTTTCTTTTCCACCTATTACCGGGTGCAATGTCACACCTGTTGGCAGTTGGTGGCTTACAGGTACAGTGCCTTGGAGGAAATAGTGACACCCTAATAAAGTGATTCTCAAATTTAGTGAGTCTTAGGTTCACCTGAAAGCCCTATTTAAAATACAGGTAGAAGAGTTAAAATATGACCCAGCAGTTCTGTTCCTAGGTATATACTGCAGAGAATGGAAATATGTCCACACAAAAGCTTGCACAAAAATGTTCATGGCAACATTATTTACAATAGCAAAAAACTGGTAACAACTCAAATGTCCAGCAATTGATGAATGGATAAACAAAATGTAAAATATTCAACTAATGGAATATTATTTATCCATAAAAAGGAATTCTGGTTCATACTACAACATGGACAAACATTGAAAATACTGTGTTAAGTGAAAGAAGCCAAAAACAAAACTCCACATATTGTAAGATTCCATTGATTGAAAATGTCCAGAATAGGTACTGGTTGCCATTGGCCTGAGGGGGTGAGATGGATAAGGAGTGAGGGAGTGACTGCTAATGGATATGAATTTATTTTTGTATTTATGAAATGTTCTGGACTCCGTAGTGATAGTTGCACAACTTTGTGAATATACTAATATTGCTGAATTGTACACTTTAAAAGGATGACTGCTATATCTCAATAAAAAATAAAAATGAAAACAGATTCTTGAATTATTTCCCAAAGAATCTAAATGCATATCTAGGATGAGGGCTGGAAACATGTATTTTTATTTGGATGCAGCTGATCTCTGAACCACGCTTTTAGAAACATTGCATCTAGTCCTTACATGTGTAAATCTCCTAAGCTATGACATTGTAGAAGTAGTCATACAAATCCACAATTCTTCAAAGTTCATGACCTTGCTTTAGAAAATATCCGTAAAAATAGTACAAATTACTATCAGAAGAGTCTTCAGAATAAAGTATATGAAAAAACCCAGCATAGCTTTTTCCCAAATCACTGCTCTAAAATCAATGGGCGTAGTGATTTTTAATCAACATGATATTTACATATTTTTTTGCTTATAACCTGCTTGCACTCTGGAATAAATAAATTGCTACCTCTTAATGTCACTTGATAAGAGTCTAAAATACTTGAATTTGAATATATAAATCCATTAATTTAGCAAAATTTTAACATCAGTCTTATGCATTGGGTTGACATACTAAAGACTGAGTCTCTAGGACTTTGTCATCTAATGCAGAGGTTTTCAACCTTGGCCACCATTGAAGTCAACTGGGAAACATTTTTTTTAAAAAACGAATCCTGGGTTCTACTCCTAGACATCCAAAATTCTATTGATTTGGAGTACAAACAAGACATGGGGACTTTTAACATTTCCTCAAGTCATTCTAATGTGCAACCAAAGTTTGGAATTACTGCTATCAAGAAGAGATTACATAGAGACCCCATACATAGGTCTTATAGCACATTATGACAAGTGGAATGATCGTGGCTGTCAAAAATTACTATGAGAATTCAGAGGAACCATCCCTAACCCAGGGTGGAGCTGGAGACTGCTCCAAGAAGCCATCAGGTATGCCAGTGATACCTGAGCTGAGTATTAAATTAGGGAGAGGAACTGTCCAAGGGAAGATGGGGGTGGGAGTGATCTAGGCAGAGGAAGTAGCCTGTACAAAGGCAAGGAGAGTTGAAAGAGCCTGGATGTTAGCTAGGGGAAAGGACTGGTAAGGAAAATCCCAAAAGGCATGTCACATATTTTATAGCTGGCTACAGCCATTGGAAGTTTCCTCAGAAACCAACTTGAGTTGGCAATGCTGGGACTTTCAGGTCATGACATCTTCTTGCTTTGTTTCATTTGAGGAAAGGCAACAACTCCTTAATACCCCACATAATGGATTCATAGTAGAAAAAGAAAACCTAGCAGTGCTGGGCTCTTCCTGTGAGATTATTAACTGTTGAAAGGGATCCTAGCTTTCATTATTTGTAAACTGTTTCATACATGTCTACCCATATCCATTTCAATGTCACTTTTCCGGAAGTCCCTGAAACCCATGGCTCCAGATAAAGACCCCCTACTGTCCCTAAATTAAGCCACCATTGAAAGCAAGGAGGGTACACGCTAAGGCAACTACTAGGAAGCGCGCTAACAACGACTTTCCCTCAAGAGATGCCTGCTTCTTTCTTATCCCCAAAAGAACTTCAGGGCTTGGGTAGGCACCACATAATTATGTCAACAGACTCTGCTCTAGGTTCCTGACTCTGTATTCTTACTCTCTCCCCAGTCAGATTGCCATACAAATACAGGCGGTTCTCAGGTAGGGTAAATAACCATGTTATTTCCACAGGAATATTTGAGATTGTAGGGAGGTTGCCTTTATCTGGCAGGGTGGAGTCAGTGATGTGATAATATATGTTATCTTTTTTGAGTCTGGGTGGTCACTTCCATCATGTGACTTTAAAGACCTAAAATGAAAGAAGTTTACATCTTAGCAAACATTTAATGCCACAGTGAAAGATAGCATGGGAGCCAAACCCTCTGATGGTTGTTTCTTTTTAGATGTCTTTACTTCTAAAATGAATCTATTTTATAGATTGCACCATAGATTCTGAAATCCTTTCATGAAGAAGTTTGCTCTTTCTTTAGACCACCACCACGATCCCTATAAAACAATTTACAGGGAGATTCAATAGCAGGTCCAAGGTTAGAGAATCATCTTTGTCATACTTTAGGCAGAAGGAGGTTTAGACTCCTGCTCCTCTGCACAAATGAATAGTCCATGGTCTATAAGGTGCTTGCACTTGCACAGGCAGCCTTAGTTTCCATTCTCAGGGATTATCTTTATCCTTGTTTGTTTTCACAAAGTATTTTAAAGCACACACGCACACACACTCTCTCACACACGTACATCTCTAATATTGAAACTTAACCTTAGCATTTCATCTTCATACTCTTACTGATTGTGTTATTTTAAATGTTCTTATTTTGAGCAGATAATGCTGTGAATTATGTGTGTGAGACTGAACAAAGATAATTTCCCTTAGAACTTTTTCTGTACATCTATGACATTTCATTCTTATTACATTTCTAAATAGGTTATTCTTTAAAACAATTTTACTCAGCCTTTGCTCTGCAACCACAAAATATAGCCAATGAATATTTGGCCAGAAGGTCAATAATATAAAGGCATATAAATTTTAAAATGTCGGCTGGGTGTGGTGGCTCACGCCTGTAATCCCAGCACTTTGGGAGGCCGAGGCGGGTGGATCACCTGGGGTCAGGAGTTCACGACCAGCCTAACCAACATGGAGAAACCTCGCCTCTACTAAAAATACAAAATGAACTGGGCATGGTGGCACATGCCTGTAATCCCAGCTACTCAGGAAGGCTGAGGCAGGAGAATCGCTTGAACCCATGATGCAGAGGTTGAGGAGAGCTGAAATCACACCACTGCACTCCAGCCTGGGCGACAGAGTGAGACTCCATCTCAAAAAATATATGTATCTAAAATAAATAAATTTTAAAATGTCTTCCTTCTCCTTCCTACTTTCTCACTCCCTATGTTAACGATACATACTTTCTACACTCTATAACATAGAAAAACACATATATACATGTTATTTTTTTTAAGTTGATTTTTTGTTTGTTTTTACAAAAATGTGATCTTCTCTATGTATTACTTTTCAAATATATGTATCATCTGTTTCCTTTATCAGTTTGTCAGACATACTTACAACATGACTTTAAATGATATAATCGTAAACTAGTGAAATGTCTACCAAGGATTAATTTAATCTAAATATATTTTAATATAAAAATGTCTCATTAAGTTCGAGATCTCACTTTCCATCTTCCCATGCTCTCTGGTCTCCATCTAGCTAGTCCTTTTCAAACATCATTTTTTCCTCCCATCCCTATAGTATCCACACACTACATGTACACACACACATATACACACACACTGGAAGCTCAGGCAGGCAGAATTCATAGTAACATTGAGTGATGACTAACAGCTAGTGGTGTGCTGGTAAATGTTTAACAACCAGCTTTGGTGGAAGGTGGATGATTTATAGTGTTTGCCTATTTCTGTGGTTTAAATGCATCCTTTCGACATGGCCTTTTTTGAGCTACTGATGTTAGATCAACCAGTTCACATTTCCTGAAATTTTAACAACTGGCTTTCACAAATCTAAATGAGCTGGCTTCAGGCTGCCACTGACAGAGGTTATGTTGTCAACAATAGAAGGTGCTATGATTTATATAAAGTATCCTGTTGTTGGTGGAGAAACTCATCTAGGGGACAGCCTCTTTTTCAGGAAATCCAAAAAGTCATCCCAGACCTCTGCCTTGATCCAAAGTTGACAAGAGACTGGAGAATTCAACTTTCTAAGGATCCCATGAGTCCCTTTTAAATACTTTAGGGATCTTTAATGTAGCTCCCAATCTGGCAACTAAGCTTTTGTGAACTTTATGCGCTTGTCTCCATTTTACCAATGTTGAAGCTAAGAGTTTGCCCAGGCATCCTGCAGGAAGTCTTAAAGCCCAGCTCAGAACCTATTGTCCCTGGCCTCTGGAATTCAGAGTTATAGAAAAAAAGGGAACCTGGGAGATCAAGTACCTCCTCAGGTGGTCCTTAGACCCAATGATGTTTGAAGACCCTTTCCTAGTAGGTGACTATTTCTTCCATGGCAGCATAACTATAACTGCCATAAAGACCCTGAGATAGAAGGTGGTACCCAGAAAGTGTGCAACAGAAGGGCTAACATAACATCCAGCCAACTATGAATCTTCCCACACAACTGAATTATGAAGTTAACTGTAAATATCTCACAAGCTCTATTGGCTAAAAAAGTTAAATCAAGGGACAATAAAGGGAAGATTTAAAGAAATTAAAATGTAAACACAGGTTAGTAACTACTGAACTCTGGCATTTTCCTCCGCTACTTTTAATTAGTTGTCTTCATGCTTTTTGCCTAAGAAACAGGAACTTGCCACTGCAACTCCAGGGACAACATTCTGGGCTTGGTAGGTCCCTGCCTTAGACACGTAATCAGAAAACACTGAAAACTGTTTGCCCTTCTCAGAGCGAAGGGCCTTTCACATTGTCCCTTCATACACTGCTGAGGCTCAGGACCATGGCTGCTTTCAGGCTGTGTCCTCTGAAGAAAGCCTTTTCTATTTCTCATCCCTTTTGGGGTTCAATCTGCCCATGGGTCTTAGGAAACAGAGAGATTAGAAACAGTTAACAGCATTGCTTAAAACCTCATTCATTCCTTTCTAAAATATTTACAGGATGCCTATGGCAGGACATAGCAGTAAGCAAAATAGACTAAATCTCTATCCTCAAAGAACTTATGTCCTAGTGGGGTTAAAAAAAAGACAATAAGCAAATAAACTTGTAAATATATGAAATATCAGATGGTTAAATGGCTAAAAAGAAAAAGAAAAACAGACTATGAAAAGGGAGAGGGGTTCTGGGAGAGGGTGTGCAATTCTTTGCCATGATGTGGTCAGGAAGTCCTCACTGGTGAGTGGATGTCAGAGCAGTGATGTTCAGGGAGTCAGGAAGAGAGCTCTAGGAGCAACTGTGGAAGGACGCTCCCTCAGAGGCTCCAGGAAGGACAAAGATCATTCCTTTAGGGGTCCTAGGAAAGATTTCAGGGCACAGGTCTCTGCAGTCTATGATTTCCAAAGGATAACGGATAAAATGGCCCTCAAGCGTGAAGTGCTGTTGCTGCAGGGTTGGAGGCTCTGCCCAAGTCCTCAGGCCCCTGAGGCCCAGTGAGTGACACCTAGCTTCAGGGTTAGACCATGTCTGCCTTGTAGGCTGGATATCTTCTTGTGGTTCCAGGTCTTAAGACAAGGTTTCCAGGGAGAGAAAGAACCAGGGCCCTCTCAACGCTCCTCAAGAAACGCCCCAAATCCACAAAAACACCACATTACTCTCTGATGAAGATAACCCTGCCTATCAGCTCTGCATCGCAAGAGGTCAGCCCAGGCAAACCTGCTACTCCCCAAAAGCATCTCTCATGGGGTTTTATTGATTTGTGCTTCTCCTCTGAGTACTTGCTGACAGCAATAGTGCAGCGACAGTAATCTCATTGTACAGGTGTCTCTCCCACACTTTGTACGGGTCAAGTCTGTCTTTTCAAATCTGTGGGTACAGGTGATGTTGACAGAGCCTGGAGCTGTTTACAACTCGCCTCTTTCCTCTACCATCTGCCCAGGTCTTGGGTCAGAGAGAATCCCTCTGCTTTTGATTGTTGAGTGCCAGGTTGATCTATTTGCCCTTGAGATCATCCAGAAGTCTCCATTATGCCACATGAGTGGGTGTCACATTTTAATAGATTCTTAACATATTCTTCTCTCACCACTGATTTTACTTATTCAATTTCCCACACTGAAGACTATTTTATTAATGAACTACCCTTTCTCCACCTATGAATTAAAGGTGGCTAAACTCTACTAGGCCAGCTTTCCCCTGTGCCAGCCAATAAATTTCTATTTTCAAGCCTTGTTGGAGTTTCTGCCTTATATCTAAAAAACCATTTAACAGGTGGGACTGTTCTCATTGGAAAGAGCTGTCCTCAAAGCTTCATTCCCTCTCTGACCTCCAGAGTCACCCTAGGGTCACCCTGAGAGTCCTTCTTGTAGGCCTCAAAGAGGTCAAAGGATTTTCCTTAGTGCCTCTCTACAATCGTGTTTCAGAAGTGTTATTAAAATTGGTGAAAGGCTTTCTGTTCCAACTGTGCCTACACAAAAGAATCATTATTAATTGGACCTTTAGTTGCCAACTGACCAATTTTTTCTTTGCTGATGGAAATCATGGGCTTTTCCAAAATGTGCAGTCCTCATGTCACCTAGCACAACAGGCCAACCAGAGGCCACATCAGCTGTGTGTGCACCTCCACCCAATAGCAAGGTTTCTAACCATGAAGCACACTCAGGGAAGAAATGAGAGCAAACTAATGAAAGGCCAAAAACTTCTATTACTACTGCTTGCCCTTAGGGAAATATTAGGCCTAAAGGAGCCTATCTTCAAGGACAGGATGAAGGTTAAAAGATGTGCTTCCCTTAAGAAAACAATTAGCAGCTGTGCTAGGGTTTCCTTGAGACACTAACAATAATATCAACAACTTCTTTCTTAGCTGTTAGAAAGGAAAGAAAAAGGATAGTGAGAATAATGTAACCTTTAGTTTTGATTGAGAAAGGTACCGGAATTGCTCAATGTCCCATGAAATCCATTTGAATGGATCCTGTTTAAGCGTGCCAGCTGGAAGCAATATTATTTATAAAAGCAACAGGCAACATTCAGTAAGGAAACAGAACCTGTGAAATAATGTGGAAAAATTTTATTTCTAAACTTCCATTCTTAATGCTTTTCTCACTGGGGGTTTATATAAATTAAACAGATTTTGTTTGAGTATTTCCAAAACTCCCCAAATCTTTCACTGAATGGAGTGCTTTCTGAGCACTTTTTGCATGGAATTTCACAGACCCAAGGATAGAGATACAGCTGGGAAGATTTTGGATATCATTAAATTTAGAAATTGCCTCATAGATCAAGAAGAAGTCAGAATCTCTGTTTAAAAATCCATTGTGATTGCTGGAGCATGGGAGCCCTGTGGGCTGTGTAGGATGTAGGATCACCTCAGCGTGCCTTGCCTTCTCTCCTCAGGCTCCTGAGGGTCACTCTGTCTTAGAAAAGAGAATATTCAGGAAGTCACAGAGCTCCTTAGGAAGTAGCCTATTTTTCACCTCCTGTGCTAAGATAAATGGTGACAAATACTTGAATCCAAACATGGTTGTTTCGAGAGAAGCAATGAAAGGGATTAAAAGTTTTTAATATGGGAGAAGACTAGGTTGGTAGTTGTTCAAGCACACAAACTTCATCTTTAAGATAATCTGGATACCTAAACTGGAATGCCACAATAGCGCTGTCAAACATTTTGACCAGATTTTGATACTCTTAGAAAACAAAAAACTAAGGTATCTTCATCAAGTGTTTTCTTGAAGAGTTTTAAGGAGTATTGACTAAGAATGGATAATCACTTAGAAAAGGTTTGAGAATAGCATTTACTTATTTTCTAATCTATTAAAACACATTAATATAAAAGCACATCATCCACAATGGCATAGAGTAACAGTTCAGAGAAACAGTCTAGAAGCTAACAAGTTGTATTAGTGGTATCTGTCTTAGATCATCAAGAGTACAACTTTTGAAATATGACTTAGAGCTAAAACTCTGAGTAGAAATATCTCCTCATCAGTCATAAATGGTGACTTTCAGGTCAGCAGGAGCCTTAGAGACCATTTTGTTCAAAGTTGATGCAAGACTGGAACCTCTCAGCAGCATCCCAGTACTTCAAGGACAGCCCACTCTGCTCCATCAGGAATTTCTCCAGTTCTTAGAGGTTTATATCCCTCCATTCATGGCATGAGTGGCTGAAGCTGTCTCCTGGACATGACACTTGGGTTTTCCAGAAAGGTCCACACCCCTAGGTGCTTCTGGGAGGTTCCTCCTGACAGGTCTCTAACTGCTCCAAACATATACATTCTTCCTTTTATTTATAGCCAATGATGTACATTTTATATACAATCTATATACATTCACTTTATGGAGGGCCAAAGATTTTTACTAGTTAAATAGAAGATGAATGATTGTAGATTATTAATATTTGAGGCTCATCAACTAAACTTAGCCACATTGTTAAAATTTAAGGAAGAAGATATTCCGTAAGAAGATATTCCATATTTAATGCAATGCTTGGCAGTACTAGCAAGCTACTTCTATGAACATGAACAAGTAGTTGATTTTTGGTTTTTAATTGTTGCATTTTTTGGGTTTAAATTATAAATGAATGTTACTTTAGCTTTATCATTTTTGATTTAATTTGTTGAGATTTATTTGGCCATTTATTGAGGGTCATTAGGTTAAACATTATTTGGATATTTGGTTGATGAGTATTAGCATTAATAGTATAAGCTCAAACTGCAAATTGTTTATTTTTTTCTTCTAAGTTGTCACTGGGTTCTTTTTCAATTGGAAAGGTGGAATGAATCAGAGAGATGGATTAGAACCATAAAAAATGTTCCACATCACTAATATCAGAGAAATGCAAATTAAAACCACAGTGAGATACCATCTCACACGAGTCAGGATGGCTATGGTTAAAAAGTCAAAGAAACAACAGATGCTGGCGAGGCTGCAAAGGAAAAGGAAAACTTATACTCTGTTAGTGAAAATGTAAATTCATTCGGCCTCTGTGGAAAGCAGTTTGGAGATTTCTCAAAGAACTTAAAACAGAGCTACCATTTGACCCAGCAGTGCCGTTATTGGGTATACACATCCAAAAGAAAACCAATCTTTCTACTGAGAAAACATGTAGGTTCATCACAGCACTATTCACAATAGCAAAGACATGGAATCAACCCATCAACAGTGGATTGGATAAAGAAAATGTGCTGGAGGCCATTATCCTAAGTGAATTAATGCAGGAATAGAAAATCAAATACCACATGTTCTCACTTTGAAGTGGAGGCTACTAGATGGGAGAGGGAGGGAGGGGGGCAAGGGCTGAAAAACTATTGGGTACTATGCTCAGTGATGGGATCATTCATATCCCAAACCTCAGCATCACGTAATATACCCAGGTAACAAACCTGCACATGTACCCCCTCAAGCTAAAATAAAAGTTGAAAAAAATAATAATAAAATAAAATATTTGTTAAAAAGAAAGAAATCATTTTACTGGAGAACAAGAATAAAGACCATCTCTCAAGCTTCTCCATCTCCAATGTTCTGACCATGCCTTGGTGATAAGTTTAATAGAGTAATTTTTTAAAAGAGGAACAATGTTTTCATCAGTGTGCTTTTCTCCAGATATTTTGAAATCAAATAGTAAAACTTGTGTGTATATTTATTTTTAAAATATGACAAATGAAGATAATATGGAAATGCTGAATGGATCATGATTTGTGTAGTGGATGAATTATGTCACCTACAGAGGCCTGCGTTCCCAAATGTGGTGGAAGTGAGACATTTGTAGGGCTGTCTGGGCCAGCTCTACAGAATAAAAAAATTACACAAAGTAGGGAAAATTCCCAAAAAGCCGAACCTTTTTCAGAGAAGTCAATTTGTCCTTCATTGATCTGAGGAAGAGTAAAGGGAGTAAAGGCTTCTCAGTAGGCACCAAGTACCCATTTGGTCTGTCAAGATATTAGATCTTGGTAGCAAACTTCAAAGGGCAGTTTCTAGTGCTTTTTTCCAGCATTTGCTTTTCTTGGGCCACACAAAATATCCACCGTGTCCTTCGGGAATAAAGCCTGAAAGAAAAAGAACAGATCCCAGTTGTTTAGAAAATTAGCTTATTTTTATTATTCTAATGGTGAATGATTAGCCTTGGAAATGTCTGATTTTAAAGATCTTGTAATTTATACTGGCATGGTTTATGGTGTCTTTAAATACGGAACCAATCTGTTCTTAAATATTTAATTAGTGTAAAAGAATTGGGCGTGGTCTGCGGAAGAACGCCTTGTGCTGTCTATTGTCATTAATTCAGCAGTTCTCCCCTGCCCAGAGACAGCTGTACAATGTGCAAGGGCTGTCCTGAAATAACTGGACCAACATATAAATGTCAAAACAATAAACTAATGCTTCCCTTCAACTTGATCATTTGGTCAAATGCTAACTTCCAACTCCTCCGGCGCAGTCTCACCAGTACCTAGACAGAAAAATGAGAGGCATATACCTCAACTCTACCCATGTAAAATCCTTCACCAAGGTCAGCAATTTCCTACCCATTATTTGCTAAGAATTTTTTTTTCCTTTGAGACTGAGGCTCACTCTTGTTGCCCAGACTGGAGTGCAGTGGCGCGATCTCTGCTCACTGCAACCTCTGCCTCCCAGGTTCAAGCGATTCTCCTGCCTCAGCCTCCTGAGTAGCTGGGATTACAGGCACCTGCCACCATGCCCGGCTAATTTTCATATTTTTAGTAGAGACAGGGTTTCACCATGTTGGCCAGGCTGGTCTCAAACTCCTGACCGCAGGTGGTCTGCCCACCTCGGCTTCCCAAAGTGCTGAGATTATAGGCATGAGCCACCACGCCTGGCAATTTGCTAAGAATTTGAAGACTTGACTCCACGATTCATTTTTCAGTCTTCACCCAATCATTTCAAGAAATTTAAAGCATCCTTCAAGTTCTATATATGTGGTCTCGAGAAAAGGTTAAGCTTCTCCTGAGTAATTAGAAACCCTAGGGAAAAATGCATCACACCTTTAGAGTCATCTGGTAGACTACTAACAAAAAGACAAAAGAGGTTCATTAGAAGTAGTATGATCTTTGTTTGCCAATTACTGTTTTCCTGTTCATTTAATAAATACTTAGTCATCATCTGTTATGAGCCAGGCTCTGTGCACACATAGTGACAAACAACATGAAGATGATTGCCTGTGTCTCTTCTGGTACTTTCAGACCAGTGGAGGACATCATTAAATTAACAGACATTTGTAAGGCAGAGTGTAGCATGCTAAGACAGGGTAAATATGCATCTTTGTGACAACATCTGGGAATAGCCCCTAATTGAGCCTGAGAGTAGGTGGGGAGGTCTCTCAGAAGAAATGAAATGTAAGTGGAAATATGAAGTGTCCATAGGAATAGAGGTGAGAACATCAAGGAGAAGGGTATTATATTTAGTCCCTTGAAAAGGAATAAGGGCATTTCTTGGAACAGAAAGTTGTCCAGAAATAAGGGTAAGGAGGTAGGCATTGCCAAGAGCAGTTGGTAGCCATCAGGTGATTTTAGATATAGTCAGATTTATATTATAGAAACAGACTGGGAGCAATGTGGAGAGAGGATTGGAGAGCATGGGCCAAGGTTAGCTACTGCAGCAAACCTGGTTGGGGGCAGATATTGGCTCTCCTTTGGAAAGAGGTAATGAGGATAGACACGGAAGCCATAATGGGTGGGATGGTGAGAGATGGGAGATGTCTAGAGGGAGAACCCGGTATGCTGCTCCAAGAGCTTGGGCCAGAGAGTGGAAGGTGGCAGCAGTCATGGAGAGGGGGGAGTCTGTTGAGGAGCAGGCTGGGGAGTAGGCTGAATTTGATTTTGAACACACTGCCTTTTGGAATATCTAAGTACATGTGGTGGTCAAGAGTAAGTTGAAAATGCAGATCTGAAAAAGAAATTGCAAACAGGATTGGAAACTGTTTTAAATACAAGTCAAGGAAACAAATGGGAAATTTAGATCCTCTTTTATATGTTTTCCTAGAATTGTTTTTTGGTAATTATAAACATCCTTTGGAATCTTCAAAGGGGAAAATATCATCTCCCACCTTTGTCTTTCAAATATCTATGACAGCACTATAATTTCTAATGAGCTTGTTTATTTTTAACATTATTCCTGGGAATCAAAGAGAAAAGAATAGCAGGGAATAAAAGAAATTGCTATAGGAGGAGCTAGGTGAAGAACACCTACACCATGAAATATAGTTTTAATATACAAAAAATGAAATAGTTCCAATCTCATAAAATATTTGCAAAGAAAATTAGATGCATGAAGAAGTACAACATCTTAGTGGGCTTTTATTGGTCTATTTTTTTAAAGGTTACTTAATTCTCAGTTTACTAATTTCCAGAATTAGTGTTTTTGTGTCTTTGTTGATTTTTATGGAGTCAATTAAATACAGCTCAAGGACGTGGCAGTATCTTTCCCCAACTGTAGCCCCCACAACTGTTACTAATAACAACACAAACACAGACAAAGGATCTTTAACAAATGAGAATAACATACCGGTGGCTTGAGTAGAGTCATGAAGGAAAAAATGTACTCTATTTTTTAGTAAATTATCCATTTTCCCAAAAATTTGCATTGTGAAATGGAATGAAAAATAAAACATGAACTCATATTTAGTACCTACTTTATATTCATTCTAAATTTATTTTCTAAGACTTAGAACTGTTTTTAAAACAGTCTACATTGTCAGGTCATGATACACCTTATATAGCAAAGGGGGAAAAACAGTGCAAGGCTCACATGCAAAAAATACACAGATGCCTTTCGCAGTCTCAAAAAAAAAATCAAGGATTCCTGTAGCACGTGTGTGTCTTTTTCTGGTTGATTTTTAGTCAAGAGTTTGGTAGATACATTCTTGCCCTGACCAGGCTTCTAAGATCAGTGGTTTCCATTTATTTTTGTAGAGACTGAAGAAAAGGAATGACTACCTTGTGTGTTAGTCTGTGAGGGCTGCCATAACAACATGCCACAGACTGGGTGACTTAAACAATGGAAATGTATTTGCTTATCATTATGCAAGCTGGAAGTCCATGATCAAGCTTCCAGGAGCTTTGGCCTCTCTCCTTGGCTTGCAGGCTTCTTGCTGCGTCCTTATATGATCTTCCCTGTGTACATGGGCATGTCTAGTGCCTAAATTTCCTCTTCTTACAAGGACACCAGTCAGACTGGGTTAGGGCCCACTCTAAAGATCTCATTTTAACTTAAATATTTCTTTAAAGACTTTATGTCCAAATATGGTTACATTCTGAGGTACAGAGGGATAGGACATCAATATGTGAATTTGTGAGGTGGGGGACACAATTTGGCCCACAACATTCTCTTGCCTCAAGTTAGCATGCAGGAGATCAAGAACAATGCTAAAGGTTTTTGAGAAAAAAAAAAAAACAGGAAAGTTTCCTTCTACCCCTGTGACTTTATAATCTACAAATGAACTAAAAAACGAATAAAACTACTCTTCTTTATGAAAAAGTAAAAATTTAAATTTATCTAAACACAGAATGTTAAACCACATCTTAAGGACATATTTTGGCAACCTATGGAAATCCTAACTGAGTATCTGTTAATGCTCTGTTTTCAGCAAACTCACCTAGCAAGCTTAGTTAGAAAAGAGGCAAACCTCCAGGGCTGGCGAGTTATTTATGGTTAATTCTGAGGGATGACACTTCTAAATTTGTACAAGCTGCAGCTCAGCTCATGTTTTCTGTAAATAAGTACTGGAGACATTCTAATTCCAGTTGAGTTAGGAGGTTAAGCCCTAAAAACAAATTTTTCTCCTTAAAAACTGTGTCTTCTATCTTGAAGATTTTGTATTCTTATCCTATTAAAAATCAAGAAAAGCTATATTTTTTAAGTTCATAAGATTTTGGCATTAATTGTAGTAAAAATTAAACATTTAAAATCAAGTCTGTAATCATCAGAAGAATAAATTGTGCTTTAAAATCTTCAAAATCTTCAAAAGTGTGTGTGTGTGCGTGTGTATATGTGTGCGTGTGTGTGTGTGCATCTGTGTGTGTGCATGCACATCTCCAGTCATTGAATTAACAACCCATGTTGCATATTGGGCATTTTTATAGTCTGAGCTTTCTCACATTACTTTCTTCCCAACAAAATTCAATGCCTATATTGTGTGTGTGTGTTTTTTAAGTAGTTCTTATTAGAAAATAATCACATAATGCCGATAAGGAAACAACTTATGGAGGTATTAATCACTGGTTATGACATACTTATTTAAAGTCTTGGAAATAAACAAAATGAATACATAAAGGTAATCTCTAATGATAGAAATTCAACTATTATAGCATATTCAAATTCATTAATATAAACATAATTAAAAATACACTTGAAAGTATACATACACACATATGTACACACATACTCCTGATTAACATATGATCTTTAAATATTACAATTCACATTATGAAAACTTAGAAAAAGTACATAATAAGAATATTATGTCAAAAAATCTTGTGAAATAAAATTTAATTTGATACAAGGAAAATCAAAACATTAATTGCAAGTTTTTTAAAACTGTAAATAAGTTAAATTGCTAATTTAAAAATGCAAGATAAAAATAGCATAGTAAATTCAAATAAATAGAAGGAATTAAATAATTAAAGGAATAGAAAAAAATATGAACCCTGGCAAATCAATTTTTAAAAAAGAAAAAGAAAAAGAACAACCCAGTAGAAAAATAACCAAAGTTATGAGAAAGCAAAAGTTACAAATAAAACTGAATAGCTAGTAAATACATGAAAATATCTTTAATCTCACCAGTATTCAGGAAAGCAGAAATTAGTACAGTGAGGTACAATTTCACACTCATCTGATTGGATAAAATAGAAGAGGCTTCAATACTAGAGAAGAAGTGAAAAATAGGAAGTCTTGCAAAATGCTGGTAAGAGTTTACACTGGCGGAATCACTCTAGAGCCATGAGGCAAACTCGGATTCGGATGAAAATGCATGTGTCCTCTATCTGTGCAATCCCACTTCTGTGTATGTAACCTGAAGAAACTCCTGCACCAGAAGAATCGCTGCAAAATGATCTAGACAGTATAATCGCATTAATGTGAAAATTTTTAAAGATATATGATAAGGGCATAAAACACGCCTGTGATAAAGGCATATGTAAAAGAATCAGTGGAAAAAAATAGAGTAACAACTTTTTTCAAAAACACAGAAAAAATTACAAAATTCAGAATAGTGATTGCCTCTGGGGGGAATAAAAGGGAAAACAGAACTGGGGATTAGAACAAAGTAGATATCAAACTTAGTAAATAAATATGACACACACACATGCATACATGTATATTTAATATATAAGTTACCAATAAGAGCTGAACCAAATCACCAAAACCCAAACTATATATTTATATCTTGTTCATGTTCACATCTAGCTAAAAACCAAACAAAATAAAAATTCCCTGGAGCATGGGCATCTTTAAATTATGTTACATGTGTCAGCAAGTCCTGTCTACTGTGGGTTATCTTGGGGCTTCAATCTCCTAAATATTGAAACTGTAGCCAGAATAGCTAACCTTTTCAAGCAATTATAATATTCTCCTCTAAGCCAAAGAAAGGAGTTATTCTGCAGGCTGATAGAATTTGAGGGAAAAATTTAATCGTGGCCACATTAAAAGGCTTAGCCCTCTTGTAAAAGATGATCTTATTCTTAGGTTATTGTCTGTGTAGCTCTTATTCAGAAAATATAGATTGGAGCAAAACTCAAGTGTTAACATTCTTATAACTCCTTCTTTCTCATTTCGCAGTCCTGCCTTGTTCTTTTTCACTAATGGGTTGATAATAGATAATCAGCTAATTAATTCTCCTATGGCATATAATTTATACCTCTACTCTATCATTTTTATTGTTTGAATTATTTTATTAAAATTGCATCTTGTCAGAATTATTTTACATGTTCATCACTTTCAAAATTATTTAGGCTTTTAATTCACTGTCCTATTGTCCAATGGTGGGCACATGCAGAGCTCACTAAATAAATACTGATTTGAACTTCTTTGAATGATCTCTTCTGGTCTCTGTTTATATTACATTATAAATATAAAATAGTAAACTCCTTGAGAGCAAGGACATTATGTTCCATGTATCCTCCTTATACTACATGCCATCATACATATAGCAATTGCTTCATATTATTTGAATGGTTGTTTAGGTAGAAGGATAATATTTTTGTTTGTTTTCTTTACCAAAGCAAAGCTGTATTTCTGTTAATATTCAGGGGGTACCTGTGGTTGAAAGCTAGTATTTCTTTGCAGATGACCTGTTTGTGCTCCTAGAATTAATAAACCTATGAATAGAAAACCTATATTTTCTAGATTTGCAAGATCAGATCACTGCAGTTAGCAATAAGTGTTACAGTAAGCTGTATAAAAAACAATTCAGTTAAATTTTCTGTCTCAGAAAATGTCTCAATTTTTAATCAAGACAGAGAACTTGAAAATTTCTCTTCTATCATACACCAGAAAACGTACACAATGTTTACCATGCATCCACAATTAAGTGACAATTAGAGATCAGCTTAAGAAAATGGAAATCATAATGATGAAAGGTAAGAGAATATGCCATCCCAAAATATGCCACTTTGACATAAGAATTATTTTGAGCTGAGGGCAATTGAGCTACAAAAAAGCCTCTCTTCCCTCTTCCTATTTGTCTAAAAGCAGGACATAAATTGGTAAAGGTGTTCTTACTCCCCTCTCTGCCCAAATAACAGAAGTTAATCACCAGAGATGTACCTAGACCCTTATCAGCCCAGAGATGGCACTAGAGGAATCTACAAAACAGATTACTGACCAGCCCATATCTTTCATTAGTTCCCCCATATATTAACCTTCCCACAATTTGTTGCCCTAGAAACTCAAAGTCCTTTCCCTTTGTCTCATCACTTGTCTAAAAAATGTATTGTTCTTTTGTTAAACTATACAAGCTGAAATTCTAACCACTCCTTTGAGTTACTCATCAACTGAATACTCCCATGCACGGTGTACAGATGGACATGTAAATAAACTTCTGCTTTTCTCGTTAATCTGTCTCTTGTCAGTCTAATTTATAGGGCCCCAACCAATGAACCTAAGATGAGTGGAGGAAAAATAACAAAAGCAAAACTTTAATATCAATTATAGTGCTTAGACAAACTTTAGAAGACATACAAATGTGTTTTATAGTATTACATGCGATATTCATAGTATCTTTGCAGGCAAGAATTTCAAGTTGAAAAATAAGCCAAAATTCTCACCAGCAGAATTTTTTAAAGGGAGCAACTGTTGCGTGCAAACACTAATCTCCCGGGCGCAGTCAAACAATACCTTCCCCAAGGGTCAGCTGCTAATTGTTAAACTCTCTAGCGAATAGTAAAACAGCTGTGTCTTGAATCTGCAAAAACATTATCATCTAATGAGTGAAGAATATGTGATTGTGCAATAATAAAAAGGGCCCAGTGTGTTGTTAAGTGTGCCAGTAGCACAAATGGGCCAGTGTGTATATATATACATATTTTTTTCTTTTACAAAGCAGAGAAAAGCAGATTTTTAAGTTATTAGTAAACTTGACATGAAAATATTAAAATGAAATGGTTCCAAAACATTTTCTTTCTCTTCAGCCAGTCTATCAACTGTCTCAGAAAGCATATGCAACTTGAGAAAAGAAATAAAAGTAATGATCATGTCTTTAAATCCTATTTAAGCTAAAAGGCAGGATGAAAAGAAAATTATTTAAACTAAAGTTCTTTCTATGTGGTTCTATGGTATGTGTTAGGTATTGATAAACTGCATCAAATTTTACAGGAAATTTACATTCTCAAATAAATGTTATATTTATTGAAATTAAAATATTAAGGATAAAATTGGTTCAGTTTACACATCAGGAAACACTCCATATGGTTCAGCAGTCAGCACAAAATCTGAAAGATTTCCCAAATTCACTCTGATATTTTTCACTTTTCTCAGCATGTTCCTTTTGCCCAGTTTCTAAATTCCTAATCAACTTTCACAGTCTTCTCTGAGGATGCACACAGTGTTTTCTTCCTTTGCATGCTGGATGTCTCTTTTGGCCCTCCTCAAATGGCACTTTGGTTTAATGGTGATTCTGGAAATATCTCTCTCCCTCTATTAGAATGTGCGTAGGTTTGTTTTCACACTACTGTAAAGACATACTCATCACTGGGTAATTTATAAAGGAAAGAGGTTTAATTGACTCACAGTTCTGCATGGCTGGGGAGGCCTCAGGAAACTTAGAATCATGGTGGAAGGGGAAGCAAGCATGTCTTTCATGGTGGCAGGCAAGAGAGAAAGTGTGTGTGAAGTGAAGAGGGAAGAGTCCCTTATAAAACCATCAGATCTTGTGAGAACTCACTCACTATCACAAGAATAGCATGGGAGAAACCGCCCCCATGATCAAATCACCTCCCACCAGGTCTCTTCCTCAACACCTGGGGATTACAATTCAAGATGAGATTTCGGTGGAGAGACAAAGCCTAACCATATCATTCCAATCCTAGCCCCTCCCAAATTTCATGTCCTCACATTTCAAAACCAATCATGCCTTCCCAACAGTCCCTCAAAGTCTTAACTAATTTCAGCACTAAGTCAAAAGTCCAAGTCTCAAGTTTCACCTTAAATAAGGCAAGTCCCTTATGCCTAAGAACCTGTAAAATCAAAAGCAAGTTAGTTACTTCCAAGATACAATAGGGCTACAGGCATTGGATAAATGCTCCCATTCCAAATGGGAGAAATTGGCCAGAATGAAGAGGTTACATGCCCCATGCAAGTCCAAAATCCAGCAGGGCAGTCAAATCTTAAAGCTCCAAAATGATCTTCTTTGACTCCATGTCTCACATCCACGCCACACTGATACAAGAGGTGGGCTCCCATGGCATTGGGCAGCTCCACCCCTGTGGCTTTGCAGGGTACAGCTTCCCTGCCCCAGCTGCTTTCATAGGCTGGCCTTGAGTGTCTGTAGCTTTTCCAGGTGCATGGTGCAAGCTGTCAGTGGATCTAGTGTTCTGGGGTCTGGTGGCCCTCTTCTCACAGCTCCACTAGGCAGTGCCCCAGTGGGGACTCTGTATGGGGGCTCCAATCCCACATTTCCCCTTTGCACTGCCCTAGCAGAGATTCTCCACAAGGACTTCACCCCTGAAACAGACTTCTGCCTGGACATCCAGGCATTTTCATACCTCCTCTGAAATCTAAGCAGAAGTTCCCAAACCTTAATTTTTGACTGCTGTGCACCTGCAGGCTCAACACCATGTGTAAGCCACCAAGGCTTGGGGATAGGACCCACTGAAGCAATGGCCTTAGCTGTATGTTGGCCCCTTTTAGCTACTTTTGGGATGCAGGGCACCAAGTCCCAAGGCTGCATAGAGCAGCAGAGGGCCCCTGGACCAGGCCCACAAAACCAGTTTTCCCTCCTAGGCCTTGGGTCTGTGATGGCAGGGGCTGCTATGAAGGTCTCTGACATGCCCTGGAGACATTTTCCCCATTGCCTTGGTAATTAACATTTGGCTTCTTGTTACTTATGCAACTTTCTGCAACTTATTAAATTCCTCCTCAGAAAGTGGGCTTTTCTTTTCTACTATATGGTCATGCTGCAAATATTCTAAACCTTTATACTCTGCTTTCCTTTTAAACATAAGTTCCAATTTCAGATCATCTCTCTCAAGTTGAAAGTTCCACAGATCTCTAGGACAGGGGTAAAATGCCACCAGTCTCTTTGCTAAGCATAACAAGAGTACATTTGTTTCATTTCCCATTGCCTCTACATTTTTGGGTATCTTTATCATAGTACACTACTCTCTGAGATACCAAATTACTGTATTAGTCCTTTTTCACACTGCTATAAACACATACACAAGACTGGATAACTTATAAAGAAAACAGGTTTAATTGACTCACAGTTCTACATGGCTGGGGAGGCCTCAGGAAACTTACAATCATGGTGGAAGAGGAAGCAGGCACATCTTATATAGTGGCAGGTGAGAGAGAAGTGCAAGCAGGGTAAATGCCAGATGTTTGTAAAACCATCAGATGTTGTGAGAACTCACTCACTATCATAAGAATAGCATGGAGGAAACGACTCCCATGATCCAGTCACCTCCCACTAGGTCTCTCCCTCAACACCTGGGGATTATGATTCAATATGAGATTTAGTGGGGACAAAAAGCCTAACCATATCAGAATGTAAACACTTTGTGCACAGGGATTACACTTCACTATGGCCAAGAGCCACCTGGAAATTGGCACCATTTGTCTCCAAACAAATCTTCATTATTTTGTACTGATGAATAAGAATTAGACCAGATTCTGGCTAATTCAGTGGCTCACACCTGTAATCCCAGCACTTTGGGAGGTCGAAGTGGGCAGATCATGAGGTCGGGAGATGGAGACCATCCTGGCCAACATGGTGAAACCTCATCTCTAGTAAAATACAAAAAATTAGCCAGGCATGGTGGTGCACGCCTGTAGTCCCAGCTACTCAGGAGGCTGAGGCAAGGGAATTGCTTGAACCCAGGAGGCGGAGGTTGCAGTGAGCTGAGATTGCACCACTGCACTCCAGCACTCCAGCCTGGTGATAGAGCAAGACTCCATCTCAAAAAAAGAAAAGAATTAGGCCAGATTCCATAACATAGATTCTGAAATGTGAACTCTCTATTAAGTATTGGTTATGCAAAGAGACGTTATCTACCCAATTCTCAACCCCGCATGGGTAAGCAATCCTGTTCAGTCTTCTTTCATCTCCCTGACTCCTACAATGCCTTCAAACTTTGCCTCACTTTGTAGCCTCTGGGAAAGCAAGAAGCCTAGTTTCTACAGCACCTAGCACAATGTCACATATAGTTGGCGTGAGTATTAATAAGGACATAACAAGAATAATGTATTTTTGTTTCACTTAGAGAAAATTATAGTCATGGTCACTTAAAGAGTTCTAAATTGTTCAACTGAAAATGGAAAGATGTTATTAAAGACTTTTAATTGGTGATACTGAGAAAATAATACCTCTTCGTCTTCAGGGGACATTAATTTTCAAGATGCATTTTAATTATATTAGTAAACATGTATGTACTCAGGAAATAAAAGCCACAATTGACAGTGTTTATTTTCTGAAGGTGGAATAGGTACAGAATGTCTTTCTCAGGATAGGTGGATGGGTTGTCAAGAATGTGCAGTCTTCCCATGGTCTCTCTTAAAACTTCCTTTTCTTAGGTCCACTGAAACCTTTTTTAAAGACTGAGTTCTGCTACGATGGTTACTTGTACATTTCACCTCCTTGTTGCCAGTACTGAGAAGAGGTGAAAAAGAAAATGAGGCTCAGAAGATCAAGAGCGCTAAAAATGTACACATCAGATTGCCTAGACCCCAATTTCCATATTCACTCTTCCTGTGTATCCCACACTCTCTCCTCAACACTGTGAAAGCAGCATCCTGTGTGTAGTCTGTACTTCAGTGGTGTGACCAGAACTGGTAGGCAGCAAAGACTGTCGCTGGGGTGACTCAGCCTCAAACACACTGACAGCCTGGGCCTCTTCCCGTGAGATTACATCCCCTCCCAAGGAGGCTGAACAATGCCAAGTAGCAGCTCCACAGGAAGCTGTTATTCTCTTTAGGTAAATGGTTTTCACCTGAACCCTGGATTTTTCAGACACTTAAGACATACAGGTCTTCCTCCATATGGAAGGTATACACTCTTAATTCTCTTGATAAACTGAGAAAGGCCTGATAACTTAAAAATAAGTATAAACAGTTCTTGGAATGCTAAGGCAATAATAAGGCTACCTATTACAAGTGCTTAAGGTGAAAAACTGGAAACAAACTAAGTGTTAAATTACAGTACAACTCCACAAGAGGAAGTAGATGACCATTCAAAGTCATGTTATCACAGAACATATAATAGCAAGGGGAAATGGTCATCATTCAGTGTTAAGTGAAAAGAGAGGAATACATAACCACATCACTACAAATGTTATATGTATTAGTATGCTACAAATGTTATAAAGTATGTTTTAATGTACATAAGAAAACAAAAGCCAGGAAGAAAATATACCAAAATGTTAGCAATAGTAATCTTAGTAGAATTTCAGGTGATTTATAATTCTTTCTTAAATTTTCTATTTTTAAAGTTTTTATAATGAATACAGGTCAACTTTTAAATCACAAAATAAAAATAATCATTGGTTTTTAAAATAATAAATTTGAATATTTTTATAAAGATATAATTATGGAGAAAAGTGGCAAGTACCATTACACAACATTGCAGGGAAGTGGTCAAGGGACTGGGCTCTGGAATGACTGTACAGCCTCGTGACCTTAGGTTAACTTCTCTGAGCTGTGTATCCTTGCCGATTGAATAGGGATACTGTATTTCATCACACTAAGAGTCTATGGATTGTAAGATATATATATATATATGATCCTTTTATGTACAAATAAGAGTTTTTAAAAATACTGCCAATACTCCATCTTAAGGCAAATTCTTATTTCAGAGATTTGAAAAAAAATGCATCAGAGCCTCAAAGAACTATGGTAATATTTGCACCTACTTCATAAAGTTTCATGAGAATTAAATAAAACAATCTATGTAAAGTTCTCAGAAGAGCATATGACACTTAATAAACACTTAACAAATGTGAGCCATTATTGCAGACTCACTTAGGATGGCTAGCAAAGACCCTGAGGGTGAAGGTTGATGTTTCAATTTGAGAGGTCTGAGGGTGGCTGTCATGAAAACCTGAAGCCAGAGTCCCCTACCCTTGCTGGCTAGGAATGAGAGCCACAAGTAGAAAATACAGCCATTGTTTTAGAAAGCAACATTACATAGGATTCTTGGACTTGACATTCTTAAATAACTGGGTAAGAAGTTAAATGTATAAGGCTGAGAAAGAAAAAGAGGAAGTGAAGAAAGTTTGAGGTTGGCTTAAGTTTTATAATCGTCAAATTATCTCTGTATCCCTAATATTTATTGAGTAACCACAGGACACACAGAGCCCTGTAGTTGCATGGGTGGAGTAGAAATAAAGCTTCAAAGAAAAAAAGCACATTTGCAGTCTTTTTTCTTAGAACATTCCAAACAAGTAAACAAAATAAAGACATACATATAGGAAAACATGCAATGTATGTGCCTATAATGGTATACATAAATGTCAATAGAACAGAATAAAGACAAGTACAAAAATGAAGGTGTGGTAAAATTATTTTATTAAATTATTAATTAATTTATTAAATTGTTAAATTATTTCACATTTTTTTGAGCTGCAGTAAGACTCCAGGAAGTTAAGCACTTTTTGAAAAAGACCTATTACGACTAAATGTAAAATATTCATCATTATCTAGGTTTAAGAGCAAGACTAGTGAAAGAGAAAGAGTTACTAGAAGCAATAAAAAGCAATACGTTTCATCATATTGCTCACTTAAGGGTTAAATCTATCATGTTTTTAATTACTCACATATAAAGTTTCTACCAAATATTTACCATGTGGGTTTTTAAGTTTGATGAATGTAAAAGCACTGGCACAGGCTTCAGCTAGGAAGTGAAGTAAAAATGTTGACCAAGTGGGAGAAATCTGGCAAAACAAGTCAACCAGAACCCTGACCTTTGAGCCTTTTCAGGTTTTGTATAGAACAAATCTTGTATAGAAATAAGATGTGACCTGGAAATGGTCCCAAAAATTGAAATACTTTACAGTGCCAGGAACAACATCATGTCAAACAAAGAGGAAAAGGAACTGTTAGCAGAAAGACATTTCTTCAGTTTGTATGTGCCCTTAAGAGGCAAATTAGTATTAGGATGTGGAGCAACAGTATAGTGGAGTCCGAAATACACTTTTAGCTTATGGTGAATTTTGAGGCTCAAGAGAACAAAGCACATAATTTCGGAGTATATTATAACCTGGAAGAGCTGAGCCCTTCAGATTTGTCCTCTGAGTTCCCAAAGTGCATTACTTTCTCTCAGGGGAAAGATTCATCAATGTGCACCAGATGGGGTTGAAGGGAATGACTGATGTTCAACATTTTGTGTGGGTGTTGATTTGCAAACAAGGAGTGATTTTTTAAACTAGCATCTGTGTTTGCCAATTTTTTTTTAATCTTGGTTTTCATTTTAGAACACAATCTTTCAAGTTTTCATAAAATGGTAGATTTCTTTGAATACTAGAATGAAAGAGGCTTCATCTGTCTCCTAGTCTGCATTATTCCATGTAACCCCTCTGGAGCAAGAAAGGCATGTTGAGGTCCTGGAGTGGGGAGGCCCTGTGGTCCATGCTGAGCTGCTTCTTAACATATACTCACCCTTGACTACACTGTCTTAGAACAAACGGAGTTGTCCAACGTGTGTATGGGTGGCTCCCATGGTCATGAGCCATGACCCAAGCCTTGGGTCACCAGCCCAACGAGTGATCAGTAAGCATGCCTTGGTATGGGGGCAGTTTTAATGTTTGGACCAGAGGGAACAGCTCTTGTTTCTACAGGGGCCAGGCAGGTTGTGTAAATGAGTTCAGTGAAGCTGCAGTGAAAAATCCACTGAGCAAGTGCAATGATGAATGTTGACTATTGCTTGGCCTCAATGAGGACAGAAAAGGGAGTGACAGAGGCTGTGTTGACCCAGAGAAGACAGGCTCTGTTTTAAAGGGGGAGCCACCACTTAGCTCCCATTGCTTTTTGTAAGGAAAATGGGCGGAGGTGCCAGCTCCTCTGAATTTTCTAGCAGGGCTGGCTTCAAGGGCATGCATTCCCTGCAGTGCCCCAGGGCCAGCACTCAGAAGGACCCACACCTGGTTTGATGCTCTGCTATCCCCATCTTGAAATTCTTTTTTATTATTAGTATTTTTAATTTTTCTAGAGACAGGTCTCACTTTGCGGCTTAGCTTGGAGTACAGCAGTACTATCATAGCTCACTGCTAACTCAACTTCCTGTTTTCAAGGGATCCTCCTAGGAGCCTCAGCCTCGAAGTAGCTGGGATGACAGGTGTGAACCACCATGCCCAGCTAATATTTAAATTGTTTGTAAAGATGTGGTCTTGCCATCTTCCCCAGGCTGATCTTGACATCCTGGGCTCAAGCAATCCTCCCACCTTGGCCTTCCAAAGTGCTGGGATTACAGGCATGAGCTACTGTGCCCGGCCAAAATTCTTAATAATTTTTGAACAAAAGGTACCTGGACTTTTCATTTTGCACTGGATTTCAAAAGCGATGTAGCCAGTCCTACTTTCAAAAGCAGTTATACATGTGTAATTTTCTACAAAATATTCCAATTTTTAAATATTGGCAACTAATTGAAACTTTTGAAATGTAGTGAATGCTACACATCTGCAAGCTAACTGGTCTAGAGTTGGCCAACATGTTCACCCCTCTAGATTGCCTCAATGATTATACTAGAATCTTAGAACTCAGAGCTATGATGTCTTAGATGCAACCTGGCTAATCCCCTAATTCTCTGGATGAGGAAACAATCAAAAGAAATGAAAATGGAAATAGAGACTGTCACAACTTCCACTATACAGGGCCTGTTGGGAGCAGCCTTCCTGGACATACTGCCTATGGCGAAAAGTGCAAGGAATTGGAGTTTCATGGCATCTGTGATAGTGTACACTTTCTGCTTCATCACCTTAATTTCCTGGGCTGTATTTTAGTCAAGTTTTTTTTTTTTTTTTTTTTTTTGAGATGGAGTCTTGCTCAGTTGCCCAGGCTGGAGTGCAGTGGCACGATCTTGGCTCACTGCAAGCTCTGCCTCCTGGATTCTCACCATTCTTCTGCCTCAGCCTCCCGAGTAGCTGGGATTACAGGTGCCCGCCACCATGCCCGGCTAATTTTTTTTTTGTATTTTTAGTAGAGACGAGGTTTCACCATGTTACCCCGGATGGTCTCGATCTCCTGACCTCGTAATCCACCCGCCTCAGCCTCCCAAAGTGCTGGGATTACAGGCGTGAGCCATCGCAGCCAGCCAAAAGTTTTTTTTTTAATCTCTTAGTGACTTCAATTTTTTGCCAGGGATTTAAGCCGTTGTTGATTTTATTATCATTTACACAGTAATTATCCAAGAATAACTCTTTTTTTTTTTTTTGAGACGGAATCTTGCTCAGTCGCCCAGGCTGGAGTGCAGTGGTGTGATCTTGGCTTACTACAACCTCTACCTCCCGGGTTCAAGTGCTTCTCCTGCCTCAGCCTCCCGAGTAGCTGGTATTACAGGCATGCACTACCATGCCTGGCTAACTTTTGTATTTTTAGTAAAGACGGGATTTCCTCATATTGGCCGGGCTGGTCTCGAACTCCTGACCTCAGGTGATCCGCCTGCCTGGCCCTCCCAAAGTGCTAGAATTATAGGCATGAGCCACCTCGCCCAGCCCCAAGAATAACTCTTGACTTAGCCAGAGGCAAGAAATACATTACCAGATCCTACCCAAGGTCTGCAGGTTTTCATGTAGGCGATTTCTTTCTTTTCCCCTTCCTTCATGCCATCAGCTTTGATAACATTCTATGTGATGTAAGAAGGGAAAAAAGTAGCTTAAACAAATGTAAAACCATATTCTAGTTTAACTGTTTTAATCTTCTTTATATTAGCACATTAGAAAGGTGTGCATTCCTGGGTTATCAGACATTATATGGACCAGCTATTTTTATAGATTTTAATTTGTGTTGAACCCATCCCTATAAAAAACGTAAAATAAACAACATCATCCCTTTTCAAGAGTCTGCCAGTGTATATTTCTTTGCCTTTATGGCCCCATTTTTGTGTCTTTCTTCTTGCCCTGTTCCATGGCATCTCATAAGACAGGAAAAATCTTGCAAGCCATCAGTAATTGAATATGTGCTTTGACAGATCCTGCAGCAGGCAATGAATACATTTCTCATAGTGAAAATTTATACCTGAAGCTGTGCTAGCTTAATCATTTCATCCCTGTTTGCCTCAAAGTCTAATTTTCAAAGTAGATTAAACTTGTTAATGAGGCAACAGGATTTAGAGACAATTTAGTTGAAAGATATTGTGATGGGTAAGACAGGTGATTTCAGAAATGGATTTGACAAAGACTACAAAGCCAACCATCACAATAACAGAGCTGAGTAGAATAGAGCCCGAGTTCTAGACAGATTCAGGGTTTGGTTTAACTTAAGCAATTTTTCTTTGGTATGCTCACCCCTGCCTTGTGAGGGTGTCTGCTCCTGCCCAGGTCACTCTGAGCGACCCGGTGAATCTTTCTCATCCAGCACTAGGCTGGATTTCCCTCTAGCAGAGACAAAGGGTGAGGAGACAGGGCTGTGTGGCGGATGAGTGAGATATTTTGGGGACGCAGCAGGATGTGGATGGTGTGGCTGCTCTTTGTGCATTCACAGTGGCAGCCTGCCGAGCAGCCCAGCCAACAGTGCCCTGTCTTTGCTCTTTTGTTGTTTCGTACCATGTGGTGCCAGCAATATTCTGGCAGCTGACACCGTCAGCAGGTGTCCCTAAAATACCAAGAAACCCTGGGAAGACAGGAGGAGGAAATAATGTCTGAAGCCTCACAGGGCCTTGTGCCACCATTTCAGCGGAATTGACTTTTGTTATTTGTTTATTATTTTTTAAACCAAAGGGCGCCACCCTTCTCTTTGTGGTTCTTTGAAGATAGCAAGATTGCACTGCTAGTCTCTGTTCTTAAGAAGGGTCATGTGTGGAAGAACAAATAACCCTGAGATACTAAGAAGGAGCTGGATGGACTTGAAAAAGCAGCATTTGGAATAAAACTAGTAAATACCACCATCTAAGAAAAGCAAGAAAGATGCAGTTTTTATTTTAATAAATGGCTGTTATTAGCCAAGAAGCCATGTTCTTGCCTCCATGTCAGTCATGGAGACTGGAGCTGTCTGGAGGAGAGTCAGGGAGTGAGTTGGGATGCTGCTAGTAGGAATAGTGAGAGTGGGCCGCCCTTTCAAGACATGTGGCCACGAATGAGAGCACAGGGTGAGAGCTTGAGGGGCATGTGCACTAAGAAGGTGGTTCTTTTGTTGATTTGTTTGTATGAAAGGAAAGTCTTAAGCATATTTATAGCTGTGAATAGTACTGAGGAGAGAGTTGAAGTAATAGGACGAGGAAACCACATGGGACAGACTTGACCGAGCTCAGGGAGGTGGCATTTGAGATCATTTTGCAAGCCCCTTAGTGAACAAATAAGACAAGTGAGGCTCAGAGGAAAAACAAACAAACAAACACAGTTTACTGATTTATCTGAAAAATTTGTCATCAAGCAAATCATTTCAAGGTATTTGCTAGTTTCCCATGTGAATTTTGTCATAAATGAAGATTCTATTGCGAGCAAGACCTTGGGTTTAAATAGATGATAGACAGAAACAACAGAATGCAATTTTAAAAAAAAAGCTATAACTCTTACTTTAGCATGAAAAAATTATGCTGAGTCAAGAGGGACATGTATGTGCTATACATATTAATGGTCCCTCACTGTACCCAAGGAGTAAGATATCATTCCTGTGTATCATAAATTTGTCCTGAAATTAATATTCTAACTACTTTCAGTAGAATGTAACCTTTATAAAAGCCAGCACTTTGTCTTTCCTGCAATGGTCTCCCTTGAATCTAGAATAGGGCCTAGATAAGTAGCATTCAATAATAAAAGAATATTTGTTTGGCCGGGCTTGGTGGCTCACTCCTGTAATCCCAGCACTTTGGCAGGCTGAGGCAGGTGGATCATGAGGTCAGGAGTTCGAGACCAGCCTGGCCAACATGGTGAAACCCCATCTCTATTAAAAATACAAAAATTAGCCAGTGGTGGTGGTGCGTGCCTGTAGTCCCAGCTACTCGGGAGGCTAAGGCAGAAGAATTCCTTGAACCCGGGAGGCGGAGGTTGCAGTGAGCCAAGATCGTGCCACTGCACTCCAGCCTGGGCGACAGAGCAAGACTCGGTCTCAAAAAAAAAAAAAAAAAATTGTTAAATGAATGAATACATGAAACAAGGCTGAATCTTCTCCTTGACCTCTTACAGGCATCTAAATGTTAAAACTGGACTTATTTTGCACCCGTTTTCACCCCACACACCCCTTACGCCCACAAAAGCATATTATCTTTCTTTGTAGTGCCTATTTTATTTTGTTTTTATTTTTATTTTGAGAAGGAGTTTCACTCTTGTCACCTAGGCTGGCATGCAATGGCAGGATTTCGGCTCACCACAACCTCCACCTCCCAGGTTCAAGCGATTCTCATGCCTCAGCCTCCCGAGCAGCTGGGATTACAGGCGCTCACCACCACGCCCGGTTAATTTTTGTATTTCTAGTAGAAACAGGGTTTCATCATGTTGGCCAGGCTAGTCTCGAACTCCTGGCCTCAAGTGATCCACCCACCTCAGCCTCCAAAACTGCTGGGATTACTGGCGTGAGCCACCGCGCTTGGCCATAGTGCCTATTTTAATTAAAGATGTTTCCATTCACCTAGTCAATAAAGCAAAAAAAAAAAAAAAAAAAAAAAAAACAGGGAAACATCAGTGATTCCTCCCTTGTCCCCATTTCTAGAACTAATGGGTTCCCACATTCTGTCAATTCTACCTTGGAAAAAGGTCGATTAATATTTTCCCTGCTCAGCATTTCCACAGTCCCCCTCTTGTGCAGGCCTTCATCATCTCTCAACTGGTCCCGTGTTTATTTTCATCATCAAACCAGTGTTATTTCCAAATGTCCATCCAATGGTTAAAAGTATGACTCATGATTTTCTACAGAACAAATTTCCATGGTGCTACCTTTAAGAGTTTGCACAATCTAATCTCTTGCTATGCTTTGTGTTTCATTACTTTCCCCCATGCACTTTTGCCCATTCAAGGTGGACCCATACTTTCACAGTCTCATGCCATTTCTCATGCTGTTTCCTCTGTTTAGAATATCCTTGCCTCCTAGCCATCTGATAAAATCAAAATTATTTTTCACATTTTTCCTCCATTATTAACTCATCTTCCAAGAAGCTTCTTCCCTTGAAATTCACATAGTGAATAGTCCGTTATATTTTTGCTGCTGACAGTATTTCTTTTAAAGACCAATCTACTTTCAAAAGATATAGAACTTTATGACAGAAGGTGAAAACAGCCAATTTAATGTTTAAACCCAGTATGTCCATATTTAATGGACATAAAATATAAACAGATAAGATGTTTGACTTCCCTCATAACTAAAGTAAGTCAAAATAGCTATATGTCATTTTGTACGTTTCTGATTGGCAAAATATAAAAGTTTTATTTAAAAAACAGGACTGGTTCAAGATCAGCCTGACCAACATGGTGAAACTCCGTCTCTACTAAAAATACAAAAATTACCAGGCGTGGTGGCAGGCACCTGTAATCCCAGCTACTCAGAAGGCTGAGGCAGGAGAATCCACTTGAACCTGGAAGGTGGAGGTTGCGGTGAGCCAAGTTTGCACCACTGCACTCCAGCCTGGGCAACAGAGTGAGACTCCATCTTAAATAAATAAATAAATAAATAAATAAATAAATACATAAATAAATGCTCACTGCAACCTCCACCTCCTGGATTCAAGCGATTCTACTGCCTCAGCTTCCCGAACAGTTGGGATTACTGGTGCCCACCACCACACCCAGCTAATTTTTGTATTTTCAGTAGAGACAGGATTTCACCATGTTGGCCAGCCTGGTCTTCAAACTCCTGACCTCAAGTGATTCGCCTGCCTCAGCCTCCCAAAGTGCTGGGATTACAGTGATTTTTTTTTTAATCTCTATGTTTGGTGACCAAACTCCTGAGTGGCTACAGTTTTCTTATCATTACTGCTCCTAAGCATGGTCCTGGTTCTCTCTTATGGTTGCAGTCTGTGAAGCATTTCTGTGTCCTCCTGGAGTCAGTGCCATAGTAAACCCTTCACGTGGTCACACAGGCTCAGTCTTTTTATTCAGAGGGTCATAAAACAACTTCACAACAAATGGAACACAGAGGGATTTAGCCATTGCCCAACTTGAGAGTGAACTTGGAACTTCCTCCTTCCCTGGGCCTGTTTGCATTTCTGTACTTTTATTTTCTTGGTCTGAGTTTACCTGATATCCATTGGCTATCCAATTCCTGACCTTACTTCTAGCCTTCATATTTTCTTCCTGGAGAGCCTGGGTAACTTTCCTTATTGAAGCCAGTCCAACAATAGCAATTAAAAGCTCAGGCCGGATAACTCTTCAGGGATTCAAAACCCATCTCTGCCACTTACTAGATGTGACTTCTCACCTAAACTCTGCCACTCACCTTGGCCTATCTTCTGTGCCTTAGTTTCCTCTACTGCAAAATAAAAAGGCTAATAAGAGTCTCTACCACATAAAATTCTTATCGTGTTCTTATGAGTTAATATATGTAAAGTGCTTAGAATAGTATCTGGCATGCAGAAAGTACTGAATAAGAATTAGCTATCATTATTACTTCAGAGACACTTAGGTCGTTCTGGGGAGAAAAGGCAGTATCCATTATTTAAATTTGAAAAGACACTAGTTATGTAAATTTTACATTGAAGATAAACTATATAAAAGGAGCAGTTTGCCACCTACTCAGAAAGAAAGGCTTCTGTGTAAACTTTAGAAATCCTGTCTATATAGCCAGGTGTGGTGGCTCGTACCTGTAATCCCAGCATTTTGGGAGGCTGAGGCGGGCAGATCACTTGAAGTCAAGAGTTTGAGGCCAGCCTGGCCAATGTAGTGAAACCCCATCTCTACTAAAAATACAAAAATTAGCAGGGCGTGGTGACAGGTGCCTATAATCTCAGCTACTCGGGAGGCTGAGGTGGGAGAATCAATTGAACCCAAGAGGCAGAGGTTGCAGTGAGCTGAGGTCGCATGCCACTGCACTCCAGCCTAGGCGAAAGAGTGAGACTCTGTCTCAAAAATAAATAAATAAATAAAAGGACATTGAATTTACTTGAAATTAGTAAGCCTAGACTGCCTTATTCTCCCCAGTTCTACAGCCAGGATTCCCACCTCCTCAGCACTCTCAGCTTAGCAGCCCACAAGCCACAGGGGATAGAGGCTGACTTCAACTGGCCACTCTGATCTAGGATGATCTCCAGAGGTCTGTCCAGCTTGGCTCACCTCTGTTCAAGAGAATGTCTGCAAGATAGCCTCAGGAATTCCAGAATATAGAAAGAGTTGGCTCTCCTGGGACAAAAGAGTGATTTCGTCGGCCCTGAGAGAACCTTCCTCCACTGCCTACAAGTACCTAAATACCATCATTAGAGATTCATATTTTTGGCCTTAGGCTCCTAAAGCCTGTAAAAGGAAATGAAATGTTGCCAAATGAGTAATTTATACTTGACTTAGGTTAGAGATTTGTAAGGCTCATAAAGAGGTGGAGAGAGATACAAGACCAAGGAAGCAGAAACAAATCTTCAACTTCTCAGTAATACCTTTTCCTAAAGCCAGTCCTGTTTCCTAAACTAAATCAAGACTTACAGCTCAGGATCCAGCCTGAGAAAATTTTTTTGTGAAGAAGAATCTCTCAGGATAGGACTCAGAAAATCCAAATAAGACCTTTCAAGTCTTTAGTGAAAACAAGATCAATTGCATTTATTATACCTACCAGACTTCTGTACTTACTCAGATCCACACTTGGAGAATTACAACAACAAAAGAAATAAAAGAGGGTTTATCTGCTTTTTCTGATAACATCTGCTAACTGACTGTAAAGCAATAGTAGTTTATGCCTTTAAGGCTGGTTGTAAAATAAAGGCCGTAGGGATTATAGAGCTTGGGATCAGTGCTGCCGCCTGAATCTGTCGCTTCTTTGCATGTGGTTTCATGATCACACTTAATCCCCTTATCTCTGGCAGGTGTAGAGCCACCAGGAACATCGCATATATTTGGACAAGGGCACCCAGCTCAGGGGCAAGTGGGGACTAAAATTCAGCTACATTCTGCTGGTCTAACTGAGCTCCTTGACTCAGGAAAGGATCCCCCCAGAGAAAGAGTAATTTTTAAAAATTCTCTTAAAGGTACTCCCAGGGCTAATGCACTAGAATGCATCTATCTCAATGGGCATCTTTTGCTGATTCTCACAAAGGTACTCCATGGTGTGCAGTAGGCATCTTGGTGGATATTTTAGCTTCCCAGAATTTGGAACCCCTTACCTATAACAAGGAAATTCTCCATTCTATAGGTCTTCAAGGAAAGCAGAGCCCACCGTATAAGCAGGCCAACGTCCCTTGCAGCCTGGATGAAAGAATATGATCAGTCAGATGTACATTCCCTGCACTGAGAGTTGAGAGTTTGAGATGCACAGGAAAGGGCAGGGAGAATTCCTTGGGGCACTAGCAAATTTCGGTTTCCAAAGCAGCAGAGGGCCAGGTGCGGTGGCTCAAGCCTGTAATCCCAGCAATTTGGGAGGCCGAGGCAGGCAAATCACCTGAGTTTAGGAGTTCAAGACCAGCTTGGCCAACATGGTGAAACCCTATATCTACTAAAAATACAAAAATTAGCCAGGCATGGTGGCAGGCGCCGGTAATCCCAGCCACTCCGGAGGCTGAGGCAGAAGAATCGCTTGAACCCGTGAGGTGGAGGTTGCGGTGAGCTGAGGCCACACCACTGCACTCCAGCCTGGGCGACAGAGAGAGACTCCATCTTGAAAAACAACAACAACAACAAACAAACAAAGCATCAGAAGCAGAGGTTGCAGAAGCAACAAGAAGCACCTGTCCCTGGTGCCACCATGGAGGCTTTGCAATCTGGGCCACCTGAGACTAGTTCTGCTGCAGGATTGGGTGCTTGTCCTGGCTTCTGCAAATCTCCCTTGTCTTTGGCCTGTTTTCTGATCTCATTCTCCAAATTTCTCAGCAGTAAATTATTTTTATTAAATTGGTGTCTATGATTTACAACTAAGAACCCTGAGCAGGGATTAGGAAATTATTCTAAAATGTTATCAGACAGGCCAATTCAGCTTCCTACCACCATGCAAACCTGTGTACCTACTTCTTCGAGACCAACATTCACCTAGCTTTTGGTCAAGTCCTCTCCCACTATCTCAGGAATCTTGGAATATCAACTATTTATGATATTTAATATCAACTATTCATATATCAACTATCCATGTCTTTCTTGTTTTTTTGGTTATTGCTGTTGTTGTTTTGTTTTTTTGAGATGGAGTCTCGCTCTGTCACCCAAGCTGGAGTGCAGTGGCATGATCTCAGCTCACTGCAACCTCCACCTCCCAGGTTCAAGCGATTCTTCTGCCTCAGCTTCCTGAGTAGGTGGAATTACAGGTGCACGCCACCACACCTGGCTAATTTTTGCATTTTTAGTAGAGACAGGATTTCACCATGTTGGTCAGGCTGGTCTCGAACTCCTGACCTCGTGATCTGCCCGCCTCGGCCTCCCAAAGTGCTGGGATTACAGGCGTGAACCACTGTGCCTGGCCTCTTTCTTGTATTTTTAAATTTCCCTTTTAACTAGATTCTTCCTGTCAACACTTGAACATGGTTACATCCCTCCCAGTTAAGAAAAATGACTTACATTGAGCCCACACATCTGTCTAGCTATTGCTCTGTCTCAGAGTTTACCAACTGGTTTGCCAGAATACTGTGTGTTCCAAGAATGGGTTGTAGGTGTTCTGTGATATATTGAGGGTTGTAAATATTTATGGTAATGAAAAATTAAACCAGTTTTATAACCATTCAAAATTTAACAGTTAAAATTAAATGTGAACACTAGTTTTATGGTCCCCTCTCTGCTGAAGTCAATAATTCTTATTTTGTGCTCAAAATGTTTTCCACGATACCAACCCCAGAGAGCAAACACTACTGCCTATCACACGTGCCTCCTCTCCTTGACTTCCCCTTCAATTATTCTCGTCAGTCTGGCTTAGTCACAGTTCATCCTGTTGAAGGTATATGTAAAATAGTGCTTGATTTTGCATTTAATTGAATTTACTCACATTTTCACAATTATTTTCTTTACGCATAAAGCATATGTTTGATTATTACCTTGTTTTTACATGATAGACAGGAGAAAAGGTGGGTGTAGCCCTTAAGGGGAGTACCTGTTCAGCCTGTGGAAGAGAGGCCTCTGCAGTGTTTTCTCACATGGGGGAAGTATTGGCTGTTATGTGAAACACACAGTCACATTTACACACTCTGAGGGGTCAGGATAGCCTTCAGAGCCACAAACTTCTGTGGCATTCACCCAGATATCTCCATCTCACGTTTCGGGGTCCCAGGTTGTCCCAACCAGAGCCTCGGCTGAGCCCTCTGTTGTCTTTGAAGCTTAGCAACCCTGACTATAAAACTCTGAGTTTGCTCCTCACTGCAGCTATTCTCCCATAACAGGAGGGAGAGACACTTTGTAAGCTACTAAAGATGCCTGGTGGTCCTCACACTTAGTTCTTAACTGTTTGGCAACTATCATCAGTTACCCATTATTCTCTTTAGGCTTCATCACAGCAAGCCAGTTCATTGTTTTCAAATGCTGCTATCCCTGGCCGGGTGCGGTGGCTCACACCTGTAATCCCAGCACTCTGGGAGGCCGAGGCGGGCAGATGGTCAGGAGATAGAGACCATCCTGGCTAACACAGTGAAACCCCGTCTCTACTGAAAAATACAAAAAATTAGCCGGGTGTGGTGGCGGGTGCCTGTAGTCCCAGCTACTCAGGAGGCTGAGGCAGGAGAAAGGTGTGAACCCAGGAGGCGGAGCTTGCAGTGAGCTGAGATCGTGCCACTGCACTCCAGCCTGGGCAACAGAGCAAGACTGTCTCAGAAAAAAAAAATTCTGCTATCCCCATGCTGAAAGAGTCTGAATCTTTGCACCAACCCAGATGTTTACTGTCCACCAGAATATTCTACCAAGTTAACACCAGTGGAAGTTTCAGCAACTGGACTACCACCTCATTCCAGGGACTATCTATGCCCCATATGCTACCCAGAATGGGATCCTCAGTATCCCTTAGAAACATTATTTTCCATATGTATAATAATTCAAAAATGTTAAAATTCTTCCCTTTCTCAAACACATACCCCTTTCTGAACCAAGCACTCTTAACAAGTTGTCTATGCTTCCTGACTACATTTGCTAAATTCAGCCACCTTTTTTTAATTTCACAATTTTTATAGATAATACATTCCTAGTGTACAACATTCAAAGCATCAAAAGCACCTGGAGGCTGGGCGTGGTGGCTCATGCCTGTAATCCCAAAACTTTGGGAGGTTGATTCGGGCAGATCACCTGAAGTCAGGAGTTTGATATCAGCCTGGCCAACGTGGTGAAACACTGTCTCTACTAAAAATACAAGAATTATCCGGGCGTGGTGATGGGCACCTGTAATCCCAGCTACTCTGGAGGTTGAGGCAGAAGAATTGCTTGAACTTGGGAGGCAGAGGTTGCAGTGAGCCTAGATCACACCACTGCACTTCAGCCTGGGTAACAGAGTGAAACTCCGTCTCAAAAAGCAAACAAACAAACAAACAAAAAACAAACAAAAAAAACATCTGGAGTGAGAATTCTCCCTCTCAACCCTTCCCTCAGCCCCATAGTCCTTCTTAGAGATAACCATTGTTTCCAGGTGTTGTGTACTTCCAAAGATGTCTGCTTATGTGTTTATGCACCACTCGCTTTTCACCCCACCCTTTCAATGACTCTATTCCCAGCTCCCCAAAGGCACCATGGCACCTTCATCATGAAACCATTTAAATCTTTATTGCATTTGACCACTCAGCAGCCTGCAGCACTGTTGATCACACCCTTCTAGAAACACTATTCCTTTGGGTTCCAGGTCATAACACTCTCTTGATTCCTTCCTCCAAACCCCCATCCTTCCATTCATTCTCTGTCTTAGCAGGCTCATCTTTCTTGATCCTTCATTAAATCCTTGAGTTCCTCATAGCTCAATCCTACACATTTTTTCTCTTTTCACTCTCTGGTGTTTCCAGAGACAATCTCTTCAATTAAATGCCTTCATTTACCCTTATCTGCAGATGACTTCCTGATTTGTACAGTAGTACCCCCTTATTTACGGTTGCGCCTTCTGCAGTTTCGGTTACCCACAGTAGAGTACAATAAGATAATTTTGAGAGAGTCCACAGTCACATAATTTTTATTACAATATATTGTTATAATTTCTCTATTTTATTATTAATAGTTAATCTCTCACTGTGCCTAATTTATAAGTAAAACTCTATCATAGGTGTGTATGTATAGTATAGGAAAAATCATACTAAAATATCTATAGCGTTCAGTTTCAGGCATCCACTGGGGGTTTTGGAAAGTATCCCCTGCAAATAAGGGGTGACTCCTGCATATCTAACCTAGACCTCCTTGACTGAGCACCACACTCATATAGCCAAATTCCAAGTCACATACACGCATACCTCAGAGATACTGCAGGTTTGATTCCATACCACCACAGTAAAGTAAATAATGCAATAAAGTGAGTCACAGTAATTTTTTTGGTTTCCCAGTGCATATAAAAGTTACTTTTACACTATTCTATCATTTATTAAGTGTACAAAAGCTTTATGGCTTTATGACTATTACACACTTAATAAACTATAGAATAGTGTAAACATAACTTTTATAACAATGTAAACATAACTTTTCAGCCTAACTTTTATAACAACCTTTATAACTTTTATAACAAAAACAATGTATATACCTTAATTTAAAAATAATTTGTTGCTAAAAAATGTTAACAATTATCCGAGCCTTCAGCAAGTGGTAATCTTTTTGCTGGTGGAGGGCCTTGCCTCAGTGTTGATGGCTGCTGATTGGTCAGGGTGGTGGTGGTGGTGGATGTTTGCTGCACTGATTGACTCTTGCTTTCGTGAAAGATTCTGTAGTATGCCACACTATTTAATAGCATGTTTCCCATAGCAGAACTTCTTTCAAAACTGGAGTCAATCCTCTCAAACCCTGCCACTGCTATATCATCTAAGTTTATGTAATATTCTAAATTCTACTTTGTCATTTCCACAATGTTCACAAAATCTTTCTCATCCACAAGGAGCAACTCATTCATTCAAGTTTTATCATGAGATTGCAGGAATTCAGTCACATCTTCAATCTCCATTTCTAATTCTACTTATCTTACTACTTGCACCACATCTGCAGTTACTTCCTCTGTTGGAGTCTTGAACCCATCAAAGTCATCCTTGAGGGTTGGAATCAATTTCTTCCAAACTCCTGCTAATGTTGATATTTTGACCTTCTCCCATGAATCACGAGTGTTCTTAATTAGTCTAGAATGGTCAAGCCTTTCCAGAAGGCCTTCAATTGACTTTGCCCAATCTATCAGAAGAATCACCATCTATGGAAGCTATAGTCTGACAAAATGTATTTCTTAAATATTAAGACTTGAAAGTCAAAATTATTTCTTGATCCATGTACTGAAGAATGGATGTTATGTGAGTAGGCATGAGAACAACATTAATCTTGTGCATCTCTATCAGAGCTCTTGGGTGACTAGGTGCATTCTCAATAAGCAGTAATATTCTGAAAGGGATCTTTCTTTCTGAGCAGTGGGTCTCAACAGTATTCCTAAAATATCAAGTAAAGCATGCTGTAAACAGATGAACCAGACTTTGTCGTTCCATTTATAGAGCACAGGCAGAGTAGATTTAGCATAATTCTTAAGGACCCTAGGATTTTTGGAATGATAAATGAGAAAGTTATCAGCTGCAGTTAGCCCTTCACAAGAGAGTGAGCCTGCCCCTTGAAGCTTTGAAGCCAGGCATTGATTTCTCCTTTCTAGGTATGAAAGTCCTAGATGGCATCTTCTTCCAGTTGAAGGCTGTGTTGTCACCATTGAAAATCTGTTGTTTAGTGTAGCCACTTTAATCAATGATCTTAGCTAGATCTTCTGGATAACTTCCTACAGCTTCTACCTCAGCAATTGCTGCTTCACCTTACACTTTCATGTTATGGAGACAGCTTCATTCCTTAAACCTCGTGTATTAATCTTTACTAGCTTCCAACTTTTCCTCTGCAGCTTTCTTACTCTCTCAGCCTTCCTAGAATTGAAGAACATTAGGACCTTGCTTTGGATTAGACTTTGGCTTAAGGAAATGTTGTGGCTGGTTTGGTCTTCTATCTAGACTACTCACATTTTCTCCATATCAGCAACAGGGTTGGTTTGCTTTTTTATTCATGTGTTCACTGGAGTAGCACTTTCAGTTTCCTTCAAGGACATTTCCTTTGCACTCACAACTTAGGTAACTCTATGGTGCAACAGGCCTAGCTTTCAGCTTATCTTGGCTTTCAACATGCCTTCCTCACTAAGCTTAATCATTTCTGGCTTTTGATTTAAAGCAAGAGACTTGCAACTCTTCATTTTACTTGAACACTTAGAGCCATTGTAGGGTTATTGATTGACCTAATTTCAGTATTCTTGTGTCTCAGGGAATAGGGAAATCCAAAGAGATGGAGAGATATGGGAAAACAGAGATGGTTGGTTGGAGCATCAGAACATACACACTATTACCACCAATTATGTTTGGTGTCTTATATGGGTACAGTTTGTGGTGCCCCAAAACAATAACAATAGTAATATCAAAGATCACTGATCACAGATCACCCTAACAGATATAGTAATGATGAAAAGTCTGAAATATTACAAGAGTTACCAAGATGTGACAAAGTTAGCACGTGCTGCTGGAAGGGGCACTGATAGACTTGCTTGACATCAGATTGCCACACACTTTCAATTTGTGAAAAATGTGTTGTCTGAGAAGAGCAATAAAGTAAAGCATAATAAAACAAAATATGCCTGCATTCTCATGGAAATCTCAAAAGCCTCTCAAATAATTCAACATTCTTCAAATAGAGCTACATCTCCATGATACCAACAATAACACCCCACCTCACATGAACACTTTTACCCACCTTACATCAGTGATCCTTACATAGGGTTACTCAACTCAGTGTGTACCATTATAGTCCTTCCAGTTGTAAGCTGAGAACTGGGACTCATCCTGAATACCTCCCTCAACTTTCCCACCCTTATCCAAACCAGCACCAAACCCTGTTAATGTTAACTCTCTAGATCCATCCTCTTCTGTCAGCTTCTGCCATCATTACTCTGGTCTCATCATAACATGACTAAGCTATTGAATTAATATTTCCTACCTGGTGTTCCTGGATTCATTCTGTCCTACTTAAATTTATTGTCTACATTGAAACCAGAGCGTATTAGGGTTCTCCAGAGAGAAACACAACCAATAGGATATACATACGTACATATTTTATATATATGAGAGAGAGAGAAAGATTTATGTTAAAAAATTGGCTCACATGACTGTAGGGGCTGGCAAGTTTGAAAGCTGTAGGGCTGGCTGGTAAAGTGGGAATGCAGGCAAATTAGTTGATGTAGTTTTCAGTTCTAAATCTGCAGGATGGGCCAGCAGGCTGGAAACTCAGGCAGGGTTTCTTAGGTTGCTTTATTGAGGCATGATTGCTTCTTCTTCAGAAATCTTCAGTCTTTGCTTCTAAGGCCTTCAAAGAATTGCATGGAGCCCATCCACATTATTAAGGGTAACGTGTTGTATATAAAGTCAACGGATTATAAATGTTAATCATACCCACAAATACCCTCACAGCACATCTATGCTAGTGTTTGACCAAACAACTGGGCACTATAGCCTGGCCAATTTGACACATAAAGTTAACCGTCATGCAGGGTGACAGCTCTAAGTCTCCATTTGCTTATATGTATAATGGGAATAGCAATAATATCTATTTCACAAGGCTGTTGTTCGTGTAAATGAGTTAATATATACGAAACACCTAGAACAATACTTAGCCCACAGCATGCACTAAATGTTAACCACTACAAATATTAATATTATAAATCCGATCCTATTGACCACCTGCATAAATCATTACAATCACCTCCCATTGCTTTTAACCTCACACACCAGGCTTCTGTCTGTCTTTGCAGACTCCCACTCTCTCTGCCCGAGGCCCTCTGGATTTCATCCAGGCCCTGGTGCTCACCATTTCTCTTTCCATTGCAAGACCTTTACACACAGTGTTTCCTCTGCCTTAATGCTCTTTTCTCCCTGCATTACCTAATTAATGCCTCTTATCCGTAAGATTCCCTTCAACTGTGAAAATCTTTCCTAACTTCCTTAATGAGGTCACTTTTCTTATCATAAGCTCTCAGAATGCCATGTGTCATTCCCTCATAATACTTGTCACAGTTGGCAACTGACTGCATCTGTGTGATTATTTTAAGTCTGTTTCCATAACTAGACTCTAAATACCATAAAGCCAGAGACTATGATTGTCTTGCTTATCCCAGTATTCCCTGGGTTGCTAAGTTTGTCTGCGATAAACAAATAATGGCTTCATACATCGCTGCATGAGGCATTTACCCAGTCATAGCACCAACTTACAAAGAACAAAGAGAAGCAAGGCCCAGTCACTGTGTGAACTCATATGACCATTGCACAGCTAGAAAAATGGAAGAAAGGGACAAAATCAAGTACACAATTTGCAGCTGTATTCAGAAAAAAGGAGCCAGCTAATATTTCATAAGGCAAGAAAAACAGTACAATAAAGTCACATTAAATCATCATCAAGGGGCTCAAATTATTTGACACTTTTGTGTGCTTATAAAAAAAAACACTGTCACATAAAAATTGTGTTGAGTATAGATGTACTAAATTAAAAAATGAATCATGAAGCTCTACCTGGAACATTTGTCTGTTCACAAACACTGCCAATGTCCTCATGGAGCTTATATTCTTGTGACTACTAATGTTCCCAACTGCCTTTTTCCTTACTGTGAAGAAAGATCTATCCCTTTGAGGAGAAATCCATTAGTTATTTTGTGCCTGAGATGTTTATGTAGACAAACTCTAAATTGTAGAATAAGCTATGATTTATAGCTTACCTTTAATTCTTTTCTTAAATATTAACAAACATGTTTTGTCAGTATTTATTAAATAATAAAACATGTTTGTTAATATTTAACTCAACTTTCTGAGAGGGTCTTCTCCAGTCTAATGTCTCTATGGTCAGACACAGGAATCTGTATTTTAATTAGTTCCCCTTCTGATTCTTATGTGTCCTTATGTTGGAGAACTACTTCTAGGATTCTGGAATCTGGCTGTGCAACAGAATCACCTAGGAAGTTTCTCCCAAATACAGATAACTTAAGTTCCACCTCAGCTCTGGTGAATCAATCTCTAGGAACAGGACCCAGGATGTTCATTTTAAAGGTTTTTTTTTGTTTTTAAACCAGAACTCAGTGTAATTTTTAAATCTGGGGAACTGTGCCTTCCTTCATTTCCAAAAATTTGCCCACCATTTTTACTTCAAAAATAGCTGCTCTCCCATTCTCTCTTCTTTTTCTCTGGAAAGCACATTAGATTTTATCGAAGATTCCCTTCTCTACTCCATGTCTCTTAAATGTCCTTCCATATTTTTCATCTCTTCATTTCTGTGGATTCTCACAATTTTCCCCACATCATCTACCAATTTACTAAGTCTCTTGTCGGCTATGTCTATTCTATGGTTTTACACATATGTATTTCCATTATTATAGTTGTTTACATTCTTACTTGATTCTTTTTCATGACCAAGTCTTTTTGCCTTCTTTTTATCTCATGTGGTTCCTTACCTAGACAATGCTATTTATCAACCTCCAGTTTTGTGCGTACTGGAATGACTTCCTCCTTGTACCCCTTTCTTCCTAACCTGCCTAACTTCTTAGTACTTCAAGACTCAGCTCAGGTAATATCTCCTCTAGTAAACCTTCCTTGAACCCCAGTCTCACCTCTGCGCTCCCAGATCACCCTACATAAAGCCTGTCACAAAACATTATATTGAAAATTTATTATATATCTATTTCCCCCACAAGACAAAAGCTCCAAAAGAAAGGGATTATGCTTATTTCCTTTTGCTTTATTTACCCAGCATCTGGCTTACAGTCTGGCATATAGTACATACTCCATAAATGTTTGTTGAATAGAACTAAATTATTGAGAATCGCAGAAAAACAAGCTCTTTCTAATGAGCTGTATCCTCTCTTAAAATTTTCTCTGCTTTGGAAAGTTTAACCCGGTGAGAAAAACATGCAAGTCTTAAGCTAAAAAGTTTTTTAGTAGGTTATGTACTTGGAAAATTGGGATCAGTCCAACAGAAATGTTCAATTCTTGCTAAATGCCCACTTGACATTCCCAGGTTAAATACCACTTCTAGTAGAACTTTCCTTGTTTAATTTATAGGTTTTCTCCCACTTACTCTATCATAAAAGATAGCAATAAAAGTCCCACCAAGAAATAAAGAGAGCTATTGAGCAAAGTAATAGAGAAGTGACTAGATGCAATATTTCTTTCCTTAAAAATATGTACAGTGTGATGCCAGTTTGGGACAGAAAGAATAAACAGAAAGCATGCAAATAATCAAAGTCTGTCTAGTAACTATACTTCCCATTAAGCCTTTTCAGATAACACATCAAGATTCCTTCTTTTCATACGTTAGAATAACAGAATACTTCAAGATCCCATAAGACTTTTTCCCCCATAATAGACAAAAATTAGGTTAGCCAGCCAAAATCCCTGAGATATTTTATACCACAAAAATGACCAGTTTTCGCTTTCTTTTATAGCATGTGTATTTGTGTGTTAAGTAGACACAGGGATTAGAAAGGATTTAAAGCATTTTAAGAAGCATGGGTTACTTTTTTTTTCTTTTTTTGTGGACAGAGTTTTGCTCTTGCTGCCCAGCCTGGAATGCAATGGCGCAATCTTGGCTCACTACAACCTTCACCTTTCGGGTTCAAGCAATTCTCCTTCCTCAGCCTCCCAAGTAGCTGGGATTACAGGCATGTGCCACCATGCCCAGCTAATTTTGTATTTTTAGTAGAGATGGGGTTTCTCCATGTTGGTCAGGCTGGTTTTGAACTCCTGACCTCAGGTGATCCGCCTGCCTCGGCCTCCCAAAGTGCTGGGATTATAGGCATGAGCCACCGTGCCTGGCCCATCTTGGGTAGTTTTTGAAATAAAAATAAACTGTAATTTTAAGCTAAAAAAAAAAAAAATGCCTGGCCGGGCACAGTGGCTCATGCCTGTAATCCCAGCAGTTTTGGAGGCCGAGGTGGGCAGATCACCTGAGATCAGGAGTTCGAGACCAGCCCAGCCAACATAGCAAAGCCCCGTCTTTACTGAAAATACAAAAATTAGCCAGGCATGATGACAGGCGCCTGTAATCCCAGCTACTCGGGAGGCTGAGGCACGAGAATTTCTTGAACCTGAGAGGTGGAGGTTGCGGTGAGCTGAGACTGTGACACTACACTCCAACCTGGCGACAAAGCGAGACTCCTTCTCAAAAAAAAATTTTTTTTTATTCTTTTTATTCTCTCTGTTCCACACCTCACTTTGAACATTTGACGCTCAAAGCATTTAAACCATATGAGTTAATTCATGTGTATGTAAACCCTGAGGTGATTTAAAAAATCCCATTTGGCATTTGGAGAAAGTGAACATCAAGGCACTTGCCTCAGATTACTCTGCTGTTGATGGAGTTAGGAAAAGGACTTAGATTTTTTCCTGCTAGATTTCTTTGAAGCCTATGAAAGTCATTGAAATAACTGAAAAATGTACTGAGCGTGAAAACAGGTATGGAAACATTTTTAGTTGTTTTGATCTGCAATGAGTTTTAAGGGAGTTGTGAGTGGGAAATAAGAACCAGAAGGACTGGGTTTTTTTTCTCCAAGTCAGAGACAGAGGGAGTGCTGGAGCATTGAATGACTTGGTGCAGTTTGATACTTTGATTACTATTTCTTCATATCTACGCTAAGAAAGGAAGCTGCTATACTCCACAAATTCCTTAACTGCACTGCAATATTTATAATTTCAAAAACCTGCAATTCCTTTGCTTCAACAAATCTCTTTCTCTCTCAAGCTGAAACTGGCCTTCTACAGAAAAATGGCAGGCATGTTACATGGACCAAGTTCTCATGGGAACCTCCCCATCTGCAACATTCTGGAGTTACTGCCATCTCTACTTCCCCCAAAACATTCATGCTGGCCTCAGTGCCCTCATGGATACAAGCATACACATGCCCACAAGGACTCTCACAGCTTTTGTGGCCAGCACCTGGCTGTTACCTAAGATACTCTTTCAGTTGACAGTTGATCTTTATAGTTGTATATATCAGAACCAACCAGAAAGCCTAAAAGCCAAATTACAGTCTCATGCCCAAACTTCCCCAAACTCTGACTGAGTAGGATTAGAGAGAATCTAGAGCATGCGTATTTTTAAGAAACTCTTCAGATAGATCTGATGTGCAAATCCCAAACTATAGAACAATAGGGGAAACCTTAGCACCTCTTTTTCAAAAGAGTAGAAGATTGAAAGAAGTTCACCACTTAATTAGCTTATCTGATGGTAATTTCTTTTCTAACAGCCCCTGAATATTTATCATAAGGTTTCCTATTTCTTATACTAATGCATTGAGTTTTCCTATTTCTTATACTAATGCTTTGAGTGATGTCTGCTTGATGACTTCAGGCCTGGCTCTATCTGTCATGGAGGTTTTGCATTTCCCAATAAAAGCATTGTAAGTCACAGTGACAGTAGCATAGACTGTTCCTTTATTTAAAAAAAAAAAAAAAAAAAAGGAGGAAGGCTCTAAGTGAGACACAAAAGGAAAGCTTAACTTACAAATCTGTGATAGAAATTGTACTACCAGAACCATATAATAAGATCTGAGATGGCTTCAAAATGTCTTCCCACTTTAAGGCCTATGTGCCTCTTTGGCAACAAAAACAAAAAGTAAGTATTTTTGAAAAGAGAGAATGAAATTTATAATTAAAAGGTAAAAAGTTTCAGTTAATTTGGAAAAGGCAAGTATTGTAATTATTGTGCTACCATGATCACTACCTCAAGAAATGTCTTCTGCACAGTAACCAAGGGCTGGAAACAACCCAAGTGTTTATCCATGGATGAATGAATAAACAATATGTATACATACCATGGAATAGTATTCAGCTTTAAACAGGAAGGAAATGCTGACACATAGTACAACATAAATAAAGTGCTAGATTTGTAATGGAGTTAGAGAAGATGCCTTGCTGGAGAGTAAATTATAATGAGGACATCATGCCAAGTTAAATAAGTCAATCTCAAAATAAATACTGTGTGATTCCACTTATATGAGGTACCTAGAAGAGTCAAATACACAGAACTAGAGACTAGAATTTTAGTTGCCAGAGGCTGGAAGGAGGAAGAAACAGGTAGTTGTTGTCTATGGGTATTGGACAGTTTTGCAAGATGAAAACTTTCTGGAAATTGGTTGCACAACAATGTGCCTATATGTAATACTACCGAACTGTACACTTAGAAACGGTTAAAATTAACATGGTACATTTTATGTTATGCACTTTAAAATCACAATTAAAAAGAAAAAAAAGTCTTCGAGTTGAAAAGTCAAATTCCTTTGTGACTCAGAGTAACTGACATTGTTAGTTTAGATAAGGCACTATAAAACGGAAATTAGAGCAAGTAGAGGTCACTTTCAACTTTGACGCATAAAAACTGAGCAAAATTAAGGAGCATATTATTCATCTGTTTGTTCTTTTAAACAGTCAAAATATATGTATTTGTTGTGCATCTCCTGAGCTTTAGTTTTACAGAAGCTTGGCTGGCCTTGGGTCAGCCTCACTCTTACCTAGAAAAAATCAGAGTCAATCCAGGGTGTACCAAGGATGTATTTCTGGGCACCAAACATTTTCATATCTGAGTGGTCTTGTTTCAGGTCATTGTCGCTCCCACTATTACAAAGGATGATCAGAAAGTTTGAGTTCAAAACATAACTGATTAAATATGACTCACTTGAGTTTTCTGGGTCAGGACCATAGCAGGAAACTCACCATTTATCTACATTGGGAAATCCTCAAACTCCTCTTTATTAACAACTCATATGATTATTCCTAAATTTTACATTCTCAGACTCTGGGAAGTTGTGACACCACAAGTCACTAGTGGGAGATGAGGCAAGTGGTTTTAAGCCAAATCCACAAGTTCCCTCCCTACCTGCTATCCGTGCATATCTCCCAGAAATGAGCATGTGTTGATGGAAACAGGCTTAGAGGGCTACCAGATAGGATATTGAGATCTACTTAAAGATCCTTGCTTGGGAGTTCAGCTTCATGTGCTGTCTTTTCTGTGCTAGATTTGTAATGGAATTAGTTAAGACATCTTGCTGGTGAGTAAATTAACAAGATAGTCCTTGAATCCAACAAAACCAAAGAATAATCTGTATGTGATGATTTGTTTTAGAGCAAGGACATTTGTTTAGGCTTGTTAAAATATGCAATATGAAACTTACTAATATCTCCATAGTAAAAGTTCACATCACCACCACACCTTTCCCTCTCTCTCTGTTTACATGCTATTTACAAGTATCAAGTGCTTCTTTTATTGGGTCATGTCTTGGCAACCTAACCTTGCATACATATAACCCAATTCACTTGCAACATCACACTCTGAAATTAAACTTATGTTCTAAGGACTATTAAAAATAACTATATATAATGGCTGGGCATGGTGGTTCACGCCTGTAACCCCAGCACTTTGGGAGGCCAAGGTGGGCGGATCACGAGGTCAGGAGATTGAGGCCATCCTGGCTAACATGGTGAAACCCCGTCTCTATTAAAAATACAAAAAATTGGCCAGGCGTGGTGGCACGTGCCTGTAGTCCCAGCTACTTGGGAGGCTGAGGCAGGAGAATTGCTTCAACCCGGGAGGCGGAGGTTGCAGTGACCGGAGATCACGACACTGCACTCCAGCCTGGGCGACAGAGCGAGATGCCGACTCAAATTAAAAAAATAAATAAATAACTATATATAAATCTAAATATTCTTGTCTCTCCACCTATGAAACATGGCTTCATAACATGAACAAAAAGCTTCTCTAAATAGGGGAGAAGGATAAAACAAAAAAAGTAACTAAAATCACAGCTGAAATGTTGAGTATGAGAAATTAAACTTGATTTAGAGTGCAAATACTGCTTGAAGTTCAGACCATTTCCCCAGGTGCTCAACTACTTCCACAGAGCAGGACTGACACCTTTAAGTAAAGAAGTTTTCAGCTGTAGCAGACTATTGCTATTTTTTCCATCACCTTTCAAGGTTTGGGGTGTAGGTTGCCCTAGTGGTCAAGGACAGGTGCTTCAGGAAAGCTGAAGGGAGAGGTTAAGCTAATGATTGTCAGACTGTTAGACTCTAAGGTTTTAACTCAGAAAAACAAGGAGTGATTTTGTTTCAGTATTGGAAACATGGTTTTCTTATCATCAAATCGACAAAGACTACAGTGTCATCCATACTAGATCAGATATCTTCAGTACACATTTATAAAATTGTATGAATGTGGACAGAATTGGGAGGGACTATAAAATATGTTTGCAGTGAGACCCCCAAAGTGACCTTGTCTTGTAGCTATCAGGCAAATGAACTTGAAGGTAGTTCAGCTTTGATCACTGGGTTATATCTATCGTTGTCAAGATCACATTTGTAATTTATTTGCAGATCAACTCCTTTCTTTGCTTTGTGCCTATAGTACCCTGAGGAACTTGGTTTCTCTAAATAAAGAACAGGATAGAATTGTAGTGGCATTTGCTGTCCCCTCTGAGCTTTTTTTTATATACCGTGCTCCCTGTGTTACAACAGATAACTGAGAAGAGGAAAATCAAGAACAGAGAGCTTTCAGGGTAGGAATAACAACCAAACTGTTGAACGCTATCTGCGGTTCTAGATAAAAGTAGTTGTTCTCAGCATGTGCAGACCATTTAGCATCAGTTCTGCAGCTCAGCAATGCTACGTGGTTATGAGTACCCCAAGGAAAAAAAATCTCTGCTTCATCAACTTATTCTAACTTCTTACATTGCCCAGTCAGTTTGATATTCTAGGGAATATTACCTTTCAAGTAAAAGAGTCAAAAAGGAAAACCACATCTTGAGCTAGGAGCCAAGTTTGATGCTTTAATTTTTGGTAATTTCTCCATATGCGTTTAAATGCCCTTAGTCAAATTAACTATCACACATTGCTTCTAATGAAGTCAGTGGAAAATTTTACATTTTCTTAGGAAAAAACTTAGCTTGAGATTCTTGCCTCTACAAAACCATTTTTTGTTTGTTTCCAGACACATACTAGATGAAAGCAATGGAAAAATTAGAGAACTGACTCATTTAATTGCAGCTATATAATATTCAACTTACAGATAATACTGTAAAGTCATGTGCTCACATGATTCATTGCCAACAATTACTTTCTCAGAAGTTTTACTTATAAAGAATAAAGATTCTAAAGTATTAATATCAGTAACATTATTAACTAATACCATGCAACTCAGCAATTTTCAAAACATTCACCTACATACTCCTTTGCTTTTAACACGGAAAACATGTTTATATGAGATCACGTCCATTTCACATTAAACGTAGACATTTCTTCTATAAATGTCTAAATTAACTCTGCCACAAGAAAGCTGCAGTTTTTAAAAAAATATTGTATTTTATGGGAAAATAATACATATCACAGAAAACCTCCCACTTGGCTGTTTTCTCTAATTTCTCCTGTACAGTGTGTGAAGCTATTTCATGCTGTTATAAGCATCATTTCTCCTCTTATGATAATTTTCCTTTTCTCTACTTTGGTTTCTTTATCTTTTGTAAGTTGTTTTAAGGCCAGCTCTTGTACTTCACTGAACCTGTATCACATGAAATTTCACTGCCTTCGGGGCAGAGTGGGGTTTGTAAAGGAGAAGAATATTCATTGGGAAAGTTAATTTAATTAGGTTTTCCTTACTACACCAAAAACTCTAAAGGTGAATTAAGTACCTTGGTACTTCAATACCTCAATTTTCCGGTCCTTGAACACATGCCTGTGCTTTCTGATCCCAGATAAGTCACAGATGGCCAATAGCTATTAATTTTCTTCTGGAAGACAGCTTCAGTCAAGTTCAAAGGGAGTGCTGGACACAGAAAAAGCAAAGTATCTGACCGATTATAAAGTTATTGCTCTTCATTATTTTTGTAATCATGTTAGAAGAGCTTAGCAGCACTTTCACTAAGCAGGTATGGGAATTCTTTTCCACCACTTGTAAATTCGATCCTCTCTGGTTTCTGTGCTCTTCTACCCACGTCACTTCTTACAGATGTTTGCCAATGATACTATACCAACAACTGTAGAGGTGGGGCTAAGAAACTGAAATTGCTTCATATGTAGCTTTGGCCCTTTGGGCACTTTCTGTCCCCAAGGGGAATTGGACTGGAAAACAGCTTCCTGCCAGGCACTGCGAGGTGTGACAGTGCACTTCTCTGTCTGTTCTCAGGGTGTGATTTGAGATTGTAAGACCAAGGAGATCTTGCTTTACCAGATCTCCTCCTTGGTCTACATTTTCTTTTCACATGACCTGCTTGAGCTCTCAGTTTTTTCTTTGCTATGCTCAGCTGGTAATATGAAAAATTATTTATTGTATGATAGCTTCTTTCTTTCTCAAAAATCTTGATTATCAACTTCATTGATGTTTACTGGGTAAAAAGATTTGGCAGCATTACCCAAAGAAAAGAACCTGCAAGTAGAACCTCCTTAATCTCAGAAATGGGTTGGAATATGGCATATAGCATAATGCTCTGTGAAAACAGGTTTGCTAGTAGACATTGATCCAGCTTTTCTTTTTCTTTTTTTTTTTTTTTTCAAGTTGGCGAGATCTTAGTTGCCTAGACCGTTCTATCAACTTCCTGGACGTTTCTCCCTGTCTATGTATACTACATAAAGGGGCCAGAGCCCAGTCTTCCCTGGCTCTCTGTAAAGGGGGTTTAAGTGAAGGCTGCCTGCCAAAAAGTCCCGCTACTTCTGATACTGGAACCTTACACTTAAAAAATCTTAGGTCCCACTGCAGATTCCCATGACGTAGCCATCCCATTGCTCTTCAGTTCTTATGGCCAAGGAGCAGCATAATATGGGGTCAGAGAAGGGGGCAATAAGACAAGGAATCAGAAAATCTGGCTCTGAGTTTTGCTTCTTGGAGCTTTATATTAATGAATTTGGTAAATTATTTCATTTTCTCTGTTTCTACTTCTCCATCTTCAAAACGCTGGACAGTTTGTCCTCTAAGAGGGCATCCAATTCTGTGTCATCCAAGATTTGATGATTCCATCTGACTCTAATTCATACTCAGTGGTGAAGTCCATGTCTATAAGACTTCATGGTCAGAGGTTAGACACTGCTTTCCCTTGCTTTAAAATAGATTTATAGAATCTGAAATGCCTTGGCCAGGTGTGATGGCTAATGCCTGTAATCCCTGCAATTGGGGAGGCCAAGGCAGGCAGATCACTTGAGGTCAGAAGTTCGAAACCAGTCTGGTCAACATGACGAAACCCAGTCTCTACCAAAAAATACAAAAATTTGCTGGGCGTGGCGGTGGGCGCCCATAGTCACAGAGTGAGACTCTGTCAAAAAAAAAAAGAGAGAATCTGAAATGCCATCTTATCAAAACTCCCCACAATGTAGGACACTGGGTAAGACACTGAGGCATGCACAGCATAGTGATAGAAGGCAAAATCTGGAGATAGACCGCAGAGATTTAAATTGTGACTCACCATGTCACTTTGGGCAAGATACTTAAAACTTTTCTGTGTCTCAGTATTTGCACCTAAAAATAGGATTTATAATACTTCTCTTTCATTGGCTTGCTACAAAAATGAAATGAGGCCGGGCACGCTGGCTCATGCCTGTAATCGCAGCACTTTGGGAGGCCGAGGCAGGTGGATCATCTGAGGTCAGGAGTTCGAGAGCAGCCTGGCCAACATGGTGAAACCCCATCTCTACTAAAAATACAAAAAATTAGCTGTGCCTGGTGGCACGTGCCTGTAGTCCCAGCTACTTGGGAGGTTGAGGCAGGAGAATCACTTGAACCCGGGAGGTGGAGGTTGCAGCGAGCTGAGATTACACCACTGCGTTCCACCCTGGGCAATAAGAGCAAAACTCCATCTCAAAAAAATAAAATAAAATAAAATAAGCTAGTACATATAAAGTTCTCAGAATGATGCCTGGCATATTGTAGGTGGCCAATAACTGTTAGCACCTCTCTGGAACACTCCCAGCAATGGCCTGTCTACCACATGCAGGGGAGGGAACAGTGCCATATTTTAGGGCAAAACATTCCAATTTTTGGACAACTCTACTATTAGAAAGTTCTATCTTATCACTGGAATTCATCCCAAGTGTAAGGTTATCCCTTTATCTTGTATTAATTTGAAGTTTCTCTTAAATAAACACTTATACAGGCATCCTGGAAAGCAGAACATCTATTGTCAAATGCCACTTCTGTATCTAATAACTATTTATTTATCCTACAGAGGGAAAAAACTGAGACTTTCCTCCAACTATAGGCAAACTCTTCCCTTATAGTGAGTCAGGTTGTTTGTTGAATTACTGGGATTTCATTTTCTTTTTATTATAAATCCCAAACCTTGGGTTTCAGGAGTAACTAAAATATATTTCTATAGCATTTTGCAACATAAAATAAGATGAGTTGGGACTCAGATGGGAGGGCTACTGCAAAGAACTGAAAGGTGTTAGCTTTGATTTCCAAGATCTGACTCTCTTGGCTATCAAGCACCTACCAGTGGTCATGTGGGGTCAGGCTCTGGGTCAAGGTTAGGGTGATTCCTAAGGGTTTGTGTATCAACTAGCTCCCCAAAACTTTATCAAATTAAATAAGAAAAAGCTACGTCTTGCACTTGTGATTGTTTTTCATTCGAGGCATTTGTAAGAAAGGTTCTTCTGATCCATTCTTTGTCACTTTAGATGACTCAACAGAATGGTCACAATAACAAGAATCAATTCTGGATACTCCAAGGAAAGATACTAAAGGGAAAGAACAATACCTGGCTCAGAGTGCCCTTAGCTGGGTTCATCAAATCTTTCCTTTATTTCCTAGGGTCTCTAAAGATATCTTGGCAACTCATGCAATAAATGCCATCACACTTCACCAGCACACTTCAATGCTAAATTTTTGTAACCAAGCTGTCACATTGCCTTTCTAGGTTACCTTTAAGTAACTTAAAACAAAAACAAAAACAAAAAAACTAATGGTGCTATTGCTTAGTGCAGACTGAAGTTGTCATTGGAAAGAAAAATCAACATCTGGAAATAAAAAGACCTTGGTTCAAGTCCATTTAGCTGTCTACTCACTATACAACAAGGATTAGGTCCAGCTGAACTCTGGCAGCTCAACTTTCTTGTCTACATAGAGAGATACTAACACGGATGACAGGTTTCATCAATGGGCAGTGGCTGCTGAAAGTGCGACTAAACGATTGTGAATCCAGGGGTGCAACACAGGGTTAAAAAATCCCCAAATCAAAGGCCTGCCATGAACTGAAAAAGAACATACATGACACATATTTGACATCCCTAGACTTTATAATATTCTCCTGAGGGTATATAAATACGAAACATGTAAAATTGACTTTTAAAGACAAGTTGTATCCAAATTCTATCACTATTTATAAGTTTCATTACTATTATTGATTGGCTATTAGAAGAGAAATGCAAGGAAGAACCTATGTATACCTTCTGTATTCAAACCAAATTCTCTTTTATGTCTTCAATAGCGAGCATTTTGCTAGTGGGCCACTGAAGACAAAACCCCTTTGTTATACAGGCTCTCTAAGTGAAGGAGGCTGGGATGGACAGAGTAAATTTCAGACAAAGTGGGAGGAAGCTCTGCCCTGGCAGGCCCAAGAGAGAGCTGCCGTGAGGAGCAAGAGGCAGTGCCTTGGAGTGCTCCTCACATCATTACACGCAGGCAGCCACTGACTTTGCCTAGGCACCGGGCCAGCTCTGGCAGGAGATTGAATCAAGGCTATTTGCATGTCTGTTTTCAGAACATTAAGTTTTGTCTACCCATCCAAAGTGAGGAGATCAATGTAATCATGCAGAAAACTTAATTTCTAAAAAAAGAAGAAGAAATGAAACATCTTGCTTTCAATTAAGTATGAATTTTATTTTCTGTAAAGTATGATAACTCCCATTTTATTTTCTGTAACGTTTCAATTCTTCACTAAAACACTAAAGTATACTTAGAGAAAGTGCTTAGAAAAGATACTTTAGTGTTTTAGTGAAGAGTTGAAAATTTCTCTTATGTGTTTTAAGAGTAATGACAAAACCAGAAAGACATAACTACTACACGGCATAGTGTCGGGTAATGTCATTTCTATGTTATGTCCTTGGATCCCCACAGTAGTCCTATGACATGAATCTAAGGCTTAGAAATGTCATGTGCCAGGCAATTGGGTAATTGCCACGGTTTAAAGTATGTGGAAATACCCAGAAATTTTAAACAGTGCTGGCAACTTTGTGTTGACGCTCTTCTATGAATAGCTCCCTGGTTATTTCTAATTCTCATTAACTTGGAATAATGCAAGCCATTCAGCAATATGATACGAATAGATATTTCCTTTTCAAAACATTGCACAAATACATGATTTCCTCCCTCTTTCCACCCGGTAGGAGAAGTAGGAAAAGAGCACGGTAATAGGAATTTACCTCCAAGCTATAAAGCCTTCCTATCCTTTCAGTAATCACCAAAGAGAGTTCCTAGTTACTAAGGAGACCATAATAGACTGCATTAGATTCAAGTATGACATTTGGGTTGCCTGGCTAGTGAACGCCAAACAGCAAGGAAAATATTATTGTTGCTGAAATCATTTGATGTCTATGACTAATAAAAAACATGTTGGCAAATTGAATTGTTTGAAATGCCCAAAGGGCTTGGTTAAAGCTATGAATTAATAGCAAAGAGCAGTTCTTTCTGGAGAAAAGAAAAAAAAAGATGAAGATGTTGAACTATTTTTAAATGTATCTGAGTAATCAAAAGGTCTCAACAGAAATGTTAGACAGCCAATCTAAGTCTTTTATCCAATTTTTAATTTAAATTTCATTTTCTCCTCCCTTATAGCTAAATAATAAAGTGATATTTTGGTTCACATTATCCTTGAATTCTAAGGGACGCACAGGCTTTGTTAACCTTCTTATCTAGCTTCTCACAAATACCAGAATTATCTTTAAAGTATACCAACTGTACCAACCCTGGAGGCTTTGAGGGCTGAGATGTCCATTTACTCATGTGCTGTGCCCCTCGGGGAGCTGGAGAAAGCCAGAAGTGGAAAGAGTTGAGGGAAGCCCAACTTCCAGTGACCTCTCAACCCAAGTCCCACAGGTCACCAAGGGCCTGCCTGAAGATGTCCATCCAGTCCCTGCTTGATCTTTCCCAGAGCAGGAGGTCTTTGCCAGGATGCATCCTATCCTGTTCTGGATGCAGCTCTGATTGTGTGGAGGGCTCTTTCTCATGTTGTGCCAACATCTGCCTCCTCATGGTTTCTACCCATTGTTCTTCATGTTATCTTGAGAACAACATTGTTTGACTCAGCTTCCTCTCCTTTTGAATAGTCCCTTAGGTAACTAAAGTCAACTGCATGACTGCCCTGTATGCTGTAATGTCTTCTCCAAACTAAATAGTCTCAATTTCTTTCTCAGATTATAAGGTAAATATACAAATATATAATAGTAAGAAGAGACAGAACATATAATCACCATAAAAGACAGACAGCAAAGTGGTCTGGTAATTGAATATTTTTTTAAAAAGAGTTAAAATTTGTACCTAGAAAGGTGAAATTCTTAACTGATATTGAGAACCCCTGTGTCTGTCCACTGAGTTCCTGCATTCTATCCATCAAATTATTCCATCAAAATGAAAATGTAGCTTGGTAAGACTTTTTCTTAGTGACAGACACCATGCCAGCTCCTAGTGACTGTTCATTAATTCTCACCTCACTGCATTTATTTTTTCTTGTGTTTATTTACTGTCAATGCATACTTTGAGAAAAGTTTCTGGAAAAATACATATCTGCATATGAATAGTTGTGACATGATTTGAGAATTTGAATACCATTTATTAAGAATTAAGGGAGGGGCAATGTAAGGAAGATAAATCTTCAGTTCTTTCTCCCCCTAATATCTTATAATGAAAAATTGCAAACATACAAAAAAGTTGAAATAATTATATAGTAAACACCCATATAACTCAAAAACTAGATTCTATAGTGAATATTTTACTATCTTCGGTTTAACACGTATCTATTGTTTCTCTATCAAACTGTCTTATTTATGCATTTCAGTGCAACTTGCTCTCATCAGCACACCTAGTCCTTAACATTTCAGCACACATATTATTGTTAGTTCTTTTTGGACACTTTCTAGCACTCCCTTCACAATCTCTCTTGCCTCATTTTCCCTCATTCTCTCCACTTTCTCAATTTTCATTTCTGTGCCCTTCCTCCTACTCTATATCTCCAAAGTTCTAAATTGTAAAAAGAAAGTGTAGAAATTTGAGCATGGAACAGTATTGAAGTGGAAAAGGTCAATGGTTACCATCCAGGACCTCACAAGGTGCTGTCACCACAGGCCTGGGATAGATGAGATCCTCATGAACAAGTTGATCCAAACCAACTCACCAGAGACAGAGGTATATATTAAAATGCCAACTTAATAATTGAAAAACACAGCTGTCCAGCTGTCAAATACCCAGACATATTTCTTGGTCAGCTTGGTCTCTCCTGAATTAATCTACATGACAGGCCAAATTATGAAGGCTTTCAGTGAATGGAGGCTCAGAAGAAGGGAATTCATTAGAAGGTCTTCATGACTTGGAGGCAGAGACTATCAGCCTTCATGTTTCAACAGCTGGCCAGCATCGTGTCTGACACCCAGAGGATGCATTCTAATAATTAGTGCCACCTCTTTACAAGTACTGCCATGAAAACCAGGCCTCTGTGTTGTGGCTCACGGTACCTCTCACCTGGATTGTGCTGGCTGAACCCTGCCTAATTCTACCCTCTAACTCCCCTTAAAGAAGTTCCATGACTACCATTCTCCTTCGAGTAACACATTTCTTTTAGCCATGTTCATGCCATTAACTAAGCTTTAGTGAAGTGCTGATCTTCCTGTTTGGGGTCTAGAAGATAACCTGATCTGGGTGACCTCCCAAAGGTTTAGATCTCATAAATCATCCAGATGATGTATGTAGTTGTACTGGCAACAAAGCAAAAAGTGAAATGAGGGGTCTTTGAAATGAGAGGCCTGTTTCTATTTAAGACCATTTTTGATAAATTGATTTTACTGGTGTTACTCTCAAAGAGGAGAGTGGTTCCCTACTGCCTGAGTATAGTGCCTTCAGAGGCCAGGGAAGAATATGATCTTACCTAGTGAGCAAAAACCATCCCTTCCCTATCTCAAGATTTATGTCTGATAAGAAATGTTAGTAGATTATTTTCCCGGCTTCCTAATTACCAGCCCACAAAGACTTGGCAAGGTGAGCTCTTCAGTGGAAAGGTAGCTATACAAAAGCAACACGAAAGCGCAAATGCAACACCTTTCACAACAGACAGCTTCTCCAAAGTTGCAGATAAATCCAATTTTAATGAATCAAATCTACTCTGAAACCCTAAAAGGAACTTTCGAGTCATGAAGTCTCGAGGTGAATCCTTTGATTATGTAACAAGTTCCTAATGCAGTTCTCCCAAAGATTTCGATCTCATAAATCAAATTATTTTAGAGTAAGGCATTCCTGTTCATTACTGCTTAAAAACCATTCTTATGCTTGACGCTTTCTTACCCTTGACACTTTCCCTGTATGGATCCCATACTAAATATCAGAAAACACCAGCGTTTGGTGGTCGTATCACACTTTAGAGTGTATTTGAAAGCAAACCATTATGGTGTTGAGGGGGAAATGACTTAGAATCAAGGCTCTATTTCATATGAGTCTACTTACAGATGGGAAAAAAAATCTGATACTAGTAGGCATTAGTACCTCGGTGGCAAATGCCAACTGGCAAGTAGAGTTCTTCTAACTGCCTCTATTATAAGCAACAGGGTTCTGACCCAGGTAAAAACTCTTCAACAGTGTAAAAGATACTATGATGAAGAGAGTGGGCTTTTTTTTGTTGAGGGTTCAAACACTCTGACAGGAGCACATACACTGTTTCACAAACCTCAAACAGGACTCAATCTAGATAAACAGGGAGTGTTTCATCTAAGCAGGCTTCAAAGGCAGTGTTTGTTCAGACATCATTCATTCCTTTTATTTCTTTGATGCGTCTGTCCCTAGTGATGGAAACTCTTATTTTTTTTTTTTTTAAGAAACTAAAGCATGAAAAGAAAGTGAAAAAACTACAGACTGATTTGGCAACAGCTAATGCCATCACAGTTCTGGAACTCAATGAGAAGATAAAGACTCTATATGAAGGAAAGCCAGCCCCTAGAGGTCAGTATTACCACGTGACAGATCCACACTGGCCCGTCAGCTGGGTGATGTATGTAGTTGTATTGGCAACGAAGCAAAAAAAACGAGGCTACAGGCCTGGTCTGACCTCTGTGTGGCACCAGTAGAGACAGCACATGAACTACTAACTCCAGGCTGGATTCACTTTCACCTTGAGAGGGGCAGGGAATGAATAAGCGGTTTGCTCGTTAAGGGAAAGTCTGTGAGGCTGAAGAGCTAGACTGAAATAGATCTGAGAAGTGTCACTGCACAAGCTGGGTGGTAGCAGGGGGAGGGCAGGGCGTAAGAAGGAAGGCAGGTGCCTGCAGGGACTGAGCTCTGGAGTGAGACAGAGCTGTCTGAAAGCACAGGCTGACAGACTAGGGCACAGGGAAGAGAACAGAATTTTTTTTTTTTTTTTTTTTTTACCAATAGGCAAATGAACCAGAAACAAGCAGAGAAGGCTGGCTGGAGATGAAATGTGGGTAGTTCAGAAAATTGTTAATAGCCACATTGGTTCTGACTTTTTAAAAAAAGACTTCTCCAGCTAACAAATTATAAACACACCATTAGGCAACAAACAAGCAAACAACAAACAAAAAAACTCCAAATCTCAGACTGTAATTTTAGCAAGAATACTAGTTAACAATTAATACAGTGCTATGGGCCAGGTATTTTGCTAAGCATTCCATGTCTATTTAATTCTAAGAATAACCTCTAAGGTAAGTACATTTAAGAATTCCCTAAGAATAAGCAGAGGCTTAGAGATGTGTGTTACCTTGCCACTGCACAAGCAACACTTGGAGAGTCACCCTCTAGAGCAGCCGCTGACCATACCCTAGTGTGCCTTTCCCAGCTTTGGGAGACTCAGGGCATTCCCTCTGCTATGTCACAGTAATATCAAACTTCACTCCTGCCTGGTGAATCTCTTGCAAAGCTGTGGTTCCTGGGAAAAATGTCTTCCTTTGATGTGTGCCACTCTTGCAAAGCCAGGAACATGCCATCGTTCTTACTCTGGCTTTCTTTATTACTCATGAGTAATTGTGGAAAAAGAGGAGCAATGCAGAATCAAATGGAGGAGGAGGAAGCAGGCGATGTGGTAGTTTCAGAAAGGGAGACACTCCCAGCACCTGACTACATGGTAAAGCTTTTCATGTGAATTTGATATTCATTTTCAATTTCGTATAGTGCTTTCCCAGGATTCAAATGCCATGTAACATTGTGAACTTGAAACAGTTTTTTCTTTCAATGAAACAACATAAAGGCAGTTTGTAAATTTGCTTTTACCACCATGAAACCTAAAAGAATAAAATCCGTCACAGAATATTATCCATTTAAAAGTCCTTATTCTGAGGCATTAGCCAGATTTTCCACTGGTTTCATTAGAAGAAACTGACAATGATTGTAGAGCACATTGGAGAAAGTTCCCCAGCTCGCTTACGAGAAGCTTTCAACTTTTCAATTGCGTTTTAAACCCGGTGCAAAAATATATATATATAATCGCAAGGTCTCTAATTCTTATTAGTTTCATTTTTTTCAATATTATTTACTGTATAATGACAATTTTGTTTCTTGGATATTTTGATAGGGCAAAATTTAAATAATACTGAGGGACTAGAACTCTAATGGCTTGGGATAGGGAAGAAAACATTAAATCTTACCCTTTTTTTGCCCATTATTCTCTTTATTTTTGTGGATTTTTTTTTTAAACTACCTGTATAGAAAAACATGGGTATTTATGAACAGATGCAAATTTAAAATTTAAATAAAGCCAGTCATTGTAAGATCCATTATGGATCAAAACAGTGATTTTCTTTTGGAGCTACATGTTGCTTCTCTTATTTGGTGGGGAAACTAAGTCAGTCGACTGACATCTAGCACTAAGATCCTAAATCAAATATTTGCACATTCTTGCTCTTCCACAGGCCCCTTGCAGCCTCACCCACATTCAATAGTCCGGGAGGTTGTCAAGGCCATTGTTGTCCCAGAATAATATTAACTGGCATTCTCAGAAATCTGGTCACCTTGGCCTCTGAATTCACTTCAGAATAAAGTGTGAAAAGATGTCCAGTAACTTTAATACACAATGACCCCTATTTAATCACAGGACAATGAGGGCTGGCCCACCCCCCCACACACATATTTCTGGACCTAGAACACCACCACTCCCCTGATTATCTTGTAAAATGTTTGTTTTGGGTTCTCAGACCTCTGTTTGCAAATGAAAGATGCTCCAGTCATAACAGCTTAAGGAGAAAGGGTGATTTACCGGCACATGTAAACAAACCAAGAGAGAGCATTGCACTAGCCTTGGAGTAAGATGGATTCCAGTCTAAAGTACCATCAGGAAACACTGTGTCACTCATCTCTGCTTCTCTCTAAAGATGGATTCCAGTCTAAAGTACCATCAGGAAACGGTGTCACTCACCTCTGCTTCTCTCTGCATTGAGACTTGATTCTCTCAGGCTAGACTTCAGAAGAGAATGGAAATATGGCCACAAGCAGCTATGGGCTGCCCTCCTTATCATATAATCTCCAGGGAAGAAAGAAAGCATTTTTCCACTAACTCTAGTTGGAAAGTGCAAGAAAGAACTCAGTCCTAGCTTAGGTTGGGTACCCATCTGTGGATATGAACCAATCTTTGTGGCCAGGGCTGAGGAAATAAGGTTGAACAAACTGTGGTCATGTCCCCACCACTGGGTGGCAGGGTAGAGGGAGTAAATGTGGGGAAGGAGAATGCTCCAGCTGGCAGCTCCTACGAAAAGCACAGAGCTGGATTAGGAGAAATCCACTTTCTTAAAGGAATATCTCATTACTGGAAAGGAGTGATAGGCAAAACCAATATCTCCTAGCCAGGCATGGTGATGCATCCCTGTAATCCCAGCTACTTGGGAGGCTGAGGCATGAGAATTGCTTGAACCTGGGAGGCAGAGGTTGCAGTGAGCTGAGATCGTGCCACTGCACTCCAGTCTTGGTGAAAGAGCAAGACTCTGTCTCAAAAAATAAAATGAAATTGCCTTGGCGATGCGGGCTCTTTTTTGGTTCCATATGAACTTTAAAGTAGTTTTTTCCAATTCTGTGAAGAAAGTCATTGGTAGCTTGATGGGGATGGCATTGAATCTGTAAATTACCTTGGGCAGTATGGCCATTTTCATGATATTGATTCTTCCTACCCATGAGCATGGAATGTTCTTCCATTTGTTTGTATCCTCTTTTATTTCCTTGAGCAGTGGTTTGTAGTTCTCCTTGAAGAGGTCCTTCACATCCCTTGTAAGTAGGATTCCTAGGTATTTTATTCTCTTTGAAGCAATTGTGAATGGGAGTTCACTCATGATTTGGCTCTCTGTTTGTCTGTTGTTGGTGTATAAGAATGCTTGTGATTTTTGTACATTGATTTTGTATCCTGAGACTTTGCTGAAGTTGCTTATCAGCTTAAGGAGATTTTGGGCTGAGACAATGGGGTTTTCTAGAGCAATCCTAAGCCAAAAGAACAAAGCTGGAGGCATCACACTACCTGACTTCAAACTATACTACAAGGCTACAGTAACCAAAACAGCATGGTACTGGTACCAAAACAGAGATATAGATCAATGGAACAGAACAGAGCCCTCAGAAGTAACACCGCATATCTACAACTATCTGATCTTTGACAAACCTGAGAAAAACAAGCAATGGGGAAAGGATTCCCTATTTAATAAATGGTGCTGGGAAAACTGGCTAGCCATATGTAGAAAGCTGAAACTGGATCCCTTCCTTACACCTTATACAAAAATCAATTCAAGATGGATTAAAGACTTAAACATTAGACCTAAAACCATAAAAACCCTAGAAGAAAACCTAGGCATTACCATTCAGGACATAGGCACGGGCAAGGACTTCATGTCTAAAACACCAAAAGCAATGGCAACAAAAGACAAAATTGACAAATGGGATCTAATTAAACTAAAGAGCTTCTGCACAGCAAAAGAAACTACCATCAGAGTGAACAGGCAACCTACAAAATGGGAGAAAATTTTCGCAACCTACTCATCTGACAAAGGGCTAATATCCAGAATCTACAATGAACTCAAACAAATTTACAAGAAAAAAACAAACAACCCCATCAAAAAGTGGGCGAAGGACATGAACAGACACTTCTCAAAAGAAGACATTTATGCAGCCAAAAAACACATGAAAAAATGCTCATCATCACTGGCCATCAGAGAAATGCAAATCAAAACCACAATGAGATACCATCTCACACCAGTTAGAATGGCTATCATTAAAAAGTCAGGAAACAACAGGTGCTGGAGAGGATGTGGAGAAATAGGAACACATTTACACTGTTGGTGGGACTGTAAACTAGTTCAACCATTGTGGAAGTCAGTGTGGCGATTCCTCAGGGATCTAGAACTGGAAATACCATCCCATTACTGGGTATATACCCAGCCATCCCATTACTGGGTATATACCCAAAGGACTATAAATCATGCTGCTATAAAGACACATGCACACGTATGTTTATTGCGGCATTATTCACAATAGCAAAGACTTGGAACCAACCCAAATGTTCAACAATGATAGACTGGATTAAGAAAATGTGGCACATATACACCATGGAATACTATGCAGCCATAAAAAGTGATGAGTTCATGTCCTTTGTAGGGACATGGATGAAATTGGAAACCATCATTCTCAGTAAACTATCCCAAGAACAAAAAACCAAACACTGCATATTCTCACTCATAGGTGGGAATTGAACAATGAGATCACATGGACACAGGAAGGGGAATATCACACTCTGGGGACTGTGGTGGGGTGGGGGGAGGGGGGAGGGATAGCACTGGGAGATATACCTAATGCTAGATGACGAGTTAGTGGGTGCAGCGCACCAGCATGGCACATGTATACATATGTAACTAACCTGCACAATGTGCACATGTACCCTAAAACTTAAAGTATAATAAAATAAATAAATAAATAAAATGAAAATAAATTAAAAAAAAAACAAAACATCTCCAATACACCTTCAGCTGGTGGTCAAGTTAAAATATAGTATAGGCCAGGCACGGTGGCTCACACCTGTAATCCCAGCACTTTGGGAGGCAGAGGTGGATGGATCGCCTGAGATCAGGAGTTCGAGACCAGCCTGGCTAAAATGGGGAAACCCTATCTCTACCAAAAATACAAAAACTAGCTGGATATGGTGGTGGGCACCTGTAATCCCAGCTACTCCAGAGGCTGAGGCAGGAGAATCACTTGAACCTAGGAGGCAGAGGTTGCAGTGAGCCGAGATTGCACCACTGCACTCCAGCCTGGGTGACAGAGTGAGATTCGAGCTCAAAAAATAAAATAAAATATAGATACATACATACAGTGTAATACTTAATGAGCAACCCATACCATGGGTATTTGTACTTTAAAAGTCGATTCTTCTCAATGAACAAAAGACCTTCATGATCTAAGAAATAAATCTCCAGTGGTATAATTTCAGACCCCATAATAAATATTTCAGACCCCATGATAAATAGAGAGTGAACCACTTTGGAAAAGGAGTCCCCTTCTAGCCTTCAGTAAGTGATACATGGTCACCTACTCTGAAGGCTTGCTTTGTTGTAACAATTATATGGCAAGAAGGGGAAAAAAGTGTTGATTCTAAGTGACATTTGTTACCTAGATTAATATTCAGCTATTTCTCTGTTATAGTTACAAACTGATGCTTACAGTTCTAACAAGCAGATTAATGAAATGTTTCCAAATAAATTAGAACTCCTTTTTACCTCTGTGTGATTTTTCCTTGCTTGGTTCATTTTCTAAGCAGTCTATAGGTCATTCAGGTCTGTCATTCAGGTCTTCTGATCAGAGGGATCAGAGGGATGTTCCAAAATATTAGGAATATTTTTAGGCATATTCATATTCAAATTAATGAAACAGTGTGCTACCAAACTTCTTTCTTTTTAAAAACATAAACACAGTAAACTATTTCATTGGCAGTGTGCTTAAATTACCTCCAAGGAAATAAACGATTTAAGTCGATGGAAAGTTCAGCTGAAAAGAAAAGCCCCTTTATTACAAAACTGGCACAGCAGGAAACTTACTTACAGCCTGAGTGTTGTTTGTTGATTTTACTTTGTTCAAATAATCACAACCCAAGGCGGATTCCTTCCATCATTTCCACACCTGAAATGCTTACAGCTCTATTTAGCAGAACTCAGTAAAACACCTATTGTATCCCTTCAAAGCTTGAGTCCACCTTTTGGTACACTTCAGTATGCAGGAACCTAAGGTTAAATTTTAAAACAATCCTTGTGACCGGTTGTGGTGGCTCACACCTGTAATCCCAGCACTTTGGGAGGCCAAGGTGTCTAGCCTACACATGCATGTCCCCATTATCCCAATGAAAGTCCTGGCAACTCTAAAGTTACCTCTTTGTTTTACTCCCATTAAGGAGGTACTCCTCAGGTAGTGCTGGTACATTCCAGGGTAGACTTATCCAAGACTCAATGTCTGAATCGAGCCAGCTACACTTTTGAGGGGAAGCCTGTAATGGGATTGACATTTTAGTGATTTTTCAGTGACACATAACTTTTTAAACACTACACAACTTATCCCATTTATTTTAAGTATCAAACTATTGCTATCCTACATTCTTGAGAAAGTCCGGAAATATATTTCTTTGCCGACACCCCAGAGCCAATTCTCATTAATATTTTAAAGTGTATCTTTTATCATGATGCCCACCCCTAGGCACTCAGCTCAAACCTCTCTCTTGCAATATTCTTTTTACCTCTCCACCTGTGAAATTCCTCAGGATCAAAGTTCCTATGGCAACTAGGTGTTAGGAAAAGAGGGATTTGGAGGTGATAAAAATGTTCTGGAATTAGATATAGCAATAGTTGCACGGTATTTTTAATATAGTAAAGCCATTGAACTGTACACTTTAAAACGGTTAACGTGGTGAAATTTATGTTATGTGAACTTTATCTCCATTAGAAAATAAAAAAACAGTGATTAAAGCAATCCTCACTAACACTGACTAACAACCCTGTCAAGTGTAAGTGTATTTTAAAGAAAGTGCGTTGGGCCTAAATAAAATCTTGAGTTGGCAGCATTCCAAGCATTTAGAGAGAGGTCATGTTAATATTTATTGGAATAAGACTAGGCGTGAATAGTTGTCCACTTGGGTGTAGGTCTGTTGAACAATGTCACCTTTTCCTCTTCTAATTTCTCCCAGCCTAGCTCTTTCAAAGCTGTTATTCCCCAGACTAGCAACCAATTATTTGACCAAGAGTTCTACAGGTAACCTTCTTTCACCACTGAAAACAGATATTTGTTTTACCAGTCTACCTAGGGTTTTCTAAGAAAGTAACTAGTCTGGTCTTGGAATTTCACTGTTTGAGATGCTGGGACTTCGTCAAAAACCACTGCTCACCATCATCAGACTTTATGGAGCTCAGGTTGATATGTAGTCAAAAGCACAGTGTTTTTGCACTCTGCTCCCTACTCTCTACTATGTCCAAGGGTGCTATTGCCTTGACAGAAAATGACAAGAACTTATGAAAACAAAAGGCAGAGATGTCTCCCCCACAGGAATCATTATCCCACCATTTGCAGGAAGGAATTTACTTTTACAGCACTACCACTGAACTTTCAGATACAGAAGCTATACCAAGATGGGATATTTTACATTTAGACCAATACACACCAGCAATTAACAGTGGGAAAAAATAAGAGAGCATAGGAGTGATCAGTTAAAGGTGTACTTTCTAAATATGATAAATTCCTAAGGAGTTTTGATATTTGCCTTACAGAAATAGCTCATATTTAACTAAAAAGTTAAATGTTAAAAAATCTATAGGTCTCATTCAGAGATTGCCTGTTAGTTATCTCTTCCTTTGTCCACTGAAAGTATTTTCCTGAAATAGAGCCACTATATCCCTAAACCAAAATCTTCTTCCTGATTTCAGAACTTCCCGCAAGGATAAGCATCTGTTTCAGGAGTCCCTGCAGAGCTTAGAGATTTATTGCACAGAAGATCTCAGGAAATGTTACTTCTTCCAGCTGGAGGCTGTGGCCTAATTCAATATGTACAAATTTAGTGTGATTGTGATTTTCAAAATGTCATTTTAGAGACCTGTAGGCTTAAATAGCACTGACGTAAAAACTAAGCATTGATCAGGACTTTGTTGGTTGCAAGTGACAGAAACCAAAATGAAACTAGTTGAAGCAGGAAAGGGATGTATGAGCCGCTCAGGCTGGTAAGGAGGCTGAACCGCGGGCTTTCTAGACTCCTCCGATGGCCCCTCCTTGCCTATTGACCCCACGTGGACTACTGCAGGCACAGAAAGGGAAAGGGTCCCTTGGCTGTCCAGGCTTAACAGTCTATAGTGAACATTTGTTGTTTCTACTCAGAACCACTTCCCCGTTCTTTCAGTAACAGAGGCATGATTTCTGTTACTGAAAGAAGAGGCTGAGGCAGGAGGATCACAAGGTCAGGAGATCCAGACCATCCTAGCTAACACGGTGAAACCCTGCCTCTACTAAAAATACAAAAAATTAGCCAGGCGTGGTGGCGGGCGCCTGTAGTCCCAGCTACTCGGGAGGCTGAGGCAGAAGAATGGCGTGAACCCGGGAGGCGGAGCTTGCAGTGAGGCGAGATTGTGCCACTGAACTCCAGCCTGGGCGACAGAGCAAGACTCCGTCTCAAAAAAAAAAAAAAAAAAAAAAAAAAAGAAGAGGGAAGAGACTGCATCTCAAAAAAAAAAAAATACAGAAAGCTATCTTATATCATTACCATATATTCTTTTTTTTCCTTAGGTAGTTAGCACTGGCTTATGGTACTTGCAATCAAGGAACATTAATTCACACCCAACTCCAGGTAACAGAGCTTCCACAGTCTACAAGGAAATCTCAGAGAAGGAATTTGATTTCCCTGCTCATACCACTTTCTAACTCCTTAGATCAATTACTGCGGCCAAGGCAATGGGATATTATCCTGGACCACACCTGAGTCATGTGCCAGATGTGAAGGGCTAGGGAGTGTTATCAGATAAAAGAAGATGGGGAAGCTTTCTGGATAGAAGACAAAATACACCTCTCACTGTGCCTTCTAACCTGTTTTAGTTAAACCTTATAAACTTGGAGAAGACAACCATCCACTGTTTTATCTTGTCAGGAAAGTACAACATTTCTCTTCTTTTTTCTCCCTATCATTTTTACACTACTTATTTAGGTCCTTCCTTTGCGAGAGGTCTGGAAATCTATTTATTTTGTAATTAACAAAGGGCAAAAAGATCTACCCTGAAATTTTTGGTTGGGGTCCAGTGTTTTCTAACTACACCAGCTGTGGGAATTCAATGATGTCAAGGTCCCCTCCCTCCTTTGTTTATAAGACTAATTTTGGAATTATACCATTATCAGGAAATGGTGTTCCCTTCCTTCTGTCCATTCCTTAGGAATGGTACTTTTTGTTTGTTTGTTTAAAAAAAAAAAGTCTTCTTCCCTCTGTATCCAGAGAGGTTGGATGAAGGGCAAGCACCAGCTAAATGTCAGACAAAGCACAAGGGAATTGGAGCTTGATCAATTTCAAAGGTTTCGTTCTTAGCTACAGAGACTGCTCTGATTACCTGAAGGGCATGTACTGCTTGGGAATGCTGCTAAATAGCTCAGACTGGAGCTGGGGAGGAAGATACTTCCTTCCAGGATATTTGCAGAACAGTCTTGGGCACTCCTTTGTCAAACATCAGCAGATGGACATCAATTTGTCAACATAAGCTGAATTGGAGACTTTGGGGTTGCAAACAATTGGCAGCCAGCTGTCAGTAGTGGAGCAGCTGTCCCTGGTATAAACCACTTGTTGACAAAGCAGAAAAAGTGAATGGTATTCTCTCCTGTAGCTCCCCAGAAACCTCACTATTATTTTATTTAGTAACTCAGTGTTTCCTTATAGGAGGTTAAGGATAGAGATTAGCTACATTGGTCATATGAATACATTTGGAGGAAAGAGTAGATACTTCTAGGGAGCTTGAGCTTATCAAATCAAATTTAGAAAGGATGCACAAAACCAAATCCTGCTGGACAAGCAGGAGACTTCTGTATGAAGGCACAGCATTTATTTCTGGCCAGTGGGATAATGTTATATGTATCTAATATGTATATTAGATATATACCTCTGTGCATTATGGTAATCTATGTGTATATGGTAATTTACTATGGTATTCTAAAGATACACTGGCTTGGACCAGATTACCCTACTATGCCTCTAAATTCCTCAATTAAATAAAGCCATAATTTGATATTTGCCAAAGAACATATGATTAAAAAGAAGAAATGTAAGAGGAACAGCATTCATTGCTCCTTAGTTGCCTCGTATGCAGTTGGATCCCAGAAAAAGTGTATTATTAACTCAGGCAAGCATAAGAAACAGGTCTGGCAAGACTGAAAATGTTACTGCTCTTCTGCACGTGCTTTTCTTAATCCCAGAAACTGTGGCTATAAATGTCCCCGACTCCCCAGTTTTCCACTAAGACCTGGAAGTCCTGCCATGCCAAGCTATCATCTGAATCTGGGCACACCAATAGAGCATCTGCTCCATAAAGATGGTCAAGACATGTTCCGGGGCTACTTTTTTCCCTGGCTTTCCTGGTAAATAAGGAAGGAGCCCCATTCCTATTCTAGAGAACTTTGAATAGAACTTGGCAAACAAAGGAAGGAGGAGCCCTCAGTCACAGACTGAACTTGTATTATTATACAGTTGACCCTTGAACAACATAGGTTTGCATTGTGCTGGTCCACTTATACCCAGATTTCCTTCTGCCTCTGCCACCCCTGAGATGACAAGACCACCCCTCCTCTTCCTCGTCCTCCTCAGATGCTGAGGATGAAGATCTTGGATCCATTTATCTACTTAATGGATACTAAATATGTTTTCTCTTCCTTATGATTTTCTGAATAACATTTTCTTTTCTCTAGATGACTGTGTTATAAGAATACAGTATATGATACATATAACACATAAAATTTGTGTTAACCAGCTGTTTATATTATCAGTAAAGCTTCTAGTCAACAGCAGGCTATTAGTAGTTCAGTTCAGTTTTGGGGGTGTCAAAAGTTGTATGTGAATTTTTAACTGTGCAGGAGGTCAGAAACCTTAACCCCTGTGTTGTTCAAGGGTCAATGGTAAATTGATTGATTGTAACTCAAAAAGGTAGATTGCTGAGGCCAAGGAAATGAAAGGATGCAAAGAGAAATGGCAAGAGAAATAGATGTATGCTTCAGGAATGAAAGAAAACAAGAATTGTTACCAGTCTTCAAAGGCAGAACAAGTACTTACAAGACAGATCAAGGGGATAAAACTTAGCTCTATAGAATCTCTATGTTATAATCTATATTATCTTAACTCTTAAAAAGGCTGGGTGTGGTGGCTCACACCTGTAATCCCAGCACTTTGGGAGGCCGAGGCAGGCTGATCACTTGAGGTAGGGAGTTTGAGACCAGCCTGGCCAACAGGGGGAAACCCTGTCTCTACCAAAAAATACAAAATTTAACTGGGTGTGGTGGTGCATGCATGTAATCCCAGCTACTCTGGAGGCTGAGGCATGAGGATCACTTGAACCCAGGAGGTGGAGGTTGCAGTGAGCCGAGATCGTGCCACTGCACTCCAGCCTGGGTAACAGAGAGAGACTCTGTCTCAAAAAAAAAAAAAAAAAAAAATCCCCAAATGTATAAGGCAATAGGATGGCAAAATTCTTTATCACACTAGGCTGTCTATAATAGGATTCTGACTTCAGGGAAATGTGTCATCCTCTAAGTTGACTCACAATACATCAACCTATTTGAAAAACAATGCCTTCCAGTCCCTTTATCCCAGCTGACCAGAACAATTTTGATGGCTCTTCAGAGTAAATAGGTTTTTGTAACTTTGGATGACTGCCAAAACCTCTGGAAAATTTCTGACAATATGTAGTTAATTTTTATTTCATTTTTGTAAGGTTTTGCCACAACCAGACATTATTCATTTTCATTTTAAATTATGTGTAACATTAATTAATTCATAATTTTTATTAACTATTTTTTTTTTTTTTTGAGACAGAGTTTTGCTCTGTCACCCAGGCTGGAGTGCAGTGGCACGATCTCGGCTCACTGCAAGCTCCACCTCCTGGGTTCATGCCATTCTCCTGCCTCAGCCTCCCAAGTAGCTGGGACTACAGGCGCTCACCACCATGCCCGACTAATTTTTTGTATATTTAGTAGAGACAGGGTTTCACCATGTTGGCCAGGATGGTCTTGATCTCTTGACCTCGTGATCCACCCGCCTCGGCCTCCCAAAGTGCTGGGATTACAGGCACGAGCCAGCGCGCCCAACCTTATTTACTATTTTTTAAAGATTAACAAGCTTTCAACATGAGAACTCCTTTAAAATACATATTTTTAATTTTCAATTTTTAATACCTTATATATGTATTGTGATCGTATTGTTAGATCTAAAAGTCAGGACAGCCGGGTGCAGTGGCTCCCGCCTGTAATCCCAGCACGTTGGGAGGCCAAGGTACATAGATCACTTGAAGTCAGGGGTTCGAAACCAGCCTGGCAAACATGGTGAAACCCCACCTCTACTAAAAATACAAAAATTAGCCAGTCATGGTGGTTGGTGCCTGTAGTCCCAGCTACTCAGGAGGCTGAGGCAGGAGAATCACTTGAACCTGGGAGGCAGTGGTTGCAATGAGCCGAGATTGCGCCACTGCACTCCAGCCTTGACAACAAAGTGAGACTCTGGCTCAAACAAACAAAAAAAAAAGTCAGGACATCTCTTGACATAAATTCTCACGTATAAATTTACATTCATACTCAAAGATATTTGAAATCAGGACCATGCTCCTGAATACTAGATCTAGTATCACTATACTTCTAATTCATATAGGATTGCAGGAGAAAATGGAAATGCCACGTTTATTTAACTGTTCTCATTTATGGATGTTAACCACTAAGTGTCATGTAGTCATAGAAGCAAAAGTTAGAATTGAACATACTAATTTTTAATAGAATGTACTTAACTCCACAAATCTAAGACACTGTCAAAGAAATTGAGGGAAATACACAGCTGACTACTCTGAATGTGAGAATCAGTGCCTAGTTTTATTAACTGTGGCAGAAGAAGACAGTATTTAAACCAGACCTTATATAATCCATCTATCTTGATGCTATAAACAAAATTTCCAGATACAAGGGGCTAATCTTTTCTTTTTCATAGCCATAACTTTTCCTTGTAAGTCCCAAGAGAGAGTCAATAATTGAATTTCAGAAAAGATGACCTTCTTTTGAGGTTGTTTTTGATCTGAAGCCAAAGGGAGGTAATTTATTTAGCAGAAGCTGTGGGTTCTAAACAAAGATACATATGTGGAAATAATGGCAAACAAAATAAAGTACCTTAATTTATTCATCAATAAAGCACTACCAAGATGCTAAGAATTCACATCAGAATAAATGCTCATGGGAATGGAAACTGGTTTGAGGTTTTCTTTTTTCCTTTTTCATGAGCACATGCTGCTGAACGCTTTTACTTCTATTATATAAAAAAGCTTTCATCCTTTGAAAACATTCCTGAAGAAAACTGATAGATCTACAAGTCTTCTGTTGCCTCAATTATATCAGCTTTCCTTTTGGTTAATTTAATCTAAGGCAATAAATAAGTAAATACTCTTATCCCTTTTAAATGACTGATTTCTCATGCATATTTCTTTTTTTTTCCTTTTCTTTTCTTTTCTTTCTTTCTTTTTTTTTTTTTGAGACAGAGTCTTGCACTGTCCCCAGGCTGGAGTGCAGTGGCACCATCTCGGCTCACTGCAACCTCTGCCTGCCAGGTTCAAGGAATTCTCCTGCCTCAGCCTCCCCAGTAGCTGGGCTTACAGGAGCTCGCCACCACGCCCTGCTAATTTTTGAATTTTCAGTAGAGATGAGGTTTTACCATGTTGACCAGGCTGGTCTTGAACTCCTGACCTCAGGTGATCCACCCACCTCAGCCTCCCAAAGTGCTGGGATTACAGGTGTGAGCCACCATGCCCAACCTCTATTCTACTCTTTAAATTGATTGGCCTCCCTACCCCAGTTGGCACGCTGGGCCAGCACCTGGCCCCTGTATTGGCATGCCTATCCCTTCAGCCACTTTGAACCTGTCCATTCTGCACACCTCTTTCTGAACTCTTCCTGACCTCCTCTGGCCATGCCACTGGTCAACAGTTTTATAAATTTTTTTTTTTTTTGGATCCAATATTCAAGGTAACTTTTCTGGTTCTTACTGCATTCCTTAACTAATCAATATGTCCCCTGATGGATGTTTGCTTCCATCTGTTTTAGGTAATACCTTGCCCAATTCTGGTCTAGTGCTTAGCATTGTCTCCTATGTGGTCTGATGTTCCCACCAAATGGATCTGGATCTCACAGATGCGAAGATCTCTTGTCCATGTATGGTGGCTCACACTTGTAATCCCAGCACTGTGGTAGGCCAAGCTGGAGGATGGCTAGAGCCCAAGAGTTTGAGACCAGACTAGGCAGGATAGTGAGACCCCATTTCTACAAAAATTTTTTTAAAAAAATAGCTGGGTGTAGTGGTGCATGCTTGTAGTTTCAGCTACTCAGGAGGCTGAAATGGGAGGATCACTTGAGCCTGGGTGGTCGAGGCTACAGTGAGATGTCATTTTGTGACTTTCCCAGTTGCTCCTGTAGATAAGCATCACTATTGTAAAACCTAAGATTGGTGTTTTGAGATGCCACTACACTCCAGCCTGGTCAACAGAATGGCAGTGAGAGACCCTGTATTTAAAAAAAAAAAAAAAAAGGCTTAGGAATTTAACCTTCATTGGTCTGGCTCAAGTCCACTGTTGCTTACCTTCATCTAGCCATCTAGAGCTTCGTTATCTAATCTCTGGTCCTTCACAGATAGTCTCATAATTTCTTTTCTTTAACCAACTCAGTGCTTTACACTTAAGACAGGTTAATTATGTAGGAAGACAGTTTTGGGAACATCATTTTCAGTCAAAAATTCTTTCATGGATTCCCATTGCCTGTGAAATAAAATTAACATATTTTAGCCTGACATTCAGGGCCCTCTATGAACTGGCCTCAACACTTATTTCTAGATTTATTTCTTAAAACTTTCTTTCTTATACTCATATTCCCTGTCTCCATCATTTGCCCGACAAAACATCTGGTGGAAGCTATCTATCTCTGTTCTCCACTGCTACCTGGTTGGTTTCACTTTGTTTGCATGGTTATAGATCTCAGATGAACACATAATTTTGCTCAGCAAAGCAGCCATGTTTTTTTCCCCATAGATTGCTTTCTCACTATTCTGTACCCTCACACTTCTCTTCAAACTTCTCTCTTCATCCCCTCTATGTACACCCAGGAGAATGACCTTGCTTGTTTGTTTGTTTTGAGACAGAGTCTTGCTCTGTCGCCCAGGCTGGAGTGCAGTGGCGCAATCTCGGCTCACTGCAACCTCAGCCTCCCGGGTTCAAGCAGTTCTCCTTGTCTCAGCCTCCAGAGTAGCTGGGATTACAGGTGCCTGCCACCGCTCCTGGCTAATTTTTGTATTTTTTAGTAGAGACAGGGTTTTGCCATGTTGGCCGGGCTGGTCTTGAACTCCTGACCTCAGGTGATCCGCCTGCCTTGGCCTCCCAAAGTGCTAGGATTACAGGTGTGCACCACTGTGCCCAGCCGAAAATGACCTTACTTATGACTCATTGAGAGTACACAAGCCATCCGTGAGGGATTCTTATCTTTCATCTTTCCACTACCAAATCTAAATTCTTGCTTCTTCACTTGTTTTCTCCTGATTGCTTTTTGTTAGAGTGGAAGAAGGGTCCCTCCTCCCATTTAAGGTCTCTCGTTCCACCTAGTGCTCCACACTCATCATTCTCATCTTTCCAGTGATGTACTTATTTGCCTCATCTCATGCATGCATCATATACTTCTCTTTACTAGCTCATTACTATCTGCATAGGAACATGTTGGTATTTCACATCTCTGTAAAAACTTCCTTTGATGCCTCATTTCTCAGTCTCTTTGTCCCACTCTCACCTTGGAATAAGGTCAACATATTGAAAAGATTATCTCCACACACTATCTTCACTTCTTCACCTCCCTCTCATTTGCTGTTTAATCCACCACATTCTGGTTCTTTCTACTCCATCTAGATGATGGTATTCAACTGATAGTGCTTTTATGTATGGCATTTACTATCTTTTAGGTTACCTAACAATTTTTGTCCATTTCTTCCCATTGGACCACAAGCTCTTCGAGGGTATATATTACATCTTCAGCATATTTGTATCCTCCCACATTACCCAGTACTGCTGCCTTGCATAAAGACAGGCAGAAGTACTGTCTTTTTTTTATCAGAGTACTATTGGGTTTTTATCAGAGTACTATTAACAGGAATGGAAATGAAAGATGTTGCGCAAATTACTAAGTCTAAAAAAAGCCAAGAAGCTATAAAGAATGTTGGTTACAATAATTATCATTTGAAGATTGTTATGTGCTTATGTCATAATCAAATTGTAAATTATCTGATGCTATCATATACTTGGAGCAGTGGAGAAAGCCCTAAAATTAGAGACTAAACATCATAGAAACACATGATTTCAAAAGAAAAGGTAGACAATCCTGAGATAATTAAGGTGCTGTTGTTTGTTGTTTTGTTACCATGTAATTCTGATTACATGACAAAGATTAACTCCTGGATGGAACTAGCAGAACAGAAAAATACAGATGTAGTTATTTCTAAATTTATAGAGAAATTGGTTTAGTATCTAAGATGCTGACATTAGTTGAGCTGTAGTGTGGATTCAAAATGCCTTTAAAAAATCTAAAATGAACTCAAAATATGTTTCCATTATAATCAGAAGTGCATATGTACATTTCAGGTATGTAGGTGATGTGGAAGAAATTTTAAATTTTATCTTTGTGAGCTCTAGTAGTTCACTTGGCAACTGGCAGTGCAGTCCTCTGACATCATTTTCTCATTGTTGACTAGTTTTATGAAGATGTGGCATTGTTCTAGAGAGAAATTGAATAATTATGAATTTAAATAAAGTACTCAGAAATCTGTGTTATAGTTGGCCAAATGTGCAAATAAAGATTTTATTTTATTTTTAAATGCAAGAGCTGGTTAAATAGAAACACATAGCTCAGGGTTAGGAAGAGAAACAGTGTAGAGTAGGTTTGTATGAAAATAAAAGAACAGAGAAAATAATGCTCTCCATTGTCTCGAGTGACACAGAATTGGCAGTAATCCAAATACCGCAAGAGACAAGATTAATATTAAGTATATCTGTCAACATCCTGTTTGAAAATCTCAGCCAGGATCGGAGATATCTGAAAACATCCAAAGGGGGTTTCGCCTAAGAATGAGTCATAGTCTCCATAGCAGAAAGCCCTAAAATATCAGTATCGGGTGTTAGAAGTCAAGCAGACCTTAGCGATAATCTTGTCCACTCCCATGTTTTACAGATGAGAAAACTGGGGTCCAGACAACCCTCTCTCCACCCAGCTACACTGGCAGGCACCAGGAAGTAATGAACAGAATATGGATTTGGAACTACACAGAATTAGGACCAGATCCCAGCTCAGTCACTCAGACAAGTCCCTTACTATCTCTGAGCCTCAATTTCCTCAACTTTAATATGAGAATCAAAATAGCTACTTTGCAAGGTGGTTGTAAGATTGGGAGCAATGCACATATAAAGCATCTGACACACAGAGAATCAACAAATGCTAGGTCTTATTGCCCATAGTCCTGGGATTAGTAAAACAGAACAAGGACACCCACTGCAGTCCAAGTGTGTTCTCACTATACCTTTAGAGATCTCCAGTCCGTAGACCTCTTCCAAAAAGAGGGGAAGGGGAGGAGTTATTACACTCTTCTATAAACACGTAGGCTTTTGATAATCTGGAAATATCAAATGAGCCAGTATCATATAAAATGCCAACTGGAACTTACTAACTTGTCCAGAACATCAACATGACAAAGGATAGTTTAACATAAGGGACAGAAATCTGATAAACATTTATAAATACAGCCCAACAAAACCTTTCTGAATTGAATCTTTCACACTTAAGTATGTGTGGGGACGGGGTGTCAATGTTGCATATATATATACCAAACCAGGCTTTGTAAGTTACACAATGGCCTATTTTTAAAAATTCAGCAATAATGCATTAATTTTTCTAACATTTAAGACAGACCTCCTGTATCTAAAATAAAAGTTGAAATTAAAGAAAAAAAAATTTCATTCCAAATTAAAACTAAACTTTGGGAAAAAAAATCCAAACCTTTAAAGATGGAATGAATTATAGCAAAAAGATAAAGGAAAATTGCTTAAGCCTTTGCGGTTTGTAAAAGAGTTGAGACAAAGCTGAAATGTTTATTTGTTCTAATTACCTATCTCCATTGCAGGTGTATATGACATGGAAATACAGGCCCTACTACTTAAAGGATAGACTTAATGACTCGTGGGCATTCTGATTGCTCGGATACTTTAGTCCTATCTAATTTTTTTTTTTTTTTTTTTTTTTGAGACGGAGTCTTGCTCTGTCACCCAGGCTGGAGTGCAGTGGTGTGATCTTGGCTCACTGCAAGCTCTGCCTCCCGGGTTCATGCCATTCTTCTGCCTCAGCCTCCCGAGTAGCTGAGACTACAGGCGCCTGCCACCACGCCTGGCTAATTTTTTGTATTTTTAATAGAGACAGGTTTCACCATGTTGGCCAGGATGGTCTCGATCTCCTGACCTCGTGATCCACCCGCCTCGGCCTCCCAAAGTGCTAGGATTACACGCGTGAGCCACCGCGCCTGGCCAATCCTATCTAATTTTAACTCATTTATATAAATATAGTCATTAGCCATGACATGTTAACTTTGAATGGACAATGTAAGTTTCCACAGCTAGATTCTACTGAATACCTTCTCAGGATATTCCCTTTGAAAATGAATAAGAATCTAAATCTATAAAGGAATGCTAAGTAACTAGCTTCTCCAAGTTACTACTTGCATTGTTTCCAGGTGCCTGGAGTCACCAGTATGGTAATATAAGATCTAAATAGCTGACAAAAGTAAGAAATCTGTAAGATTTTAGAACTAGAAAGGTTGTTAATGAGGCCACAAATTCGCCCATAGGCTAAATCCAGCCAACCAAAGTGTTTTAATTGTTCCTTAAAGTATTTGCCCATGCTATATGTTAGATACTTTGCAATAGTCTCAACCATTTAACAATCAAGAGATTTCACATTGCAAACAAGATTTCCAGCTTCCTTTGAAAAGTTATATAATCTGGCAACTCTGGGCTGAATTTTTTTTTTCCCTGCAACTTTTATTTTGAGTTCAGGGGTACATGTGTAGGATGTGCAGTTTGGTTACGTAAGTAAGCGTGTGCTGCGGTATTTTGCTGCACAGATCATTCCATCACCTAGGTATTAAGCCCAGCATCCATTAGCTATTCTTCCTGATGGTCTCCCTCCCCCACCACCTTCTTCTAACAGTGGGTCTGAATTCTTGCATGGCAATCCTTGGTTAGAGCTGAACAGTGGCCACCCCTTAAATGCAATGAGTTCTCTCCAGTTGCCCCATCTCCTATTACTCCTGATGGGATTACACAGGCCGATTCTGCTTACTGACATTGCCTTCACAGCTCCTGCTCTGGTCCAAATTCATATTTTACAGAAAAGAAAAGCCAACGCCCAGAGAGATCAAAAGATTGAAGCTAGCTCCAGAATCCAGATCTCCTAGCCAATTATGCCTTTTCCCATATCAGAAAGTCTTGAATGATTATTTGTTTTAATGAGTATTCCCTAAGAAATGAATAAGCACAAAAATAAAATCTAGAGCACAATTTGCAAGATATTAAATACTTAGGTAAAAAATAGTAGGGCTGGGTGTGGTAACTCACTCCTGTAATCCCAGCACTTTGGGAGGCCGAGGTGGGTGGATCACTTGAGGCCAGGAGTTTGAGACCAGCCTGGCCAACATGACAAAACCCTGTCTCTACTAAAAATACAAAAATTAGCCAGGCACGGTGGTGCACACCTGTAGTCCCAGTTACTCAGGAGGCTGAGGTGGGGGTATGACTTGAAGCCTGGGAGGCAGATGTTGCAGTGAGCTGAGATCACGCCACTGCACTCTAGCCTGGGTGACAGCCGTACCCTGTCTCAAAAAAAAAAAAAAGTAGTGCCACCTCAGACAAAAATATTACTGATTATCAGTGGCTGCTTAGCTTGTTCTTAGAAGGAGGACTAATTATTAACAGGCAATTGGTTTCGTATAATTTTTTAAAATCTCTAAATTGGCTTTATTTGAATCTTTAATGTTAACATACATAAGAGTCCACTTGGTGGAATTTAAGTCCCTAGGCCCTTTTTGAAGAGATTCTGAATAAGTATGTCTGTGTTGAGATGCAGGAATTTGCATTTTTAAGTGACTATCACAAGAGATTGATTGCACTTACCCATCAGACTAATACGTCACTTTCAGGTGGGTGTGGTGGCTCCCTCCTGCAATTCCAACACTTTGAGAGGTCCAGGCAGGAGGATCATTTGAGGCCATGAGTTAGAGACCAGCCTGGGCAACATAGTGAGACCCCCGTCCCTACAAATAATAATAATAATAATTTTAAACAATTAAAAGTCACTTTCACATTTTCAATTCTCATCTTAAGCTCCAGACCTTAATCATGGTACTTGGTTCCCCTCCATTCAAAGAATGAAAATTTCCCACTTGTAGCTCCTGATTCTTTTCATTTTCTTCTTCTTTTTTTTTTTTTCTTGAGACGGAGTTTCGCTTTTGTTGCCTAGGCTGGAGTGCAACACTGCGAACTCGGCTCACCACAACCTCTGCCTCCCGGGTTCAAGGGATTCTCCTGCTTCAGTCTCCTGAGCAGCTGGGGCTACAGGTGTGCACCACCACACCTGGCTAATTTGTTTTTTGTTTTTTGTATTTTTAGTAGAGACGGGATTTCTCCATGTTGGTCAGGCTGGTCTCGAACTCCTGACCTCAGATGATCCACCCGCCTCGGCCTCCCTAAGTGTTGGGATTACAGGCGTGAGCCACTGTGCCCAGCTGATTCTTTTCATTTTCTGTGTTTCCTGTTTTGCGGTTTATTAAAGAAAAACCCAAAGAACATATAATGACTGGTATAGCACAAAGGACCAATCCCATAAATATAATTGCTCAATCAGAATGTTTTTATAATGGTGACTAGGTTACTAGTATAGAGTATCTCCTACAGACTCTACTGACTTTATTCTTCTTTCTAAATAATGCTTTCTTTGAATTGAAAAATATTTCCTTTATGGAGCAAATGTACCAGAAGTTTTTATAGCTTTCGCTTAAAACTGCAGGTCAACTTTTGTATTTCTTCTCTAATGTCTCTCTCTCTTTTTTTTTTTAAAGGTTTTATCATCTTCTATGCCTTTTAAATAGACTTTTAGTATAACCAGACAAGCAAAATAAATAGCTACACAGTAGTCTCCTCACATATGACTATTATTTGATTCCATCTAACGAACTAGATATTATATCCTACATTATATCAGAATCACTTTATTTTACCTAAGGCAATTTTAAAGTGAAAATTTCTATATTCAGCCCCCCGAGAATAAAAATCAACAACAAAAAATCAGTCTCTTATAGGAAAGAGGGATATGCCAAAAAGGGATATGATGTCTGTCCACAATTAATTCATACTGAAACACTGCAAAAGTAGCACCAGATAAAGGGAAAAGAAAGTTCATTGAAGTATTTAGCTGGATTCACAGTAGGATATTTTTGAAGGTGAAAGTTAAGGCTCTCGGGTTCTAAGTGCTTATGACAGAGCAATTCTTGATGTAAAAGCAGGCATATGTAACCAGGCCACTTTTAGAGGAAGAAATAGGACCTCGGAGGATTTTTAATATTATTCAATGGAAAAGAATCTTGTGTATATATGGAATAATGCAATTTTAGAAAAAGTGCATACATCGTATTTTGGGTTTTTCTTTTTCATTTTTCCTCTTAGGAATTAGCCTTTAGAGAGGATTCTCATTTTTTTTTCTTTTAAAATTTTGCATTAGAATAGGTGTTCTAGTTTATGAAAGCACTTTTGAAAAAGATCATTTGAGAATGTGAAAATATTTAAGAATGTTTCAACTTCTCATGTAGTTTACTTCAAAAGTAACCTTTATAATATTAGACTATAAGTTATGCTGCAGAAGTAATTAATTGACCTGATTCTATTCATTAATTAAGACTCTCCCTGGTATCAAATGAGAAGCTTAACATACTGGGCAGTATAACAGTAATCATTGTGAAAGTGCTCACTTTGGCTTTATGATTAACATAGGAACTTAAGAACTGCTTAGCTTAAAAACTTGCTAGAGTATATTTAACGGGGCCTGAAAGAGACCTAGTATATTTAATGGGGCCTGAAAGAGACCTTAATATGGTCCAGTTTTTTTTTTTTTGAGACGGAGTTTTACTCTTGTTGCCCAGGCTTGAGTGCAATGATGCAATCTCCATTCACTGCAACCTCCACCTCCTGGGTTCAAGTGATTCTCCTGCCTAGGCCCCTCGAGTAGCTGGGATTATAGGCACCCACCAACACGCATGGCTAATTTCTGTATTTTTAATAGAGAGGGAGTTTCACCATGTTGGCCAGGCTGGTCTTGAACTCCTGGCCTCAAATGATCCGCCCACCTCAGCATCCGAAAGTGCTGGGATTACAAGCGTGAGCCACTGTGCCCGGCCCAAATGTCTGTTAATAGAGGAGAGGAGCTGGTTTAGTTCCTTGATTCAGAGTTTCCTATATAATAGAAAGCTTGTTTGTAGGTGTAGTAATTTTTAAATAGGAAAAAGAAAAACTGAAATCATGCCCTACTTTTAGCAGTGGTCCTGTTTTGCAGGTGTGAGAAGGAGGGAGGAGGAAGGGAGAGGTGGAATACAAGAGAAGGAGCTGAGCATGAACACAACAGAGCATGCAAGAAGGTTTTTTGACTCCATGAAATGCTGAGATGTGGACAAAGCAGCCTTCCAGGGAGCCCGTTCCCATCCCTGCATGGTACCCTTCATGCTAAGCAGTGTCCTTCAGTGAAGGGTGGGGTGAGAGAGGGAGGGAGAAAGACAGAGGTTACTGTGACTGAGATGGTTCAAGGGTAAATCCATAGTAATTCTGTACTTAGGACAAAAGTATGGTGTTCTAAGTAACCCCTGTGGCTCTAAGGTACACAAGTCATATCTAATGAGGACAGATTTTCACTGTGAACAAGGGTCCCTAACCTCAGTTTTGCCTTTTCTGTGGCACCTACTCTGGCTCCAGGGCAGTGGTTACAGCGAGAGTGGGTTTCTTTGAGTCAGCTAGCTGTTTAGGAAGAAAATACATTTTATGAATGAGGAATGACTCACAGACACATTTTGAAATTTAGTTTCATATGTTATACAATGCTGCTAATTTTAAACTCCAGAGCAAAAGTTAGGAATTACATCTTTATTTCTCTGTTTTGCGTTTTTGGGGGGAGTGAACAGGGGGAGCTTCTTTTCAATAAAGCGAAAGAAATGCTCTAATACAGAGGAGAAAAGAGGACCAAACAGGGATCATTCTCTATACAGACATTTGTCTGAGGAGAGAAAGGTGTTCAAGAAAAGCAGTGGAAAGGTTAAGGGACCATCCAAAGAGAGATCCAAGCCCTGCTCTGAGGCTGTTGACCAAGCTCCTCATCAGCCTGGACAATGCACACATTGGCAGGAGAGGAAACGTTTGGAGAGTTTCTGGAACAACATGTGGGCTGGCTTAATCATAAAGCCTCAAGGTTGGCAAGCCAGAGGGCCTGCTCCTGAACTTAAAGAACATAAACACAGCCTCTCAACTGCCAGCCATAAAAGTAAACCATCGTCACACTGCACCAAAAAAAAAAAAAAAAAATTTGATTTGATGAGAAAAAAAGATCTTAAACAGCTGTCCATTCAAACCCAATCACCCAGCAGTGAATCTGTTGATTCTAAGCTCGTTTGTGGGCTTGGGGAAGCCTCATGGAGATGCAAACCTGATCTTAATCTTGCAGGACCAGACTCACAATTTTATTGTGTTTTCAAAATCACAGCAAGTTCTCAAAACAACCTGCATGTTTATCTTCGAATATTTACCCAAATACCCTGAATGTACAGCTGTCCCATAGGAATGGCAATGGGCATCACAAGGGGACACAGGTCCTGATTTCTGTGTGGGACCTCAGGTGTCCTCTGTGGTTGCCTCAAGTTTGTTTCCCCTGACGCTTAACTAATACCTTCAGATTCCCAAAGAAAACTGCCAAGCTGATTCCAAAAGTCCCTGCCTTCACCTGTGTTTAGCATCATGTGTAGATTTAACCACCACTTATCGGACACATGTTAACACTTACTTTGAATATCTAGCATTCAGAAGAAAGAGTGTAGAGCGGAAAGAATCAGAAAAACTAGGATCAAATCCCAGCTTTGCTAACCCTAGTATTTGGGCTATGCCTCAGTTTTCTCATTGCCTTAAGACCGGAATAGCGTTACAAAATTTTGTTGAAAAAAAATATGGAAATCCCTAGCACCACAGGTGCTCCTTCCTTTTCCTGGAGGTGTCTGTTCCTCTTAGAGATGCTACAGCTTTAAAGCAGGGTAGCATCCTAAACTCAGATGTACATGGAAAACGGAATTGGGTTGATTCTATTAATTACAAGCAAGTCAGTAAGGCCAGTGCAGATTCAAGGATATAGGATGAGATTCCACCTGTTAATGGGATGTGGCCAGTTCACATTCCGAAAAACATGTGAGATGAGACATAGTACTGTGGTCTTGGGAAATACGATCTGCCATCCATGGTTTGCCATATAACCCACTTTTGAAGGTCAGAAGCTGAAAACAGGCTGTTGGTGTTTTCTTTGTAATAAATTCCAATTTCTCCTTAGCCAGATGCTTAAATGAAACTAGCACAAATGATTTTTTTATTCAAAAAGACAAAAGAGAAAAGTATATTAAACATTATAGAACATGATCACAAATGCACCTCTAATTAAATTAAATTGACAATGTTCCTGAGCCATGACCTCATGGATAGAGTGGCTTGGCTTCCTAAAGGCCTAGGTAACAAGTAAGGGGGATATGGCAAACTCTCCTATTGAATTAGCTTTTCTTAAAAATTCTTTTTTATTAAAGCAGTACTGTATAAACGTTGCTATGTTCTATCAGAATCTATTTGAGTGAAAAATAAATAAATACAGTTACTGTGTGCCTCAGGTCTTACTAAACAGTCCCTCTTCTGAAGAAAAGACCAATTTGATAAAAAAATTAACATTTGGGTTCAGAATAAAACTTTTTTCCCCTGGAGAATACATATTTTGGTTAAAAAAAAGTTTAAGTCTGTATAAGTTGTTTTTTAAGCAGAAATATAAATTAGTCAAAACAGTGGGACATGACTTAAATTATAATCAATTTTATCCCATGTAATACAATTGGGTATCTACTTACAGTAAACAAAAAAGATGAACTCTTTCTTTTTATGAAGTTTATATGATGAAATTCATTCCACATTGTTTCACTGAAATATTCTTAAGAAATTAAACTGTTTTGTTAAATCATGACATTGCTAGGTAATATCTTAAAAAAATTATTCCTAAATAATAATCATCAATGATTTGCAGTTATTTTGAATCAACCTAGGGTGGAAAAAAAGTAATCATTAGGCAGTTATTACCAAACCTCTTTTTCATTTGTATTTTCATTTGTATATATAAGGGGGAGGAGCACCTTGTAAAAACTATATTCACATCCCTACAGGATTAGACTGGTTTAGAGAAGTAGAAAAATATAGTTTAAAAACAAATAGAGAAATTCAGAGAGTCATTAGATATGAAAAGCAAACATAATTAAAAATAAAATTAATTAAATCATCCCTGAGGGATGGAGAGAAGAGAAGATGGTTATTTTTGTACTCGCTTCAGGGAAAGCCTAACGGAAAAGTATGGCATCCAAGAATCTTCTCTTCCTGCTCCCAGTCAGTCAGGGCTTCTTTACCATTCATCTCTTTCCATTCCACACATGTTTGAAGGTTCATCTATATTTTAAAGGCTGCTGGTCCTCCCTGTATTTTATAGGCTGCTGCTAGTATTATTTTATCCTAGTTTTTACAGTCCAAATACTATTTTGTATTCTGCAACTTTATTTTGTATTCTGCAACTTTAATAAGATCTTTTAAATTTCAGTACTACAGGGATCCCAAATAAATCCCAAGTAAATTGTGATGAATAAATTGTGTATATAAGACAGTAATTGCTGAGGAACACAAATCTTTCTTCTAATAATAACCACAGGCCAGACATGGTGGCTCACGCCTGTAATCCCAGCACTCTGGGAGGCTAAGGCAGGTGGATCATCTGAGGTCAGGAGTTCAAGACCAGCCTGGCCAACATGGTGAAACCCTGTCTCTACTAAAAAATACAAAAATTAGCCAGGCATAGTGGTGCATGCCTGTAATCCCAGCTACGAGGGAGGCTGAGGCAGGAGAATCGCTTAAACCTGAGATGGGGAGGTTTCAGTGAGTCGACATCCTGCCCCTGCACTCCAGCTTGGCCTGGGTGATAGAGTGAGACTCCATCTCAAAATAATAATAATAATAATTAAAAAAATAAGAACCACATAATCTAGGCAGAACATAACAACAGGAAGCTATAAAAGTTTTTTTTTTTTTCCATTCTTGAATCTGGGTCCTGACATTCACAACATGTTTGTTAAAGAAAACAGAACAAAATGAACAAACAAACAAAAAACCAAAAAAACTTCCTGCTCTCATTTAGTTTAGGGAATGCTCTTTAACTAACATAAACGTTCCTTACTTGATCATCACCCCCGGTTTTCACATACCTCCTATCTGCATGCATTCATGAGACATATATCATATTTGGCAGTGAAAGTCAAGAGATGAATCTGATGTTGGACTAGCCTTCAGCCTAGCATTCAACAACTTGCATGACTATAAAGTGTGAAGTAAATGCCTAGAAGGATTGCTGCCTGCCATAGCTACAGAAAATGTTCTGGGTTCATGTGCATCATAGAGTAACCTCCTGGGCAATTAGCAGTGGTATTTTTATAAACGATGACACCAGTTACTCTGGGCAGATAGAGCTTGTGAAGTACCCTAGTGCTTCAGCAATGGCTTTGAGAGTGTAGGTCAAAATTCTTAATTGCCTGGAGTTGCTCTGGAGCATGTGAGCTTAACTTTATTGTGTCTATCAGTCAACACTCATGTGGTTGCAAGTGTCAGGAACCCAAATTACACTCGCTTAAACAAAAAAGGGAATGTATAGGCTTTTTTATTAAAAATCTCAGGCACGGCAAGTTCCAGATGCTTGGAGAGGATCAAAGGGAGTCAGGAATCCATCTGTCTCCCAACCCTGATTTCCTCTCTAATGGTTCAACTTTCCGGCATGCTCTTCCATTGCTGTAAAGAGGCAGACACCAGCAGCTCCACACTTGCAGGGTACATGGTTAGTAATCCCAGCAGGATAAGAACTCCTCTTTTAGAACAATCCTGCCTAAGTTCTGTAATTCATTCTTTTGGAGGAATTTTTTTTTTTTTTTTTTAGATGCAGTTTTTGGTCTTGTCGCCCAGGCTGGAGTGCAATGGCGCAATCTCGGCACACTGCAACCTCTGCCTCCCAGGTTCACGTGATTCTCCTGCCTCAGCCTCCTGAGTAGCTGGGATTACAGGCAACCGGCACCACACCCAGCTAATTTTTGTATTTTTAGTAGAGACGGGGTTTTGCCATGTTGGCCAGGCTGGTCTCAAACTCATGACTTCAGGTGATTCGCCCGCCTTGGCCTCCCAAAGTGCTGGGATTACAGGGGTGGGCCACCGCGCCCAGTCTTTGAGGAATTTTTTGAATGAATCATTATGGCTGGATGATGAAAAGTTTTGGATGGGTATGTCTGGTTCATGCAGGCATGAGTGGAGCCTCCAATAATGTCAACTGCTCCCAAATCATATAGCCTGAGAACAGAAAAGGGGAGATGACCAAACAAAAAATAGCTGATCATTACAAATACAAATGTTAAAAGCTTGGTCTGAAGTCCAATTTTAGGTGACCAAAATTTGAGCCAATAATTTTTAAAAAGAAATAAAATCCAAAGAAATGAAAGCTTTTATTGAAAACTGTTTTGTTGGAGGTGGCAGCCAGTTATTGACATTAAATTTAAAGGAGAGTGAATTTCATCATGACAAAAAGTGGCTGTTACAGGTAAAATAATGACCCTCCCCCAAAAGATGTCTTTACCTAAATCCTGGAACCTGTGAATACGTTCAGGGACTTTGCAGATGTGGTTAGGTTAAGGATCTTGAGATGGGGAAATTGTCCAGGTGGGCCCAGTGTAATCACCTGAGTCCTTAAAAGCAGAGAACCTTTCCTGCCTGTGATCAGAGAGAGATGTGATAGATTATGAAGGGCCAGAGAGATGCAGCATTACTGTCTTTGAGGATAGAGAAAGGGAGCCACGAACCAAGAAATATGGACAGCCTCTGGAAAATGGGAAAGGCAAGAAACAGATTCTATCCTAAAGCTTCCAAAAAGAAGACAGCCTTACTGTAACCTTGATTTTAGCCCGGTGAAACCTATGTTTGGACTTCCAACCTCCAGAGCTGTAAGGTAATGAATGTGTGTTGTTTAAGCTGCTGTTTGTGGTCATTTGTTAGAGCAGCAATAATAAAGTAATACACCAGCTATTTCTGCACCTTCATACATTCTGTAGCCTAAATTCTTAGCACATGGTTTGTACAGACCACTTAGAACTGCTCAGACTGAAAAGCCTCATTTTGGCAGAGACTTTTTTTTTTTTTTTTTTTTTTTCTGAGACTGAGTCTCCCTCTGTTGCCCAGGCTGGAATGAAGTGGCATGATCTCGGCTCACTGCAGCCTCCACCTCCTGGGTTCAAGCCATTCTCCTGCCTCAGCCCCTGAGTAGCCGGGATTACTGGCGCTTGCCACCGCACCCAACTAATTTTTGTATTTTTAGTAGAGAAGGGGTATCACTATGTTGGCCAGGCTGATCTCGAACTCCTGACCTCAGGTGATCTGCCTGCCTCAGCCTCCCAAAGTGCTGGGATTACAGGTGTGAGCCACCGCACTTGGCCTGGCAGAGACATTTAATGCTCACTGAATACATCTGCATCACCTGCCTTTCCCAGTCTCTGTGTAGTTAGGTAGGGTTGTGTGGTTTGCTCTGACCAGTGTACTGTGAGTTTAGGTGACAGATGTCACCTTCCAGGCTCAGACAATGAAAAGCCTCTGTGCAACCGTTTGGCTTGTTCTTTCCCCACCTGGGCAAATTGGAAGACTCATGTTGAGGTAGTTGCTGCTACTAGATGCAAATATCCTGAATCCCTGGGCTTTTGCTGAAAAGGAGCTGCCTGGAGGACCACTGGGAGTACAGAAGATTTTGCATGAGTAAAAAATAAATTTTTATGTCTTAAGCCACTGAAGTTTACAGATTGATTTGTTTCTGTAGACTAACTTAGTCTATCCTGATGAGTTAGAATAAGGGCTACCTCAGGAGACAAAAGTTTCAACCTATCAAGTTTAATGTGAAAACTAATTTCTAATTCAGTCTCTCTTATTAATCTATGAAGTTGCGTCTTTAGGCTTCGGATTCCCTCTATGCATAATAAGGAGATATGCAATTTTATATAGCACTTGGAAAAATATTGAATATTATTTAAGTGACTATTCCCTTTATTTGTGGTGTTTACATCATATAATGATGAATTTTAATTTAGAAAACAAAAAGAAGTTTTGCATTTTATTAAAAAGTAATACTTTTTCTGTCATTGACTGGTAATGCTGATGCAGATACCATGCTTTCATGTCAAGTTCACAATTTATGTGATGAAAATTGCCCTTTTTCAAAATATTTCACGTTTAAGACCTTTGACAAGATACTAATACACTTTAGCAAAATAGCATACTTACAGCTATCAAAAGGTGTGACTGACATGAAAAGTAAACTCACAGCCTATGTTTCTTTTCTAAGAGAATTGGAATGCAAAAAAAAAGTAAGCCAAAAGCATAGTCTATTTTAAGTAATGGCTTAGTATTTTCCATTTAATCATCCAAGGTGAGAATCATAGCTCAAAAAAAAGCAGGGATTACCCAATTTCACTCCTTTATTTGATGGATGAGAAAACTGAGAATTGCAGAAATTAACTAATTTATGCCAGGTAGCCAATAGGGAGAGAGATATCATTCCTGAGGGGAAATCTAAGTGCAGGTAGAAAGCAGCAATTTTGTCAAAGGCAAGCTGGATTTGCCTGATCAAAAATCACTTCTTTTTTTTATAACTGTTTTTTTATTGTGGTAAAATATATACAACATACAATTCACATTTTGGCCATTTTCAAGTGTACAATTCAGTGCCATTAAGTACATTCACGTTGCTGTGCAACCATCACCGCCACCATCCACCTCCACAACTTTTCCTTCTCTCAAACTGAAACCCTCTGCCCACTGAAAAATAACTGCTCTCCCCCGCCTGCAGGTAACCACCATTCTGCTTTCTGTCTCCATGAATTTCACTATTCTAGGTACCTCCTACAGGTGGAATCACACAATATTTGTCCTTTTGTATCTGGTTTATTTCACTTAGGAAATGTTAAGGTACATCCATGTTGTAGCATGTATCAGAATTGCATTATTTTAAAGACTGAATAGTTTTCCATTGTATGTATATAACACATTTTGTTCAACCAATCATCTGACAATGGACATTAGGGTTGTTTCTACCTTTTGGCTGTTGTGAATAATATTGTTATGAGCACAGGTGTACAAACATCTATTTGAGGCTAGGTGCAGTGGCTCACACCTGTAATCCTAGCACTCTGAGAGGCTGAGGGGGGTGGATCACTTGAGCCCATGAGTTCAAGACCAGCCTGGGCAACATAGGGAAACCTCAACTCTACAAAATATACAAAAATTAGCCAGGCATGGTGGCACATGTCTGTGGTCCCAGCTACTTGGGAGGCTGAGGCAGGAGGATCACCTGAGCTCGGGAGTTAGAGGCTGTAGTGAGCCATGACCACACCACTGCACTGCAGCCTGGGCAACAGAGTAAGATCCTGTCTCCAAAAAAAACCCCAACAAAAACAAATATCTATTTGAGTTCCTCCTTTCAGTTCTTTTGGGTACATAGCTAGAAGTGAAATTTCTAGGTCACATGGTTGTTCTGTTTAATTTTTGAGGAGCTGGCACATCATTTTTCACAGCTGCTGAACCATTTTACATTCTTATCAGCAGTGCACCAGGATTCAAATTTTCTCTACATGTTTGCTAACAATTGATATTTTGAGGGTTCTTTGGTTTTTGTTTTTTTGTTTGGTTGGGTTTTTTTTCACGATAGCCATCCTAACAGGTGTGAAGTGTTAGCTCATTTTGGTTTTGAAAAAAACCACATCTTTATACTACTGAAAAGCTCTACCACTACCTTGTTTGAATTTGGAAAAAGTTACAAGGAGTCATATCTGTGAACAAAGTCCAAGAAACCCACAAGTTAGCCATAATTTTAGTGTCTACAGAGACTAAACAAATAAATAAGAGCAGAACAAAAAATAAAATAATTCATTTATATAGGGGTATTTTTTTCAAATTTTATGTTTTAAAACAAACTGAAATGTTTTATTTTACCTAATTTAAAACTTCAGATTTGGGTTATAAAGTTATCTCAAGTAATTTACATTGAAAACAATTTTGCATATTACAATTCTTCAGTTATTGTGATCCAATATTAGTATCAATTATAGTAATTTTAGATATAAAAAACTATTCTAATTATTTATTTCCTTTCTCAACAGAGAGACTAATATAAATAGATGTTAAAGTCTGACATCTATTCAAAGTTTTGCTTTTAAAATAAATGTTAAAGTCTGACATCTATTTCAAAGGTTTTGCTTTATCTTAATCAGCTATTTCAAGTAATTAATGATTTTTGCCTCGATTTTACTTCAAAAGGGTTTAAATTTTCATTATATCTGTCTGTTACCAGTGGCTGAAACTGGTAGAAGTAATGTAGCTCACATAACAAGATTTATTATTTATCAAAAATTAAGTCATCAAAAATCTTTGGTATGCTGGTGACTCTTCTCTCAAAACAAAACCTACAAAAATCTTTAGCCGGTTTGTAAAATTAGTTGAATCCATATGAACTGAAAATCCAGATATTTAATCTGATAACCCAGAGCATTCTGCCTATCTAGACCAAATAGAAATGGTGCATAAACTCTTTAAGTCATAATCAGGTTGTAATAAACAGGCAGTGTATTTGTGAAGGAAGGAAGATTATTGCCTACTCAGGGTTGGTACTTTCTAAGACTACAACCACAATTTAATGGTTTTGGATAAACCATTAAAGATTGGCTTAATGCCATTATCGTGCTCACCTGTAGAGGACCCATCTCATCTAATGTCTCGTCTTATACACACACAGACCACACACATCTCACAGCTTGTTCAGCACTGGGACAGCTAACTTCATGCTTTTTTTTGTTTCCAGATAGATGATTATTTTGGAGGGGGAAATGCTCAAAACATACTAATAATCCAAACACATTTATTTCCCCTGGTCATATAATTTAACAGCTCTTTGATATGGGACAAATCAGTTTCTCCCCTTAGGAATTTAGAGGTCTACAGGTTCTTACTCAGAACTAAATGAAATACAATTATATGAACAGGGTTTTTCTAAATCTTAATTTTCAAAGAAGTGTAAAGGGGTATTATTCTTAAAGTAATACTATAAGTCATTCTTTTACTTTCCCAAAACAGAATAAAAACCTCAAACAAATTAGATTAGAAATAAAGTTTAACATCACTTCTTCCTGCTAAAATATAATCATGTTGGCGTTGTCACATGCTCAAGAAAAACTTAAAACTGTTATATTTGTACCTGAGTTGAATTTTTATACTGGTAGAACACTAATATTTTGAAATATCCTCTGATATGATTTATAGACTTGGTAATTTTATTTTATTTTTATTTCTCCCTCGCATTTCCTTTTGTCATTAAGTGTAAACCTTGTGGGAGGCTGAGGGTTACTCCTCAGGGTAGGGAAGAGTAAACACTGCATAGTACAAAGAATAACTGTTCAACTTTGGCATCCAAGTTGAGATTTTTAAGCTCTATAGGGAAATAATGGTTGTGAAAATCAGGTTTTGAGAAGAAAAAATGATTTTCTCAGACTCTCAAAATCATATCTTCATAGGTTGAGTTGCACAAAATTTTTAACATTCAACCATTTTTTGACCAATGAAATGTAACTTTATTATTGTTCAATTTATAGTGTATATCAAGAACTCAAGCTTGGAGAATTGGCCCTAGATTACAGCATGAAGAAGAAAGGGAGGTCATGTGATGTGATATAAAGAAAATGCTTACCTTTTTGTTGCTAGAAGGAGGAGCTGAAGAGAGAATAGGGAGAAAGGTCTGTGAAGGCAGACACAAGATCAACCCCTGGGCGAGAGCAGTGGACAGGGAGATACACACCCAGGTGGGTCTGGGGCCAATTTCACTGCCTCACCACACAGAGCCTGAGGACTTTTCAAGGCCCTTCACAATACCTTACGTTGACTGGCCACAAGTAGGAGCACTTCTGTTTCCAAACTGCAAGGACTGAGTTACCCTAAATGGGCAAGTTTAAGTTCACTTCTTCCCCTTGCTACTATGCAAGAATAGAAGATCAATAAAAAGAAGAAATCAATTAAATTTTGAGGTATTCCATACTAGATTTAGATAAACGTGTTCTTCAAAATGGGTTGCATTTAGGAAGAAAACAGACTTTTCCTATTTTTAACATGTTTGCTACTTTTTAACTTGCTACCTAATTTGCAGTCTTTTGTGTCCTTAGTATACAATAGTTCCAATATCAACAGCTGTAAAGTGACACAATTCATTCATTGTCACATTGCTAGTTAATGGAAAAAAAAAACTAGAAGCAACTTTCATATTTTCTGAGCTTGGTCCAGGGCACTTCCTAATAGCATTACTTTATTTTTAAGCTTTAGTTATAAAGTGCTAAGACAATGATGCACTGAAGTTTACTGGACTAATGATAAATTCTTCTTTTTAAAATTTTCTGGTCAAAATAGATGAATAGAAGTGTTCAAAGCTTGACAGAATGGTTTATATATATATTTTAATTCTTAAGGGAGACCACAATCTCAATTCATCTCTACAATGGCTTTTATTGCCTCTTCTATGAAAAGGAATCAATACAAGGATCAAATTTCCGTATTTTCAAAATGTGCTCATTTTAATTTGGCACAGTTTCCTCATTTCCTCTGTGGATGCCAAGAAAAGCACCTGTGTGAAAAAGGCTTATGTTAAACTTAGACAAAACAGGCCAAGTGCCTATAAGAAGATGAAAACAATCAGAATGTGTTGCAAAGAAAAGTTGACCTTTCTGAGCCTCCAAAGCCTCAGATTTGCATCTTCTGCATGAAGCTAGAGGCTAGACTCTTCCTGTCTTATTTATTATCTGAAAATAATATGTGCCTTTATGGCTGTCAAGATGATGAATGTAAAATCCTCTATCAACCTTTAAACAAGATCACTGCTTGGTGGGTCCTTCGAAGCTTTTGGCATCTTCACTAAATAAAAATTGCAAAAGCTCAACACACAAGAATGGGTGGCAGCTCTTTAGACTGGCTTCTTAAGTAAATTAACTAATACAAAGAATTCAGATCCAGATAAAACCAATGTGGCTGGCTTTCTCAGATCTGTGGGTTAGTGCATCCATCTTTACTAGCAAGTGATTGGTGCAATATAAAAGGAAACTTCCAGCTGTGCTTATAAATGGTTGGGTGTGTAGTTAGGGAAATCCATACAGCCATAAACTCCCAGTGTTGAATTAGTGATTGTTCAGAACTGAACAAATATGTAGAAGCGTAAATAACTGAATGTAGCACAATTCCCCAAAAAGTCCCATTGTTTCCCCGCTGCAGTAAACATGGAGATTTCTTTTCCCATGCAGGAGCCACAGGAAAGGTGGTATCCAGTAGTAAGTAGAGGACCACTGACTCTCCAGATCACAGTATTTCACATGACCCCATACACAGGCTAACAGCAGTGTCCTGCCAAAGTATAACCCATGGGGAATAGGCCTTTGAGGTTGTTTAAAAGTGGCAGACTGTGAGAGAGAAGCATATTTCCTTTCTGGGAGCCTAATTTAGCTGGAAAATGAAGATAGGCAGAATGTGAGTTTCCTGTAGCTTCATGCATTGTGTAATTTTATTAGACATAAAAAAAAAACTTCCTCTGAATGACTTATATTAACCAACTGAGATGTTTACTTTTATGTAAAATGTGACCTTCAAACTTTGTAAACAATATCATCCAATAAGAACACAAAATATTAATAGCTACCTAAAATGCCCATCACGGTCAGTCCAATTATCAAATCCTGCAATGGAAATCGCTTTCTTTAATTTCACAAGGCATGCATTGAGTCCCACAATATGTGTATGTATGTCAACAAATATTTGTGGAACATCCATTGTGGGTCATAAAATTGTTCAAGCCCAGGGGACATGAAGACAGGTAACACAGTGTCTCTAACCCCAAGGAATTTTCATGCCAGAGTGAGGAACAGACATGTAGACAGGCAAACACTAAGATTAATGCGGGGTGTTATGATGGCTGAAGAGAAGCTGGGAGCTAAACCTGCTGTTGGTATATAAGTCTCTGTAATCCTCATGGCTCTGGAGACATTACCAGTTACTTGTAATACTAATGGACAAATCCTGCATCCTTTTCTTTGAAGTGATCAAAAGAAGCTGAAAAAGCATGTATTATATTCTTCTCAGCACCATAAGTTCATGCACTCTATAATTTAGATATATTTATTGATAGATATAGATATACAAAGAGACAATTTTTCCTTCTAGGTCCATAAAGGGGTACAGTAAACTTACTAAACAATGTACAGTAAACTTGAAAAAGGGAGTGACAGATAATACAACAATTCTCTATCTTTTGCCTTATACCACTTTTTTTTTTTTTTTTTTTTTACAGACAGGGTGGTGTTACTCTGTCACCTAGGCTGGAATGCAGTGGTGTAATCATAGCTCTCTGCAGCCTTGAACTTCTGGGCTCAAGCAATCCTCTCACTTCTGTCTCCTCAGTAGCTGGGACTACAGGCAGCACACCACCATGCCCAGATAATTGTTTTTGGGCTTTTTTAAGTTCTTTACTCACATATCTCCCACCTCTCACCAAATTTTTTTTTTCGGATGGAATTTTGCTCTGTCGCCCAGGCTGGAGTGCTGTGGTGCAATCTGGGCTCACTGCAACCTCTGCCTCCCAGGTTCAAGCAGTTCTCCTGCCTCAGCCTCCCGAGCAGCTGGGACTACAAGCTCACATCACCATGCCCAGCTAATTTTTTTTTTTTTTTGTATTTTTACTAGAGACAGGGTTTCACCATATTGGCCAGGCTGGTCTCGAACTCCTGACCTCATGATCCACCCATCTCAGCCTCCTAAAGTGCTGGGATTACAGGCGTGAGCAACTGCTCCCGTCCCAAAAAAAATTTTTGTCAGGAAACAAGGAAACAACATCAAGCAAGGAAACGCTACTGACAGTATATTCAGGCTATTTTTCCAGTAGCCTCCCCTTAAAGCATAAATTATGAGTCCTCCTTAACAGAGTACAACAATGGGTTGTATAGCTGTTTTCCTTATCTCTAGTGAGAATAGATTCCTGGGTTTAGCAAAAAAAAAAAAAAAAAAAAATGAAGCTGTACTTTACACTTCTTTTTTTAACTGTAATGTTTAGAGGTTATACTAAAGATGTTTAGAGCTTACTCTGGGAAGCCAAGGGCTTCTGCACTTGCAGACATCACAGGAGAACACCGAGCCTCTGTGATAGTGGGAGGTTTCTCGGCAAGGGAGGCAGCCTCTTATCAGAGGTGGATTCCTTGTGGTGATAAGAAGGTGTTCATTGGAGCTATTATATCCAAAAGATGCAGGATTACCTGGGGAGGAGGAACTCTTCACTCTCTGCTTAGGTATTTGAAGCAACTGGAAATTTCTGCTATAGGTTCTTTCTTCCATTCAACTCTCAATGAGTTCCACAACGCTTCCAATGAAACTTCCTATGGCTTGCTGTATATACTGCAAAACCAGGCTTATACCTAATCATAGAATAAAACACAGTCAGTTCCACATTGCTCTACCCTTCACCATGTTAATTAGGGTGGGTGACACTGTAGGTGTGTTCTGCACTGGCCCTGACCAACACATGGTCCCATCATCAAAAGTCAAACTGTCCAAAAGCTTTTCCATGCCCTATTGACAGCTAGCTGTATTGTTTAGCCATAGAGGAAATGTTCTGGTTTATATGTGAACTTTCTGGAGATAGCATGATTCAAGGACAAGACAAATGGTTTTGGGGTCAAGCAGATATGAACTTAAGTCCCAGCTCCATAATTTTTCAGCTGTGACCTGGGGTAATTCTGCAAAAGCATGTATTATGATGCCTAGTCTACAGACCAACAAACTAAAGCCCAGAGAAGCTCCAGGAACACAATAAGAAAAGGAAGGTCTAGGAAGAATTCAAATGCAGATGCCACTTTACCATATTTTCCAAAAGATTGTGTCTTCTCCTCCCTGGCCTTTGAATGTTCCACTTGTTCAGATTACCATCTGTGATAAACCTACGTTTACCTCTTCATTGTTGGCCACCTTAGTAACTGAGTGGTTCTACATCTTGAGGCCTCACTGACCACCAAAGAGAAAGAAAATATCCTGAGTATCCTGGAAAAGGGATTTTTAGGTTCACTTCTACCTAGACCGCTGCTTTTTATTAGAAATGGAAGTGAGATCAGATTTTTAAACCCAGCTGCAGTTACTGTGGTTAAAGCTGATGTGGAGGTCAAGTCTATTTGAAAATTTTAAAACATATGAAAAGACATTTAGAATCCCTGGAGATAAAGAGGAAAGAGCCTTAGAAGAATTTTCTCCTGGACATCTCTGGAGATCTTAGGAGTAGTTAACAAGAATAGGTCTTTTAGATTGGGATCTGTTGTCAACTTCCTCAGATAAAACCAGATGAACTGCCTGAAGACAAGATAGTTCTTCCAACCAGTAGTTCATGCATAATAGCACATGTGCTGGAGTTAATAAGCTTGGCAAGACCCAAACATCTTGATTCCTTGACTTACCCCATGTGGAGGTAGATGGAAAAAACAATAAAGAACAGGGATGAAGGAATACATAGCTATGCCTAACAATTTGAGTTTGCTTTGACTGGTATTTTATGGTATATTTGTATGAATGTGAATAAAAATGGAGAGGGGGGTAGAAATTAAAATAATGGGGAGAAAGGCAGAATTATGATAACTTGGTAAATAGTCCAAAACCAAAATAACTTCTCCTTGGAAATTATAGCAGAGAGAATGAGTAGGAGGAAAGACTGATCTAGTGATAATGAATTTCATGGAGAAAATAAGGCTCACATTTTTTGGATGTGGAGAGCTGATTGGTTCAGGATGTTTGTAATGGAGAAACTCACATTCTTGCTTAATAAATCTTGCCTTGCAGAGCTACATATGAAAATTTCTTCTATACTGTCTGCCCTGACCAGTATGTCTATAATGTCTTATCTGAAGCTTGGGGGCCAAATATGTTTCAGAATGTGGACTTTTTAAGATGTGAAAAGTAACCCAGGTATGGTCTGGGACAATATTCTAGTATCAAATATAATAATATTTACACCAATGTATAAATACTATAAATAGCCTCCCATCAGTTCATATCAGGTTTTGCTGCCAAATGAATTGAGATTAGGTCAGGTCAGATTTTGCCACCAGATGACCTATGAAAAACTTAAATTTTCCAGAGGATTTAAAAAATAGAACTATGAGATTGTGAACCTGTACAAATGGTAACTTTTACTTGACTATTCTACTAAACAAAAATATCAGTTGATTTACAGGAAGATGGAAGACTTTGATTTGGGCAACGTGCTTGGAGATAGGGTACAGTCAATAATAACAGTAGTTAACATTTCTAGAGCAATTACTATGTCACAGCACTATTCTAAGAGCTTAACATGAATTAACTCACTTGAGCCTCTTACAACATTATGAGATATATTGATGTATTGATGGGCCGACTGACACATGAATAAACTGAGGCACAGAAAGTTTATGTAACTCTGCCAAATGCATACAACAATCAATTGGAAGGGCCCAAGTTTGAACATGAATTGATTCCTTCCCTGACTATTAATATCATAATTTTATGTTCTACACAAGGAAAATAGGACTTATGTGTCATTCAAATTACATTATTCCTGACAATAGAAAACTAAGGGATATATTTTACATTTTCAGTTAGTATAATACAGGCATAACTCAGAGATATTGCAGGCTCAGTTCCCGGGAACCAGAATAAAGTGAATATTGCAATAAAGTGAGTCACATGATATTTTTGGTTTTCCAATACATATAAAAGTTATGTTCACACTATACTGTAGTCTACCAAGTGTGCAAAAACATGTTTAAAAAACAATGCACATACCTTAATTTTAAAATACTTTGTAGCTAAAAAGTGCTAACAATCATCTGAGTCTTCAGCAAGTCCTAATCTTTTTGCTGATAGAGCAACCTGCTGCCCGCGGGCCACATACAGCCCAGGACAGTTCTGAATGCAGCCCAACAAAACTTCATAAACTTTCTTTTTTTTGTTTTTGAGATGGAGCCTCGCTGTCGCCCAGGCTGGAATGCAGTGGCGCAATCTCTGCTCCCTGCAGCCTCTGCCTCCCGGGTTCAAGCAATTCTCCTGCCTCAGCCTCCCGAGTAGCTGGGACTACAGGCACGCACCGCCATGACCAGCTAATTTTTTGTATTTTGAGTAGAGACAGGGTTTCACCATGTTGGCCAGGATGGTCTTGATCTCCTGACCTCGTGATCCACCCGCCTGGGCTTCCCAAAGTGCTGGGATTATAGGCGTGAGCCACTGCGCCCAGCAATACTTCATAAACTTTCTTAAAACATCATGAGATTTCTTTTGCAATTTTTTTTTTTTAGCTCATCAGCTATTGTTAGTGTATTTTATGTGTGGCTCAAGACAATTCTTCTTCCAATGTGGCCTAAGGAGGCCAAAAGATTGGATCCCCCTATGACAGAGGGTCTTACCTGGAGGTTGATGGCTGCTGACAGATAAAGGTGGTGGCGGCTGAAGGTCTGGGGGGCTGTGGCAATTTTTTAAACTAAGACAACAATAAAGTTAGCTGCATTGATTAGCTTCCTTTCATGAAAGTTTTCTCTGTAGCATGTGATGCTGTTTGGTAGCATTTTACTCACAGTAGAAACTTTTTCAAAATTGAAGTCGGTCCTCTCAGAACCTGCCACTAATTTATCAACTAAGCTTATGAAATATTCTAAATCATTTGTTGTTATTTCAACAAGGTTCACAGCATCTTCACCAGGAATAGCTTCTATTTCAATAAAACATTTTCTCTGCTTATCCGCAAGAAGCAACTCCTCATTCATTGAGGTTTTATCATGAGATTGCATGATACACATCTTTAGTCTCCATTTCTAATTCTAGTTCTCTTGTTATTTCCACCATTTCTGCAGTTATTTTCTCCACTGAAGTCTTAAACCCCTCAAAGACATTCATGAGGGTTGGAATCAACTTCCTCTATACTGTTGTTAATATTGATAATTTGACTTCATTCCACAAATCACGAATGTTCTTTACGGCATCTGGAATGGTGAATTATTTCCAGAAAGTTTTCAATTTACTTTGCCCAGATCTATCAGAAGAATCATTATTATGAAAGTTATAACCTTACAAAATGTATTTCTTAAATAATAAGACTTAAAAGTAAAAATCACTCCTTCAGCCATGGGCTGAAGAATAGATGTTACATTAGCAGACATGAAAACAACATTAGTCTCCTTGTACATCTCTACCAAAACTTTTGGGTGACCAGGTACATTGTCAATGAGCAGTAATATTTTGAAAATAATATTTTTCTCTGAGTAGAGATCCCAGTAGTAAGTTTGAAATATTCAGAAAGCCATGCTATAATCTGATGTGCTGTTATTCAGGCTTTATTTTTCCATTTCTAGAGCACAGGGAGAGTAGATTTAGCATCATTCTTAAGGACCCTAGGATTTTGGAATGGTAAATGCACATTGTCTTTAACTTAATGTTATCAGTTGTATTAGCTCCTAACAAGAGTCATCCTGCCCTTTGAAGCCAGGCATTGATTCTCCTCTCTAGCTAGTCCTAGATGGCATCTTCTTCCAATAGAAGGCTGTTTTGTTGCCATTGAAAACCTGTTCTTTAGTGTAGCCTCCTCCATTTGTTACCTTAGCTAGATCTTCTGGATAACTTGCTGCAGCTCCTCCATCGGCACTTTCTGTTTCAGTTTGCACTTTTGTGTTATGGAAACAGCTTCTTTCTTTAATCCTCATGAACCAACCTCTGCTAGCTTCCAGCTTTTCTACTTCAGCTTCCTCACCTCTCTCAGCCTTCATTGAATTGAAGAGTCAGGGCCTTGCTCTGATCTGCCTTTGGCTTAAAGGAATGTTGTGGCTGGTTTGTACTTCTATCCAGACACTAAAACTTTCTCCATATCAGCAATAAGGCTGTTTTCTTTTCTTATCATTTATGTTTTCACTGAATAGCACTTTCATTTCCCTTCAAGAACTTTTCTTTGCATTCACAACTTGGCTAACCGGCGCAAGGGGCCTAACCTTTGGCCTACCTTGGCTTTCAGCATGCTTTCCTCACTAAGCTTAATCTTTTCTAGCTTTTGATTTAAAGTAAAACAAGTGTAACTATTCCTTTCACTTGAACACTTAAAAGCCATTTAAGGGTTATTAAATAGCCTAATTTTAATATTGTTGTGTCTTAGGAAATAGAGAGGCCAGAGAAGAGGGAGAAAGATGGGGAAATCGTCAGTAAGTGGAGCAGTAAAAACCCACATACTATTTATAGATTAAGTTTCCTGTCTTATATGGGTGCAGTTCATGGCACCCCAAAACAATTACAACGGTAACATCAAAGATCATCGATCACAGAACACCATAAAAGATATAATAATAATGAAAGAGTTTGAAACATTATGAGAATTACCTAAATGTGACATAGAGACACAAAGTGAGCACGTGCTGTTGAAAAAATGGCACTAAAACCGGGCATGGTGGCTCACACCTGTAATCCCAGCACTTTGGGAGGCTTAGGCGGGTGGGTCACTTGAGCCCAGGTGTTGGAGACTAACCTGGGCAATATAGTGAGACCTCGTCTCTACAAAATAAAATTAGCTGGGTGTGGCGATAGGCACCTGTAGTCCCAGCTATTCAGGAGGCTGAGGTGGGAGGATCACGTGAGTCCAGGAGGTCTAGGCTGCCATGAGCTGAGATCGCACCACTGCATTCCAGTCTGGGTAACAGAGCAAGACCCTGTCTCAAAAGCAAAAAACAAAACAAAACAAACTCAATGGCATTGGTATACTTACCCAATGCAGGGTTGCCAGACACCTTCAATTTGTAAAAAAAAAAAAAAAAAAAGTAGTATCTACAAAGTGCAATAAAGTGAAGCCCAATTAAATGAGATATGCCCCTGTCTTTCAAGATGCTTGCTTTTATCACGGAGTGTCCTTTTCTATTTGAGAACAACTGAAGTTTTGTATCTTGAAACTGAGTAAATTAACAGATTATTGACACAAACCATGTTAGCATGAGCAACATAAGAAGAATCAAGCATTTGCATTTCTCCTTGAGAGTAGGGACTGGTTTTTAGTCATTGTTTTATCCCCAAGGCCTAACTTAGAGGCTTGTATATATTACACACTCTATGGGATGAATGAATGTGTCCCAACCTCAAAAAAGCCCCAAAATGAAGGAGTCCCATTCAAACATGCTAATTTGCATTACTCCATTTACACTTTTCTCTTGGTTAATGTTAATCCATTAGGTTTTAGTAAATCAAACTTTTATATTGGTTCATATTTATATAAAAGTGTAGCATTGATGAGGAGGGGGCAGTGAACAGCTTTGCGTTTGGTTGAATGTATTATTTTAGCTGGTCCCTCCTGACTCCTACTCATGCTTATACGTTTGTCTGTATATATGCGTGTGTGTATGTGTGTGTGTCTCTGTATGTCTCTCTGTGTGCATATATGTATGTGCATGTGTGTATATATGTATGTGTACATGTGCATGCATGTGTATGTTTATGTTTGCATATGTGTGTATATGTGTGTCTCTGTGTGTATATATGTGTATATATGTGTGTGTCTGTGTGTATATGTGTGTGTGCATGTTTGTATATGTGTGTATGTATATATGTGTGTGTATGTGTATATATGTGTGTATATATCTGTGTGTGTATGTGTGTGTGTATATATGTGTGTGTGTGTGTGTGTGTGTGTGTGTGTACCTATGCACATGTAATATGTAACATCTCCAGATTAGATCAGGCCTTATTCCAGTAGCTCTCGGAAAATGATGCAGCTTATCCAGTTTGACTACTCTGGATACTTGACTGCCAGAGTCAGGTGCTTTCACCTGGTTCCCATGACTATCTCTGACAATATCTGAAGAGTTCTTTGACTCAGAACTTTGTCAAGATGATAAAGGTGAGAATCCCTTTATCATACCACAGGACAAACTACAGATAATTTTTTAAGTTACCTTGAACAAAATATGTACTTATAGTATTAATGTCCAATATTTATTAATTAAGAAATCTGTGGATACGAAAAAAAACTTCCAGAACCCATCCATATTTTGCACCACTGCCATGGTTCTGCAGGATCCATGGCTCCCAGCTTCTCCTGTCCTGTCTCAGTTTCAGACCGTAATGGTAGAGTCACTCTCTTGTCTCAGTGCTTCGGTACTCAAAGCAGATTCTCAGTATCACTATCTGCAGTTGTGCAACAGGCTTTCCTCAGAGCACGGCATTGTTCTCACAGAGCTTCTACAGCAAACTGGATTTTGCTACTCCATAGGAAAGTGCTGAGACATCAGAGTGTCACTCTTTTCCAAAGCATCCTCTCCAAAATCACTGGATGACTGCTCCTTCCTGTAGCTTTTCCCTCTGCTATTCTATCTCACAAGATATCACTCTCCATCTCTCTCTGTGTCCCTCTGTCCCTCTGTGTCCCTCTGTCCCTCTATCTGCTCTGTACTACAGTGGATAGATGCACTATTTTGACAGAGAATGCCACTTTCAGGTAAGGCAAGACCAGGTAAAGGATTGCCCATTGGCTAGCAGCCACTTACTCTCTGTTACTTTCTGTGGCACATCATTATACTTCCTCTCTGGTTATTCTTGGATCTGACAGACTTATGTCTATACATGCAGAGCTACACACACCTGCACTCCTATACCATCCTTGCAGAGAGAAGAGAATTTGAGAATTTAAGATGTCCTATTTGCTTTTCACACATTTCTTACACCAGTTGTTAACATAGAACCATTTTAGAAATAGTTCTTTTTCAGTTTTAATTAAAATTCTAACTTGCCAACATTCTTATTTTACCCACTTGAGAGATTTGTGCTCACACACAAATACATAATTCTGTGATTTATCATGAATAGATAAATAGAAAAAAATTATCTAAAAATATAAACCCAAGAATTAACATTTCATTGATTTATCATCATCAATGATGATGATCATCATTATGATCATCAATCATCATAATTTCTAGGAAGCTAAAAGGAACTGAAGAGGCTTTTTTTTTTTTTTTTTTGAGATGGAGTTTTTGCTCTGTTGCCCAGGCTGGAGTGCAATGGTGCAATCTCGAGTCACTGCAACCTCTGCCCTCCTGGGTTCAAGCAATTCTCTGCAAACTTGACTCCTGAATAGCTGGGATTACAGGTGCTTGCCACCACACCTGGCTAATTTTTGTATTTTTAGTAGAGATGAGGTTTCACCATGTTGGCCAGGCTGGTCTCAAACTCTTGACCTCAGGTGATCCACCCACCTTGGCCTCCTAAAGTGCTAGGATTACAGGCATGAGCCACCGCGCCCGGCTGCTAAAGAGGTATTAATAAGTTATTTTTGCTCACTTTTGGTCCTTTTTCTCTTTAAGAAAGGACTGGCGGCTGGGAGTGGTGGCTTATGCCTGTACTCCCAGCACTTTGGGAGGCTGAGGTGGGAGGATCACTTGAGCCCAGGAGTTTGAGATCAGCCTGGTCAACGGGGTGAAGCCCTATTTCTCCAAAAAGACAAAAATTAGCCAGGCATGGTGGTGTGCACCTGTAGTCCCAGCTACCTGGGAGGCTGAGGAAGGTGAGGCTGCAGTGAGTCATGCTTGTACCACTACACTCCAGCCTGGGCATCAGAGTGAGAGTCTGTTGGAAAGGAAAGGAGGAAGGAGGAAGGAGGAAGCAGGAAAGGAGGAAAGGAAAAGAAAGGAAAGGAAAGGAAAGGAAAGGAGAAAGGAGAGGAAAGGACAGGAGAAAGGAGAGGAAAGGAAAGGAGAAAAGAAAAGAAAAGAAAAGAAGGAAGGAAAGAGAGAGAGAAAGAAAGAGAGTAGTGGAGGAAGGAAGGGAAGAAAGGGAAAGAAGGAAGGGTAGGAAGGTAAGAAAAGAAAAGGAAGGAAAGGAAAAAAGACTGACAAGGTAGTTAAGTAGTTTGGGGGTCATGATGACATTAGTATACTAAATAAACCACTCCAACCCATCCACCTACTAAAGAAGTCACTCATAATCACCATCATTGCCTCCAATTTAACTCAACAAGAATTTAGCACTTACCATGTACCCACTATCTGGCAACATAGATGCAGAGTGAGCTGTTAAACAAGGCATAAGAAGCTTAAATGTCAACATGTGCATTAACAACAGAATGCATTATGTTAAGTATTAAAATAGTCTAGAATAAATGCTCAGAAGTCCAAAGTCCCTAATACAATCATAGAATTGTAGAGTCAGGGAAGTCTTTCATTAATTATATGGATTAACATTTTTCTTTTATAAATGAAGAGACTGACACACACGGAGGGGCTGATTTGTCCAAGGTTTTAGGAAATTACTGTAGTGGCCATCCATGTGAGTGTAGGCCCCGAACCTCCCCTTGCTTGTTTTGGGAGCTGCCTTCTCTCTCCATACTGGGTCAGGTAATTCATTCCCTGGCTCTCAGATGGTATTAATTTGCCCGAGAGTATATCTTAGAATATATAAATAATTTTTTAAACTTTGTGATGTATGTGGTAGCCATGCTGGAAATGCTGACACTTCTGTCATTAAACATTGTCGTGCACTAAAAAGTACATGCTACTAAAAATATTTCTTCCTATTTTGTTTGATGTTAAAAGTCTCTTCAAATGATAAATATGAAAGCCAATTTGGACCTCAACGAATTGGATTCTGTGTTAGTTCTCTAGCCAAAAAATAATTGATTAAATTTCCTTAATATCAACATGTTACAATGAATAACTTCTTAATCTTTGTCAAAATCAATAAACTGCATGTGAAACAACCAGCTTCTTATTCTGCTTAGAATTTTGATACAGTTGTGACTTTCCCTAGATTTTTCCATAAGTTTGATTTTTATGATTTGCTTCATTTTAAGCTATCTTCTAGATAACATTATTTAATTTATTAAAACTCTTACTAAGAAAATGACTACAAAATGAGACTTGTAATAATGGGGAGGAGCCTCTGTTTATTATTTATTTATTTATGTATTATTTCATTCACTCGTCTTCCTGATTTCCTTTCATTTCTGTTATAAATCGCAATGCTTAAGTACATTGCAATGTTGAAAGTTTAAACATGGCCAGGCATGGTGGCTCATGCCTGTAATCCCAGCACTTTGGGAGGCCAAGGCAGGCAGATCGCTTGAGCACAGGAGCTCAGAACCAGCCTAGGCAACATGGCAAAACCCCATCTCTACATAAAAATACAAAAAGTTAGCCTGGTGTGGTGGCACACACTTGTAGTCCCAGCTACCCAGGAGGCTGAAGTACGAGGATCACTTGAGCCCAGGAGGTAGAGGCTGAAGTGAGCTGGGATCACACATCACACTACTGCACTCCAGCCTGGGCAATAGGGTGAAACCCTGTCTTAAACAAACAAACAAAGCAAGGAGGAAAGAAAGCTTAAACATCAATTGCATAGCTCACTCACTTATTCAGAGATGAGCCTTGTCATCTAAATGAACCAATGGGATGTGGGGAGTATTTGTTGAAGCTAGCAGGAAAGACAAGCTGCCTGTTTTTCTGTAGTAAATAAATACCGGTAGAAACATTCTTTGACACTAGACAGAAAAGAGAATTCTCTCTAGAAGATAATGGCAGCCATCTGAGTACCAAAATAGTATCAGGCTTAGGAAGAAGCTGGCACTGTAAAGGGAGAGCAAAGAGACCAAAAGAAGCCACATTTTCAGTTACATTATTGAGGCCACTAGTTCAAGACTTGCCTGAAGCTATCTCTGGAGCCAATACATTTTCTTTATTAGTTAAGCCAGTTAGAATTGGGCTTTCAGGTTGTTGAACAAAAACAGTAGTAAATGATACACTATTATTGAAATTTGGTATAAAGAAAAGTTTTGTTCATTGTGGCAGACCCTATTAGTCACCTACACAAAAGATTCTGTTCTTCCTTGTGAACGGAACTCCAATTTTACTCATAGTTCATTCATACAGTATTTTAGGGGTCCTCCCTCACCCATTTCAGAATGCTAATTTTCATTAGTCTTTTTTTTTTTTTTTCTTGAGACAGAGTCTCACTCTGCCTCCCAGGCTGGAGTGCAGTGGTGCCATCTTGGCTCACTGCAAGCTCCGCCTCCCGGATTCACGCCATTCTCCTGCCTCAGCCTCCCGAGTAGCTGGGACTACAGGCGCCCGCCACCATGCCCTGCTAACTTTTTGTATTTTTAGTAGAGACGGGGTTTCACCGTGTTAGCCAGGATGGTCTTGATCTTCTGACCTTGTGATCTGCCCACCTCGGCCTTCCAAAGTGCTGGGATTACAGGCGTGAGCCTCCGCGCCCGGCCTTTTCATTAGTCTTAACCAATCATGGCATTGATTTTTTTTTTTCTTTGTCAAGGGCTGCTTTAGGAATATGATGGACATACATGCACAAAAATATGAGGTAAATTCTGTTGCAAGCATCACGGAAGCTTTCCTAACTTTTAAAAAGATGAGACAAGACAGGACTTTCTCTTCCAACTTTCAGACAATGCCTTATGAAGAATGCAACCACCTTGCAGATAGAAAGGAGAAACAAAAGAATCCCAGAGAAGCCAACCTGGCTCCCCAGAGCTACCAAATGAGCTAACCCTGGAATTCCCCCAGGTTTCACCTTAGGTACAATAATAAACTTTCCATTGTATAAGTTGCTGATAGTCACATATCCTGTTATTTGGAGCTGGATCACTCTGACCAATATATTCACAGACAATATTGATTCTTTGAGGTTAATCTCAAGTAAAATATTACCTTACTTAATTGATTAAAGCTAATCTGAGTCCTAAAGAGGAAACAAGTACTTTCACCATTTTTGGCACACTTTATCATTTGATGGTTTAAGTGGTTTGAAGAACTGAAGTGACCAATTAATACATAATGCTGATTAAATTTAAATAATTTCTATATCTTAAGCCTCAGATGAAATGGAAAGTTTGCCTGCTGAAAACGAATGTGTGCCCTAAGCCTTTGTTTATCCAGGTGGTTAGAACCAGAAAACACTGGGAGGGTCATCTTGGGAAGCAGCCAGAACAAATGCCCATAAGTCTTAATGGTAACCGTGCTGCCAATTCCTAAGATTCTTAGCATTTGCTAGATCAGAAATTAATAATAGATGGAAACAAAAAAGAATGAGACAACTGGCCTGTTGTTTTATCTTTTAAAGCCAGGAATATTCCATAAACAATTGAGAAGTGATTAGCATATGACCCCCAAGGGTATGTTGTGACCCCAGATCAGTAGGAGATGCTAATGGGACAAGACTTCCATGGACTTACATATTTACCTGACAGTAGAGGCAGGATGGAGTGATGTGGTTGAAAAGTGGCCTGCATGTTTCAGACCTGTCTGAACAATGGATAGGTGCTGTGATCTATACAAAGATTCTGGTGGTATCATTCATAATAGTAGCAATAAGAGGCAAATATTTACTCTGTTCCGGTGTAATTGCTGAACAAGTTCTTAGTAAAATGACATGGAGTAGGTGCTCTGTAAATGTTTATCTTTCCCCACTTTCCTTTTATCCCCCTCTTTACTCCTATCTCACAAGTACAGAGGAGGAAGCTATGGAAAAAAAATCATAGCCACAGAATTTTTTGACATCTCTAAAAATTATATTATTTTTCTATTTTGATTTATGTACAATACATCTCAACAAATATATAAAACAAAACTTATATGCAACAACAGAAGCATTTTGCTGAGTATTCCATCTGTCCTCTTGACAATTTTTTATGCCTCTCTAAAGTGCCTTGGATTTGAGTCTAACCTGAAAATAACTCTATTACCATTAGCTTTAATAATGTTCTCAAGGAATATAACTTACCTGATAAAGTAGGTAACTATTGGAAAAAACACCTATGAAAATTAATGTTTATAATAGAATATCAGAAGATTTCCTAAACTAAAAAATCTTGTTTGAGTCCCCTCTTGGAGAATTTCTCTATAACTTTTGAATTATCTTTTGTAATTTCAAGATGAAATTGTATCTTGATATGAAAAAAATAAAATCAAGCTGATAAAATTGGAATGGCATTCCACAAGGAGGAGGAATTGAAAGACGAGTATTCCACAAGCTGTCCTCAAGAACGGGGCATTTTTATGCTGCCAAGTTAGCTTAGCAGACACATCCCTGTCCCTCAGCCCATCCTTGAGTCAATTTCTCACTGTTGTTTTATTACAGTAAAATTTAAACTAAAAGCAAGTAGCACAAAGTAAAAGCAAGTAGCACAAAAAAAGTTGATAAAAATAAAGTTAGATATGATTGTTCATCTTGGAGAAGATTGATAAGCAGTCATTGCTTTTGTAAGTTCTTCCTCTCAAGTGTGCAAGGGCCCTCCCACGTCGACATTATTTTTACCCACTTCAACTCTGCTATTGCTTCTCGTTCGCTTAAACCACTTTCATGGCTGTCTCTCTAAAACCTACTTTCCCCTTGGCATCTTCTGAACTGAACCCTGTAGTTTCAAACAATAAATGTCCAAGTGCTCAGGCATGTCACTACAAAGCCCATTTGTATTATCTTAATACAAGAAAAGCTTCAGCCAAATTAAATTTAAAGGCATTTAATTGAGCAATGAATGATTAGCAAATCAGGCAGCCCCCAGAATCACAGCAGATTCACAGAGACTCCAGTTCAGCCACGTGGTGGAAGATTTATAGACAAAAAAAGGGAAATGGGGCGTGCAGAAATTTGAAGTGAGGTACAGAACAGCAGGATTGGTTACAGCTCCGCCTTTGCCTTATTTGAACACAGTTTGAACACTCAGCAATGTATGAGTCATTGAAGTTCTGCCGCTGCAATTGGCCAAGACTCAGCTATTGTTACAGGTGCATACTCCTAAGTTAGGTTTTCAATTTTTGTCTATCTATTAAGCTAGGTTGCAGTTTGTCCACAAGGACTCAAACATAGAAGTATGGAGTCCTCAGGCCACATTTAGTTCACTTTAACAATCTGATAAGTGACTCCTCATCAGCTTGTTACTTCCTTATGGCTATTATGTCTCCTAAAGTGACTTAAACCGAGGAGGAAACATGGGGTTTGGACATGTCCTTGATAAACTAGTACCCCATAGAGATTGAGAACGTATTTTGTGAAAGAGAATTATAAGGATGTGGAGGTGAAGGAAGTTGCAGGAGCATGTTGCATGACCTAACGGGGGTGGAGATAATAAGACAAACTTAAAAGGTATTTAGAAGTCTAAATCAACAGAACTTTGTGAAAAGACGGATGAAAGAGCATGGGGGTAAAGGAGAAACTGGGTATGAGATAAGCTTCAGAGGTTAGATAATGAGTTGAGTTTTTGGCATATTATATCTGAGGTGCTTATAAGATATCTCAGTAGGAGTTCAGAGTCTAGAGCTCAGGTCCGACCTAGAGTTGTAAATTTGGCATTATTCATACCAATATATTGCAACCAAGGCCACAGGAGGGAATGAAATGACCTATAGAGAGGGAAAAGAAAGTTTAAGACCAGGAGTTTAAGAATCTCCATGCAGTAATTACTCTGAGGAAAAGCTCACAGGGGACCAAAGGAGTAGGCAGAAAGTTTGGAGAAAAAGAGTGTCCTGTTACCAAAATGAAGGGGAGAGTGCTCTGAGGAAGACTGTCAACAGGGCAAATGTTTAGAGGTCAAGTAGATGAACTTGAAGCAAATCCATTGGATTTGGTGGCATTGGTAACCTCAGTAAGACCAAGTTTAGTAAGGTCCTTTTGAAAACAAAAATTAGATTGTAATACGTTGACATGAGAAAAATACAGCCGTTCCCTTTTATGCATGGTTTTGCTTTCTTCAGTTTCGGTTACCAGAAGTAAACCATGGTCTGAAAATAGGTGAGTATAGTACAATAAGATATTGAGAGAGAGAGAGATCATGTTCACATAACTCTTATTACAGTATGTTGTTATAACTGTTCTATTTTACTATTAGTTATTTTTGTTAATCTCTTATTGTGCCTAATTTATAAATTAAACTTTTTCATAAGTATGTGTGTACAGGAGGAAAACATAGTATATATGAGGTTTGGTACTATCTGTGGTTGCAGGCATCCACGGGGGGTCTTGGAACTATCCCCCGAGAATGAGTAGGGACTACTGTAGAGGAAAGAGGGTGAGTACAGACAACTCATCCAAGAGCTTTGACTGCGAAGGCAAGAAGAGTGACAGAGTAATAGCTGAAAAGGCATTAAGTAGCTTAAGAATTTTATTTCCTATTTAAAATGGTAGCAATTAAATGTTTAAATGTTCATGGCTTGGAGCCAGTAGAAAGATTAACATTTACAAAGAAGAGGGAACTATAATGGTTTAAGATTCCAGAGGAGGCAGGAGGGTCTGTAATCCAGATCTCTCTGGATGTCTGGAAACCCTCAGTTGCCCTTAGTTGCAATCCAAGTCCACTGGTGACATTGCACTAAATGAGATTTCTGGCTCTCCTATAATGGATAGATTTTCTTCATTATTCAGATGTTCTTTGGTTTTTTTTCCCTTCTCTATTCATTTCCTGTTGCTGCTATGACAAATTATAGTATAACAGTAGCTTAAAATGACACAAACTTGTGATCTTATAGTTCTTTTTTTTTTTTTTTTTTTTTGAGACGGAGTCTCACTCTGAGTGAAGTGGCCCAATCTTGGCTCACTGCAGCCTCCACCTCCCAGATTCAAGTGATTCTCCTGCCTCAGCCTCCTGAGTGCCTGGGATTACAGGCACCCACCACTATGCCTGGCTAATTTCTGTATGTTTAGTAGAGATGGGGTTTTACCATGTTGGCCAAGCTGGTCTCGAACTCAGGTAATCCGCCTGCCTCAGCCTCCCAAAGTGCTGGGATTACAGGCCTGAGCGACCACGCCTGGCTGGTGATCTTTTATAGTTCTTATAGATGGAGGTCAAAAGTCCAACAGGTGTCACCTGACTAAAATCAAGGTGTCAACAGGACTGTGTTCTTTTTATAAGTTCTAGAGGAACATATCTTTCTTTGTCTTTTCCATCTTCTTTAGGCCACTTACATTCCTTGGCTTGTAGCCCCTGTCTCTGTGTTCAGAGCCAGCATTGTGACATTTTCAGATATTTTTCTCTGACTCTGACCCCCTACTTCCCTTTTATCATCCTTGTGATTACATTGGGTCCACCCAGATAATCCAAGACAATCTTCCCATCTCAAAATTCTTAATCACATCTGCAAAGTCTCTTCAGTCATATAAAGCAACATATTCAAAGGTTTCGGGGATATCTTAGGGGCGTATTATTCTGGACATCTTTGTGGACAGGCAGTCATTATTCTGCCTACCACACTTCCCTGTTTCTAAAGTACTCTTCCAAGCTTGCTGAGAATTATGGATGGAGCTTCCCATGCTCTACATTTTATATAAGTGAAAATCTCAATAACAAATTTTAGCCATGTTATTCTTTTTTTTTTTTTAAGACGGAGTCTCGCTCTGTTGCCCAGGCTGGAGTGCAGTGGCATGATCTTGGCTCACTGCAACCTCTGCCTCCCAGCTTCAAGCAATTCTCCTGCCTCAGCCTCCTGAGTAGCTGGGACTACAGGCACCTTGCCACCACGCCCAGCTAGTTTTTGTATTTTTAGTAGAAACACGGTTTCACCAGGCTGGCCAGGCTGGTCTTGAACTCCTGACCTCATGATCCACCCACCTCAGCCTCCCAAAGTGTTGGGATTACAGGCATGAGCCACCATGCCCGGACTCAGCCATGTTATTCTTAAACGATAGAGGGGCCACCACTCAGAGAATATGTTCTGAGAATTATGTGATGATCCCACTTGGCTGGTACTGGTAGCATTTTATTTCATCATTTTTAGTATTCAGAACAAAATAAATGAACGACAAAAATAAGTTCTGTGTGAACCTGCCGCTGCTGTAGTATCTTTTGCAGTTTATTATGTCTTATGCACACATTTTTAAGCTCTGGCCAAAAGACACTGACTTCAGACCTAGCACCATATCTAGGGGGCTAGGAAAAGAGAGACTCCTCTGCAGACCAGTAGTGCTATCTCACTGTCATCCCAAGGCTGATCAAAAGAAAGAAAATGAGGGATGGGGTGAAATTTTAAAAAGAGAAGGGGCTGTGTGTAGAGATGTATAGTTGCACATGTCAGTCAAAATTTGGTACAATAAAAGATTGCATTCAAGTGTCCTGTCATCAGGAACATTTAATAGCAATGTCAAGTCAGCTAAATCAAAATAACTTGTACCTCCTCTGTACAACGCCCATTCCTCTGCACAGTTTAAACAAGTAAAATCCTGATAAACAATAGCAATGGATCCTTTATCCCATCTTTCTCAAAAATTTTTTTCAGTCATTATCAAAGAATAGCCCTAACAATACTATTATTACTACAACATTGTTTTGTTTCTCAGTGCTACACAACACTAGAAACTGTCATATCTTTTTAAAATTAAGGCAAACAAATTATCTAAGTAGGCATTCCTTATTTCATAAGGAGGTATCCTTAACAAACCCTTGTGCACCACCAGGAAGAAAAACTTGAAAAAGTCCCACATTTGACACTAGTGCAACATGCAGTCCAAAAGATGGAAAATGGCCAGGCGCAGTGACTCACACCTGTAATCCCAACACTTTAGGAGGCCAAGGCAGGCAAATCACTTGAGGTTAGGAGTTCAAGACCAGCCTGACTGACATGATAAAATCCCATCTCTACTAAAAATACAAAGTTAGCCAGGTGTGGTGGCGCATGCCCATAATCCCAGCTACTCTGGAGGCTGATGCAGGAGAATCGCTTGATCCCTGGAGGCGGAGGTTACAGTGAGCCGAGATTGTGCCACTTGCACTTCAGCCTGGGTGATAGAGTGAGACTTCTTCTCAAATTAAACTAAACTAAACTAAACTAAAGTAAACTAAACTAAACTAAACTAAAATAAAAAGATGTAAAATCATCTTTACTTTTGTACCTTCAATTGACTTTGAGTCCATACTGATTCATTTTCAGATAAGCATAGAAGCAGTGCTTCATCTATTGTCTTCTATCTTTCTTCCATTCATTCAATCTCATGGACTCTCCCTCCTGGAATTTCCTAACCTCCCACCAGTGTCCATTTTTACCTTGTGGCTTCTGGCCAGGCTGCTGGTCACTGCATTCCATCCATTATTCTCTTCAAAGCCAGAGTTGTGGGAGGAGACTTCAGGTCCTACTCATAGGAGGAAGTAAGAGAGATTCCAGAAACCCTTTCTTCTGCTCAGATTGACTTCCTCTTGGTATAACTCAGGTACATGGTTATGCTAACAGTCTTCTCAACCTTACCAAGAACCCCTTCTGTAAAATATTCTGATGTGGCCTGAGACCCTGCAGTGGGTGGGAAGGAACTCTGCCCCAGAAAGGAACTGATGAGCTAAGTAAGTTAGCCTAGGTTATCCTACCCTCAATCCTAATGGAGCACTTTGTGCTACTGGAGAGTAGATAGAAGATGGGATACACACTGCACTCTGCTCACCAGCCAATGTCTGGCCACTGGGGCCTACCCCCACCTTCCACAAGCCTATATTCATTTTGTGGCGTCATCTTTGAGACATCATCACTTGCTTTTCCGCACAAACGACCAACACCCTGCCAGCCTTTCCTGTGCTAGCAAAGATGTGTATGCAAACATCTTTCTGTGATACTGTTCTTATCAGTCTTCTTGGACATATGTGCTGACTCCAGCAAGCTCCAGGAATAAGGGCCTGGATTCAGATTCTCAGGAGTGGGGGATTCACTTCCTCCCTGCATGGTGGTGGTAACTGTTAAACTTCTGTGGAAGCTGGGGAGTCACTGTGCTTCCAACCCAAAGTCCAATCTCTTCCTTCCTCTCCCTCTGGCTCATCCTCTCTTTCCCACCCCTACCCATAGGAAGGAAAAGAGAGTCTAAGGAAATAGATCTATTCATCCACTGAAACAGAAATGGAAGCAAAAACAGAAACAAACCCCTGAACACTCATCATTTTTTCTGTATGTTCTGGAGATAATTTAGCCAAATTGGAACTGGCAAGATATTGTTGGGATGTAAGCTAATTAAAGCAGCGGGGCTGGGTTGCAAGGACCATGGATGCATTCAATCAGCTAGTAACATTTAAAGGCAAAGCTTTGTCAAGTAGCCAGCACAATAGATGTGCTCTCCCTCCTCCAGCTGTGCATATTGCAGCCTTGTCAAGAATAGGCTTGCCTGGTGATTTCTGGCCTACCTGTTAGGATTTAGCCAAATCTTGGTTCACCATAAATCTTGCAGGTCAGCAGAAATTCACTTGTAGAAACCTGGCTGATCATCAGATTTCCTTGGGAAGCTCTGTAAAAATATAGATTCCCAGGCACCCTTCTAGAGTCACTCAAGCAGAATTTCAAGGATGAGATCTTGGATTCTCCATATTAACAGAGATTTCCCAGTGCCAGACTTGGGGAACAATTTTTACAGCTTATAGAAATCTAAATCCTAGATTGGGAAGACATCTAGGGGATCAATTTTTCTAACTTTCTGTTTTCTATCAAAAAAGAAAGTAGGCTGGGCACGGTGGCTCACACCTGTAATCCCAGCACTTTGGGAGGCCGAGGCAGGTGGATCACGAGGTCAGGAGATCGAGACCATCCTGGCCAACATGGCGAAACCCTGTTTCTACTAAAATACAAAAAAAAAATTAGCCGGGAGTGGTGGTGCGCACCTGTAGTCCCACCTACTTGGGAGGCTGAGGCAGGGGAATCGCTTGAACCTGGGAGGCAGAGGTTGCAGTGATCCGAGATCGTGCCACTGCGCTCCAGCCTGGGCAACAGAGTGAGACTCCGTCTCAAAAAAAAAAAAAAAAAGTAAACTCAGTGATATTACATGCAATGACAACAGTTTGTTGTGGGTTTTTTGAGACAAAGTTTCACTCTTGTTGCACAGGCTGGAGTGCAATGGCACGATCTTGGCTCACTGCAACCTCTGCCTTTCAAGTTCAAGTGATACTCCCACCTCAGCCTCCCAACTAGCTGGGACTACAGGCATGCGCCACCACGCCCGGCTAATTTTGTATTTTTAGTAGAGACAGGGTTTCTCCATGTTGGTCAGGCTGGTCTCGAACTCCCAACTTCAGGTGATCCTCCCACTTCGGCCTCCTAAAGTGCTGGGATTACAGGCATGAGCCACCATGCCCGGCCACCAGTTTATTTTTTCTAATGCAGTAGTGAAAGCATTATTTGAAGAAAAAAATACTCCTGGGGAGGGAATCTAGGATATTGTTGTATCCACCCTAAAGATACAGCAATTGTAACCTTCGGGCTGATGCTTTCTTAGGTGATTTGTGTTATATATGCACTTAACTTTCATTTATTTATTCACTTGACAAATGACCATCACTACAATCCATGCACTATTTTGGGCACAGGGGATACAGTACTGAACAAAACAATAAAAAAGCTCTGCTTTCATGGAGCTTTCATTCCACGAGGGGAGAGTGACTGCAAACAAGATAAAAACCAGATCTAGAATAGTCAGATACAGCATGTCAGTAAAAACAAGGCAGAAAACATGGATGTGAAGTGTTCAGCAATGGGGCTTGGGTTGAAATTGTAGGTAAGATGGCCAGGGAAGGCTTCACTGTGTGAAGGTGACTTTGGAGGGTTGAAGACCTGAAGGAACTGAGAGAGCTAGCCATGTATGCCTCAGGTATACAATTGTGCAGGCAGAGGAAATAGTAAATGCAAAGTCCCTGGGATAAGAACATGCCAGGCCTGGTAGAACAGCAGTGAGAATTGTGGAAATGTAGCAGAGGAAATGTTGCATTTACTCTGGAGAGGAGGAAGGAGGAATAGGTTACGTGCTATCGAAGTAAAGAGGTCCCAGATCACATAGGGCCTTGAAGATCAGTGTGAGACTTTGGTCTGCATGAGACGAAAAGTCGCTGGAGGATTGTAGGCGAGAGTGTCAAGACCTGACTTATATTTTGATGGGACCTCTCTGTGCAGAGTTGAAACCAGCCTAAAGTAGCAGAAGCAGGGTGACCAGAGAAGAAGCTATTGCGATACTTAAATACTAGGCGAGAGGGAATTACCACTTAAATAAATGATGAGCATGGGCACTGGAGTGAGTATATGCCTCAGACTGAGCATAAGAAGTAAGATAGGAATCTGTATTTCTCTTGGTCTGCTTAACTCCCACACACCTCTCACCGTGAGAGCATCTAATTGCCACATGAGTGATGCGAGTGGTTAGAGACAAGTGTTTTTCATTCATTCTACGTGTTCACTAAACCATAAACAAGTCCTAGAAGTGTCTTCATCAGCCAGGCCCCTCACTCTGGTCTGGAGACTGGTGGAGTACTAGGGTCTGAATGTTTGTGGTCCTCCAAAATATGTATGTTGACATCCAATCCCCAGTGGGTTGCTATTAAAAGGTAAGGTCTTTAGGAGGTGACAAGGTCATGAGGGCAGAGCCCTCATGAATGGGAGTAATGCTTTATAAAAGAATCTTGAGGGAGCCTATTGGCTTTTCCACCATATAAGGACACAGCTGGGAGGCACCATCTATGAGGAATGGGTCCTTACTAGACAATGAACGTGCCGGCACTTTGATCGTCAACTTCCCAGTCTCCAGAACTATGAGAAATAAAATTCTGTTGTTTATAAACTAAGGCATCCTAAGCAGACTGAGATATGCAGGCACCACAACTTCTCAAGGCCCAGATGAGCAGTAGGCAACAACTGCTTCCTACATGGTCTCTCTTGCCTCTTGTTTTCCTTTTCACTGGGTGTTCTACAGGCTCTCTGATCCACTGCTCTCAGGAGCACTACCCCATGTCATTCAGGCTGCAGCCCTTCCATCATGATCTCAACTAAGTATTTGTTCCCTTCTAAGTCACTTACTAAAACAGACAGATCTTCTTAAACTCTCAGGTTTGGGCCTGTTGCTAGGTGAAAACATATATTCTCTCCACTGTGCCATTACATCTCGAATTTTTCCTCTAAAATATAACTATTATAAGACTGATCTTCATTATATTATCAAAAGTTTCTAGCTAATTTTATATACTACATTTTAATTCTTTTTAGTGACCAAACCTCTTTGCCAACCAATTGTATTCTTATAATGCTGCTTGTTTTTTCCAAATCAATTAACACGTGCCTACTTCAGATGGATCCTAAATGTTGACAGCTTTAGTGGAAGGAAATTGAAGTACCTTTGAAGTCAGTCACTTGGCACTATAGATTGGTCTCTTTACAAGTAAAAACATTAAAAGGGGAGGACAGATGAAACTTCAAGACATAGGACTAATTTGATTTTCAAAAAGAAAAATATTTGTACTACAATACAAAAAAAATAAGTGAATCATTTATTTCAGAGAATAGCCATTTGCAAACGTTCACTGTAAAAATCTAGAGGATAGAAAACCTAAAAAGTTTTGTTTAGGTTTGTCAATTTAAGTGGGAGGGATATATTTCTAAAGAATATGTCCTAAAGCTGTGCCAAGTATGTGCAAGTCCAAGTATGGCAAGAGATGACCCTGGACTCTGTGGTGGTTGCAGACAAATAATACATAACTTTCAAAACCAGCCCCATAGTGAGTCAGAGTAGTGGGCATTTGTACAGAGGAGGAAGCTGACATTGTCTTTTAATCCAAACAGCAATCCTGGGTGGCTCTGGTGGAATGAGGTATTTAATCACCTCACCGGTGATCCTTGTTGGGTCTTTCTTGTTGAGTAAATACTTGGCAGCCTTAGTCATTAGCTTGAAAGGCAGAGGGAAAAGTAAACCTTCATGAGTGAGTACCCAGCTGAGGTGTTTGTTTAGGCTAATCCCAAATGCCCTTTAGGGCCTAACTCAGTGCTGCCCCTCCCCTACTTCACTGTGAAGCTGCAGCTGTGGAGCCAACATTTTATCTTATTTATTCTCTATGTGCAGGTTCCCAAACATAATTATTGGATGAATGAATGAACAAGAAGATGACTATGGAGGATACTTGGGATCTGGCTAGCAACAAGTATATTTCCCATTGTTAGAGGTAGTTGGGTCAGAAATTAGATCAGTGCTTCTCAGCATTTCTCTGTTCAATGCATACTTTTTGGTGGCACCCATAAAGAAATCAAAAGGGGAATATCCCTTTTTAGCAAGAAGTATTTAGAAAATCTAAAAGAACTCTTCCTCCTATTCATTGGGTCACTTTTCAGCCCTGCATCACTGTTTACAGAAAAGTGTTAACATCTTGGACTCGTGAAGCAATGTTTTCACACATTCTAGGTATGTTGACCTAATATGAAACCACTCCTTCTTGCTCTGATTAGCAACAAGTGATGCCCCACTGTTTTCCCAGTCTATGTATGGCAGTGTTCCCTCTGTCAGGTCTCTCTGTGACAGTGTACAGCTGCAGTGATCACAAAATTCAGATTTTTAACTCATTGATTACAATTGGCAGCCAACCTCTGAAGAGCTGGAGGGACACCAGTGACTGAGAGCCACTTGCTTAGAAAATTATCAAAGAGAGGCCAGGCACGGTGGCTCATACCTGTAATCACAGCACTTTGGGAGGCCGAGGCAGGTGGATCACCTGAGGTTGGGAGTTCGAGACCACCCTGGTCAACATGGAGAAATCCCGTCTCTACTAAAAATACAAAATTATCCGAGTGTGGTGGCTCATGCCTGTAATCCCAGCTACTCAAGAGGCTGAGGCAGGAGAATCGCTTGAACCCGGGAGGCAGAGGTTGTGGTGAGCCAAGATCGCACCATCGCACTCCAGCCTGGGCAACAAGAGCGAAACTCCGTTTCAAAAAAAGAAAAGAAAAGAAAAAAAATTATCAAAGAGATGTTACAGAAATAATTCCTATACTGGTAGCAGATGAGGCTAGATCACCCCAAAAATGTAGTCAACGCTCAGTCTTTTAAGGTACTCCTTCAACTACAGTCACCTCTATTGTTATCTATTTAGTTATTATTAGTCATTTTTGATGTAACTTTCACATGTCACTTTTCTCAGAGCATAAAGGTTTTGAGGGTATGAAGAACAGGAAGCTGGAAATGGCCAAAGGCAAGGTCATATTTTCTTCTGGGCCTTTGGTCTTTCAAGGCTGACATAGAAAAGTGAGTACAGCCTGGGTCAGCCGAAGGCAGAATGCTGGGACTGCCTCTCCTCTCACTAAATCTTTCTAACCCTGCCCAATTCCCACCGGCCATCCCCTATAGTCTTTTTGCGAGAACTGTACACCATCATTCTCAGTCCTGACTTACATCTATTTTAAGTCATAGAAGAAAGAGGGAAAATGATGAAGAATGATGTATGACTGTAAAAACCCCTTCAGTAGTGGCGAAAGTGATGAGTTTATACCCTCACTGTTGCTAATCAGGTTTTTCCTCCGTCTCACATAGAAGAGCCTTTCTTGTTGCAATCTCTGGGTTTCCTGGATCCTGTGGGTGTGGGGTTAAGGCTGAGAAAATCTGGTCAGATAACAGCACCTCCAGGCTTCCGGGAGACCCGCCTTGGCAAGACTGAGCTGCCAGCAGAAGCCTATGAGGGACCACAGGTGTGTGAAGTGTGGGACATGTAGAGCTGTCAGGACTTTGGGGACACACATCACTTCCTGTTACAGATGAGGGAGACTAGATGGGGGGAGAGGAGTGAGATGGTTAGTGGTAGATTCTAGAAAACTCACTGGGGTGGCCTTGGGCACTTTCCAATACAAATAGGACTTGAGGCTCTTGAAGTCCCCCACTTTGCTAAAGAGTTTTAAACACTTTTGTTAGTTGTAATGTATTTAGAAATGGAACAAAATATTTGTGTTTTATATGTGTAAAGAGACTAGTAGTAAAATATACTTGTATGAGAATTTTTTTAATTTTAGTATGTCTTTAGGTTGTCTATTAGTATTTTCATTTAATACATGAGAACAGTACAATGGGAATCCTCATGCCATCTCTCTTTTTTTCAGCATCTACTCTACCCCTTTTCTGACTGTCCTCTTCTTGTGCTATGGACTGAATTATGTCTCCATCAAAATTCCTGTGTTGAAGCCCTAGCCCCCGACTAGATGGCATTTGGAGATGGGGCCTGTGGGAAATAATTAGGCTTGGATGGGTTCATGAGAGTGGGCCTTTCATGATGCAGCCAGTGCCCTTATAAGAAGAGATATGAGAGAGGTTTTGGTCTCTCTCTTTCTGCCATGTGAGGACGCAGCATAAAGGTGGCCAGGAAGAGAGTCCTCACCAGAACCTGACCATCCTGACACCCTGATCTGAGACTTCCAGCCCCCAGAACTATAAAAAAGTTTCTTGTTTAAGCCACCCCATCTGTAGTACTTTGTGATAGCAGCCCAAGCTGCCTAGACACTTGCTTCTCCTCTCATTTTCTTTCCACCTTCTCCCTGTAATACTCTCTTCCAGAAGGGCGATGTGGTCCTAGTGACCGTGACTGCCTATGCAATGCCGCTTCGCCGCATTTTTGCTGCTGTATCATTAGAGCTGGGTGAACTCTACCTATACTGCATTGTCTAAAAACGTTTTGACCAGTTTGACCAGGGGTGACACTAAACTCCTTTCTTCATTGTACAAATCCGTTGAAAATAACTCATTCTAAAAGCAGAGGAAAAACTGAGGAGAGAAAAGATGGAAGGAGAAGTCAAAGAGGAAGAAGACGTCAGACAGGCACAGTGAGGTTCCAATGCACCCCCCTCCACCCCTGCCCCCTGCTGAGGCCCTGCATCCCCCACTGTTCACTGCTCCTCTCCTCAGCATCTTCCCTGGCCACTTTGCTGCCATTTTCCTTCTCCTACTCCTGATGAAACTCACTTCGACCCACCTGAATCAGTTTCTTATGTAGTTTAAGGAGTAGCTTAGGGACTGAGAGAAACATTACTGTCAGTCACGGATACAAAAGCCTGCTACCTGGGTACCTACACACCTGCTTAAGGTGGGGCAGCTTTGCTGTGGTAGTGCATTCAGGCAAGAAATCACCCATTCCCCAGCAAATAAAATTAATTGGCAGTCATCACTTTTTGCCAAACTTTGATTTCCATGACTCCATCCTCTGGGGTAACAGAAAAATAATCTGTGTGCCAATGCTTGAGGACCAGAGATCCTCCCTCTCAAACAATATCTGTGCAGGTTAACTAGAGCCATCTCCAGGTAACACATCCACCTGGGTTTCAGAGAGAGCTCATCTGGAAGGAAATGCTAGCCCAGCATTATCCAACAGAAATATAATGGGAGCCACAAATGCAAGCCATGTATTTTAAATTTTCTAGGAGCCACATTTTTAAAAACATAAAAATAAGTCAGTTAAATTATTTTAAAAATACATTTTCTTTAACACAATGTATTCTAAATATTATCATTTTAATGCATAAGCAATATAGAAAATTTGAAGTATTTAACATTTTTTAAACTAAATCTCCCAGTCAAATGTGTATTTTACATTAAAGCACATTTTTATTCAGACTAGCCACATTCCATTGCTTAATGGTCACATGTGACTAGTGACTACTGTATTGGACAGCACAGCTCCAGCCAAATGAAAGGAAAGGTGAGACCCTGGCACATCAGGAGATGAGGAAGGCCTCCTGCCATATGGACTCCCTCTCCTGGGCTGGAAAGCACAGGCATGAAAGGAAAGGTGAGAGCTTGGCACACCAGGAGATGAGGAAGGCCTCCTGCCATATGGACTCTCTCTCCTGGGCTGGAAAGCACAGGCTTATCGCAGAGGCAATGAACTAAATGCTTTTTTGAAATTTGAGCTGTTTTCCCGTTGCTTGTTAACTTATGAAAGGCACTCAAACCAACATCTTTTTTTTTTTTTTTTTTTTTTTTTGAGATGGAGTCTCACTCTGTCGCCCAGGCTGGAATGCTGTGGCACAATCTCAGCTCAATGCAACCTGCAACTCCCAGGTTGAAGTGATTCTCGAGCCTCAGCCTCCCGAGTAGCTGGGATTACAGGTGTGCACCACCACACCTGGCTAATATTTGTATTTTTAGTAGAGATGAGGTTTCACCATTTGGCCAGGCTGGTCTTAAACTCCTGACCTCAAGTAATCCACCTGCTTCAGCCTCCCAAAGTGCTGGGATTACAGGCGTGAGCCACCGTGCCCCACCTTCAAACCAACATCTTAAATATTATTGTTATAATATTAAACATTCTAACAAATTCAGAGCAAAAATTTCCCCATGGATTCTTAAATGTTAGTAAAGAGCTAATAATTTCTAAGAGCAGAGAATAGCCTGTTGTCTCCTCTTATCACTTTTATGAAGCCAAAAACACCCTGCCCACTGTGCAATATGCTGCCAAAGATTTTACCCCTTGATCCCTTGGGAATGTGATGACTGCCAATTAATTTTATTTGTTGAGAAACGGGTTATTTTTATGTTTTTTTTTTTTTTTGCCTGCGCGCACTACTACAGCAAAGCTGGTCCATTTTCAGCAGGTGTATAGGTACCTAATAGCAGCAGGCTTTTGTATCTGAGACTGACAGTAATGTTTCTCTCAGGTGAAGCTGTGAGATTTGTTTTCACTGGGAATCTCATAAATGTGGGACCTCAATTGTAACAATCTACCGTGGAGACCACGCATCAGGTTCATTCATACATGCCATAAGCTCCATTAGTGCTGAAATGATACCCAAGCCCTTGATATCTCTTCCTACTTATACCTAAGTCTGCCTTTTATATAGCTCCGAGACATTTAATGCTGGAAATTTTGAGAGTGGTGGGGTACTGCTAAAGGCTAGTAAGATGGACTTGAGTTTAAGGTGCTGCATTTTTTGATGGGCTAGAGAGGTGTGTTTTCAAGGACTCCTTATGGCCACTCATCTTTTATCTCTTTGTGGAACCTCTCTCTGTCCTTTCTGACTCAGGCCTTTATCCTCATCTGAGTGGTTAACTGATAGAAATTGATAAAGGATAAGCTTTCATGTCCAAGAGGTATCTGTGATTTTATTAAGAAGTGCCAAAAAGACTTCAGGCCTAAAAGAAATGAATCTGTATGGGAAATACCATGCTAATAGAGTTTTCCTGGATCACCTCAAATTGCATCCTTGCCGACTCTAAAGCTGACTTGGGTTAAGAAACTAGTCTTTCCTCATTATCACTTTCCCCAGAAAGGGCAATGGCAACCTTTTCGTTATTTATTTATTTATTTATTTATTTATACACAGAGTCTCGCTCTGTCGCCCAGGCTGGAGTGCAGTAGCATGATCTCGGCTCACTGCAACCTCTGCCTCCTGGGTTCACGCCATTCTCCTGCCTCAGCCTCCCGAGTAGCTGGGACTACAGGCGCCTGCCACCACGCCCGGCTAATTTTTTGTATTTTTAGTAGGGATCGGGTTTCACCGTGTTAGCCAGGATGGTCTCGATCTCCTGACCTCGTGATCCGTCCACCTCAGCCTCCCAAAGCGCTGGGATTACAGGCATGAGCCACCGCGTCCGGCCCTCATTTTTTATTTTCAATTGAATTAGAATTCAAATCAAAGCATAATTCTACTTGATTATAGCTCTTGTGAAAGATTCTTAGGGAAAAGAATAACATGAACGTTAGGATGGCCTTTGTTTGTAGATTGGATTTTCATGAATTATTCCCATGGTTAACTGAAAGTTAAATGCATATAAACAAGAGTTGGCAAGGGCTGATGCTGTACACTCTCAAGAGGCTCCCAAGTTTTGTTTTGTTTCTTTTTTCATGAGCACCCAGAATCTTTCCTCTCACTGGATCCAGATTTTATTCTCAGGGTATCTAACCAGATGATGCAACATCTGTGCTCTCTTTTAAGAACGTGAGAAATGAAGCTTTTTCATTTTTCCTTGCTTTGACTTCTGGGAAATCTAATCAAAACTGCTCAGACTTTCCTTTTCTTGTTTGCTTTAGAAGACAGCTTGCTGGAAGGGTTCTGTGGAGGTCTCCCACCTGTGGAAGAAGGTGATAGAAAAATTAGCCTGATAATGGAACTGTCAACCCAGGTTTCCCTTCAGACTGAGAGAATTACTCAGCTGAAAGAAGTTTTGGAGGAAAAGGAAAGGAAGATTCAGCAGCTGGAAGCTGAGCGGAGTCCCCATCCTCCCCAAGAGGTCAAGGACCCTCCAGGATGTTTACCAGAAGCCCCAGTTTTCTCTACTCATGACATCCCACCTGTGGTCTCTGATGAGAATTTGTAGATTCCCAATAAGAAAACAATAAAAGTTTATTAAGTGTCATCCAGGTAAAGTCTGATACCAAATAGTCTCCTAGGTGACAAACTCAAGTTCAAGTTCATGTGTTTGAATGTATACTATCATGTTCGTATTGGAAGGAAACAAAAAAAAGGAAATGTTCAAGAGCAAACACTGAATGTTTCCCCTTTGGACAGTAATAGTCACGTAAACCACGCAGCTGTAGAATACTATGTTTTTAGACATTCCTGGTAGCAGTGGGGGAGGGAAGAAAACAAAACTAGACAGATGGTGAAAGAACTTAGCATTATCCTCTTAGCAGAGATTTGTCACACTGCAAGGGAGGGGTGGCACCAACCCCGTTTAGTATGCAGCTCTATTGTGAACAGAAAGCTGTCGCGGAGGGCCAGCTTCAAACTCGTGAATGCGCGGGTACTAAAGAGCAGGAGCTAAAGAGCAGGAGCCGTCAGCAGAGTAAATAGCCATGAGGTCTGTCCTTTCATGTCCTCAGGAGTTTATTTCTTTATGGCATGCATTTTATTAACATTAGCAAGGATAGAAAGGAAATAAAACTAAAGCAATAAAAAAAATTAAAAATGGGTGAATCAAAGCTGCATTCCTTTGGGAAAAGTGTCCTGGTACAGCATCTCCCTGGGAAAACACACAACACTGATTTTTCCCTTAGGAACAAGACTAAAACCAAAGCAAAATACAATCTTCTGTTATGATTGTACCAATGAGCTGTGAACAGTGCAAAACACTGGCAGGAATAATGGAGAATGGGCAACGGAAACCTGCCCTGTAATTAATGGAATAAAAGAAATCGGATCATATTCCTCTTCCACTCAACCCCTTCAAATAAACTATTTTCCACTCAAAGGGAGCAGCTAGGCACTAACTGTGAGGAAGACTTCGGTCCTTAGTTCTTCCTGTTCTGGTACAGCATGACTCAGGCAAACAGCTCTAGTTTCATGAGTATGACTGTAATGCTAGTTCTCAATTTAATTCAACCAGTTCAACAAATCCTCATCAAATACTCTTCTATCTGGAAGGCACAACTGTAGATGTTAGAAATCACAGCAAACATGAGAATCACCATTTTCACCATCCAGAAGTTCATAGACACACAAGGATCTCCTTAAAGTAAGGCTGATTGTATTGAGAGATGGGAAATGGGAGAAGGGAAGTGGGTGAAAGTGGGGTAAACCTGATCAGCATTGTTTCAGCAGAGGTTCTCAGATATACTGAGCATGAGTAATCAGCAAGAATGTATATTCCTGGCCTCTAGTTTAGGGCCCAGGAATATGCATTTTAATAAACACATGTGGTATTCCTGATGAATTTATTCCAGAAACTACATTTAGGCCACATTGGCTTAGGGATGGCTTCAAGCAGACCTATTATACTTTTGCTCCCAGACTAATAGACAATCCCCAGAAGGAGATTTCTCCTTGAAATCTGGGGTGAGTCTTCTACACTATTTACCTATTGCATAATCTGATTATGGATCCCAACTATCTACAAAACACAGTTTCCAAATGTGATTTTTCAAAAACAAAAAAGGAATTAATTGAGTTCTTGACTCACATAAGATGACTTGTTGATATTGACTCCAGAGTTTCACTACCCCACCACCAAAGAAACCCAAAAAACGTGGGTACTATCGGTAGCCTCTGTTTTCAACCACAGCAAGAAATTTCCCATATTTGTATTTAACCTCAGTTTTGCCTACAATGGCTACAAGTATGTACAGGTGCGGTTCTATATCAGAAATGAAACCAACTCACTGATCATGAATATACACTACCCCAGAAAGTAGTTAAAAGTACCTCTTTATCTTTTCCATAAGGTGCACTTCAGTCCCTACAGAATCCACTTCAGAAATCCCTTCTCGCTGGTCCCTCCTTTTTCTCACCTCCCCCAAATCCATGATTTCCCTGATCTTTTCTATTTCTCTGGCCTAGGTGTCCCTGTTGCAGTCATGAAGGGCCCATTGCCTCTGACACTATAGTGAGACTGAGGGTTGGCATGTTCTTACTGTGTATTTGTAGGAGAAAGCTTTAAATCCTTCTCTTTGTTAAGAGTGGACCATCTGCAAGACAAACTGTCATCTCCACGATTTTGCTGTGTTATTATGCTTACCGAGTTTCCATCTCTTTATTTTACCAAAGATTGTTTTAATCTCATGGGATATTGGGAATGAGATATCCCAGTCTCACTATAGGAAAGTAGAGAGAGAGAGAGACAAAAATTTTCATCACATTCCAGATAGCAGTGTGTCAACTTCTAGATCAGTTTCCCCTGGCTAATACCCTGAGTAGCCCTCAGTATGAAAGCAGCCTTACAGTGGAGATAAAGTAACAGGCAGAGCAGGAGCTGCTATTAATAATTAATTGAGCCTATCACCTCTAAACATCCGAGGACCAGCCACCGAAGAAGAAAGCATCAGGGGTCATATTACCCCGCAAAACCATCTTTACAAGAAGCTGATCTTGACTCAGGTCTAGGTTACTGCCAAATTAGAAGTGGGGAGGAAATGTGTCCCAAAGGTACGAATAGACTAATCTCTGTTAGGGACATCTTAGTAACAAGAAATTTTTAAGTGTCCAGGGTTGGAGGAGAGGGGATGGGAGGAGTATTATTGGCCTCTGAGAAATTTATTCTTTTCCTTTATTTGTTTATTAATTTAATATCTTTTAGAGACAGGGTCTCACTCCGTGGCCCAGACTAGAGTGCAGTGGCACGATGATAGCTCACTGCAGCCTCAACCTCCTGGGTTCAGGCAATCTTCCTGTCTCAGCCTCCGGAGTAGCTGGGGCCACAGGCATGAGCCACCACACTCAGCTAATTGTTTTAGTTTATTATAGAGACTGGGTCTTGGAATGTTACCCAGGCTGGTCTCGAATTCCTGGCCTCAAGCATCCTCCTGCCTTGGCCTTCCTAAGCTCTAGAATTACAGGTATGAGCCACCATGCCCAACCTGAGAAATTCTGAAGTGGAAAAATTCACCTTCCCAGCCGAATCTCTTTGTGATTGTATGCCCCAAAGTTCATTTCTATGTCCTGCCAAACCTCTAGAGAATTGAGTAGTAAACTTCAAATTGTGCTAAATACCGGGTTCAGATGAACTGAAAATCAGATTATAGCCTACACTGTAAACACAAATCTCATTTTCTTAGAGCAAATCGGGTTGCTGAAGCAGTTCACACTGACCATTAAAATATTGCGTATAAATATAACAAAGCAATTAATATGCTAATGATCCTATTTTTTAATGAAAATTCAGCAAATCATCAGGTAATATATCTGATTCAAAAATAACTGAAAATCCAGGAAATAAGGTACTTAACAAGAGTAACACAAGCCATTCTCTAATAGTATAAAAACATTTACAGAACTATATACATAGTTTTAATTCTCCTTTTTCACCTGGCATGAAATTTTCTCAGACAGAAAGTTAAATATGTAACATTTCTAACCAATTTAGGTAAATGTTGGATTTAACAATTTAGTTTCATTGTTATATTAGTGGACTTCCAAATACTTTCATGCAAAGCTGAAATCATAGCAATAAACTTGTTAAAAATTAGCAGAAAAGCAAGCCATTGGAGTAACTGGCCCAGGGATTGCTCTAGTATTCAGTCCAGCAAAAGGAGATAAATTATAGTACTTTCTAAGTGCATTTCTGGAAAAGAATGAATCTAATCCAATTCTAATTATCTCCTATACTCTCTCTGCTTATTCAAAATCCAATCATTTTCTTCTATATTACACTGAAATAAATAATTTTTGGTTTAATGCAATAAAAAGAGAATTGTTGGTAAATGTTATAGGGTTAAGTAAAAATAATGTTTATTTGGCAATTATCGAGTATAGGAACTGCAAAGACAAAACTATTCTAAAAGGTTTTTTTAAACATTTTAAAAAGACTTAGGAAACCAAATGTTTGAGATTCAAAGCTTGATTCTCATAATTTGAAATTAGACAACAAAAAAGAACAGACAAATTATAAAGAAATAATTATTATTTCTCCATGGTTTTACAACAAAATTTTTTATTAAGATTTCCCACACGCAAGAGAACTTTCCTGCTAAAACAGGAGAATTGAGTTCAAGTAGGAAATAACCTTTTTAAAATAGAAGAACAAGTACACTGGGACAAAGTTCACAGCAAAAGACAGGCCTCGCCATGAAATTTCCCACACCTAATGAAATTAGGACTTTTATGGTAAAACAAAACAAAACAAAACAAAAAACAGTTCTTATTTTCAGTTTCCCAAAGAAATCATTTTCAAAGCCAGACACTCTCCCTCTCCCCACCCTCCACCCTCAAGTAAGCCTTGGTGTCTGTTGTTCCCTTCTTTGTGTTCACATGGACTCAAGGTTTAGCTCCCACTTATAAGTGAGTTTAGCTCACTTATAAGTGAGAACAAGTATTTGGTTTTCTTTTCCCTGACATTAATCTGCTTACGATTATGGCCTCCAGCTTCATCTATGTTGCTGCAAAGGAAATGAGCTCATTCTTTTCTATGGCTATAGTATTCCATGGTATATATGTACTATATTTTCTTTATCCAGTCTACCATTGATGGGTATTTAGGTTGATTCCATGACTTTGCTATTGTGAATAGTGCTGCAATGAACATATGTGTGCATGTGTCTTGTGGCAGAATGATTTATGTTCCTTTGGGTATATGCTCAATAACGGGATTGCTAGGTCAAATGGTACTCTGTTTTAAGTCCTTTGAGAAATCGCCACACTGCTTTCCACAATGGCTGAACTAATTTACATGACCACCAGCAGCATATAAGCATTCCCTTTTCTCTGCAACCTTACCAGCATGTCTTCTTTTTTTTTTGACTCTTTTTTGTTTTCTTTTTTTTGAGACGGAGTCTCGCTCTGTCACCCAGGCGGAAGTGCAGTGGCGCCATCTCGGCAAGCTCTGCCGCCTGGGTTCATGCCATTCTCCTGCCTCAGCCTCCCGAGTGGCTGTGATTACAGGCGCTCGCCACCACGCCCAGCTAATTTTTTGTATTTCTTAGTAGAGACGGGGTTTCACCATGTTAGCCAGGATGGTCTCGATCTCCTAACCTTGTGATCCACCCACCTCAGCCTCCCAAAGTGCTGGGATTACAGGCATGAGCCACCATGCCCGGCTTTTTTTGACTTTTTAATAATAGCCATTCTGACTGACGTGAGATTGTATATTATTGTGATTTGGATTTGCATTTCTCTAATGATTAGAGATGTTGAGCATTTTTTCATGTTTGTTGGCCACATGTATATCTTCTTTTGAAAAGTGTCTGTTCATCCCCTTTGCCCACTTTTTAATGGAGTTGTTTGTTGTTTTCTTGGTAATTTGTTTAAGTTCCTTATAAATTCTGGATATTAGACCTTTATAGGATGCATATTTGGCCAATTTTTTCTCCTCTTCTGTAGGTTGTCTGTTTATTCTGCTGATAGTTTCTTTTGCTGTGCAGAAGCTCTTTAGTTTAATTTGGTCCCATTTGTCAATTTTTGTCTTTGTTGGAATTGCTTTTGGTGTCTTTGTCACGAAATCTTTGCCCCGACCTGTATCCAGAATGGTGTTTTCTAGGTTATCTTCCAGGGTTTTTATAGTTTTAGGTCTTAACATTTAAGTCTTTAATCCATCTTGAGTTGATTTTTGTATATGGTGTAAGGACAGGGTCCGGTTTCAATCTGCTGCATATGGCTACCTAGTTATCCCACCCAGACATTTTTTGAATATAGCTAGTGTCCCACCATTTTTTGAGTACAGCTTCCTTTTCCCGTTGCTTGTTTTGTAAACTTTGTCAAAGGGCAGATAGTTGTAGGTTTGTGGCAGTATTTCCAGGCTCTCTATTCTGTTCCATTGGTCTATGTGTCCGTTTTTGTACCAGTATCATGCTATTTTCATTACTGTAGCCTTGTAGCATAGTTTGAAGTCAGGTAATGTGATGTCTCCAGCTTTGTTCTTTTTGCTTAGAATTGCCTTATCTATTTGAGCTCTTTTTTGGTTCTGTATGAATTTTAAAATAGTTTTTATTTCTAATTTCATGAAGAATATCATTGGTAGTTTAATAGGATTAGCAATGATTCTCTAAATTGCTTTGGGCAGTATGGTTATTTTAGCAATATTGATTCTTCCTATTCATGAGCATGGGATGTTTTTCCATTTGTTTGTGTTATCTCTGATTTCTTTGAACAGTGTTTTATAATTCTCATTGTAGAAATCTTTCATCCCTCTGTATCTAGCTGTATTCCTAGATATTTTATTCCTTTTTTGGCTATTGTGAATGGGATTGTGTTCTTGATTTGGCTCTCAGTTTGGATGTTGTTGGTGTATAGAAATGCACAAATGATTTTTGTACATTGATTTTGTATCCTGAAACTTTGCTGAAGTTGTTTAGCGGATCTAGAAGCTTTTGCCGAGACTATGGGGTTTTCTACATATAGAATCACATCATCTGCAAACAGAGATAGTTCGACTTCTTCTCTTCCTATTTGGATGCCTTTTCTTTCTTTCCCTGGACTGAGTGCTCTGGCTAGGATTTCCAGTACTATGTTGAATAGGAGTGGTGACAGAGTACATCCTTGTGTTGTTCCAGTTTTCTAGGGGAATGCTTCCTGCTTTTGCCTATTCAGCATGGTGTTGTACATTTTCAATAATATGAGCTTGTGGCAGGATGACATTTAATTATCTGACCATTTCCATCTCTATGGTTTATTATTGTTTTTTGTTTAACAAAGAATGACCCTTAGTGCACAATTCCAGTAGTACCCAATCTTTCTGTTCTTGGATGGGAAAATCACATGGCATGTGGTCTAATAACTTTTTAATCCATTTTCCTAAATGTCACAAATAAGCTTCACCAACAGTTCATTATCTGATATCACCCTTTTCATATAGCATGATGATATCACAGGCAATGGATGATAGCAGAATGGAAGAGAAAGAACTAGCCCTAAACCAGCCCTTTGTCATATGAGGTCCAAGCAATGATAACAGTGAGTTATCATTAAAAGAAAAATGCTGATAATATAATATTTGGCCTTGCAATAAAAAAGTGTGCCTTATTGCCTAGCTCCTATTGAAATACAGTTGGTGTGGTGATAGTGAAAGGAACAACAAATACCCATCATGGATGCCCACTATCTTGTTCCGGACCTGCATTTACTAACCATCAGCTATATATATATATAGGAATGTAACTAATATTTACACAGCAATTTACAGTTATTTAAAACATTTCAAATAGATTATTTTATTTGATCATCATGAGAAGGTTTTAGCTAGATAACTAGTCCTAAAGTTATAAAAAGAAAATGCCAGAACCAGGATCTGTAGCCCCCAGGCCAGTATACATTTCATCACTCACCACTCCTGTGCAGTTAGACAAAAAAGATATGTATTTCTTATACCCCCTTTCTCAAGTCAGCCTCCATCCCATTTATAAGAAAAACAGCTTTCCATGGGTATCTTCTTTCTCATGCTTGCTCCACTATAGGGGGTCCAAAAAGTGGTCCAGATTCAACTGACCGACTGTTTGGTTTGGCACAGAACAGTGTTTTGTTTTTTGTTTGCTCATTTTGTTTTATTTTGTTTTGTTTTAAAGTAAATTCTTTTAAGAAGGGTAGGGGCTCACTCTACAGTTTGCTCCAGGTTCCACCATTTCCTATTGTTTTATGCAGGGCTGCTTAAGGCATTTGTCTTGCCTGCCTGGTCTTATAGGTGTGTAAACCCTTCCTGAAATACTCTCAATTGTGTATACCAGGTCTGATTTGGTATGCTATGGTTGTGAACTTCTGATTTATAGTCTAAAATAAACGTTCAAAATGAGTGCATTACATCCTACATTTAACATTAATACATATTTCCAAATGTATAATAAAGAAGGAAAAGAAAATCTAAAGGAAGTTACTAATGAGGCCCACTGCCTCATTCTCATGACTTCAAGACAGCTTATAAATCTTTCTTTTTCAATCTGTTTCGTATGCAGTGGGGAATTCTGATAGCAAAATGTCATTTTATCCACATCACGAGCATAGGTAAATAGGTAAGTGATTACTACCAGAACCAGCATTTTCTGAAGGCAGGAGACCCACATATAGACATTCTTCTCACTTGATCTTCAAACTTGCCTTTAAGGTCAGTGGCCTGATCGCATGGACTTCAACTATATGTCCTAGAACCTGGGTTATTCAAGCCTAAATGACACCCTCTGTGGGATACCAGAAGTCCTATAAAAATCTATATTTAGGAGGAAATGTTCTCAATACACACTACTTTACAGACTGCTTAGTATCTCAATCTGTGCATCTGCACTCAGATATATGGTGACTTCCATCTCAAGAAGTAGGTATTTGCATTCTCATAATTAAATGACCATTTTTGTGACTTTCTAATATAAAGGAAGGCATCTCCAAAGATGAATTAAAGTCATAACTCTAGAAATCCAGCTGCTGATAACTCATATGAAAATTTTGTATGTCTTTTTTGTTTGTTTGTTTGTTTTTTGTTTGTTTGTTTGTTTTGAGACAGGATCTCACTCTGTCACCCAGGCTGGAGGGCAGTGGTACAAGCATAGCTCACTGCAACCTTGAACCTCTGGCCTCAAGCAATCCTCCCACTTCAGCCTCCCTGGTAGCTAGGACCACAGGCACATGCCATCACACCTGGCTAATTTTTTAATTTTTTGCAGAGACGGGGTTTCAATTTATTGCCTAGCCTGGTCTTGAACTCCCGGCCTGAAGCAATCCTTTTGCCTTGGCCTCCCCAAAGCACTGGGATTACAGCTATGAGCCACCAAGCCTGGATTCATATGGGAGTGTTTAAGCTAAAACAAAGTCTCTTTCTCTGCCATACCATCCTCTACTAATCAAAGACTTACAGAGCAGTACCACTATAAGCTGAAGTATAAATCTTCTCACCACACTGTCATTTTTGTTAAAATTTTCTATTTTTTAAAAATAGATTAACAGCCAGAGTATATATTCACTCGTTCACTCAAGAAAGTTACTGAATACTTATTCTGATCTTGTACATATCATATGCTCTAGCAATCATGTCAGATATCTAGATTTAGCCCAAATTTATACATAGAATAATATAGTTTCTTATTATTGCCTCAGAGATGTTTACTATACCTTTTAAGTTTATTAAATAGTAGGTTCAAGAAATGGCTGGTAAAAAGAAATCAGGAGAAGGTTTCCTATGCCATAGTTTCTCTTACAAATATATTTGAAATTGATTAGAAGGAACTTTTTTTTTTTTTTAATTCTCCATGCTCTGGACCTTCTGGAGAGGATGAATGCTACTTTGTAGGGGCAGATAGTCTTCAGAGAGCCAGGTGATTTAGCATCTGCAGTAGACTGCAGATTCAGGCACTCAGATGAAGGTCTAGGGCTTCAGTCTGCAGATTCAGATTTCTGAAGGAAGGTCTAGGGATAGAGAAGAGCCGTGGCTTCCTTTCTTCTCTACCTGACCTCCAGCGTAGCAAAGATGCCAAGAATTTAAATTAATCCGATTATCCTCTGGGAGTTACCCAATCATATTATTTTGCCATAGAAACTTAGACCCATTCCGTGAGGTTGTTCTCTAGATTGCTGGTTGCTATATACTTTAATAAACTGAGACTCTGAAGACAGAATATTTTTTTTCCTTCTTGGTGTTTGCTCTGCAGTTGTGAAATATAGCAGTTATCTCGTAAAGATGTCAGAGTGCCTGTGAGTCAGGAGCTCAGGCTGTGGAAGGGCTAACTATAATGTAGGGAGTTGTTTCAAGCATCAGAGCATAGTGACGCTTGCCTGAGACCCCATCCAATACTGAAATTCAATAGGCCCCTAGAGTGATGTATAATTTGAGAGAGCTTATTCCCATCTGCTACTTTTTCAGCAAGAACTAGAGAACTCAATCTTTACTGAGAAAAAGGAACTAAATTTTTAAAAGAGAGCCTGTGTCTATAAGTAAATTTCCTTTTTAGTAATTAAAATTGGAAAATGAAATAGTTGCATTACAAACCAAATGCATGGAAAATATCTTCCAGGGAATCAACCCTAAGAAACATCTGTTCTCATCAGTACTAGTAATAACCTTTAATAGGTTGGGGTATTTGTGATTTTTCCCCATAGGGAAATGTGTGGTAAATCTATAAGTCATAAGTCCCAACAAACAAACAAACAAACAAACATTCTACTGATTTAGTGAGCTCTCTACAGAGCAAATCCTTGGATGAAATGAGATATGTTACGTTACTAAGTGGAAAATTGAGATACAAGTTACTTTTTTCTTTCTGCTACAATAGTTGTCCTATATGTTTGATTCGACTAGAGTTTTTCCAGATGTCTTAAGTAGGCACGATTAACTGTAATAGCAAAAGACTGAACAGGAAACTACTGATCTGAACTTCTTGAGCACTTCGCCCAGATAAATGAAAAGAGAGAGTTAAAATTTTTGTATTATTTCCAGCCAGCACTGAGACAGTGAAGTTTTGTTATGAGTCTGGTGAAAATTACCCCAGAATGAGGTTGATTAGAACTTCCCTTAAAGTGAGATAACTTGGGAAAGCACACCCATACTGTGTCTTACACCAATCAGATGCTCATAGATGCTTCTTCTTTCTCTTCTGGTGACCAAAGTTACGGTGGAGTATAGTGGCTTCACGAAATAAACACCTTAATTGTCCTCCCTGTCAGAGAGCATTTTATAAGAGTCTTCATTCTCTTCCATTTCTTTGAAAGAGTTCTATAGAATCACAGTGGGTTAGATAATGAAATGGCACTGATACACCTTTCAACCTGAAAATAATCCATACATGATTAAGAGAACTAACATTAAAAATTCATTGAGGGCCAGGCACAGTGGCTCATACCTGTAATCTCAGCACTGTGGGAGGCCGAGGTGGGCAGATCGCTTGAGCCCAGGAGTTTGAGACCAGCCTGGGCAACATGGTAAAACCCCATCTCAACAAAAAATACAAAAATTAGCCAGATGTGTACTTATTGTCCCAGCTACTTGGGGGACTGAGGTGGGAGGATCACTTAGGCCCAGGAGGTGAAGGTTGTAATGAGAAAAAAAAAAAATTTGAAATCTTGCAATACTTTTTCATCTCCAGTGGTAGATATTTTTTTTTTCTTTGAGAATGGGTATCACTCTGTCATCCGGGCTGGAGTGCAGTAGCTCAATCACGGCTCACTGCAGCCTCGATCTCCTGGGCTCAAGGCATCCTCCCACCTCAGTCTCCCAAGTAGCTGGGACTACAGGTGTGTACCAGTGCTCCTGGCATTTTGTTTTGTTTTAATTTATTGTGGAGACAGGGTCTCAGTATGTTGCCTAGGCTGGTCTCAAACTCCCAGGCTCAAGCTATCCACCTGTCTTGGCCTCCAAAAATGCTGGCATTGCAGGTATGAGCCACCATGCTTGGCCAACAGTAGATTTTAATAAGTTGTGAGTATAGAATGTAATACCTAAAGTAATCACTTAACAAAAGCTATACAAAGAAATACACTTTAAAAATGGTATAGTGAATCAAAATTGAATTTAAAAATATTCAAATAACACAAAGAAAGACAGAAAAAAGAAAACAGAGAAAAAGAAGAGCGAACAGAAAATAAGAAACAAAATGCAGACTTAAACCCTGTAATAGCAGTGGTTACATGTAAATGTAAATGGCCTAAATACACAGATTAAAACACATATAATGGTAGACTAGACAAAACTATATATCAAACTATATAATGTTCAATATATAGTTTTAAGAAACTCCTTTCAAAAATAACAACATAGACTGATTAAAGTTTTTTAAATAAAAAGAGATGCATTATGCAAACAGTGATCAAAGGAAAGCAAGGGTGGCTCTATTAACAAGAGATAAAATAGGCTTCAGAGGAATGAAAATCACTAGCATGAGAGAGGAACATTATACTATGATTTTTAAAAAGTCAATCGACCAAGAAGACATAGCAATGCTGAATGTATATACACCAAACAGACCTGCAAAACATGTGAAACGAAATCTGATTGAACTAAAAGGAAAAATAAACAAATCTAAAATTATAGCTGAAGATTTCAACACCCCTCTTTCAACAATTGATGGAACAACTAGACAGAAAATCAGCAAGGATATAGAACTTAATGGCACTATTAATCACTAAAATCTAATCAACGTTTATAGAACACTCCACCCAACAAAAGAAGAATACATATTCTTCTTTCTTTTTTTTTTTTGAGAAGGGGCCTCGCTCTGTCGCCCAGGCTGGAGTGCAGTGGCGCAATCTCAGCTCATTGCAACCTCCGCCTCCCGCGTTCAAGCGATTCTCCTGCCTCAGCCTCCTGAGTAGCTGGAAATAGAGGCGCACGCCATCACGCCCAGCTAATTTTTGTATTTTTAGTAGAGACAGGTTTCACCATGTTGGCCAGGATGGTCTTCATCTTTTGACCTCATGATCCACCTATCTTGGCCTCCCGAAGTGCTGGGATTACAGGCGTGAGCCACTGCACCTGGCCATAATACACATTCTTCTTATGTGCCCATGGAACATATACCAAGATAAACCACATTTTGGGCCATAAAACAATTGCAAAAAATTTAAAAGAACTGAAATCATATAGATAGTGTTCTCTGACCACTATGGGATTAAACTAGAAATCAATTAAAGAACAATAATAGGAAAATCTCCAACTTGGAAGCTAAACAATATACATAAGCCATGGGATAAAGAAGTCCCAAGAAAAATTTTAAAAGTACATTGAACTAAATGAAAATGAAAATACTACTATTAAAATTTGTGGGACATTTCTATAGCAGTGCTGAATAGAAGTTTATAGCCCCAGATGTAAATATTATAAATGAGGAAAAGTCTCAAATCAATAATTAAGGTTTCTTCTAAAGAAACTAGAAAAAAAGGAACAAAATCAACCCAAAGCAAGCAGATGGTATGAAATAATAAAAAGAAGAGAAGTCAATTAAATAGAAAACAATAAAACAGTAAAGAAAATCAATGAAAAAAAGACCTAGGATTTTTTTTTAAAATCAATATAACTGACAACCTCCACAAGACTGACAAGAAAGAAGACACAGTATGCAATATCAGTAACAGGGGATATCAGTGTGAACATCAAAGGATAATATGAGAATACTAGAAACAAGTCTATAAACCTAAATTTGACAATTTAGATGAAATGGACCAATTCCTCAAAAAATATGAATTACCACAACTCAGCCAATAATGAAATAGACCATCTGAGTAGACCTATAAATATTAAGGAACCTGGTTTAATCATTTGAGATCTCAAGAATAGAAATCTCCAGGCATATATATATATATATATATATATATATATATATATATATATATATTTATATAGACAGACAGAGGAAATTTATTTTAAGGAATTTACTGATATGGTTGCAGAGGTTGGCAAACCCAAAATCTGTAAGGTAGGCCAGCATATTACAGACCCAGGGAAGAGTTGATGTTGCAGTTTGTGTCCAAAGGTAGTCTGTTGATAGAATTCTCCCTCCTTCATAGGGGGTTGGATGAGGTTCACTCATATTATGGAGGGTAATCTGCTTTACCTGATGTCTGCGGATTTACATGTTACTATCATCTAAAGAGTACATTCATAAAAACATCTAGAATAATGTTTGACCAAATATCTGGTTACCGTAGGCTAGGCTAGTCAAATTGACACATGAAATTAACCATCACAAGGAGGGAACACTTTTCAATTTATTATATAAAGCTAGTATTGCCTTGATATCAAAACCAGACAAAGACCATTAAGGCCAATATAGCTCAAAATATAGGCTCAAAAAATTCTATAAAATAAAAACATATGGTATTCAACAATAGTGAAGAATAATTATAGACCGTGACCAAGTGGAGTTTATTCTAGAGATACAAGACTGGTGCAATATGCTAAATTCAATCAATGTAATCTACCATTCTAACAGGCTAAAAAAATTACCTGACCATATCAATTGATAAAAACACTTGACAAAATTCAGTATCTATAACTAAGAACTCTCAGACAAATAGAGACAGAAGGAAACTTAATCAACTTATTCTCTTACAAAGAACTTACTCTCTTTTTGGAGAGCATTTATAAAAAAACTTATAAGTATCATTATACTCAATAATGAAAGACTGATTGCTTTCCTTCTAAGATTGGGAACAAAGCAAGAATTTCCAGTCTCACCATTCTTATTCAACATAATGCTGGAAATCACAGCCAGTGCAATAAGGCAAGAAAAGAAAAGAAAAGGAATACAGGTTGGAAAAGAAGAAATAAAACTGTCACTCTTTGAAAAGTTGTAGAAAATCCCAAGTATCAAAAACAAAAACAAAACAAAACAAAACAAAAAAACCAAGCCTTCTAGGACTAATAAATTAGTTCAGCGAGGTCTCAGAAGACAAGATAAAAATATAACAATTAATTGTATTTTTATATAGTAGCAATGAACATGTAATTAAAAACACCAAAATAAAAAATGCATTATCATTATAATCACTTTTTACAAAAATGTCTTAGGTGTAAATCTAACAAAACACAGAGGACTTGTAGGGTGAAAATTGTAAAATGCTAATTTAAAAAATCAAAGAAGGTCTAAATAAATGGAGATAAATACTGTCTTTATAGATTAGCAGACTCAATATAGTGACACTCTCCCCAAATTAATATACAGGTTCAATACAATTCCAGTCAAATCCCAGCCATTTTTTTCCCCTATTTAAAAGATCATTCTAAAATCTATATGTGAAGGCAAAGGTACTAGAATAGCTAGAAACTCTGAAAATATTTGAAGTAATGTGGAGAACTTTCCAAAGTGAATGTAGTTATCAAGTCACACATCCAAGAAGCTCAGAGTATTCCAAGCAGAATAATAAATTAAAAAATCAATAAATAACCCATACATATTCATGCATATTATATTGAAGTGAAAAAAAAGCAGAGACAAAGAGAAAGTCTTGAATAAGGACACAGGAGGAAAAGATACCTTACCTATAGAGGAACAAGGGAAATCACCAACCTAGGATTTTATATCAGCAAAGTTATTCTTCAAAAGTGAAGAAGAAATAAAGACTTTCTCAGAAAAGCAAAATTATAGAAATAGAGGACAGATTAGGGGTTGCCAGCTGTAAGTGCTGGAGAGGGAAGCAGGTATGTTTATAAAAGGGCAACATGGGCCAGGCGCGGTGGCTCATGCCTGTAATCCCAGCACTTTGAGAGGCTGAGGCAGGTGGGTCATGAGGTCAGGAGTTCGAGACCGGCCTGGCCAATATGGTGAAACCCTGTCTGTACTAAAAATACAAAAGTTAGCTGGACTTGGTGGCACATACCTGTAGTCCCAGCTACTCGAGAGGCTGAGGCAGAATCGCTTGAACCCGAGAGGTGAGGTTGCAGTGAGCCAAGGTCATGCCACTGCACTCCAGTCTGAGCAAGAGAGCAAGATTCCATCTGAAAAAAAAAAAAAAGGGCAACATGAAGTTCCTTCTGTTGATGGAAATGTTCTACACCTTGACAATATCCTGGCTGTGGTTTACATTGTTTTGTAAACTGTTACCACTAGGGAATACTGGGTAAATGGTACCTGGATCTCTCTGTATTATTTCTTACTGCAAGTGAATCGACAATTATCTCAAATATAAAATTTAGTAGAAAAAAAAACTCAGCCTGTTACGAATTGTTTTTATGTATCCTCCTCCTGGGGTTGACACTATTAAGCTGTGAAAGAATGTAAGCAGATGGCACCCCTGCAGCAGTGGGCAGCAGATGTCCATATCTGTGTCAGGCCCATGCTGGCCTCCTGCTCCAGGTGTGACTCATCCTGTCTGGTCCTGGGCAGAGACAAAGTGTGCTGCTTATTCCCACAGTGGCTGGAGGAGCTGCAGACCTTGGCCTGGCTCCCACGTAGCATCCTGGCATCCATCTGCTAGCAAGTAGCTTCAACCCCCTGCTAACAATGCAACATCTCATTCCTGCCACAACAAGACCTATGTAGCACAGTGGTTCTCCTCAGCTTGGATCAGTGACCTGCTCTAGGGGATTGGGGAACTTTTCACATGCCTTTGCCCACGACTTCAAGAGCACATAAAACTGAGGAGACTCTTTCTGGCCCTCTCCTGCCTGGATCCACTGTGTCACCAGTTCTCATCTATACCTGTCAGCTGCCATATCAGGGTGGCATGAGAGAAAGGATCATTTCCCTGAGAATTGCTATTGCCTAGTTCAAACCATGGTTATAAGTTTCACTCTATTTTCCAAAATGCACACACAGAAAGGGTTCCATCATATTCCCATTTCCCAGATTTGACCATGAGAGATACTAGTTCTATAAGGGATGCTTCTGATTTTTTTCTGTCTTCCTTCTAAACCAGCAGTTTTGAACTTAAGAATCAAGACTATGCTAACTTTGTTATTCCAGTTGCATAGCATCTTTCTTTCCCCAGGGCAATGTGCAAGTTATGTCTAACTTCTCTGGGCTGAAGGGAAACAGCCTTAGGTAAATAAGTGAAGAGAAAAAATTTAAAGAGCTTGGCAATGAGAATAAAGTACATAAATGCATACATGGGTGGGGGGAGGTTATGCTCCTACAGTTAAGTATCTCTGTGTTGTACTGTACATATTAGCAATGCTCCCATATGGCTCTGGATGCTGGGCTTCTGTTACTGATGCTGCATACAACTTGTCTTTTAATGATAATGCAGTCCTATTGCATTAAGACTCAAGACTCTCTTTGAAAGTCAAGAGTCTCTTTGAAAATGCTTATTGATGCGAATGCCTTCATTTTTCTTGAAGAAACACATGCAAGAAAAGAAGCATAAGAGGAAAACCTTGAACAAAAACCCTGAGAAAAAATTAATGATTTGTAATCTCTTGTCTTAGTTTTATCCTTACAATAAAGCTTTCCTTTTCCCTTCCTCTGTGCTGTCTTCCAACTTCCTGATACCTTTCACTGCATGCTGAACCTCTGTTTCCATGTGGGCCCTTTGTGGTGCCTCCCCACTATGCACACAAAGGTCCTTTTCAAAAACTCAGGCAATATACTTGTTTGGTACTAACCAGCGGCTTACTAAGTCACCTCACATCCTGGTGCACAGAGCACTATAGATAATTAACATTGTGAATTCTCCGTAAAAATCCAAGCCAACGTACTGTTGGTCAAAGATTTCAAACACAAGAAAATCCTTTGTGTGAACAGGAAACTGATTTGCGTACTTACTGTTAACTAGACAAACAACTTGTAAGTGAATTGCATTTGTGCTCTTGGCAGCCCTGTTTGTATAAAGAGGCTTAGCTAGAAGATTAAAACAAATTCTCTTAAAATATTGCACTGTAAAACCATACACCTGCCCAGAGTTCAAAGACTGTGGTCTGATATGTTGTATAAGCATCAGGAAGCTCTGACATGGGAAACAGTTTATAGTCACATAGCTAGACATCTAAGGCAAATTCCCCTAAGTCCAAGGCAATGTGAAAAGAGAAAGCCAGACTCATCCACTTCCTGAAGAAAGGCCAGGTGGAATGATAGCAAGCCGTACTTAGGAAGCTTCCAAAGTCCTGTGGATGAGGGAAACTGATGACTACTGAAAGGCAGGCAAAACATGAAGCCACTCGGGTATGCAATGACAGAAGACAATTTAGGATTTTGTTAATTCCAGCAATTATTATGATTATGAAAAAAATGCTTCTTCTTAGCCTATATGGTGATTATCCTTTAGTTTCTGTTGAAGATTATGGTCTGAGGGAAATAGTAGGATATAGAAAACATAAGAAGTTTTAGAGAAGCAACAAGGCTGTTCAAGCTTTCACGCAAGCTGAAATTTTCTGGGAAACTACCCACACACCAGATAATATTAATATAACCCAGGTGTGCAGTGGGTGAAGCAGGGAGAGGCCCATTCATCTAGGTGTTAAAAAAATAACTGCTGCTTTTATTACTACCTGTAATTTTCAAATTAATGACCTAATGCTGCACAGGATAAATAGACCACCTCATAGAGGATAGTTGAATTTATTTTTTTAACCCAAAGCAGGAAATGCTCTTGCTGGGCTCTGTCCCTCTCCTGAAGCTGCTCTGGGCACCCTGCCAAGGATTGCTCACCAGGCTCCTATTTTCCTTTTTTGATCTCATCCAATCCGTTTACCTTATGCTCTCACTTTTTTTTTTTCTTATTTCTCTGTATTATATACCTCGTGCATGTTAGGTAATAGAGGCAAACTGCATTTCCTGTCTGCCTGCTTAAAGCAGGGAAAGATTAGCTTGGACAGATGTAAAAAGCACTTGCTAGTTTTGCCTTTAAAGACACAAGGATACATAAAAATCCTTTAAAAGTGAGACTAAACTGCACATCCATAAGCCTCTGGGATGACTGTGTTTCTTTTAGATAAAACAAATGGTTTTGGGGAACTTAAGCTATCCATGTGGATCCTTCCTATGTGGTGTGCAAACAGGTGGGCCACTCATGGGCTCAATGCCAGTGAGTACCCCCACTCCATGGGAATTCATAGAATGCCCAGTGGCAGCCTTCAATCTCTGGTTCCTTGCAGAACAAGGTACCCAATCTCCCGTTAAATTAGGCTCTGTTTCTTTCACTGAAAGAATTATGTCTTTATTATTTACTTTCCAGAGAAACCTGTCTTTACAAAACTCCAAAGTTTAAGCCTCTTAGCATTTTCTCATCAGTTTTAGCAGACATTTCAAACTAACCAGACTCAGAGACACATTCATCATTCCATCTGTCTCTCAAGCTCTCCTTCTCTTCAAATGGCTGTTCTACTTCTGGGTAACTGATTTAATTTTATAAGTCTAGCTACAATCCCCTTAATAAACTTACAGGGATCTAGTTCAGGTAGGTGGAATCATGAAAGCTACATGGAATGCCACCTGTTGGAGTTTGCTTTCATTGTAGAAGAAACTTTGCACCATATGAGCTGCTCTCCAGGAAGCACCCTTTACATCCATCATGTTGCTTACTCTTTCATTTCCTGCTATTTCAGCTGGCAGTGGTGCACCCATGTTCAATTTCTGATTGCACCACTTCCTAGCTGTGTAACATTGAGGAGAGTCCTTTAAGCCTTGGTTTCTGGCTTAGGACCATGCCAAACACAGTATTATCTGGTCTTCCTTTCTGGATTTTCCCTTGGAGCCAGAGGCCATTTCCACTAAACTGAAAAAGACAAAGCATTGCCACGCAACTAACAAAGAATTGATGCCTGTTCCTTGACCCTCCCTTTATAAGATTTCCTATTTCCTGCTGCAGCTGCTGAAATTAGGGATTCACTGACTTCAACAGTTGATATCGACTCATTTTTTATCTTCCTGTGATGCCCACAACACACACACACACACACACACACACACACATATACACACACACACATATATATATATATATAGAAAGAGAGAGAGATTGAGAGAATTACTTAACAAGCAGTGATGAAAACTTAAGACATGTTTGTTGTATGAATGAACCTTACTTAGTGAAAACTTGAAAGGGTAAAACTTTTTAAAAACTAATATGGACATGCCTAGACCCACAAATGTGTTATTTAGCAAAGCACTTTGAAACACCAAAGTAGCACACCACAATTACCAGCTAACTTCACCGAAAAGATTTAGGGTTTTGAACAGGAATGTTCCATAGACCATTCTGTTCAACACTGTTCAATAATGAATCCAGAGAGTCCTGATTTTTCAAGTTGAAGAAAGGCCAACTTGTCTTGTCTGTGACACTTATCAGGTGTTTCCTGAATGTCATGTGCCAAAGTCTATTTTTATGCAGGCCCAGAAGTCTTTTGTTGCTACAGCAAAGAATCTAGACCAAAATCCCAGATACAAAATGATTTAGAAAACACTAAAAGTATAAAAACTGAGAGTAGCTGTCTCATATGGTCATGGTGAAGATTAAATGAGATCATATGTTATATACTCAGCAGAGAGCCTAGTAAGCACTCAGCAAATGTTAATAACCATTGTTATTTTTATCAAAGTGTAAAATAGCATTTTGAAATTTCACAGAGACTGCAACTAAGCTAAAATATGCAACTCTGCTTATAAATATGTACTAATGACAAGTGCTGTCTTTTAATATCCTATGATCATAAAACATCTGTCTTGGTAGGGATCCCTTGAAATAGGTCCTGAGTCAGGGAATTGGGTGCCTATGAATTACTGAGAGAGTCCTCATCAGGAAAAACCTGTAAAGGGGAGACGAAAGTAAGACTAGAGAGGGATAAAAGAGCAAGGATGTGGTCTCAGACAAAACCTAGCCTTGCCTTGATCCATAGGAAGGCTCTGGGGCTTAAATCATACAGCGTTGTTGCCTATTGAGGATCAGCCTTTTATACTCCCACATCCATGAGCCATTTGCTGTGAGCTGCACCTCCTTCCTCCCACATGAAAGATGAGGGCATAATCTCTAGGGCAAGGCAGTCCCCTTCAGCACAGGGTAATTCTTCAAAAGTGGAGAGGTGTGTTTGTTAGCTTGGGCTGCCATAGCAAAATAGCACAGACTGGGTGGCTCTATTTCCTCATGGTTCTGAGAATAGAAGTCTCAGATCAAGGTCCAGCACAGGTGGTTTCTTATGAGGGCCCGATTCCTGGCTTGCAGGTTGCTGCCTTCTTGCTGTATCCTCACATGGCAGAGAGAGAAAGAAAAAAAATTCTCTTTCTCGCAGTATAAAGTCACAGCCTTATTGAGTTAGGACCCGACCTCTATGATCTCATTTAACCTTAATTACCTCCTGAAAACTCTATATCCAGATATGGTAACTTTGGGGATTAGGGATTCACCATACGAACTTTGAGGTGACACAAGTCAGTTCATAGCCAGAGGCATCTGTGACCCTTTGGCAGTCAACACTCATAGCAACTGAGGCATATGTACAAAGGCCAGGTATGATAGATTGTTTGCAAAAAAGATGGCAATTCTTCTTTCTGTATGCATGACCCTTTCAATATGACTTTGCAACTCCCTCACTACTCTTTGTACCTGGACTGGCTTTATGAATTATTTCGACCAATGAAATGCAGAAGTGACATTGTACCACTTCTAATCTTAGAGCTCAAAAGGCTTGCTTCCACTTGCTCTCTTGCAGCTTGGACGCCACCACATGAATAAAGCTGGGTTGTCCTGCTGGATAAGAGGCATCATCCTGGCCAGTAGCAAGCCAGCCAATGACCAAACACATGAATACAACAGCTAGCCTCCAGTCAATCCTCAAGCTGACCACAGACACATGAGTGAGCCCAGCAGAGATTAGCTAAGCCTGGATGGATCAGCAGAACTACCCAGCTGACTGGTAAATTTGGGAGCAATAATAAATGGCAGCTGTGTTAAACTACTAAGCTTGGGGCATGGAAGGGGCCTGTTAAACAGCAATAAATAACTGATACATACACTAAAGTGAACCTGGACAGAAAAATGGAGTTAATACAGGTCACCAAGCATCTTAAAGAAATAATTCATGAAATTCCTATGTTTTTCTCAGGGGAGCTTCTTTAATGAGTAGCTAATTCTATGACTTTTTAAAATAATATAAAAACTTAATCTGTCATCGGCAGACATACTCTTCTCAGTAAATATTGAATCAAATTCCTAGAGTCTAGTTCAATTACTGTCTAGCCTCAAGGATACATATCTAGATTTAAAACCAATCTTGGTCTAAGGACATTGATCTCACCTCAGCTTTCTTTCTATACCGCAGTCCACAGGAGGTATAGAAGCAAAACACGGTACTTAGAAAAAGAATTTTGGGGCTTATGAACTGGCTTTTCCATTTTGTATTTGTATAATTTGGCAAAGAACCTGTCTGAATCAATTTCCTCATGTGCCAAATGAGGATAATATTCTATAACTACAAGAAAATTATCAAGAGGCTCAAATGAAATACCAGTGTAAAAGTCTAGATAAGGTGAGAAATGTTACACAACCATGAGTGAATTTGAGGGGACCTAATCTGTATATCCTTGGAGACTCTGGGATGAAAAGATAACCAGGAGTTCTTGTTGTATAAAGGTTCTGATACTTCCTGAGATAAATGCAAAGTGGATTTTGAGAAACATGCTCAAAGTTTGAGCCTTTGAGATAAACGTGGTCCCCAAGTTCTTACCCTGAAGTAGAAGATATCTGACATGTGCCTCAGCAAGAGACTCTAATCATGAAGCAAAAAACAGCATGTTTGGGGCATAGCTCAGAATACTTCTGACCTGATTTGAGACATCTGTTCTAAATCCTTCAACAGAGGGAACAATAAAAAGGAAAAGTCCTGGTTATATATTGAAGTCCTAAACAAAGAATTGGCTTTCCGGTTCACATTGGCTAACTGAATACAAAAGTTTACTGTGGGGGAAAGAAATCCCATTAAGATGACAGAAAGCCACATATACATACACATAAAAAGTGAATCCGTAATAGAGTGGGAAATTCGAAAGTGATGCCACCGATCAAATTTCTAGAGGATATGGAGTCATTCAGACTAGATTGAAAGTGGAAACTAAGAAAGCTGAGGAAGCCACGATCTCATATAGAAGAAACAGAAGGTCAAACAGAGTGTGTTTTCCCAACTGTGCCCCCAAATAATCCAAAGAGCAGAACCAGTGGGAACTAGGGGAAAGAGCAGGATGAAGACCGTTAGTAAGCTGACTAATTAAAGGATTTCAAAACATTTACATCAGTGTCCACTCATGTCCCTGATGTCATGAAGACAGTGGTTACTTCTTAGAGCTACGACTCCAGATTCAAGCCATGAGAACACTTCTCTAAAGTGAAAGTTGGGGCATAGAGAATTCCAGAGTAGCTGAGGCTGGAGAAGCAGAGCAGTACTACAACCTATGGTTACTGTGAGGGACTGGAGCTCTTGGCATTTGTGATCTCATTCATACTTTCCCTACATAAGCTCCCAGGGCTCCTGTAATCAGAACCTGTTTCTGTGTCACATGAACAGTGAATTTTTTTAAATTTTTGAGACAGAGTCTTGCTCTGTCACCCAGGCTGGAGTGCAATGGCGCGATCTTGGCTCACTCCAATCTCCACCTCCCGGGTTCAAGTGATTCTCCTGCCTCAGCCTCCCGAGTAGCTGGGATTACAGGTGCACGCCACCATGCTTGGCTCATTTTTTGTCTTTTTAGTAGAGACGGGTTTTCCCCATGTTGGCCAGGCTGATCTTGAACTCCTGTCCTCAGGTGATCCACCTGCCTCGACCTCCCAAAGTGCTGGGATTACAGGCATGAGCCACCACACCCAGCCTAAGAGCAGTGATTTTCATTCAGGCTAGGATTCACATCTATAGCTAAGAACAGATAACCAGAATATCTAAATATTTGTGGAAAATCAACCATAAATATATCAACTATAATAACAATAACCACAACAAAGTTCTAAACTCAACAAGCAGAAAAATTAACCCCTGGGGAAATAACAAAATCCAAGCAAATGAAAGAAAACTACAAAGGAATATAAACACAAGAAATTAAATAAAACTTCAAAATAAGAATAATTTCCTCAGATTGGTTTGAAGAGATACTGTGTTCAAAAGAAAATAATATATTGTAGTGAAAAAGTGACAAGGGAGATCTCCAAAGTAAAAAATATGATCACCATCTATTGGCGGCTCAAACAGAAAAATGTACACAGCTAAACAGTCAAATAGGCAGAAAATAGAGCCAAGTGATTCTCCTACTATGTAGTCCAGAAGGACAAAGAGGTGAAAAATACAGGGGGAAAACCTAAAGAACATGAGGAAGAGACCCAGAAGAATATTCATCCATTTATTAGGCATTCTAAAAAACAGAAGAGAGGGGATGAAGGGGAAGAAATAAAAATAATAATAGAGTAAAATATCCTCATCCTTCAGATGAAAAACCTCAAATTAAAAACAAAAACAAAACCCACTAGGCTTATCTTGATGAAATTTTGGAAACAAACAATAAACAGACTATCCTAAAACACTTCATAGAAACAAAGGGTATACCAATAGGAAACAGAATCAGATTAACATTGAACTTCTTATCTGCAAAGACAGTTGCTAGAAAATAAAGGGACAATATCATTACAATACTGGGGAAAGGCCATTTTGAATCTAGAATTCTATACCTAGCCAAACTCTCACTAAAAGATAAGAACAAGGTAAAGATTTGAGGAGTGTGTCCTTACTCAGAAAAGGTACCATTAAAAAAAAGAAAACTTTTCTAAAAGATTTTATATATATATATGTGTGTGTATATATGTATATATATGTGTATATATATGTATATATGTATATATATGTGTATATATATATTACCTAATACACATTAAGAGAACAGTATACTCCACAGTAAGAGAATATACATTCTTAAGATCCATAGAATATTTACAAAAATTGACCACATACCTATGCATACCCAAACACATACATTCACACACACGCTCTTGATAAATTTCAAAATGCAGAATTTATTTTAGCAACAATTTTCTAACTCCAATGAATAATAAATTAACAACGAAAGAGGAGCAAAAATTATTCCATTTGCTTGAAAATTGTTAAACATCTTTCTATAATAAATCATGAGTAAAGTCAAAAGTAAAAACTGAATGTATAAACAAATTGGAGCTGAAAGACAAGGAGAACAAGATTTATAGGATGTGGTCAAAGCAATGAAACGGAAGAGTTCCCTGATTCCCCTTGCAGGGCGTGCGACAGGGGTGTGGCTCACCTGTTCAGTAGCCCCCTCTGCAGAAACCCCTTGCGAGAGGGGGAGCACGCAGATGGGCAAGTGCAGAGGCCGGGGTGAGGGCTTTGGGCTCTGGCTCTGCGGTAGCGTCTAGAGGTGGGTGCCTGCAACCCCAGTGTTACAAAGCTCTTTCAGCTTGGCCACCACAGACAGCTGGAGTGTTAACCAGCTCAATGGACCTTCTGCTTTTTCACAAGGGCAAAGGACCAGGGGACAGCTTTCTGTATTCCGAGCTCTTTTCCAGAATCCAGGAAAAATCGGGTCACACACGGACTTGAAGGATGAATGCGAGGTTTTATTGAGTGGTGGAAATGGCTTTCAGCAGGATGGATGGGGAGCTGGAAGGGTGGGGATGGATGAAGTGGGAAGGTGATCTTCCCCTGGAGTTGGGCCGCCCAGGGGCTGGACTCCGCTCTGACTGCCCCGAGCCAAACATCTCTCGGTGTCCAGACGTCCCTCCTCTTCTCTCTTTCTCTGCTACGTCGTTTTGCCGTCAGTCGGCTTGCCTCGTATCTCCTCACCTGCTGGTATGCTCTGGAGGTTGGGGTTTGGGGTTTATATGGGGGCAGGATAGGGGGCGTGGTGGGTCAAAAAGCAACTTTTTGGGCCCCAAACAGAAACGCCTCTTCTCATTTAGGGCCGCGGGTATCCAGGCTTGAGGGTGGGGCCTTAGCCAGGGAACCGCCCTCTTCTACTCAGTATTTCCGTCTCCTGTTCGTGTCAGCAATACACAGAAGAAAATCCATTCCTAAAAACATATATAAGAGAATAATAAAATTGAAAACTAAGTATTTGTGAAACCACCTTTGCAAAAATCATTATCAGTGAGAAAAGTATGACAGTGAAAGAGAGCGGAGCTAAATGCTTTTGTAAAGCTCATGGAAAGCCAACAGGCTTGGGGAAGGAGAGGAGCCTGAATCCCGCTAAGGCCCAGACATGAACGATTGTTAGGCGGTATTCCAGAGGTTTTAAGACATGCAACTTCCCCATTTACTCCTACAAATAACACCACTACTTGACATTGGCCTTTTGAGATATCTTTTCAAGTTTCTTTGCATGTCTGACACCCATGACTCCACTTGGGATCCCCCAAGCCTGCTCCCGTGGCCCCACCCAGACGTGACTCAGCAAGCAGAAGGACAGATTCGACCCCCTATGAATTCATCTCTGCCTCAACTAATCAGCTGCAAGCCTAGCCACTCTCACCCTTTCCCCCAAAATGCCTTTGAAATACTTTTAACCTAAAGGCTATGGAGGAGAATGATTTGAGTACTAACTCCATCTCCCACATGGTGTGGCTGGCCTCATGTCTATTAAACTATTTCTCTACTACAATGCCATGGTCTGTCTTTGTGCAGCGGGCAGGAAAAACCCCTCAGGCAGTTACATTTCAACTAAGAAGATTAATAAAGGAAAATAAATACAAATAAGAATAAAAGAAGATAACTATAAAATAGAAAACTGAAAGATTAATAAAGCTTTGATTAATAAAACAAACCAATGTTGTCTTTTTAAAAGACAAATAAATGAGTCAAATCTTCAGCAAATATTAAAACAGGGAAGAAGTCAGCACTTCTGTAAAAACAGGCACAGAGGAACAATCAGGATCTTATAAGCTGAATTATGAGGCCTGAACTATATTCATTCTGAAGGCCACGGGGAGCCATTCTAGGGATTTCTGAGGAAAGGAATGGCCATGGTCAGATCTGTGGTTTTGGGAGCAATCCCTCTTGTAGATATGAGGAAGGAAGAGAGGAGAATCAAGTTAGAGATACCAGCAAGCAGGCTTTGCAAGAGCCCAAATAAAGCAGTGGCAGCAGGGATAGAAGGCATGAGAAGGATTCAAGAGGTGTTTATAGTGAATAAAATATAGGCTTTGGTGACTAATTGAATGGCAGGAGTAAGGAAAACAGAAGAAAAGCAGACCTGGAGGGTAAAGATGAGTTCACATTTGAACATGTTGAAACAGAGTTATCCCTAAGTCATCCAGGTAGAGATGGCACATGGGCTTTAGACATTCAGATAGGCAGCTTGGAGGAGGCCTGGATTAAATACCTAAATTTGGGTTTTATCTGGGTCTAAGATTAATTAATGGCAGATCCAAGGATAGAGTTAGTCTTTCATGCCAATTTGGATCAGTTTGTAGTGTCATATTGAAGACACATGTTCAGAAGGACTGTGCGGCCAAGTCAAGGATGGGCAGGAATGAGTACCAGGACAAATCAGCAATACATGCCATGGGCCTAAGCCAGAGGTACAGTGGCAGGCAGGCAGCACATTGCCTGACTCTGTCATAAACAGTTGAACTCATGGTCAAGTTTGCCCCCCAAACAGCATGTAGCATATGAAGAAAACCATGATCAAGAGGAATCCAGTGAATCACCAATATTTAAGAAGTAGATAAAAGAAGGTTTGTCTTAGGATAAGTTCAGCAATTTTTATCAACCTGGGTTTTTAAGCATTTCACCCTTTTCACAAGGAGTCACAAAGTTTTGCCCAGGTTGTACCTGTAATGATGCAATTTGAAAGCTATGTGTATCAATTGACTTCACTGCTTCCCAATTTTTATTAATACAGAATTCCTATCCATTGTCTCTTGCCTTTAACTGAAGCCTCTTATGTTTGAGATCTAGTAACTATGGTCCTAAACTAATATCCAAAACAAATACTCTCTTTGGCTATCCTTAATACACTGCATTGATTTTTTTTCTCCATTCAATAAAGACAGAAATAGCCTGCTATCCTTATTAAATCTAAATTAGATTAAAAATGTATGTACTAATGCTGAGTTCTTAGGGATAAGATGGCCTAAATCAGAAGTCAGAGAAAACTTTCATAAATATCTAGAACATAAAGTCGACCTGACCATTATAGTATTCCAAAGTCTTAATATGTGGCTCATGAATGAGAAACTATTTTGATTGTATCATGTTGTCCTAAGAAAGGCTTTGTGCTAGAAGTCAGCATGTGTTTTAGTTTGCAATGTGTCAGTAACGGCTGTGAAACTTTGAGTTAGGTAATTGGTTGCTGGGGTGACCAACTTATTCCCAGTTGCCTGGGACTTTCCCAGTTGTAGCACTGAAAGTGCTGCATCCCAGGAAACCTCTTACTTAGCTCAGGGCAAACCACCATATTGGTTGGTATCTCTGAACCTTAATTTCCTCATTTGTAAAATGGGATAACTGAATTAAATAATCTGTAAAATCCCAGTCGACTCTAAAATTCTAGAGACAAACAAATTATACATGCAAAAAGGTGGCTCCTTGCATAACACAATTTTTCCTTCAAGAAAAGGCCAACTATTCAAATATACTGCCTCCGTTACATAGCATAGTACTTTAAATCCCGGAGATTTAATCCCACAAGATTACACAAGTGGGTCACGCCCTGACTAACACAGTAAGATTAACATTTTTCAGGGATCTAAAGCTAGGGGAAACTAGGAAACAAGCGAGCAAGTGGCACTGCCTGGGCCAGATGAATGCCCCATTTTGGGACTAAGAAACTTCCACTTCACAGTTCTGCCCATCCTGGCCTGGCCAACATCAGATCCCTTTCCTTTTATTTGGTGGCCATCAACAGCAAAGGTCCTGAATAGAGATCAGCCTCCAATCAGAATGAAAGCAGGGCTTTGTGAAGCCATGAATACAACATGCAGTGACCTGGTTTGTATAGGGTTGGTCAAAATGAAAGGGAATCTTTCTTCAGCAGAGACCAAGTGGTTGCTTATCTCTAGGACTCCCAATGTGAAGTCACTCAGAAAAATAGCAGGTCCCAAAGAGTGTATATAGTTGTTTGCACTGCCCTGCTTCTTTCTATCAAAACTCACTGTCAGACAATTTTCAACTGCTTCTGAGACACAAGCAGTTCTCAATAGGGCCATCTGAGTTTTACTAGTATCATCTCTCTGAAAGACATTTTACAGCGCCAAAAGAAAACTGACTTGTCATGTTCTGATAAAGTTTGTTAAATCTAAAAATGTTTTCTATAGGAAAATAATAAAGGAAAACTAAATGTGGAGCATTAGGAGTCCATGTTCATGCTTCACAGACACTGACTTGTTGAGCCATCTTAATCACTGACAGTTGAGTCAGATGCTCTTACCTGAAATTCTCTGACAGAAAAACAAAGGCTATAGTGTTTTTTCAAGGAACTGAATTGTGGTTAAAATATCTGGAAAAGTTCAGGTGAATACCTTTAAAAGAATGGGAGATGGGTTCACAGATGCATCTAGTTCCAGGAAGAGAAGAACATAATTTAATAATTAGCATCTAGTACATTAAAATTTTAATATATGGAAGACAGAAGCTAACAATCCTTTTTCTATAGAGAACCAAATAGAAAGTAGGTTTAAATTTATCATGTTTCTCTCCTGCTTAAACATAGCCTCCTACATCCCACACAACAAATTCCAAGTTCCTTGGATCAGTTAGTTATATTCAAGATTTGCCACTGTTTATTCCACCCCAGATTTCCAAACTTATCTCCCATTTCTGAACTGAAACTTGCTCTCTAACCATTCTCTACTAACCATCATTTCCCAAGTACCCATGAGCCTTTCCACCTCAATGCCTCACTTGTACCGTGCCTTCAACCTGGCCTGCCCTCCCCACTTTTATCTTCTTCTTGGTATCATATTTATCCTCCAGTCTCTAACCCTTCACAAAATTTTTCTTGAGTGTTCCAGACTACACTGATTTCTCCTGCTTCTGAATTCTTACAGCACATATTGTCAAGTACTTATATTAGGCACTTAATAACCTACTGTGTTAGCTGTTTTTTCACACACATGTCTTGTCCCAACTAGATGCTTACAGCCTTGAGGGCAGTGCTTTTTATACCATGCATTCCCCTACAACGTCATTAAATTGAACAGTACAATTTACTGAGTCCTGAATTAGGTCACAAGAACATGCCCTTCCCCGGAGATTAGGAGACTTGCCCATTGGCCTGAAACAATTTAAAAGAAGAATAATTGAAGCTGGAGGGATAATAATAGACTCTAGAGGATAATAATAGAAAATAGATAGATAATAATAGATGATAATAATACACTCCAGAAGGATTCTAAAAGTCTAAAATTAGATACAACTGACAAGCCACTTGTCCTAGGCCAAGCAGAAAATAGGATGGAAAATGTGGCAATAGCCATTGACTGAGGTGTGAAAATATTTAACCAAGTAATCAATTGGGTTATAGTTATTATGTCAAACACTGATTCAGAAGTATTATATTATTAACTTTTTGTAGTGAATTGACTTAGTCAACTAGTATTAAAGAATGATTAGACTCAGAGGTCTACTGCAAATCAAGCCAAAGCTAGAGTAAGTTCAATTTCCTCCTTTCTCTTTCTTCTTATTAAATTTATCTCCACAAGAGACTGTGTTTTGGCAGAATATTGGGTGTATTTACAGCAAACCTGAGGGAAAATTAGAATCTGCATCAAATTTCAAATGGTGAAATTTGCTCAGTGACTACTGTCAAATTTTAGTTAAGACATGAAGACATGAGGAATATGAGAGAGACCAAAGTTCAGAAATGAGCCTTCTCAATATTCTGGTAGCTCATATGGGATATGTTGTTCCTCCAGAGCCCTTCGGGATGCCAGATGTCTTGCTTTCTCTCTCCCTTTCTTCCTCTATTTTTTGGTATCTCATCTTCTACAAGATATCTAGAGCTGTGCTTCTAGGCGAAAGTAAATGTAATACGCAAGCCATGCCAAATGTAAAACAGTTACCACTGAGAAAGCATTTTTCCAAAGGAGAGGAACTAGCTTATCAGTAGGAAGTAATTACTTTTAAGACAGCACAGTTGATTAAATTTTGTAAAATTGCTGGACCTATGTATGAGAGGGTATAGAGAAACTTGGAGTTCATAGGACTCTAGAACAACTTCTCTGGTATGGCTCCAAAAATCGATTTCTAATCCTTCTTCTGATAGTTAAAATGTCCACAACCTTAGACTAGGTCTAGGTCGGCCATACCTGCATAAAAATTCCTATAGAAAAAGAAATGGTGTTTCAGTCATATCATTGCCCATAATCAGACAATTCTACCACCATTTAACACATTTGTTTTCAAGAGCTCCATATTCTTCCATTCCATCAGCCGTCCTCTGACCCTGAATTCCTTCCTTCTCAGGATAGACTTACGTCTGCCATTTCTGTCGTAGTCTTTCTGACATCTGAGATTCCACCACCTGTCCTATTACTTTGTCCCCCTTTTCAATACGCAACTCTACACTAACCCATTCTCCCTCCTTCTCTGATAGGGAGCCATTGCAGATGTCTGGCCAGTGAACCGAAGGGTCACCTTAGAAATCACTGCCCTTAATTTCTGATCTATAGTCCTTACCCTCCCTCATCTCTTGCAGACTTCCACAGCCATCCATGATCCTCAAACTCCCAGCTAAATCAATGCTTCTCTCAGTCTTTGCAGCAACTTCTCCTATACTTTACTCACAGAAGAAAAAGCCATAGACATAGACTGGGAGAGACTATTCACATAAATATTTCTAATTTAGAGTTTGTGTCTATAATATATAAAGTATTCATAAAGTCAATAAAAAGATATATAAATCCATTGGGATTTTTTGTTTGTTTTTCTGTTCTTCTTCTTTTTCAGAAGACAGGCTCTCTCTGTCACCCACGCAGGAATGCAGTGGTGCCATCATAGCTCACTGCAGCCTCAAACTCCTGGGCTCAAGTGATTCTCCCACCTTAGCCTCCCAAATAGCTGGGACTACAGGTACATGACCGGTTATTTATTTATTTATTTAGGTATATACAGACTCTTGATTGCTCAAGCTTGTCTCAAATTCCTGGCTCTAAGAGATCCTCCCACTTGGACCTCCCAAAGTGTTGGGATTACAGGCATGGCCACCATACCCAGCCCATAAATCCATTTTTAAAAGACAAAAGTTTGACCAGATACTACACAAAAGAAGATATGCAAATAGGGAATAAAAACATGAAAAGGTGCTCAAAATCATTAATCATTAAATAAATACAAAGTACAAACTATAATGGGACACCTTGTCACATCCACTCACAATAAATAGAATAAAAAAGACTGGCATAACTGGTGGTAGGAATTAATATAGCCATTATGGAAAACAGTATGGAGGTTCCTCAGAAAACATAAAATAGAATTACCATATGATTCAGCATTCTGCTTTTGGGCATATATCCAAAGGAATTGAAATCAGTGTGTTAAAGAGGTATCTGCACTCCCATATTCATTGGAGTATTATTTGCAATACCTAAAATATGGAAGCAACCTAGGTATCCATCATCAGATAAATGGATTTTTGAAAGGTGGTGTATATGCACAATGGAATACTATGCAACCTCAAAAAAGAAGGAAATTCTGTCATTTGAGGCAACATGGATGAACCTGGAGGACATTGTGCTAAGTAAATAAGCCAGGCACAGAAAGACAAATACCACATGATCTCACTCTTATGTGGAATCTAAAAAAGTTGAACTCATAGAAGCTGAGAGTAGAATGGTGGTCACCAGGGGCTGGGGATGTTAGTGGACAGGGAAAGGGGAGATGTTGATCAAAGGGTACAAAGTTTCCATTAGCCCAGAGGAATAAGCTTTAGTCACTTATTGCACACAATGTTGATTATAATAATGTGTTTTATATTTCAAAATTGCTAAAAGAACAGAGTTTTAATGTTTTTACCACAAAAATGCTAAGTATGTGAGGTGATGAATTTGTTAATCAGCTTGATTTAATTATTCCACAAGGTAAAAATGCTGCATATCAAAATACCAGGTCATACACCGTAAATATATATGATAATTACTTGTCAATTAAAAATAAAATTTAATATAAAAAGGCTAGCATACAAAATATTGGTGAGAATGCAGAACAACTAGAATTCTCAAATGTTGCTAATGGGAATATAACTACTGTTTTGAAGAATGTTTTGGTAGTTTCTTATAAAGTTAAATCGAAACCTATCCTATGACCCAGAAATCCCATTCAAGGTCCTCACCCAAGAGAATTGGGGAAAAAAAATTGTCCACAAAAAGACTTGTATAAGAAAACTTCATTACAGTAGTTAAAGCCTGGAAACAGCCCAAATGTCCATCAATAACTGAATGGAAAAACAAATTGTGGTATAGCTATACAATGGATCCTACTCAGAATTAAAAAGAAACAAACTATTGATATACACAATAATATGGATGAATCTCAAAAATAATATTTAAAGGAAAAAAACCAGAAAGTACATACTATCTGATTCCACGTATATAAAGACCAAGAACAAGCAAACCTAATCCACAGTGAGAGAAATAAGGTTCTCTGGTATTGGGAAAGGAAATAATTGGCTGAACGAGGAAAGGAAACTTTCTGGGATGATGGAAGCGTTATCTATCTTAACAGAAGTGTAGATGCCATAACTGTATGCATTTGTCAAAATTCACTAAACTGAAAATTTAACATCTACCAATATTATTATATGTAAATTATACCTCTATTTTTTTTTTTTTTTTGAAAGAGTCTTGCTCTGTTACCCAGGCTGGAGTGCAGTGGCTCGATCTCTGCTCACTGCAACTTCCGCCTCCCAGGCTCAAGCGATTCTCCTGCCTCAGCCTCCTGAGTAGCTGGGATTACGGGCACCCACCACCACGCCCCAGCTAATTTTTATATTTTTAGTAGAGACAGGGTTTCACCATGTTGGCCAGGCTGGTCTCGAACTCCTGATCTGCCCACCTCAGATCAGCCCACCTTGGCCTCCCAAAGTGCTGGATTACAGGCTTGAGCCACCGCACCCAGCTTATACCTCTATTTAAATAAATAAATAAATCAAAAGTAGAAAAAAGTGAAAATGTCTGTATGTCTATATATTCCTCAAAAAATTGCATCTGGGTTTTATTTGTAGAATATCTTACATTCAATGGTTCACACTCTATAGGTACTTTATAAAGCTTGATAAATTGTTGATTTCAAGGTATACTCTTACAAACTAAACTGTTTCAGTCTTCAAAAAGGATTTATTGGGGAGTGTAGCATTGCTATGTTTGAAAGTATCAATATTCAAGTCAAGAAATGAACTTTTTTTTTCTTTGTAGTCATTGAAGCCTAGTAAAAACCAAGCCACTTGAAGAAAGAAGTAAATGTGAAGCTCTGGGATGACCTAGCCATGTTGATCTGTTCACTTACGGTGTTTCTAATGCCCAGGACATAGCTGAATGCCTTGTAGGCATTTAATGTTTATGGAATAAATGAACAAGTCAGGATGGGTAGAAAAGAGAAGACAATAGGGTTATTAGAAAAGAAAAAAAAAGGTATAATTCCTAAAAATAGTTACTCTGCCAATAAAATAATTAATATTAGACCTGTAATTATATTATATTGACCATATTATGAATTTTGCATCATTGTCGCCTCCTAAATATGTTATAGAAGAAAGTGAGTGCTGGATAATAGGAATGGTGTTGGATTAACCATGCATGAATAATTCAAAGTTGATTTTAGGCACCCAGGACTGAGATAGGAATAATAGAAAGACCTTTAGAATTTTTTCTTAATAAATTAATGTTTATTTTTCAATTGACACATAATAATTTCACATATTTATGGGGTACAGTGTGTTGTTTCAATGCCTGTATAAGTTGTTTAATGATCAAATCAGGGTAATAACCATATTCTTCACCCTAAGCATTTTATCATTTTTTAGTGGTGATAATATTAAAAATGTCTTCTAGCTAACTTGAAATATACACTACATCGTGCTTTGCTATAGTCACCCTTCTGTGTACTAGAACACTAGAACTAACTCTTCCTTTCTAACTATAACCTAAATGCCCATTGATAGGTGGATGGCACACGGATGAACCTGGAGGACAGTATGTGAAGTGAAATAAGCCAGGTACAGAAAAACAAACATCAAATGATCTCACTCATATGTGGAATCTAAAAAAGTTTATTTCATGGAAGGAAAGGTAGAACAGTGGCCACCAGTGGCTGGGGAGGGTAGGAGAGAGAGGGGACCAGAAGAGGCTGGTCAACAAGTTCAAAGTTACACTTAGAATTCTTATTAAGCTTGATAATCATATTATGAAGGTTCAGGGTTCATAATTTAGTCTGCTATCATCCACACAGAAAACATGTTAGGTCACCTATAAATTATACTACAATCTTCTCTCCAGTTATTATGGTACGTTATTCTAACTAAAGGCAAACGTATTTTACTTTGTCTGGGATCTACCAAGATCTTCAGGGCTGGGAAGTGTTACCGGTGGAGGGTGTCCAGGCTCTTGGCATTTTGAACAAAGAATTGGACAAAACGCACCAACAAAGCAAGGAAACAATAAGGCAACAAAAGCAGAGATTTATTGAAAATGAAACTACACTCCACAGGGTGGGAGCAGGCCTGAGCATAGGGGCTCAAGAGCCCAGTTACAGAATTTTCTGGGGCTTAAATACCCTCTAGAGGCTTCCATTGGTTACTTGTTGTATGTCCCATGTAAATGAAGAGGCTAAAGTGAAGTTGCAAAGTCATTTATTAGTGTACGCCCTATGTAAATGAAGAGGCTATTTCCCGTCATAGCTGATGTGTTTCCGTTTGATTTCGTTCTAAGAAGTTCTTAGGTTACCTGCCTCCATGCCCTATTCTCCTGCCTCAGAAGCACAGCCCTCATTTTGCTACACCCCAATCTGTATCAGACTATCTCAAAGAGCATTCCAGTTTTTAAGAAAAGTTTTCAGAGAAAAATTCTTTTAAATAAACTCTATAATAAAAATCTCTTGCATTTAACATTGGCAGAGTGAAGAAGGGGTATCTCTAAACCCGTCATTCTGAGAAATTATTGTATAAACATATTAGTAAGACAGAAAAAAGGAAGACTGGAGCAGAATTCAATGGAATGGAAATCAAAATAGCAGGAATAGGAAAAAAGATAAATAAAGACAAGAATAAAAGAAGATGACAGGCAAAAGGAAGACATGTGAAGTAGCCATGGAAATGAGATACAAACACAGCCAGCATCCGTCCTCATACGGCTACTTACTATGGCCCTGCAGGAGGCAGAAAGAGAGAAGACAAATAGGACTTCATCTTTGCTTTATCTTTAAACTCCTATTCCTAAATCTAGCCTTATTACCCCTTGTTTTAAGAGGAAAACATTTTACTAAAGGCCTTCTTTCCATTGTTCGAATCTTCAAGACATTTTACAGAAATGAAGCAATGCTGCTAACCTTTTGGGTGACAGTAGGAAAGGAAACAAGAATACAAGGGAGAGCTTATTTCCCAGTCCAGGGAACTTTGCTTCAGTTCTGGCTGAGTGTCCAGTTTCGGATGTAACATTTTTTTCTGAATGTAGACTTCATCATGCTGGTAGCTCAGAACAATACACTGTAAGCAGTAGTGGCAGCTCCTGAGCTCCGGCTCTCAGGACTCTGCTGCAGGTGCTTTAACAGGCATTTCCCTTCCTCCTTCCCTCCCTCCCTTCCTTCTTTCCTTCCTTCCTTCTTTCCTTCCTTCCCTCCTTCCTCCCTCACCCCCTCACTCCTTCCCCCCTCACCCCCTCACTCCTTCCCTTCCTTCTTTCTTTTTTTAAATTAAAGCTTATTTTCAAAAATACTTTCCACTGCAAGTCTCAGCTGGGGTGAAGATGAGACCCAGAGGCAGAGACACAGGTGCCTCCACTCTTCCAGTGAGCTTCCTAAGTCCTGCCTCACTGATCCCCACTTCACTTCTTTCCCAATGCCTCCCTTCCTCTTCAGTCCCGAAAAGGATCTGATGTTGCATTCAAGGAAAACGTTCAAAGCCATTTCAATCCCATTTTGGATGCCATTCCTTTTTTCTGTAAAAGACACTTTAAGCTTCATATGTACATTTTTTAAAAAACAAGTTTTCGTAAAATCTGAGTCCTTAGTAATGCTTAATTCTAATCCTTCCTTCTCTTAATAAAAATTCTGAAAAGGCTGCCTTCCCTAACCTCACAACAGCTGCACATTACCTACAGTGTTTCATACTATTTAATTAGGCTTTGTTTCAGCATCCACAACACCTTAGTCAATTTGGCATTTATTTCATATCCACAAATGCCAGAATTATCTCAGAGTATTTAACACATACGCTGAAATATCTGCAAGGGAATGTTTTACCTGCAGAGGAACAGTGAGTACAAATTCAGTACATTTTCATCCTCTATCCCCTAGGGCGAATCTTCTTGTTCAGGCTTTTTCCCTCTCCGCTATGCTTGAAAAGAAGAGAGCAGAGCATTGTGTTGCCTATCCAAAATGGGGACAGAGCTTCAGGTTAAATGGGTGGAGGAAAAGGTAAACTATTACTGAATGCCCACTATGTACAAGACATTGATGCTAGGTGTTTTATCTATATTTTAAAATTTAACCCTCACAATTCCCTCATGAGGTAAATATAATTATTTCTATTTTCCAGATGATGGAACTGGAGCAGAGAGAGGGTACATGTTAGGCAGTTAAGAGTTCTATCAGATTTCATTACACTACCTACTTCTTCACTTCACCGGATTGTTCATATCAAACTCAAACAAGTAGCTACGACAACCCTAGGAGGACCTAAATCTGGTCCTACCTTGGTTGGTGATTTCACAAAGGTTATGACAATGAGCAGGTAGCCCCTTCCTCTTCTGGGTAGAGCGAGGTCACAGTGCAGGCATACCACCTGAATCATCTGTGTGCCGAGGTCACCAAGGACACAGGCATTGGGGTTAGATAGCTGTTTAGGTCCCAGTTGGCTATGTGACCTTTGGGTTGTTTGTGCATTTATTCATTCATGCATGCATGCATACGTCAGTCTACAAGTATTTATTGAGCGCCTATTATGTGCCAACCATTCTAGATTTTGAGAAAACAGCAGTAAACAAAACAAATTAGGCCATCACAGAGTCTACATAGTCAGGGAATGTAAAACATTATGCCTCTACTTTCTTCTTGTGTGAAGTGGAAGTAATAGAACTGCCCTCATGAGGTTGTGCTAAAGATTAACTAAGTTAATCTGGGATTTTTTTTTTAACTTTAAAATGAAAACCTTTCTCTCTAGTACAAATTGAGCTAAAATCAATATAGGTGATAACAGCGGGACTTTTTGTGTATAGAAATGGGGTGAGAAGGAACAATTGTCCCCCAAAGTGCCAGGGGTAATTTCCTGTCACATTTAGTTGAGAGGAGAAGTCTCTAATGTGAGCTGCTAGGCTACCATTCATTTAAGTGCTAATGGAAATGTCAGGCTGAATTGAGGGTCTCATTTTCCTGCAAATTTCGGTGTGCAAAGTAGTCCTCGGGTTTATTTCTGCCTGGTACAGAAAATAAAGGAAAGTACAGGTGTTACAGTAATTATTTTAAATAACCCAAGCTTAAGCTTAAGAGAGAGTGCTTATCTATAATACCTTTGGAAAATCTGGCATTTTTTTTTCTCTCTCTCTTTTTTGGAAAGCTGGAGCAGTATCTAATCTGCTTTCTAAGGTTCAAGAGCTAATAGGAGTGCACAGAACAAAGATTTGATTGGTTAATGGTTTCCTACCCATTCCAAGGACTTTCTAGACTCCACAGGTCATGGGTGCCAATACAGACAGCACCAGGAGAGTATAGGGGTCAGCCCAAGTTTCAGTAATCAACTTCCTGAAATTAAGGGGGAAGACAGGGAAGACAGGCAAGAAATGAGACATAGCTATAAAAAGCTTAATCATCTGCCCAACATCTCAGGTAATAAATACATCTCCCAGGCAGTGACCCCAGATCTCTCCATTTGATTGTAGACTTAGAATTTTAAAAATCATAAATTTTGTTCACTTCATTTCTGAGAATACTTTGTGGTGTTCTCGATTAAGGGGAAAAAAGGTCATTCCATTTCAAACCTATTCATTAGAATTTTAAAAAGAAAGAAAGAAAACCAAAGTCTTTCATTTAGCCCATGCCTTAAATAAATATTTATTTGCTGATCTATCTTTGGTTCAGGGTTAGCAAGACAGTCTGGTGGTTATGGTTTTTGATACAAGTTTCATTTTGGTATAAATTCCTGCCCAAGAGGTATAAAAAGACACAGAAGTGAAGTGAAATCAAAATAAAGACAATGAGGAAGAACAGAAAGGGATTCTTTTGGAGACATTTTACAGCAAACATACCTAATAATGACAATCTTGGTTATAATTTAATAGTTATATGATGTTTCCATTCACTGAATCCCCTTTATTCTTACACAAAATAATGTGCCATGGCTTCCCTACCTCTTCAAAAATCGACAGGGCAGAGCCACGAGCTTCAGATAGTTTTCTGAGTCTATAGGCCAGCCCCTCCAAAGGGGTAGAAAACATCTGGCAGTAGCTTGTGGAGGCCTGCAAGCCTCCCTCATAAAAGGGGCTCTGAGGGATCATTTTAGCTGATCTCTTTTGACTATGCAAGAAATAGTTATTAGTTTCTTGGCTGGAAATCAATGCTATATGGGTTTTCAACATATCAGTTTTCTGAATTACATGAGGGTGGTTCATAGGAGTAAGCTGGCCGGGCTATCTCAGCTGACTTCCATGAACATTAACTGCATGTCACTTGTACGTGAATCTGGATGCCAAGTGGGCAGCTCCTTTGGTAGAAAAACTAAAAATCACTGGATGTTTCTGTATGTATGTGTGTGACAGCACTACCTAGCTGTCTCTGCCAATGTTCTCCAAGAATTATTCCAGGATTTTTTTTAAAGTTTAAAAGAGAGAAAAATATTGAATACAAAAATCCTATGAGGCAGGTTTAACTTAAGCTGTGACTCTGCCCATAAATGGAAATTTTGAGTACACAATAGAAATTAAACACAAATAACTAGTATTTACTCAAGAAAAGTACACTCACATATTTGCCAAGGGTGAAAAATAAAGATGTGATTTTTCCTACTAAGTAGGAAGGCATCATAGATTTTGCAGAATGACCTTTATAGATCAGAATCATGGAGGGCAACAACCAGGCTAAGTCACAAAATAGACTTTGAGTCTTCTGTCCCTGAGTAGACTTGGTCCAATATCACTGATGAGAAAGCAATGATCCCAGCTTTGAAGATGGCAATCTAGCTCCAGGGTCTAACTCCAACTGTTGCATACAGAAGAGGTTCTATGGTGTCACAAGATCTGAGTTGGAGTCCTGACTCTGTGATTTTGGATATGCCACTGAGCCTCTCTGAAGGTAAAATTAGATCTTGTAATGGAGAGATTCTTACGTTCCAGTCAGCCCAAATCAGAATTCAGGGTCTAGCTAAGCTTAGAAACTGGAAGATATGGTGATTCCTGAGTCTATTTTAGGAGTTTATTTGCATACAAGTAAGAGGTAGTTAAGTTATAAATCTGAACAGAAATGTATATTGGGAGAGAAAAGGAAAATAGGCTTATAGAGAAAATTTTGTCTAATCTCCAGCCTGAAGCCTATGGGCCAAAAGGTTGAAGGCAGAGGTTAAAGGGACTCTTTTACTCCAAATTTTATAAGGGCTGAGACCCTCACGTGGGCATGTGTGAAAACACATAGGACATTCCAGAAATACCTAGAGGGAATGGGGAAAGAAGAAGGAGGGTGTCGGGATGCTCGGCAGCAATGTTTGAAGAGAATCTGAGCCAGGGAAATTGGGATAAAGATGTTAACATGACTTTGTTCTCCCATACATGAAAGACCATTTAATCCTCACAACAACATGAGGAAATAAATATCATTAACCCTGCTTACTCCATTTCTGCGTTTCAGAAGGTAGATAGATGAAGTTAATGCTGTTAACTGTGCATAACAGGATTTGAGTTCTTTCCTGTAAGTAGATCATACTGTCTTTAAGCACTAAATTCTGTTCCTTTGCCTACTTGCAGCTATAAAATTCTTAAAGAAAAAAACAAGACAGACAACTGAAAGGGATGCTCAAATTGTTTTAGATACAGGATAATTAAGTGTCAAAAAGAGAATGAGCAGGGATTGGGTTTGAGAACAACCTAGGCATAAATCAGGAAGCTCGAATTTTTATACTTTCTGCATCAACACTTTTCTTTCTTAGACTCACATGAAAACAGAGTGGAAATACTGAGAGGGAGATCTCTCTCAGTGCCCTTGCAGAGGTCAAACACTTTCTTATCTAACTCTGATTTACTTGGGTTGCATGGAAATTAGTGAGCTTGGCTTGATCACTGATGGTTCTGGCATTTCACATTGGAGACTTAAGCCATTTTGGCCAATGCCTTGGTTTGCCTTGGAGTAACATGGTAAGCAGCTCTCTCAACAAGCCATTTCAATTATTTTTAATGATTATTTTAACCTTAGATAGTAAAGAAAAACCTCAACAAGGGTGAGACACTCTCTAGCAGTTTTAATTTTACTTAAGGTCATGTCTGAGATATCTGGATTTCTTTAATTCTGAATGGAACTACACAAATCTTGCCTTTCTCAGAAGGAATTTCAGTCATTTATCAAGAGCAGAGAGTTCTTTTCATGTTTTGGAAATACAGCTTATGTTCCGAGGGGCCAGGATCACTTTCCCTGCAGCATGGGGCCAGCTCTACCTAGGGAATGATTAAGCCTATTTGATTTAGAAAAATATGCATATAATTGACTCAAAAGATAGTCTTTATATTTATGCAGCTCTTCTTATTTATTTATTTTACATCCATTTCCACAAAGTGCTTTCATATTATTTTCTCAGTTGATTCTCACCAATTCTCTGTGGTTTTGGAAAGTCAAATAACACTGTACTCCTTTACAGATAAGGAAACTTGAGCCCAAGAAAGCTTACTTGATATGTGGAAGGTCTTAAGGGTAACCGATGGCAGAGGTATTACGACTCCTTATTCTTTGCACTGATTTATGAGTGTTCCATTTACTTACTTCTGTGTAACAAACAAGTCCAAACTGTTCATGGATTCAGAGCATCAGGAATTTAGACAGGACACAGTGGAAATGGCCTATGTCTTCCCCCCCGAGGTCTGGGGCTTCAGCTAGGAAGAATAGATGATGACCAGGCTTAAAGAAGACTCACATGTCTGGTGCCTGAGCAAGGATGACTAGAACATCAGCTGCAACTATAAACCAGAACACCTACATGAGGCCTCTCCATGTGGCTTGGGCCTCTCCCAGCACATCATCTGCATTCTGAGGAGCACTTCCAAAAGGGAGCATCTAGAAGGGGAGTGTTCTAGAGAACTAGGCAGGAGATGAATGGCCTCAGATGTCACACAGAAACCATGCTGCTGTATTCTCTTGGCTATAAGTGAGTCAGTAAGCCCAGATTCAATGGAAGATGACTGTTGGTGGAAGAGTGGCAGGGTCACATTTAGAAGAGCATTTATGATGGCAGATGCTATTGTGGACATCTTTGAAAAATGTCATCTTCCACTATAAGCACAAATATATTTCCTGCACAAATAACAGGGAAATAAAAGAAAATAATATAAACTAGGGCTTTAAATGGTTATGAAAAAACTAGACAAATAGTAAGAGCTTTCCTACACACCAACGATAACAGGTACGAAAATAAAGTGCAGCCCCTGGCACAGTGGCTCACACCTATAATCCCAGCACTTTGGGAGGCTGAGGCATGTGGATTGCTTAAGCCCAGCAGTTCAGGACCAGTGCCTGGGCAATATGGTGAAACCCTGTCTCTACAGAACATACAAAAATTAGCCGGTCATGGTGGCATATGCCTGTAGTCCCAGCTACTTGGGAGGCTGAAGTGGGAGGATCACATGAGCCAGGGAGGTCAAGGATGCAGTGAGCTGTGACTGCATTACTGCACTCCAAGCTGGTGACAAAGCAAGACTCTATCATGAAAACTTAAAAAAATGCAAAAAAGGTGGAAACAAATCCCATTTACATCAGTACTACAAAATAGAAAATAATTTAGAAAAAAAGTTTAAAAATTACATGGGCATAGATGAAGAAATCATCAAATGTTCTGAAAGATTTTTTAAATGAAATGAAGATATATATAATGTTTCTTAAAAATGTCCTTTCTGACCAATGCCATACATCATATTCCTGAACGGCGTTATTTCTGCTCCAAATGTAACTCAGTTCCAAGAAAAAAATCCCAACACAGAGATATGTGAATTTAATAATATTAATGTAAAGTTCATCAGGAAGAATAAAATTATTAGAATAGTCAATAGCCTTATTAAATAAAAACAAAGAAATATAAAACATATCAGATATTAAAATCTTACAAAGCTTCCATAATTTAAAGACACTGCTGGTATTAAATTGGATAATCATGTGCCTGAGACCAGGTTTCACCTCTTGTCCTAGTATAATTATAATTCTTTTTACCCTCAAAATTATCCAGTTTTGGATGATAAATTATATGGCCACCCTACAATTAATCATATATATGTGTCTGTACTCCCTCCCCAAACCCTACTTAAAAGTAGGGTTTTAAGGCAATAAATACATTTTAAAAATATTAGTCAAAAGGTCCAAGAGAAGAGATGGATTGATGGATGGATGAATGGATGAATGGATGGATGGATGGATGGATGGATGGATACATAAGTAGGTGGATAGAAAGAGAAGTAGATGAATGGATATGTAGATGCCTAGATATATATAAAATAAATAGACTGATCATTCAGCCAACAACTAACTGGGAAAAAAGAGAATCAAAGAGTGAAATGTGTGTTGTGGTGAGAATCAAAGTTTGGTGTGATGACCAAGAGTGACTTTGGCTATTTCTGGCTGAAAGTTTTCTCTGAAAACATTAAATTTAAATTGATATTTGAATGGCAAGAAGGAGCAAGTCCTTCAAAGAGTTGGAAGGAACACTTTCTATTAGGGAAATTAATTAGTGCAAAGGCCATAAGCTAAGATTAAATTTAGCTTGTTTGAGAAACTTAAATACTTATGTAGCTGAAGCATAGTACCCATCTAAGATGAAGTCTGAGAGGTAGGTCAGACCATTTAGGATCTGTAAAATAGAGTAAGTTAGAGTAAGAAAGCAAGCTGGAGCAAGGAGTTTGGATTTTATCCTAAATGAAATGTGAATTAATTAAAGAATTTTAAACAGAGTAATATCGCATAAATATTTTTTAATAAGAAAGACATGGACAATGAATTGTGGAGAGTCAAGGGTGGAAGCTGGCAGATCAGTTATGAGGCTATTGCAGTGGTCTTGGCAAGAGAAAATAGTGTCTTAGGCAAGAACGACAGAAAGAAGAGTGAAGTGTTTGAATTAGGAAGGAAAATTTGACAGGGCTTGCAGAAGGCATAAGGCAAAAGACTGACAGATGTTGCCGTATGAAAACATAAATCTTATATATCAAATAGACCATAAACAAAGTTAACAGTTAAAAAATAAATGAAGAAAAAATGTGTAATATATATAACAAAGGATTAAAATAAAATATATTATGTATATTAAAAAATGTCAAAAATACATTTTAAAAGCTATAAATGAATAAGAAAAAGACAAACAACCCAATAGAAAAATGCGCAGTGATATAAAGAGATAATTTACAGAACAAAATACAAATGAAATAACATGTGCAAAGACATTCAACCCTGTCAAGAAACTAAGACTTACAAAATAAAATAATAAATCACTTTAATCTTTTTCACTGGAAAAATTAAAGACATAAAATTTAAAATATAATAAAAGAAAAATATATGTTTAAATATTTTGTATTGGTTGAGAGTAATAATGGGAAGATAAATGAATATGGAAATTTGGAGGGCAGTTTGTCTACATCTATCAAGTTTTTTAATTGACCGTGAAATTCTCCCAGTATTTATTCTAAAGATACACTTTTATTATTTATTATTTATTTTTAGACAGAGTCTCATTCCATCACCCAGGCTGGAATGCAATGGCGCAATCTCCTCCCACTACAACCTCTGCCTCCCGGCTTCAAACAATTCTCCCACCTCAGCCTCCCGAGTAGCTGGAACTACAGACATGCACCACCACACCTAGCTAATTTTTGTAATTTTAGTAGAGACACGATTTCGCCATGTTGGCCAGGCTGGTCTCAAACTCCTGACCTCAAGTGACCCACCAGCCTCTGCCTTCCAAAGTGTTGGGATTACAGGCGTGAGCCACCTCACCCAAGCTAGAGATATACTTTCAAATGTGTACATGAAGATATATACAAGAATGTTCATTGCAAGGGTATTTGTAATGGAAAAAAAAAAGAAAACCATCTATTTGCCCATTTTTGGTGACATTCACCCCAAGAAATATAATGGAAATACCGTGGAGAATTTTTAAAGAGTAACATTGATATATAGGGACTTACTCAGAAATATCTCTATGACTTTTTAGAAGTAAAAAATCAAGTCAAACAATATAAGGAGTTTGGTTTTCCTTATATGGAGAAAACTGAAACTATATGTGAATGTGAATGTAAGTAGATTCAGAGTAATATCTTCAATGTCTTAAAATTTTAACAGTGGTTCCACGGTAGGGTAGGAAGTTAACTGACCTGACTTAGGGGAAGGCTGATGGATGAGGAAGCACTTTTGCTTTTTATGCTACACACATCTTCATTGTTTGAATGTTTATAGCACATATTATTGTATTACTTGAGTAATTCTCTACATTGGATTTCAAATCCAATATATTTGGATTTCAAAAAGTGAACAAATGAAACTCAGATTATGTTGGCAGTCGTAGAAGGGGCTTCAATCATAAACAGTTGTGAAAGTTTTGGTGGTAATTTGAATTTAATAAATCTTTACTGAACAAAGCTTGCAAGAGTACAGTTCAATGTGGAGTCTGGTCAAATGGCATTTAAAACGCTAAAGGAAGTGCTCCAAGAAGGGAGAGTCCAAGGACTTGGGGTAGAAAGAACAAGGCAAAGGCTTGAATCTGTAATGTCTTTGAGTTTTTTTCATTTCCCTTATCCATAAAATGAAGTATTGGCCAAAGCAGCATTTCAAACTATTTTTTGGGGGGTGGGGGTGGGGGCAAGGAACAGAACACTTTTGTATTCCCAAAATGAAATCTTATGAAAATCTCACTATTTACAACTGATAAAAGCAGTATTTCTCTGATTAAAAGAGGTCAAAAGCCAGAGCTCTACCAGCTCTGCTCCTTGGGCAATACTGCAGCCTTCCTCGGGATGTCCCAGAGGAACCCGAGGCCATGGAGAACACTCCTCAAAAACTTCCAGCCTGGATCATTTCTAAAGCCTTTTCTACTCTAAAATACATAATTCTCATTTACAGATGTAACTCATGAGAGTCAGCCTCAGTAAGTGTAGAGTACAGTTAGAATTCAACTGAGGAGAAGCAAAGAGGAGCAGCATTTATTACACTATTTACATGTGCTACACATTGTTTAAGCCATTTTAATACCTTACTTTGTTTAATCCTCACAACCATCCAGTATTTTTAGCTCCATACAGGGAGGAAACAAGGAGATAAGGAGCTTTCCAGAGGTCACACAGTAAGTACTGAGCAAATTCTAACAGATTTGCCTAATTGGAAAGGTCACACTGGGTAGGCCTAGAGCACAGTGTCCTATTAGGGGAAAGGGGATACAACAGTAGTACTTCTGGGGGCTGATGGGGAGGGTAGTGGAGGACACCAGGAGAGGGTGGGTGGGAGGACTTCCAATACCAGCTCCTCATGCTTCCCAGCTTTGTCAGGGACTATGCCTTCTAACAGTCTATTTGGGGAGCTAAGACTATCACATGTGGAACAAATTAAGGAAAACATAGGCAGCATGTAATTAGCTGTTTAACCACATGGTATATTCTAGAATTTGAGGAGCTTTGAGGTTTTTTTGTTTTGTTTTGTTTTGTTTTTTTCAGAAATGATTATAAATTTGCACTACTCTTGTTCCATCCTCTCCAGATACCTGGTTGTGGTCAGTGTCTGTGGTCAAGGCAATGCGAGGCACATCCAGCATCCCTGAGCAAGATGTGCTCAAACACATGTACGCTACAATGTTCCCATAACATCTGCCTCCATAGCATCAGCAACTGACCTAAATGCCTGCCTTAATGGGCAGGGCTTTTTTGCATGCTAGATGTCCAGGATGCTTGCTGTCCCTACTTGTAATTTACCATTGCAGTTGTTATTTACATTATTTTCCAAGTAACCAATTCATAGAACAGCCAGACAAGAGCTGAGTCATCTTGGAAGAGAGCCCAAAAATCTCCCCTGCACAGCAAGCTTTACAAAAAGATCATCCTTTGTGGAATGCAAACAAAATGGCCTCCACAATTTATTAATGTTCCCAAGAGCTGTGATTATGAATCCAGACATTTTAACAATGTTGAATCTAATTATGCCAGGTGAACAGAGTATCTATCACAAGTTACTCCAAACCATCCAGAGGTACAATGTAAGCCTCTTGTTTTTACAGGTTCTTCTGTCAAACCTAACTGAGAGCATTTTGTCTTTTGAGCTAGACTAAGGTTAAACAAGATTTACACTGAAGGCAGCCACAGCAATCAATGACTGATGCTTAGACTAAGCCAGGATGCATATGTTTCAGAGTCATCACATTCTCCAATTTTAAGAAGAATAAAATATTGGCATATTCCCAATTCAACATATTTAATTCAACTGCTGTTTGTTTTCAAAGGAAATTTAAAACAATAGCAAAGAAGGAATTCACCAATACTAATTCTATAACACTAAAAAAAATTTCTTTTGTTTTTAATTATACTTTAATTTCTGGGGTATATGTGCAGAACGTGCAGGTTTGTTACATAGGTATACATGTGCCATGGTGGTTTGCTGCACCCATCAACACGTCACCCTACATTAGGTATTTCTCCCAATGCTATCCCTCTCCTAGTCCCCCCACCCCGACAGGCCCTGGTGTGTGATGTTCCCCTCACTGTGTCCATGTGTTGTCATTGTTCAACTCCCACTTATGAGTGAGAACATGCGGTGTTTGGTTTTCTGTTCTTGTGTTAGTTTGCTGAGAATGATGGTTTCTAGCTTCATCCATGTCCCTGCAAAGAACATGAACTCATCCTTTTTTATGGCTGCATGGTATTCCATGGTGTATATGTGCTACATTTTCTTTATCCAGTCTATCATTGATGGACATTTGGGTTGGCTCCAAGTCTTTGCTATTGTGAACAGTGCCGAAATAAACATACGTTTGCATGTGTCTTTATAGTAGAATGATTTATAATCCTTTGGGTAAATACCCAGTAATGGGATTGCTGGGTCAAATGGTATTTCTCGTTCTAGGTCCTTGAGGAATAGCCACACTGTCTTCCACAATGGTTGAACTAATTTACACTCCCACCAACAGTGTAAAAGCATTCCTATTTCTCCACATCCTCTCCAGCATGTTGTTTCCTGACTTTTTAATGATCACCATTCTAACAGAATAGAAATCTCAATAGAGATTTGCATATCTCTATTGACCAGTGATGATGAGATTTTTTTCATATGTTTGTTGGCTGCATAAATGTCTTCTTTTGAGAAGTGTCTGTTCATATCCTTTGCCCACTTTTTGATGGGGTTGTTCGTTTTTTTCTTGTAAATTTGTTTCAGTTCTTTGTAGATTCTGGATATTAGCCCTTGTCAGATGGATAGATTGCAAAAATTTTCTCCTATTCTGTAGGTTGCCTGTTCACTCTGATGATAATTTCTTTTGCTGTGCAGAAGCTCTTTAGTTTAATTAGATCCCATTTGTCAATTTTGGCTTTCGGTGCCATTGCTTTTGGTGACTTAGGCATGAAGTTTTTGCCCGTGCCTATGTCCTGAATGGTATTGCCTAGGTTTTCTTCTAGGATTTTTATGGTTTTGGGTCTTATGTTTAAGTCTTCAATCCATCTTAAGTTAATTTTTGTATAAGGTGTAAGGAAGGGGTCCAGTTTCAGTTTTCTGCATATGGCTAGCTAGTTTTCCCGATACCATTTATTAAGTAGGGAATCCTTTCCCTATTGCTTGTTTTTTTCAGGTTTGTCAAAGATCAGAGGGTTGTAGATGTGTGGTGTTATTTCTGAGGCCTCTGCTCTGTTCCATTGGTCTATATCTCTGTTTGGTACCAGTACCATGCTGTTTTGGTTACTGTATAGCCTTGTAGTATAGTTTGAAGTCAGGTAGCATAATGCCTCCAGCTTTGTTCTTTTTGCTTAGGACTGTCTTGGCTCTGCGGGCTCTTTTTTGGTTCCATATGAAGTTTAAAGTAGTTTTTTCCAACTCTGTGAAGAAAGTCAATAGTAGCTTGATGGGGGATAGTAATGAATCTATAAACTACTTTGGGCAGTATGGCCATTTTCACGATATTGATTCTTCCTATCCATGAGCATGGAATGTTTTTCCATTTATTTGTGTCCTCTCTTATTTGTTTGAGCAGCAGTTTGTAGTTCTCCTTGAAGAGGTCCTTCACATCCCTTGTAAGTTGTATTCCATTCCTAGGTATTTTATTCTCTTTGCAGCAATTGTGAATGGGAGTTCACTCATGATTTGGCTGTTTGTCTGTCATTGGTGTATAGGAATGCTTGTGATTTTTGCACATTGATTTTGTGTCCTGCGACTTTGCTGAAGTTTCCTATCAGCTTAAGAAGATTTGGGGCTGAGACTATGGGGTTTTCTAAATATACAGTCATGTCATCTGCAAACAGAGACAATTTGACTTCTTCTTTTCCTATTTGAATATCCTTTATTTCTTTCTCTTGCCTGATTGCCCTAGCCAGAACTTCCAACACTATGTTAAATAGGAGTGATGAGAGAGGGCATCCTTCTCCTGTGCTGGTTTTCAAAGGGAATGCTTCCAGTTTTCCCCCATTCAGTATAATATTGGCTGTGGGTTTGTCATAAATAGCTCTTACTATTTTGAGCTTTCCAGAGTTCCAGCAATATCTAGCTTATTGAGAGTTTTTAGCATGAAGGACTGTTGAATTTTGTCGAAGGCCTTTTCTGCATCTATTGAGATAATGATGTGGTTTTTGTTATTGATTCTGTTTATGTGACAGATTACATTTATTGATTTGAGTATGTTGAACCAGCCTTGCATCCCAGGTATGAAGCTGACTTGTTTGTGGTGGATAAGCTTTTTGATGTGCTGCTGGATTTGGTTTGCCAGTATTTCATTTAGGATTTTCGCATTGATGTTCATCAGGGATATTGGCCTGAAATTTTCTTTTTTTATTTTGTCTTTGCCAGGTTTTGGTATCAGGATGATGCTGGCCTCATAAAATGAGTTAGGGAGGATTCCCTCTTTTTCTACTGCTTGGAATAGTTTCAGAAGGAATGGTACCAGCTGCTTTTTATACCTCTGGTAGAATTCAGCTGTGAATCCGTCTGGTCCTGGACTTTTTTTGTTGGTAGGTTGTTAATTACTGCCTCAATTTCAGAACTTATTATTGGTCTATTCAGGGATTTGACTTCTATGCAAATAAACTAGAAAATCTAGAAGAAATGGATAAATTCCTGACAAAATTTCAATCTTACTATTACTTAATACAAGTAACACCAGCAGCTTCAGAGAGAAAAAACAGATGTAGAAGTTGAAATTTTTTTTATTCAAAACAGCAGATGGGAAATGTTTTATTCATACATGCATTCCCCATGACCAGTATGACCTTGCATGCAGTTGGTGCTCAATAAATGTTGATTATATAAGAAAGAAAATCTAGTTATGGGACTTTGTGTGATCAGTATAATATCCATTTTTGTTTGAAGACAAACTTTAATTTTTTTTCCTGTTCTCCTTCAGTGAATGGTATTTGATTTTTCTTTTGACGTTAAAAAGTTAGTAGGCTCTTATCCATTGTAGTAGAAGGTCCACCATACATTACATTTCTATTTCTCTTTCCTCTCTAATGAAAAAAGTTTTGAAGAACCAAACATCCTAGCTTCCCTTGTTTATGAGTGGAGTTCTGGTACAATTATTCTTAGTGTCCTTTCAAAAATATCACAATTTAGGAAACAAACAAACTATAATCTAAGCCATCTAGAAAAGTGCCACAAAATCACCAATCACCTTTATCTCACTGAAGATTATACCCTGGGGACAGTAATCCTTCCCAAACAAAAGAAGAGTAGCTGTCAGTACCCTGGAATCACTTCTGAATCCTTTTCAGAAGATAAAACACTTTTGAGTTACTGAAAGTATTCATCCTCAGAAGAGAGTTGAACAAGTCTTCTCAATATGAATGAAATCAAACTGAGTGGATCCTGAAGGAGAGAAGGGAGATGTTGTTTTGGGTCTATGAGTGGACAAATATCAGGCCAGACCAACCCAGCAAACCTGAGACCTATTAATGTGCTGTATAGGAAAGAGCCAAGCAAGTTTAGTGTTGGTGGGGTGGTATTGGACTCCCTCTAAGGACCCCTTCTAAACCACAGAACCATCACAGCTATGATACACACCACTTGTCTTGAGAGCAGTCATCAATAGTGACATCCCGTGACAGCCAGAGGCAATGGGAATTGATCAGACTCAATTTCTCTCTTTGCTTGTATATGAAACTCAGGCTCCTAACTCTCCCTTTGTCCCGTCTTTGGACTACGTAAATTCCTAGTGTTCTTAGAGACCTGAAAGACACACACACAGACACACACACACACACACACACACACACAAAACAGGTGAGACTAAAAAGATTATTTGAAATGAATAAAATAATGGTGGCATTAATTTCATACCAAGTTTGTGGAGGAATTCACACAAGACAAACAAAAAGAATAAAATTTAATGGGCAACAAGCAATTTTATTTAAGATTTTGGGAAGAATGTCTTGACTATACACAGAAAGTCCACACCTGGAGTTGTTTAAGACCCCAAGTGGCTTGCAGTCAAATGCACACATGATCTACTTGGGCCCCAGAGTCAGGCAATGACTAGGGTCTTCCACTTCTAAGCAACTCACTATAAGTTAGCTCTGGAGCTTGATTAAAAAAAGACTAGAGGGCAAACTTTTCTTTGTCTATAGAAAAATCTAGGCTCATGAAAAATGTAATCGATGTTTAGATACTTTGGGACACTGACATGGTTATAGAGCTTATCATTGTTTTGAAAACTGTCTGAAATAGTTCTCTATACACATAGAGGTATTATCAGAATGGCTGCCAGAAAAACTAAGACGGTGGATACTGAAAGCCAAACTAACAGTGCCAATGGGAATAAGGACCTCCTGTTTTCATCACTTGTCATCCAACGAGCTCTCTTTAGAGACGTCATAAGATTCAAGGAAGAAGAACGTAAAGAATACATAAAAACCAAGAGCACTCAGGAATTTATGGAAATTATGGAAATGATGCATGTAAAGAAGATTGATAAGAACAAAGAAAGAAAGGCAAGGTAAAATTATATAAGGAAGACAAAGACGATAAAAAGAACACAAAAGTTACCCCAAACATGGTGCATGCTTTGATAAGACTACTGAGATTACACTAAGATTTTAGGGGGAAATTCCTCAAAACAAAAGGATGGCCAAGAGATGTGAATGTGTTTACATTAGAAGAAAATAATTAGAAGACCCTAAGTGTAGAGTTAACTTTCCTTTTACCTTTTAGGTACAAGGCCAGCATGTGTACAGCTCAGTGTTTACATTTACACTTATGTAATGTGTGAGGTGGCACACTGAGTGACCCATGCAAACAGTCACAGATTAATTTTGTTGATGAGTAATTCAACAGCTCCACAAGATGGCACATAGGAATTTTTCACTGCTTATAGACTGGGCCAGCCCCTCCATTCCATGAAATGTAAAATCATTTATTTGTGAGGAGTTTGGGACCTCAAAGGGAAAACTGCAGATGGAATCTCCAAGTTCGAAAGGGCTCGTTGCTGCCAATTATAAAGTACTTCTATTATTGGCTATTTGGTGGTGGGGTGTCATTTTTTAAAACTGGATTTACTGATAACTATGGAGCATAACGTTTCTGTTCTCATTTCTCTGGGATTTGATCAATGGTTTCCCAGTTTTGAAACAGAAGTAGGTTCTTTGCAAAACTGTATTTGGGTCAAGTTCTGATTTTGGAAATAAAAAACTCCCAGTGAGAATGTTATTATTGATCTAATTAATCATAATTTAAGAATTGCTTTCAGTAATACTTAATATAGAATGAATCATTTAATTAATAGCCAAGCAAAAGAGCTTGTAGAATTTCACTCTACTCATTACTCCTCCACCCCAATCCTGTGAATTGATTTGGTTGTTAAATACAGTTGCGAAACATATTTGCAAGAACTAAACAAATTCAAACACATAAAGGACATGTTTAGCATCCGGTCAGGTATGAAAAGGTAACTCTTGTATTACAGAACAGAAGACAAAAAGAATAATTGTGAATTAATCCAAGTAAACAGGACATGCTGTCATATCAATTTAAAATCAAACACAAGGATCTGGCAATCTGAATCAGGAAAGAAAACAAGGAAAAGCTTCCCTCAGCCAGTACTCAAGAAGAATGCCAGCCCTGGTGGACACGTGTCAAGAGAATTTAGTGGGGCCTCATTGTTGCACACATCTTCACTTCTCTTTCCCCCTTGTTAAGGCTTTACTCTGTGACATTAGCAAAGATATTTTCATTCATTCAACAAATGTGTATTGATGTATACACTGAGCCAGATTCCTAGCACACTGTACTCAACGCCTTTGTTGCCTGTAAACTAAAAATATCCTTGCTTGCCTCAATTTAGCAAAATATATAGAAAGAATATTTGACAATGAGACAAAAAGATTCAGTTCTAGTTCATGTTCTATTACTTATTAAATATGTTACCAAAGGCAAGTATGGCCAAATACAAGCTCTTATAATTATAATTATAAGCAATGATAAATATTGGGCAAGTTGCTGTATGAAGGCTCTCTTGGTCTCTTAAATCCCAGACTGGCAGATGTCAAAAACAGTTTCGTCAGGGAAAAGGATGATTGGTAATTCCATTTCCCCCTTTGCTTTACTCCCCACAGAATTTCAGTGAACATTCAAAATAGGAAAGAAATCTCAGAATCCAGGATGTGTGCTATAATACACAGAGATTATTTAGAATATTCACAGGAGCATGTGTTCTATCTTCCCTATTTGCAAGCAAATTAATTTGAGACCTAGATTCCAGAGACGTGTATCACGTGAGCCTACAAAGAGCCATGAATTGCCACCTCACTCAGAAGAAGCTAATCAGAGTATACGTTCTGTCTTCCTTTTACCATTTTCCTCCTTCCACTCAAAACAGACCCCAGTCCCACCCAGAGCCTCAGGGATTCACATATGACTCAGATTGGGCCAATTATAATACCTTACCCCCTCTCCTTGGCAATGATGGGCACACAGTCCAAGCCAGGCCTGTTGTGTTACATAATCAGAAATCCGTAAGATGGTGAGTCTGGAGCTGCTAGTGGCCAAGTCCCTAGCACGTGGGAAGAGCTGGTCTGGAAGAATTAGGGCAACACTCTGCTTCTCTAGCAGATGACAGAAACAGAATACTGATGGAATGTGAACTCCTAGTTTTAGTCTTCTGAAGACCTCTCAAGGGTCGTTGCTCACATCTTCTTTCAGTTCTAATAAATCTCCTTTTTTGGGTAAGCTAATTTGGATTGGTTTCTGTCACCAGTGTAATGACTGATGCATAGAAAAGGTCAGAAATACTCACTTCTTTTTTGTTTTTGCATTAATGCTTTCTATAAGAATGCCTGGAACTGGGAAAGCGGCCAGAATGGAGAGTCAAGGCCACAATATCTGGCTCTTGTGGCGAGAAGAAGAATGCAGATTTATTGAGAGGACAGTGGTAGCATGAGAAGAATGAGCTTGGGGTCCTCTGGCCAAGGTCTGAAAGGCCCCCCAAAGCTATGCCATACTGACTTTCAAGCAACAATTAAACTATTGGAGGCATAATAGGATACTCATCCTGGCACTGCAACCAAGTTTTTTACTTTGAGCCATTCATATAACCTTTCCAGGGCTGGTTTTCATCTATAAAATAAGAGTCTCAGACTGCAAAGTGCTGTACTTCTTGAAGCACTTGTGAAAACTGACTTTAAACTTAACAAAAAATAACTGTGAGAAAGAGTGGATAGGGAGAAATTTAGATGAATAGTTGATTGAGACTATATTTATTTTTAATAATAACACCAATAATAACTAAAATATAGCATAACTTTATGGAAGGCACTGTTTTATATGTAGAACATTTGTTAACTCATTTAATCATCACTTCAAACCAAGAGATAGATACTTTTATTATTCCCCTTTTAAAGTTGAAGAAGCCAAGGCACAGATGAGTCTAATAACTTTCCCAACACTACCCAATTAGCATGTCAGACATAGGAACCTAACGCATGCAATCATTGTCCAAAATCCATGCTCTTAATAACTATGCTACACATCTGCTGTTAAGTGTACCTGCTTCTCTGCCTGGCACATGTCGGCAGATGAATATAAAGTGTCCTCTGTGAAGGCATTGATAACAACCAAGTGATGCAATTTTCAAAGTCATGGTGCGAGTGGTGAAGATACCTGGCCATGGGACAAGACAGCTTCTGTTGGGATATTTTGCAGCCATACTCCCAAGCACTCACCCCTTTTTGTCCCACTCTGGCTAGAATTCTCGGAGCATTATGTGCAAGGGTTAAGTACATTTTGTTAAAGGTAGGACAATCCTTGTGTAATTCCCTGGGCAACTGGATTATACTAAGTAGACTGGTTTATGACAAGTACTTCTACCTCATGCCAATGAGAAACTTGTCAGAAATAAACTGTTGGAAACAAAGAAAAATAGAGAAGTAGAAGAATATGTTCACCAAAAACACTTACTTGTTTCCTTGTCATGTGTTAAATGAAGGCATTACTTACTCTCTCTCATCAGGGACCTAAGTAAAAACTGTCCTTTCAATCATGACTTTCTTAGCCCCCAGAAAGTTGGCAGAAATGGCTTCTGTAATTAGCAACTGTGATTGGAAAATGTCCATATGATTAGGTTTATTGAAGACTATGTATTAAGCAAATTAGAATTTAGATTAGAGCAAAATTTTGATAAATAACTTCACTATCCCTTTAAGTAAGAATCAGATTTTCCTACATTAACTCTATTGTAAAAAATTATGTTGCTAGAGTCAAACTTGGTTTAATAAAGCCACTCCCTCATTGGAATGCTGAGATCAAGTTTATTAATCCACACCAGCAGAGCTTATCTAAGCAATGGAAAAGACCATTGTAATTGTTATCTACCATGCGGTTTTATAAACCAGCTGAAGTTTAGCAATCTGCACTTTCATTGTCCAGTGGCTTCAAGGATCTAAGGAACAAAATGGCTTAAAGGTTAGTTTAGCCTACATCATGAGAATTGCCAGGGTTTGGAAAATTTGTATTAAAGGACTACGAATAGCTCTCATGCAATCAGAACAATAGCTGTGGAAAAAAACTATTAGGTCATTGCATCTACCGATCCCCCTGTTGGTTCTAGAGAAGCAATTAGAGCTTCGGTTGCTCCGGTATTGCTTCTCTGTGTGCAGAGAGAAAGCTTTAACTCCTTGTGGTGTAGCCAGGCTGGCTCTGGTGAAAGATAATGGAGTGCTGCTCATCCAGCCTCATCCACACAGGAGAAGCTGTCCAAGCTGAATCCTGGACTGAGTCCATTGGTGTGCTCAAATATGGATCTTGTAGTTCTTAGTCCAGAACTGTTTATTTTGCAGATCTTTCCCCCTGTGGAATGCAGCAGCTCCAAAAGCAACACCTCACCAAGCCCTGAGAAGACAAAAACACTCCACACAGGGGATGGTCTGTTGTGTTCGGCCCACAGAAGAGTCCTGCCTGCTTGAAGCAGACATTCTCTAGTGGCACCAGGACACAGGTGCATGTCCTCACTTGCCATATGACTTTTGAATGATTTGCATAAGCTATAAAACTGGAGTGGAGGTAATGCTCTCTAAACAGAAATATAGCTTTTTTAAAATAAAGACTGTACTAGAGGTTTGAGGGAGCCTCTACAGTGAAGATAATCCTAATGTCAAACAGAGGTTGGGTAAGCCAGAAAATGAGGGTTTGGAGTGACCAAAAGGATTTACCCTCAGTCCTGTCTAGAAAATTAGCTAATAAAAGCTGAATTGAAAAGATGACTCCTTTCTGCTTCTCCTGACAGTATGGGCAGATGAAACTGATTCAGAGATAATAGACTGGAAATAAATTTCTGACTTTAGGTCCCAAATTGGATGGGTTTCAGAGCAGTCTGCATTCCAGTTCAAATATTATAGCAGAAACCTACAAGAGAGATTTGGGGGTTTTATTTTGAACTTGTTGACAGCTTACTTTTTAATTTTTTTAATAATTATTCAAAAATTTCTATAGCCCACCATAGACTATAAACTCCTTGAGGGTTAGGATTGGCTCACTTTTTCCTCTATTGGGGGATATACTGTTTTGGAATAGTCCCCATAGCTACTACTGTAGCTGGCCTCTAAGATGGTCCCCAAAGATCACTGCCTCCTGTTACTCACACACTTGAATAGTCTTTTCCTACAATGTTCCAAAATTGGTTTGTGCAAGCAACAGAATACAGAATACAGAAGTGATGAGATGTCACTTCTAGGATTAGATTATAAAAGACTGTGGCTTCTGTTCATGTTTTCTCTCTCTCTCTCTCTCTGTTTCATCACTGACTCTGGGAGACAGCAATGTGCCATGTTTGAGCAGCCTTATGTAGAGGTTCTCATGGCAAGAACCTGCCAGCCTACCAACAGCCAATGAGAAACTGAGGCCCACCATCAACTGTGGGAGTGAGCTTAGTAGACTCTCTAACCCCAGTCAAGCCTTGACATGGCTGCAGCCCTAGCCAACAGTTGGACAGCATCCTCATCAGAGGCCCTGCGCTGGAACCACCCAGTTAAGCTGCTCCTGGGTTCCAAATAAATTGATATGTTTTAGGGTAACTTTGTTATTCGGCAACAGACATAAATAGCTGATGAATAGTCCATTAGGTTATCAATTTTTCTCAGTGGCCCTTGATCTAAATACTCCTCTCTAGTTAACCCCAGACCAGAACTGTCTTCCTTGCTTCCTGGGGAAGATAATATGGCCTTTTCTAGTTTGATGACTTCTAATTTCAGTTGAAGCTGAGTCATGCTCACATAATTTGCTTTTGGTTGGTTCCCCTGCTGCCTGAGCCACCTGAGATGCCCCCACTGCATGTCCATTTCTTCATGCATTCAACAAATACTTAGTGAGTGTCTTTGTTCTAGGAGCTATGGCTGCAGCAGTGAACAAAACTCAAGGCCCTTGCATCTAGCATACTCTCCTGATAAGCTGTATTTCCTGAAGTATGGTGCCGTCCTTTGGACCTCTTCTACCAGCTATCTGGGCTCCGAATCCCTATCTAAGTGCATGCTTATGGAGACCCAGCAATAGTTAGCCTTTTCAAAGTAAGCCTGAAAGACATTCTTATCATTTACAACAACTCTTAATAATTACTGATAGTCATTTAGCCCATAAGAAAGGCAATTGCATAACTCCATGGTCCTGGTTATAAAAACATGCATACATTTAGTAGAGGTAGGAATTTGCCACACATGTCTTGCTTCCCTCTAATGTCAACCTTCCATGGCATTTAACAATGTTCTTCACACCATATATTTTTAATAAATCACATTTTATCAGTTGATAAACATTCTAATGTCACATTTCCCGCCCAACATTGAACTAAACCATGCAGATCAGTAATATACAACCAATTCACTTAAATCTGAACTATAAATATTGTCTAAAATGCATATATAATCATGTTTCAATGTCTCAGATATTTTTTTCACCCACTTCAGTCATCTTTATTCTAGCACAAACTCTAAGCTGGTGGAAAATCCATGTTTCCTAGGTCACCACAGCCAGAGAATAAATATATAGTCAAAACAATGATCACAAAACAATATTTCCTGACTCAGCTTCTGTTTCTGCTAAGAAGTATGAGGCTTCTCAAGAACTTCTTCCTCTGTGTTCCACAAACTAATGTTCTTGGTGACCCCCTGCTAGTGCTTCTCTTCTCCTGTCCTTTTTATAGGGTAATATTTCCTCCTACTGAGGACATCAAAGGCAGCAGCCACCACCCGTGTCTAGCTGAGAGTGCAATACTTGCAGCCAAGGCCATCATCTACTGAAGCTTCTAGTCCACTTTCTGGCAAAGTTACTGAACCTGTTACATGTATATACCAGGGATTAGTCTGAGTATTAAGGATTAATTTGAGGGGGAAGACACAGTGTCACCCCTTTTCTATAGTATTGGTCAAACTCCTTCTTTTTGCTCAGAAGACTCATGAATACAACATACTCCTTACCTCCTCTGCAAATTTTTCAGACTTGTTTATATGTACCTAAAGGTTGGGTGAATTTGGTTTACTCTTAAGCTAAGACACTTGATTTAAGGGTATCCTAGGAAAATCAGTCTGGGAGCCAGGTTAACCTGTGACTATTTGTGAAAGGCTAGAAGGCCTAAACTGGATAAATTTTAATTAATTCATTCATCCCATGTGAATTTATTGACAAAAACCTGTTTCCTGCCTTCAACATTTTCATTTCAGTTTTTACATTTTCAATCAGAGCCAATGAGGTTTATCACCTTATCCACTCAATAAGGTTAGTTTTTAGAAAGCCTTTGAATTACAACATGACAAGTTCAGCCCATTATAAAGAGGAAAGAGGAAAGAGGAAAATCTTTTTTTTTTTTTTTTTGAGATGGAGTCTTGCTCTGTTTGATTTAGAGACACTAGATTTTTTTTTTTAGCTGCTAGGAATGAAATTATTTCATTGGTGTTATGTTCAGCTGTGATTTTAAAACAACAAAAATAGTTCTTTTTGTGTGGTTCAGAAAGTAAGGGGGTTTTAACTGAGCAGGTAAGATTGCAAACTCAAGCTGCAGTCACAGCTTTTTCTTTTGTCTTTCACCCTGCTTATTCATTATTTGGATGTGTGCTGTTTCTTCCCTCAAGGTTACATTTTATAAGACAAGTTTGTTTTTTACAAACATAAACTTTGGATTAAATACACTAGAAGATAAAATAAATATATTAAGATAATTAGTTGAAATATATAACCCAGAGCTATGAAGAAGAAGATTCTGGGAATAGAGCCAAAATGGAGGTGATCATAGTATTTCAACCAGACTAAAAAAATAAACATAAAAATCAGAGACACATATATATATATATATATATATATATATATATATATATATATATATACACATCCTGGTCCTATGTTATGTGACAACTGGATAAGATGACCAATTCTGCATTTTCTTTTCCTTCCAATAGTTCATAAAAGGATCATCTGTAATCCCTACACCGTATTGACCTGAAATTTGTCTTTGTCAAAACTAGTCCTTATAGGCTCAAAATATTTCCTGACTGATGAACATATACATTCATTTTATGTAATGAAATAAATATATTCAGAAGCATAGAAAAATAGAAATAATAAATCTTGAAAAAGGAAGAATTTTAAAATGCATAGTATTTGCATTAATTTCAAGGTGGGGGAAAGGGTTATTTTTGTTTTCTTCTTTATACCTTTCATCACTACAGATATAATTTTCTATAACAAACATTTTGCATTTGAGGGAAGTTTAAAAATAAAAAGGAGGAGGAAGGAAGATGGAAGATAACTGCCTGAACCCCATATGTGCATTTGTCCCTTTCCTTTGGTAGAACACTGTGCTAACTAGCTTACTTCACACTAGTTTACTTATGCCCTTTCATCCACCTGATAAGGCTGTACATTCTGTGTGAGTATCTTGAATGGCACACATCTAGGTGCCAGGGATGACGATACAGACTGTTCTCTTGGTCTATATAATAACAGTAACCAAAAACAACCAGTGGTTACTGTTACTTCCGTTAGTAGAAGGTAACAGTCACCTATAGAATATAGTAAGCAAAATGTGGATTTAAGTCTGCTTCTCTTTAAGAAACGAGGGTCAAAATGCCAGAATGGACCATGGTAAAAGGAAAGCAATATTCAAAGATACTCAAAATTGAATTTGAATATTCAAGCAATATTCAAAAATGTCTTCTCCAGAATGTGAAGTTTTTGATAGGTTTTTCTGTGAATAAAGATTTATATATTGCTTTACAGAACATTTCCATTTTTATATTATATTTTATCTTTGAACTATGGGTTCCGAATACAGTCCCATGGTTCACTAGTCTTATTTCCATGCCTCCAAACAGGAAGGAAAAAAATTGAGCCATTGAATGCCTGTGGGAAGAGACAAAAAAAAGTCTATACCAATTTGCAATTAGGTGATTAACACAAGAGCCAGTGGTAACAAGCAATGTGTTTTTATTCCAAACATCTTTGCTACAAATTGCGGTTAAAAGCTTCACCCTGAATTTTCTTTTTGTCTTTTGACTGTAGGGTGATGATATAAGGTAATTGCACAGTAACTGCAGAATGCTGCATGTTATTTCATGCAAGCCATTTAGTAACTACGTCAGGTAACCACACAGAAAACCCTTTTAATTACAAGATAGGATAGCTTGCATTACCCAGCTGCATTCTTTCTGGTTAGCCTTGACCTATCGGCTCATTGCTAAAGCTTCCATTTGTCCCAGGTTGTGCTTCACCAGCTGCCAAGGGCTACACTGACTCTGGTCGAGTGCTCCTGAAGCTTGAGGCATCACCACGTGGGGATGCCCTCTCTGGTCTCTCCATACATGGACTAATGGCTTGGCTACGATTGCTACTTGGATCTGCTCAGTTCTGGTTAGCAACACTTGAAAGATTCTTCTTGTCTTGGATTCTATGAAAAAAGTGAAAAGTATAGTTGTTGATGACTCAGCCCACACTGACAAATAAATTAAATAGAGCTTCCTTAACAGCTACTTTAAGCAAATATATGCAAACATATATTCACTGTAAGTAATTAACAGTCTGGAGTTATTCCCTTTCAGCACTCCTTCTAATTTTTCCTCCTTAGAAAATGGTGACTCAGTTAGCTATATGTAGCTAAGAATAATATACCCGCAGTGATCTTACTTGTGTCCTCTTTTTTCATCGTCCTGGTTTACATGTTATCTACTGATATTCCTCCATTTTTGTGTAGTTCCACTTTCTACTTAAGTACGTGTCAGGGCTGTTATTTCATTTAGCAAGGTTGGCATGCTAATTTGCAATGCATATTCAGTATTTTTATGCTAATCGCTCAAAATTCAATTTCAAAATACACATAATGAATTGTATTTATAACTCTAGCTATTGTTGTTCCTAATTTGCTATGGAATAGATACTTAAACATTGAGAGACACTCTCTCAAGTCCTCCATAAAATATTTGCTTCTGTAAAGATTCCCTTTTCTGGGACCCTGGCTTTTGACAGTATGAGAATGACTGACTTCCAGGCTAAACGCTACTATGGAGGAGAGACTAGATCTTGTGCAGAAATTGGATCACCTTATCCAGTGTTTTCTCCAGCTGCAGCTACTGGAGGCCTGTTGCTTGACTATTTCATGGCGGCTTATTTGTGGGCTACGACTGTTATGTCTAAAGGAAATCATGACTTTCCCCCCATGGGATTTACAGGTATGAGCAGTGACAGAAAGTATAAGTGTAACTTTTACATTACCATTAGAATAGGCCTATTTTATCTGAAAATTGCATCTAGAAGTTTTTCAGGTTAAAATATTTCACACTGGAGAGAAATATCAATGTGGTGTTTCCGGCCTCCAAAATGTTTCAATTCTTCTTGTTTTTGTTATGGTCCGTTGGTAGCAATATTCTGCCATGGGTCCTGAGTGAAACTGACAGCCCAACATGCCTCTCTTACTCCATCTCATCTTCAGCACCAACTCTTCCCAGAGGGGTTCTTTTCTGACCTTCCTGTTTTGATCAATACTCCATCCTCTTCCTGAACCTAGAGAGTCTTCCTTGACTTCTAGACCCCACACACATTATCAAGTAGCAAAATCCTGTAGTTTTAGAACCATAAAGACAGGAAAGATATATTCAATTTTAAAATATCTAGTTTAAATCATATATTTACCCATAAAACCACACAGGTTTCTTTGCTTTGGCTGATTTTTTTTTTTTTTTTGACAGAGTCTTGCTCTGTAACCCAGGCTGGAGTGCAGTGGTGCAATCTTGGCTCACTGCAATCTCTGCCTCCTGGTTTCAAGCAATTCTCATGCCTCAGCCACCCAAGCAGCTGGGATTACAAGTGTGCACCACCAAGCCCAGCTAATTTTTGTATTTTTAGTAGAGATGAGGTTTCACCATGTTGGCCAGGCTGGTCTCGAACACCTGACCTCAAGTGATCCACCCGCCTCGGCCTCCCAAAGTGCTGGGATAACAGGCATGAGCCACCGTGCCCGGCCTGAAATTATTTTATATCAGTATGGTAACATTTATTGTCTAAGGATTATTAAAACATTACAATGTCTTTTGATAGCATCAGAAGAATACCTGAAACATGAACGTAGATCAGACTTAAATTTAAAATGTTGATCATGTGACTGACCTTGGATGTGGGCATAGTAACAAGGATCTGATACACAAAGCAGTAAAATATTTTAAAATTTCTGCTCCCTTGTTCAAGTTTGGCGCTTATCATTACCACAACCAGGATAGTGCTGTGACTTTTTTTTTTAATATTTGATGATTATGAACTGTTAGTTACAATCTAGATTTGTGCCATAATGGGAAAAATACTAATCTCAAATGGAACATGTTTATCTTTGTTTAGTTAAATATAGTTTGCTTCATAAACCAAATCTTTTGGATCACGGAATCACAGTTGGTGGTAAGATTGGGAATCACCACTATAGCCTCCCTACAAAAATAGCTCTTACCTCCATACCCTCTACCCCATTCCAACTGCAAATGCCCTAGTTTATTCCTTCCTTTCCTCTTACTTGGGCTGTTATAAAAGGCTTCTAACTAGGCTTCCATTATTTTCTCTCTCTTGATTATATTCATTGCTACTCAAGTAATTAATCCTGCTAAAACATTTTAATACATCTCTATTGACATCCTAAGTATAAACTTCCTTACCATGGCATTAAGCCCTCTGAAATACAACTGCAACCTGTATCCTAAGTCTTAACTTTCATTACTGCTTCACAAAATGCCTGTGTCAATCCAGATGTACTAACTCTTACTATTAATCATGGCAATTAGATATAAGGTTCTGAATTGTTGACTCCATGGGTCCAAATTTTGACTCTGCCAATAATTAGATCTATGACTTCAAGTCCATTCTTTACCCTCTCTGAAACTTAATCCCCTCATTGGCAAAATTGAGATAACTCAAAAAGTTAGTTGTTTGTCATTACTATTATTATTATTTAAAGTACCCTTCAGTTTCCTGCCTCTCAAATTTGCTCATTTTCTTTTGTTTTGCTGAACATTCTCCACTCCTTTTTAATCTCTCTAAAGCAGTGGTTCTCCAAGAGTTGTCTTTGAAAAAGGAGTAACAGAATCGCCTAAGAACTTGTTAGAAATATAAATTCTGGGCCCCATTCCAGACGTATTAAATAAAAAATGTTGAGTATGGGGCCTAGCAATCTGTGTTTTAACAAGTCTTCCAGGTAATCCTGATGCACACTAAACTTTGAGAATCAAGACCAATCTCAAATGCTGCCATCTAAAATTCTTTTATTCTTTCTTTCTTTCTTTCTTTTCTTTCTTTCTTTCTTTCTTTCTTTCTTTCTTTCTTTCTTTCTTTCTTTCTTTCTCTCGCTCTCTCTCTCTTTCTTGTTTTTTTGTTTTGTTTTGAGACAGGGTCTCGCTCTGGCTCTGTCACCTAGGCTGGAGTACAGTAGTACCATCTCAGCTTACTGCAAACTCTGCCTCCAAGACTCAAGTGATCCTCCTGCCTCAGCCTCCCAAGGAGCTGGGATCACAGGCATGTGCCAACACACACAGCTAATTTTTGTATTTTTAGTAGAGACAGGGTTTTTCCATGTTGGCCAGGCTGGTCTCGAACTCCTGGCCCCAAGTGATCTGCCCACCTCGGCTTCCCTAAGTGTTGGGATTACAGGTGTAAGCCATTGCACCTGGCCTAAAATTATTTCTTATCCTTCCAAGGGCACCTGATCTCTTTCCTGACTAAAACATTTTGAGCAGCACTTTGTACCATACCTTGGCATTTCTGCTTTACCTTAACCATATGTGTACATTCATCTTATTCCTCTTTTACTTTTGCCAAATTGTTAACACTTTGCAAGAAGGAACTCTGCTTACTCATCTTCCACTAGCAATCAGGGCTTGACAAAGTGTCCTTCAAATATTTGTTTGACTACATTGGAATGAAAGAATCTGTGGTACTTACAGTACTAGAGAATAAATAACTAGAAAGAAAACTTTCTTTTTAATATCAATTAAAAATTTCCATTCTGGAAAATTCAACAGCAACATGGATTGGATGCTTCAAGTTCTTAACTAGCGGAGTTTCAAGAAAGGCAAAGGAGTTAAAGCTCCATCCTTATAATCATCTCTTCATTCTTTGGTTCTGTAGTGTTAGCCCATTTTTTAAACATAACTTTCTCAATGCATAATGTTGGACGGGAAATGTAATATCAAGAATTGAGGCAAAATGTATGTGTAAGGCTGATGGTTCTGTAAAAGTACTTTCTATTTTATCTGCCTATAAAAGGTATACACAATGCTATTTGTGCTTCCCATTTTGCTTAAGTAACTTTGAACTCAGAAAGGAATCCAAGCTTGGCCCATTAAATTGCAAATCCAGTAAAAATAACACATAGTCTCTTTCTTTCTAACTGGATAGAGTCTATCATATACAAAAGGAAATTTAAAAATACTATTTTCTTAAACATCATTCACTAATTAGTACTAATAAGCAATGTTTTAAAAGAAGGTAAAAAGAAGGAACTAGTGGCTACTTAGATGTCTTCAAATCATGTGTGCACAGTGTGTGTGTGTCTGTATATATATTAATGTACATGTGTGTATATATATATAACAACACATATATACTGGAGACTAAAAATAGAAAATACATACATATATACACTAATGAGATCTTTATTTTTAATTAGTTGGATGCTTGATATTGTCCAACTGATAGTTGGGTAGTAGTTGGGCACAGCCTTGTTTTCAAGCAGTTGTAAGTTAGTGTGACTTGCAGTGATGAAAAAGGAATTCACTGTCATTGGGTTTCTTTTGAGGCAGTGGTTTGTCTGTACTACTTACTTTGCTTGGAGACAACCTTTAATTCTCCACAACTTTAATAAATTGATATGCAGGCTGAACTCATAGATAACAGAAAGATGTCACCCTCTTCTAACTATATCTATCAGAAGATTGTTGACTTTTATTATTTTTTTGCCTTTGACAGAGAGTCATGTGCTTGCTGCCTTGTCAGATGTAAGGCAAAGGTTTATGAAACAAAATACAGTTAGTGACTTAAAAATTCTACTGTCTTTTAAACTTTTCCATAACAGTAGCATCTACTTATTTTATTTACTGAATATGTGAGAAAAAACAATAACCATGTTAACGACAGAAAGCTAAAGAAGCAGCTGCCTTGCAGGTAAAGTCCAATCAATACAGCTTCTAACAGGTATTTTTTCCCTCTATTTATAAGGCCCTCAGCTTTACAGATTACTTCCAGAAGGAACTAGAAAGAGACCTCTTGGAGAAATTCTAAGACACTCCTGAAATGTTCTGGGAAAACTCTACTTGCTGTGGCTGGCTATGGAATAAGATAACAGCAGAGATTTCAGAGACACTCTGCACAAGTCACAGAATAAATAATCAGCACACAGAATTCTATTCACCTGCTAGTAAAGACCAAACAGAAACAATTCCAGAACCCATACCTTTATGATAAGTAGACTCAGTTAAAAAGAAAAAAAAAAGGGAAGATGATTATAAAATAAAAAGAAGAGAGATTTCTTTTGGAAAAGGGCTCTAGAAAAAATGCAAGCTCCAATAAGAAATACAGATTATAAGAGCAAGCAGGGATGAACTTGAAAACATTATGGTAAATGAAGTGAAATGAGCCTGACACAAGAACAAATATTGTTGGATTCCATTTATATGAGGTACCTAGAATTGGCAAATTCTTGGAGACAGAAAGTAGGATTGAGGTTACCGGGGCCATAGAGAGTGGAGAATGGGAAGTTATTATTTAATGAGTACAGAGTTTCTGTTTCGGATGATGAAATGGTTCTGAAAATGGATAGCATAGCCTTGTAAATATACTTAATAACATTCAATTATACACTTTCAAAAGGTTAAAAGAATAAGCTTTATGTTAAATATATTTTATACACTTTCAAAAGGTTAAAAGAATAAGCTTTATGACATGTATATTTTGCCACAGTTTTAAAAATATAATGTAAACAAATGAAAAAAAGCAAGTAAGGAGACCTTGTGATAGAAAGTCCCTCTGATACTAACATGTTATGAACTTACAGAAAAGAAAAAAAAAGTTTTCAGAAGAACTATAAAAAGAAGAAATACATTGGATCCTCATCTGCAAGAATTATACTATGTTACCCATACAGAAAAACAACAGAAAATCAAAAAATAGAACAGAAAGCCAGCTAGCACTGAGCAGTGATATTTTTGAAAAGGGAGGTGATCATAAGTAGGACCGATTCTAATAATATCCTGTCTATTTACAATGTTTTTATAAAAGTTATTGTATTCTGTAGACCACCATCCTTACCTATGAAGAAGAAAAAAGGTAAAAAACAAGCCATTTACTGATAAAACAGTTGGCCAGAGAGGAAGACTGATTCTTTACCACAAAGTTAGAGATACTGAGTTGCAGCATAAAGGGTGAAATTGTATTTAAAGCTTCATAAAGAAAGGAAGGGCCGAGCGTGGTGGCTCACGCCTGTAAACCCAGCACTTTGGAAGGGCAAGGCAGGTGGATCGCCTGAGGTCAGGAGTTCGAGACCAGAAAGGCCAACATGATGAAACCCCGTCTGTACTGAAAATACAAAAATTAGCTGGGCATGGTGGCGGACGCATGTAATCCTAGATACTTGGGAGGCTGAGGCAGGAGAATCGCTTGAACCTCGGAGGTGGAGGTTGCAGTGAGCTGAGATCATGCCGTTGCACTCCAGCCTGGGCAACAGAGTGAGACTCTGTCTCAGAAGAAAAAAAGAAAAACAGAGAGAGAGAGAGAAAGGAAGAAGACGAAATTAGAAAATCTGGCTCCGTAAGGTAATGCCCAACACTTGAGCTTCTGTGATTTTGTGATTCAGAGATCTTTGGAAACATTTTAAACGCTCAGCATCTAGCAGTAAAAAGTGGTTTGTAAGTGTACCCCTGGATTACAGAAAATGATCTATATTTGTTAATAAACAACTATTTAAAAATACTTCTACTGTATATATTAAAGCAGCATTTCTTCAAGATGTAGCAATAGCATCTCCAGGGAACTAGTTAGAAATGCACATTAGTAGGCCCCACCCCAGACCTGCTGAATCAGAAACTCTGAGAGTGGGGTCAGCAATCTGTGCTTTTACAAACCAACCCCCCAAGTGACTGATGCCAGCCAAAGTTTGAGAGCCATTGTTTAGGATGGAAATCAGCAGAGAGGCAGTTAGCAGGCCCAGCAGGTGGTTAACAAGACTGCACTGACCCAAGGGAGAATCATAAGCAGGACTCTTGCTGGAGGGAGCTGCTCCTGAAGAAAGGAACATTGCTGAAGCCCTCAAGGGAGGACTTTCTTCTCCTTTTCCAGGAGGATTTCTTATTTGACTAGGGAATTACTTGTCTGTTGCTAGTGTTAGTAAGCTAGGGTTTTAGAGAAATCTGGAAAATAATTCTTCTCAGGAGACAGCATGAAGACTCCTCCTGCTTTCAGAGCACCTGCTCCCCAGCCTCTTCCTCCACATTTCTTCATATTGGAATATATTTGCAATTTATTATGTCACTCAAATCTTTCAGAATGTATGCTCATCTCACCATTACCAAGAAGACCTCTCAAGTTAGGCCTGCCTGATATCACTATCCAAATATTCTACAATAAAAGGATTTAGCTGGAGATTTCAGGAGCCCCATTAGATGTGTGTGTGTGTGTTCTTTTAATCTTTGGTCTTCTTTCCGTCATGGAGTATCTGGGAACAAGGTCCATATATAAATTAGCAGCAAAACCATCTGTTTATACTTAGATTAAGGTTATGAAACCCCCTTAACCTCAATATGCTGTCAAATGTGACTAATTGTTTTTTTTAAATCCGTGAACATATATATATATATATATATTTAAATCCATGGGCATATGTTTCTTTTATAACATCATCCAGGTTGATGAATATTGACGTTTCTTTGTGCCAAGTCTTATCATCTTTTTCTAACTAGACTGAGAGTCTAATTTAGTTCTACAACCTTAAGCCCATGATCTGCCCCTCAGCACTGATACCTGCCTGTTCCCTTTTCAGGTGTATAACTAGCATTCAAAAAGAACAAGATCCAGCACTCTTTCTTTGTCCAGGCCCTGTTTCCTAAACCGTCATGTATCCTACCTTATTTCCCAACCTCTTGCACTGTGATCTTACCACTTCTCTGCAGCCTCATACCTGTTTCCAACCTGACATTGCTGCTACTTTTTCTTCTATAATTTGCACTGGTCTCTTGAATTATGTCTACTTCTTGAAGCCCCTAGTAACAACTGCACAGGATTCAGGAAACAGCACATCAAGTTAGGATTTCCAGCAGTCTCTTCAAAGAAAGCTGGGTAAACTGAACCATATTTAGAATTACACCACTAAAAAGTGTTTAATAGAGGTTTACCAAATCGTTTTGTTTTTCCTCCAAAACCAAAAACACACACATTCACTCTGTGCCAGTGCTTGCTAATGCCTTAATGCTAAATGTAACTTACCAGCCACCTAACCAAGAATCAGTGATTATAGGATTTATGACTATTGGAAGAGATAGTACACAACTCTAATTAGACCTTTTTAAAAAAATGTCTTGGAGGAGGATTTTTGAACCAATGAAATTTAGAAGAGAGAAAACATAATTTCTAAAACTTTGATAAAGAGACATTATAAGTCATGAAAATATGCATTGACTCTTAGAGTGTTTCAAGGAAATAAGGTAGCCTAATAAAGAGGATTAGCTGGGGAGCCAAATGGAAAATTTAATATACTTTTTTCTCCCTCCTATGTTATTTTCCCTTAATTTTCTTGGAATCTATGTTTGTGAAAGAAATAAAGGTTTGATTTGCAACAGGAATATTTTACTGTCTCCATTACCTGAGGGTAGGCACCAACACTTTAGCTCCATGTATCAGTAAAATTGCCAAAGTTTGAGTAGTTCTATTCAATTCAATAGTAACAACAACAACAATAATGACTGGATAATGCTAGGCAAACTGCAGTGACCAAAAAAAAAAAAAAAAAAAAAAAATCCCCAAGTCATAGTGGCATAACATAATCAAATTTTAATTCATGTTCATACAAAGTCCAATACAGTCTAGGAGCTCTCCTGAGAAGTTCCCATTTGATAATGACTCAGGGATGCAATTTCCTTGCATATTGTAGCTACACCATAGCCAAGGTTCCTGCTGCAGAGGTGGAAACAGATGCAGAAAATACACTGGCATTTAACTGTCCTGGCCCAGAAATGCCAATTTCTCTTCATATTTCATTGGCTAGAGCTACTCACATGACACTAACCTAACTGCTAGGTAGTCTGGAAAGTATAGAAGAGCACCAGAATATCTGGTGAGCCCTAAGAGCCTTTCCCACAAGTAGTGCTGATATATTGATTAATGCTGTCTATATTCCAAGAACTGTGCTAATTAATTTATGTGCATTATCTAGGATCCTCAAAACAACCTTTCAAGATAAGTGTTAATAATTTCACTTTATAAATGAATAAACCAAGGCTCACAAAAATTAACTAATTTACATATATTCTTCTTTCTATCATGGAGTGTCTGGGAACAAGGTCCATATATAAGTTCTCTGATTCCCACAGAAACTTTTAAAGGTTTGTATTAGCTTTGGTTTACAATTGAGCCTCATAAACATAAACTAATTTTCCAAAAGTCAAAGGGCAAAAGTAGGATTTGAACCCTGGAAAGACTCTATCTTTTTACTTCTCCACATGCTGTGTACGAAGTGTACTGCTAGGCTCTGGGGATACCACAAACAAAAGGAAACGTGGCGAGGGGAAAGAGAGAGGCCTTATTTCTACAAAATGACATCAGATACTGCCACATCAGCACCATGCACTGGTGCCCCAAGGGAATGTTCACACCTGGACCAGGGATATAAAGAACATTATTTCCAAAGTCAAAAAGACCAGGCACTTGGTCAGAGTTAGGTTTTCCTTAAAGTGAATAGAGTTTTAGGTTCAGAATCCACAGACAAAAATCCATAATTTTACACAATCAATCATGGGTTGTAGAAATAAAATAAATCTTTTGTAAACAACTAAGAACAAATTTGTATCAATCATGCTAGAGAAAAGTTTATTCTGTTCTCTTTATAGAAAATGATATAAAATTTAAAAATTGTTGACATGTAAAGAGGTAATCAAAGAGCTTACATCCCAAAATACTGGGAAAAGGACAGTTTAATTTCAGGAAGTTAATTTAATTTGTGGTATTTGTCAGCTCTTTTAAACTTGTGTGTGTGATTTCTTTTTCTACGTATATATCACTATCGTAACTACTTTGTGTTATTTTTCTTAGAGAGTCCTCTCCTACCCCCAATTATGTAAGGTTCAGGCCCCCCTAAACCAGGATTCACCCTTGCACTACCACATATTGGCAGGTAAAATGCTCATCTCACTGACCTAGTAGAATTTTATTTTTATTTTTATTTTATTTTAAGTTTTGGGGTACGTGTGCTGGATATGCAGGCTTGTTACATAGAATTGGTGTAAAATTTGAAAACCATGAAAAAATAAAACAATAAAGGATCTAGATGCTAATAATGTGGTTAGTTAACATGTTGACCATTTCAAAGCAAAATAAGTCTTTGATGTTTTATACTATTCATGGCAAGATATAAGTATTTAATCTGCAAAGACGTGGATTTGAAAATTCAGCTGCCAAATGTAAAGAACAGATTCCTAGATTATTATTAATAATATCTCTATAAATATTATATTTATCAATAATGGGTACTATTCAACTTTAAAGGACACCTATGGCTCAGTTAGGCCAGGGAATAAAGATACTTGGATAAAAGTAGTATTTATAAAATGAAGAAAGGGGCCCTTCTGATTCACTGTACATAAAATGAAACACTCTAAAGTCTCTAGGGAGAATTAGAGTTTCTGTCTGGCACAAAATGAAGTCGCCCTCTTGTTAGTAGATATAGGATACATTTAATCACCAAGATATAAAAGGAAATTTGATAGTGCCCAGAAAAAAAAATGCAATGCTAATGACTTGAAATTTAATAAATAATGTTAATGCTTATGCTCAATAAATGCCTGATGGACTTTTCTTTTAAAAAATTTGCTACTATAGTCAACATTTTCAAAAATTCTACTTGGAAAACAGAAATAGCATTTCTCATACTGAATGTCTTTAATAGCATGAAGAGGAAAATGAGACTAAAATAAGACATTGTCTTTATCAGTTTTTATCAGACTACCTAAAACATGTTACAGAGTTCAACTCGGTAGCCCTTACATTCCAGATAATTTTGAAATATACTACTGTTCTTTAACTGGGTAGCTTGTGGCCCAGAGAGATGAATCGATTTGTTGAAGGTAAGTAGTAAATACACTATAAGAATAAAGGTGGGGAGGAGGGGAGGAGAAGCTAGAATCTTGAGCACAAACTCTGAGCACAAACTTAAGAAATTCCAGTAAGTTTCTTAAAATAAATTATTCTATTTCTTCTCAGGAAGACACTAAGACCCTGTTTTCAATAAACTATGATAGCTCCAGAAATAATTTAGTGGTCAATCTGAGAGTCATTTAGATCGATCTAATTATATTCCAATGGCTCTAAATATACTGGGAACTATGGATAATTTTGAAGAATTTAATTCACAGAGAAAGTATAGAAACACAAATCAATAGAGAATGCGTTATGGTAGAAAATCCTTCTCATATAAAAATAGTTCTGTTCACACTTTGTACCTCCTCTAAATTCTACTTCACTCAAATTCTGGGAAACCAAAAAAAAAAAAAAAAAAAAAATCTAAAACTAGATGGATAAAATCCCAGGATCTTTTTTTTTAAAAAAAAAAATCTGGAAAGGATTTTAAAGATCATCTCTTTAGCCTTCAACTCTCTTGTTCTAGAGACCCTGAATGTTTAAATGACTTGTCTGAAATAGTCATTTAGATAGAGGCAGAACTAGGACCAGAAACCAAATCTCTCCACTCCTACTACCACAAGACTGTCAAAAATCACACTGCCTCTTCCCAAACCTTTCCCACTCCCAAAAAAAGATTTTTTTTTAAAAAAGTCTTACAGTGGATAATCACATTAAAAAAGAATCTGAGGGTATATGAGTAGAATTCCTAAGAGTTTAGATTTTTAAGAAAATTTTTATTAAGATAAAACTAATATTCCCAAGAGACAGACATTGGGAACACTATTTGGCTTTAAGGTTAGGAGTGGTGATAGCAAAGGAGCAAAACAGAAAGGTAAAGGCAGGGAGAAACTGTGCAGAACTATACACTCAGTAACCCTATTGTGAGCCATATGCTGGATGCTGAGGAAAAGGAAATGAAAAGCTTTGAAATGCAGCTGTCCTACTTCCTGCTATTTCCATTTGAACCGAACTATTTTTCCACCAGGATCCAACACGTGTGCAGTGACACATGGAAACAGGGTGAGCTTATGAACACAGGGGAATAGTGTCCAGCATTCCCAGCACAGCACCCTGGAAGCACACAGCCACTCCCAACCTCCACCCCAATGGATGGTAAATGTGGAAGAAGACCTATTGATGGAAAAACCCACTTTGGAGCAGAAAAGGAAAGCCAAAAAATAGCTCAGGCACCTGGCTGCCATTTATGAATAATGCCAGCAGACAAAAAACATTAGATCTAAAACATCTTAGTTCGAAAAGATCTTTATTCATTCAAATCATGGCAAGAAACTCCTTCAGGAACACAGGAGATAGTGGTACCAAAAACAGATAACCACGCAAACTATGCAAACTTGGAAAAGTGCATTGCTTTGTCAAAGTTCATTAAGTAGGTCTTAATATTTTAGCAAAAGAAAATCTTCCATCTGAACACAGGGCATGACAAAGCTCATTTCACACAATGGAAGGAAGGCTTTTTTTCTTGTTTCATGTTTGTATGTTTCTGACACTGCAGTATTAACATTTTAAATTGAATCTTTAAATGATTTTTCTGATGTCAACAACATTATTGGGAAGGCCAAGCTCGGTAGATGACCTTAACTGAGGTGGTTACAGCATTGTTCCCGGTAATTCGGCTTTGTGATATATCCTTCTTCTCCTAGGTATTAAGGTCTGGTTTGAATTAAAGTCCGCAGCATACTCACAGCTGTGGGGAGTAACTGAAAGGACTTGTTTTCATCTGATGGCCAAAAGACTTTCTTGTAACATACAGTTTGTACATTTAATTACTTACTTGTTGGGCATTTATTGACCCTCTACACACCTGATGCCAAGCACTGTGCTAGGTATAGATATAAATCCTGACCTAGTTTCAAGCCCTATTTTTGCTGAGTAATTACATTTCAGTGGAGCATGATATTTAACCCCCCTGAGCTCTTAGGTTTATTGTAAAAACTGAATGAGATAATATATGTAAAATACTCAATACATTATGGTTTTAAGATGACAGTTCCTGCCTTTGAATAGCTCGATTTGAAAATGACATGTACATGAATAACCAAAATGTAATATGCTATTTGCTACAGCAGAAGGTGTACTCTATAAGACAGTACAGAGAAAGGAGTGGCTAATTTTGTCTGGAGTGGGGCTGGGAGAAGGTCATCAATGAAGTGTCAGAAAGAAGGTAACCTTGACAGATGAGTAAAGAGGGGAAGAGAGAGACATTTAGAAAAGTTAAGATTAAATCTCCCAGGTCTCCTGGTAGCAGCAGAAAAGTTCACCCCCTCAGGCCACTGATGCTCCCTTTCTTGGAAGTTGAAAGTTGCGCACATTTCCAGCTTTGCCCCACACTGCCTGGCCCTAATGGCATTTCCAAAAAGCATTCTACTGAGGGGACTGATCCTTCCAAGGAAGCAGCTTAGGAAAAAGATAAGATAAAATCAGCAGATGAGTCATAGAGGAACTGAGGGAGAGGGAGGGGAGGACACCATTGGATAAATCTAGAGTTAAAAAATAAAATAGTTAAGATCACATAATACACTCAGGGTGCTGAGGACTTAGTATGTGTTCTACTAGTTTTCTAATAGAAAAAACTACTGGTTAAAAAAAAAAAACCTATTCGCCAAAATGTTAGAGTGTCTGTTTCTTCTAACATGTAAGGGAAGTATTCTACGGTGACAGACAAAGCAATAAGAATATCACTAATGAAGCAGTGATCTAGTATGGAGGTGGCAAATAGAAGAAGCCACTGCCCCCTCCCCTCCCTTTCCTCCCCCTAGGCCGGCATTATAAATTAATCATGGCACACTTTCCTTTTGAGACTGGATGCAACCTCTGATTCTTGGTCTTTATTGTCATCCCTGAACTAGTAGCCCTATAAATAATATGCTGAAAACACAGTGAACAACATGATATTGTGCCCACAGAAAGATCAGTATTGCAGTCTCATTGGTCTGATTAAGAGAATCATATAAACTCTCAAATTTCAACTTGATTCTAGATATTTACTGTGAAATGAGGCTGAGACACAGTGTTGAATATTATGGATTGGTTTACTCAACATTTATGCCAACTCTCTTCTAGCATGCAGAAGCTGGAAAGCTAAAAAACAACATCTCTTGGTCCTTTTACATTCAGGTTTTAGGTTTCAATTCAGAAAGACTTGCATGAAGAGAAAGGTAGAGTTCAACGTACATATTCCTAGAAAGGTCTGTGCTGGAGGCAGCATTGTCTCATGGTCAGCCACAGAAACCCAGGCTTCCTGATCCAGGGTCTTCCTGGCCCTGGTGGAGGAGGTGGCAGCAGCTCATCCGGATGCCCAGTTCTCTAATAAGGTTTGAGAGTCATTCCTGGAAGCTCAACCTAGACCCTGTTTCTTCAGCTCCCTCTGTCACAATGCTTTCACAAACCTCTTAATAGCCAAATATCTTTCAGCTTAAACAGGCCAGACTCTTATCTAAAACTGAACTCTGGCTATAACAAACATGAAAAACTACTGTAGACCATATTCACTGGAAAAAATAATTTGGCAAAAATAGTTCTAATGGCATGGATATTTTAGGTAAAGCTCATATTATTGTAGCTCCAACTGTTAACTCCCTATGAAAATAAATTCAAAATCTATATTTATATCTCCAAAGTCTGACCTTATCTGCCCTCCCATATCTTAAATTGCTTCTTAAACTTCTACACTTGGGTTTTCTGCCATCACCAATAAGTCATATATCAATAATTTTTTTCAATCTTCCCTTTCATTATTCTGGTCACCTGGGCTCAAAACTTCAGCATAATCTCACTTCTCTCTTTGTCCTTTACCAAGCCCTAACAATTCTTTTTTTGCATAATCTCTCTTTCCCATTGGCACTATCATCAATCTAGTTCAGCCTTTTCTCACCTTGTGCTTGCTCTAGTGTAATATTCTCCTGTCTGGTTTCCCCTGTTTTTAGTATCTCCTAATCGCTTTGGCCCACAAATTTTTCCTAGCTATGGCACCCAAATTAGCACTCCTAAAAATCATTCTCATTTTGACACTTCCTGCTCAAATATTTTAAGACTTCCTATACCCCAAATATAAAATTCAAACAATTTAGCTTGGCGCTCAAGGCTTCCACAGTCTGACTGCCAACTATCTATCCAAAATTACTTCCCATTACTTCCCGTCTTAAGCACTATAGCCAACTACAGCCAAACTTGATTCTTCACATTCTCATTACTTACTGAAATACTATTCTGAAGAATCATGTTTTGTACACCATTTTTCCTTCCTTCATTGCTCCTTACTCTCTTCTCTACATTTCATGTAATATGAATGGAAAATCATAAACCTCCTCCATTACAAGGCAAAAAGGGGAGTGAAGACTCCAGAGCTATCTGAATGACAAATAGAAAAGAATTTACTAAATTAGGAAAATAACATTTTAGATTATTTTATTGTTTCAGTCAACTGACTATCAGACATATGTTTTATTTGGATTTTGGGAGAGTTGCAAGTTCTTGTTAGTCTTATGGTTCTCCAGGTGGAAAGGAGACCAACATACTATTCAAATGGACTAACATCATGAAATTATTTACACTGGATGACAGATAATGACAGATAATACACTGGCTTATGTAACTGACTTTTTTGGTGCATATAATTGTGAATAAAGCCAGATAAGAACTTGGTTAACTTCAGCCAATTGAGACATCCATGCAGATGATCAGCTGGCTGAAACTCTCTATCACTACTGTATATTTTTTTTTTCTGTGACAATTTTAGCATCTGCTTCAGGAATGCATTGTTCATTTTATCTATCTCATCAGAGAGCCTCAACTCTACTTGTAAAACAATGGACTGTTTTTCTTTTTTCTTTTCAACCTTTCTCCTGTCCTGCAGTGTGCTTGCACCAGCAGGTAGAAGGATTCTCTTCCAGGTATGCAGCATCCTGACACACATCACCTCTCCCCTCTCCCTGCTCTGCCACTGTACTTTTCCACTTGAGGGCTCTGGCACAGTAGACCAACTGATGCATCTGAATTCACGCTTGCTGATTATGGTCTTAGGCTTATTTTGTTCATCTTGTTTGCTACGTCCATATCACCTAAGGGATGGATGTTTAAGGCTTCAGTGTTATTTTTGGCTTCCCTGCCTATTTTCACTTGTCAAAACCTGAGAAGCTCCCATAATGTTTTCCTGTTAACCAGCTCTTCCATAGATAGTCTGGATGTTTCTCTTCATCTTCTCTTCATACCTACCATGTCCAGTTCATAGAACTCTAGACCAGGCAAATACATTCTTCTCCATTCTAATAAGATGTGTGCCACCAGTAGCCTAAAATTCATCTTCCTATTAATGACAACCATGATTCAGAGACTTCCCATTGTTGGTCCCATCTTGGTAATGTTTTAAATACTTTTAAATACTTATTGCTCATTTAAAGTCACAGAAGTTACTGGGAAAAGGTGAATGACAATGCTTCAAGTCTGTCTGGGATTTTTCCCCCCTAGGACCTTATTGCCCAAATATCCTCCAGAATCCCTTCCTTTCCCAACAAATGGGCTCAACAAGTCTTTTTAGGCTTTCCAAGCCAACTGTTGTGCTAGAGAAAGACAAGAAATAGGTCACACCAAATCTGCATATAGCCACATACAGGGATTCACTTTCTATTCTCCTGACTCAACTGTCAGTTCTCTTTCACCATGCTGGAATCCTGTATTTCCCGGTTTTCTTAATTTTCTACAAGAACTTTGCATTCTCTTTCTTTTTTTTTCTTTTTTTCATTCCCCAAGTCTCTTCACACTCTGCTCAAGCTAGATTGCATTTAGTTCCCACATGTCTGGTTCTTCCCTCTGGCAAGAAGATAAACAGTACTTTCTCTGTCTCCCCCTAAGCCCCATTCCTCTTCAATCTAGGATTGAAATCTGAAATGGAATCCTCACCCTTTGTGACTTCTCTCCACAAATACCTTTCTCAAAAAAAAAAAGGTTAATCATACATTTCTCTGCCCAAAGAAGCTGATAGCTGCTCTCATTGTACTTCATTCACCTATTTTTGGAAAACGTAGACACTTTTAAAACTAAAAAATGAGGGTCTTTGGGCCCTTCATAAATGTAAAACATGCCTGTCTTCCATCTTGTAAACTATAATGATCAAAAGCTTAGATTTCATCACTCATCGGGCCTGGCCAGGTACCCCCGTTATATGTTCTCAGGGGGCCCTATACCTTTCCTTTATTGCCATCTTCAGTGTTATTCTCAATAATTTGTGTGATTATCTGCTAAACAACTGAATTCTTAACCCTGCACCTACCATTACCCTCCAATTTGCTGCTTGCTATCCAAAATATGAATGGAAGGCAGTAGGTTTCACAAGCATCACAGTGAATATTCAGCAGTATATGGAGAGATAACATTTCAACCCACAGCAAAGGCAGACAAGAATGAAGATGCACTGTAGGCATATGCTCTGAATGCAGATGGGCTGACAGCCTGTAGGCACCACAGAAAGCAAAAGAAAGAACTTCTGCTGGTACTGCAGAGTCACTGCAGAAGATTATAAACATGCCAGAACCTTCTGAGCAACAGAGCCACAAGAGACACCTCAGTGGAAAAGGCTGTTTGACTTCAACTCTAATAACCTGAACACGATGAAGGGCAATTAGCCTCAAGCTGTGGCCTCCACCAGGGAGTGCTTTTGGTCACCTTGCAGCAGGTGTGCCTTCCTCCTGTGGTCCAGAGCAGCCCCATACTGCTTCACCATCCATGCACCCCACTTCTCCAGGAAGAATCAAGTTTCTCCTCTCCTGCCTCAAACTGTAACACACTAAATATTTTTTCTCCTGATCACATATCAATTTATTGTGGCTTCTTATAAACCCCTTTTGTGCTTGTTCCTAGGTCATGGAAATCAAGAGTAGAACAAATAATGAAGTGCTCTAGGACAAAGAGAACTGAATTCTAATCCACTGTGCAAATTTGAAGAATTTAAATAGCATTATCACTCTGCTATGACCTGGCTTTTGTCTTGAGCAAGTCACATTGCTGGGCCTGTTTCTTCAGCTGTTAAACAGAGGAGCCACCTGGGTTTTCAGCTAGGGTAGACTCTCTAGGACAGAGTTGGTCAAATTGCGTTTGTAACCATTTGATTGGTCATAAAACCAATTTTTGTAATGGATTGGAATACTTAAGAATACATTGCACAGAACAAGACTATTTGTCTATAAACTTTTGTTCTATCTGTGAGTTGGGTGTTAAACATATTTCTTATTGTTAATAGAACTGAAATGTTTTTAAAATTCTGAGCTACAAATATAGAGAGACAGAAAATAGATTAGTGGTTGTGTAGGGCTAGAAGTAGGAATGGGGAGTGACTGTAAATTGACTTAAAAATTTTTTTTAGGGTGATGGAAATGTTATAAAATTAGATTGTGGTGGTGGTTGGACACCTCTGTAAATATACTAAAATTCATTAAATTGCGCATTTAAAATGGATGAATTTTATGGCATTAAATTACATCCTAATAAAGCTGTTTGAAAACAAAGCAAAATACTGCTCTACAGGGCAGTGAATTTGCTTCAGGGCATCTATGGACTCTTCAAAAGTGTATCATAAATTTTATTTTTCTGGGAAAGAGAACATAGCTTTTATTAGATTCTCAAAGGGATCTAAGACGCATAAAACTTTTTAAGAACCACTAGATTAAACTGTCAATTTCCTCCTACCACTAAAATTCTATGACTCTAAAATTCTAAAGTTTATTTCTTCAAAATTAAAATGATAAAAAAAAGTTTCATTTCCAAAGCACTTGCAAGAATCTGTTTATTTATCCAGTGACCTCAGTGTATTGGCTCACATGTGTTAACATATTTTAAGAAATAAATCACTGTGCAAATTTGAAGTATTTGAATAGCACTATCATTATTTGATTATATTTTTATATATTTTATTATATTTATCTGCATTTGGTTTATATCCACAGGGTTTTTAGTCATAGATACATCTGTAATTTATATGCCAATTACATATGATAATGTTATTTGTACCTCCAATTTTTTTTCTCATATTGGTGATCCCTAATTCCAGGTGTGGTAGAGCTCACAGATCATGCACAATCTTCTCACTATGTGCAGGCCCTTTGGTAGCAAACACAAAAGAAAATCAAGAGATATAAAGAGATCATACAAAAGGAATTTTGTATATCTTCTGTAAACAGAAAGACAGATTGGAAATTTGTAAGCAAAGTTGCAATATGGAAATAGGAAAAGGCATTTCTGAATAAGGGGGATGTTTATTCAAGAGGTTGTGTTAGATCCTTGTGTATGGGCAATGAGCTATCAGCCAACTACAATTACTAGGTTATGAGTTCTTGGATGGAAAGGAATATGCCTACTTTGTCTAACAATGCTAAAAAACAGGCTATATGTACATGATAAGTGATTAGTGTCTGTTGGTAATAACCAAAGGGATGGATACAATCTAATTATCTATCGAGAGGGGACAGGTCAAATAAATTGATATTTTCAAACCTTTATAATAATGAGGTATGTTTACATGTGCTTTTAGAAAATGATCTCCAGAATATATTATTATATGAAAAAAAGCAAAGTTTAGTTTATCCCCTTTAAAATAGTAAAAAAGAAACATAAGAAATATAAGATTTTATATATAATATTTCTAGAAGAATTCAGGATATCTGTTTATGGTGAATGTCCTAAGGAGTAGGACAGAGTTACTGGTGGGAAGGAGAATTGCTTTTCATTGTATACCTTTTTATCCCTTTTGAATCTTTTAATTTATAAGTTCATTAATTTTTCATTTAAAATATTTAAAAAATAGTATTACAGAAAGTAATTCTGTATCACTATGCATTCAGCTCTTTAACATACCACATCCCATTTAATATAAACAACAACTCATCTTATGGATGAATACATGAAGGCTCAGAGACCACAAGTGACTTATATAAGGTCACATAGCTAGACAGTAAATAGCATATTTAATACTTGACCCAAATCCTTGGGCTTCCTACTCACTGATGCTTTTCCCACAACTCCACAGACCAAGTGCATATGGATATAAAACCACAGTACATTTCAACATAGTTCAGTCAGGTCAATTCAGTACTCAAGCATGCTGGTTTTGCTACAGATGACAGATCAAGCTTAAAAGTACTACATGATATTTTTCCACATGGCTCCTGCTCCTTCTAGTCCTTATAATTCTTTCCTATTGGGGCCCAACTTCTTCATTTACATGGCTCTTATCTCTGGCTTCCAGCTTATACATTACTTTTTCCCCATAGCTGTAATTAGCCCCTGAACTCCCATCATCTTGGATCTTCCATGCTACATTCATCGTTCCCTTCCAATATCTTTTATTCCTTTTTTTTAATTGAACTCTTAGCTTCTACCTATTTCCATTTCTTTTTTTCCAGGTACTAAGTTATCTCTCCCTTATTTTATACAACTTCCTATCTTCCTACCTACTCCCAAATTAATAAATCCCAATTAATCAATCAACTCCCAATTAATCAATTATCTCCCAATTAATCAATCTCTGCTAAGAGTTCCTTACCCTTCCACTGAGCATGGCTACTTTGATCCTTTTACCCCAAACATAAGTATTTATAATATTTTTATACCTTTGTATAGTATCCATTTTATAATTTTACCATATTCTTTAATAGCGACTCAACTGCACTTCTCTGATATTAAGACCATGGATAATATAACTCAAGAGTACGTTTTTTTCATACCAACAATTCCATGGTTGGCAGTGTCCAAGTGGTTAAAAACATGTCTCTAAAATTAATAAAACCTGGGTTTGAGTCCTAGTTCTGTCATTTAATAATTGTGTGAGTTTGGGAAATTTTCTAAATCTTATCTGCTTCCCTATTTGTAAAATGAGGAGAGGAATACTTATTTTATAGGTTTCCCGTGATAATTGCGTGGATAATGCAAGCAAAGTGCTGCAGATGTTAGTGGACTCAATGTAAGTAGCAAGTAAATACCCCTCGTCTTAGCCTCACTACCGCATCAGCTCTCCACAAACCTTGCAAAACAAATCTTTTCCTTCTCCAAGACCCATCCCACCCACCTCTCAGCCTCAACACTACCTCAACACATCATCTGTGTTGAAACCAAGAAAATTTCATCATGCCACTTACACTAAGGGATTCATAGGAAAAATACCAAATATGCATCCTTTGGCACAGAATATTTTGTGCCTTACCCTTTTTGGAGTAAAGCTATAAAATTTCCTCTAAGTCATAAAACTCTAGATTTTAATCTCAGACATTTTCTTTTTGGAAACAATTAAAGTCTCTTTGTGCTGCATCAGAATTCACAAAAAAGCTATCCAGTGTCCATTTACATTAATTATACTGGTGATTGACTATGGCTATGCCAGAGAATGTATTCCAGGCTCAAGTTCTACTTTTTGATGACTGTTCTCAGGATCATCAGACACCTGTCCGATGTAGCAGCTGGAATATTTAAGCATCACAGTGCTTTTAAAATAGCAGACAATTGCTGTGGCTGCAAGAAAAAGAAAAATAAATTAATTAAAATAAAATAGCAGATAAGCCAAACCACAAAGACATATTTTAAACCAGGGGGTTTTAACACTGAACACCCTGATTTCAATTTTTTCAATGCTATCTAAATAGAAGTATATTATAATCCAAGATAATACAAGCCTATGGCTCCAAGCAAAGTCAGATGGAGAAAAAAGTAGATTTGGTTAAAGATAAACGAAAAGAAACATTTCTTCCTCACCTCTACACTTTGATTGTAGTTCCTGGAATCAAATCAGAATGGAGCTAGGCTCCCTACAAGCCCCATTGGAATGGATAAGGGAAACTGTGAAAAACTCTAAGGGACCAACAAGTCTTTTGCACTGGAAGGAATCTTCAGAGATTTTCCTGACCCTAGTCTAACTCCAGTCCCCTTGTTTTACCAAGCAGGAAACTGAGGATTAGAAAGATAAACTGAAAGTCCCAACATGAATTCTAAAGATTGTCAAAGGAATCATAATAGTGAGATTCAAAATAATATACCTTCTATTTCTCACCCAGCGCTAGGTGATGAAGGCTGGGTATACAGTATAATTGGTCTAAGTGAGCATTGTAACCCATTGGGTTACCAAATCAGGAATAAGCATGTGACCTAGTATCAATCAAACAAATATAAGGGAAATTTCTATGGGGATTTCTGGAAGGAATTTTGATCCTTAATAAAAAAAAGAAACAGTGAGAAGGACTATATCTTCTTCTGGTTGTGAATGCATAACTTTGAAGATGCAGTTCCTGGAGCTATCATAGTTGTACTGCAAACTTGCCTTAGACAAACCTTAGAAAGAAAATCAAACCACTGAGGGTGGCAGAAGGGAAAGATACAAAGAGCAATGGTCACTGAGAGTACTGTTGAATTGCTGCACCCAAGTAGAATAATTACTAAATTTACTAAAAATTATTGAATTGTGCACTTTCAATGGGAAAAAACTATGGCATGCAAATTATACCTCCAGAAAGTGTAAAAAGCAAACATTTGATTAATTATTGAAATACCTAAATCATTCAGTAAAGGATTTGATGTAAACAACTGGTCTACCCAGTACCAAACAAGATATAAGGATGCAAATATATTCCTTTAGGTGGATTAACAGATGAGTTGTTCTGACTGAAAAATTATTAAGTTAAGTCTAAAGTGAATAAAAGAAGAGAAAAAGGGTACTAAAATGTCAAAACAAGAAGCAATCATTGACAGCTACATTTTAGGAAATATATTCTAATATCTGAGGCAGAACCTCAACTGGGTTTGGACAAAAAAGAAGTATTTGGGGTAAAACAAAAAAGTGTTTAGCATATTCTGACAGTGGAAAAAAAGTAGGGAAGTGCGATTGTTAAGGGTTAGGTTGAGTGTTTCAGTTTGTGCTCAGAAAGGGCTATTTATAGTTATTTAGATTTCAAATTAATATTCAGATATTTTTAAAGGTAAGATATTCTTAAACCTTTGAGGTCAACATCCAAATCTTTCACTTAAAAAATCTAATATTTTTGTATAAAATAAGAATAATCACTTTCAGATGTTCTTTTATTGTTGTTTTTAACTGAACATGAGTTCAAGTAACTCATGTTGAACAGATTACAATCATGTAAATAATTCTGTTTAAATACTTAATTACACTTTGCCACATTTTAAATTATAAATTTAATAGATTTGATTTTTTGCAAGCATTTCAAGTGTCTGCACAGGTACACCTATACCCTAAAAAGTAAGGCCTTCCACAGCTCCTTCATCACTTCTATAGAGCTAATAAATTTTATCTATGAAAATATGAATCACGATTGTTCATAAATATTCCGAAACTGATTTTAATAAATTATTCAAATTCTTATATTTTTCCTCTTAAGTCACATATCTAAACCAAATACATATTTCAAATGAAAGTGACATGTGTAATCTCTTAGATTAAATAACACATACACATATTTCCCTAATGATTGTGTAAAATGTTCTTATATAAAAGCCTAAGTATCATGGGTTTCATTTATTTCATTGCATCCATTTTAATTCTAAACCTTCCTGAGTTTCAAGAGATTTACTCAGTGAAGGAGATTTACCATCTCAAGTATTAATAGAATGAAGTTATTAAATCAAAGTTCTAAGATCTTGATAGTTATTTATTGTTCAGAAATTTAAGACTAGAGAGTGGAACTTGAAATCTATACTTCCATGATTCTTCCAGAATCACAAAATAGATTGCAGCTATTTTATACAAACTGTGTCAGCAAGTCTATGCAGCTCACAAACCAATTTTATTCACCTGACTGGGATAGCTAGAATTCTGCATCCTTACCATGACTGCAATTAACTTCCTTCATGCTCTGACTTGATTCCATTAATTTCCTTACTGTCTGATAGGACTCTGCAAAATTTTTGCATTCTTTTAGTCCTGATTGGATTTTGTATGCCTCTCATACTTTGGTCTGACTCTAGACATACTCATAATCCTTTTAATGACACACTTGACTTTGCAGTGGATCTGGCCCACAGTGTCTTCTATCCTTTAACAGAGTTCTTTTTGTCAAGGATCAGGTGCCAAAGAAGAAAGTTTGTGAGGTCACGAAATTGATGCCCAGGTCATTACTTTCATGATGGAAGGTGATCTATAGTGTTGGAATGGTTAGAGTGGAAGCCAAGCAGGGAATAAGTGCAAGGTGGTCAAGAAAGACTCACTGGGTGAAGTAATACTAGTGGCCTGATAGAGGAGTAGAGAAGACGGAAGCTATAAGAATGTGGTCCTACAGGGAAAATGGCTCCATTTACTCTCTGGGAAATTTATGATGATAAAATCCAGGGTTAATGCCACGCCCATATATGGAAAATATGTTGGGAAAGTGAACCTGTGCAAAATTAGAGAGTGAAAGATTTCAAAGTGGAGAAGCCTAAAATGTACTAATGTAGATGTAAAAGGCATTAGGGATGGTGGCAAAGGTAAAATGAAGAAAGAAATTTGATCCAAGAGCTCCAGCCATCTACTAAGAGAACCCCAAGCCAAAAAATCCCTATTCAACTAACATTTTGGACAGTCCAAGGATGTGTGAGCAACAAGCCAGCTACCTCTTCATTTTAAGCCACATATGGTATATCAAAAATTTCTACTGGTGACAAGAACTGAAATAATACAGTTTCTTCAGAGCTGGTAGTGATAATTAAATTTGATCTGTGGCAACTTTAAACATAGTGTTTTTGAAAATAAAGGTTTGAAAAAGTGATAAAAATGTGTTATTGTACTACACTGAGCTAATCTCATCTTTATTTAAAATCATACTCCAAGGTTGGTCTACATTGCCTTCTATATTCTTGCAAATGTTTCTGAATTGGACGGCCTGTGATTCAAACAGAAAAAGTGAAATATAAGAAGCCAGAAAACTTATTGCTCATAAATTTCCTTAAAGGAAAGAAGAGGAAGAAATGTTGGCACTCAGCTTGTTTCCCTAAATGGTGAATGGCTTCATCATCCCACCCCTAATTCAAGTGCTTAGAAATTTAGCAGAACAATTGACGACAAATTTAACTTGATCTTTGCCAGAGATATGAAAATTTTAGTTACAAATAGGATTGCCATATTTATCAAATAAATATTCAAAATACTCAGATAAATTTGAATTTCAGATAAGTAACAATTTTGGTGGAAGTATTTAACCAAATATTGCAATAATGCATGGGACATCCTTATACTAAAAATTTATTTATTGTTTATTTGAAATTCAAATTTAACTGAATATGCTGAATTTTATCTGGCAACATTATGTTTTCAAGTGAGTAGAGTTTAGTGACTTGAAATTAAAAAGCAATGAACCAGAGGCTGTATGACAAATATAGCTCATAAGGGTAATAACTTTACCCAAGACTCTAATTTCCTTCCATTACCTATCCCGTGCTCCCATCCCTGTAATATTTTTTAAATTTTCAAATTTTAAGTTTTAGTCCAATTTTTACATAGGGATAGTCAAGTGAGTAGCAACTTTGAAAACCAGCTTGACTCTAACAGAAAATCAGTTCTTCTCCCAGTCAGAAGGCATTCTAGATTTAAAAGCTTCATTTATTTATGTCAACATTTTTAGCTAATAAGAAAATAAGCACAGTTTATACATAGTTGTTACAACCTACTAAATCAGCTAAAACCTTGCCTGTTTAATAACTAATATACATGTCATATAAATGAAAATAAGTAACAGATTACTGACTTCACTTTTTTTTTATTATTATACTTTTAAGTTTTACGGTACATGTGCACAATGTGCAGGTTAGTTACACATGTATACAAGTGCCATGTTGGTGTGCTGCACCCATTAACTCGTCATTTAACATTAGGTATATCTCCTAATGCTATCCCTCCCCGCTCCCCCCACCCCACAACAGGCCCCGGTGTGTGATGTTCCCCTTCCTGTATCCATGTTTTCTCATTGCTCAATTCCCACCTATGAGTGAGAACATGCGGTGTTTAGTTTTTTGTCCTTGCCATAGTTTGCTGAGAATGATGGTTTCCAGCTTCATCCATGTCCCTACAAAGGACATGAACTCATCATTTTTTATGGCTGCATAGTATTCCATGGTGTATATGTGCCACATTTTCTTAATCCAGTCTATCATTGTTGGACATTTGGCTTGGTTCCAAGTCTTTGCTATTGTGAATAGTGCCACAATAAACATATGTGTGTATGTGTCTTTATAGCAGCATGATTTATAATCCTTTGGGTATATACCCAGTAATGGGATTGCTGGGTCAAATGGTATTTCTAATTCTAGATCCCTGAGGAATCGCCACACTGACTTCCACAATGGTTGAACTAGTTTACAATCCCACCAAACAGTGTAAAAGTGTTCCTATTTCTCCACATCCTCTCCAGCACCTGTTGTTTCCTGACTTTTTAATGATCGCCATTCTAACTGGTGTGAGATGGTGTCTCATTGTGGTTTTGATTTGCATTTCTCTGATGGCCAGTGATGATGAGCATTTTTTCATGTGTTTTTTGGCTGCAAAAATGTCTTGTTTTGAGAAGTGTCTATTCATATCCTTCGCCCACTGTTTGATGGGGTTGTTTTTGTTTTTTTCTTGTAAATTTGTTTGAGTTCATTGTAGATTCTGGATATTAGCCCTTTGTCAGATGAGTAGATTGCAAAAATTTTCTCCCATTCTGTAGGTTGCCTGTTCACTCTGATGGTAGTTTCTTTTGCTGTGCAGAAGCTCTTTGGTTTAATTAGATCCCATTTGTCAATTTTGGCTTTTGTTGCCATTGCTTTTGGTGTTTTAGACATGAAGTCCTTGCCCATGCCTATGTCCTGAATGGCATTGCCTAGGTTTTCTTCTAGGGTTTTTATGGTTTCAGGTCTAACATTTAAGTCTTTAATCCATCTTGAATTAATTTTTGTATAACGTGTAAGGAAGGGATCCAGTTTCAGCTTTCTACATATGGCTAGCCAGTTTTCCCAGCACCATTTATTAAATAGGGAATCGTTTCCCTATTTCTTGTTTTTGTCAGGTTTGTCAAAGATCAGATGGTTGTAGATATGCAGCATTATTTCTGAGGGCTTTGTTCTGTTCCATTGGTCTATATCTCTGTTTTGGTACCAGTACCATGTTGTTTTGGTTACTGTAGCCTTGTAGTATAGTTTGACTGACTTCACATTGTTAACTGAAATTTTAACAAAAAGTGATCAATTTGTCATATGTTGGTAATAAAAAGTCATCCTCATTAAATATCAAATGTATGAGAATAAATGAAATTCCTGGAGAAGGAAGTGAAGAGAAGATAGACTATCCACGGTATCAGTACAGACAGGGAGAGGAAAGAAAGTAAAGGTGAGCAAATGAATGCCTCCCAAGGTGTAGTGGGCAGAATAATTACCTCCCCAAAATTGTCCATGGCCTAATCCTGGAACCTGTGAATATGTTGCCTTATACGGCAAAAGGAATTTTCAAGATCTGAATAAGGCCAGGCACAGTGGCTCACATCTGTAATCCCAGAACTTTGGGAGGGAAAAGTGGGAGGACTGCATGAGCCCAGGAGTTCAAGACTTGCCTGGACAACAAAGGAAGACCCTGACTCTCCGTATAAATAAAATTTAAATAAATAAATAAAAATATGTGAATAAATTTAAGAAATTTGAGACAGGGAAATTATCCTGGATTATCCGGGTGGGCTTAATCTAATCACCTGAGTCTTTAAAAGTGGAGAACCTTTCCTGGCTTTATAGAACCAGAGAGATAGCAGCATAAGGACTAGACCCACTGTTACTGGCTTTGAAGATGGAGGAAGGGGCCATGAACTGATATGGTTAGGCTTTGCGTTCCCACCCACATCTCATCTTGAATTGTAATCCCCATAATCCCCACATGTGAAGGGAGAGATCAGGTGGCACTAATTGAATCACGGGTGTGGTTTCCCCCATGCTGTTCTCATGATAGTGAGTGAGTTCTCATGAAATCTGATGGTTTTATAAGTGGCTCTTCCTCCTTCGCTTGGCACTTCTCCTTCCTGCTGCCTTGTGAAGAAGGTACCTTGCTTCCCCTTTGCCTTCCACAATGATTGCAAGTTTTCTGAGGCTTCCCCAGCCATGCTGAACTGTGGGTCAATTAAACCTCTTTCCTTTATAAGTTACCCAGTCTCAGGCAGTACTTTATAGCAGTATGAAAATGGATTAATACATGAACCAAGGAATATAAACTTCTAGAAACTGAGGGAAAAAAATGGATTCTCCCCTACAAAGGAACTAGAAAGTTCCTAGAAAGGAACTCAGTGCTGCCAACACCTTGCTTTTAGCTCAGTGAGACCTATGTTCTGGCTTCTGGCCTGTAGAACCAATTATAATAAATTTGTGCTGTTTTAAGCCACTGTTTGTGGTAATTTGTTAAAGCAGCAATAAAAACCAATATGTAAGACTTGACTGTTTTTAATTAAAACACATACAATTTTAGAGTGCGCATTTTCCCAGGAAAGGTCTCAGTGTTGGGATCTCTACAAGGATATAAAAGGATTTTCTCTTGATACCTCCCTGTGAATTTGCACGCTAACTCCCACCCTGCCCCCTCATCTTCACCCCTGAAATTTACAGAGTTTCTAGGGATTGTCAAGATGTTGGCTACTCCATATGCAAAAGAATGAAGCTGGACCCTTATCTTATACACAAAAATCAACTCAAAATGGATTAAAGGCCTAAGCATAGACCTGAAACCATGAAACTTCTAGAATAAAATAGGGGAAAAGCTCCTTGATAGTGGCCTTGGCAATGATTTTTTGGATAGGAAAAGCTCAGGCTACAAAAGCAAAAATAAACAAGACAAACTACATCAAACTAAACAATCGGCAAGATGAAAAGATAACCTACAGAGTGGGAGAAAATATCTGCGAACCACATGTCTGATAAGTGGTTAATATCCAAAATATGGCCAGGCGCGGTGGCTCATGCCTGTAATCCCAGCACTTTGGGAGGCGGATGCAAGCAGATCACGAGGTCAGGAGATTGAGACCATCCTGGCTAACATGGTGAAACCCTGTCTCTACTAAAAAATAGAAAAAATTAGCTGGGCGTGGTGGCGGATGCCTGTAGTCCCAGCTAGGGAGGCTGAGGCAGGAGAATGGCGTGAACCCAGGAGGCAGAGCTTGCAGTGAGCCAAGTTCGTGCCACTGCACTCCAGCCTGGGTGACAGAGTGAGATTCCATCTCAAAAACAAAACCAAAAACAAAACCAACCAACCAAACAAAATATATATATATATATCTCCAAAATATATATGAAATTCACACAATAGCCAAAAAAATCTGAATAACCCAATTTTAAAATGGGAAAAGGACCTGAATAAACATTTCTCCAAAGACTAAAAATGTCCAACAGGTGTATGAAAAGGTGCTCAACATCACTAATCATCAGGGAAATACAAATCAAAACCATAAGGAGATACTACCTCACAGTTGTTAGGATGGGTATGTAGTCCTAACTACTCAGGAGCTAAGGTGAAAGGATCATTTGAGCCCAGGATTTGAGGCTGCAGTGACCTATGTATGATCACTCCAGCCTGGGTGACAGAGTGAGACCCTGTCTCAAAAAAAAAAAAAAAAGAAGGAAAAGAAAATATTAATGTTCTATTGTAGAACCCTTAAAAGGACCTTAAAGATGAACCAATTCAACTTCACTCATTTACTACATAAATGCCTTTTTCAAATTCTTCATGTGACAGAAAAATGAGTTGAGCTAACAAAATGAAGGCAGAATTGTTAATCTGATAACAGTAGTATGAATAATTCAACAGAAGCTAGGAATTTTTGTACTGATACATTGACTCATTTACAAAGCTAGAAGGAACTTTTCTGCTGTTTGTAAAATTTTTGTTTAGAGAAAACCCACCAAGCAATAGAGTGAACATTTAGTACCTTAATCTTAGATGATGAATTCGTTAAAGAATTTAATGGCAGGCTATTAAATAATTTGCATTCACTAGCAGAATACAGCAGTGTGGTGACAAAAATCTATCAGACTTAAAATTAAATGTAGTACATTTGCTAAAAAGAGTGATCATGTAATCTAAAAGCAAGTCTAGAAATTAGCTGGTTAACATTACGTGTTTTTCAATGTTTTGAATTTTTCTCTTTATAAATGGTTTCAGCATAGTTTTTAAAAAGAGGTCCCAATTACTAGCGTTCCTATACACCAACAACAGCCAAGCCAAGAGCCAAATCAGAAAGGCAATCCCATTCACAATTGCCACAAAAAAAGAATAAAATACCTAGGAATATAGCTAACCATGGAGGTGAAAGATCTCTACAATAAGAATTACAAAATACTGCTCAAATAAATCACAGGAGACACAAACAAATGGAAAAACATCCCATCCTCATGGATAGGAAGAATCAATATAATCAAAATGGCTATACTGCCAGAAACATTTACAGATTCAATGCTATTCCTATCAAACTACCAATGACATTCTTCACAGAACTAGAATAAACTATTTTAAAATTCATATGGAACCAAAGAATAGCCTGAATAACCAAGGTAATACTAAACAAAAAGAACAAAGCTGGAGTCATCATGTTACCCGACTTCAAACTATACTGCAAGGCTACAGTGACCAAAACAGCATGGTACTGGTACAAAAACAGGCACACAAACCAATGGAACAGAATAGAGAGCCCAGAACTAAGGCAGCACATCTATGACCATCTGATCTTCACAAAGCTGACAAAAATAAGCAATGGGGAAAAGATGCCCTATTCAACAAATGGTTCTGGGAAAACTGGCTAGCCATATGCAGAAGATTGGAGCTGACCCTTTCCTTAGACCATATACAAAAATTAACTCAAGATGAATTAAAAACTTAAATGTAAAACCCAAAACTATAAAAACCCTGGAAGACAACCTAGGCAATACCATCCTGGACATAGGAACGAGCAAAGATTTCATGACAAAGATACCAAAAGCAATCACAACAAAAGGAAAAATTGACAAGCAGGATCTAATTAAACTTGAGTTTCTGTGCAGCAAAAGAAGCTATCAACAGAGTAAACAGTCAATCTACAGAATGCGAGAAAACATTTGCAAACTATGCACTTGACAAAGGTCTAATATCTAGCATCTATAAGGAACTTAAACAAATTTATAAGAGGAAAACAAATAACCACATTGAAAAGTAGGCAAAGGATATGAAGAGACACTTCTCAAAAGAAGACATACATGTGGCCAACAAGCATATAAAAAAAAGCTCAACATCACTGATCATTAGAGAAATGCAAATCAAAACCACAATGAGATACCATCTCACACCAGTCAAAATGGCTATTACTAAAATGTCAAATCAAAACAAAACAAAACAAAAAAGATGCTGGCAAGATTATGGAGAAAAGGGAACACTTATACACTGTTGGTGGGAATGTACATTAGCTCAACCATTGTGGAAAGCAGTATGGTGATTCCTCAAAGAGCTAAAAGCAGAACTACCATTTGGCCCAACAATCTCATCACTGGGTATATACCCAGAGGAATATAAATCATTCTACCATAAAGACACATGTACACGAATGTTCACTGCAGCACTATTCACAATAGCAAAGATGTGGAATCAACCTAAATGCCCATCAATGACAGACTGGATAAAGAAAATGTGGTATATATACACCATGGAATGCTATGCAGCCATAAAAAAGAACAAGATCATGTCTTTTGTGGGATCATGGATAGAGCTGGAGGCTATCATCCTTAGCAAACTAATGCAGGAAAAGAAAACCAAATACCACATGTTCTCACGTATAAGTGGGATAGAAATGATAAGAACTTATGAACACAATGTAGGAAACAACAGACACTGGGGTCTACTTGAGGAGGTAAGGTGGGAGGAGAGAGAGGAGCAGAAAATATAACTATTGGGTACTGAGCTTAATACCTGGGTGATGAAATAATATGTATAACAAACCCCCGTGACACGTGTTTACCTATGTAACAAACCTTTACATGTACTCCCAAACCTAAAAGTTAAAAAGAAAATAAAGTTCCCAAAACTTTATTTCTCTCTAGCTTCTTCTCCAAGAGCAAGTGATTAAATCATGACAATGTTTCTAACTATGAATGTCACACATAAAATATGATACCAATTGAAAGTATATAGCTTGCAAGTACATCTGGGAATTGTAGAAACACAGACAGCTCATCAGTGTTAATTCAGGCATGGTTTTGAACAATGTTCTGTCTACATATTGGGTTTTCTGATTACCTAACTTTCCTTTCTTGTCTACATTTCTCAACAGAGATTTTTAGTTTATCTTAGAGTATTCATCATGGCTCAACTTATAATTTCAAGCGAAGCATGATTCAGAATGCCCTCGATTTTTAGCCCTTCACAGCCTTTGGTTATCTCAAAGTTACCTGTTCTGATGTCCACATCAGTATGCTAAAGTTAGGAGACTATGATACTATATTCCAAAGATTTTCCTCAGAAAAATGAAGACAGCTGTTGGCTAATCAGTCTGAAGTGCTTGTCTTTTGCTTATAAATCAGGTGCTCCTTAAGTTATAGTTCTTTCTTTCCTTATCTGTATTCATTCAGCAGCTGATGAAACTGTGCTATTATCTTCCAAATAATCTGGCATTTTCTCTGCAGAATTGTAAAATCAATATAAATCAGCTGAGAATTAAGGAAAGCGGTAATAAAAATCCTGAGGCAAAGTTAAAAAATTTTAAGTTTTCTGATGCATGATTCTGATTTAGATTAGTTTTCAGGTAACTGTTTGAGGGTCAAGAAAGAATACATAAACTGATGATGATCTGGGTAAAATCTGTGAAAAATAGAAACTTGGTGTTGATATAAAAAGATGTTAACTGTATTTATTATACAACATAAACATCAACATGTATCCGATAATGGAAGAATGCTCTGTAGCTAAAGCCAATGAAGAGAGAAATTTGGTAGATGATAGATAGACAGATTGCACTGATTCTACGAGCCCCCAGGATTTTGTATTCCCTTGAGATGTCTCAGTGCCTGGTCAGCAGCTGGTGGAGAAAGGTCAGAGTGAGCTGCACCATAAATCAATGGTACAGAGAGGCAGGATAAGTGGCTGGGCAGAGGCGGGGGAGAGAGGGACTTAATAGGAATAAAAAGAGGAATAGGTTTTGAGATGGCCAGTTAATGGTTACTGAACCGGAAAAATAGCACTGCAGGTTGCAGAAATGGCTAATGTCAAAACTTTGCATTATAATGAGATCTAGCTCAACCGTAGAAGGTTTTTACTTCTACAGTTTCTAATAATCTGAATAAAGTTTCTTAAAATGCCACATTTATTCTCCAAAAGTTTAAGCATTGGTAAATTCAGAGGGCATACTATTAGGGTTTGTAAAACAAACAAAGAAAACCCACAAAAATATTATTTTAGTAATAAATTTGCAGACTTGTTCATTATTTAACTTATGCCATGTATAACTCTGAGTTGTAACTTCTGGCTCTATATCTGAATTCTCATCAAGTATAAAATAATCATACTGAATCCAAAAACTCATTTCAGAGAGGTGTATGGTTACAATTTTTTTTAACATCAATAAAGATCCTCTTCAAATTCCCACTAAAATTAAACCATAAGTGCTACCATTTCTAGGGTTTATAGTTTTTAAAGCAAAAAACAAACAAACAAAAAAGAAGGGATATTTACCTGAGTATACCAAATAAACAAATATTTTTAAACATTTGTTTAAATTGTTAACTTTGGCATATTGTAATTTAGAGGAAAATATCCCGAAATCTTTTAGCCTAACTCTCCTCATAGTACAGATAAGACAGCCATGCACATTGCAACCCTGGGTGCCCAAAGTCACACTACAAATTAAGGTCACAGGCAGAAAATTGAATATACGTCTCCTACTTCCTGGTCCATCTTCCTTTCTTCACCAGAAAAAAATAATTTTAAAAATGTATAAAGACTATCATGGTAAGATATTAGAAGAATGCTTCAGCAATGATGTTATGTTTTATCCAAGTCAATGTTCAGTATGAGTAGAATATAATCAAAATTAGAGAGAAGATAGAAGAGTCAGGAAACGTGCTGGTTTGGTTATCATATCTTCATAGTGTGTGTTCGTAAAACTTAGGAAAAAACCCTGGGATTCAGCTGCCCAGATATATTTAAAGAAATATGATTGTTCTACAAGATTTCTTTCAAGTAATAATAGAAAAAAATAGCATCAGTTTTGCTATTGTTGTAGGAGTAGTAGAATTAACAGAAATTCATCAATTGCCTCATTTTTTTTTCTAGTGAAAGGAGATGGCCAGCATTCAAGAATTTGCAGAGGCTACTACAAGGAAGTGCAGATTCTTCTCACAGTTGTTTCTTTTCTCACGTCCAGGAGAATTCAGCATTGCTTAAGCATATTTGCCCCAGGGTCTAGATGACAACTGATTGGAGTGATGTTTGCCCTATGCTTTTCAGACTTGATTAAAATGACTAGTGGAATGAATGTGTGCTGTGGTTGACAGCCTTCTAAATTTGATAAAGAAAACTATAATTATATCCAATCTTACCTGATGTTTTAAACAAAATATTTACAGTGTGCAATGAAGATATCTTTGTCCTTTATATGACCTGTAAGATGGCTTAGAAATTATAGCTTAACTGGATGCGTTGATATGATTAAATATATACTTAGTTGACTACCTAAGAATTGCACAACAAAAATGAAAATGTAAGCCTGTGTTTTTTTTTTGATCTTCCCTAAGAATCACTTATGTCTGAATGTGAATACAATTTTTAAAGTAATGCTCGTTAGAAACATAAAAATAAGAAAAGATACTGTATTTTATTTTCACAGAAAAGTGCTTCTATAATTTTAAATAAATGCAATATGTAGGGGACTCATCCAACTCTGTATCAGAAAGGAGACTGAAGAAACTGGAATACAAAATGCATCTGTTTATCCTGTTTTCAAATATAGTCAAAATTGAGGTCTTTTATGTAGATTTTAATCATTTTTAGTATTTTAAATTCTTCCTTAAATTTATCTTTATAGCCCAAATCTCTCTTGCCATGATTTGGATCCAATTCCCATTTTTCACCTTTAACAGAGGCAAATCAGTGGGTAGTGTCTAAAATACGTGATAACCTTCAATTGAAAAGTAACCATCAGTTTACAAATATTTTGTATTTTTAAGGATGGATCTGCTTCTATTAAAATTAAGAATGCAGGTGAAGGCTCAGGACTGTCACTCTGTTTACAGACTGAGGTATGGTTAGCTCTCTCTCATGCTTCTTTATAGTACCCAATGATAATCACTAATTACTAATAATAACTACTTTATTATCATTTCCCACTATTCCTTTATTGAATGAAATGCAGATGGGTGGTGAGGTGTGGAGGTAATTAACACTCTCACATGAAAGTCCAAAGGTAGTCAAACATGACTGCCACTTAAATCCCATTGTCCAGAAGGGAATTACTTGGCCATACCCAGCTGCAAAGAAGGCTAAGAAACATAGCTTTGATATGGGGCAGCCATGTACCCAGATGGACACCGGGACTTTGTTAATACAGACTAAGCGGAAAATGGATTTGGGGGAGCTACTAGCAGTTTCCATTACACTCCACTCCACACATTTTAACATTGTATTAATAGTCAAATCCATTGTGCCTGGGTTAATCTCATATGGACCTTCATTGTTTTCAAACTTCTGAATTATATTTCATGCAGAGAAAAAAGAAATTGGTGTCAAGGACAATACAGAAGAAAAAAATTCTAAGCATCAAGTTACCAAGAATTTATAATTAGACATGCTCATAGTATATTTTAGAAGTGAAGAAAAGTATGACAAATTGAACTATAGGAAAATCTCTTAATTTAACTAAGAGCTTGGCTCTGATCCTTTTGTCAGTGACTTGTGCAGGATCTCAAAATCATATTAAGTGTGGCATTAAAGAGATAGGGCTCAGTCACAAACTTAGCTTTGTTTAGGAATTCTAAACATGGCCAGACCACTTCAAAGTGCTTCACAAAAGATGTACAATTACTTAAAAAACTAATGCAATCTGTGGTCCCAAGATAAGGATTGAAAGCAGAAGGAAACAAGTGAGTCATTACAACTATTGGCTTCTATTTTTGATGAGATAAAGGAATTGCCTGCTTGAGTTCTAGCTGCTTCCTATGTGAATATGCACAAAGAATGTAGGTGTGGTAAATAAAACAGAAGAAGCTATTTTAATACATTTTCATAATATTTTGCATGTAGTTTTAGACTGGGTTCATTTGATAAAATCTGACCTTCAAAATAATTACATAGTAAATTTTTAAAATTTTAAACAGACAGTTCTTATTTTTGCTAAAATAAGTTCTTGATTTGGTGGCCGCCAAACTCCTATTTGCATTCTATGTCATATGACTTAAATTATCTATAATTAATCTTTCAATATTTAAATATTTTCTTTTTCTTTTTGGCTAGGACTATTGATCATATAATAATTAACACTTCCAGGCTTTGGGGCTTTGTATAGCAGTTAGGGAAAAAATATATATAAAGATGAATCTTTTTTCTTCCTTCAAAATTTTGTGCCTTTCTGATTTACTGTAGCCTGGAGCAGAAGGTCACTGTCTGATCCTCAAACTTCTGATTGTTCACATCTTCATTTTGCTGCTACTGATAGACTCGCCTTCCTGGTCTCCGTACATTTTGACTTAACTCTTTGTGTCTTTTGTGAGCATACACACATAAACCTGGAGGAATGTTTTAAAAAGATGACTAATAGCTGGGCGCGGTGGCTCATGCCTGTAATCCCAGCACTTTGGGAGGCTGAGATGGGTGGATCACAAGGTCAGGAGATCAAGACCATCCTGGCTAACACAGCGAAACCCCATCTCTACTAAAAATACAAAAAATTAACTGGGCGTGGTGGCGGGCACCTGTAGTCCCAGCTACTTGGGAGGCTGAGGCAGGAGGATGGCGTGAACCCGGGAGGCGGAGCTTGCAGTGAGCCGAGATCACACCACTGCACTCCAGCCTGGGCGACAGAGTGAGACTCTGTCCCCACCACCCAAAAAAATAAAAAAATAAAAAAAGAAGACTAATAGTCAGAATGGTAAACACATATCTGGGATTTCCAATAAGGATATCCTGTGACAAATTTAATTTAAGTTCAAACTAGGAATCTCTACCAGCACCTAGCAAATACATTGGACAATGAGGGTTAATAGACAGGAATGACAAGTGCTATACTGCTGAATTTTATGCTCAGTGTTCACCACTTTTTCTTTAATGGTAATAACAATATCAATAGCTAACATTTTTTGAGCATTTACTAATGTATGGACACTGTTACACATATCTTATCCATTTGCTAATTAAATCCTCTTAACAATCTACAAGGCAGGAATCATTTTCTTCCCAATTTTACTAATAAGGTAGCTGCATCACAAAGAGCTCAAGAATTTGCCCAACATCACATAATCAGGATGTAGCAGATGGGAAATACCAACATAGGCAGTCTCATACTAGAACCCAGGCTCTTGCTTAGCACAGGGATCCATCTTCCTCTTTTGTTCATGACCTAAGCCATAGCTGCAAAAGGATATTTCTCCTAAAATAATTGAAGACACATTGGAACCACTTGTAAGTTCTGTAATTATATTTGAATAACATTTGTGTTGCTATTTCCTTCTCTGATAATTATCCTCTATTCTCTTTCCATCTGTATGGCTGTAATAGAAACATCCATATGACCCTGTCTTCTAGACCATAGTTTATTGAACCATGAGTGGGCATCTGACTCAAGATGAGCCACTGAGATCTCTTCTAGGCTATATGGTGTAGGTAGAGGTTTCAGTTTTCGCCTATCTTCTTGAACAGCAAAAATATAAACTTGGGCCGGGAGCAGTGGCTCACACCTGTAATCTCAGCACTTTGGGAGGCTGAGGCGGGAGGATTACCTGAGCTCAGGAGTTCAAGACCAGCCTGGGCAACATGGCAAAACCCCGTCTCTACCCAAAATACAAAAAATTAGCCAGGTGTGGTCGTGCACACCTGTAGTCCCAGGTAATCAGGAAGCTGAGATGGGAGGATCACTTAAGCTTGGGAGGCAGAGGCTGAAGTGAGCTGGGGTCATGCCACTGCATTCCAGCCTGGGTGACTCCATCTCAAAAAAAAGTAAACTTGGAAGCTGGTAGCAGTGGCCATTTACTACAGTACTACATGGACCAGGTAAAAGAGAAAGCTGGTCTGCAGTAAAAGAAGAATAAGCAACCCTTCCCTGGTTTACTACAGGAGACAGATTCCATAACTGTCCCCAATTCTTTATTCCCCTTCCTGTATGCCACTCCCTTAACATTATGACTGCAGGTCTTCCCAACAAGAGGTGGAGCCAGTGGCCCATCGCTTAGATCTGGACTGGACTTGTGACTTGGCAAAAGTGACAGAATGCTAGTTTCAAGTCTTAATCACAAGAAGCTTTTCATATTTACAGTTTTTATCTTTGACCCATCTTCTCCCTAAGAACATGCCTGGCTGGCTTGCTGGAAGGATAAGAAGCATAGCTATGGTGCCATAGCCAAGATCATCCTAAAAAGCCAGGAGATAGCTGACCCACCAACTGACTAAAGAGACAAAGAGATGCCCCCTGAGATCATCCAAGCCTAGTCCAGATGAGCAGAACTGCCCAGCCAACCCATAGACTTGTGAAAAATAGTAAATTGTGGTTTTTATAAGGGTGGCTTGTAATGCAGCGTTAGCTAACTGATACAGTTACCTGCAGTTTTCCCATCCATTAAGATACTAGAGGCCTGGATATGCTGCAGTAGCAGGTTTCCATAACTCACACTTATAGTCTTTTAATAAATTTTCCATTTGTCTTAAGTTTTCTCAGTTGGGTTTCTGTTATATGCAACCGTAAGAATCCTAAGTGATGTGAGTTTTATAAGATCTGAGAATAACAAGAACAGCATCTTACTTTTACAGAGTCCTGTTAAGAGGTAACCAGTTTAGTAATAGTGTATTAAAAAGAGATACACCGTGAGCTTTGTTCTGACTGCTTCAACATGTTTGGGGCTGGATCTCTACTTTTGTTTTGTTGGTAGTGATATTGGCAGTTTTTTTTTTTTTTTGAGACGGAGTCTCAATCTATCGTCCAGGCTGGAGTGCAGTGGCACGATCTCGGCTCACTGCAAGCTCCGCCTCCTGGGTTTCCGCCATTCTCCTGCCTCAGCCTCCCAAGTAGCTGGGACTACAGGTGCCCACCACCATGCCTGGCTAATTTTTTTGTATTTTTAGTAGAGACAGGGTTTCACTGTGTTAGCCAGTGGTCTCGATGGTCTCGATGGTCTCGATCTCCTGACCTTGTGATCCACAAATGCCACTAATATATAAATATGTCTACACTGCAACAACTTAAAAGTCTACATATGCCTCAAGCATTAAAATGGAAAAGTTCCCCTTTCCTATTCCCAACCTATAGTAAAGACCCTCCTCAGAGGAACCAGAGTTAATAGCTCAGACAGCTAATAAGGAGCAAGAACTTTAAACTTGTACCTTTACTGAAACTTGGACAATTGAAACCTGGATGGAGAAGATAAGAACCTACATAATTGTCAAAGCAGTGAACTGGATTTTACTGTTGTTTCTTTTGCAGTTATTGGATCTGCTTTTAGGGCAGATTGTTGCTTGTTTGACCTGAAAATCCTCCATAGGCCATTTAATGATGTAAGTATTACACTGATCTCTCACCTGGATAGATGTTGGAGATGGTGAGCCCCCAAAACTTGAGTGTTTTAGCACAAAGAGGTTCACACAGGAGGCTGGCTGTATGGGTAAGCTAACTGTTCTTATTGTATGACAAGTATTAGTCTCTTCGAGATAAATGTTTTATTTTATATATTTAGCTTAAGATCTCATTGTCTTAAAAATGTCACTTGTTCTTACAAATAAACATTCGTGTTTGTTTGCAGGATTGCTGATAGGGAACTGAGCTCTAAGAAGCTAAAGGAGAGTCATGGCACATGGCAATGCTGTTTCGAGGCCTGCAAGATATTTGCCAGCCTTCTAAGCCCCATGAGAACCTTCACACAGGTAGGGGACACCATCAACAATGGTGATGATGAGGTTCCTTCAGGAACCGCAATAGTAAACATGGACCCAGAGGAGCCAGGGCAGGGAGGAAAGAAGGTGATAGATACCTGTTGGAGATCAGGATAGATAGACTACACAACAATTGGAAATAATCTGGGTGTCAAATATTCATACAAGCCTAGTTTTTAATTATAGACTGTTAAAGCTTGCAATATACCAGCTACAGTTTATGTAAGTATACACCAAAAGAAATATTTGGAAGGATATACACCAGAACTTATACATAGGATCTCTGAATAATAGCATCAAGAGATCTTATAATTCTTGTACTTTTGGCTTTATGTATTTTCTAATTTCTTGTAGTGTACACGTACTAGTTGTATAATTTTTAACAATTAAAAATTATCCCAAAGGGGAGAAATAAAAGAATGTATATCACATTTCCCTTAAGATAAACATCTGCTTTGATTTATGCTTATGATTGTTTTTAAAGGTCATGTGAAAGCATCTTTTGATTTTTTAGAATATCTTTAGTTAAAATATAATTTTCTTTCCTTGGTGACCTGATTATTTGGAGCAGCAGTATTTGGGTGTGTACTGATAATTTGGTAACATGTCTTTTATAGTCATTACTGGGGCTTGGTTTATATGTTCTTAGGGATACAATGATAGCGGTGTGATTAGAGAACTTATCTAAAAGTAAATAGGTCTGCAGGCCACTGAAGTTACTTGTTTGATCCTGTTTGCTACATATTCAATATCCTTCTAGGTTTCTGGAGTTCTGTGGAGCCATAACAGGAGGAATAAAGAAGGCATCTGTGTCTTCCTGCGTGCCCTAATAGAAGAACATATATCCATGGAATCTTAAGGTTGGACTTTCTTATTTAAGTGCATAGGGTGGCCAGATATCTTGATTCATAAGAACAGTCCCCAATTTTAGATACTGTCAGGCCATTTGTCTTGAAAAATAAAGTTTAAAAAGAGAGGCTTTAGACTTTAAATGTGTGAATTGTATAATACATGAATTATCTCTCAATAAACCTGTTTTTTTTTTTAAAAAGGGGATACTGGTCAGGTTCCAAGATGGCAGAATAGGAACAGCTCCAGTCTGCAGCTCCCAGCAAGATTGGCACAGAAGATGGGTGATTTCTGCATTTCCAACTGAGGTACCTGGTTCGTCTCATTGGGACTGCTTGGACAGTGGGTGCAGCCCATGGAGGGCAAGATGAAGCAGGGCAGGGTGTTGCCTCACCCGGGAAGCACAAGGGGTTGGGGGATTTCTCTTTCCTGGCTAAGGGAGGCCATGACAGACTGTACCTGGAGAAACGGTACACTCCTGACCAAATACTGCTCTTTTCCCATGGTCTCAGCAACCGGTAGACCAGGAGATACCCTCCCATGCCTGGCTTGGCACATCCCATGCCCATAGAGTCTTGCTCACTGCTAGCACAGCAGTCTGAGATCAACCTGTTATGCTGCAGCTTGACAGCGGGAGGGGCGTCTGCCATTGCAGAGGCTTGAGTAGCTCACAGGGTAAACAAAGTGGCCAGGAAGCTCGAACTTGGCGGAGCCCACCGCAGCTCAGCAAGGACTACTGTTTCTCTAGATTCCACCTCTGAGGGCAGACCAGAGCAGAACAAAAGGCAGCAGACAGCTTCTGCAGATTTAAACGTCCCTGTCAGACAGCTCTGAAGACAGCAGTGGTTCTCCCAGCATGGCGTTCGAGCTCTGAGAACAGACAGACTGCCTCCTCAAGTGGGTCCCTGACCCAATGTATCCTGCCTAGAAGACACCTCCCAGTAAGGGACGACAGACACCTCAAACAGGCGGGTGCCCCTCTGGGATGAAGCTTCCAGAGGAAGGATCAGGCAGCAATATTTGCTGTTCTGCAGCCTCCACTGGTGATACCAGGCAAACAGGGTCTGGAGTGGACCTCCAGCAAACTCCAACAGACCTGCAGCTGAGGGGCCTGACTCTTAGAAGGAAAACTAACAAAGAGAAAGGAATAGCATCAATGTCAACAAAAAGGATGTCCACACCAAAACCCCATCTGTAGGTCACCAACATCAAAGACCAAAGGTAGATAAAACCACAAAGATGGGGAGAAACCAGAGCAGAAAAGTGGAAAATCCCAAAAACCAGAGTGCCTCTTCTCCTCCAAAGGATTGCAGCTCCTCACCAGCAAGGGAACAAAACCGATGGAGAACGAGTTTGACGAGTTGACAAAAGTAGGCTTCAGAAGGTTGGTAATAACAGATTTCTCCAAGCTAAAGGAGCATGTTCTAACCCATCATGAAGAAGCTAAAAACCTTGAAAAATGGTTAGATGAATGGCTAACTAGAATAAACAGTGTAGAGAAGACCTTAAATGACCCGATGGAGATGCAAACCACAGCACGAGAACTTCGTGATGAATGCACAAGCTTCAATAGCCGATTCGATCAAGTGGAAGAAAGGGTATCAGTGATTGAAGATCATATTAATGAAATAAAGCAAGAGACAAGATTAGAGAAAAAAGAATGAATAGAAATGAACAAAGCCTCCAAGAAATATGGGACTATGTGAAAAGACCACATATACATTTGATTGGTGTACCGGAAAGTGACAGGGAGAATGGAACCAAGTTAGAAAACACTCTTCAGGATATTATCCAGGAGAACTTCCCTAACCTAGCAAGGCAGGCCAACATTCAAATTCAGGAAACACAGAGAACACCACACAGATACTCCTCGAGAAGAGCAACTCCAAGACACATAATTGTCAGATTCACTGAGGTTGAAATGAAGAAAAAATTTTAAGGGCATCCAGAGAGAAAGGTCAGGTTACCCACAAAGGGAAGTCCATCAGACTAATAGTGGATCTCTCGGCAGAAACCCTACAAGCCAGAAGAGAGTGGGGGCCAATATTCAACATTCTTAAAGAAAAGAATTCTCAACCCAGAATCTCATATCCAGCCAAATTAAGCTTCATAAGTGAAGGAGAAATAAAACCCTTTACAGACAAGCAAATGCTGAGAGATTTTGTCACCATCAGGCCTGCCTTACAAGAGCTCCTGAAGGAAGCACTAAACAAGGAAAGGAACAACCAGTACCAGCCACTGCAAAAACATGCCAGATTGTAAAGACCATCGATGTTATGAAGAAACTGCATCAATTAATGGGCAAAATAACCAGCTAACATCATAATGACAGGATCAAATTCACACATAACAATATTAACCTTAAAAGTAAATGGGCTAAATGCCCCAATTAAAAGACACAGACTGGCAAATTGGATAAAGACTCAAGACCCAGCAGTGTGCTGTATTCACGAGACCCATCTCATGTGCAAAGACGCATGTAAGCTAAAAATAAAGGGATAGAGGAAGATCTACCAAGCAAATGGAAAGCAAAAAAAAAGCAGGGGTTGCATTCCTAGTCTCTGATAAAACAGACTTTAAACCAACAAAGATCAAAAGAGACAAAGAAGGCTACTACAAACTAGTAAAGGGATCAATTCAGCAAGAAGAGCTAACTATCCTAAATATATATGCACCCAATACAGGAGCACCCAGATTCATAAAGCAAGCCCTTAGAGACCTACAAAGAGAGTTAGACTCCCATAAAATAATAATTGGAGACTTTAACACCCCACTGTCAATATTAGACAGATCAAACAGACAGAAGGTTAACAAGTATATCCAGGACTTGAACTCATCTCTGGACCAAGCAGACCTAATAGACATCTACAGAACCCTACACCCCAAATCAACAGAATATACATTCTTCTCAGCACCACATCACACTTATTCTAAAATTGACCACATAGTTGGAAGTAAAACACTCCTCAGCAAATGTAAACGAACAGAAATCACAACAGACTGTATCTCAGACAACAGTGCAATCAAATCAGAACTCAGGATTAATAAGCTCACTCAAAACCACACAACTACATGGAAACTGAACAACCTGCTCCTGAATGACTACTGGGTAAATAATGAAATGAAGGCAGAAATAAAGATGTTCTTTGAAGTCAATAAGAACAAAGCCACAACGTACCAGAATCTCTGCGACACATTTAAAGCAGTGTGTAGAGGGAAATTTATAGCACTAAATGTCCACAAAAGAAAGCAGGGAAGATCTAAAATTGACACGCTAACATCACAATTAAAAGAACTAGAGAAGCAAGAGCAAACAAATTCAAAAGCTAGCAGAAGGCAAGAAACAACTAAGATCAGAGCAGAACTGAAGGACATAGAGACACAAAAAACCCTTCAAAAAATCAATGAGTCCAGGAGCTGGTTTTTTGAAAAGATCAACAAAATAGGCCACTAGCAAGACTAATAAAGAAGAAAAGAGAAGAATCAAATAGACACAATAAAAAATGATAAAGGGGATATCCCCACTGACCCCACAGAAACACAAACTACCATCAGAGAATACTATAAACATCTCTATGCAGATAAGCTAGAAAATCTAGAAGAAATGGATAAATTCCTGGACACATACATCCTCCCAAGACTAAAGCAGGAAGAAGTAGAATCTCTGAATAGATCAATAACAGGCTTTGAAATTGAGGCAATAATTAATAACCTACCAACCAAAAAAATCCAGGACCAGACGGAGTCACAGCCGAATTCTACCAGAGATACAAAGAAGAGCTGGTACCATTCTTTCTGAAACTATTCCAAACAACAGAAAAAGAGGGAATCCTCCCTAACTCATTTTATGAGGTCAGCACCATCCTGATACCAAAGCCTGGTAGAGACACAACAAAAAAATAATTTTAGGCCAATATCCCTGATGAACATTGATGTGAAAATCCTCAATAAAATACTGGCAAACCAAATCCAGCAGCACATCAAAAAGCTTACCCACCATGATCAAGTCAGCTTCATCCCTGGGATGCAAGGCTGGTTCAACATACACAAATCAATAACATAATCAGTCACATAACAAGGACCAATGACAAAAACCACATGATTATCTGATGCAGAAACGGTCTTTGACAAAATTCAACACCGCTTCATGCTAAAAACTCTCAATAAATTAGGTATTGATGGAATGTATCTCAAAATATTAAGAGCTATTTATGACAAACCCACAGCCAATATCATACTGAATGAGCAAAAACTGGAAGCATTCCCTTTGAAAACTGGCACAAGACAAGAATGCCCTCTCTCACCACTCCTATTCAACATAGTGTTGGAAGTTCTGGCTAGGGAAATCAGGCAAGAGAAAGAAATAAAGGGTATTCAATTAGGAAAAGAGGAAGTCAAATTGTCTCTGTTTGCAGATGACATGATTGTATATTTAGAAAACCCCATCGTCTCAGCCCAAAATCTCCTTAAGCTGATAGGCAACTTCAGCAAAGTCTCAGGATACAAAATCAATGTGCAAAAATCACAAGCATTCCTATACACCAATTATAGACAGAGAGCCAAATCATGAGTGAACTCCCATTCACAATTACTACAAAGAGAATAAAATACCTAGGAATCCAACTTACAAGGGATGTGAAGGACATCTTCAAGGAGAACTACAAACCACTGCTCAATGAAATAAAAGAGGAAACAAACAAACGGAAGAACATTCCATGCTCATGGATAGGAAGAATCAATATCGTGAAAATGGCCATACTGCCCAAGGTATTTTATAGATTCAATGCTCTCCCCATCAAGCTACCATTGACTTTCTTCACAGAGTTGGAAAAAACTGCTTTAAAGTTCATATGGAACCAAAAAGAGCCCACAGAGCCAAGACAATCCTAAGCAAAAAGAACAAAGCTGGAGGCATCACGCTACCTGACTTCAAACTATACTACAAGACTACAGTAACCAAAACAGCATGGTACTGGTCCCAAAACAGATATATAGCCAAATGGAACAGAACAGAGGCCTCAGAAATAACACCACACATCTACAACTAATCTTTGACAAACCTGACAAAAACAAGCAATTGGGAAAAGATTATTTAATAAATGGTGCTGGGAAAAGTGGCTATCCATATGTAGAAAGCTAAAACTGGATCCCTTCCTTACACTGCATATAAAAATTAACTCAAGATGGATTAAAGACTTGAATGTAAGACCTAACACCATAAAAACCCTAGAAGAAAACCTAGGCAATACCATTCAGGACATAGGCATGGGCAAAGACTTCATGACTAAAACACCAAAAGCAATGTCAAGAAAAGCCAAAATAGAAAAATGGAATCTAATTAAACTAAACAGCTTCTACACAGCAAAAGAAACTATCATCAGAGTGAACAGGCAACCTACAGAATGGGAGAAAATTTTTGCAATCTACCCAACTGACAAAGCGCTAATATCCAGAATCTATAATGAACTCAAACAAATTTACAAGAAAAAAACAAACAACCCCATCAAAAAGTGGGCAAAGGATATGAACAGACACTTCTCAAAAGAAGACATTTATGCAGCCAACAAACATATGAAAAAATGCTCATCATCACTGGTCATCAGAGAAATGCAAATGAAAACCACAATGAGATAACATCCCATGCCAGTTAGAATGGCGATCATTAAAAAGTCAGGAAACAACAGATGCTGGAGAGGATGTGGAGAAATAGGAACGCTTTTACACTGTCGGTGACAGTGTAAATTAGTGCAAACATTGTGGAAGACAGTGTGGAGATTCCTCAAGGATCTAGAACCAGAAATACCATTTGTCGCAGTGATCCCATTACTGGGTATATACCCAAGGATTATAAATCATGCTACTATAAAGACACATGCACACATATGTTGACTGCAGTACTATTCACAATAGCAAAGACGTGGAACCAACCCAAATGTCCATCAATGGTAGACTGGATTAAGAAAATGTGGCACATATACACCATGGAATACTATGCAGCCATAAAAACAGATAAGTTCATGTCCTTTGCAGGGACCTGGATGAAGCTGGAAACCATCATTCTAAGCAACCTATCACAAGGACAGAAAACCAAACACCACATGTTCTCACTCATGGACTCAGGGAGGGGAACATCACACATGGGAACCTGTCGGGGGTTAGGGGGCTTGGGGAGGGATAGCATTAGGAGAATTACCTAACGTAAATGACAAGTTGATGGGTGCAGCAAAGCAACATGGCACATGTATACCTATGTAACAAACCTGCACGTTGTGCACATGTGCCCTAGAACTTAAAGTATAATAAAAAGATAATAAAAATAAATAAATAAGTAAAATAAAATAAAAAGAAGGGGATACAACAGAGGGGTGACATATTAGTACAATAAAGAAAGCACATTGCCCTGAGCTCAATAATTAATTGTTGAATGAATGAGTGAACAATAGCTTGAATACAGATAAATATTAAATTGACCTGTTTTTGTTTAAAGTAGTCTCTGTGCTCAAACTGTAAAATTAGAGTTGATTTGTAAGATTACTGTGAGTATCAAGAAGAAAAATAATAAGAGTTCTAAAGATGTAAATACATCTCAAGTTATGAGAACAATTTTTAATATCTGATGATGGTATATGTGGGATCCTACCCCTAAGATGACCTCCAATGATTCCCACCTCTTAGTATTCACATCCTATGTAATCCCTCCCACATTATATTAGGGTTGATCTGTGCAACTAACAGAAAATGGCCGAAGTGATGGTTTGTCACTCCCAAGACTAGGCCATAAAAGACAGTGTATCTTCTGCTCCATCCCCTCTTCTCTCTCAGATAATCTGTTCTGGGGGAAGCCCAGCTCCTGTGCCATGAGCAACCCCATAGAGATGCCCATGTTGTAAATAAATGAGCCTTCCTTTTAACAGCCAAATGAGTGAGTTTTGAAGCCTTCAGATGACTGCAGCCACAGCTGACAGCTTAACTGCAATTTTATGAAAGACTCTGAGCCAGAACCACCCAGCTAACTCCCTCCTGGATTCCTGACCATGAGAAACTGTGTGTGATAAATGTCGATTGTCATATAAGCTGCTAAATTTGGGGGCAATTTGTTATGCAGCCTTAGATAACTATTACATTAGAGAATAGGAGAACTGACAAAATGTAGAGATTCCAGTCTTATGTAACAATGTAGGCATTTCTAGAAAACAGAAAACCAATGAAATTCTATAACACCTGATTTGCCTTGGGCCTTCTATCCTATTAATTCCTTTCCCTCCACAAGTTTTTAATGTGCTTGACTGGAAGATTTTACTCTCCTGTGGAAACATTTCTAGTTGTAAAATGAGCATCCATAGAAAATTCAGATTTACTTTAAGTTGGTTATGATTTATTCTCTGTAAAAATTAATGTCCTTTCTTAAACACTAGAATTACTTTTCCTATAATAACCATAAAATTTATTATGTGAGAAAGATGATGTTACACAGAAGTAAGTTTAGTTGAGAACAATCAACAAATTTTAAGACCTTTTTCTATCATATAATTTTCTATTATGGTTTTGGGGGAGGGATAGCATTAGGAGATATACCTAATGTAAATGACGAGTTAATGGGTGCAGCACACCAATGTGGCACATGTATACATATGTAACAAACCTGCATGTTGTGCACATGTACCCTAGAACTTAAAGTATAATAAAATACATCTATATAAAAAAAAGAAAATAGATAATTTTCCAGTTGAATCAAACTAGAGTGCTTTTGACAGATGATATCTCTTTTGTAGATCCATAGTTCAAAAACACAGGAAGGAGTTACAGCCCACTGTCAGATAAAGCAAATTTAATCTTAGAAAAAACTATCCTCACTAATGAATGAACCAAAAAGAATTTCCTTTTACTAGTTTAACTGTACCAATTTATTGCAACAAATATCTCCAAAAGAATGAGTGTAAGTGATGAGAATGTGATAGTATTTATAGGTTGTTTGTCCATCCTCTCCTTTACTTCTGAACAGCCTCTCCTGATCACTTGCATGGCCATAGGTTAAAACGTGGCAGCCATGTTCATCAAACATCAGCCCTTGGACCCAGATGATTGTGCCAAGGTGAACATCTGATAATTCTGAAAATTTGGAATAGTGAGTGGGGAAGGGAGCTAAGAAAGAATTGGGATTGATTTTGTTTTTCTCAGGATAACTGGACCTATGACATATAAACTTGGGAGCAGTCTTGGCCATGTTTTCATCAATGTAGTAAGAAGCAGAGGAAAACTGTTGGTTAAGAGGAAGGGAATGAATCAGAAATGCAGAGAGGAGCATACATAGAAGTCAAGAGAATGTTTCCAGCTCCATCTTTGTCCTTTGATTCCTCAAGATATTCCTGTGTTTTTCTAATATATTTGTTAAGCTCAAGGGGGTTTCTGTTGCTTGAAAATAAGAGTTTTATCTAATAAAGAAATAACATAGTGCTATATCCTAAAGGGTTAGTTAAGAAATTGGGAAAGATTTGACTATACAGCTATTCATCACAGCACTGGAAACACTCTAAACATTCAACAGTAGAGGACTAGTACATCCATTATGTGCCCAATATCAATCATATTATAGGAGAATATTAGGGTAGGATTACACGTATATAATAGATGTTATGAAAAAAGCAAGTTTGGGAAGGTTATTTGCTAACCTTCCCAAATGATACCATTTATGTTTTAAATTATTTATATATAGGCATACCAAAAAATTATAGTATCATGTAAACAAAAATGTCAACATTCTCTCTGATAGAATTGCAAAACGTTTTATTCCCTCCTTTTAAAAACGATCTCATGGCTATCATAATATCTGGTTTCAATTGATATTAAGCAATGGATGAGTTCTCTGTTGTTTTTAAACTTTTATATCTTTTAGTTTTGCTTACTCAACTTGCAGATTGACAAATATTTCATATATTATTTTAATTTTCTTTTTGGTGTGAATCTTTATTTGTCCTAATTTTTTCTTGTTCCTCATCTTGGTGCCTACGTAGTCTTTGTTCTTAATGCACAAGAAATCCAAGTTCCTTATTGATAAAAAAGTTAAAAAGCAACAGAGAACTCATCCATTGCTTAATATCAATTGAAACCAGATATGATAGTCATGAGAATGTAAAACAAGAAAAAAACCTTCTGTAAATTATAGTTTGATTGTCACAGTTATATTATGTGGATAAACAAAAGGTTTATAACAAGGCATTAAATAAACAATACTTAGTTTATAAGGCTCACTCATTCTCTGGGCAGCTAGTCACTGTCTCAAATTTCACTCATATAGTAATTGTTTAATCCAAAGTGAAAGTCCAACAGATAATAAACACACCCTGGAAGGATAATGGATGCTAAAATCTAAGCACACTATGATAAAATGTCATCTATATTTAAAGTAGATGGTTAAAAATGACCAGAAAGAAAATATTCAATGGAAAAAGTGGAAAATGACCAGATTGCATATTGAAAACATTTTTGCAGAAACAGATTGTCTAAACCAGAAGTCCCCAACCTTTTTGGCACCAGGAACCGGTTTCATTGAAAACAATTTTTCCATGACAGGAGGGGCAGGGGATGGTTTCAGGATGAAACTGTTCCACCTCAGATCATTAGGCATTAGATTCTCATAAGGAGCGTACAACCTAGATCCCTCATATGCAAAGTTCACAATAGGGTTCACACTCTTACGAGAATCTAATGCCACTGCTGATCTGACAGGAGCCAAGCTCAGGCAGTACTGCTTACTCGCCCCCACTCACCTCCTGCTGTGTGGCCCAGTTCCTAACAGGCCATGGACCAGCAGGGGGTTGGGGACTCCCAGTTCAGATCAAGGGTTTGCAGCCTGGGGGTTGGGGATCTAAACCATGATTTATTCAAATATAAAAAAATCAAATTCAAACTCTCTCTCTAAATACCTGCTTGGCATCTCACCCCCTAACCTGTTTTATACCAAAAAACTTCAATCACAAGATGGGGTTGGCAGTATTTCAGAAATGCTTTTCAACAGTACAACAACCTTTTTTTAGAAACTAGGATTAGCTTAACACAAATATGGGTATGTAAAAGTAGGCACTGAGTTATGCAATATTTATTCAAGTGGAATTCTTCCAATATTTTCTGGAAGAGAGTTACTTTTCAATAATGCTGTTCTGTGGACCAACATCTTAGAGAAGAGTGTTCATCTTTTTTAAAAATAAGTGTTCTTATGTATAAAAAATGCATAAGTGTGTAAAAGTAAGATACATATTAGATTTTCTATGTAATCGATGATTAATTTCAGCAAATTTTATTTGAAAATTTTAAAATTAGGATTTTTTTCTATGAAAGTTCTCTCCATTCGTTTTTATTTCCATTTTTTAAATCCTGACAAAAATGACCATACTCGGATCTACATGCTTCTAACTTTTCTCCTTTAGTTCATTATTAACAAGCTTGTTACTTGTCAAGAGTGAACTATCTCCCTCTGCATTCGTCTGCTCAGTAAACCATCTCCATTACTGTCTCCATCTCTTCACTTGTCTATTCTTTATTTCCATCTTGAGCCTATTCATTCTGGTCTCTAACCTGATGGTGGAATGGAACTGTATGTTCTTCCCACTCATCCACCATTACACATAGCTCTAAACTTGTCTGTTTTCCTGAGTGCTCAGTAGCTGTCCTTTCTTTTTCCTCTGGACTTCTGAAATCTGACCATTGTCTGAAATTCAGTCTATAGCCCATTGGTCATCTCTTCATAAAGTCTTCTTTCTCAAGAACTCATTCATGGCCTGCCATGGTGGTTCACACCCGTAATCCCAGCATCTCGGGAGGCTGAGATGGGAAGATCACTTGAGCCAAGGCATTCAAGACCAGGCTAGGTAACATAGGGAGACTCTATCTCTACAATGTTTTTTAAAAAAAAATTAGCCAAGAGTGGTGGCACGTATCTGTGGTCCTAGCTACTCAGGAGGCTGAGGTGGGAGGATCGTTTGAGCCCTAGAGGTCAAGGCTGCTGTGAGCTGTGATCGTGCCACTGAACTCACTTCTCAAAGAAAAAAAAAAGAACTCATTTATCCTCAAGGTTTCAACTGTCACTTGATTCCTGCATCTTAGCTCCAATTGCCTACTGGGCATCCCACTAAAGTTATGGCCTCATCTAGGATAGAACTCATTATTGGACCATCTGAGCAGATTATTGTCAGTCTTCATTGTTTCATTACTAAGTCCTATCATTCTTATATTGATTCTTTTCTTTTCTTTTTTTTTTTTTTTGGAGACAGAGTCTCGCTCTGTTGCCCAGGCTGGAGTGCAGTGGCACAATCTTGGCTCACTGCAAGCTCCGCCTCCCAGTTTCACGCCATTCTCCTGCCTCAGCCTCCCAAGTAGCTGGGACTACAGGCGTCAGCCACCACGCCCGGCTAATTTATGTATTTTTTCGTAGAGACGGGGTTTCGCCGTGTTAGTCAGGATGGTCTCGGTCTCCTGACCTCATGATCTGCCTGGTTTGGCCTCCCAAAGTGCTGGGATTACAGGCGTGAGCCACCGTGCCCGGCCTCTTATATTGATTCTATCTCTCAAATCTATCTTTTCACTTCTCTTTGCAATTACTGTTCTTAGGCTATGGCTTCATTATCACATTGATTTCTCCCTCCCCTGGTCTGACATTAGTCTTTCAAAATAAGGCTAAGACATAGGCTTGCATATTGGTAGTTTATTTGGGCAATAATCCCAAGAAGCATAACTGACATAAGAGAGTAGGACAGAGAAGGAGGGAGAATGAGTTCAAAAATGCCTTATTGAATTGGCCACCACTATGGGTAACTGATGCTAGGTCTCACCAGGATCTTATAATGAGTCTTACGAAATTCATCTCAGAAAATCCACCTGAGAGGTGAAAAGAAAAAATATTTATTTATGAGTTCTTGGCCTCCATTGATTAAAGATGACCCTACTGGCAATACCTCCCCTGCACTTCCTGATTGCACATGTGTGTGTCTGAGCGTTCTTCTGGCCTCCACCACGGCATTAGAGAAGTTCTGCACAGGCAAGAGACAAGCAAATAAAAAACAAAGACATGGGAAGTTGTAGGTAAATGTTTGGGGCTTAGGTGACTGTTGTCCAGTTGTATCAACAAGATGCTGGTCCAAACCTATTATAGCAGCTTCTAGAGCAAGACATGGCAGAAAGAGGACTTGACTGGTTCATAAAAGGCATTTAATACACCTTTTATTTAGTTTGTTGTGTGGGTCTCTTGTTTCTTCAGCAGGACTCTAAATGTCTCAGTGACATATATCCATTCAGTAGAATTAAGACACTTGCTAAACGAATCATTCAATCATTCACATTCAATTTTCTCATGATGTTAAAATCTTAAATATTTCCAGTTCTATTTTCTCAATAAATTGCCTAATTTAGTAAAATTCATGTCATATAGTTAACTCTCTGGAATTTTACCAACAACTACCACCAGCCCTCTCTGGATCTGCTCCCAGTATTGATGTCAAAGCATTCCCACCCACTATTATTAAAGCTTATATTTTGAACTCTTTTCTCCTGATTATATTGTGTTTCATGTTTCTATTACATCGTTTTCCTCAAGACCATGGAACCTCTGTGTAGGAAGTTTGACCAGTTTAGCAACACAGTCACTGGCTAAAAAAAAATAAAGAAGGTGAATGGACTATCTAAGTTTGGAACACTGGGCTCATTAGCCCTCATAGTCCAGCCATCTAAGCTAGACTATATTTTGAAATCTTCCATCTGTAGATTAAGATCAAATTGTTCCAGTAACTTTAAGGTTGCTTTTCATTACATTTACTTATCTTTACACCCTACAGCTTAGATAGACATTTTTTTTTTGCATTCTCTTCTCTAATCTATTCCATCAAGATAGTTCAGAAAAACTGTAGCAATTCATATTAGTTCAGGTTAGATGATGACACTCAGGCTGTATTTATGTCCTACATGCAAATAGTGTTTATTTTGAGAATGTTCTAAAAATGAGAAGGGGAAAATAAATTCACCTTCTTTATCCTTTGGGTACAATATAACATCCACAGAACTTATCAAGCTCTTTACTTATCATCAGGGGTTTTCAAATGTTGAAGATAAAGTTTTCAGAATACCTCCCTTAAAGGAAATTTGGGGAGTCATTTAGACCTAAAATAAATGCGCTTATTGTTTTTAAAGACACTAGGAAAAAAGTTAGAGAATTTGAAAAATATACTCATTCATTTAACAAATATTCACTAAGCATTCTATTCTGAAAAAGAATATAAGTCCTTGTTTATCACTTTAAAAAATCTTTATTTTCCCACTTATAGAACATTAAATACATTTTCTGCAAAACAAACAAACTAAAAACTTGGAAAATATAAAAGCACCTTTAATCACACCACTCAAAGGAATACTGTTAACCTCCAATGGATGTCTCCATTGCTTCTTCAGTAGAATCCCCCCAAAAATGTTTTTATGGGTTGAAAGCATTAAAAAGAGTCTCTATTTGGGTAGACTCATTTCTAGGTAGTGAGATTGTATCTTACTCTTCATGGTATCAACCCCAAGAGCTGACACATACTATGTGCTAATAAAAATGTTTAGGGGATAGTTCATCAGTCTTATTAGAAATCAGACAAAATCAAAATATATTACCAAATGAACTCAATTCCCCATAGTACCTGCTGTGAAGCAGGACATTTAGAATGCTTAGTCTCATTAACTAATTCTAATTACAAGTAGATGTGCACCTATCTTGAATAGAGTTTCTCTATGTTTATCACAAGATGATAAACTTTGGTGTTTTATTAGGAATGATATTTGGTGGCACAGGCAAGAAAAGTCCATCCTTATCTGGTTATTGAAAATCAGGAATATGCTATCATTTGGAGTACAAATGGTAGCAACAGTCTAAAATTCTCTGCACCACTTTGTTTCACACCAACCAGAGGAATAAGGCAAAGACTGATTGACAAATGTCAGTAACTCATTTTTCACATATGACAAAAAGTGACTAAACTGATAAAATTATCATTTCAATGTTCTTGCCAGAAGGCTCAAGTAATTAGCAAAACTAACCAGCAAAAAAAGAGAGCAAAGCCCATTATTTTTCTTATGTTTAGAAATTACATAAGTACTTTCCTTCAAAAATAAAGGTTTTCCAGCCGGTATCTGTCTGCTGGATATAAACAATTAGCCTGTTTTAATATGGAATTTTCCCTTTTATTTTTAGTATTAGAAGGGAGATTCTAATAAATCTATGAGGAGGAGCATCACCCCTTATTTGTAACCTCAGGACATAAAACAAATATTTCCGACCCCCTTCAAAGTGTGGAGATGGGTCCCATATTTGTAAAACTAAGTTCTTTTTACCTTTAAGGAAATGAAATCAGCTTTTAGTCTGCCAGTGTTTTTGCTACAGTTTTAATATGCAGTCAAACTTTATTATGAAAGCCTACAGCAGATATTTGGAGCTAAGAGACAAAAAAAGTAACATGTCTAGCATGGGAGACCTGGGGAAAATGGACGGTGGTGCCATTTACTGAAATGGGAAAGGCAGAAAAGCAGGTTTGGGGAAGCTGGAGAGGAGTTCTGTGTGGCTCCTTGGCGTCTGTGGTAACAGAATTCAATCTTGGTTGAGTCTGTGGCACTGGTTTGTTTAACTGAGCTTCTGCCTTGGTCCTGTTTTTCATTCTATTCCGATACCCCAAGAGAAATGAATCTTGCCTCACCTTTGCCAGGCCTCCTTACTGGGCTCTTGCCTCACCTCTCCCCTTGAATAGCAGGCCAGTAGAGACAGGCCATCCAGGTGTCACTTCTGATCAGGCTTTCAAGGTTAGCTACCTGCCTTACCTAGAGTTCATGAGACCCTTTTATGTCAAACTCTCTTTGCTAAGATATGGATCATCAGTCATTCAGAAGTCAGGCCCCTTCCTGACTTGTCTGTCTTGTGGACAATTGGCTTTATCCCAGTGAGTTCTGAGAGAGACAGTTGTTCAATTAAGAGAACAGATTTTTCAGACTATTAATCTGTTAGCTGGAGAAAATAAGGTGCTATGGGACAAATGGTTAGTTGTGTATAATACGTGAACCTAGGAATAATCATCAGGCTCTTGAAGACCTCATCAAGCCAGGAAATATATGCTAGTTAGCTTCAGTGGTCTTCAAGAAGAGGCTCTGCAGCTTTAAGTAATGTATCTCAAAGCTTGCAAAGGCATTTTTTTCCAAAATAAGCCTTAAAATTATAAGTATGGAGTTAGAGTCACCATGTATATTTGAATTGTACAGTGAACCACTGGGATAATTCAGGCTGAGTCCATAACCTCTTAATTATCTTTGATAGTTTAGAAAAATTTGTGCTTCCTATCCTGAATTACCAGTTAATTACAGCTGTAAACCTTACCTACTGTCTTTTATTGTAAATGATGTTCTAATTTGAGTTGGCACTCTTTTAAATGACATTTTAGGGTTCAACGTCTTTCCTAGGAGATAGAGAAAACTTAAGAAAAAGGTCTTCTAGAACCCCAAGTCTTGAAATAGCTGCCAGTAAACCAGGAACAAATTCCATATCAAAAAGAGCCTAAAGTTCATCTCTATTCTGATACACATAGTCACAATTCTAATTTTCTAGTATGAAAAACTTAATCAAATGAGGAAATATCCTGGTTTTAAAATGAATTGATGGTTTGTTTAATTAAAAATATTAAAATTTTTTATAATAATCATATTTCCCAAGGCTGCCAAACTAGTTCCTTCTTCCATATTGTGCCAAGCTATTTGGCCAGCTACATGGACAGTGACCTTATTTTATTCAAGTATACTACAGAATCAGTGAGTGGTTTTCAGCTCTAAATTTACTCCCTCTGGTGATCCTGCTAATTATAAACTTACTAGCCTTCAGGGAATGGTATTAAATATTTTCCTCTTTTGGCAACTTAGTCTCTGAATTCTAAATCGAATGATGCTTTCATGTCAAATGACCCATTCGAGTGTTTTTTAAATGTATTTTCATAAGATGCAGCATATATTTTTAGCAACTAGTAAATAATTATATTAATATACTTATACCAATTGTTTAAATCATAATGAAACACTTACTGACAAATAAAATAGCAATTACTGATATAAAATGGGGAAATAATTTTACTCTCCTGCATTTGTACAGAGAACATTTGAGTAACAGTTTTCCCAAGCAAAGTAAACCAAATATTTATCTGGTGGATTTAGGCAGCAGAACACAACACAGAGAGTTTACATGTTTCAAGAAGTTACATACCTCCTGCAAGCGATATAACCTAATATCCAAATTATCTTAGTCAATTTGAGCTTCTATAACAAAGTACTATAAACTGGGTGACATAAACAATAGAAATTTATTTCTCACAGTTCTGGAGACTGAAGTCTGAGTTCACGGTGCTAGAACGGTGAGGGACTGGTGAGGGTCCTCTTCTGGTTGCAGACTGCCAGCTTCCCATTGCACCCTCATATGGTGGAAAGACAGCTAGCTAGCTCTCTGGTCTCTTCTTTTAAGAGCACTAATCCCATTCATGAGGGCTCCACTGTCCAAAGGCCCTTCCATCAACTACTATCACATTGGGATTATAGTTTCAACATACGAAATTTGGGAAGCACACAAGCATTCACTCCATTGCACAAATCTTCTGACCCATCCTAAACTTATTAGGATTTTTCTCATTCCAGTTACAGAAATCTCATTTGAAAGTCCATAACATTATTAAGTAGCAAAAAATGATGATATCCATCCATAAGATTCATTTTCCCCACTGGCCCTTAGTGGTCCTTTAAATACTAAACATTTATAAACAATTGATGACATGAGAGGATTCCACAAGCAAAGATTTCACTCTTTTGTTTCACCTCTGATAGGCAAAAAGCCAAATGAGGTGAAGTGGATATAGGTTTAAAAAGAGACTTGAGTGACATCCCAGGGTACTGAAAGGGAATGAAGAGAAACTTAGGAAAGGTAGAAACAGATCTCAGCAGATGTTAATTTTCTTGAGTTGCTCAAATTATTTAGGACAACTGCAATGAATTCTAAGTCAACAGTCAGGAAGAAATTGATTTGGAAAAGTTAGATGGGGAGTTTAATTGAATATGAGAAAAAGCAATGAATCAGCACTTGGGTAACTGCATAGGAAATGCTGACCCAGGAATTAAGCAGACTGGCTGATCTGTAAAATGGATCAATGTTAGAAATAAAAATCACCATAATTTCCCATCTGCTACTGGCATCAAGGCAGAAAGACTAGTTTTCAAATAATAATAAAAGCAAATATTTATGGAGTGCTAACTTAACAGTTTTGCCATATTACCTTAGTTATTCTCACAACAACCTGTGGGAACTCACTGAGACCCCCAGAGTTGATATAAAGATTATTCTAAAGACATTTGAAATTCAACAGATGCAGAAAAAAGCCTTCTCAGAACTTACCTTATCTCACTAAATGCAGAAACTACTGGGAGTGAGGCTGCCATAAATCTCTTCTGGAGAATTTTACTGGCCATAAAGAAGACAGAGAAGACCGCTTGCACCTGCATAAACAAACATTATCACAAACCTTCTTCTTTTTCATTTCTTCCCCTAAATACTCATTTGTTCTTCCCTACATAGAGGGCTTTACTCCCCCCTTCTTCTCCCCCATTAAGTAACCTCTCCCCTATTAGGTATATAAACCCCCATCTTTAGTTGTTTAGAGTCACATTTTTCTGTGTGCTCCTGCGTGAATAAAAATCTATGTTTTGTCTAAGTTTAATTCCCAGGCCCTCAAGAACTGAACCTAAGAGGGTAGAGGAAAAGATTTTCCTCTCCAACAAACATTACTTACAAAGGTAAGTAATTTCATCTTCATTAAAAACATGAGAAAACTTAGACTCAAAGAAGTTATAAAATTTGCCCAAGTTCATTAAACCAGAGGAATGAGGATTCAAATCAGGTTAGGCTAGGCACGGTGGCTCACACCTATAATCCCAGCAGTTTGGGAGGCCAAGGCAGACAGATCACATGAGGCCAGCCTGGCCAACATGGTGAAACCCTGTCCCTACTAAAACTACAAAAATTAGCTGGGTGTGGTGGCACATGCCTGTAATCCCAGCTACTCTGGAGGCTGAGGCACAAGAATCGCTTGAACCCAGAAGGCGGAGGTTGCAGTGAGCCAAGATCACACCACTGCACTCCAGTCTGGGAGACAGAGCAATACCCTGTCTCAAAACAAAACAAAACAACAACAACAAAAAACACATGCAAGCTATATTATCCCAGAGTCTACACTAGTATCACTTCATTAAATTGTTCTTACATGGTCTAGAGGCTTTAGCAGCCCATGCAAATGGGCAGATCTTAAAAGTGATTCTTCTTAGTCCTTACCATCAGGTGTCCTAATTCTGAATGTTTTGGTATTTACCAGGAGGGACATTATTTGGGTGACTGCAAAGTTTACCTAAATTATTTGGTAAAAGCAAAGATAAATGAAGCATTTGACTTTATTTTACTTCCTTCACAAGCCAGTTTCTAAGGTTGGTATGTTTAATTCATTGGAAAAAATTTCTTACATACAACTGAAAACTGACTCAAGGTAAAAGAATCCAGCATGAATAAGACTTGTAATTTCTCACAGTCAGTAATGAGGAAATTGAACAGGCAATAAACAGGACATTTACCAACCAGAAACCAATGCCGTTGAACTCCCAAACATGTTCCAACTTTGCACAGCTGAAGAAACAGCCACTGAATTGTCATTACTAGCAGCCATGAAGGAAGAAGACAGCCAGCCAAGATCATGGTGAATCGACTGCAGTTCAAAGGATACGTAGTAAAGGAGTAAGCTGGGGATGCAGGTGAAAGGGAAGTAGGATGGGGGTGTAAAGGTAAAAAGAACGTCTCTGTGATAGACATAGACAGGAAAGCAAGCACTGAAGTAGGCAGCACCACAGAGCTGTGTTAAAGACACCAAGACAGATATTACTACCTCCCTCCAGTTAAAATAATCAAGATGAATTAACATGCATAGATTTCCTGGATATTTTTGAGAAAAAAAACAAGATATAAATCAATACGTGTAACATTTTTGCTTTTAAAAGTCCACAAAATGGTATATATTTCCCAGGGATATACACATATAAATGTCCATCTATATTTCCACAATAAAAAGACTGGAACCATACCATGGAAATAAACAGAGACCACCCAAAATGAGAACAATCAGAGGCTATTTATTCATTGCTTACTAAAACAAGGGAGTCAAACACCATCGCTTGTGTTTGGCAGATACTCACAGGCAGCCAAAGCAGAAATGAAAAGCTTTATAGTGAAAAGAGGGAAGATTCACAAATGCTACAATTGGAAACTTGGTTTGGGAAGCTAGAGGTGGGTAATTACAAGTGAGCCATCTTATGTGATTGGTTTGGGGAGTACATTTGGCTTTGTCTGGTTGGTCCTGAGTTAAAAGCTGACAGTCATTGACCAAGCACTGACACTTCAGAACCAATTGTATCAGAGCTTGTGGTTTGGCTTCCCAGGCTGGTTGCTGCAGAGGTTGTGTGTCCGAGTTCTATTGACATATATGGTCTGGTCCTTGTCCGTTTGTATATTTAGTCTATCAGTATGCACCAAACTAACATTAGTGGTTACTACTGGCAAGATGGGAAGGGATAGGGTCAGCAAGTAATTTCATATTTTGTAATTCTAAATTTGTTTGTAAGGAGAATATATTTACTCATTTTTTTACTTGTATAATTTTGTAAAATTCTGAAGCAAAATGGCAGAAGATTGATAGCTGTCATTCCTAATCCTCACAACACTGCAAGATGGGTTGTATTCTTATTTTACAGTGGAGGAAAGTGAGGCACTAACAGGTTAACCTGCTCAAGACCACACAGTTGATAAATAGCAAATGGAATTTAATTCCAGGCATATCTGATCCTAAAAGTTACTTTTCACTATGCCATGATCCTGCTTACAAATGTATAGTTATACTAACATTAAAAGAGAGAATGGGCTGGGCATGGTGGCTCACGCCTGTAATCCCAGCTCTTTGGGGGGCTGAGACAGGAGGATCACTTGAGCTTGAGACCAGCCTGGGCAACAAAGTGAGATCCTGTCTCTACAAAAAATTTTTAAAAATTAGCTGGGTGTAGTGGTGCATGCCTGTGATCCCAGGTACTTGGGAGACTGAGGCAGGGGGATCACTTGAGCCTGCAGTAAGCCATGTTCACCTCACTGTACTCCAGCCTGGGTGACAGAGCAAGACCCGGTCTAAAAAAAAAAGATCAGGCGCAGTGGCTCACGCCTGTAATCCCAGCACTTTGGGAGGCCAAGGCAGGCGGATCATGAGGTCAGGAGATCCAGACCATCCTGGCTAACACAGTGAAACCCCGTCTCTACTAAAAAATACAAAAAATTAGCCAGGGGTGGTGGCGGGTACCTATAGTCCCCGCTACTTGGGAGGCCGAGACAGGAGAATGGCATGAACCCGGGAGGCAGAGCTTGCAGTGAGCTGAGATCGTGCCACTGCACTCCAGCCTGGGCAACAGAGCAAGACCCCGTCTCAAAAAAAAAAAAAAAAAGAGAATGGCCATTTTTACTCCTTACAAAGGGTGAGCATAACATATTGGATTAACCCAATATTGCATCTATTAGTACAATATTAGCATCTATTTACTAAAGTGGTGTTAGAACTCAGAAATGGCTGTTGCCATTGCAAGTTGAGTTATCTGAAGTTACAGAACTTGACACGACATCACATGACAGTCCTGCCTGAAGTCTGATTCTTTGTACTTCCAGAAGGGTAGCTTTGGCTTTTGAGAAAGAGATAGCATTTAAAATGTAGTTATAACTAATGAGAAAGTAGGTATCTTTCAGAAAATTCCTTGTAGAGCACCATCTATCACCTATATTGTTGATAATGGTGTTGGCCAATTTCTAATCTAGGAAATGCTAATGAATCAATTTCCTATAAGTTTAAAGCAGTTGTGTGAACCAGCTGATTGTTTTTCACGTGGTAATGTAGCTAACTTAACTTTGATTACCTTGGTGATCAAGAACTTGTAAAGGTACCTCTAAATTAAGAAGGGCTAACCAATTGTTGCAGGATTAAACTCTTCTCTTTAAAATCTTTAATTGGAACCACAGGTTGTAATGATCTGTAATTTAAAAAACAACAGTTTTTATGTTGGGTAACTACAAAACTCACATGGAAAAACAGATTAATATCTATAAACATTTTTGCTATTTACTGCCCTAAATATTACCTCGAGATTTACATAGTAACTCAGGGCTTCTCAACACTGAAACAGCACATTAAAATCACCTGGAGAGCTTAAACAATAATATCAAGGCCCTCCTCCCTTCCTCCAAGATTCTGATTTAATTGGTCTAGGGAAGGTCTCTGCATCAGTATTTTTAAAAAGATCACTAATTGATTCTATAAGGCAGCCTAAGCTGAAAAGCACTGCTATAGATGAAGATGATAAAATGAAAAGGACTTCATGATGCGGTTCAGTTTGTTTACCAGCATCCATCCCTTTGGAGAATCATTATTTCCTATGCTGTGAGGTCCTGGTAAGGCTGACCCTGACTCTTCTCATCCATAGCGAGTCCTCATAGTGTGCACATGACCCAGTTCAGAGTAATGCTTTGTATATGTTGATGCTATATAATTAGATACACATACATTTTATACCCTCATGGTGGCTTAGTATTTTTGTCATTATGAAGCATACATTTTATTTTTACAAATGCTTTTACCTTATAGTTTGCTGATATGGTTTGAATGTCCCTGCCAAAACTCATGTTGAAATTTAATTGCCATTGTGAAACTGCCTTTGCAAAAATTATAACTGAGAGAATTATGACAGTGAAAGAGATCTGAGCTAACCAACGCCATCTTGCCTTTAACCTCAAACTGTCCTTGATCATTCCTGGGTGTAGGCCAAGCTAACTTTGGGATAAATTTAATTTATAGTTTAAATGAAAATAACACTTCCCCAAAACTAAACCACCTTTATAAAACTAATGAAAGGCCACCAGATTAGGAAGATGAGAGGGGCCTGAATCCTGCTAAAATACAGGTATAAATGATTACCAGCCATTATTCCAGAAGTCAAGAAATTTATTAACTTCTTCCATTACTCCTGTATTGATTTTTTGAGATGTCTTTTCAGGCTTTTGCACTTCTGACTACCAGATAGCCCCATCTGGACCTGCAATTCGGGATTCAACCAGTCATATGGCCCCCACACAGAAGCAGACACAGTGCAGGAGGGCTGCTTTCCACACCCCTATGATTGCATCTCCAACCAATCAGCATTTCCTAATCCCTAAACCCCTGCCTGTCAAACTATCCTCAAATAGCCTCCGAATTTTCAGGGAGGCTGATTTAAGTAATAATAAAATTCCTGCCTCCTGTTTAGCTTGATCTAACATGTATTAAACTCTCTATTACAATTCCCATGTCTTGATAATAGGCTCTATCTGGACAGCGGGCAAAATGAACCCACTGGGTAGTTACAATTGTAATAGTGTTATGAAGTGGGGTCTTTAAGAGGCGATTAGGTCAAGAGGGCAGAGCCCTTATGAATAGATCAAAGCCATTATGATGGGAGTGGGTTAGTTATCACTGGAGTGGGTTCCTAATAAAAGGATGAGTTTGGCCAGATTTCCTCTCTGTCTGGAGTATCACAATTTAAACATCATGCTTGTAAACAGTACAGCATTGACTTTGTCACTTAATGAAGTATTTTCTTCTTTTACATTTAATGTAGTTATTGATATGTTTGTATTTAAATCTACCATTTTATGAAGTGCTTTCTGTTTATATTGTCTTCCTTTCTTGTTTTCTTTTTGGATGCAATTTTAATTGCATTTTGCCCTCTGAATTATCTTGAGGTTATATAAAAATCACTTAGGAAGATACTACTGTTTCTTTTTATTATCTAATTAATTTTGCAGTCATATTTTATTTTCAAGCAGACATGCAACAATACGTGTTTCATTTTATTATAGTCATGAGAAAAGCATGTTTGAAAAGCAAGCCATTATAATTTTGAGAGAAGTTCTGGGGAACTTCCTGGGGGAGGTGAATAGTCATTTGATCCTGTGATCTACATTAGAGGCTGGCAACCTATATCCCATGCACAAAATATAACCCAAAGACTGGTTTCAGATGGCCTGTAAGCTAAGAAAGGGCTTTACATTTTTAAAGGGTTGAAAAAAAATTAAAGAAACATATGTGACAGAGACCATGTATTATCGATCTGGCCCTGTACAGAAAAAGTTTGCTGATGACTCTCCTATATCATCTTGCCAAGACCTGTAAAGGTCTGAGAGTTTTCCCCTCCTTGCAGACCAATAAATTAGCTTGCTACAATTTCATGGATGCTAGTGGGAGACAGGATAACCCAGTGTAAGAAACAAAGGACTTTGTTATTTACAGCAATAGCAGTCATCAGAACATCAGCATTAGTACCAATTCCTTATGCCCTAATTTCCACCAGGTAATAAGAAGAGAGCCAGGTGACACCAGCATGCACAGTAGCTGTGTTACAGGAGAGGATAATGAGCTTAGGGCACCCAAATCTTTTATAATGGACAGTAAGCACACCTGCTCTTTGCTCTGCAGGGAGACATTATCTCAATCTTCCAAGGCTGTTTGCTATTACAAATTACAAATATTTAAGAAAAGATAGTTTGGAACAAAGTCAATGCCTCTAATTACAAGATATAGAGAAACACAAGAGAATCATGGAGCACTGTGATCCAATAATCTAAATTTGTATCTATAGCGGCCTTCAGATTTTATAATAGTTATATCATTTCAAAAGTTCATCTGAGCCAAGTGCTAAAATATTTTCAGTATTATCTTAAAGGGTGGAGGAAATAATAGTTACATCACCTCATAGGGATTTCTAAAGGCAATTTAAAATCTTAACGTTTAAAAAATTATTACTCAGCTATTTAAAAAATTCTGATATGCAGAAGGACTGATTTATGGTATGGGCCAGGTAAGTGATAACTTACTCTACAGTCATCTTCTAACTAATTTGGTAACTTGACATTTTCTTTGGTGGATGCATAAACTATATCATGTTCTATAAAATTTTATTACTACAGTCCAAAATGTTTTAAAATTATCCCAGAATTTGGCTAGGCACAGTGTACAGTTAGCTGTAATCCCAACATTTCTGGAGGCCGAGGCAGGTGGATCACCTGAGGTCAGGGGTTCGAGATCAGCTTGGCCAACATGGTGAAACCCCATCTCTGTTAAAAATACAAAAATTAGCCTGGTGTGGTGGCACACGCCTGTAGTTCCAACTACTCAGGAGGCTGAGGATAGAGAATCGCTTGAACCTGGGAGGTGGAGGTTGCAGCGAGAAAAGAGCGCCACTGCACTGCAGCCTGGACAACAGAGTGAGACTCTATCTCAAATAACAGTAATAATAAATAAATAAATAAATAATCAATCCCAGAATTTAATAGTACACATTTTACAGAAGAAACTTAAACACTTTAAGGACATTTTAAAATGTATTGATTTAACAAGTATTATAGTTGATATTTAACATCTAGAAGTAGAGCTCACTAAGTAGTTTTCTCGCAGCATTATAAATGGAACAGTGTTTCTAAAAATTATGACTTTTTTAAAAAGAATTCTTTTACAAGATAAATGTTTACAAGGATGTAAACTATGTAACATTTAGTTAAATATTTAACAAGCTGCTTCTATTAGAAACAGTAAGGTGTAAAATTGGGAATCTTTGAGAAAATCTAGATCATCTTTAAATGTCTGATATGGGACAGTTAGCAGAATTCTCTAATATGAAACCTTTTTAACCCTAGAAACTCAAAGTATGAAATCCAGTCAGAACTGATCTGATGTTGCTTTAATATAGGCCTGAGCTGGAGAGCTCTGGAGAAAGCAAGATTACTTTGGGGACAATATGGAATCCCTTTAGGGACAATATGGAATCTCTTGTGTCCAACTAAGTATGGTCTAGTAGCTTTGAGTTTCTAGCCTACTGAACAAAAGCTGCAGCTAAGATCTGATGTTCCACTACATAATTTTACTGAGTAATTTTAACATAACTTTATAACATATAGGAAGGAAGAATATAAACTAAAAAAGTCTTGCATGATTAGTTGCTCTTCACTACTTAGTGTTTCTATTTAGATTTGTTCAGTCTCTTTACTATAGTTTGGGTTAAACTATAAGTCATTTTAGCTGAGGACTAAGTATGGACTAGGTTCATGTGGACTATTTTTATATATTCATATACTAACTCATTTAGACATCCTTAAGTGTTTTGATAAAATCATATTTTAACTGTTCTATTAAAATATCTATTATATGCTTTCCAAGGCAAATATAGAATATAGAAAAAGTCCGCATAAATAAATTTCATTTCATTTCATTTATCACATGCCAACATTTAACCAAATAAATTTTATAGAGATGCTGGAACATCTGCTAGTCTCTGATAGGGTGTTCTAGGTGAGGTGAGGACCAGCAGTTTGAAGGAAGTTTGGAGAAAAGGATTACTTTATGTCTGGTAAGATAATGTTCTTTACTAATAAAACTTTCCCACCTATTGACTTTTAGGACGCCTGAAGGAAAAAGAAAATAGGAATCATTTAAATGTTAAACACATTGTTAAACACATTTTTTTTGACAACCCAAACTCATTAGATTTATCATATTCATCTGTCTGCTGTGATTTTTTTTTCCCTAGGTGTGTTCTCACAGACTTCTTTGAAAAAAAGAAAGAAAACGGGCTGAGTTATATGTGAACTAAATTTACCTATCATTATACATTTACAAGACAAATGGCAACACAGGAAATGGGCTTCTAAGCAATTTGGAAATTATATATAACCTGAAAGTCACAAAGAAGATTAAAATTTATGTACAAAAAGTTATAAACAAAATATAAAAATTAACCACAAAATGGGAAAAATATTTGCAACACATAATAGACAAAAACATTAATTTAATTTACAAGTTTTACAAATCACTAAAAAAATGCAACTTAGAAAAATAGGCAAAAGATATTAACAGGCAGTTGACAGAGAAAGAAAAGCAAATGAAATCATGCTAAACTTCACTCATAATTAAATAAATGCAAACTAAAATAAGTTATATTTTTCAACTATGAGAGCAGTAAAGATAAAATATTCTGACAACACACAATGTTGGCAAGTAGCAGTTCATAGAAATGTAAATTAAAACAACTTTTTAGAGGGCAATTTTGCCATACCCATCAAAATTAAAAATGCTTGTACTGTCTCAACTGTAATTTTATAGCTAGGAATTTAAATGAATAAACTCTCAAAAATTGCAAGGTTCATTTTCCAGTGTACTCACTGATCCATTACTGGTAATAACAAAAAATGGAAAATAATCTAAATCTCCATCAGTCTGCCTGAATAAATTATTATATACCCAATCAATTCAATATTATTTAGCATTGAGCAGAAAGAATCATACATCGTGTTAAAAAGTGAATAAAAAAACATGTGCATTATGATCCGTTTACTTATATGAAGAAATATATATAAATTTTTTCAGGAAACGAAACAATGAGGCAACTAAAACAGATCTTTAGGGAGAGGAATTAGTAGACTTCATTTTTCATTTTATATCTTTATGCCTGATTTAAACTTTTATTTTGCCACATATATGTAAAAAATTTGTACATATATAACATATTTTAAATAATAGTTATTGTAGTACTATTAAATAATATTTTAGAGAAAAGAAACTACACAGATAATTGTTCACAGGCCCAGTCATTCAATATATATGGTATAGAATTCATCTCATCCACATTGAGATACCTTTTCAAAACAATGACTGCAAAAAAAGGGGTTTCCATTCTTTTTAGATGTTATTTTTAAATTCATTTCATAATAAAATCCAATACCATAGTATAACTCATTTTTTTCCCTTTCTCCAGAAACTTTAAGCAAATACTTGAAGTTATAGTAAAGGATCTTAAAATAATACCATTCTTGGTTCAACCACTTGGGGAAACAGTGTGTCTTTATCTATTGAAGGTGAAGCTATACATACTCCATGAACCAGCAATACCGTACTAAATATACACCCTAGAGAGAAATCTACTCATATATTCACCATGGTATGTGTATACAAATGTTCACAGCAGAGTGTTTATAATAGCAAAAAACAAAAGCTAACCTCAAAACTACTAAAATAGTAATTAACATTAGAATGGCTATATTAATTATGGTATATCTATACAATGGTATATCTATACAAAGAATCATCCTTAGGCTTGCAGAACAAATTTTAAGGTTTGGGCATTTATAATTCAAAAATAAAGTACAAAGAGGCTGAATATGGAACTGTGTCCAAACCATCATAATAAAAATTAGTACCAGTACAGAGAAGAGATTCTATATTTAGATTAGAAGATGGAACTTCTAATTACTTCTTCATTATTAAACCTTTAATATTCATTCCTAAATTAGATTTAGCCATTCCTTTTCAAGAACATTACATTTCCTGATATATTTCATAAATTGCAAATGCTCTTAAACAATCAGACTAATATATCCTTCCTATCATCATTATTCATATTAACCTATCCTCACAGAAAGAAACCTCTAAGAGATGAAAAAAAAAAAAGTGTAAGAAGCATGTCAAGAGGCTAAAAACCACTACTTAACAAAACAATCTTTTTTTCTTTTTCTTTTTTTTTTCTTGGAGATGGAGTCTCACTCTGTTGCCAGGCTGGAGTGCAGTGGCATGATCTCGGCTCACTGCAACCTCCGTGTCCTGGGTTCAAGCAATTCTCCTGCCTCAGCCTCCCGAGTAGCTGGGATTACAGGCGTGTGCCACCACACGCGGCTAATTTTTGTATTTTTAGTAAAGACGGGATTTCACCATGTTTGCCAGGATGGTCTTGATCTCTTGACCTCGTGATTCGCCTGCCTCGGCCTCCCAAAGTGCTGGAATTATAGGCGTGAGCCACCACACCCAGCCTTTTTTTTTTCTGAGATGGGGTCTCACTCTGTCACCCAGGCTGGAGGGCAGTGGCATGATCTTGGCTCACTAAAATCTCAAAATCTCTGCCTCCTGGGCTCAATGAATTCTCCCACCTCAGCCTCCCAAATAGCTGAGACAACAGGCGTGTGCCACCATGCACGGCTAATTTTTGTATTTTTTGCAGAGATGGGTTTTCACCCTGTTGCGCAGGCTGGTCTCGAACGCCTGAGCTCAAGAGATCCTGCCACCTCAGCCTCCCAAAGTGCTACGATTACAGGCGTGAGACACCAAGTGATAAGGTTTGACAAATCTCATCTTGAATTGTAGCTCCCATAACTCCCCCATGTTATGGGAGGGACACGGTGGAAGATAATTGAATCATGGGGGCAGTTTCCCCTGTACTGTTCCCGTTAGTGAATAAGTCTTACGAGATCTGATGGGTTTATAAGTGGAAACACCTTTCACTTGGCTCTTATTCTCTTGTTTGCCACCATGTAAGACATAGCTTTTGCCTTCTTCCATTATTGTGAGGCCTCCCCAGCCACGTGGAACTGTGAGTCCATTCAACCTCTTTTTATTTATAAATTACCCAGTCTCAGGTATATCTTTATCAGCAGTGTGAAAATGAACTGATACACCATGCCTGGCCAAAACCAAAATCTTCTTAACTCATGTTCCACATTTAAATATATGGTAGCAGTGGTGAAGGAGAGTGAAGAGAAGTTTTGAATTGTTATAGTATACATGCACACACAGGTTCACACGCACACACAAACCATTTTGTAAGGGGAACATTTATTTTAAATCTTAGCCATGTGTTAATTTTCACTTAATATTTGTAGGAACATTTTCAGTTACATGTTCAACATAATACCATTTTAATACTAGTATTAAAAATGTTTTATAACCCTTTATAACACAGGAAAACACAGGTTTCTACCAATGGGCAGAACTTGTCATCATGGGGGATTCCAGTAAAAGACTATTTCCCAATCTGCTACGTACAGCCGACTGCCTAAATTTGGACCAATGGATTTGGTGTGTGTGTGTATGGTAGGAAGTTGTTTTCTCCTCTCTAGGTTTTCCTTCTCACTGACGAGATAATAGCAACAAATAAAGGCTCCCATCTTTAATTCAGATGAAGAAGCCTCCTGATGAGAAGGACAGAGCTGCCTGGCCAGCTTCAGACAGGTCATTTCTAGATTGCTGTCTGAGTAGAACAGAAATGTCTGTTATTTCAGCACTGAAATTTGAAGATATTGTTATAGAAAATTTTAACACAAAAGTCTAAATATTCAGTTAAATTATTTGTAGGAAATAGTTCAATCAATGTCATTAGTCAAGGCAAAAATCTTTGTCATAAGAATTAGGGGATAAAAACAAAATCTTAAAAATATGTACACATGAATTTTTATGTATATGCTCATGTGACATTAAAGGTCTCTCCAGGCATTACATCAGCAGTCCCCAACCTTTTTGGCACCAGGGACCATTTTCTTCCATGGATTGGGGTGGTGAAGGTGGATGACTTTGGGATGATACAAGAACACTACATTTATTGTGCACTTTATTTCTATTATTACTACATTGTAATATATAGTGAAATAATTATACAACTCACCACAACATAGAATCAGTGGGAGCCCTGAACTTGTTTTTCTGCAACTAGATGGTCCCAGCTGGGGGTGTTGGGAGACAGTGACAGATCATCAGGCATTAGATTCTCATAAGGAGCACGCAACCTAGATGCTTCACAGGCACAGTTCACAATAGGGTTCATGCTCCTATAAGAATCTAATGCCACTGCTGATCTGACAGGAGATGGAGCTCAGGCAGTAATGCGAGTGATGGGGAGTGGCTGCAAATACAGATGAAGCTTCTCTTGCTTGCCCACTGCTCATCTCCCGCTGTGCAGCCTGGTTCCTAATGGTACCATTCTGTGGCCCAGGGGTTGGGGACTCCTGCATTACATCAAAGTAAAAATCACACACACACAAAGACCAAGATACTTACAGTAATAAATTTTCTAAATAGTTGAATGTCAACACTATGATAAACAAAATTGCAATGCAACTAACTGGAGAAAACCAATTTAGTTTAGGGTTTTTGTCCATAATACATGAAAAAGCTCTTAAAATGGGTAAAATGACAAAGAACATTGTATTAATAGATTTTTGGTTGCAAGCCACAGAAACCAAGACTCTGGTTAACTTAGATGAAGTGAATTACTGTAAGAGTATGGGAAAGTTAAATGAAAGAAGAAACAGATGCAGAAAGGACAACGGAAGTAGTTCCAGAGGGTGCTGCTGGCAGGAACTACCATACTGTCTTCCCTGAGTACTGCCACTGGAATGGACAGTTCCTTAGAAACAGACTGAGGTGGCATAGAGATGGCATAGAGAAAGCATAGAGAAATGGCATAGAGGAAGTTTGATTGAGAGTATACTCAGGAGACACAACTATAAGGAAATGAGGAAGGCAGGATTGGGCAGAGGAAGCAGCAGACTCACAGTGAGGATGCAGCTGAAGCCTCAGTCCATCCTACAGGGTGTTCTTTGAGGTAGTGGCTCTTTAGATTGTCCCAAATACAGTCAATGCCCTTTATATTGACCATCAGCTAGTCAGTGGCCTTGGGTTGCCCTCAGGCAAGGCAGTTGCCCAGGGAGGGAGGAAGTGAGATATAAGCAACTAAGAGTCCCACAACTGGACTTACTTTTCTGACTTTGCATCACACCACCCAAAATTCAAAACACTTATGAGAGCCAGATTGGCACATTTGGTCATATGCTCACAATTTGGCTGGGGCAGGCAAGCTCCTCTATTATGTCCTTCCAAAACTACACACAGAGAGGTAATTCCAGTAAAAGAATTACCCCCACCTCACCAAAGAAACAAAACAAAACCCAAACAAAAACAACAAGAAAAATGTGTATGCTATTACCACAACAAGAGAGAATGGAAACCCCACTTCTAGGATACAGTAATGGTCTTCTATAGATATCAATGGGCAATTCAGAAATAAAAATATATAAATGATTAAGAAACTTTAAAAACTATAACCTCACTAGAAGTCAATGATCTGCAAATTAAACTTTTGTTGTTTTTTTTTTTTGCTAATCAGATTGACAAAGATTAAGAAAGATTTTACTCTGACTTTATAAGGGTGGTGGAAGGCAGAAATTCAAACACAATGTTGACAGAAGGATAAATTGATAATAACCTTTCTGAAAATCAATTTTGATATGTATGCCAAAAGTTTTAAAAATATACATACCCTGCTATTTCACTTCTAAGAATTTATCCTAAGGAAATACTCAATTAAGAAAGATATATGCACAAAGACATCCAATGTAGCACTGCTTGCTCTTATTTAAAAATGAAATAAACAGGGTTCAAAAATAGGTGATAGAGTCAGTAAATTATGATAAATCTACATGATGCAATATTATGAAGCCATTAGAAATCATGCAATTGCAAGATATCCATTTTCATATATAGAGAAATGTTCACATTACTGGTTTTAAAAACTATAAAACATACCATAAATCATTTTGTAATACCATAAACAGGAAAATGTTATTTCAGGGTGATGGCATTATAAGTGTTACTTCCTTTTGCTTTTTTCCTATGACTTCTATATTAATTATTACTTTATAAATAGAAAGATGTTATAAATAATAAATATCTACTTGACTTATAGATATTAAATTCTTGATATATATCCTATTATATATCAAGAATTATATATTATATCAAGAATTATATAATATGGAATATATATCAATAATATCTATCTATATTATATAATATATATTAAGAATTTTATGTCTCTAGAAATTGGTTACAATTCAACCAGGCATGGTGGGTGTCTCAGCCTGTAATCCCAGCACTTTGGGAGGTCAAGGCCGGCAGATCACTTGAAGTCAGGAGTTCGAGACCAGCCTGGCCAACATGGTAAAACTCCATCTCTACTAAAAATACAAAAATTAACCAGGCCTGTTCGTGAGCACCTGTAATCCCAGCTACTTGGGAGATTGAGGCAGGAGAATCACTTGAACCCGGGAGGCAGAGGTTGCAGTGAGCCGAGATCATGCCACTGCACTCCAGCCTGGACAACAGAGAGAAACTCAGTCTCAAAAAAAAAAAAAAAAAAAAAAAAAATTGGTTACAATTGAGGTGGAATTTTAGTTCAAATCTCTTAAAAAACAAGAAACATTTCTTGACTAATCAGAAGAGCTGATACTCAGGGCCATATTCAAAGTCAGCTGGTACTTCAGTTTTAAATGAAAACAATTACATGAACCGTAATAACCTGCCTTTACCTTCATACTCATGTTTTTAAAAACTGCCATATTGAACCTAATAGTTTTGGCCCACATTTAAAGGAAGATTAAATTACTTGGAAAGGGCCCAGAGGACAGTAATAAAAATAATTACATACTTAGAAATTTGGTCCTATAATGACATGCAAGAGGAAATCATTTAGAAAATAAAACTGAAAATAACCTTACACTTTTACGGGTTACCATAACCTCTGAAGAATGGGACAAGAAGCCAAAGAATTGAATTATAATGAGAATAATTTAATTTAGTCATTAGGAAGAACATCTTATTCCTCAATAAGTATTTGAGTGATTATTAATGTCCAATGCTATGGCATAAGGACTTGTAACCACTAGGATGTGTTACTAGAAATTATTTTCTTAAAAGTGTCAGAGGTAGAATATTGTGCAAAGTAGGGGCTTATTACATAACCCTTTAAGATCTTTTCCATATTTATGATTTTTACAAAATTTCAGGCATCTAGAATAATTATAAAAACATATCTTATTTTTATGGCTTTTTAAAAGTGAAAATAGATTAATAATTAAGAAATATAAGAGGATAAAAATATTAGAGATTTTTCATTAACATTGAGGAAAATATAAGTATACAGTTAGTTAGGAAACGCATTATATTATTTGACTCCATAAAGGGGAAGCAATTAAACTAATTATTAAGATATGAGTACATGTGTGTTAAGTGTCAGTATTTGTATTTTAAATCTCTTTTTTTTTAAAGTATAGTGCAATGTAGTGAATGCAGACAAAATGTTCCTATAACATATCTGTACAGATTTTTTTCTAAGACGGGAGTCTTGCTATGTTGTCCAGGCTGGTCTTGAACTCTGGGGCTGAAGCGATACTCCTGGCTTAGCCTCCCTAGTAGCTGGGACTACAGGCACACACCAACTTACCAGTAACACATTAGTTTTAAGGGGCTCAGATGAAGGAAAATAAAATGGATTTAAGATGAGTAAAAAAGAATCCTCCTTTGTCTGGGCTTGTTCCATCTTCCAAATATGTAGCAGCAACATAATGACACTAAAAACTGCCCTAAAAATCTGTAACAGAAAAAAAAAATAGCTTACATGCTACTCAAAAAATTACCTAAATACCTCTCAAAATCAAAACAAAAAGCAAAGTAAAAAATAAAACAGGACATACTTGCAAGAAAAGATATGACCTAAAGGTTGTATCTTAGCCCTGTTTGTTTTTTGAATAAAATATTAAGTTTTAAGCATTTATTTACTGTTTACATACATTAGGCCTTACCATATTATCAGGCACTATTCTAAGTATTTTACGAATAGTACTTTATGTAATCCTCATAGCTCCACAAGTATGAGGGTGTGGTGGCTCATGCCTGTAATCCTAGCACTTTGGAAAGCAGACTGCTTAAGTCCAGGAGTTCAAGACCAGCTTAGGCAACATGGCCATACCCTGTTTCTACAAAAAACAAAAAAATTAGCCGGGGATGGTGGCCTGCACCTGTGGTCCCAGCTACTCAGGAGGCTGAGGTGGGAGGATCACTTGAGCCTGGGAGATCAAGGCTGCAGTGAGCTGTGATCTTACCACTGCACTCCAGACTGGGTGACAGAGCGAGACTCTGTCTAAAAAAAAAAAAAGCTACCATTGTTATACCCCATTTTATAGATTAGGAAACTGAGGCACAGAGGTCACACTAAGCCAAGATCACACAACAAATAGCGGAGCTGATGGAGCTGAGATTCAAATCCAGGCAGTCTGGTGCTGGAGTCCATGTGTGTAATCACTAAGCTATTATATACAAGTAATTCCTTCAAATATTAATATTTGATAACAATTTTGAACTTTGAAGTTTGCAAATATCCACAGCCTGTATAGTTAGAAGTACAAAAGTAATCACAAATAACTTTTCTAATACAGATTTTAAATTGGAAAAGATTTCTTTGAATAGCTTTACAACAAACATGTGTAGACAAAAGTAGGGATAAGAAAGAAAGACTGTTTTTTAAATGCATTTGTCATGAATTTACTACCTGGGTAAGCAAAAAACTTGAGCTGTCTCTTTTGAAAGACATAATTTACAAATATGAATTTATATATTGTCTAGAGGAAAAGCACAGTACAATTTCAATTAATGTTTAATTCTATGACTGACTAAAATCTTTATAATATTTTTAATTAAAGAAGAAGGTGACCGGGACTTAGGTAAGAAAGCAAAATTATAACATTTACTACATAACAAGTTTTTTGTTTTTTTTTTTACATAAACAAGCTTTGTTTCTTACAAAAAAAAACAAGCTTCTTCTTTTTTTTTTTTTTTTGGATACAGAGTCTCACTCTGTCGCACAGGCTACAGCATAGTGCCGCAGTCTCGGCTCAATGAGGCCTCTGCCTCCCGGGTTCAAGCAATTCTCATGCCTCAGCCTCCCTAGTAGCTGGGATTACAGACATGCACCACTACACCCAACTAATTTTTGTATTTTTAGTAGAGACAGGGTTTCCCCATGTTGGCCAGGCTGGTCTCGAACTCCTGGCCTCATCTGATCCGCCTGCCTCGGCCTCCCAAAGTGCTGGGATTATAGGCATGAGCTACTGTGCTAGGCCTATAAAAAAGCTTCTTTAGGGTAACTTTTTTCTTTTTTCTGTAACAGAATAATCACATTATTTCTCAAGGGAAATACCATTTACTCAATTTGTACTCTGAATGCCATCTAATAAAACAGCAAAGCCACAACCATGCAGAATGTCAGCACAGCATGTCTAACTAAAACTCACTGTAAGAAAAAAAAGGAAAAGAGAGCTGATTTCAAAGGTTCTACATGGCTTTGCACTTCACATGCTCTGATGCTGCAGATATGAGAAGTTGTAGGTCTAACATAATTTATATCTTCTTTTAGGATACTTTGGCATTTGTGAATTGAGAAGTTTGGAAAACAACTACGCAAGTCACTTCTAATCCTAAAATTCCAACTACATGAAATAAATATTAGTAAGTACTCAGACACACACAATGTCAAAGGCTGGCCTTGTGGCAAAAAGGAAATACAGCAAAATCAGTCAGGTTCCCACCACGGCACTGATAGCAAGTCTGTTCTCAAGGTTAGTCTCTAAACTGACACCTGGTAAGTCTGACAATGAAATATTTGCCAACAATTAAGTAAAGGAGATCTCTCCTGATAAATTTTTCATAAGTTTCACATAATACACTTTGATATTTCCTGGAATGTTTGTGGCCCTCCCCTCACTGCATTGCTCTCTCATTTTGTTGGCTAATACATGTTACTAAAGTCAATATATATTCAACTCATTTTTCTCTGCCTCTTGGCCCAATTTAACACAGCTGATCCTGTTTTCAAATGCCTTCATCTGATTTTCTTCTCACCTCCTGACCTTTGTAGGTCTTTTATGTGCTCATTAATGTTGGAATTACTTATTTTTTCCTTAACCAAGTTTTTCATCTGTAAAATGGATGTAATCTTATGATTTTCTTCATAGTGTTGCGAGAATTCAGTAAGATTATGAATGTATAGATTTTGGCACAGTATCCAGGACCTAAATTCTCTATAAAGGCTAACTACTATTACTACTATCAACTCACAGCTAGATTAGTGAAATTGTGTCCTGACTTTCCATGCTTATTCTTCCTCTTCTCCACTCTTCTGCTCATAATATAACTAGTTTTATTTTTATTTATTTATTTTTTGAGACAGTGTCTCACTCTGTCGCCCAGGCTGGGTGCTGTGGCACAATCATAGCTCACTACAACCCCCACCTCAAGTGATCCTCCCACCTCAGCCTCCCAGGGAGCTGGGAATACAGGTGCGTGCCACCACGCCCCACTAATTTTTGAATTTTTGTGGGTTTTTTTGGTAGAGATGGGGTTTCATTATTGTTGTCCAGGCTGGTCTCGAATTCCTGAGCTCAAGCCATATACCCGCCTTGGCCTCCCAAGTGCTGGGATTACAGGTGTGAGCCACCTTGCCAGGCCTAGAGAGTTTTAATAAGCACAAATCTGATTATGTGCCCCTCAATCTATCCAGAAACCCATTAATGCTTTTATAGGGCTTTTAGAATACAGACACATCTCTTACTACTTTTGCCCCCAATCCTTCCCTATGCTTTAACCAAACTGATTTCAAGCTTCTTGCTTCTTTGATAGTCCCTGCTCACTCCATGAGGGCATTTGTCCACAATATTTCCCTTGTTGGAAACCCTCTAGTGACAATTTGGTCCTAATTTTCCTTTAGACCTTTGCTAAAAAGTCACTTCTGTCTTGACTAAGTCTGGCCTATTTTGCATTTTCCTTATACTACGTTCCTATCCCCTAGAACTTCTGTTTGCAGTTACAAATTTATATGAGTGACTACTATTTATTATTAATACACATTTGTGTGTTTCTTCCAACAGACATCTCAGACTAAGCTCCTGATATTCATCCAACCCAAACCTGTTCCTTTAACCTCCTTTGCCATCTCAGAAAATAGCAATACTATTCTTCCAGTTGCTGAGGTCAAAACCCTTGGACTCTCACACTTCACATCCATCAGCAAATTCTATTGTTTCCCCAGAATTCAACTACTTTTCCCCATTTCCACTGATACCCACTGTGGTCAAAGCGCTATCATCACTTCCTGGATTGCTGTAATACCTCTTAACACATCTCCTTGCTTCTTTGACCCAACCATTTATCCCTTGCCTACCTACAAGACAGCTAGATGAATCCTTTAAAAATGGCAGATGTCATTCCTCCACTGAAACCTTCCAATAACCTGCCATCTGCCAAGGACTGTTGTGTACCCTGCTAAATTAATATGTTGAAGCCCGAATCCTCTCCTCACTCCTATGTGACTGTATTGGAGACAGTCCTTTTAAGGAGATAATTAAGGTTAAATGAGGTGATCAGGGTAAAGCCCTGATTCCACAGAACTGGTGCCCTTATAAGAAAAGAGACAACGCTCTCTTTATCATCTGAGGAGACATTGAGAAGGTACTGTCTGCAAGCCAAAAAGAAAACCCGAACATGATCATGCTGGCATTCTGATCTCAGACTTCCAGCAGGCAGAACTGTGAGAAAATATATTTCTACTGTTTGAGCCACCCAATCTATGTATTTTGTTATGGCAGCCTGAGCTGACTAACACACTATTCTACTAAAAAAGTCAAGTATGTCTAACAGCCAAAAAAGGTCCTAAACATTCTGATCTACTACATCCCATATCCTAAGCTCTCTGATGTAATTGCCTTTGATTCTTCACATCTCTTAAGCAAGTTCCAGCCAAACTGGCTTACATGCAATTCCGTGAGCATGCTAAGCATGCTCCTGCCTTTGGGTCTTTGGTTTCCCTCTGCTTCAGACACTTTTTTTCCCAAGAACTCATATCACTCACTTCCTTACTCAAATATCACCTTCTCAGTGAGGCCATCCTATGGAAAATTTTATGATCCTCATTTCACACAAATATCCCATTTCCCTTTCCTTAGTACTCACTGCTTGGATGCTATGTATTTTACCTATTTATCTTGTCTATTGTTTCTCTTTCTCACTAGAAAGAACTCCATGAGAGATGGGATTGTCCGTTTTGCTCACTGCTATATCCCGTAAATACAGAGTAGCTCATAGTACCTGTTCAGTATTTATTCAACTAAATGAATGTTGAATTCCAATAGTGGCAGAATTCGTTGTGGAGCTGAAAGGTACTGCACGGATCAACTACTAATGCAGCAATTCCCTAGTAGAAAACTGCACTGCTTAAAGGACCACCTCATTTTTCTGGCCTCCTCTGGTTATTACTAAAGCTCAAAAGGAGCTTTAAAAATCCTGATGCAACAGCTGTTTTCCCCTCTCACCGTCTTTAAAAATAGAGATAATAAAATAGCCTGAAAAGTTGTCAAGTTCAAGTAAGATCATGTTTATGACAATTTTTTGAAAATTGCCTGGTTGCAGCTTTTACTTACAGCATTTTCAAACAGTTCTGCCAACTCTGTGGCTCTTTCATCATGTTTCAAGTGTTCAGCAAACGATGGTGTTCGTCTCCATAAAGTCAAAGTTTAAAAATACAAGGGCCGGGCGCGGTGGCTCATGCCTGTAATCCCAGCACTTGGAGAGGCGGAGGTGGGCGGATCACGAGGTCAGGAGATCGAGACCATCCTGGCTAACACGGTGAAACCCCGACTCTACTAAAAATACAAAAAATTAGCAGGGCGTGATGGCGGGCGCCTGTAGTCCCAACTACTCAGGAGGCTGAGGCAGGAGGAGAATGGCGTGAACCCAGGAGGCGGAGTTTGCAGTGAGCCAAGATCGCACCCCTGCACTACAGCTTGGGCGACAGAGCGAGACTCCGTCTCAAAAAAAAAAAAAAAAAGTACATAAATAAAAACCAAGTAATTGGAGGACGCCATTCATTGATTTTACTTAGGACTTTGGGCATAATCTATAGGTTTAAAAATTTCTGCTGCTAAGAAAGTGGGAACACAGTTATATTCCCTTACATTTTACCGAAGAGAAACTAGACCTGCAGAGGAGTACCTTTCTGTTTCTATATAAGCAGAGGAATTCTGCACAACCCAAATCACGCAGAAACCTCCTGGTAAGGACTCCACGGGTAGTTATTGCCGGCATTGTATTCTGAGAGATGAGCTGCATATCACTTTTGGAAATGCCTTAAATTAAAACTCGTCTTGAAACAACATGACGTCTCAAAGAAGCTCCCTTCTCACCTTGGAACATCAGCTTTTAAAATAAAGGTGTCATCAGAAGTGTGTAGACACCCACTGCATCACAACTGGAACTGATCTCTGGTTATGCCAATCTAGGTCTGCCTGGCAGGGTGAGTCTACCGCTCGAAAGCTGCACAGAGGAAATCCTCCCTCCTCCAGGTTCAGGCCCGGAGTTACGAGCGGAGATTCGCGGCGGCGGGTCAGAGCCCAGAGCAAACCAGGCTGGGGAACGCACCTCGCCCGCGGCTCCGGAAGCGGCTGCGGCCCCGACCGGAAAGCCCCCAGCATCGCCCGAAGGAATCGCGGCTGGCCTGCGGCTCCGGCCCGGCCTCGGGTACCACGCGCCTAGTGGGAAGCCGCACTGACGCCTGCAGCATCTCGCGAGATTTCGGGCTCAGCCCAAGTACTGCGAGTTCACCAAAGCGGGGGGAAAAAAAAAAAGCCAGCGTGCGAGAGCCTCTGAAGCCGTGGCTGGGGCGCTGGGGTGGCAGCTGCCGCGGGAGCATCAGCTACCGGCGTGAGGCGAGGCAGGGCACGCGCGCCGTCCGCAGCCCCGTTGCCTGGGCTGCAGGTCCACTGACGCGCGGCCCCTGGGTGGAGAGAGGGGAGGTGGCCTGGGAGCCCGCTCCTTTTCGCCGCAGAGCGCGGCGGGGGAGGGAGGTGAAGGCGTGGGAGGAAGGCGGCGGAAGAGGAGGTAGCCGCGCGGAGATCCTCCCGGCGACATCACTGAGGCGGAGCGTAGCCGCGCCTGCTCCCCGATCGCGCCGTTCGTGCTGCCCGCACTGCCCGAGGCCCTTTGCGGACTGGCTGGCCGCGCTCTTCGCACGGGGCGCTTTTGCGTGGGGTCGCGCAGGAGCCGCGGAGGGCCGGATCGCTGAGGGAGCGTCAGCCGCGCGCCGCTGCGGGACCGCGGGTGGGCGGGCTGAGGGGCGGAGGAGCCTCCGGCCCCGCCTCCCGCGTGCTGCTGCCGGAGCCGCCGCCGCCGCAGCCCCGCCGAGGCTTTAAACAGCGGGGCCCGCCCCGCGCCCGCCACACTCGCGCGCTCGCTCGGCTGCCGGTGGCCTCTGTGGCCGTCCAGGCTAGCGGCGGCCCGCAGGCGGCGGGGAGAAAGACTCTCTCACCTGGTCTTGCGGCTGTGGCCACCGCCGGCCAGGGGTGTGGAGGGCGTGCTGCCGGAGACGTCCGCCGGGCTCTGCAGTTCCGCCGGGGGTCGGGCAGCTATGGAGCCGCGGCCCACGGCGCCCTCCTCCGGCGCCCCGGGACTGGCCGGGGTCGGGGAGACGCCGTCAGCCGCTGCGCTGGCCGCAGCCAGGGTGGAACTGCCCGGCACGGCTGTGCCCTCGGTGCCGGAGGATGCTGCGCCCGCGAGCCGGGACGGCGGCGGGGTCCGCGATGAGGGCCCCGCGGCGGCCGGGGACGGGCTGGGCAGACCCTTGGGGCCCACCCCGAGCCAGAGCCGTTTCCAGGTGGACCTGGTTTCCGAGAACGCCGGGCGGGCCGCTGCTGCGGCGGCGGCGGCGGCGGCGGCAGCGGCGGCGGCTGGTGCTGGGGCGGGGGCCAAGCAGACCCCCGCGGACGGGGAAGCCAGCGGCGAGAGCGAGCCGGCTAAAGGCAGCGAGGAAGCCAAGGGCCGCTTCCGCGTGAACTTCGTGGACCCAGCTGCCTCCTCGTCGGCTGAAGACAGCCTGTCAGATGCTGCCGGGGTCGGAGTCGACGGGCCCAACGTGAGCTTCCAGAACGGCGGGGACACGGTGCTGAGCGAGGGCAGCAGCCTGCACTCCGGCGGCGGCGGCGGCAGTGGGCACCACCAGCACTACTATTATGATACCCACACCAACACCTACTACCTGCGCACCTTCGGCCACAACACCATGGACGCTGTGCCCAGGATCGATCACTACCGGCACACAGCCGCGCAGCTGGGCGAGAAGCTGCTCCGGCCTAGCCTGGCGGAGCTCCACGACGAGCTGGAAAAGGTGAGCTCGCCCAGCCCTCCCTTCTTCCCCAGCCCCTGGTGCATGCCGACCGCGGGATGTGGCTGCAGACTCTTCCCGAGTTGAGGTGGCGGGAGTAGTAGACGTGCACGACTTGCTGGCATCTCTGGATTCAGCTGTCAAGGGTGGAATTGCCGAGGAATGTTAACTTAATCTCTCAAAAGTTTGTAGCGGGTTTGGCTAGTTACGTGATACCGGAGGGCTGCCTCTAACAACCTTCCCCATCCAGTTAGGTATCTCGTGTGCACTTTCTTTCCCACCCACGCTCAACAGTCACCATCCCTCTGAATGACAGTAGTGTTTGTGGGCCCTTTAGAGGAGAATGTGCAGTGAGGATCTCTCGAGAGAGGTTGGAGAGCACCTACCATCTGTGTCGTTTTGAAAGATTGTGTTGTGTGGCTTATGTACGCCTATTAGGGATCGCAAGAGTGGGAATGTTGCTGTTTGAAGGAAAACCTTAACAGGGTGTGTTTATGGTCTATGAGTTATTAAAGCTCAATTCTTGCAATCTTGAATATACAAAGGATCATAGAGATCTTGTCTTGGGACACGCTGTTCCTAATAATGGCATAACTCTTTTTTTTTGCGATGAAAACGTTTTGGGAGAGGTGTATATTTAAAAAAAAAGGGACAGAGGCGAGTCTTTAAAGAAAAAAGGGAAACAGGAGAATTGGTTTTTCTGTAGAGGATGACCAGAAAGACCTGTGGGGTCTTTGCCATAAGCAGTTACACTTTGTAAACAGAAAACCATCCCCATAAACTCATTGATTTTTGTAACTATTTTTTATGGTCACATAAGACTTATTTCTTCAGCGTTCAATGTCACTGTTTTGAGATAACATTGATGCTTTTGAGATTTCGTTAATGTTTAACTTTTTTATGAGCCGGGATTACTTGAAGTCTTCCTTTACAAGTGTGTAATGACTACATTGATGGAATTTGTGAACGCAAGAGGATGGTACCACATAGGTTGAAATGATCACAGTTTGGACAAGTTTAAATCCAGTATGTGATTTCTTTTGGATATGATTATTTGATCTCATACAGTGATTTCATACAAGATTGTACTTGTCCCAGTGTTTGATAATGTAACATTCACACAGAGGTAATTACAGAGCTCTTACAGCTTATTGATTGTTTAAAAGCCTGAGATCATTTAGCTTTAGATAATACTATTCTTGTTATTCCATTGTGGTATTTTGTCATAATCAGAAGCAAAACAATGTCTAAAACATTTTTTATTCATACTCCTGTAGTTTCTATCAAGTCTATTCTTTTTTCTTTTCAAAACTCAAAAATCATTGTAGACAAAAGTAGATATGGAGCTGGCAATTTTCATTATCTTAGGACAGTTTTACTAATGAAAATATTATACAGATATATTTTAGATTTATTTTACCAAAGCCAAGTATGTGAGCAGTAAAGTGATCTGTATTTACCCATAAGTTTTAGAAAGACATCCAATTGAAAGGTATATATGTTGAGCTTATATGCTTCCTAGGGAAGTTTTTGCTACTTTAAATTAAATTATCTCAATAACAAAGCACTTCAAGTTCTCCAAAACTTTAGATTTGTGTGTTTGTGTTTTTTGCTTGGCTTTTTGGTTCAAAGTATCTAAAAAACAACACCTGTACTGTTAGTTGTATGGTAGTTGAAGAAATCACCCAACCTCTTAGCTTCAGCTTTTCAGGGTTATCATGAAGATTAGAAAAAAAGCGCAATAAAAATGACCATGTTCAGTGCCTGGAAAATAATACCTAGTTGTTATTTCCCTCTTATATTGGCCCTTCAGAAGACTCTAGGATCTCAATTTTAGATTCTGTTAATTCTTACGTTATTAGGTGAATGTAGTATATAAATATTATGTTCAGTTTCATTTATGCAACAGGTACTTTAATTCTTTGTAGTTTACCTTCTGCCACTCATAATCTTTATGGCCACTGTTTTATTGGCTTAACTAATAACTACATGTTGAAGATAATTTTGCTTAGAATTTTAGCAGATGGATTAAAGAAATGGGTGTTAAGTAGTACAAATATGACTATACATCACTGTCGAAAGAGGGGCAGACAGGAGGGGTTATAACAGGTTGGCTGGATCCCCAGAAGTTGTCCCTTACTCTGTCTAAATTGACTTCTACCTCTCTAACACCTTCTGTAATGTTTCTAGCCTTCAGTGAATTATAATATTTAGAATTTTTATAACACCTAATTCTAGCAGTCGATTGATTGGCATATACTCTACTTTGGTCTACTAAGTGCATAATTATCTACCATGGGACTAACTCTGTGTTGGGAACTACAGAAGAAGAAAAGAAGTAAAATACTTCAGAAACTTGTTAGGGAAAAGGACTGGATTGTCTTCCCTCCAGTTGAATTCCTTTCATTATCCATCACTGACTTTTTAAAAGTATTTTGTCTAGATGTCCAACTGTAGGGGAAAAGATAAATATCCTTGGTGCATCTTGCTATATTATATAGCCATTCTAGGACCAGTAGGCATGAGTTCTCCATTTATGAGTTATTGGGGAAGGGGGTATCTTAGATGTTGACAACATGCTTGTGACATTGTGGGATTATGTGGTGATTAGCAAACCAGTTACTGCTTCTGCCTAGACAGACATTAACAAAGTAGTTGGACAAATAACATAGTTAATAACTGTTTTTTAAGTGTTACGAAAGAAAAGGATACTTGTAAAGATAGAATAGGACCTAATTTTAATTGGGTTTTGGGAAGGCGTTTTTTTGAGAAGTATGACATTGAAGCTGAGACCTGAAGGGTAAGTTGATGATTGGGTGGAATGACAGTCCTGACCAAAGGGACAGCGCACATGAAGGTAATGGGGTGAGAAAGAGTGGTATATTAACATAACTAAAAGGAGATAACTATTTTTCATTATAAATGTAGTGGGACGCTATTGAAGAATTTTGTGTGGGGTAGCCACATGACCCATTTTGTTTTAACATCTTTAGGCTCTGGGTGGAGAATGGATTGGCAGGGGCAAGAATGGAAGCAAAGAGACTCAAGTGATTACTGTGGTCTGGTTGAGAGATAGTAAAGGTTGGTGGCACAAAGGATTGGATGTGGGAGTGAGAAAGAAGCTGACTTGTAGATTTTGAACTTGAGAAACTTAATAGATGTTGGTACTGTTGCTTGAGATGAGAAATACTGGAGGAGGAATAGATTTGGTGGTTGGGAGAAGTTTGTATTTGAGGCTATTCTGTTTCAGTAGCCTATAAAGACAAAGACAACTTATTCCAAGAGTCGTGGAGGAGGCTCTGTGTGTGTGTGTGTGTGTGTGTGTGTGTGTGTCTGTATATAAACATATGTAAATATATATATTTACATATAAAGATTTGGTTGCTTAAGGTCATGGACTAAATTACTTAGGGAGAGTGGTAGATAAGAGAACAGAAAATAGGGTCTGGCATTGGACTTGGAGATTGTTTAAAGGTCTGTTAGAGATTGAGGAGCCATTAGCAAAGGAAATTAAGGAAGAGCTGCCATACTGTCAAATAGCCTGGAGAGCAGTGTTGGGGGAAGCTGAGAGAAAAGAGTTTTTGGAAAGGCAGAAACTCTTCAAAGCTGATGCTAGGAATTGATTTAAAAATGTATATACGTACACACACAGAGTGAAAAATCAAAGTATGGATTTTTGGCCCTACAAGAAGAAATAAAAGGTGGAGGGTAACAAAGTATTTGATGGACATCTTCAACATGTATGATGGAATGCTAGATTATCAAATGTGGAAAGTGGAGTGGTAGACAATCCATACTAGCTCCTACTGGATTTAAAGCATTATTAAAGTAGTTTTTTGTTTTTGTTTGTTTGTTTTTTGTGTGTGTGTTTTACTATTTTGTGTTTTACTATTTTGACTGCTAAACCATAATTTCTAATATTTTTGTTTTTAAAGGTAGCATTACCATTGCAGTTGTCCTTGGGCCAAGGCTTAGGAGCCTTTTGCTGGTGGTATGTCAAGGGTTTCTATATGATTCCTGTATTTTTGCCTTTCTCATTAACAAGGGGAAAGGTCAAGGGAGCAACTATATTGTCTTTCATGTGTCACTTTGCTTGTTGGATTTTCATTAATTCCTAAGAAATAGGTCTTATACACATTTTACTCAAGATGAAATGAGCTAATAGAAACAGAAGAAATTGGCCAGGTGCGGTGGCTCACTCCTGTAATCCCAGCACTTTGGGAGGCCGAGGCGGGTGGATCACCTGAGGTCAGAAGTTCGAGACCAGCCTTAACAACATGGTGAAACCCTGTCTCTACTAAAAATACAAAATTAGCCAGGCGTGGTGGCGCATGCCTGTAATCCCAGCTATTTGGGTGGCTGAGGCAGGAGAATTGCTTGAACCCAGGAGGTGGAGATTGCAGTGAGCCAAGATTGCGCCATTGCACTCCAGCCTGGGCAACAAGAGCAAAACTTTGTCTCCAAAAAAAAAAAAAAAAAGAAAGAAACACAAGAAATTGCTTAATAGCCACTTTTACAAAAAGTGCAGCTGGAGGACAGGCACCATGGTAGGAGCCTGTTGTCCCAGCTGCTTGGGAGGCTGAGGCAGGAGGATTGCTTGAGCCCAGGAGTTTGAGACTGTAGTGCACTGTGATTATGCCTGTGAACAGCCACTGCGCTTCAGCATGGGCAAAACAGCAAGACCCTGTCTAAAAAAAAATAGTAGTACAGCTCAATTTGGACTTCACATCCAGGTTTTTCTGACTTTAATGCTAGGACATAGTAGCAGCAGGTTCTTCTCTCTTTATCTTTTCTATCCCTTAGACCTGTTCTAAGATAACAAAGATGTTGAGGGGGACCCCTTGGGGATTACCACCACCATTTCTCTACCTTGAACTCCTGAGAGTTGAATGATTATATAACTGACAGAAATCAAGAGATGTGATGATGTAAATATTATTATGACTTCTTCACTAGCATCTGTATAAGTGTTTATCTTCATACAGAGAATAGGCACTTAATAAAGATTTGTTCATGGAATGTACAAATCAGGTGAGCAGTTCCTGTCACTTAACAAGGACTTTAAGTAAAACACTAAATAATTACAGAATCTCCTCTAACCATGAGCTGCTTCTCTGAGTGGGCTGTGTTGATGCCTAGTCAAGAAATTTCACACACTATTAATCATTTCAGTGTATAGCTTTAGTCCTTGAAAGTCACCCTGGGGGAACAAGAATGTGTCTCTCGAGGGTGAGGGGAAGAGTAGAGTAGTGTCCAGAACTGGGTAAAGGTGGGACCCTGATAAGAAATATTTACATGTGGCAAAGTCAAATTTGGCTGATTTCACAGTTTTGCCAGGGGCTTTGCCCTGCTAAACCCATGCTACTTGCCATTGAAGTCAGGCTTACCCATAATACTAAATGCATTCCCCCAGGTGTACACTGACTGAAGTAGTTCTACAATGCGGCAAACAGGTAAAATTGCAGCTACTGCTTTGTTAAATAGAAAACAGCTTTTAATTTTTAGCATAAAAATTTCCTGGGTAGAAGGAAAGAAATTTTGGGATTTAAAATGTAGCAAAAAATCAGTACACTGCTAAATTGATATCTTCTCTGTGTGTATTTATGTTCATACATTTTAAAATCCTGTGAGACTAGAATTTAAAGGACCAAAATAGAGTTTCTTGGTTCTTATGTGTGGAGTGTGTTTGCTTTCAATGATATTTCATTATATGTTACATATATATATTTGGGAAGTCTATAGTATAGTCCTATGCTGAAGTGAAATAAATGTGAACCTAGTTATTCAACAAATCCTTGTTGAACATCAACAACAACACTGTTCTAAATGCTGGGGATATAGCAGTAAACAAAACAAAGTCATGGGGCTTTCATTCTAGCGGTAGGAGACAATAAACAAACAAAATTAAAGCAGGGCGAGGAAAATTAAAGGTGGCTAGATGATGGCTGGGTGATGCTGTTTTAGCATTGTTAGGGAAGACCTCTGATATGTGAGCAGGCTCTAGAAAGGGGTGACCCCCATGCAGATACCAGGGAAAGAACACTCTAGGCAGAGGAACAACAGATACCAAGACCCTGAGATGGGAGTGTGCTTGGTGTGATGGAGAGACAGGGAGGTCAGCAAGACCGAATTGATGAGGCAGTGTGATAAAGTCAGGGGGTAGTGAGGACCAAATAGCGCAGAACCTTGCAGATCATGATAAAGACTTAGGATTTTACTCTGAGTGATTTAGGGGAAGGCATTGTAGGGTTTTGAGCACAGATTTGACATGATCTGACTTATGTTTTCAAAATACCACGCTGATTGTTGTGTAGAGAATATACTGTAAGGGGGCAAGAGTAGAAGGCAGGAAACCAGTTAGAAGCCTACTGCAATGGTTCCATTAAGATGATAATGACTTTTACTAAGGTAGTAGTGATTGATACAATGAGAGGTGTTCAGATGCTGGATGTGTTTCAGAGGTAGAATTGTTGGGATTTGCTGATGGTTTGGATGAGGGGATGTATGGACAGAGTAATACTAGGGTTTTCCCCCTATTTAGAATGGAGTTGATATTAATGGAGAAGTCTGTGAGAAGGGCAGGTTTGGGAGATGGACTCAAGATAGGGTTTCATTCTACAAATTAGTTCTCCAATGAGGCAAACAGGTAAAATTGCAGATACTGGTTTGTTAAATAGTAGAACTTAAGAAAACAGCTTTCATTTTTAGCGTAAAAATGTGCTTTTGCTCTTCAGGTAAAACCATGAAAACTAGTAGTCTTTCAAATACTGTACAAAGGGGTAGGGAACTAGTGGGTTGATTCCACAAAGTGAAAGCCCACTGAGGGTGAGCAACAAGGAAAATTACTTAAAATACTGAAGTTAAAAACATTAGTGGTGTCTCATTTAAACCATGAAAGCTACTATCAGCTGAGGCCCTCCTTTGTCTTTTTCCATTTTCACTAGGATCTCTACCAACACTAGCTTAAAGCTATTATGAAAAACTTGGAGCTGGTAGAGAACTTGGGGGTTTCTAATTGGAAGAAGGGGGAAAGCCAAAAAGAAAAAATAGCTTAGTGGAATGTTGACTCTCAGCAGAAGCTAATTATGGCTAGTACACTCATAGTATCATTGGACTCAGAAATTTCCCTGCCTTAATTTTTAAAAAAATTCTGTGCTTTTTCTGAATAGTCACAAATTAGATATTCATCTAGGTTCAGAATTCTGGAAACCTGTGGGATAGTTCTTTGTTGGGTAAGTGTGAATTAGTTCTTCCATCAGTTTAGTTTCAAACAGAATTTGGTATGGTATGCTAGCCATTTTGGAGACTTTTGCAAGGGAGCGTAGGTGGTTTGGCAGGGCAGGCTTGAGTATTCCAGTGGGGAAAGACTTAGAGGACCCTAATCATTAGAGACCTGCCCTTCCCACAGACTTCTCCATTAATATCAACTCCATTCTAAATAGGTATTACTCTGTCCATACATCCCCATCCAGACTATCAGCAAATCTGAACAATTATACGTTTGAAACACATCCAGTATCTCAATACCTCTCATTGTATCAGTCACAACCACTTTGGTAAAAGCCCATTATCATCTTAATGGAACCATTGCAGTAGCCAAGATGAGAGGAAGGGGGTGATTAAAACATTTAGCTGCAATTCAAGAATTGGGCTATAGGGCTGACGGTCTTGGAAAGAGGTAGGAAACTTCACAGAGCATGTCTGGACTGAGGACCCCAGTCCGAAGTTTGGACTAGCAGTTGTTGTGATTATGGCCTGTTACCATTTAAGGTCTTTATCAGTGCTGTCCGATAGAAATATAATATGAACTACATATGTCATTTAAAAAAGTAAAGAATCAGGCAAAATTAATTTATAATATACCGTATTTTATTTGACACTGTGTCTAAAACATTCATTGCAGATATAATGAATATTAAAACATTTATAATGAGATATCTCAATTTCTTTTTTTTGTACAAAGTTTGAAACCCCGTGTGTTTTTCACATACAGTACAGCACATCTCAATTCAGACAAACATTTCAATGGTGTTGAAGTAGTAGCTCCTTGTGACCTTTGATTACTATATTGGACAGTGTAGATGTAAACAGTACTTGGCAGTTTGGTTCTGAGGTCCTATGATTTTCATTTTTCTTCTTGGATATTTAACTGTTCCTGTCAATAGTTTACTTCTGTTAAAGAAATTTGAGTAGCTTCTATCTGACAGAAAAAGCGGAATATTTTATTTAACTCTCATTCCTTTCCAGGTACAAGCTCTTTCCTTCCTTCCTCAGCCAGACTTGTTGAGAGTATTGTTTATAATTGCCGTCTTTCCTTCCTTACCTTTTACTCAAACTGCTGTAGTGTGGCTTCTATTTTGCATAAATAGTTCTTGTTAAAGTCACAAGTGATCTCCATTCTTATCACAAATTTCAGGAAGTTTTTGTTTTGTTCTGTTTTGTTTTGTTTTGAGCAGTGTTCAGCTTTCAGGCAGCATTTGGTGTTCTTTTGAAGTGTTTTGGTCACTTCCTTGGCTTCTTAGTTTTCCTTCTGCCTTTCTGACTCTTTCAGCCTCGCATCCTTTGCAGTCGCCTCCTTCTCTAACCTGAACATCCTCAAGGCTTTATTTGGACTTTTCTCCTTCCTTGTTCCTCTTTTTTCTCTCCTTATGCTACATCATCTGTAGTCCAATGACTCCCGAAATTTCGTCTTCTACCCACACTCCTCTGAGTTCTGGGTATCCAATGCTTGCTTGACATTTTTGTTTTATGTCTCAAAGATAACTCAAGCTCACAAACTTAGTATTTCTTCCCATTCCCTCCAGAAACAAGAATCCAGGCCCTCTGCCAGTGTGTGCTATATCTCTCGGAATGGTACCACTATTCATCATACTGCAAAAGTGAGAAACCTATGAGTCATCCTTGACACTTTTCTCTCATTCCCCCATCCAATCACTGAGTTCTGTCAACTTGAATTTCTAAATATTCTTTTCATCTAAGCTGCTACCATCCTATTAGGTTGGTGTAAAAGTAATTGCATTTTTTGACATTGAAAGTAATGCCAAAAACCGCAATGACTTTTGCACCAACAAAGCTGCAGCAATAGCCTTGTAACTGGGCTTCTCATATTCACTGTGCTTTCCCATCACTATTGTGCCCAAAACAAAACTGATCATTGTTGCCCAATGCTCCCTGCATTGTCTATTTCTGGTTTGCCTCTTCTTCAGTGTTTCACTTACTCAGTGGCACAATAATTCTTTGGTCACGTGGCCTTTGTACATGGTACTCTCCATGGACTCTTCCTCTCCCTTCCACCATTCCATACACCCACTGTTAACTTTCAGTTTAAGATTTCACCTCAGTCCTTATTTCTTTTGAGAGGAGGCCTTCATCCTCCAGTCTAGAACAAACTCATTTTCCCTTAATGGCTTTAGTTAGTGGTAGTATATCTATTAACATGGTTGCTTGAGTCAACTTAAGCTAACTTCAAGCTCCATGAGAAGCTGACTTTGTGATTGATCACCATTATGTCCTTTGCTATCTAGTATAGGCCTGACACAGTAGACCCTCAATCGATACATATTGAATAATAGGCCTAATTCTTTACATATTAATGTGGTACAAAAGAATCTTACCTACCTTATATCTGTTGTCTAGATTCTCTAAAGAATGTTTGGCAGAGAAATTGCCCTGTTTTGCGTATGTGGTGTTTAAGACCCAAAAGAACTAAATGACCTGTCCAAAATCATAGACATGCAGAGCTAGCATTGGAAATTGGGGCAGGCATTACTGAGTCTCAGTTGGCATTCATTTCAATATCCTACAGTTTAATACTGCATAAGCTCTTGTTATTTTGGTGACTTTTTTTTTCTTTTTTAAATACTCATGACAAATGTTTTTATATCCATTGAATATAAAATAGAAAAGATTTAGGCTGCAGAGTTCTAGTGTATGGATGTATCTCTTCCTAGTAGAAAAATGTTCAAAAAATTAAGAATAAGAAAGTTTCTTATACATGGAATCTTAGTTTTTTGTATTTCCTCTGCCATCCCCTGTCCATATCTTCCAAAAGTATGATATAAATTTTTAAATGTAATATGGGTTGTACTTTCCAGTAACTCGTAACTTGTGGCTGTTAAATTTAACTTTAAATTAACATTGTGTTAAAAATTCAGTTCTTCAGTTACTTGAGTCACATTTTAAGTACTTAATAACCACATTTGGCTAGTTGTTATCATTGGACAATTGAGATACCAAAGATTTCCATCATCACAGAAAGATATATTAGATAGTGCTGTCAAGGGAGGTGATATCTAAAATAACTCTTTTCCTTCATTCATTCTTTCTTTTCTTAATTCCTTTTCTTCCACATTAGTGACTACTAGTTTAAAGTCATTAGAGAGTCTAATGTTCTTCTAATTTTGCATAGGATCCTTCCTTAAATAAAAGTGTCTGGAACATTAGGTTCTCAATGAAGTGTTTCAATCAGTGGAATCTGTTTTCTTTGTGAGAGTGGAGATTTGGGTCTTTAAAGGCCTGTGAATAATTTAATATTGTATTGTTAGAAATGTTAGTTTCCAAAGCATTCTTAAGTTACATATCTGCATTTGGTCTTCAGTCTCAGGAGTAGGTGGGTTTTTTTAGAAGGTCCTGGAGTAACAGTCTCATTTTGCAAGGCTGTAGTTTGTCTTCAAGATAATACCTGGTAGGGCAGAATCTTTTTGAAACCAGGTCTCGGTATCCCAATTTTTTTCTTTTGGACCAGTGATTCCAAAATTTCTAAAAGAACCACCTGGGGAAAAATGGCTGTTTCCCATTTCCCAAAGAATATGTGCAGTGTTTTGTTTTTATAAACAGGCAAAGTATGTTTTATTCAACCTCTTAGAGCAAGTTTGACCACCTTACAACCTGCGGGCCACATGTGGCCCAGGACAGCTTTGAATGTGGCCCAACACAAATTTGTAAACTTTCTTAAAACATTATGAAATTTTTTTTGCAATTAAAAAAAAAACTCATTAGCTATTATTAATGTTAGTGTATTTTATGTGTGGCCTAAGCCAATTCTTCCAGTATGGCCAAGGGAAGTCAAAAGATTGGATACTCCTGTCTTAGAGTATTTGTGGTTTTTAGAGTTTTCCTGGTGATTCTTAGAGAGGCTGGTTTGAGAATTGGTGACCTAGACCATGTTGAGTCTTTGATTACCATATTGAGAGTACAGTCATTTGTTTTCATTGATGTGCTGATTCTCAATTTTGAAATACCCTGATATTGACAAGTACTATCTATCAAAGTTCTGGCTTTAACTGTTAGATAACTGTATACTGAATTAAATTAAGTTGTCAGTTATTAAACATCTGATAGGTTTCAGTAGTTTTCTGTAGCCTGGGCACAACAACCTTGCAAGCTAGGTAGTTGACAGATGGACAGACTCAGAAGCTAGTATCAACTTGTAAGTGGTAAACACTGGATATTAGGAAAGGTAATAGGTATTAATACCTAATTATTTAGTAGCAGACACTGGATATTAGGAAAGATGAGGTATTAGGAAAAACATCTATGTTTTTACTCATTAAGTATGAACAAAACATGGTTATGTTGCTATTAAGAGTCCTATTCAAATGCTGTAGGGATATCAGACATACAAGTACTAAGTGATAAGTTTGAATCCTGATGAGTTATTGCAGAATAGTTGGGTCTAGATATTAACCTCTTTTTTATAAAACCTAATGGTTTCGGGCATAACTTATCAGACTTGATATTTTAGAAACTAATGTTATGGCAAATAACTCTTTATAGGAAGATTTTTTTCTTTGAAAATTAAAATGTGAATTTGCTTTTTGTTTATTTAATCACCAATTTGAATCTCATTATTTTAGTTTAAAATAAAACCGTCATGAGAATTGTGTACTGAGAGCATTTGCAAATAAGTATTTTAAAAGAGAAATGTTTTCTGGCAAAGCTGGGCAGGACATAGCCTCAGTACTAACTTACCTATAAATTTCTAGAGATTTGCCTAAGGTTGGGTTTAGAGAAAATATTACACTGCCTCTCCTGTATCAATTCCAATTATCAGGCAGATTTGCTGATCAGAAACAAATTTAAGAAAGGTAATTAAGCAAAATAACAGCAATAACAACAAATAGGCATTCATAATAAACGGCTTTGTGGTATCTTGCAGGAACAGAAGATAAGAAAATCATGAAAAGCAGAAACAAAGCTCTCAGAAAATAGCAGTCTGTAATAACCCTTTAGATATAAGAACAGGACCTGAATTTCAATCATTATAACATCTTCATCTAGCATAAATGCTAAGGAAATTAACAATGTTTTAAATCTCAATACAAAAAAAGAGTCAGTGAACTATACAATTTTGGAAAATTTCAGTCTCAAGCCTTCCTAGAATATTAGATTTTAAGAGTCTGAGGATTAACCTTTTTGAAAACCAACACTTTAAAATTTTATTCAAAGAGTTTCATTGTACTTTGCTTATTTCAAATGTTTATTGTTTCATGAGGAAGAGAAAGTAATATAAGTTTGAGAAATAGGGAAGGTAACTTAAATATCTCAAACCCTTAACCTTTTTGCATTTCTGTGCATTTTTAAACTAAAATTTTATGTCCTACTTTCTCTATCTAGCATTAAGTAACATTAGTAAATAATCAGTTTCCAATGCTGCCTATAGAATATTCATATAGTTATAATACTTTAAAGTATATGTACCATAACTTGCCATTTCATGCTCTTTGTATACTTTTTAGTCCATTTACATTTATTGTGATTTGGTTGTAATTAGGCCTGACATTGTGTTGTTTTCTATTACCTGTTTTTTGTTTCTCGAATTATTCTTTCCTGCCATTTTTTGTGCTAAGATTTTTTAGCATTTAATTTAATTCTTCTGTTGAATTTCTAGTTATATATCTTTGCATTATTTTTTAGTGGTTACTTTGAATATCATTGAATTTCTTCAGCTGAAATATAGGAATTTTAAAACAGTACTTTCTCTTTCCTCAGTGCTCTTGTCATCTAGATGATAAACATGTTGTTCTTGTTGCTTTCAATAGTTACATGGCTTTAAAAAACAGATAAAAGAAAAATATGTATGGTTTTTAAATATTTTCATTTATATTCATTCTTTTTTGTTTATCAGATTGCTTCCCTTCCTTGGGCACTTCTTGTAATGGAGGTCAGTTGGCAACAAGTTCTCTTAGTTTTTTTTTATCTAAACATGTCTTTATTTTACTGGAGTTTTGAAGGATAGTTTTGCTGGATATAGAATTCTTAGTTGACAGCTTTCTTCTTTCAGCCTTTTCAGTATGCCATTTCAATGTCTTCTGGCCTTTGGTGTTTCTGGTAGGAAGTCAGCCAACTGTGTAAGATGTTATTTTTCTCATTGCTTTCCAGATTTTCTCTTTACCTTTGACTTTCAGCAGTTTGTGCTTCAAGAGTTTCTCTATTTGTGTATCCTTTGTCAGTTTGTTAAGTTTCTTGAATCTGTACGTTGATGTTTTTCACTCTTCCTTCTTCTGCCATTTCCATTCTGCTATTAAGTCCACCTAGGGAATTTTTCATTTCAAAATTTTTTTCATGAATTTCTGTAAAAATTTATTCCAGGTCTAGAATTTCTAACTTTTAAAATATAGTTTTCATTTCTCTATTAGATTCCATCTCTGTTACTCATTGATATATTTACCTTTGCTTTTGTTTAACATATTTATTGCAGCTGTTTTTGGAGTCTTTGTCTCCTGAATTTAACATATGGGCCACATGGAGGAAATTTCTAATGACTGCTTGTTTTTTTTGTTTTTTTTGTTTTTTTTTCTTGAGTGTGTGTTACATTTTCCTGTTTATTTGGATGTCTAGCAGTTTTTTATATGGAAACTGGCCATGCAGACACTACGGGTTTTGGGGTTGGTTTTTAAAAATATTCTTCTGAAAATTATTGTTGTTGGTTTTTTTTTGTTGTTGTTCTAAAAGGCACTTTTTATCTAGGCTCAAACTGCAGACTTTCCACCCCCATCCACTCCTCTCCCCATACAATAGCTGATATCTCTGTTCTGTATTTTATGGTTTCCAGCTACTTATTTTTAGGTTGGCCCCTGGGGAGTCTCCCCTGCATTTGTGTAATTTGGTGGCCAGCAGAGATTCGGGGGCTTACCCTTGCCATCATTATACTTTTTCTGAAGATTTTCACTTAATTTCCAATTCCTCTGTTGACTTTGGGCTCTATTTCCTGATATTTCAAGTTAGTAGGGCTTTACTCTCAGCCATTTAAGCTATCCACAGTTGAGAAAGGCTCTCAGTTAAAAAGCAGCAAAGTCAGGGATCTGACAAAAGTGCAGCTACATCTATCATGAGTATTTTCTTTCCTGTCTTTGCTTCTTTTTCATTTACTCTGGTTTCTTTTCCATGCACATACAGTCGTATGTTGCTTGACAACTGGGATACTTTAGAGAAACACATTATTAGGTGATTTTGTCATTTTGCATAATGATACAAACCTAGAGAGCATATTCCACTACACACCTAGGCTATATGGTGTAGCCTGTTGCTTCTAGGCTACAAATCTGTACAGCATGTTACTGTACATGGTTGGAACATAATGGTAAGTATTTACATATTCACACATAGAAACCTAAACAGTAAAAATACAATATAAAAGATAAAATGGTACACATGTGTAGGATACTTACTATTGAATGGAGCTTGCAGGACTAGAAGTTACTCTGAGTGAATGTAAAGGCCTAACACATTACTGTACACTACTATAGACTTACAAACACTGTAAACTTAGGCTACATTAAATTTATTTAAAAAATATTTTTCAATAATAAATTAACCTCAGCTTGTTTTAACTTTTTACTTTATAAACTTTTAGATTGTTTAAAACTTTTTGACACTTTTGTAATAACATTTGACTTAAAACACAGACATATTGTACAAGTGTACAAGAGTATTTTCTTTGTATCCTTGTTCTACAAACCTTTTTCTATTTTTAAAAATTTTAGGTTTGTTTCTTTTAAACATCTGTTTTTTTGTTAAAAAGGAAGACACAAGCACACACATTAGCCTAAGCCTATAAAGGTTCAAGATCATATCACTTTCACCCCCACACCTTGTCCCACTAGAAGGTCTTCAAGCACTATAACACGTGGAGCTGTCATTTCCTATAATAACAGTATACATTCCTTCTTCTGGAATACCTTCTGAAGTATCTGCCTGAGGCTGTTTTACAGTTATTATTTTTTTTAAGTAAGTAGAAGTAAGCTGTAAAACAATAATAAAAATTGTAAGTACATAAACCGGTAACATATTTATTATTGTTATCAAGTGTTATATACTGTGAATAATTATATCCGCTATACTTTTATATTACTGTCAGCTTAGTAGGTTTGTTTATTCCAGCATCACCACAAACTCATGAGAAATGCATCGCACTGTGCTCTTAGAATGGCTACCACGTCAGTAGGAGAGGAATGTTTTAGCTCCATTATAATCTTATGGGACTATTGTATATGCAGTTCATTGTTGACAGAAACATCATTATGTAGCACTCGAGGGATTTAACTCTTGGCATTTCTACTTAATAGTTTGTGGGACATCTAGGAAAAGGACTTCACCTCTGACCCTCAGTTTCCTTATATGAAAAATGGGAAAGGTGACAGAGCTAGAGTATCCCTAATCTGAAATGCTCCAAAATCTAAAACTTTTTGAGTGCTGACATGGTGCTTAAAGGAACTGCACATTGGAGCATTTTGGATTAGGGATGCTGAACTCCAGTAGATATAATGCAAATATTCCAAAATCTGAAAATATCTGAAATATGAAACACTTCTGGTCCCATGCATTTTGGACAAGGGATACTTAACCAGTATTCACAGTGAGAAGTATCAAATTCCTGTGAGAAATACATGAAAAATCAAGTGTATCTTATGTATCCAGGTGTATACTAAAATGTAGTTTTTAATTACATGGTTCTTGATACATACTGCTTTTCCAGTGTTTTACCCATTTATGATGCTACTAGACATATACTTCTCTATCTTCTTACCAACTTTTGGTTCATCTTTAAAATAATTTGAAATAGAAATTGTACAGTTACTAATTGATACTGGAAGGTGTAAGTTTTCTGGTACTCGAATTAAAATATTTTCAAGCTTTTAGTTTATTGACATTAGCAAGTTGTGTGGGATTTGAAGCAATGCTATTTCTAATGCATTCTGTTGTAACTCAGTCTTGAATGGTTAGTAAAGAACATGATGGGCTAGGTAGAGGACTGAATTCTTTGTAATCAGCAGTTCTGACTTGGTTCATTGTAAAGTCACATGGTCACACCATCCACTTTTATCTGTGGCACTTGAGTTTTGAGCTTTGCATTAATACCACTGGATATTAATAGAGCATTGTTAACCAGAGCAGATTGGATTCCTGTAAAACAATACTTTGTTTTGAAAGAGTAGTCTGTATGGGGAGCATTACACTGAATACACCAATCACCGACAGCACGGATAGGAAATGTTGGTAGCTTTAGGATGATATAATTGGCCAGTACTTGATTAAAAAAAATTGTTAGAACAATTGTTAGAATAAAACCGGCCACTTTGGGGTCAAAATTTGCATATGTATGCACATATTTTTAGTTGCTAAATCACCTATGATTCATGATAGTAATTTAACGCTTTGACTTACCTTAGTATTAAGCAGATGCTGTTAAACCATATAAGAAATTTTGATCTTTAACGTATCTTTAAAAACATTTTAATTCAGAAGTTTGTAGGGTGTAAATAAATGGCATTTTTAGGTGGACTTTAACATTTTTGAAATATAATTTTGGGTTTATTTAAATCAACAATAAGCTACTTGTCAAGAAAGTAATACACTTTTGTATGTTAACAGTGCCCTAAAATAAAGATCCCCACTCTGCTGGCTGTCATTAACCATTATTTAATTTGCTGAAATAATGCTATGTCCAGAAGTTTTGTTTCTGTTCTCAGACTAGGCAATCTCATATTAACCCTAGGCGTTCCTTTTGTAAAGTGTGTATCAGTGCCACTAAGGCAAATAGGAAAGAGTTTATCATTTATTAAATTTTTAGTGTCAGAGAAGTTGTGAAACATTTCTAGTACTGTGAACATTGGTCATTAAAGCCACATTCTTGTGCTATACTGTGTTGGCTTGGCAGATGGTGTGGGTGATAAATCCTTTAACACCACCATGTGGAATGGTGATTTCATATTTGTATGCAAAAGTCCTTTTTTTTAAAGTCTTTTAGAGGTAATCTTAAACTCTGCCAATATCAAATTATAAGAAGCTATGTAGTAGAGTCTAGATTAGTAATGTTTTACAGTATTTATTTTTATGTATTTTTTTCAACATCCAGTTTTCAGCTCACAGTATGGGCAGTTGCAATAGTAGATCACTTATTTGTTTATAGTAACAGCTAAAATTTATTGAGCTCTTACTTTATTAATGTCAGGCAGTGTACTAAACATTTAACACATTTTCTCATTTAATGTTATTAAAGTATTTTTTATTGTGGAATCTAAAAAAAACATAAAATACAAATGTATAACGTAAGTTATCAAGTGAACATCTGTGTAATCACCACCCAGATCAAGAAATAGAATGTTGCTGGCACCCTAGAAATTCTCTGTGCACCCCCTTCTAATTCCTCCACAAAATAGCCACTACCCTGACTTATGGTGATCACTTCTTTGGGTATTGGTGTTATTTTTTATAATGATTTTTGTCACCTTTATGTATTCCTGAAGACTATTAGTCAGTTTTTCCTGCTTTAAAAATGTATGTAAATGGAATCGTATAGCATATTTTCAATCTGACATCTTTTGTTCACTCTTAGTTTGTAACACTCATTTATACTGTGTCTTTCTGTAATTCACCCCCCCCCCCGCCTTTTTTTTTTTTTTTTTTTTTTTTTTTTTTTCTTTTGAGGTAGTCTCACTCTCTTGCCCAGGCTGGAGTGCAGTGGTGTGATCACAGCTCAGTGCAGCCTCAACCTCCTGGGCTCAAGTTATCCTCTGGCCTCAGCCTCCCAAGTAGCTGAGACTACAGGCACGTGCCACCATGCCTGGCTAACTTTTTTTTTTTTGTATTATTTATTGAAATGGAGTTTCACCTTTGTTGCCCAAGCTGGTATTGAACTCCTGAGCTCAAGCGATCCACTGGCCTTGGCCTCCCAAAGTGCTGTGATTACAGGCATGAGCCACTGTGCCCATCCCTTCATTTATTCATTTCAATTGCTATTTTCTTCGATTGTATGAATATTCTACAGTTTCTTTATTCTGCAGTTAAGGATGTTTGTGATGTTTCTAGTTTTTGACAATTTTAAACAGTGCTGATATGAACGTTTTTATACGAGTATCTTGCTTCATAGAAGTATTGTATATCTCTAAGGATATGCTGAGGAGTAGAATTGCTGGGTTAAAGGTGTGCATTTTTTCAACTTGAAAATAATGCCCAAACTTTTCTTTCAGAATTGTTTTAACAGTTTATATTCTCACCGGGATCATATGAGAGTTTTTGTGTTCTGTACAATTATTGTATTTTCTCACTTCGTCTTCTCAGACAGTATGGAGTGGATAATATCCCCATTTCGCATATGTCGGAACTGAGGACCAGAGGGATTAAATAACTTGCCAAAGCACACATTACTAGTGAGTAGCAGAGCTGGGATTTGAGCCTATCTCTGACTTGAGAACAGACACTCATTTTGCTCTACTATTTCAGGACATTATTTGGAAAACAGATTCCTCATGAAAGCTCAATATTCATTTACCATATCTTTGATAAAAATGACAGGAAAGGTCTGTGCTGTTGTGGACCTTCCATTTTAATACTTACTGAGGGAGTGCATAGATTACAAAACACCAAGTAAATAAAAAAGATAATTACAGAGTATGATATGTGTCATGAAAGAAATAAACGGGACTAAGAAGAAACAATATGTTAGGTGTTTTGGGAAGAAGAAGGCTGCATTTAAACTAAGACCTAAAGGATGAGAAAGAGCCAGCCATCTTCAAAGTGCATTTAACAGGCAGAGGGAAAGGCAAGCCAAAAGTCCCTCAGGAGAAAATACTTTAAAACCAGTATTTCAGCAAAAGAACATTATATCAAATTAAACATTTTAGTTAGAACCCTCAATTATCTAATTTAAAGGATAAGAGTTTGGGGTATTATAAAATTCAAGGAAAATTAAATAGGAAAGTGGTCTATGGAAAAAAATAGAAATGTCACTTCTATAACAGTCAGACTAATATTTGCCTTTTCTTTAATCATGTCAAAATTTACTATGTGTGGTAACAACATATTTATGACAGATCGAAAGAATTCCTTGGGATAACATTATTTTTCAAGGCTTCCTGAAAAAGGCATGGATGTACGGAAACCCAGGGGTCTAGAGGTTGCAGTGGGAAAGTATCTAAGGGAAGAGAAAACCTAGTTTGACCTGGAACATTGATTAAAAGGAGATGCTATCTTGAGCAGCTAATGAGGATTTTTTAATTGGAAAAAATCCTAGATAATGTAGAAACGGAATGATTGGCCTATTTTACCAGCCCTCTCTACCAGAATAGCCTCCAAGTAAACTTCCAAAGTTAAATAACACAAAACTCTATCTAGTACACAATTTCATACTTAAAACATTTGAATCCGGGTGTGGTGGCTTGTACCTGTAATCCCAGCACTTTGGGAGGCCCAGGCGGGCAGATCACTTGAGGTCAGGAAAGTTAGAGACCAGCCAGGCCAACATGGTGAAACCTGTCTGTACTAAAAATACAAAATTAGCCGGACGTGGTGGCAGGCACCTGTAATCCCAGCTACTTGGGAGGCTGAGGCAGGAGAATCACTTGAACCCGGGAGGCAGAGGTTGCAGTGAGCCCAGATCGTGCCATTGCACTCTAGCCTGGGTGACAGAGCAAGACTCCATCTCAAAAAAAAGAAAAAAAAATATATATATATAGATATATAGATATATAGATATAGATATAGATATATAATAGGTATGCTTTCTCAGATGGATTTTCTGGACACTATAGCAATTCTTCTTTAAAGGTAGTCTGGTACAGCTATTTGTAACAATCCTGTATAGCAGTTTCATAGATGCTGTATACCCTGGGAGGTATTTCTACAAAGTATAGAATTTTAAAAATCTCCTCTGGAGCTATACAGTGCAGAACTTCTGCTGTCGTTTTTATGAGGACCATGTTAGAAGCCCTTAGCTTCTGTAGATTTGGGAACAAAGGAATGAGGGAAATAGATACCTAAAAATAGATAATCTAAAATAATTTACCTTGACTCATTATAACATGTGGAATTCTGTCATTTGGAAAATGGTTAAGTGTTTTCACTGAAACCATCAGGAATTTAAAACTAGATCCAAAAAGAAAAATTTCCCTCTCCATTTTGACAGAAGTCACTGTTTATAGTATATTGACAAGTTCTTTTTATCTTTTGGTGAGGATTAGAATAGTAAATGTAATGAAACATCCTAAGTGGTAAGATCAATATTTTATACCCAGGGCTGAAACTCACAAAAGAGGACTGAACCTAAGCCGTCACTTACGACTTAACACATATACACGATGTTTAGAGCTATGAGTCTGGTACGATAACCATGGAAAATACGGGATGAGCAAGGGAGGGGGGTATAGGACCAAGTGCTAAAGGAACTCCTACCACTTAATTGCTGGGTAGAAGAGTGTGTTGTTTCAAGAAAGGGAGTGGCTGACAGTGTCAGATGGTACTGTAGGAGTTCAGTGAGACAGGAACTGAAAAATGTACATTAGATTTAGCAGCCAAGAAGTCATTGGATGTCTTAATAAAACGATTTTGGTGTTGTGGTGAGGGGAAGCCAGGTTGGCTTGCGTTTAAGAATGTGCTGCACTATTAGAAACTTTGGCAAGAGTCAGAGTGCAGTAAAAAGTTAACTCTGGTTAAAGGAGAGGGAATGATCAAGTTGAGGTGGAAATTTGAATATACTAGGGAAAGAAGAGATCATCCATAGTGTAAAAATTATCCTTTTCTCTACATCCTGCAAGGAAGTAATGATGATGGAGACCAGAGTTTCCATCTTTTTTGTCTATTTTCTACATACTCAGAAAAGTGTTCTGCTCCCTATGGTTTCTGTTTTTCTTTTCATCTGTTTGCATAGCTTCTTTACCTACTAGCTTTTTATCCCTGGCCCCTCTCCTAAGTTCCAGTCACACATTTTTTAACTGCTGGATAGGACTCTAATTGTCCCATAGCTCCTCAGATTCAACATGTTCAACTGAATCTTTTCCTTTTTGATTACTGAGGGCCTAAATATCTGGATCTTCCATTCTTTCCTTTATCTCTTCCTTTCTTCCCCCTTTTTTTCTCTGTCCTACCAGTCCCTGCTGGGGCTGGGAAACTTCAAATCATAATGCTACTTTTTGAAAGATTATTTTCTGGAATAATACTAAATTTGGTCAGCTTCATTTAATAAACCATTACCCATAAAATATTTATGTTGCCAATTTCTACTTTTTATCCATTAGTGTGGAATATACAGTAAAAACCAAAAATCTATCATTTCTGTGAAAATGGCAGGTAGAGTGAAGATTTTTATTTATGTACTTTTGTATCAGCATAATTTATAGTTCATAATTGCACACTTGAACCTCCTTGATTATACAGTTTTTATACTTTTTTGTGTGTGTGGACCAAATACCATACTTGCTAATTCTCTTATTTCTCTGAAACAAATTTAAAGAAACAAAAGATGTGTCTTCCACTTTGGTTTCCTGGTATTTCAGGAAATTAATACAATTATGAACCCAATTTTATTATATTTAAGTCTACTAATTGAACTACAAATAAAAAGTTATTTGCTTTTGACTTTTGAATTTTATTGTAGAGATAACTAAAACAGTTTTAAAAATAGATCTGCCAGAAGATGATAGAGAAGATACATTTTTTATTTTGTGTGGACATACCTTTATTTTAAAATAAAATACTGGAAAATTTTACTTTGTTCTTACAACATAGTTGTATGTAGTATGGTGGAGAGCTAGTTGCAAAATTATTGCTAGTTCTTCTATTTTGAGGTGGAATTCTGATAAACACCCACAGCAAAAATTTTTGGATGCCTGCATACTTTTGCATTGTTAAAAAGACACCCACATGAAATCTTAGCCTTAGAAAAAGTAGCCTACTAAGTACATACATCTTTCGTTTTCTTTTAACACAGATGGGAAGAGAGATGCCTTTTTGTGTATATTATAGACATTATATTTTCTTGTAATACTTGGAGGTTATATATTTTAAAGTCTGCTTCCATTAAAAAAACTGAAGAGCACTATGTATTCTATGGTGAAAGATAAGGGAACTCCTCCTTAAAGTTTGTTGAATTAACTGGCAGATTTTCTTGTTCTGGCTTTATTTGAATAATTGAACAGTTGAATCATCAATCCCTATTCAGAGTCATTTCTTATTATTTGGGATTGTCCCTGACTCTACTGTCTGAAACACATTAAACAGTGGTGGAAGTACAGCTGAAGTGGGTTGTTATTGTGATTGAGCTACACAGTCCCCTAGTCATATTTTTTTTTCTTTTACCGTTTATGCACACTTCTTATTTTTGAATTATACTTTAAGTTCTAGCATACATGTGCAGAACGTGCAGTTTTGCTACATAGGTATACACGTAACATGGTGGTTTGCTGCACCCATCAACCTGTCACCTACATTAGGCATTTCTCCTACTGCTGTCCCTCCCCTACCCCTCCCTGCCGCAACAGACCCCAGTGTGTGATGTTCCCCTCACTGTGTCCATGTGTTCTCATTGTTCAGCTCCCACTTATGAGTGAGAACATGCAGTGTTTGGTTTTCTGTTCTTGTGATTGTTTGCTGAGAATGATGGTTTCCAGCTTCATCCATGTCCCTGCAAAGGACATGAACTCATCCTTTTTTATGGCTGCATAGTATTCTATGTGTATATGTGCAACATTTTCTTTATTCAGTCTATCATTGTGGGAGTTTGGGTTGGATCCAAGACTTTGCTGTTGTGAATACTGCTGCAATAAACACACGTGTGCATGTGTCTTTATAGTAGAATGATTTATAATCCTTTTGAGTGTGTCCCCAGTAATGGGATTGCTGGGTCAAATGGTCCTTCTGGTTCTAGATCCTGGAGGAATTGCCACACTGTCTTTCACAATGGTTGAACTAATTTACACTTTCACCAACAATGTAATTTCTCCACATCCTCTCCAGCATCTGTTGTTTCCTGACTTTTTAATGATTGCCATTCTAACTGGCATGAGATGGTATCTTAATTGTGGTTTTGATTTGCATTTCTCTAATGACCAGTGATGATGAGCATTTTTTCATATGTTTGTTGGCTGGTTTATGCATACTTCTAACAAGTTTAACCGTTAATGGTTTCTGTGTTCATACCAGCAAGCAGAAGAAGAATAATAGGCATCTTCATTTTAAGCAGGAAGAGGGCTAACAATAGGCAGGCATATTTGCTGAAATGGGAAGTGACAGTTTGCAGTCTCATACAAAGGAAGAGATGAGAAAAATGACCAGAAGTAGTCACTTCAAGAATTATATTATGGTCCAGCAATTCCACTCATAGGTGTATCCTCAAGATAAATGAAAACATATTTTCACCCAAAAACTTTAGACAGCTGTTCATGGCAGCATTATTCATAATAGCCAAAAAGTAGAACCAGCCCAAATGTCCAACTGATGAATTAAAAAAAAGTGGCATATCCATACTATGGAATATTATCTGGCAATAAAAAGGAGTGAAGTACTGATACATGTTATAACATGAATGAACCCTGAAAACATGCTAAGTGAAAGAAGCCACACATAAAGCCCACATCTTGTGTGAGTCCATTTATATGAAATGTCAGAATAGGCAAATTCATAGAGACAGAAAATGGTTGGTGATTGGCAGGGGCTGAAGGAAGGGGGAATTGAGGTATTTCTTTTCGGGGTGATAAAAATATTCCACAGTTGATTGTAGTGATGCTGGGAATAAGAGTACAACTTTGTAGATATACGAAAAATCATTAACTTGTACACTTTAAACTAGTGAGTTTTGTGATTTGTGAGTTATATCTCAATATAGCTTAATAAAGTTTAAAAACAATTGCAAATTTGGGGTAATTTTAAATTTTTATGGGGTTGGTTAGTTCCATTTTCCATAAGCCTGGGGGCATCCTTTTTATAGTACAGTAAAATAATCATTGGTTGATAATAGTTATGAAACTGTGTGCTGTAAGGAAAATACTTAATGTGTTTTAGGATCTCTTTTGAAAAATGTATGAACTACTATCCTAAATGTTTAACATTAAACTTCATATGTGAATTCCTGGTTATCTTAAAATGACTCATTTTCCATGTATTTCACATAGCTGAGGTTATAGCTATGTCTATTAATGAAAACATGAGGATTAATTAAAAATTTAATTATTTTTCTCACCATTACAAAGCCTAGTTAAAATAATTTTCAAAAAATATACTTAATTAAGTTCATCATTGTCCTGAGAAAGAGGAGCAGCGCAGTTCTTGGCCGGGTCAGCAGAATCCCTGGTGACCCTCACCTAGGCGTGCCAGGGCACAGGTTGTGATTGTCCTGGGGCGGCGGAAACCCACGTGCCTGCCCTGCATGCCTGCCCTGCATGCCAGGCAGCACGCTTTGGAGTCGCTGTGATTGGCCGGTGTGCCCCTGCCGAAGCCTCGGCTGCTTCTGTCCACGTCTTACACTTCTTCATTTATCCATGGATCATTTCGAGAGTCCGTCTTGTAAATGTTTAGCATTTTGCTGCTTTATTGCTTCTTTCTGGGGACAGTTCCAGCACTTGCTGGGTGGAGAAAGGCAGCTGAGTCCGGAGAAGAGCAAAATATGGGGACCCAGGTTAAAAGCAGACATCGTCCTTCCTACCCAGTATTTCTATATTCAGACAGTGGATACATCAGGGAATAGCTTCACATCTTCTCCAGGCGAAAAAGTCTTCCAGGTGAAAGTCCCAGCACCAGAGGAGCAATTCACTAGAGTTGGAGTCCAGGTTTTAGACTAAAAGGATGGGTCCTTCATGGTAAGATACAGAATGTGTGCAGGCTACAAAAATCTGAAGATGGGAGTTAAATTCCAAGGTCAAGATGTGGCCAAATCCCCATGTATTTTAAAAGAGCCAGTGTGCCATGAGAATTGTGACTGGCCTTTGCAAGATAGTGCAGCCTGGCTACGGGGGATGAACTGCCCAACTGGAAACCATTGCTCAGATTCAGAGAGATCTGGCACATTTCCCTACTGTGGATCCAGAAAAGATTGCAGTAGAAATCCCAAAAAGACTTGGACAGAGGCAGAGCCTGTGTCACTACACCTTAAAAGATAACAAAGTTTATATCAAGTCTCATGGTGAACATGTAGGTTTTAGAATTTTCATGGATGTCATACTACTTTCTTTGACTAGAAAGGTGAAGATGCCAGATGTAGAGTTCTTTGTTAATTTGGCAGACTGGCCTTTGCTTTGGAAAAAAAGAAATCCAATTCAAACATCCATCCGACCTTTTCCTGGTGTGGCTCCACAGATTCCAAGGATATCGTGATGCCTACCTACGACTTGACTGACTGTTTTAGAAACCATGGGCTGGGTAAGTCTGGATATGATGTCTGTGCAAGCTAACACGGGTCCTCCCTGGGAAAGCAAAAACTCCACAGCTGTCTTGAGAGGGCAAGACAGCCGCAAAGGAGACTTGAGCTGGTTAAACTCAGTAGAAACACCCTGAACTCATAGACGCTGCTTTCACCAACTTTTTCTTCTTTAAACATGATGAAAACCTGTATGGTCCCATTGTGAAACACATTTCATTTTTTGATTTCTTCAAGCATAAGTATCAAATAAATATTGATGGCATCGTAGCAGCTTATCACCTGCCATATTTACTAGTTAGTGACAGTGTTGTGCTGAAGCCAAGACTCCGTCTACTATGAACATTTTTACAATGAGCTCTGCAGCCCTGGAAACACTACATTCCAGTGAAGAGCAACCTGAGCGATCTGCTAGAAAAACTTAAATGGACAAAAGATCACAATGAAGAGGCCAAAAAGATAGCAAAAGCAGGACAAGAATTTGCAAGAAATAATCTCATGGATGATGACATATTCTGTTATTATTTCAAACTTTTCCAGGAATATGCCAATTTACAAGTGAGTGGGCCGCAAATCTGAGAGGGCATGAAAAGGGTAGAACCACAGACTGAGAATGACCTCTTCCCTTGCACTTGCCATAGGAAAAAGACCAAAGATGAACTCTGATATGCAAAATAACTTCTATTAAAATAATGGTGCTCTGAAGACTCTTAACTAAAAAGAATTTTTTTAAGTATTAATTCCATGGACAATATAAAATCTGTGTGATTGTTTGCAGTATGAAGATAACGTTTCTACTTATGCAGTATTCTCATGACTGTACTTTACATTTTTAGAATTTTATAATAAAACTACCTTTATTAAAAAATATATATACACACAATTATTGCATCTGGCTTATACTTCTATTGCTTCAAAAATCAAAGAATTAACAGTAATTAACATATGTAAATATGGAATCTAAGAGCTAATCTAGGTTGATAGTACTTTAAAAAAGCATATAGCAATATTGCATTACATGGAATTGAGTGAGTCTATTTGGCTGACAGATGTTGGTTAAGGGAAAAGGGAATTTTGATTATCATGTAGATTTTGCACTGTGGTAGCACAGAACTTGCTGCATCTCATTTCTGTTAAAAGAAAATATATATAGGCTGGGCACGGTGGCTCACACCTGTAATCCTAGCACTTTGAGAGGCCAAGGCGGGCAGATCACGAGGTCAGGAGATCGAGACCATCCTGGCTAAGATGGTGAAACCCCATCTCTACTAAAAATACAAAAAATTAGCCGGGCTTGGTGGTGGGCGCCTGTAGTCCCAGCTACTCGGGAGGCTGAGGCAGGAGAATGGCATGAACCTGGGAGGCGGAGCTTGCAGTGAGCTGAGATCGCGCCACTGCACTGCAGCCTGGGTGACAGAGCGAGACTCCATCTCAAAAAAAAAAAAAAAAAGTGTACGCATATATATATGTGTGTGTATATACGTGTGTGTGTGTGTATATATATATATATGGAGAGAGAGAATTCACTAAAGGATGTGAAGTACTGAAAATATGTTTTAAAAATTTAGTTGGTTCTTCTGCATTTAAAGAACATCTGAAATATAGCCACATTATGTTCTCTGCTGTTTAGATGTGGGTAGAGGAAGAACCACAGGATGGTGTTAGAGACATAATTCTAAACCCAGAACATCTATTTCCTAAACCATCTCCCCTTTCCTTTCATGACCTTTTTAGGGCTCGGTTACTGCTTTGGAAATGTGTCATATATTGGGATAGAACAAAACTCAAGAAGCACTGAAAGAGAAAGAGAGAAGTTAGAGAACAAAGAATTATGGAATCAGCTATGAAACCTAAAAACCTAAAAAGGAAACACTGGTTGTCAAATTCATTATGTCAACCAGTACATGTCTGAGTCTGAGAAAAACTACAAAGGAAAGCAATGAAAAGCACTGAGTCACTGCAGACAAGGAATGAGTAAAGAGAGGAGCTATGAAGGAATCTTGGGATCCATGGGATTCCTGCTGTCATGGACTATAAAAAAAACATATTCGTTGGTGATGAAGAGGAGTTTTAAGTTGTTAATGTTGAAATTTCAGATGTAGGACTGGTGGCAACTAGGTGATGTAAATTTGTGGCTTGAGAGATGGGGTCTGAATTGATCGACTTAGCTACCCTGTAATTAGCAAACAGGAGTCATTGTTTCCTCCAGACACTACCAAAAGTGTAGCTAGAATTTGGAATTATTAAAATGGATTTACTGTCATAGTGAGACTTAAATTTTAAGAAATTTCAGTAATTAAGGTTTTCTTCTAGTTTATTGTTTTGTCCTTTCCTGGGGTAAAATATTTGGAAACCCTTGATTCTTGGAAATCTGTACTATGCCCTCTTAAATATGGTTAGATGTATTTAGTTATGTTTGTTTTTATCAAGTGATTTTAAATTTTAAATGTTAAGCATAATTCATATTTCTTTTTATAACCAGGAACCTTTTGAGGATGGCTTTGCAAATGGGGAAGAAAGTACTCCAACCAGAGATGCTGTGGTCACGTATACTGCAGAAAGTAAAGGAGTCGTGAAGTTTGGCTGGATCAAGGGTGTATTAGTATGTATATATAGACTTAATTTTATAGTTACAGCATATCTGTTGGTTATAAAATCTTCCTAACGTTCTCATCAGTTCTCAAGAGAACTCTTTTTTTCTCTATGTTAACTGTCTTATCTGAGTGCTGTGGAAAACCAAATTAATAGCTTGTACCTCCTTTGCTTTTGGATATTAACTTCAGCAAAGGAGATATGCCATTTATTTTGCCAAATTATTCTTGATTATATTCTATGTAATGTGTTACTGATGGTATTAAATTATATTTCATTGCCTCTTGTGAATCTCATGCACTGTCACTTTTCAGAAATTAAATATGAAGACTATCAAATTGGGAGCATCAGAATCAAGAAGGCTGAGCAGGGAATAGAGCTGAAATATGCCTGCTTCCTTTCACATTCCCCCCATTATATTTCGAAGAGAAGCGTATGGAAGTTAACAAGCAAGGAATACAGGAGAAATACTTAAATGTTGAGTTCACTTTGTGCATAGATTTAGGTGGTTAAGGTTCAGATTTACTTCTGTTTTTCTGTGTTTGAATAAGCACTAAGGATCTGACTAAAATAGGCTACATTGCCTTCTCATTGGGACTTTGGAAGCACTTAATAGGGGTTGTATTGGAATTTCAGGGAGAAATAGAGGGAAAAAAATCACAGTTCTAGTATTAATTTTATTGCCTAATCCATAAGGTGAATGTGAAGCTTCAGGTAGTATTGTTTGCCTTAGATTTTAGTGTTTTAGAAGACTATGTTCTATGTATGAACATAGCAAATAAAACTGAAAATAAATAGGGGAAACTTTTACAACTAATTTGAATTTTTAAAAATGTGAACAATTGGCATTTTGTATCGACAAATATTATGTAATACTTAAATCTGCTGAAGAAATCATGAAATGAGGATGTTATAAAAGAATAAGCAAAAGTTAAACTTTGACTGATAAAAGGGAATATGCACTACTTTTTTAAAGGGCTGAATTTTAAAAATATATCTTGTATCTTTCTTGTTCTGTTGCTTCTGCTGCTTCACACAATTGTGATGAGTGCATTTATTTTCATACACACTTTTATATGTTACATTGTGTTTATATTAGCTCAAAAGTAAGCTCTTTTAAGCTCTTTATAAAAACTGTTAAAGAAAAGGGTGGGGTAGGAGTTAGATTTAAAACTACATATCTTCTGTAGTTTCAAATGCATGTTCTACTTTGACTGGTTTAATGCTTACTATATAATGTTTGATTATTCTTCTTCCTCTGTGTCTTGGCCTCTTTTTCCCTCTTTAGGTACGTTGTATGTTAAACATTTGGGGTGTGATGCTTTTCATTAGATTGTCATGGATTGTGGGTCAAGCTGGAATAGGTAAGTGAAGTTATATCCTGCTTGATTTGAGAATAAGCAAAATAACTGTGTCTGAGCTCTTAACCTCATGAAACTCAAGAAATTAGAGTCATTTTTAACTACGTTTTCCTTTATATCAGATTGTTATCTTGATGTTCCTTTTTTCATAATTCTGATTTGGTTTTTATAAAATGAGATCAAAATTGGGTAATTTATAACTTAAAATGTAGATTCAGTATTCTTAGACCAACCAGTTTTAGATACCGATGAGCTTAAACAAGAGTGTAAGTATTCTCATTGTCTTTCTTTCTTCGTAAAGGTCTATCAGTCCTTGTAATAATGATGGCCACTGTTGTGACAACTATCACAGGATTGTCTACTTCAGCAATAGCAACTAATGGATTTGTAAGAGGAGGTAAGTAGAATCTTTTTGAATCATCATCATCAGATTACTCTTACTAAACAGAGGTCTAAATTGTATTTTTAATTATTTTTTACTTTAACTGAAGCAACATATTAAGTCTATATAGACAAGAAAGTTGCTACCGAGCACTTCCAGACTAGTATATTTCAATGTAAAATTTTATGTCAACTCATACACATAAGCTTTTAAGTTATTCAGTGTGTCTCGTAGCAAGAATGGAGCATCTACTTTGGTCTCTTATCCACTGGGCTGCATCTTAATTGCCTCCTCCAAGGCTTGCCCTTGGATCAGTCAGCAACATGCTCCTGGCATTTGTTCAACATTGTATTGGGGTAACCTCATTCCCCACCTCCATCCCCTATTGAGGAAAACTGAGGCAGTATACCTTCCCCATGATCTAATAGCATTGCGTGAGCTATACCTGGGACTGTAAATTAATTAATATATTTATTTGGAGATGGAGTCTCACTCTCACCCAGGTTGGAGTGCAGTGGCATGATCTTGGCTCAGTGCAATCTCTGCCTCCCAGGTTTAAGTGATTCTTCTGCATCAGCCTCCTGAGTAGCTAGGATTACAGACGTGCACCACCACGCCCGGCTAATTTTTGTATTTTTAGTAGAGATGGCGTTTTGCCATGTTGGCCAGGCTGGGCTTGAACTCCTGACCTCAGGTAATTTGCCTGCCTTGACCTCCCAAAGTGCTGGGATTACAGGTGTGAGCCACCGCACCTGGCCCTGGGACTTTAAATTCATACTTTCAAGTCTAGCTTTCTGTGGGCACTATGAGGCCTCTCATTAGAGTCTATAAGATCTGCCTTGTGAGATTTTTACCCTCCCTAGGAAGAGGACCTAAGAGACTACGGGAGAATGGAATCAGGATCCCTGAAAACAAGAAGAAAAGAATTCCATTTTCCAAATCAAAACTCTTCAGTCAGAGTGAGAAGATCCCTGGAGAAAGGAGACAAAATGTCTGCCAGCACCTGTAAAGTCATGGTAGCAAATCAACTGAGAAAAGATCTATTTCATCTGCCTCAACTGTTTTGAATATCCCTTTTTGACATTATATAACACAATTTCCACTTTACCTGCATCAAGTATTTGGGTGTGGGAGGGATAGAGACAGAGAACCAGATTGAGCTTTTCATTTTTCACCATTGTCTTTATATGTTTTAGACACCAGAGGATCCAAATCACTGTGACCCTTGGAGGCTGGTATCTTGTATCAATATGATTATGACTATGCTGAGCATTCATCACTGTTGACTGAAGTTTTATGCTTCTGTTAGCCTGGATTGAGCTATATTGGGATATACAGTGTGGATATGTTCAGCAGAGTTAGTCAGATAATGTTGAGAGATTCTTTTTGGCTTCTCGTGAACTGGGTACTCCATGCTTCATTTCTCTCTGCCACAACTGGGGAATGAAAGTGGGAAGAGAAATGGGCTGGGATGCTGTGTATTTGTAGGGGATCAGCAAATCATCAAAGAATTTCTCCTTTTCCTCAGACCTTAGAATCTAGGCTGTGAGCCTCAAAAGGAATGGGGCATGAAGCCACTGGCAACATTAACTTCATGCTTTTCCCCCATTTGAATCAGATTTTTGGAAGGTAGAGATTTTGCAAGATTGTGACCAAAAAGCCATTTCATTTTTCAATAATACCATTTGTAGTTTACATATATATACCATTGGTAGTGTGTATATATAAATATATATATATATATATATATATCTCTTTACAAATACATCTGCCTGATAGACTTTGTGTGCAGTCTTCTGTCCTGGACTGCCAGGGAAAGTACGAGAGTGTGGAACCCACACAGATCTGTCCCAAAAAATGACTATATATTATAATTTTGCATGAGTTTCCTGAAAAATCTGTTCACAAAGGAAGAACCTAGAGGGTAAAAACCACTTGAAATTCTGTTATGAGGTGTTCATACGATCAAGAAGGTGATACATTTGGTGAAATAATGAAACCCATAGAAGATAAAAGAGAAAGTTATTAATTTAAAGAGTGACCAGATACTACGAAGCTTTCTTAGAAGGCATTCATTTTTCACTTAGTGACTTTGGACAGCTGGATGGTCTTTATAGAATATGTATGAGCTGCATCATCTGCAATTAGTGTTTTCAAGAGATTCTTTTAGTGAATGTAAGCCCCTTCTGTCTCCTCTGTATCTGACTCAGATTTGGAAACCCCTAACATGGTTTATTTTGGTATCATGAAAAAAATATTTTCCACGTGGGAGAAACTAGATACAGGCATAAAACTGAGATCACATTACACCTGTATTCAGGATTCTAAATTGAAAGTATTAGTCTTAAAATTTATCCTGAAAGTACATATTTTTTAGTTTTTTCCATTAAAGTGACCTATAATAAATGACCAGCTCAGTGGCAATAAGCAATTCTTGTGCCCATGTTGTGTATTTCCACTCAAAAGAACCAACGGACTTTAGAGAAAAAATTGATTCCTTATCTGGGCAGGAAATGAGCTTAGACACCTTTTCAGATCCAAAGTATTGAGCACTACTAGTTTCATATCAAAAGGACCTAAGAGTCAACCTAAAGGAGCTAACACTGGCTAAAGTTTGGATAATTTGAACAGCAGTAATGATGATAACTGATTTGGATGAAAATATATGAAAATATGGATGTAAATCCATAAGTTAACAATGAAACAAACCAAAAAATCTCACTTTTCACCTTTGAAACATACTCGGGAACCATCTTATGAAAATTGATAAATAAATAGTGTTGAATCAAACTCCTGAAAGGTTTCTTTCCTCAACTCAAGGTAACCAAGAAGTCGATGAGATTTGTTCTTCAGATAATTGCTCTACATAATGAGTAAAGGAGGAAAGAGACTTAGAATATTCCAACTTTGTATGGTTCAAAGACTTAAATCTAAGACCTGAAACCATAGAAATTCTAGGAGATAACATTGGAAAAACTCTTCTAGGCATTGGCTTAGGCAAAGAATTCATGACCAAAAACCCAAAAGCAAATTTAACAAAAACAAAACTAAATGGGACCTAATTAAACTAAAAAGCTTCTGCACAGCAAAAGAAATAATCAGCCAGAGTAAACAGACAACCCACAGAGTAGGAGAAAATATTTGCCAACTCTACATCTGACAAAGGACTAATAATGCAAAATCTGCAAGGAACTCAAATCAGCAAGAAAATATCAATCCCATCAAAAAATGGGCAAAGGACATGAATAGACAATTCTCAAAACAAGATGTACATATGGCCAAGAAACATACGAAAAAATGCTCAGCATCACTAATTATCAGAGAAATGCAAATTAAAACCTCGATGAGATACCATCTTACTCCTGCAGGAATGGCCTTAATTAAAAAAAATAATAAAAATAACAGATGTTGGTGTGGATGTTATGAAAAGGGAACACTTTTACACTGTTGGTGGAAATGTAAACTAATATAACCACTATGTAAAATAGTATGGAGATTCCTTAACTAAAAGTAGAACTACCATTTGATACAGCAGTCTTCCTGCTGGGTAATCTACCCAAACAAAGGAAAATAAGTCATTATATGAAAAAGACACTTGTGCACACATGTTTATAGCAGTAGAATTCACAATTATAAAAATGTGGAACCAAACTTAAATGCCTATCAACCAGTGAGTGGATAAAGAAAATGTGGTATATATACACCATGGAATACTATTCAGCCATCAAAAGGAATGAAATAATGGCATTTGCGGCAACCTGCATGGAGTTGGAGACCATCATTCTAAGTGAAGTAACTCAGGAATGGAAAACAAATCTCATGTATTCTTTCTTATAAGTGGGAGGTAAGCTATCAGGATGCAAAGGCATAAGAATGATATAATAGACTTTGGGGATGCGGGTGGAAGGGTGGGAGGTGGGTGAGGGATAAAAGGCCACACAACCACACATTGGGTATAGTGTATGCTGCTTGGGTGATGAATGCACCAAAATCTCAGAAATCACCATTAAAGAACTTACCCATGTAACCAAAAACCACCTGTTCCCCAAAAACTATTGAAATAATTTTTTTTTAATTCCAACTTCTGTAAAGCTTTTACTTGATAAGAATACCTGTGAAGTATTGTTTCCCAACAAATTAAATCTGAATCACATTATGCCAATATCTCCAGGAAACATTTTATAGAATATCCAGAGGAGAGAGGAACTTTTTAAATGACAGCATAGGGTGATGACAGAAAATTCCAGACTGGGAATCTCTATGGAGCAAGGAACCCTTCTTATTCAAGGCTCGAAAAAAGATGGAGAGGAGAGTTAATGGTTTAAAACAAACTTGGGATTCAATGTGTAGGTATGAGTTTTGTTTGCCATTTTAGCTATAAACTATAAACTATACTTCTTGGTGGTACCAAGAATCCCTGAGTTGGATTTCCTACAGCTCAACTGCTAAGATTTGATTTTGACTGCCTACCTTGTAAGGGCTACTTAGAGAGGACGGTAATAGAGCTAGAATTATCCAGAGGACTGGTGTCTTAAAAGGAAATGGAAAAATGCTGTGGGAAGAGTGATGTCTGGTGAACCCATCTGAACTTTTTGTAGACTGAAAGTTGACTATTAAGGGAATTAATGAGGAAATAAATTTTCTTAAAACACTATTCAAAGGTTGGGGAACATTATGTTTATTGTTTAGTAATTTTAATTCAAAGAGCCCCATTTTAAACTTGATGCATAGTTTTTAAAAATTAATGTTAACTAGTTTCAGCTTTCTACATGTGGCTATCCAGTTTTCCCAGCACCATTTATTAAATAGGGAATCCTTTCCCCATTGCTTGTTTTTCTCAGGTTTCTCAAAGATCAGATACTTGTAGATATGCAGCATTATTTCTGAGGGCTCTGTTCTGTTCCATTGATCTATATCTCTGTTTTGGTACCAGTACCATGCTGTTTTGGTTACTGTAGCTTTGTAGTATAGTTTGAAGTCAGGTAGTGTGATGCCTCCAGCTTTGTTCTTTTGGCTTCCTTACACCTTATAAAAAATTAATTCAAGATGATTAAAGACTTAAACGTTAGACCTAAAACCATAAAAACCCTAGAAGAAAACCTAGGCATTACCATTCAGGACATAGGCACGGGCAAGGACTGCATGTCTAAAACACCAAAAGCAATGACAACAAAAGCCAAAATTGACAAATGGGATCTAATTAAACTAAAGAGCTTCTGCACAACAAAAGAAACTACCATCAGAGTGAACAGGCAACCTACAGAATGGGAGAAAATTTTCCCAACCTACTCATCTGACAAAGGGCTAATATCCAGAATCTACAATGAACTCAAACAAATTTACAAGAAAAAAACAAACAACCCCATCAAAAAGTGGGCAAAGGATATGAACAGACACTTCTCAAAAGAAGACATTTATGCAGCCAAAAGACACATGAAAAAATGCTCATCATCACTGGCCATCAGAGAAACGCAAACCAAAACCACAATGAGATACCATCTCACACCAGTTAGAATGGCAATCATTAAAAAGTCAGGAAACAACAGGTGCTGGAGAGGATGTGGAGAAATAGGAACACTTTTACACCGTTGGTGGGACTGTAAACTAGTTCAACCATTGTGGAAGTCAGTGTGGCGATTCCTCAGGGATCTAGAACTAGAAATACCATTTGACCCAGCCATCCCATTACTGGGTATATACCCAAAGGACTATAAATCATGCTGCTATAAAGACACATGCACACGTATGTTTATTGTGGCACTATTCACAATAACAAAGACTTGGAACCAACCCAAATGTCCAACAATGATAGACTGGATTAAGAAAATGTGGCACATATACACCATGGAATACTATGCAGCCATAAAAAATGATGAGTTCATGTCCTTTGTAGAGACATGGATGAAATTGGAAATCATCATTCTCAGTAAACTATCGCAAGGACAAAAAACCAAACACTGCATGTTCTCACTCATAGATGGGAATTGAACAATGAGAACACATGGACACAGGAAGGGGAACATCACACTCTGGGGACTGTTGTGGGGTGAGGGGAGGTGGGAGGGATAGCATTAGGAGATACACCTAATGCTAAATGACGAGTTAATGGGTGCAGCACACCAGCATGGCACATGTGTACATATGTAACATACCTGCACATTGTGCACATGTACCCTAAAACTTAAAGTATAATAATAATAATAAATAAAATAAATAAAAATTAATGTTAACTAATTTGAGATAATGCCTGTTTATTTATCTTGATTCTTAACTGAATTATAACGTGTTTATATTTTATTAATTGAATAATGTTTTATTCTTATCTTGAAAATTATGTGTTTGCAGCTTTGCGGAAGTGTGAATTCAGTGAATTTTCCCTAGTGTTATGTACATTTTGCCATAGGAGAGATTTAATATTACTAATTAATTTTAACTTTGGCTTTAACAGTACATTTTAGAGATTAAACAGATATCAATCTAGAAAAGTTGTACTTTGTTATTAACTTGTAAACAAATGTAATAATGTCCAACTTTAAAGTCTCATGTAATGGAAACATGCAAGGTTTCTGAAAAAGTCAAAATGTAGAAAATAAAACATGCTTAGTTTCAGGCTTGATTCAATTTTAGTACTGATGTGGGGTACTATTTTTTTATTTTTATTACCGTTTTTTTTTGAGACAGAGTCTTGCTCTGTTGCCCAGGCTGGAGTAAAGTGGCACGATCTCGGCTCACTGCAAGCTCTGCCTCCTGGGTTCACGCCATTCTCCTGCCTCAGCCTCCCGAGTAGCTGGGACTACAGGTACCTGCCACCACGCCCGGCTAATTTTTTGTATTTTTAGTAGAGATGGGGTTTCATTGTGTGAGCCAGGATGGTCTCGATCTCCTGATCTCGTGATCTGCCCGCCTCAGCCTCCCAAAGTGCTGGGATTACAGGCTTGAGACACTGCGCCCGGCTGATTTGGGGTACTATTTAAAGTTACTGGAAGCAGATTAGAGAATCATCACTTAAGTTCTCTGCCTTCCACATAAGAATAGCAGTGCCAAGGAACTGATAACGTTTACTTTATTTCTGTCATAATCCCTGCCTGCAAGACACATTAATGCTTTTCAGATTATTGCAGGCTACAGGGATTTTAGAGCCCTTTCCTGTTCTACGAATCATAGCAGTGTTCTTGAGAGCTTGGATTTTATAGAGTTTCCACGGATCTGTACAACAGGTTTTGCAACTTGGATGGTGCTGGCCAGCAGCCACCTTCACTCAGATCTGCATTTCCTAGATTACACAGACCAGAGTTGTCCCATCTTTAATTAATCCATGAATTTAGACTCATTCATAGAATAGAGGACAACTGCAGGCAGCCGTTCATAAGATGAAGACTGTAAATTCTTGGTTTTAATTAATACTGTATTATATGAACTGAGCAATACAAAGGAAAGTTTCCTCAACCACTTTTTGCTTGGGGGCATTTAGTTGACTAAGTTAAAAGCAGAGGTCAGTATCTTTTCAGATAAAAGCCTTGGTTACATAAAACTTCAGATAGGTAGTTCTGAAGTTTCCAAAATCTAAAATCAACATAAACTTGCCTATTCCATGATGAAGTTTTATGTTACTTGTACTTTAGTCAATCAGCTGACAATTGTTGAGCATTTTGTGACAGACACTGGGTTTTTAACAGTGAAAGACAAAATGCTATGTTATTGGAGTTTACATTGAGGTAATAATAGTAGCTATTATTTTTTGAGAACTAACTGCTAGGCATGATGCCATGGTGTTGACATACATTATCTTATGTAATGCAACATTGTGGTTAGTCACATTTAACATTTACATGGATAGTGAGAACAAAAAATCAATTATACCCATTTTTTAACAAAATTAATTTTTATGCAGATTCTGCTTGTGAATTTTTAGAATGTCTACATAAGTCACAATTTTATGTACTCATATCTTTTACTTTTCTCTGAAATAATTGAGTACCTCCTCATTTTTGTAAATAGATAAAGCCAAAAACATTGGAAATAAGGAAAAACTTTTTCCACGTACTGTGACAGAAAAGTGCTTTCTGCATTTGAAAAATCAGATTATCATTGATTGTCAAATTTTTTTGTTTTATCCATTGTGTAACTATTAGTTCCTACCATTATCAAGCAAGGAGTTCTAAGTTAGAATTCAGCTCCATAGTTCCTTTTTTTAATAGCTAGTTTCTTTGAAATTATAACTTTTCAGATCAATGAAATGTTTGAAGCAGCTGTAAAACACAGTTGTATTATGAGGTTTATTAAATTTAACATAACTTTATGTTTTCAGTTCAGTAAAACACTATTTGTATTCTACAAATAGCTCAGATACGAATCTGGCAAGTAATAGAATTTTCAGCATGGGTTTTTTCTTTACTCATTGGTGACCTTTCAGTTTTGCCAGTTTATGCAGTTTATTATTAATACTTCAGCTTGGTTCCAAAATTGTTTGCTGCAGAATTAGGGTTATATGTCTTTGCCTCTTGTATCTTAAAATTTAATTGAATTATTCTGGTGATCATTCACAATAAGATAACACCTAATCCTGGTTGGAAGATTCCATGTTTGTCACCTCACCTTTCCCTATTTGATAAAATAATGGCAATAAAATAGAGAAAATTTGCCAAACATTAAGAGGCAAACTCCTTATTTTTATTTGTAAACCAGGATACTGGAATGTATTTCATTATTGTCACCCTTTGATTCTTTCCTCAATACACCAAGAAAACTTTATTTTTACAAAATTTTCACTTTCTATTCCAACCAACAGTGAGTTTCACTTGTTCCGTATCTGTATCCTCACCAACAGTTGGTATGGTCCTTTTTATTTTTCATTCTAGTATGTGCGTAGTGGTATCTTAGGATAGTTTTCATTTGTGCTTCCATAATGGCTAAAGATGTTGGGTATCTTCTCATGTACTATAAGTGTCTACTCATATTTTGAAGGGTTATTTATTGTATTGAGAGTTCTTACTATTGAGTTTTGAGAGGTTCTAGATACAACTACTTTATCAAATAAATGATTTATAGTTTTTTTGTCTTGAGTATATGGCTTGTCATTTCATTCCTTCAATGGCATCATTAGAAAAGTAGCTTATAGTTTTAGCTATGTCCAGTTCATCACTTTTTCCTTTTTGGATTGTGCTTTTGGAATGGTATCTAAGAAACCTTTCCCTAGCCTGGGGTCTCAAAGATTTTCTTCTGTGTTTTCTTCTAGAGGTTTTACAGCTTTAGGTTTTCAGCTAGATATATTACCATTTGTAGCTAGCTTTTGTATATATTGTGAAATGTGAATCAGTATTCATATGGATATCCAGTTATTCCAGCACCGTCTGTTAAGGTGATCTCTTTTCTGTTTACTTACCTTTGTGCTTTTCTCAGAAATTAATTGACCCTACAGTGTGAGTCTATTTCTAGACTCTGTGCCATTCCATTCATCTTGGCAAAAGCCCTTGTGACTCTTAACACCATTCATGAAGTTCTGCACATTAGGTAATAGCAATACTACTAGGATCTGTTTCTTGTTTTACACACTTCTGACTCCAAATGTGTGGGTTTTCCCCACACAAACCAATTCCCCAACTTTCTGGACACTAATTGGGTATCCAACAATTTGATTAAAATTTGACACTAATTTCCCAGAGTTGTTGCAGACCCTATAGGTTAAGAGCTGCATCTCACAAGACTACTCCCACTTCAAATGCCAGTTGCAATTCCAGGCCTCCTGTACCTCTGACCAACTGGCTATATATTGGGGGTTTCCACAGCCCCTTCCTCAGGTTTGATAATTTGCTAAAATGGCTCCTAGAACTTAAGAAAACAGCTTACTATCATCAGTTTATAATAAAGGCTACAACACAGAAAGAGCCAAATAAAAGAGTTGAGTAAAGGATGGTATGGGAGAAGGGATGCAGAGCTTCCATGACCTCTCCAAGTGCCATCCTCCTGGCACCTCTGTGTTCACCAGCCTGAGTTCTCTAAACCCCTTTGTTTATAGTTTTCCATTATATAGCCACGATTGATTAAATCATTGGCCATTAATGATTAGCTCAATTTCTAGTGCCTCTCCCTTCTCTTCTCCCCTAAGGTGTGAGGGGTGGGAGCTGGGGTGGGTAATGGGGGTATTGAAAGTGCTAACCCTCTAATCACATAGTTGTTCCTCTAGCAACTAGCACTGTCCAATCCGGAAGCTATGTAAGGGCCCACCAAGTCACCTTATTACCGTAAACTGAGGTAGATTTGAAGGGGCTTATTTTAAATAACAAAAGATGCTTTTCTCACCTGATCAGTAAATTCCAAGGGTTTTATAAGCTCTGTTGCAGTAACCTTGGATGAAGACCAAATATATATTTCTTCTTACATCACAACATCACAGCAAGGAAAATAATTTCAGTATTTTGCCTGAGTTTAAGATGGAATTGTGATCGGGCTTTATTTTTTCCAAAGGATTTTAACTCTTAAAACAATAATAAGAGATAGGTCAGGCAGTCATTTTAGTTTTGATTTTAGTTATGGGACTAAATAACAGATTGCTCGAGTCTTCTCACAGCTTTACTGTTCACCTATGGCTTAAAGTCACAGATTCTGAATCTCAGCCTTACTGCGTGTGAAATGAGAAGTTTAGTACCAGGATTCTATGAGGCCACACCTACAGACCACAGTGGAAGTGTATGGAGAGAGTGGTAGGTGGCAAGGAGGAGTTTGGGCTATTTGCTTGATGTTCAATGATGAGGAGCATCTTTTTATGTGTTTACTGGCCACTTGTACAATCTTCTTTTGGGATGTAGTCACATCTTTAGCCAATTTAAAAATTGGATTGTCTTTTTGTTACTGATTTGTAGATTTTTCTATATATCTAGTTATGTTATTCGGTTTGACATATATATTGTGTGTATTTGTTCTCAGTCTGTGGCTTGTCTTACCATTTTTATCATTTTCTTAATCATGTCTTTCAGTGAAGAGACGTTTACCATTTTGATGAAGTCCGGTTTCTCTTTTTTTTTATGCTAGTGCTTTGTTCATGGTAGAAATATTTGCCTATCCCAAGGCCATGAAGATATTCTCCTATATTTTCTTCTAGAAGCTTTATAGTTTCAGTTTTTAGATTTTTATCTGTGGACAATCTCAAATTAATTTTGGAGTATAATGTGAGATGGAGAGTGTAGTTGTTTTTCTCCCTACCCTTCTTGCCCCCATCCTTGTACACATATCCACTTGTTTTGGCACCATTTTTTGAAACAGCTATCTGTTTCTTATTGAGTTGTTTTTGATACCATTGTTGAAAAATCAGTTGTCTATCATCTGGACTGAATTCTGTTGCATTGATTTGTTTGTGTATCCTATGCTGGTACTATCTTGTATTGATTGCTTAGCTTCACAGTAAGTCCTAAGTCTTCTAACTTTGTTCTTCTTTTTCATAATTGTTTTGGCTTTTCTAGATCTTTAGCATTTTCATATAAATTTTTGACTTAGATATGCCAATTTCTGCCCAAAAAATTGGATTAACAACCTAAATATATAAGGAGCTCAAACAACTCTCGGAACAAAATCTAATAATCCAGTTTAAAAATGGGTAAAAGATTTGAATAGACGTTTCTCAAAAGAAGATATACAAATGGCAAGCAGGCATATGAAAAGGCACTCAACATCACTGGTCATCAGAGAAATGCAAATCATATAAAGAAATCAGGCAGTAACAGATGCTGGAGAGGATGTGGAGAAAATAGAACTCTTGTACACTGTTGGTGGGAATGTAAATTAGTATAACCGCTATGGAGGACAGTTTGGAAGTTCCTCAGAAAACTAAAAATAGAGCTACCATATGATCCAATGCTGTGTATATACCCAAAAGAAAGGAAATCAGTATATTGGAGAGATAGCTGCACTCCCATGTTTGTTGCAGCACTGTTCACAATAGCCAAGATTTGTCATCTGAATAGAGATGGTTTTTACTTTTTCTTTCAAATCTCTAGGACTTTTCCTCTTTTTCTTGCCTTTTGAACTACCTAAGACCTATGGAACAATGGTGACTAGAAGTGTTGAGAATAAACATCCTTTCCTTGTTCCTAGTCTTAGAGGGAATGAGTTCAATATCACTGTTAACTATAAGGTTTTAAAATGTCATTTGTCAGATTTAGTTCTATTTCTGAGTTGCTGAGCATATTTATCCTAAATGGATGGTGAATTTTGTCATGATTCTCCTGCATCTGTTGAACTGTATGTTTTTTTTCTTCCCTTATTCTATTATCACAACCTACATATATATATATATATATATATATATTTTTTTTTTTTTTTTTTTTTGCATCTAAAACAACCTAGCATTTGTAGGATAAACTTCACCGGGTCAGAGATATTATCGTTTCTGTCGAATTTTACTTGCTAATAGTTTAACAATTTTTGAGTATGATCATAAGGAATATTGGTCTGGAATTTTTTTTTTTTTTTTTTTTTTTGAGATGGGGTCTTGCTCTGTCACCCAGGCTGGAGTGCAGTGGCACGATCTCGGCTCACTGCAAGCTCTGCCTCCCGGGTTCGTGCCATTCTCCTGCCTCAGCCTCCCGAGTAGCCGGGACTACAGGCACCCGCCACCACGCCCAGCTAATTTTTTGTATTTTTAGTAGAGACGGGGTTTCACCGTATTAGCCAGGATGGTCTCCATCTCCTGACCTTGTGATCCACCTGCCTCGGCCTGCCAAAGTGCTGGGATTACAGGCGTGAGCCACCGTGCCTAGCCTGGAATTTTCTTTTTTTATAATAACCTTACTAGGTTTTTATGTCAGTATTATGCTCATCTTATGTGTTTCCTTTTCCTCTATTTTCTGAAAGAGTTTGTGTAAAATTGATCTTATTTCTTCCTCACCAGTGAAGCCATCTCTGCCTATAGTTTTTTTTTTGGCAGGAGTGCTTATCACAAATTTAATTTCTGTCATACTATAGGGTTACTTCAGTTTCCTGTTGCAGTCACACTTCTGCCACATTTTGTTTTTCAAGGAATTTGTGTATTTCATCTAGTTGCAAAATCATTGTAATCAAGTCATTTAATATATTACCTTCTTAACTTTTTGATGCAATAGGATTTGTAATGACATGTCCCTGCTTTCATTCCTAATTTACTTTTTTCTTCTTTGTTCTTGATTAGCTATTGTTTATCAGTTTTTTTTAATATTTAAGAATAACTTTTGGCTTTCTTCTTACTGTTTTTTCCATTTTAGATTTTATTTACTCTTTTTCCAGTTTCTGAAGTTAGAAGCTTAGATTATTGATATATCCTCATTTTTTAGTATAATCATTTAAAACAAATTTTACTGTAATTTCTGTTAGGTATATCTCACTAATTTTATGCTTCACTTTTCGTTATCAAATCAGTTCAAAATACTTTCTAATTTCGCTTGTGATTTATTTAAAAGTGTGTTATGTAATTTAAATATTTAGGGATCTTTCATGCATCTAATATAGTTCTGTTGTGGTCAGTAATATACAGTGTGTTATTTCAGGTTTTTGAAATTGAGACACACTTTATGACTGAAACCAGTTTTTAATGTTAGGCTTTTGATTAGCCTAGTTAGGGTTTTGATTACTGATTGGACATTTAATAAGAATTACCAGGGCATATATCCCCAAATCAAGATGTAATAAAGATGGAACTCAGTATTGTCACTACTTAGTATCTCTGGCATCTGACTAATTATGTTCTTTACAGTCAGAGTTTAGGGTAGTTTATGACCAATTATGAGACCCCATCAGGACTTTTTTTCCATATTGATGTCTGTGTTTGCTTGATCAACAGATTTTTTTAATAAAATTATTTTCTATGTCTTCAGCATTTTTAGCGATAACAGAAAGGCTGATTTACAAGAGTTTATCATACATACTGTATTGGTAAGCAATTAAGTCAAGGAGACCTGAGTTTAAATACAGTTCTTTACTTAGCTGCTTACATGACCTTAGCCAAATTACTTAACCTCCCTGAGCTGTAATTTTCTCATTTGTAAAATGAGGATGACAACAGTACTTTAGTAGAATTAAGTTAAATGTGTAGTATTTAACAAAATAAGGTGTATACCTAGTCTGTGCTGATTAGTAAAAAAATAACACAGCCTTTCAGAGTGGTAGATCTTTAAAAAAAAAAAAAAACCTCTAGGAAATAGGAATGGAAGTGGGAAGGAATAGGGCAAATAACTGTTGATTTTCATAAGAAGTAATAGATGATGTGCAGTTGTTTTTACATTCTTATCCATGTGTCACTTCCTTTTTCTTGAAAACAATACAAATCTTTTAAAATGTGAGTTTTACATTTTAAGTTTCTGTATTTGTGAAAGACTTTTAAATCTTTTGAAATCTCACATTTTATAAAATCAAAACTTTAAGGCACATAACATGAATTTCTTGCTTTAATAGGTCCTATTGGTGATATTTCTGATTCTAAAGTTTGTATTGTCAACTACTAAAGACAAGAGTGTTGACTAATTTCAATAACTTTTCTTTGTGACTTCATTTTCTCATCTATAAAATCAGGATATACTTTGTTTTAATTCATTTTTGCTATTGGGAGTAGATGAAATAATTCATTAATTTTTAAAACATACGTTAGATAAAGGCTGATAATTATACTATTGTAGGGATTTTACTTGTGATTAATTATAATGTGATGTAATATAGTCAAAGATCTTTGACAAAATTGTCATTATATAAATTAATTGGAGTTTTTAGTGTTCAAGAATATTTCGTGGAAAATTTTAAGTCATTTTTATCTCAAAATCATGAGGCTAATGTTAAATGGTTAGGTTGCTTTTTTTTTTTTCATTTTCAGGATCATGAAAACTAAGAAAGTTTTATAGTGGATGGGTTTAAAGTGTAGAATATTTTGAGCAAATTGATAGGAATCAACTAGAAAACCTGTTACAGGTGTTTTCCAAAATGAAGTTTGCATCATTAGTACTTTAACTGTAGAATTTTTTTGTTGGTGCATTTACCTTCTTTATACTGGGTGAACAATAGAAACAAATATTCAGCTGTTTAATGACATTTCACTATATGGTCTCAAGTATTTAATCAGTTAATAGAAATATGTATATAGCTTTATGTAACTTCAGTAGTATTAAAACCAAGTTTTGATTGTGACCTAATGGCCAAATTTAAATTAGAATTTTAAAAGAGCTCTTAGAGACTTCAGGTAAGCATTAGATTGTCTCTGAATCATAATACTGATTTCTTTTTTAAGTTAGAAAAAATAACTTGCTTCTTGATAGCTCATTTAATATCTTTGTTTATTCTGCCATTTAGACAGGATTTACTGGGATACAAACTACATCTCTTTGGAATACCATTATATGCTCTTGTGAGACTTTGTTTTTTTTTTTTGGTCTTGGTATTCACATTACCACAAATTGTCTTAATTAAGTAATTAAAATCATACCAACTGTGATTTAGAAGTTACATTAAGGCTGGGCGTGGTGGCTCACACCTGTGATTCCAGCACTTTTGGGAGGCTGAAGTGGGCAGATCACTTGAGGTCAGGGGTTTGAGACCAGCCTGGCCAACATGGTGAAACTCTGTCTCTACTAATAATACAAAAATCAGTCATGTGTGTAATCCTAGCGCTTTGGGAAGCTGAGGTCAGGAGATTGAGACCATCCTGGCCAACATGGTGAAACCCCGTCTCTACTAAAAATGCAAAAATTAGCTGAGCCAGGTGGCGCACGCCTATAGTTCCAGCTACTCAGGAGGCTGAGGCAGGAGAATCACATGAACCCAGCAGGTGGAGGCTGCAGTGGGCCGAGATCACACCACTGCACTCCAGCCTGGGTGACAGAGCAAGACTCTGTCTCAAAAAAAAAAAAAAAAAAAAAGTCCGGTGTGGTGGCACGCACCTGTAGTCTCAGCTGCTCAGGAGGCTGAGGCACGAGAATTGCTTGAACCCAGGAGGCAGAGGTTGCAGTGAACCAAGATTGCACCACTGCACTTCAGCGTGGGCGACAGTGAAACTGTTTCTGAAAACAAAAAAAAAAGCATAAAAATAAAAGTTACATTAAGATTAAATATATTAGAAATTCATTGGGAAATGATCTCTTGGGATCTGTGAAGGGGAGGAGGCTGTGGCCCATTTTAATCTAAACTTTAAAAGATAAAATGGGAATTCAAATAGGATGATTTTATATTTGATATTGGGAGCATTATCTGGATGTTGTGAATTGTTAATACGTGTTTTGTGAAATATTCTTTTTAGGTATTTCTGAAAATACAGTCACTCACTTGCCTCTTTAACTGCTCTGCTTATTGGGGGCATCTGCTTTGTGAATTCATGTATAATTAAAGGATAATTTGGCATTTTAAATCCTAACTTTAGTACCTGTTTTTTTTGTTTGTTTGTTTGTTTTTAGGAGGAGCATATTATTTAATATCTAGAAGTCTAGGGCCAGAATTTGGTGGTGCAATTGGTCTAATCTTCGCCTTTGCCAACGCTGTTGCAGTTGCTATGTATGTGGTTGGATTTGCAGAAACCGTGGTGGAGTTGCTTAAGGTAATTCACCTTCCTTCTAGTCATTCGTTTACCAAATCTTTATTGAGGGATTATATGCCGATCACCATGTTAGAGGTTGGGAAAGCAGTGATATGATGACCAAGAGATTCGTCCTTCATAAAGTTTACTACAGGAGATAGGCAAAGAACAAAATACTATTAGAATGTCAGCAGTGGGCCGGGCGCGGTGGCTCGCGCATGTAATCCCAGCACTATGGGAGGCCGAGGCGAGCGGATCACGAGGTCAGGAGATCGAGGCGAGCGGATCACGAGGTCAGGAGATCGAGACCATCCTGGCCAACATGGTGAAACCCCATCTCTACTACAAATACAAAAAAAAAAAAAAAAATCAGCTGGGCGTGGTGGCAGGCACCTGTAGTCCCAGCTACTGGGGAGGCTGAGGCAGGAGAATGGTGTGAACCCAGGAGGTGGAGCTTGCAGTGAACTGAGACGGCACCACTGCACTCCAGCCTGGGCGACAGAGCAAGACTCCGTCTCGGAAAAATAAAGAAAAGTACAGCCGGGCGTGGTGGCTCATGCCTGTAATCTCAGTACTATGGGAGGCAGAGTTGGGCGGATCACCTGAGTTCGGGAGTTTGAGACCACCCTGACCAACGTGGAGAAACCCGGTCTCTACTAAAAATAAAAAATTAGCCTGGTGTGGTGGCGCATGCCTGTAATCCCAGTTACTCTGGAGGCTGAGGCAGGGGAATTGCTAGAACTGGGGAGGCAAAGGTTGCGGTGAGCCGAGATCGCGCCTTTGCTCTCCAACCTGGGCAGCAAGAGTGAAACTCTGTCTCAAAAAAGAAAAAAAGAAAAATACAAACATTTTTGTATGGTTCAAGCACAAAAGCAGCAAGACATTTAATACTAGAGAGAGAAAAAATAATCAGGAGAAGGGTCTTATTTCCATTGAAGTTAGGGTCTTGTTTGGGATTGGGGGGCGTGACATGCTCAGATTTGGGATGTAGGGAAGTATCTGACCATGGTACGGAGAATGGACTTGAGGAATCACAAATGGAAATAGAGACCATTTAGAAGGTTGTAGGTGTCCTGGGAGAGGAGATGGTGGCTTATATTAAAACAGTGACTTGTGGAGCGGGAAAGATGTGGGCGAATTTGGGAGATTTTAAAGAATTTGAAGGATTGGATTTGATAATTAATGGGATGTGAGAAATTAGAGAAATAGGAGGATTTCAAGTTTATACACAAATTTCTGACTTTTGGATTTAGATGGAAGATAATGCCATTTGCGGTGTGATGGATAACACAGGACAGTTTAGTTTGAATGTGTTAACTAGAAGAACCATGAGTATATCCAAATAGAGCTGGCTGTATTGCTCTGGAGTATAATTAAAGAAGAGTGCAATAGGATTCCTCAAATATTATTAAATGAGAGGAACCTCAAGTGACACCTATAATTGCTCATGTTAGGTTAGGTTGTAACTATTCTACAGTAGTAAATGGTACATAAGGAAGTATAAAATCTGACAAGGATTGACACCTGCGTTGACATTGACCTTTACATGTTTACACCAAAGGGATGAAGAAAAAGGGCTATAATACCATGAGTAAGCAATGTACTCATTAGAGTTTATATTCTTTCATTGTTTAATTTAGTGTATATTTTTATTTGATAGTCAAAGTTTAAGGTTTACTCTATGAAGTCTTATCAAAGTATTTAATTAGGGTTTATACATGTTTTTGTTTCATGGAAAATTTAACTTAGAGAAATATGAAATTTCAAACATTTTAAACTACATTTATTATATAAAATATTGAGCTATAGCAGTAGTCTTCTATTACAATCATAGTCCATGAATCTAAAAGCCAGTCAATAGATACATTTACACTAGTACCGTTTTTTTTCAAGTAATTCTCAGATATGATTTTCCAAATGCTATAGGGAATTTCAACGATCAGATTAATTCAAGAGATGTCGAAATCAAATTTAAAAAAACACTAAAAAATTTTTTTGCAAAGTAAAAAGTATGTAGCTTTATGAAATTGAATGGGACCCTTGAAGGTGGACAAGGTTGGGAAATGACTTTTCCTACTGTGTTGATTAAATATTAACACTTTCTATGCCTTCAGTTGACAAAAGCATCTTTGGATCTTTGGATCTAGGGGTTTTTCCACCCTAATATTTGTATTAAGGTCATTTATCTGGAATTCAAGTAATTTTTTTCCTCCCTTGTAATTGACTTTTATGAAATAATTTCTTTTGAAAAGCATTAACAAGATTGCTTTTTCTTAAAAGAAGCAAATTGATAGGATTATTATAATCTGTACTTTAGTCAATTGCACAGAATATAGTCGTCCTGAGTTATCAAAACAACTAAATTATGTTTTAGTTTTTTTGTGCCTTTTATTACCTTATTTGAGAAGTGGTAGTAATTGATAAATAGCTTTTGCTTAGTTAACTGGGATATCATAATCTTTAATTTTATCCTAGATGGGAATCTTTTAAAAATGCCATTGATATTAAACTACAAATAATTTTGTTTGCAGAGTGGAAACAGTGTGTTTTTGGACAGCAGCAGGAAGTTGTGCTTATCACTTACTCTCTCACAGTATAAAAGACCTTTAAAAGCATGAGTTCACTAATCACAATAAATACAAAATATATTTCTGCTATATAACTTAAAATTCTAACTAGCAGTATTAGTTATAACTTTTTTACTTCTTTGTTAGCAATTCCTTTTTTGATTTATTGAGTCTATATTAAATATAGAAGCATTAATAATCATACATTTATGTCATCAGATGCTTGAATGACTAACACCTCAGTGGTAAATAGTAATTTGTTCCTTTAGGTCTTCCATTTATTCCTTAAGCAACCATTTATTCAACTTCTTCATGTAAGGCACCGTAATATCTCTAAAATGTTTCAAAAGGAGTGTGAATGTGTATAAAAATAACTAGTATTGCTTATTATATTTATGATTCCTTTTTCTAGGAACATTCCATACTTATGATAGATGAAATCAATGATATCCGAATTATTGGAGCCATTACAGTCGTGATTCTTTTAGGTATCTCAGTAGCTGGAATGGAGTGGGAAGCAAAAGTAAGTTATGATAGGAACACCTGTAAATATTTAATACGTAAACTTTTAGAGCTTATGTTTTGGGAACACTCTGAAGTATGGTAATATTTCCAGATTCTAATGGTACCTAAGTGGCCATTTTCACAAATGTTTATGTATAAGGTTATTTTCTACTTGACAAGGCAGAGAATCTTTGGAGATAACACTCAGCCTAGGATCTAGTTAAACACAGTACTTTGTAAATTTTGAATTTCCCGCCTTCTCGCCCATCCTCCAGTTTTGCAGTATGTAAAAATGCTGAGGTCAGTGTGTTAGTCCAAATTAAACGTTTGGCTTTGTAATTTATTTAAAAGTTCAACTTAGACATGGGGCAGTAAATAAAAGTTATTGCCCACATGAGGTTAGAGAAGTTATTCTTGCTATTGAAATTTCAGAAGTTAGGACTACCAAAGCCAGTATCATTGTTTCTGGAAAAAATTGCTAAAGTCACATGTTACCCATAAGCAGAGCACCCAGAAGTGTTTTTGTCTCTTTGAGAATTAGAGCATCATAGCACAGCTGTAGTTTCCCAAGTAATGGATATCCACAAAGGTGTTTACTTTTGAAGACCTTATAAAAGTCACATATTTGTGCTATATATGATATGATAATGTTTACCAAACCAAAAATTAGGAAAGCCTGAAAGAATAATTTTTTCAATCTTGTTCTTTATTGTAAAGTCATATTAGTGTAAAATTAAATCATTTATTTACACATTTTACAAATTGACTGTATGAAAATAACAGAATTTTATACCACCTGGGACATGATTAGCATGTATGTAGTTCCATTTCCCACAGATGACACCGTTTTTCATGAGTGTTCAGGTTTATTGAGAGGTTGAGAGTGGAGAAGGGGAAATGGTAGTTTTCATAGATTGTTCTTTCCTTCCAATCCCATTGCTACTTGAATTTCCCTCCTGTATATTGTCATCTTCTTTCTGTACTTTTTCTTATTTTCCTGTAGCAATCACACACTCAACATTATGTTTGGACCATGTATAAAACTTGTGTTTGTGTCCAGCATGTTCTCCATGTCAAGATGGTAGTGTTAAGGTGGAAGAGACAGGAATGAATGATCTAGAATGAAAGCCTATATTGTTTTGGAATTTACAGTGCTTTATGGTTTGTGGGAAGGCATGCACATCTTTAACTCATTTCAGAAATATGGCATGATCTCACTTTTACTATCTTTTTTTTCCCCAGATATTTCTTTAAAGATCTCTTTGTTCATTAAACAAGGATTTATTGAGCAGCTGCTTGGCATATGGCATTGTTTAAGGCACTGGGGAATCAGGCAAAACAAGACAGAAATTCTTTCCCTCATGGAAGTTATATTCTAGGGGAATTGAATCAAGATATAGAAACAAGATACTTGATTTTAATTTTTAATGTTTAAAATTGCAGGCTCAGATTGTTCTTTTGGTGATCCTACTTCTTGCTATTGGTGATTTCGTCATAGGAACATTTATCCCACTGGAGAGCAAGAAGCCAAAAGGGTTTTTTGGTTATAAATGTAAGTAAAAAAGATTCAATATTTTTTAAGGGTACCTATTTATAGAATTCTATCATCAATTAAATTTTGTACATTTCAGATATTTTGTAACAGAATTGACTATGGTTTGGTGATTCACCCTAATTTACAATTTAGTTTTGTCCCCTTTATGCTGTACAGTTGGAGTAAAAATTACTTCTATTTACATCTTTTCTTTTTCATTATTAGCAACAAAAGGTGATAGAATATGGAGAAATCAGTGCTGCTAAGAAAAGGAGATTTTATTCTCTACTAGTTTTGGGAATTTGTAACTGAATTTCTAACTTTTGTTCTAATATGACTTTCATTCTTTTAACATATTTAAGCACAACAGTATAAAAGCGCCTAAGATTGTGAAAGCAATTATTGGTATAATTGCATTTTTCAAGAGTGCAGGCCATTTGATTTTTAGGAGATCTCTCCAGTTGGGTTTGTCTTATTTGTTTTTATAGATTCAGGTTATTTATGTTTGTCAGGAACGTAAGTGAACCGTGTCTCCTTCTCAGTCCAGCACATTTGGAGGGTGCATGATGCAGTTTTTTATATTACTTAGTGGTGTTAGTTTTGATGACTTAGTCAAGGTTATACCTGCACAGTTTCTCTATTGTGAAGTTGCTGTTTTTTTCTTTGCAGTTAGTAAGTGATCTGTGGAAGAATACTCTGAGACTGTTCATAGCCCTGTCAAACTTCTACCAAATGGCTTCATCCTTAACCCCTCTCACATCTGGCTTTTGTTGGTTAAAATATGTCAGATGGTGATAGATGCACTATGAATTTTTTGTCCTCTGCTTCATTTCTCTTAGTCATTCCTTCTCCTTCTTGAAACATGTCTATTTTATTCGATGTCAGATACCCTAGGTGCCTAACTCACTGGTCACTATGTCCATTACTCCTGTTACCCCCTTTAAATGCAGAATTTTACAACTATTATAGTGCTGACCTTCTAACTATACACTCTCCCTTGGGTGGTGTGTATTCTCATGGCTCAAAATGCTATTAAGGGACTGACATGTTTCTATTCCTGAATCTCTCCTTTAAAGTCCAAACATAAATATATATCCAACTGATTATTTGAAGTCTCTCCTACTTATTTCTTCTCAGGCTTTTCCATCTAAGCAAGTAGCTGAAACCAGGATCTTAGTGTTTCCCGTCCTACCTGCTCCTCTTAATTTCTAATCCTTTCCTAATCAGTGTATTTATTCTCCCATCTCTAGATTGAACCTCTGCAGCAACCTCCTAATGGGCCTCCCTGTTATCAGATGTTGAATCTTTCAGTCCATTGTCCACACAACATTAATAGTATATGTCATTTGCGTGTTTATGACCCTACTTTGGTTTTCCATTTTATTTAGGATAAATTTAACTTTTATAAAATATTCACACTCTGTTCCTCAGTGGTCACTCCAATTTCATTTAATTTTTCTCCTTACTATAAGAATTTTATCTTCTTTTATTTCCTCAGAAGAGTTAAACCTTTTTCTACTTTGGGGTCTTCATATATGTTGTTTCTCTTTTCTGGTATACTCTTTTTCCCTGATGATCACATGGCTGATTCTTGCTCAGCAAACTCTTAGCTTAAGTATTGTCTCCTTCCTTATATTTGCTTAGCCTTCTGTAACCACATTGAATTAGATTCTCTCTCTCTCTCATTTGTTATTCACAAATCCCTGTTTCCATCAGAACATTTACTGCTGTTTATAATTACCTGTTATTTTGGTCATTTGCTATTGAGACTCTTAAATTCCATGAAGGCAGGAACAATGTCTAACTTGTTTATATTGCATCTCCAAGTACTTTGAGGTGCTAGAAAGCTCTAGTACAGGACCTGACACATAGTAGCTGCTGAAGTATTGAATGGATAGATGGATACATTACAGTTAGTCGGTTATCTTAGAGTCAGAGATGAAAACACTAGGTCTAGTTGAAGCTTTTATTGTTGTTGAAATAGAAAGGAACTTTACTTAGGGTAGCTAATTGTCTGACAGCCTCAAAAATCAATAGGTGACTAGACAGCAGAGAAAGCTGTGGACCAAAATCTATACAGATAGTAAAGTAAGTTGGAAGCTATCAAAAAGTTGATTCTATATTATTATGATGTTGCTTTTGTTTTCCTTTTTTTTTTTTTTCTTGAGATGGGGTCTCACTCTGTCACCCAGGCTGGAGTGCAATGGCATGATCATGGGTCACTGGAGTGTCGACTGTCCAGGCTTAAATGATTCTCTCACCCCAGCCTCCCAAGTAGCTGGGACCACAGGCATGTGCCACCACTCCTGGCTAATTTTTTAATTATTTCTAGAGTCAAGGTCTTCCTTGTGTTGCCCAGGCTGGTCTCAAACTGCTGGGCTCAAGAAATCTGCCTGCTTCGGTCTCCCAACGTGCTGAAATTACAGGCGTGAGGCACCACGCCATGCCCCCTTTTGTTTTTCTACCTCCCTTCTTGCTTCTTTTACCTCAGAGATTGAGGGGATTATCCACATTTTGATTTGCATTTGGGCTAGTCATAACAATTCATTCAGAGGCTCTTGAAACATAATTAGCGAGGTATACAAAAAATGAGACATGAATCAGATCAGATGATCATTTTGATGGTAAACCATTGTCTCATACAAGAAAAGAACACCAAATACTTGAACTGGGAAATATGCAAAAATTTACTCGTTACTTTAACTGAAGAAAAGTTAGGGGTCATGTATACCTATTATTCTTGACCTCAGTTATTATAGTCTAATTTGCTCTCCATTAATTGTCAAGAATATTTTGTTCTCTGCAGCTGAAATATTTAATGAGAACTTTGGGCCCGATTTTCGAGAGGAAGAGACTTTCTTTTCTGTATTTGCCATCTTTTTTCCTGCTGCAACTGGTATTCTGGCTGGAGCAAATATCTCAGGTGATCTTGCAGTAAGTATTATAAAGTGCTATATCAATTATATATTTTAAAAGTGGAATTTGTATATTTATTTTTACAGATAGACTTTAAAAAATCTTCTTGTCTTCTAGGATCCTCAGTCAGCCATACCCAAAGGAACACTCCTAGCCATTTTAATTACTACATTGGTTTACGTAGGAATTGCAGTATCTGTAGGTAAATAGTTTCACATTTCTTTATGTGTCGCAGAAATTTCATGATGTACGTACTATAAATACTTATTTTTATGACATTTGCTAACTTTTTTAAATACAGAAATATTTCAATAAAAAGACATGGAGTTGCTCATTATAATTCAAAAACAGTTTTTAGAAAACTAGTAATGACTTCTATAGACATTATCTAAACCGCCAAATGCTTTATGGTATCTCCAGGATTTTTATTAATTATGGTAAATTAAAAAATTATATGAAATTGCATCTATAAACTCATTCCACTGAGATACTGAAAACAATGTATGTGTAGAAGCAAATGAATTTCACTCTTACAAATTTCTGTATTTTTTTAAGATGGTTATTTATTTTTTTTTTTTACAGTATATGAAGATTCTTTCAAGGCTATTAAGCAATGCTTGGCAATTTTTTACTATAAAAACACTGGTTTTGAAGATTAGGACATACTAAGTTTTACTTAGGAAAAGTTTTACTAAATTCTTAGTAAATTGAATGAAAGTGATTTCAAAACCATGTTATTACTTCATGGGATCATGGATCAACTTCATGGTTACTTCATGGGATCAACTTGAAAGGACTTAAGTGGTCAACCAGTCTCTAATCCTTTTCTTACAGATGAGAGGATAGAAGTTCCGAGATTTCACTACCAAAGATAGTGGCATTTGTTTTAGAGAATTGTTTTCATGGCAAAGAAGGTTTTTTTGTTGTTTGTTTTAAATAAAGTCTTTAAGGCTATTTTCTATGAATTACTATTAGTTTACATATGGTTTGCATTTGTCAAGCTTTACAGTTAAATTTCTTAAGCATAATGCAAAAGTAAATCTTAGTTTAATACTAATGTAAAGAATCATAAACTCCAAGCCCATAGGCTACACAATATGAGGTTTCTATTGGATTTGGTAAGAAAATTTCATTTTTGCTATATATTCACTGATTTGCTGGGAAGTAATAGCAGAATTATATTTATAAACTCTACTATTTGCTTAAATGTAATTTTGAAATTTCACTACATGACAGAAATACTAATAATATCATGGTGAGCTGAATTGCCTTTTTTGCTTGTTTGTTTTTGTTTTTGTTTTTTGTTTTTTGAGACGGAGTCTCACTCTGTTTCCCAGGCTGGAGTGCAGTGGCTCGATCTTGGCTCACTGCAACCTCCGCCTCCCAGATTCAAGCAATTCTCGTGCCTCACCCTCCTGAGTAGCTGGGATTACAGGCACCCACCACTACACCTGGCTAATTTTTGTATTTTTAGTAGAGATGGGGTTTTGCCATGTTGGCCAGGCTGGTCTCAAACTCCTGACCTCAGGTGATCCACCTGCCTTAACCTCCCCAAGTGCTGGGATTACAGGTGTGAGCCACCGCGCCCAGCCTGAATTGGCATTTACAGAGGAATTTGGATTTCATTTATCCTTAGAATTCACACACAAATCTCTGAAATTTATTTTGAAAACACGGATGAATATATATGCCTAGCAAAATATATGGGTTCCCCTAAAAGTTCCTAGCATGCTTCTATACATTATTGCTAAAGAAAATTTAGGCATAAAGTGACATAATTGATTATGTTTTAACTTGTAAAATAGTTTGTTACAGCAAATATTTTCTATTTTTATTTTACCGTCTAACATTGCTGGCCCTCATGCTCATTTCATTCTGTCTGCATTAGCCCTTGGAGCAATAGGGGTAACCCCTTGATGCTGATGTTCAGTAGCTAGGCCAGTAAAGGCAGCCTCTACACCAGTGGTTGTTAAGCTCAAAGAAGTGGAACCTTCCCCCCCCAAAAAATTTCAGGCATAGACTATCAGAATACAAAGCACATGAAAGTATAGTTACTTTAGGGCTGGGGGGATTTGCAAGGCTCTATTCTCCCCCCATTCCCCAGTTGTTTCAGAGGTACCTTTATGGAAACATGGTTTTGCAAGGACTGCTCTGAATGGTAGATGAAAAAATTGAAAAACAAAGAACTGTATAGTCTGCCTAGTCATTAAAATATCCTCCCTTCTCATACTTAGTTCTGTTTATTCAATTTTTGCTGTCATGCATGTAATTTTTACCTCAATATATGATGAAATAATACTGAAAAAGTGCTTCAGAAAGTAAAAATCTTTAAAGTATAAGGAATGGTAATTACCATTAGTTGTGCATTACACGTTACTCTGAATAATAAATTGCTTGTTTCAAGGTCACTTTTAAAATATTTTATTATGGAAGTTTTCAATTTTATGGAAAAGTAGGGAGGATTTTCAAATTAGCTCAATAATTATTACCCAGCTTCAAAAAAGTTAGCAAAAATATTAGTACATGGTTAATCTTGTTTCATCTATACCCAAGTCACTCTGCTCTATGGGTTCTTTTTAAGCAAATCTTAGATACCATGTGTTTTCTTCTTTTTAGGATAATCATATTTGAGACAGAGATTTAAATATAATTATAATTCATTAACATTCAAATTATTTTCCCTCACAGAAGAGTGGTATTACCTGAAGTCTGATTTTTAGCCACATTCAAGTATAAAATATTTGGAGTATAGGAAAACATCACTGCCATTTGGAACTCTTTCAGTACAGTGTTTTCATATTTACTTAAGGACATCTTAACCAAATAGGCTAGGAAATAGTTTGCTAGTATACCATTTTCCACAACTCTTTACATGGTTTTTAAGTGTTTATGTGTAAATACTATTCTTTATAAAAGGTTCAGTTTCATCACATATTGGGGACCATGATGCTTTACAAATTCTGTTCAAGGTAAAGTCTTAATTGTAAATGCAATGTATGCTATTATAAGGGAGTAGATATGTAGTCACTACTTTGGTTTCTTTATAAATATATATATGTATATAAAATTCTGAAATGAATGTAGATATTAACTATATTATTCTTGTTGTCACTTGTGCTTTAGGTTCTTGTGTTGTTCGAGATGCCACTGGAAACGTTAATGACACTATCGTAACAGAGCTAACAAACTGTACTTCTGCAGCCTGCAAATTAAACTTTGATTTTTCATCTTGTGAAAGCAGTCCTTGTTCCTATGGCCTAATGAACAACTTCCAGGTGAGCATTGACTTTGTAATATACAGACATTCTGTATTTATCTAGGGGTGAGACTACTATCAAATATGACCATTCAGAATATAGCTGTAACATAGAAGGGAGGACAGTTGTTATTTTTTTTAATTTTTAATTTTTTCTTGAGATAGAGTCTCACTCTGTCGCCCAGGCTGTAGTGCGGTGGTGCTATCTTGGCTTGCTGCAAGCTCCGCCTCCTAGGTTCAAATGATTCTCTTGCCCCAATCTCCCGCGTAGCTGGGACTATAGGCGCCAGCCACCACACCCGGCTAATTTTTGTATTTTTAGTAAGGATGGGGTTTTACCATGTTGGTTAGGCTGGTCTCGAACTCCTGACGTCAAGTGATCCACCTGCATGGGCCTCCCAAAGTGCTGGGATGGCAGGTGTGAGCCACTGCGTCTGGCCAGTTGTTCTGTATATCCCCTAAAACTGTAAATATCTAATTGGACAAACTAAAATATGAATGGATAAAATCTGAGGATGTTCAAGAGCAAAGAGCCCCTAGGAGGTAATGCTTTTATAACAGCATGTAATATATATATATATATTAGTGTGTGTGTTTTTATATATGTAATATGTAAGTGTACTGTTTTAGAAAGCATGGAATCATCTTGCACATGGTCATATTTGTATGGGTCTGTTTTTGGATTCTTGATTCTGTTCTGTTGATCTTCGTGTCTGTCCTTGTGCCAGTACCACACATTCCTAATTACTGTAGTTAAATGATAAGTTTTGAGGTCAGGTAGATTAATTCCTCCCATTTTAGCCTTTCTAAAAAAATTGTTCTAGCTATTTTAGTTCCTTGGTCTTTCCATATAAAAATTTAAAATAACCTTATGTGTGTGTGTGTTTTAATTAATTAATTTACTTTTTAATATATTTTCACTTCAGTAGTTTTTGGGGTACATGTGGTTTCTGGTTACATGGATGAATTGTGTTGTGGTGGAGTCTGAGATTTTGGTGCCCCTATCACCCAAGCACCTTACGTTTATTTTTAAAAAGTCTTGGGATTTTGATAGGAATTACGTTAAACTGGTATATCAGTTTGGAGAGAATTGACTTTGTTGAGTGTTCAATTCATAAATATCATCTCTCCATTTATTTGTATTTTCTTTGATTTTCTTTCAGTCAGCATTTTGTAGTTTTCAGCATATACGTCCTGTATGTATTTTGTTAGATTTACGAGTAAGTATTTTTATTTTGCTCAATTTAAACCCATACCAATTAAGTTCAGTTTTCTAATTAGTGTTGTCTTCATAATTGCTTTATTTATAAATGGCCTTTAAAAAAGCATTGATCAGTATCAATAGTAGTGTTACTTTATTAGATATGGCTCATATAAAGTCATGCAGCATGAAATCACCATTTAACATTTAACAACAGAATTTAATTCTGAATGGATACTAGAAAGCTAGTGAATTTCTAAAACATACAAACTAGACAGGTTAGTAGTACTTCTCCAGTATTTGGAGGCTGTCAGTTTCTGCTGTTTATTGTTACCTCTATTAAGGTACTGAAAATGAAATGAAGTTTTAGTCTGCCAGATTTATGAGTTTTTAGAAACTGAAAAAAGATTATATAAGGGGAAAATAAATTACTAAAATTAATTTGGAGGATAATTTTGAGTTGTTTGTTAAGTCCTAGGATGGTAGAAAGAACACAAAGGTGTAGATTCAGGAGATTAAATCAAAATATTCTATTGTAAATTTATAGAGTACATGGTTCTGCTGATTTCAAAAGAAAAATAAAAATTTTGCTTTGTAATTTTTTTCAGTATTGTATAAACAGAATAATTTGTATTTTAATGTATTTAAAATTATGTGTTTTATGTACAATCTGTAAGTTTTACAATACAATTTTTAACTAAAATTTGTAAAGGCATTGTTTTTATTATAAATAAAATTATTTATAATAAAATTATTTATTATAAATATAATAAAATTATGTAGTTTTAAGCAACTGACTGTACTTTCAGTGGTTACAAATATTGAACCCAATTATGTAATAGAAGTTTGTGTTTTCTAGTCATAAGACTAGGCAAAATTGTAGGAATGAAAGAAAGTATTCATGTCCAGCTAATGATTCAGGCCAATTCTGACATTGATACTGTGTATGGAAGGCACAAACATTGGTCTTTGCCCAGTGACTGAAAATGCCAGTCAGATTTCTGTGTGGCCTTAAGATAGAAAAGTTTGTTGTCTTTATCAAGTTTAGTTATGGACTCATTCGAGCAAAGAGGAATTTGGTATAAGTAAAGCTGCTTTTCTTATTTAAAGGAAGTAAACTTTTCAAAAATACTTTGTAAAGCGATACAACATGAGGGAAAATCTTGTGAAAATATAAATACCTTGGCATTTGGAGAGTGAAGAATGGTGGATAGGACATAAATGAGGAGTATGTAAGTTGGAGTCTCCATCATAAGATCTATACAAGCCATACTTTATAATCATCTTTTCAGACTTCAGGGAATAAAGTTATTTAGGTTATCTTCTTGCTCTTAAATTTTAAATTGTGTATATAGTCTTATATTGCTTGCTATATTTCTACATTTTAATGTCCTCTAAAACCTTTGACTCACTGTTGCCTAATAAACAAAATGCAATCTTTAGTCTAAATCAGTCAGAGCCCTTCATACCTCTTCTTAAGCCTCACTGCCTTCTGTTCCGAGTGGACTCCAGGCACTGAGTGTGTTTGTACACACACACATGCATACCCTACTCTTTTGCTTTAGTCATTGCTTCACTCTGCTTGGAATGCACCTGTGGTTTATTTTCCCATGTCCAAATGTGCCTGACTTCAAGGCCACTTAGTTCTGTGAAGATTTTCTTGAATCCCAAATCATCTTCAACACACACCCCCACACAGACTTTTACCATTCATTTTATTTACTTGCTATCTTTTAGCTTTTATTAGACTTTTGTCTTTTTTTCCCCTTTAGAGACAAGACAGTCTTTTTTTCATCTTTGTTTCCACTGTATATTGTTGACACTAATATCATTATTTACATTGAATATCATTATCCTTGCTGCTGATATTTTACCATTAAATGTTGAGAAGTGCAGAGGTTACTGGATAACTGTTCAACTATTTAATAGAAAACAGAAAACCTATTATAGCAGGCCCCAAAACATAGTATTTCCAGATGAAAAGCCTGGATCATTATTTACTTCAATTTATAACTGATGGAAGAAGGGAAAATGTATTGTTTCCTCAACATGGAAGAGGAAAGGTTATAGTAATGCTGGTGGTGTCAGTTTTGCCTTACTCCTACAATGCAGAATGTATCATATACTCTGTTCTCTACTTTCGTCCACTTATCTCTTTCTTTGTACTTAATTTAACTTTGAGATCATTAAGACAGATGTAGAATTTTGTATGATCTAATGAGGCTGTATAGCAGAAATTGGGTTTATTCATTTTAATCTTGACTCATCTGTCCTTTACAATCTCCTTCCCTAAAGATAAGGTTGTCAGTTCTAAATAATCCAGCATTAATTACCATGAAAAATAGTGATTATGAAAAATGCACAGCATATATGTAACTACTAAATTGTTATTAAAGGGCTGAGTAGAAAATAATCTTTTCAGATTTTCTCCCCACTCTTAGAAGTCTGCTACTGTCTTTAAAACACTTCAGAGATGTATTCTTCATATTTAACCTTAAATCTAATGGAAGATCTAGGGAAAGATGTTTAGTCAACAGGGTGGTTTATGTGTACATGAAATCAGACTTATGCATTGTGGACAGGGATTGTACCCGTTGCTAACTTTCCATTTTGTTTAAACAATTAAATTTTACAGTAAAGTGTGTGATAGAAACAGCTTAAAACCTGATTTCCTTATCTCTTTGGTCTCAGTTGACATGTTCTTAGTCAATATAAATGAAAGATAAAATCTCCACCAATGAAGCAGAGAATCTAGGTGATGATCACCATTCACTGCTGGGAGATTTATAATACCATTCACAGCTGTTCAAGTTGACAATAGTTGAATCCACTAAACAACTCCTCCACTTTAATTTTGTGTTTTGACAAGTTTCACAGATTCAGAAGTACACAGTGAATACCTGTGTACTTATCCTTCAGTTATATTTACTAGTTTATATTTTACCCTATTTGCTTTGTGTGTGTATATATATAGTCTTTTTCTCCTCAAATAAGTTATAGACATCATGACACGACGATCATTTTGAAGTATTTAATGCATTTTGTGTAAGCACAATATGGTTATCCTACTTAAGAAATTAAACACTGATGAAATACTGTTATTTAAATATACATCCTATGTTCATATTTCTCCACTTGTCCCAGTAATGTCTTTTATAGCTATTTTTTCTAAGTCCAGGATTGATCTAGGGTCACACATGGCATTTAGTTATAGTGTCATTTTAAAATCATTTAATCTAGGGGAGTTTCTAGCCCACATTAATCTTCATGACATTGACATTTTCAACATTTGAACCAGGTTGTTTTTGAATTATGCCTCTCAGTTTGAATTCACCTGAATTCATGATCTTAGTGATCAATCCTATGTTGTTGGTGTTTTTTTTTTTTTTAAGTCTTCTAAGAGGAAATGTTTGAACATGTACACAGAGAAAGCAATATAATATACCTAGTATCTACATTACCCAGCTTTATCAGTTATCAATGCATGGTTAATTTTGTTTCATGTGTAACTCTTCCTATCCCAGATTATTTAGAGCAAAACCCTAGACTTTATATCATATCTTTTCGCTGGAAATATTTCCACATTTAGCTCTAGAAGATAAAAGGTTAGAAAAAAATAACCACAATACTATCTTAACATAAGAAACAGCCTTCCTAATAGAAGTACATGATGGCACTTACACAGTATTCTTGCCAAAACTTGTACCTCATTTTGATTAACTGTCTAGATAGAACCAGTTTACTAGAATTATAGAAATGAGAAGAGGTTAAGCAATACAATGATGATGAAGTCAGAAAAATCCAGAGTATGAGATCTCCATGGGAGAAATGATAGAAAAATAATAAAAGGAAAAGGAAATGTGAACCTGTTGATTGAAAAAGACTGAAGAGACGCATAAACCAAATATAATGTGTAACCTTTTTTTTTTTTTTTTTGGATCCTGATTTGAACAGACTATTTTTAAAAGATAAGAAAGGACAATTTAGGGAATTTGAATGCTGACTTGCCTTTTTTGTGGTACTGTTAAGCAATTATTAAGTTTCTAAGCTGCGACAGTGGCATTGTAGTTAAGTTTTCAAAAGTCCTTACCTGTTAGAGATACGTACTGACATATTTATGTGCTAAAGGATATCTGGGACTTGTTTCAAAATATTGTGGGGAATAGCCCTAAGTTGATCATTGTTGAAATTAGGTGATGGATGTTAGCAGTTCATTACACTCTTCTCTCTGCCATTGTGTGTGTTTAACATTTTACGAATGAAAAGGTTTTCTTAAGGTAAGGGCTAGTGGTAAATAAATTTGTTTCAGATATTTGTAATGCACATAGCGTTGTTGTTATTATTATTATAAAATGATCCCTAGTGTTAACCTCCTTCAAGATGTGACCACATAATATTGTGTTATTTTCTGAATTGTTTGTGAGATTTATTTTTCCATTTTTGTCACTTTTATTTAAGGTAATGAGTATGGTGTCAGGATTTACACCACTAATTTCTGCAGGTATATTTTCAGCCACTCTTTCTTCAGCATTAGCATCCCTAGTGAGTGCTCCCAAAATATTTCAGGTAAGTGTTTTTATATTACAGGCTTTATTAAAGGGAGAGTTAAAGTAATACTTCTCAATTTAGAATTGTTGCTATTTTCAAATTATTTGCTTCTATCAACCATATATACATATATATGATATATATATGCACATAAAGATATACATAGTTAATTTTATATGTGTGAATGAATGTGAATGTTTATATAAATATTTGTGCATTTGCTGTTAAGGTATATTCTTTGAGTCTTTTTAGAAGTGCTGATGGATTTTTGCTTTTTTGACATTTTTAGCATACATTTTCAAGATGTTTAAGGTATAGGAGTGCAGTCTAAGACTGAAAATAGGAAGTAGTAAAATATCTTTGTTCTAGTCAGTATGATATCAACCTAAATATTTTATTTTACAAATATTTAAACACCTAACGTGATATACACATTGTGTTCATTACTTAAGGGTATGATGATGTATAGGATAGACATTATCTCCTTTTAGTGAACATTAAACAGCTGAATACTGATGGGAAGTACTTTTTATTGGTAAATCAAATAAATGAATGTTGATTCTGCAGTCTTGTTCTTAATGCTGTATTTATAGCCAGTGAGTACAGTAAAGGTAGAAAATATCATTTAAGACAGACTTTAGTAATGTTTTAAGAAAGGTAGTTAAGTGTTATAATCAAGATTTTTATCTGCTTTAAGATTTCAGCTTGTTTTTCTTAAAATAGGTCACAACTATGTCATATTTATCAAGCTTCCAACTTTGTTTTTACTTGTATGCCTGCTTCTGTGATTTCTTCTTCATAAAATTTAATTTCAACATGGGGATAGGGTAAGGCAGATAGAAGTTTTGACCAGTATCCTTCTGATGTTTGAAATGCTTGAATTTCCTTTACATTTTGTAGGTGAAGCAGTATCTGGGACAGGATAAAAGAGATGACCAAGAATTAGAAACTTGAATCTCATTCCTGATTAACCTATTAGAACTATCAGCAAATCTGCATGTCTAATTTTAATATGTTTCATTTTAATGTTTTCTTTCATTAGGCTCTATGTAAGGACAACATCTACCCAGCTTTCCAGATGTTTGCTAAAGGTTATGGGAAAAATAATGAACCTCTTCGTGGCTACATCTTAACATTCTTAATTGCACTTGGATTCATCTTAATTGGTTAGTTATATAAATGGTGTGTTATTGTAGATTTTTGGTGCATATTAGTTCTAGACGTTGAATTATTAAATTATTAACAATGTTATCTTGGTATACTAAGTTTCTTTGTAATCAAAGAAAGTTTATAAAGTACTGTAAGTAATAGCATGAGTACATATTTGCTGAAATTATTGCCATTACTAAGTCCTCATTAGAGCTAAAGAGAATTCCTAGGCTCTTTTTCCTAAAACAAATATGATAATGGCATAAGGGAAAGGATTCTAGTGTCCCCTGTGACATCAGTGCCTTTGATGATCTATTTTTTTGGCACTCTGCCTCTGATCATAAGTGAGCTCTGTTGGGTCTTCCACTACTAAAGATGACATTGGACTTTTTAAGGTTTAAAGAATTTTGTCTAACCCCTGAGACTAGTTGACATTAAAAGGCTGATGTACCACAAGTGTTGTGGGACTATGTGGAAACTAATTCTCATGTGATGCTGTTAGATGTGTATTTGGTGTAGCCACTTGTGGAGAACAAGTGGGCAATATCTCGTAAACTTTTCTGTGATCAAGAGTTTTCCTTCTAGGTATGTACCCTATAGAAACTTGTATATATACTTAAAGAGCCATATACAATAATGTTTCTAGTATTATTCATTATAGTGAAAAACGAAAGCCACCTAGATCAATAGAAGAATAATATGCAGCAGTTAAAAAAAGGAATAAACTTGGTTTTCATTTATCAATATGGATGAATTTCAAAAATAAATGTAAAAGATCAAATTTCAGAATGATACATATGGTATGCTATTTATGTAACTTTTAAAACACCCAAAACAGTACTATTATGATGCATATAGACGATACATGTCATAAAACTATATAATATGACTGGACAGAATATACCAAGTTTGGAGATGTGTGAGATAAAGTATAAAGGGGATTCAATGGTTTGCACAGGACTGGATTTCTGAAAAGTAAAGTATATGAGGCATATATGGCAAACTCTAAATGTTTATGAAAGCTGGATGGTGGTTATGGGGTGTTACGTTGTTATCTAAAGATTTGAAATACTTCATAATTTTAAAAAGTTAAATGTCTAATACGTCAGTAAATCTCGCATGTGTTTGTTCTGCAGCTGAACTGAATGTTATTGCACCAATTATCTCAAACTTCTTCCTTGCATCATATGCATTGATCAATTTTTCAGTATTCCATGCATCACTTGCAAAATCTCCAGGTAATTTTACATTTTTAAAAAAGTTTGTAAATATCATTTTTGATTGCAAAGAAAATAAAACTTTTGCCACATTTTCAAAGATGTTATGTGTGGGGTTAGTTCATTAATGCCAAGTCTGTCTTTACAGTTAATTCAAATTAAGCTTTCAAAGATCTCTTTATCAGTAAGTTTACTGATAATATTGTTTCTTATCTTCAAAGCATTTGATAGGATTAATCTCTAATTCTGATAACACTGAAAAATTGTTACTTTTTAAAAAAACTAGTTTTTCAGTCTTTAGCTGATTTCTATTTTAGTTCTAAGAACATCATTATGATATAGTTTACCTGTAAGAAAATGGTTTTAACACGATGAGTTCTGTAAAATTCTGAAAAGGAATTTTAAAATTTTAATTTTAAAAAAGGAACAAAAGCATTGTTCCTTTTAAAGATTTGAAAGTCTGAGAACAGGGAACATATAAAGTATGAGAACTTTGGACACAAACATTCTAACATCAGGTTTTTACTTTAAATGTATAAATTCTATTGAAATTATTTTTTTAAAATAATTTTGGCTTTGGAACTACCTACCAATGAAAATTGAAAAACATGGTCTTCAACATTTTTTAAAGTGGGCTTCCTTCATAAATACTTCACTAAATGGGAAGATATGTGTTTCTGTAGTCAGCTCTTAGTTTTTCTAGCAAGTTGATTATGTTTTTAATGATTTTTATGAACATTTTGTTTGAAATGTTTTATATATTCATTAGACTATGGATATGGGTCATCCTAGAACCAGAAAATAAAGCCTAGTTACTACTAAGGATTCAATTTGAAACCTTTCTCTTTAAAACCTTCTATACTTTTTAACATTCACCTAAGGTAGGTTGATTTTTTTTTTATGAAGAGTTTATTGAATACAGAACTAGTCAAATACAGTAATGTGGAAATAGATGTTACCTTTTCATAGCCATCAAGAATTGTCAAATTCAATTGTGATCAATAATAGTCTTTGACTTTACTATTCAATATTAGACTTATACTTAATGCTTAAAGTCCTCTCAGTGTGGCAACCATAAAGAATGTTATTTTTTGAATACATATGTACCATTGTGTAAAGCAGATGAGGTATTTGTGTGACTTTTATTTATTTGTTATTGTTAGGATGGCGTCCTGCATTCAAATACTACAACATGTGGATATCACTTCTTGGAGCAATTCTTTGTTGCATAGTAATGTTCGTCATTAACTGGTGGGCTGCATTGCTAACATATGTGATAGTCCTTGGGCTGTATATTTATGTTACCTACAAAAAACCAGGTCAGTAGCCTTTTTTGTTTATATCCCAAGCTAGAAAACATCTAGAAGCTAGAAAACATCTAGAAGTTCTTTGTTATTTTTCATTTTAAGCATCATCTTTTGTATATTTGAAAGCTACTTTGTATAAAACCTAAAATACTTTATTTCCAAACTCCTAAAGTTTTTTTTTTTTCAAATACATGTAGTTTTAATAAAACAGTTACTTTGAGATTTTTTATTCTGGTTTCCATTCTCACTCATAAATTAAATTGATCCTATTTGTAGAAAAAGAATAAATTCATGTAATTAACATTTTGCTGCACTCGGTATATTTTTAAATTATTTTTTGAAAGGATCCAGTTACAGTACTGTAGTAGCTGTATAGCCTAATAAGCTAGGCTATTTATACATATAACCTACTGTGGTCCTTGAACTGGAGTGAGTACCATGGAGTTAACAAAATACTAGAAGACATAGTATCTTTCCCACTAGGTTACTGTGTAGCAGGGGAAATTGGACAAACTTGTTTTAACTGAGTAATGATTAATGATTTCCTAGTATGTCGTATTGATAACAGCTAAACGTATCTCCAGGTAAGATGATGATGCTGGAGTATGTTAGGATTGGTCCCGGTATTGAGCATTATAACCCGTGACACATGAAAGACCTGATGAGAAAGGCTTCATCTGGGCTCAATAGAATAGACTGGGAAGAGATTACAAGAGTAGTTTCAATATAGTAGTTTTAAACAGTAAGAACACATTTTGTAATCCAGATATGAAATAATGAGCTTTTAGATTAAAGTGGTAGCTCCAGAAATGAAATAAAACATTTTAGAATCAGTTATTTCTCTAACATACCTATCAAGTCTATAAATTAACAAATGTCTAAAATCATTTGAAGTCCAAGTTGTTTATTCAATAAGAAATAAAATTGTCCTGTTCAAATAACCCAAACAGTTAAGTACTATAAATAAGTATTTCTTAACAATTAGAAATTTGCTCATTTCCATTTAGACCTTTGGCTATATACAAACAATAATTTTAACATATTTATTTGTGAAAGACTCTTTCAGAGTTGTATGCACAGCATGTCTGCAGCCCTGTCATCTCAATCTTTTCTAAGTAATACTTTTTCTTTAAATGAATTATAGTTCAGATTATCAGTCTTAATATCTTGCTGTATATGTGAACTATTGAAAGTACAATAGTGTATTTCAGCAATTGACTTTTTAAATGTGAAAGCATGTTTAATTCTCTATGCCTCAGATTGGCTATTGATTGGTTGTTATTACTGATGTTAATGCTGCATGAACATTATCTTCCCACAGATGTGAATTGGGGATCCTCTACACAAGCCCTGACTTACCTGAATGCACTGCAGCATTCAATTCGTCTTTCTGGAGTGGAAGACCACGTGAAAAACTTTAGGTAAGTGATAAAGAAGGAAACATGGAAGCATTTTCTCTTTGCTGGCCAGTCAGTTCTTATTTTTCATTGACATTTTCATGTACATTTCACATTTTTAATCGGTCTTGGGCAGTTTAATTATTCAAGAACAAAATTGTACAAAGAAAAATTAATATCTACCTTAAAAAATGTTATGAGGGTTTTGGAGGTTTCTCACTTGAAGACTTTTAAATGATGGGTATGATAAAGTCAAAGTTTGATTTTCTCCATGTTCATTAAAGTTACGTAACTGTGTAAGTATGAGATTCATAAAGATTTTTTGACATGCGTTATTTTGTAACATTACTGACACACTAAAATTGTTAGTTGTGTCTTAATTAGTGATTAACTGGAAGCAACTTATAGTGACAAAGAATCAGTGCTTATACTAAAGAGCATTTATTACTATTTTCCTCAATAAATGACTTTAAGAATATATTATCTTTTTTGGCTGGGCACGGTGGCTCACGCCTGTAATCCCAGCACTTTGGGACGCCAAGGCTGGGGGATCAGTTGAGGTCAGGAGTTTGAGACCAGCCTGGCCAACATGGTGAAACCTTGTCTCTACTAAAAATACAAAAATTAGCCAGGCGTAGTGGCGCATGCCTGTAGTCCCAGCTACTTGGGAGGCTGAGGCAGGAGAATGGCTCGAACCCAGGAGGCGGAGGTTGCAGTGAGCCAAGATCATGCCACTGCACTCCAGCCTAGGCAACAGAGCGAGACTCCATCTCAAAAAACAAAAAAAGAATATATTATCTTTCTAATAGTTTATTAACCATCGGTATAAACTTTCTTTAGTCATGAGTAATCCCTCCTTATTGGCTTCTGCATGATAAACACAAATCTTTTCCATGTTTATTAGTAAACCAAAAGGGAAAATAATGTTTTTAAAGAAACCCTGAAACGTAGATAAATGTCAAAAGAGAATTGCTCTACCCAGTCTCTCTCTCAGTAAGAAAAGTAATTGTTTATTTTTTTGTTACTCTTTTGAATTCCCCCCTTCCTTTTTGCTAGACTAAAAAGGTCTGAGAGACCACACGCAGGTCTTCAGCTTTAGGGTAGACAGAAATGGAGAAGAAGGAATGAGAGCCCTGGGAGGAAAACTTTTCACTTCAGCATATTTTGGATAGTGATGTCAAGGATGACAGAAAATAGAAATTATTATTTTATGTAAAAAGTTGTATCCTAGAACTGAGAGTATGACCAAAAGCCTATGTTTATTTGCCGTCAATTAAAAAAAAAAACAAAAAAAAAAAACCTCTTGCTTTGGCTCATTGTAGTAAAGCCAACATTAAAAAAAATTTATTTTTGGGCATGTTGGTGCATGCCTGCAATCCCATCACTTTGGGAGGCTGAGGCGGGAGGATCACTTGAGCCTAGGAGTTGGAGACCAGCAGTTTGAGACCAGGCTAGGCAACATAGTGAGATCTTGTCTTTACCAAAAATTTACAAAATAGCCAAGTATGATGGTGCATACCTGTGGTCGGGAGACTGAGGCTGGAGGACTGCTAGAGCCAAGGAGTGTCTAGGCTATAGTGAGCCATGATTGTACCACTACATGCTAGCCTGGGCAACAGCGAGACCCTGTCTCAAAAAAAAAAAAAAGTTATCCCAGTTTGGCTTTTTAATTTTTATTAGAATTATACGTGAGTATTGTGTAAAGAGGAAAAGCTAGTCTGCAAGGTTTGTCATGAAAATCAATAGTTGCCTGCTCCTCATATCCCTCTTTCTCTCACAACTACAGGTAACCATGTTATTTACTTCATAAATAGCATGCTTGTCTTGCTGCAGAGTAGTCCCCTGTTATCCACAGGGGTTGTGTTCCAGGACCCTCGGTGGATAGCTGGAACTGCAGAGAGTACTGAATTTGATTGTCATGAGTCAGAACACCTTTTTGTTGTTGTTCATGTCTTCTATCCACGAAGTTAGTGCCTTTTCCATCTTAACTAAGCCCTTATTGCACATTACGGCTGTAACTTTTACAGTTTGAAGTGCAGCAGCAAAACTAGCATGAGTTTCTTTTTCCTTCTTTACAGTTTCACAGTTAGAAGATTCATTTTCTTACTGTAGATTTTAGTAACCTTTGCGTAAAATTTTTTTTCTTTCCTTAAGAACTTTCACCTTTTCACTTAAAGGAAGCATTTTACAGTTTTTTTTTTTGGCATATTCAAATTGCCAGCATCACTACTCTTGTGCTTTGAGGGCATCATGAAGTAAAATAAGAGTTGCTTGAACACAGGCACTGCGATATGCAACAGTTGATCTGATAACCAGGACAGATGTTGGGCAGGCAGTGTCTGTAGCACAGAGACGCTGGATAAAGGGAGAATTTATGTCCCAGGCCAGATGAAGCCGGATGTTGAGAAATTTCACCACACTACTCAGAATGATGCATAATTTAAAACATGAATTGTGTATTTATGGAATGTTCTATATTCTGAAACAATGGAAAACAAAGCCACAGATAAGGGGGGCTAGTGTACTTTTTGATTTTTAATTTTGGACATTATCAACTGATGTCTTTCATCTACGTATGCCTACCACATGCATGCATCCTTACCTTTATACCCCATCCTCCCAATACATTTTATATTATGATTTTGATTAGATCATATTTGGTATTTATATTTTTAAGACTTTTAAACATGCTGTAACAGCTGAGCCATGTAGTAAATTATTACTGTTTTTTCTTTGCTACATAGCTTTTTTGTTTTCCCTGAAACTAATAATTTTTCTTCTTCCTTAACTGTATTCATCACTGTCTTAACCTTCACCAAACTTGCCAAAAGATTTTTGTTGTCTTCACCTTGTAGTTTCTTACTGTTTACTGTTTCTTTAATTTGGGTTTTGGGATTTAGCCTGGTCTGAAATGAAGTATCTCTAATACTTGGCCAGGGAAGTTCGGCATTGGTAAGTGGAGCTTGTCAGTTGAAGTCCTTAATGTAGATTAATGTGGCTTTGCTGGTTCTTTGAGGAATGTGATTATCTTAAAGGCTTTCTTTTTGATCTGATTAGATTTTCCAGAAAAGATTATTTTAATCTTCTGCTTGTAGGTAGAGAGTTCTGGGAGCCAAGTGGGGAAAGGAGCTTAAAGGTTTCAGGGTTCAGTATATACATGTTCTTTAAACTCTTCTATTAAATGTAGCTTACTTCTGCCCCTAGCTGTTGCTGGTGACTCCCAGACCAGGGACTCTCTCCAGCAAATAAGCCCCAGCTTAGTAGGGTTGGGGAGGTTCAGGGACAGTGGCAATGATTTAGTGATGGAAATGATTTAGATCCATCTAGTTACTTCTTGTGTAAACTTTTACTTTCTTTAACACACTGTTCCTGCCACTTCCAGAGGGACCTACTGTTCCTAACTCCTAGGCATTTTGGTGATTTTTAGATGTAAAATCAGGTAGTTTCATAGCTTCCTCATGTGCTTTCCAGATTTCATTTTTTTCTGATTTGTCAAATCCTTTACTTTTCTTCCAGTTGCTTTCTAGCTTTCAGTATTCCAGTGCTGTTGTGCTCCAGATATTTTTGTGGTTTGTGCCTTTAAAAAAAATCTCTTTATGCCGTGGAGAGTTTTGAGAAAGGAGATTACATCAAGGTAGATGTGCACTCTGCTGCTGTTACTCAAAGTCATCCCTAATAAACTTTGTACTGTACCATTTTTGGTATGATCAGACTGTACCAAATTATATCTTTGTGGTTTATTGTTTAGTAAAGATAGGGGCTACAAGTTAATTTCTCACAATAACGGGTTCTATTAGGGTATGGGTTAAACTACTATAATAAAAAGACTGAAAAATACAGTGGCTCAAACAAGAGAGACATTGGTGTCACATGGTAGTCCACAAGTAGACAGATGTTTCATAGCAGGTAAGCAGATTTGCTGTACTTTGGTCACTCAGAACCCACGTTCCTTATCAGTCTGCCATTCCCTAGCTGTTTTTGTTCATGTGGTCAAAGTCATCACTGCATCCACAGTCTAGCTTTCTGGAAAGGGGGAAGAATGTATGGAGGCAGCACAGCTTCCTTTTTTAAAGGACACGCCCTGGAAATAGGAACATACTTATGGGCTATAAGTTAGTCATTGGGCCACATTTAGCTCCTAGGAAGGCTAGGAAATATACTGTCTGGCTAAGGAGTTAATGTAACTTGCTAAAGCTCGAAAGTCTGGGGCATGATTTCATGTTTGATTGCCTCAAAGCAACTCTCCCAGACAGAATTGCTTTTCCAGCTCATTTGCTAAAATTCTAAGTAAGATGGTATTTTTTGAAAAGTCGTTATTTAGGTTTTCATCCTCATTTTAAGGACTCCTGTAAACGTTAACGTTTAAGTCGGAAATTGTAGTCTGCAATTCACTTTCTGTTATAGTTCATTTTGATTATATAAATCCTTTTCTGAAGGAATTTTTGCCAGTCTGTTTGGACCTACCAAATGGAGACCTGTATATTTTTTACATTAAATATCAGTGATTTCCATTTCCAGTCAGTGAAAATCAAGAGCTACAAATATATGAAAGGCATGCCACTGTCTCACATTTGCAAAGGCAATTGAATTCTGTTTTGGCTTTCATCATTGATAGCTAGAATTCAGATTTCTAGTTCAAGTAGAAATCTTTTTTTCAACATAGGTGATTTTACTCATGGGACGACAGTCATTAATGTTAAGCTAGATTAGAGAGGGCTGATATCATGAAGTGGTAATAATTATGAAGTGATCAAGCTAAGAAGGAAAGTGACCTGTTTTGTACATGAAGGCAAACCTGTGCTTGCAGGAAGTTTTGCAAACTCTATGAAAGAATTATTAATAGAATATTTATTACCTTTAGAAAATGAAAAATTGTTACATATTTGAAGACAAAGCAGTGCTCGCAGGAAGTTATGCAAACTCTGTGAAAGAATTATTAACAGAATATTTATTACCTTCAGAAAATGAAAAATTGTTATATATTTTTTTAACTAGCATGATAATTTCTTTCTGTAATACCTACCAGAATCTTGATGTATAATAGTACCTATTATTTTAGAGGGACATTTGGCATGATGTTTGTTCCAAGATTTTGTTTCTGCATTTCTCATGTACCAAGAAGTCCTGGTTAAAAATAGTCTTTTTGAGAATCCTGTGGCCTGTGTCTTAAGGACAGTTGTATACAGAAAGCTTCTTAGGGAAACAACTTAAAATCTTGTTGCCAGAAACACAAATTTATCTAATTTTGTTTGTCTTTTCATCTTAAATTAGGCCACAGTGTCTTGTTATGACAGGTGCTCCAAACTCACGTCCAGCTTTACTTCATCTTGTTCATGATTTCACAAAAAATGTTGGTTTGATGATCTGTGGCCATGTACATATGGTAAGTATCAATTTTGTTTTCTTTTTCAAGTTTTTTTTTAAAGTTTTATTTTAGGTTCAGGAATACATGTGCAGGTTTGTTATGTAGCTAAATTGTGTGTCACAGGGGTTTGGTGTACAGATTGTTTTGTCACCCAGGTAATAAGCATAGTACCCAATAGGTAGTTTTTTGATCCTCACCCTCCTCCCACCCAGTAGCCTCAAGTAGGCCTCAGTGTCTGTGGTTCCCTTCTTTGTATCCATATGTACTTAATGTTTAGCTCCCACTTAGAAGTGTGAACATGTGGTATTTTGTTTTGTGTTCCTGTGTTAGTTCACTTAGGATAATAGCTTCTAGCTGCAGCCATGTTTCTGGAAAGGAAGTGATCTCATTCTTTTTTATGGCTGCATAATACTCCATGGTATTACAGGTACCACATTTTCTTTATCCAGTCTACCATTGATGGGCATTTAGGTTGATTCCATGTCTTTGATGTTGTGAATAGTGCTTCAATGAACGTACGCATGCATGTGTCTTTATGGTAGAACAATTTATGTTCCTTTGGATATATACCCAATAATGGGATTGCTGAGTCGAATGATAGTTCTGCTTTGAGTTCTTTGAGAAGGCCAAACTGCTTTCCATAGTGGCTGAAGTAATTTACATTCCCACCAGCAGTGTATAAGTGTTTTCTTTTCTCTGCAACCTCACCAGCATCTGTGTTTTTTTTTTTTTTTGACTTTTTAATGATTGCCATTCTGACAGGTGTGAAATAATTTTTTTATACTAAAACTTTTATGCTGTATATAATTTGTAATTTATAGGGCTTTCTAGATTGGAAATAATTTGACAAGCCAACTTTTTTTTTTTCAGGTAGTTGTTTTTTTCAAAATATTTTTGCCCCTAAATGGTCTTGAAGTAGCATTTTTAAACAGTTACTGAATTTTGAGCTCTCATTGTTTTTCTTATTCATTATGAGTAGATTTTAACAAACTGTATTGTCCTTGTAGAGTGGTTTGGCTTTTTGATACCTATGGAGTAGAAATTCACTGTTATTTTTCTCACTAATATGTCTGAAACTGGGCCCCTTCTTTACACCTTATACAAAAATTAAGATGGATTAAAGACTTAAACTTAAGACCTAAAACATAAAAACCCTGTAAGAAAACATAGGCAGTACCATTCAGGACAAAGGCATGGGCACAGACTTCATGACTAAAACACCAAAAGCAATGGCAGCAAAAGCCAAAATTGATAAATGGGATCTAACTAAACTAAAGAACTTCTGCACAGCAAGAGAAACTATCATCAGAGTGAACAGGCAACCTACAGAATGGGAGAAAAGTTTTGCAATGTATCCATCTGACAAAGGGCAAATATCCAGAATCTACAAGGAACTTAAACAAATTTACAAGAAAAAAACCACCCTGTCAAAAAGTGGGCAAAGGATATGAACAGACACTTTTCTTATGTGGTCAACAAACATATGAAAAAAAGCTCATCGTCACTGGTCATTAGAGAAATGCAAATCAAAACGACAATGAGATGCCATCTCACACCAGTTAGAAGGGCAATCATTAAAAAGTCAGGAACAACAGATGCTGGCAAGGATGTGGAGAAATAGGATCACTTTTACACTGTTGGTGGGAGTTTAAACTAGTTCAACCATTGTGGAAGACAGCGTGGCGATTCCTCAAGGATCTAGAACTAGAAATACCATTTGAGCCAGCAATCCCATTACTGGGTATATACCCAAAGGATTGTAAATCATTCTACTATAAAGACACATACACACGTATGTTTATTGTGGCACTGTTGACAATAGCAAAGACTTGGAACCAACCCAAATGCCCATCAATGATAGACTGGATAAGGAAAATGTGGTGCATATACACAATGGAATACTATGCAGCCATAAAAAAGAATGAGTTCATGTCCTTTGCAGGGACATGGATGAAGCTAGAAACCATCATTCTCAGCAAACTAACACAAGAACAGAAAACCAAATACTGTATGTTCTCACTCATAAGTGGGAGTTGAACAATGAGAACACACGGACACAGGGAGGGGAACATCACAAAGCAGGGCCTGTTGGGAGGTGGGGGGGCTCGGGGAGGGATAGCATTAGGTGAAATACCTAATGTAGGTGACAGGTTGATGGGTGCAGCAAACCACCATGGCACCTATATACCTATGTAACAAACCTGCATATTCTGCACATGTATCTCAGAACTTAAAGTTTTATATATATATGTTTTATAAAGTCCCAAGAACACTTGGGAACATTTACTTACCAGAAAAAAATGGGGGTTGGAAGAAATAGGCAAATTGTGATAAATATCTCCGGGGGAAGTAATATCTCTGGTATGTAAGAAGAACAAAGTGAATGCTGAATTTCTAAGTTCAAACACTTAGTTGCCAATTCTTTTTTGTTTTAGCCAGAAGAAAACTATTAAAAATAATGAACCTTTTTTAATCCGAAAGTAGTTTTTAGTTTTTTGGCATTGTGTTTATTAAGAACAGACTGGATGATGGCTTACCTGTGCTGCATAAGAAATAGGGGTATTTGTTGGATCAGCTTCTCTCTCAATTTCTGTTCTTCATCTTGTCTTGATTCTAGAAGTGTATATTGTATACCTCATGTCTCATCCCCAGCTAATTGTTCTGCTTATACAGTGGCAAAGTCAAGGGGTGTGTGTTTGTGTGTGTGTGTGTGTGTGTGTGAGAGTGCGTGTATGTAGGGTGGTAGAAGGATACTTGGAGACACTGACCCCACTTGGGACTTGTGGAGTTTTCTAGTTTGTCTCTGAGCTGATCAGCTAAATCAAGCCTTGAGCATAAGACATTTACAAATGAGACAATTTCCCCACTACAAAAGGTAAATTATATTTTTACTTATTTACATTTAGGGTGTGTACTCTTAAGCTTATTTTTAGATTTTTGTTTTATATATTTGTGTATAACACATTTTGTGTATTGCTTGCAAGGATCAAAATAAGAGTTATGAGTTAACAAAGTTCATTTAGTTTCTCCTGTTATTTCATCCTTTAACAGAATTTTAAAGAAAAATGCATTAATATTTTATAGCTCACTTTGATTTTCAGTGATATTCTCAAGTTAGAATTAATAACACAGACATTTGGGAGTAACAAAAACAAAACTAGGGAAACTTTCTGTAGAAAAATAGAAGGTGGTTATTTTACTCTGTATAATCTCTTCATTTTTGATAGCTTCTAACCTCTTTACTTAGAATGGAAACTTTTAATTTATTTGTAAGTCTGTGTTTCTTCTCTTATTCTTTCTACTGGCATCCCTGTGCCTTAGCTATTCCATCACCTCTACCTTTTTGTAATCTTATGTATTAAAAAGACTACATGGAAATAAAATGCTATTATTATACTTCTGACCCTACATTTAGTCACCTGTTTCAAGCCAGTATAACAGGATGAATCATTTGTATAAATGTGAAGTTGCTTACCTTTTAATTAAATATATTATTAATATTTTTATTCAAAGGGTCCTCGAAGACAAGCCATGAAAGAGATGTCCATCGATCAAGCCAAATATCAGCGATGGCTTATTAAGAACAAAATGAAGGCATTTTATGCTCCAGTACATGCAGATGACTTGAGAGAAGGTGCACAGTATTTGATGCAGGTAACTTTGTTAATGCTTTTCAAATGCCTACATTTTAGATTTGTATAAGCTTTTTAAAACTTTTTAATTCTAGATTTCATTCTTCATACTAATAAAAATGGCAAATCTTTTTTTATGTCTTTATTAAAGTAAACTACTTTGGCTCACCTGGCTAGTTCAGTCAGTAAAGCATGAGACACTGAAAGTAAACTACTTGGATTTGTATAATTCAGAATTAAAGGGACAGTAGAAATGTTGTGTTGTTCTGTGTTAATTGTGTAATTGTGGAGCTACTTTGTTAAAGTAGAGGTGGGAGGCTCAGAGTATTGTCTTCTGATCCGTTTCTGTTGTGTGTTTCTTAGAACTTGATAAGCACAGGGTTAAGAATAGCCAAGGCAATCTAGGAAGAAGGGACAAGGTAGGCTTGCTTTATAGGAAAGAAAGCCCTGTCAAAAAACTGTAGTAATTAAGACATTGTGGTGTTGAATATAGCGATAGACAGTTAGACGAATGGCACAAAACAGAGGAAATAGAGCTACCCGTATCAGAAACTTAACATATATGACAAAGGTGCTATTGAAAGCATGGGCCAGAATAAATCATTATTAACATGAAAAAAAATACTAGATCCTTATAAAAACCACACAAAACACATCTCCAGATGGATTAAATACCTAAATTTAAAAGGCAAATTTGTTTTGTTTTTAGAAAAAATTCTAAAACAATTTTATGACCTTTAGCTAGGGAAGAATGAGGCACCAAAAGTTGAGTTCAGTAGTTTTGTAGTTTAAAATTTTGAGATTCTAAAGAAAACATGAAAATAAATAAAGGAAGCATAGACCAAGGGAAGATGGTGATCCTAACATGTAATCAACAAAAGATATGGTCCAGAGTACAGACAGAAATACCATGTCAGTAACAGAAAAAAAGCGAAAGATATGAACAGAGAGGAAAACTAAATGACAGAAATAAAAATTAAAAGCACAATATACTCTTATTCCATATCCATTAGACTGACCCAAAATTAAGTCTGCCAATACAGAGTGTTAGAAATGGCATAGAGCAAGCTGGTCCAACCCGTGGACTACATATGGCCCAGGATGGCTTTGAATGCGGCCTAACACAAATTCGTAAATTTTCTTAAAACATTATGAGCTATTTTTGTGAGTTTTTTTTTTAAGCTGATCAGCTATCATTAGTGTTAGTGTATTCTGTGTGTGGCTCAAGACAATTCTTCTTCCAGTGTGGCCCAGAGAAGCCAAAAGATTGGACACCCCTGACATAGAGCAATTGGAAATCTTTGAACTGCTGTGGTAATGTAGATTGGACAACAACGCTGTCCAAAATAGGAAAGCAACCTGGCAAAATGTCCTGCAAATTTGGTTTGAATATTCTAGGACACTCTCTTCTTAGGTGTGCATCTCACAGGAACTTTTGCACGTGTGAAGAAGGCTATATGAAACTTCAGGCCGGGCACAGTGGCTCACTCCTGTAATCTTAGCACTTTGGGAGACTGTGACAGGTGGATCACCTGAGGTCAGGAGTTCAAGACCAGCCTGGCCAACATGGTGAAACCCTGTCTCTACTAAAAATACAAAAGTTAGTCAGTTGTGGTGGCACGCACCTGTAATCTCAGCTACCTGGGAGGCTGAGGCAGGAGAATCACTTGAACCCCTGAGGCAGAGGTTGCAGTGAGCCAAGATCATGCCACCGCACTCCAGTTTGGGCGATAGAGCGAGACCCCATCTCAAAAAAAAAAAGAAACTTCATGGCAACGTCATTTGTAATAGTGAAAAAGAATCGGAAGTAACAACCATCAATCACAGAAATGAAAATGTAGTACAAATGTATGGTAGAATTCTATACAGTGGTGAAGAGGAGCTATATATATCAACATGGATACACCTCAGAAACAGTGCTTAGGAAAAATAGCAAGTTTTAAAAAGTATATGAACAATATGAAGATTTAAATATTTTAAAAATGTAGTAAATTTTATATGTATGCATTTCTAAGTAATAGAATACATAGTAAAAATGCAAAGAGAACATGAAGATACAGTGGAGGCTTTACTGTGTTTCTCATGTTTCTTAACGGCGCGGTAGATACATGAATGTTTATTATTTATACTTTATTTTTGTATGTGAAATATTGAAATATTTTAGGTAGAATGCTACACTGGGTCATATGGTTATTTCTAGTAGGTAAATCTTGCTTCCTTTATATAATTTATAGGAACATTCTGATAGCCAATTTATACAAACAATAAATTTTAGGAAGGAAATGAATGAAAAATTTTCCTTAGAGCAGTGGTCATTAAACTTCAGCATGCGTCAGAATCATCTAGTAGACTTGTTAAAACACAGATTGTTAGGCCCCACCCCAGAATGAATCAGATCTGGGGTGAGGGCCCAGCGTTTGCACTTCCAACAGAGTTTGAGGTGATGCTGCTGATTCAGTTCAGGGACTATACTTTAAGAATCACTGCTCTAGAAAGTCTCTGTGGTGTAAATGATTCTTCTGTAAATTTGGCAGGAGCTAGAATTCATCCTCCAGATTACTTTCATCCACCTAATATATTCACTGCAGTGGACCATGACAACTCTATCAGTGTGGGGCAAAGTTTTAGGATAAATAGAAGAGTATTGTTTTGAGAAAAATACTTAGGAGACTGACTTTCTAGCAGAGCTGTCTGAGGAACTATATGAAATATTATTACAAATAGGTGCCGGTTGCCTCTGTACAACTAGTAACTGAAATTTTTAGTGTGAATTGCTGCTGAGAGTATTTCTCTTTCCTTTCTACCTTTGGGAAACCTGTTACACAAAGTGTCAAATGTCTTTTAGTTGTTTATTACCTTTGGCAAAAGAATTTTGTACATTAATTTGTTTGTACAGTGACTTTTTGTATAGTTGTAGAGATGCTGTTTTTAGATGTTATTTGTTTTACTGGACTTACCCTCAATTTTTCCCTGTCCCCTCATCTTTCTAGTTACTAATTATAATCTTAAGCATCTATTTATCATTAAACTAGCAATTAAGTATCTAGCTTCCACAACAAAACTGTTTTGTTTTTTTTTTTTTTTTTGGAGACAGAATCTCACTCTGTCTCCCAGGTTGGAGTGCAGTAGCTGTAGCTGACTGCAGCCTTGACCTCCTGGGCTCAAGTGATCCTCCCACCTCAGCCTCCTGAGTAGCTGGGACCATAGGCGTGCGCTACCATGGCTGGCTAGTTTTTGTATTTTTTGTAGAGATGAGGTTTCACCATGTTGCTCAGGCTGGTCTTGAACTCTGAGCTTGAACAATCCTCCTACCTCAGCCTCTCAAAGTGCTGGGATTATCGGCATGAGCATCCATGCCCAGCCTAAGACTTCACTATTTTAAAAAAGAGACAATCTTATCAATAAATAGCTTGCTTAGAGACCTCTTTGAGCAAAGGACATTAGCATTGCTAATTTTCTTGTTTTGTATATTTGTATTTCCTTTTCCCTTTAAATTTTTTGTAAGGCAATAGCCACCTGATTGTCAACTCAATTTTAAACCTTCATATTTAAATAGCAAAACTAAATACGTTTTTTTGGTCAGCAAATTTTGGCTTAAGATGCACAGAAAACATTGTTAAAGATTTGAAGAAATAACACAGTGGGAATGTTTGAAATTCGTGCAATAAGCTTCAGATGACTGCATTTTGCTAAATAGATTTCAATTATGTAATCCATGAAGAACTCATTTCCGATCACTTAGTAAAGAAGTATGTTCCAGAGAAAACATATTTTCAGTAGCTAATTACTCCACTGATAAACATATTGTTATTTGGACACTGAAAACATAACCTTTGACTGAATAGCTACTTTGATTGGAATTTGCAAAGGATTTAGGGATGAGAGTGATAGATGTGAAGTTTCAGTCATTCAAGGGAAAGTTATTGCAGTAACAAAATTGAAAATGTAAGTATACAGAGTACAGCAAGTTGTTATTGTTAACTTTATAAAAATAAAACCTTTTAATTATTATAGGATTGTAACAAATTTCTGTGAGTGACCCTGACAGTATTTTGCACCATTAAGAAGGTACTGGTTATCTTATGGCTTAGTTCTTTAAAAAGCTATCAACCTAAAGATATTCTTGGTTTTCTTTTACCTCCCCCCCCCCCCCCCAGTTAAAAATATGCTGTGTGGTTAAGATAGTTTTAAAAAACTAAAATGAATATTTTTATCTGCCTCTCCAAGTCAAAGGTCCTTTTAGTATTGAATGGGGGGAAAATTTACTTCTTGAAAGAAGTCTGTATATGGATGGAACACTTTGAAAACAGATGTAAACTTTACAGAGTTAGGGATATTTCTTCTGTCCTAATTATCCCGAGTGGCAGGTCAACACTTGATAAATATTTGAATTAATTTTTTTTTCAAAAAATGACATATGTCACAAATAATCCTATGTGTGACCTCACACTATATATAAAAGTTAAATTAGTGACATAAATATGAGAGCAAAACCCGTAAAACTCTTAGAAGAAAACAGCAGTAAGACTTAATAGCATTGGATTTGTTAGTGGATTCTTAGATACGACACCAAAAGCATGAGCAATAAAAGGGATGGATAAAAAATATTCGTTGCTGTTTTATTCACAATAGCCAAAAGATAAAAACAAAAGCGTCTCCCAACAGATGAATGGATAAACAAATGTGTGTGTGTGTGTGTGTGTTTGTGTGTGTGTATGAAATGGAATATTATTCAGCCATAAAAAGGAATGAAGTTCTACAACATGGATTAACCTTGAAGACATTATGTCAAGAATATATACTGTTGTTTCACTCATGCAATATCTAGAATAGGCAGATTCATAGAGACGGAAGTACATATTACCAAGGGTTGGAGGGAGAAGGGGATGGGTGATTATTAAGGGTTATAGAATTTCTGTTTGGGGTGATGAAAAATGTTTAGAAATAGATAGTAGTGTTGCTTATATAACATTGTGAATATAATTAATACTATTGAATTGTACACTTAAAAATGGTTAAAATGACAATTTTTTTTATTTATCTTTTGCTACAATAAAATACTAAAACTTGTGTGTGCACACAATCTTGGAAATAGAATTTTCTAATGTGTTTAAAAATCTTAGATTGAGTGAATTTTGGGGGATACTTTGGCCCTCTGTGTCTGCAGGTTCCACATCTAAAGATTCAACCAACCATGGCTTGAAATTATTTGAAAAAATAATAATACAACAATAAAAATAATACAAATTTTAAAAATACAATATAACTTTATATTGTATTAGCTATTATGAGTAATCTTGAGATGATTTATAGAATAAGGGGGGTTATGTGTTGTTTATATGCAAATACTATGCCATTTTATATAAGGGACTTGAGCATTTGCAGATTTTGGTATCCTGGAAGGGCTGAAGGGAGACCCTGAAACCAATTCCCTATTGTTAAACATACTGAGTTGCAAATCCTGATGAGGTTGCAAGAAAAATTGATGGAATAACTGAGGAAGGAAATTAACTAGCCAGATGTCAGCAAAAACTTTTGCATGATTGGTAGAACAAATTCAGATTTTAGTATTGATGTGATTCAGAACTGCATTCATTTGGACTTTTGTTTATAGTTTTTAATGGCTGTTATCACAATATATAAATGAGAATGCCACTGTATTATAATTTTTAAAAAGATTATATTCTCTTTCTCTTAGTAAAAATATGAAAATTTTGGTAGATCATAAAAGTACAAAAATATGTACATTTAGAATTTTTCAAGTGTTTTATTTTTAAATTATATTTTTGTGTATGTTTAATTTTAAGTAATATCAATGGAATAGTATATGTAATTTATAAGTAAATATGAATATGGAATGCTGAAGAATTTTTGTTAAGAGTGTCTATAGAAGCTGTCAATTTGGAGGACAGTTTTATCACTTCAGAAAACATTTTGTTGAAAATAATATATCTGTAAAGTTATATTGACCCTATATTTTAGGCTGCTGGTCTTGGTCGTATGAAGCCAAACACACTTGTCCTTGGATTTAAGAAAGATTGGTTGCAAGCAGATATGAGGGATGTGGATATGTATATAAACTTATTTCAGTAAGTATCTTTTTAATTCAATAATTTAGTTCATTTAGAAAATGTTAATTTTGAAAGCTTGTCCTAATTTTTGGAGACTGTTTCTCATATAGTCTCTTGTAATGGAAATATAAGAACGAAAAGAATCACACAAAGCATCTGGGTTTTAAATTGATAATCTATTAACAATTTTTTATTGATCTTTATATGTCTCTTTACATACATGCATATATATATATATACACACACACACACATATATGTATGTATATGTATATATGTATACACTCTGGCTTCTCATTTAAGTTTGTAAACTTTTTCCTATCCCTCCAGCTGTTGCTGAGCAGAGTTCCCAAATGTCAGACCCATCACCTCCTAAACTATGTCATTATAATGTGCTGAGGAAGAGTGTTTTATCGCTGTTTAGGCTTGTTCCCCTTCCAAACAAATTTTGCAGTTAATCATTTGGTTCATTCATTAAGTTATTTACATTTCTTTTATTTAAATGTACTTATATGTTTTGTTTTTCTACCACTATGAAGAGTTAAGTTTGAGTTCACTGTAACTTCCGTTTTTTGCGTTGTCTAGTGCAGCAGTCCCCAACCTTTTTGGCACCAGGGACCAGTTTCATGGAAGACAATTTTTCCACAGACATGGGTAGTGGTGGGGTCTGTGGTTTCAGGATGATTCAAGCGCATTACATTTATTGTGGACTTTATTTATATTATTATTACATATTCACCGTAATGTAGACTCAGTGGGAGTCCTGAGCTTGTTTTTCTCCAACTAGGCAGTCCCGTCTGGGGGTGATGGGAGACAATTGACGATCATCAGGCATTAAATTCTCATAAGGAGCGCACAACCTAGATTCCTCACATGCGCAGTTCATAATAAAGTTTGCACTCCTTTGAGCAATTGGTGCCGCTGCTGATCTGATGAGGTGTACTTCAGGTGGTAATGCTCACCTGCCCATGGCTCACCTTCTGCTGTGCAGCCCACCCAGTTCCTAACAAGCCTGGCTCATTACTGGTCCATGACCCAGGTATTGGGGACCCTTGGTATAGTGCGTTCTTTTTTATTCTTTGCTACTTTGTCTTTCTGGTTGTGTTCTGTTTGTGGATTTTGTGGATGTTTAATGTAATCTACCACATACTTTTTGTTTAATAACAATAAAACTTTTTTTTTGTTTTTGCCAGATTTTCTTCTTAATCTTGAAAAGTACTTCTTTTCCTACTATTCTAAGATTTGCCTAACCTATTTATCTTGTTTATACTGAAGATAAGCATTCCCTCTCCACTATGCCATACTTGATTTGAGGAGTAGTTTTTTTCTCATCCTAAGCACTGATGAAATAGAACTGTCTGCTTCCTCTTATAATTGTCCTTTAAAAAAAACTTTTATTTACAAAGTAGCTTTAAGATTAAAGTTTAAGTCCTATTTTCTCCATGAATTTTGATCTGATCACCCTTTTTTCTCACTGGAGTTACTTCCTTACTGGAACTCCTGTTGTATCTTTGGCTATAACCACATATATTTGCCTGTCTCACATATGATGGTTTTATTAGTGACATTTGAAAAGTCTTTGAGGAAGCAGCTGGATCTCATACTCTACTTTTTAAAGGATCTCTTTATATGGATTAGTAATATATATGATAAACAAGATTTACCAACTAATCGTTAAATGCTTTTAGTAAAATTAAAACTGCTGATGTGTTGTATGTTGTTACTACTGCTGAGTTTTGGTTTTATTAATGTTTTTGTAAGCAAAACCTCATTGTGGCTTTCTAATTTTGTATTCTGTGTATATAGGGATTAGGGACAGAAAGATTAATGTGGTCCATGAGCCATGAAACCCTATGCTTTTTCCCTCTCAAGACCTAAGAACAGTGAGATGACGTAATTATCCTAAAAAATAGAAAAAGTGACATTTTTTACAAATTCTTTCATACACCTGTCACATTATTAGTTGTAGTTGCTCATAATGGAACACTGGAAGGGGTCTTTCTGACTCTGACTTTCTAGGGATTAAAGTGAGTGAGTGTTCTGAAAGTTGAGTATTAGTCTAAACATTATTCCTGTACATTAGGCAGCAGTTAAAGAATAGGTAAAATACTGCTTTCTGGTTTTAGAACCATGTAAATTAATAGCAGTTTCACAGCAGTGACACTGCTCATTCTTTATCTTGTTGCACTTCCACTGATGTTTTAGCTGTGATTTTTAAATACCTTGTGCAATTTAAGTATGCTTTATATATTGTGTTTTTATTAATAGTATATAAGATCTGAAGCTGCAAATCAATTTTTATAGCTTATAACAAAAACATTTATTTGTTTTAATCCACAGTAAACTTGGGGAGCTATATTCCCTGGCTTTAAAGAAATTGATTTTGATTTAGTCGATTTATTAAACAATTTTTAAAATGCTTATAGTTATTTTTTCTCTAGTATTAATTATATCTTTCAAGATACAGCTGAGAAAGATTAACATGCCTATTAAATTTATTTCTCCAGTGACTTTGTTAACTTTAGCTCATCATAGGAATGTGGCCAAATTGTCTCTCCATGATTTAAAAACAACAAAAGACCTTTTATAACCATATATTATATCCTGAACACATTCTTCCATTTGTCAGTAAGAGTAATAATTTGACTGTTTTATTGGATTTTAGCCTTTTTGATTTCATATAGCTGTATCTTAATATATCATTGTTTTTAATATGTCTACATTGAATACTTATTACTTGTGCAATGAAAAATAATAATTAAAGATGAAAGTTAAGCCTGTTACCACTTTCAGAGAACAACGTGACGTTTTGGAATTTAAAATTTTTTCAGTAGATTTGAGAAAAACTTGGGTTAAAATGAAGATTTATGCTCAGAACTGAGATTCCAGGGTTTAAGTCTGGTTTTAAAGCTGTCTTCAAGATTTTAATGTATTTTCTGTGTGTATAGGATGCTCTCATTTCTGTTTTTAAAAATGAAAGGGATCGCTCCTGTAATCCCAGCACTTTGGGAAGACAAGGCAGGTGGGTCACGAGGTCAGGAGTTCAAGACCAGCCTGGCCAATGTGGTGAAACCCTGTCTCTACTAAAAATACAAAAATTAGCCAGGCGTGCTGGTGTGTGTCTGTACTCCCAGCTACTCGGGAGGCTGAGGCAGGAGGATTGCTTGAAACCGGGAGGCAGAGGTTGTAGTGAGCCAAGATTGCGCCACTGCACTCCAGCCTGGGCAACAGAGCGAGACTCTGTCTCAAAAAAAAAAAAAAAAAAGAAAGGGAGAGGTAAATATATATTTTCAGATGTATATAAAATCTTTGAACCACTGTTCAAACCAGTTTTGTAAAAATTTTAAAATTATGTTAAAATTCCCTCAGTCTTTTCAAAAAGAATTTCTTCATATCCTGCAACCTGCTATCATTCGCAGTAGCATCAAGGTTTTTGTGTGTGTGTCTTCATGTATTTCTCTTGGTTTTAATGGTATAAGCCCAAATATAAATATAGCGGGATTCTGAAAGTAGTTTTTCTATAATTTAACTTAGTAGGATAAAAATACTGCTGCTGCTTTAAACCGCTGCTGTAGGTATAATGTCAGTACAACAAAGATCTAAAAAGTAGTTTTCAAGGGTATTACAGAAGAGAATGTTGTGGAATTTGAAACTAACATACATATCTCAACAAGTGATTTTCAAAGCATGTTTTAAAAATCAGACGTTTAAAGCCGAAAGTAATTTTAGAGATCATCTATTATTTATTTTAAAGAGGATAACACAAATTTTTGTGATTTTTTTTTTGGTTTTTTCATTTTTTGTTTTTTTGTTCTTAGTGATGCTTTTGACATACAATATGGAGTAGTGGTTATTCGCCTAAAAGAAGGTCTGGATATATCTCATCTTCAAGGACAAGGTAAATTTTGTTGGCAATAAGTTTTTTATTTACAAAAATATAAACTACTTTGTTAGAAAATTATATTCTCACAAACTGGGCTCTTCGTTACTTTTAATAATTATGTATCGTGGACTTATTGTATGGCATTTTAAGATCACATCTGTTTGGCTCCACTAAAGTTTGTGTTTTCTCGTTGTACCAACCTGGATGATGGTTAGTGATTATTTGGATTGAATAAAATTCAATCCAAAGCATAAGCTTAAGAGAAACAGACATTAGTTATGTCTTTAAAAAACCTGGCCAACAGACAAACCTAAGTAAAATAGCCTGAGGAAAAATTTTTAAATGACCACTAAATCATTAGACATTTTCATATTTATGAAAGTATGCTTTGTACAGAGTCATATTGATAGAAGCCTAAAGTTTGTCATAACGTTTTCTATCTTCAGCAGACCTAATAAATTTTTTAAAAACATTTTTTAATTTAAAAATATTTATAGATTCACAAGAAGTTGCAAAAAATAGTAGAGAGGTCCTCTGTACCTTTCATCCAGTTTCCCCCAATGATAACATCTTGCCTTATCCTAAGGTACTATATCCAAGCCAGGAAATTGACATTAGAACAATCCACAGACCTTTTTCAGATTTCAGCAGTTTACAAAGACTTGTATGTGGTTGTGTAGTTGTGTGCCACTTATGTGTTCATTTGTGTAACCACCATTGCAATAAAGATACAGAACTGTTCTGTCACTACAGAGGTCTCCCTATGTGTTCCCCCTTTCTACTTCCCACTATGTACTTTGTCTCCAATCATTACTGTATAATTTTGACATGTCAAGAATGGTATGTAAATAATAATATAGTGTGTAACTTTTAAAGCATTTTTGAAAGTGAAGATTAAAGCCTAAGTAAGGTATAATTACTACTTTTGCCAACTTTATAAAAACTATGGCTGGGCACCGTGGCCCATGCCTGTAATCCCAGCATGCTGGGAGGCTGAGGTGGGTGGATGACCAGAGGTCAGGAGTTTGAGACCAGTCTGACCAGCATGGTGAAGCCCCGTCTCTACTAAAAATAGAAAAATTAGTGGGGCATGCTTGTAATCCCAGATGTTTGGGAAGCTGAGGCAGGAGAATTGCTTGAACCCAGGAAGCAGAGGCTGCAGTAAGCCGAGATTGCTCCTTTGCACTCCAGCCTGGGTGACAAGAGCAAGACTCAAAAAATACAAAAAAAACAAAAAACAAAAAACAAAAAAAAAACAACTGTGAAGATTTTTATATCCTTTGAAGATTTTCTGATACTTTAAGAAATTATAAGCTTAAGAAAATTTACATATATAACATATTACCCCTATCAATTAATTAACCAAATCATCAGAATGAGCTAAGCCTAAATACGTAAGAGGTATCTGCTTCTGTATTTAAACTGTTTTAATCTTCCCTCTCTTTACCCCTTTAAGGGCAGTCTGCAGTTTTGAAAAAAGCAATTTGAGGTCTTTATCCATGTAACCAAATATGCATTTTCAGCAATCTGGAGTAGGTTTGGCAAAATACTATTTCAATTATTTCTTGCTCTACCAGAATTGAGGTTTAGAGTGCCTAACTTATACCTGTTAACTCAACATAAATAGTAGTGTTCCCTTTCACGTATCAGTTTGATGAATAAATTATATAGTTCTATCATTTACTGAAGTTTGAATGTGATTGAAACTTTTAAAAAGTATTTTCATGTATTTATAATCATTGTGAAATGTTTTTGAATGCCTTATTATTCATCATTAAGTTTTAAAACAGGAATTTGGGAATAGGAATTAAGAGCATAGGCATTGGAGTCAGGCAAATCTGCTTTAAAAATATCAGCCTTTTCTGTTAGATGTTTTGTAGCCTAGGCAAATTTGATGACTTCCAAGCCTCAGTTTCCTTATCTGTTAAAATGTATTTACCTTACAGGTTGGTTGTTAAGATTAAAAAGAAGATTAAGGCCTGCGAGCTCTTAGCATAGTGCTGGCATGTAGCTTCTTTTGTTTCTCTTCATTTACGCAAATAAGTGATGAGGATTATGGACATACTATCAATTTTATATTATATTTGTCTTTGTGATACATGTTTGTATGGTGGAAACTAAATCTTTACTAACTCTGACAAAGAGAAAATGAAGAAAAACTACTTTAAAATGGAGAAATGGTACTTTCACCATGAACTTAGGAAGACTCCATTTGGTGGTCTTGGTTTTATAGAGTGGGTAGAGTTTTTCAGTGTTGTCTGTCATCTTACGTATCTATGGACAGTTGTTACATTTTACATTTTTTATGTAATTGATTTAGAGAGAATTGATTCACATACTATGTATTACTGTCTACCAGATTCTACTGTCCTATGACTTGTACTCATTACTGATTCTCCAGCTCGTAATTCAAATACAGTTTGTGTATCTATATCCAAAATGCTTGGAACCTGAAGAGTTTCAGAATTTGGACGGGGAGAGGTTGATTTTGGAATATTTGCATTACATAGTACTTACCAGTTGAGCATCTCTGATCCAGAAATCCCAAATCTGAAATGCTCCATTGAGCATCATGTTAGGCATGTAAAAAGTTTCAGACTTTCAGATCAGGATATTCAACCTGTAACCTAGTTGTGGTTTATGTATTTAAATGAATAGTCATTTCAAACAGATTATCATAGTTGTTTAAATAAGAAGCCATTTATAATAAACTTATTTTTTCATAATAGTTTAATTACTAAACCATAATGCCTTATTTAACAGTTAAAATATGACTTAGATACTATTTTAAATAATTTTCTGTCTACAGAAGAATTATTGTCATCACAAGAGAAATCTCCTGGCACCAAGGATGTGGTAGTAAGTGTGGAATATAGTAAAAAGTCCGATTTAGATACTTCCAAACCACTCAGTGAAAAACCAATTACACACAAAGGTAATTTTCATTCAAACAATAAGTCTTATTAATAGTAATGTTTTAATTTGGGAGAAATATTTTTAATTATATAATATGTCTTATAAAAATAACCTGTTCTCAAACTTGTACTGGTCATTTCTAGCTGGTCAGGTAAAATTTATGGCTTTCAAAAATGGCTACAAAATGACTAGCTGTGTAAGGTATTAGAGTAGATCATCAAACAGAAACCATGCTAGTTATTTACTAATATGGCTTCTGTGTTTTTATTTATAGTTGCTTTAAATAAAACATTTTAATTTGAAGCATAAGTTAAATCTGAATTTGGAAAGAACATGGTAATTTTAAAGTAACAAACTCATGACTTTCACATAATTTCATCCACAAATCTGTGTCATGTTTGAGAAGAAAAGAGGGATGACTTCCAAATCTTACTCTCCCACCCTCACTCTCCTACCTCTGTTCAGTCTAGTATCTCCATCTGTCCTATTCCCAGCTGACACGCAACAAGAAAATAATCTGCGCTGTGAATCATCAAACTGTAACATACTTTTGATTCCTGCAAAATATTTCCCATTCTTTTTCTGAAATTGTAACCTTGGACCAATCATGTCTCTGTACAGTTTATCTCTTCTATATTATTTAGAAGCAGTAATGTTGCTTTTTATTTCTTTCCTTCTCATTTACCTTGTTGGCTTAGAGTATTAGTAAAGTTTAGTTCACACCCATTTTCCTTTTCAGTTCTTTGCTGACTTGATTATAATTTATTTTGTTTTTCCTCAAAATTCTATAAACTGATTCTGATAACTGTTCCTATATTCCAGCATTTATTTTAGTTTACACTATACATTCTTTCATTTCCTCTTTTTTGTTTTTTTCTTTTGCTTCAAACATTCTTTTTCTACAGAATCTGTTGGGAATTAATAGGTGAAGTTTAATGGGAGGGTAAGAAGAAATACATATCAAGCATCTACTCCGTGCACCCAACATTATAATGGATGTTACCCATACATTAGCTAATTAATATATGTTACGATCTTATGAAATCATTATTTTTATAGAACAGGAAACTGGGTCAGTACATTTCTACTTACCTTTTTATTGTAAAAATCTAAATGCCTTTAACTTACTTTATAATTGTTAAATGTCAAGATTTCCTTGACATTTCTGAGATCTTTTAAACAAATGCAGCATATCCGTAGTTATAATTTTTATTATCAAAGACAAATGCCATTAAATGTCTGCTTTATAAGAACAATATTGAATGCTATAATATTAAATCTAATGATTCTTTTTCCATTACAAGTTTAAGAAATTAGTGTTTGCTTTATTTTGTGTTTATTTTCTGTTTAGTCAGTTATTCTCAGTCAACAGTGTAGATACTATAGAAACGTTTATACATTTTAAAAAGTCTTCAGAATTAGAGACATTAGTGTGTAGTTGTTATAAATCCACAGTATTTAGCTGTGTCTATCTTGGTTATTGAAGCATACATCATGCAAGAAGTCAAAAAGAACACCCTTCAAATACTTTCTGCCAGGCCCAGAGTTCAGTGCATTAATACTTGCATTAGTATAACAAGCTTAAGAGGTAGGTACTAATACCTCTTTCGACAAATGAGAAAAGCAAGTTCAGTAATGAAAGTTTACTCAGCTGTTTTAACTCCTGGGAATATAAATGTAGAGGTAAGATTGCAATCTTGCAGCCTAACTCCAGAGCCCACTGTAGTATACTCTTTCCTAAGTCCAGAGTTTTATATGCCATAAACAAATATTTTAATACAAGCTTGTATTAAGGGAACAAAATGAGATTAGGAAAATTGTTAATGCCAGATATATTTGTAGATATTTTTAAATATAAATGGATAAATATTAATGCACACGTATATACATACATATATAAATTTATATATGTGAGAAAAATCACTCCTGTATAACCTGGCATTTTATATAAAGCAAAATACTTATGTCTCTGATCAAATTTCTTAATATTTCAAGTGTGATTAATTTTTTACAAACAACAAATATCCATTAAATGTTTCTAAAATTGCTGTTCAGTTATTTGCACAGTGATGGCATGTTTAAAATTTATGTATTATCTGCAATATCAATGTTTAATGTCATATTTATACCTATAAGCCACAGTTCAACATCTTCTCAACTTATTTCAAGTATGAAAGTGTAAACATTTTAAAAATATGCTGAAATTTAAAAAGTAATTTTACAGAAATTAAATTTAGGGGTGTTAGTCATCCTGTAGGGGAGGGGTCTCAAATATGTTTGCTTTTTAAAAGCTTCAACACTCAGTGCAGAAAATATTAATCTTCAGTCTTGATTATTTTTCAGTGGACTGCTGCTTCATATTATATTTTGTTTATAAATGTGCTCTGATTACATTTTTATTATTTTATTAATATAAAGGCAATTAACATATTTTTGTGTTTTTTAAACATAATCTAGTTGAGGAAGAGGATGGCAAGACTGCAACTCAACCACTGTTGAAAAAAGGCAGGCATTTTTCATCATTTTATTTTAAACCCTTTTTCATACTGTAAACTCTTTAACTCCAACCTTATTCCCTTTTTTTTAACCTTGGTTTTTATTTCCATGGTGAGGTAATGTTACAGTTCTATAAATGCAGATTAGAAAAATTATTATTAGTCTAACTAAAAAGTTAAATATTCTCAGGAAATGGAGTTATATCACAAATTCTTTTCTATTATCACAGCATTTCTGAAATATTAGACCCAGACAGCCGGTATTAATTTTTTTTAATTTAAACTGCATGGTTTAGATGATAAGTAGGGACACTGAAATAGGTTTTATTTGCAGTGTCACTTGCATTCTTTACCATCAGTTGTACCCAGCCAAGTCCTCAATTTTGATACTAATGTATTTTTCATTTCAAAAATTACAATATTTCTCACAGTCGTGCTGCGTTTGGGAGATACACAGTCATGTCAACATACATGAATTTTATGAGAAGGAGATAGAGGTGAGAGTTATGGAGCAGTGTGGTTTGGTAGCCATATTATTTCATCGTGCAAAATCATTTGTCATGTTTGCATATATCACAGCAGCATGAAAAGTGACATTCTACAGAAGTGATCAGATGTCCTCGTATGGATTTCTGCTTTTAAAATTTTGGTGTAGGAGTTTCATGATAGTCATTTGCTTGCTCACAGAATCAATGCTGTTTTTTGTTTTGTTTTAACTCCTGGGAATATAAATGGGAACTCCTTGGTGTATTGTTCTCAGACCTGCAGCAGATGGGTGCCCTTTGAAGGAGCTCCCACCATCTTTCTGTGGTTCAGAGAAAGATGTGGTTATATGGCTTTAGAATTGGGTGCCACATATTGGGGACAAAACATAGGTAAAAATGAGAAGTCTTTCCTTAGACTAAGGTTTCACTGTGATAATTGTAAGAATGTGTTAGTATGTCTTCAACTCCCATCTTTCATTTATATTGCAGATAACAACTTTGTCTTTTAAAAAGTTTTGAGCTTTAAATTATTGAGATACCAGATTACCAAAGAAATAGTTTCACAGAACAGGTATAAACTTGATTTGTCCAGTTTGACTAAAACAGCTTTTCAAAACAAAATCTAGCAGCTCACTGTAATTTTTTTTATTGTTATTTATGATTCTCTTACATTCATTCAGAATGCTTGAAAATATTAGTAAGTAGGCAGATAATTTGGATTGGTTTAGCTATTGTAAAGAGTTATTTCTCTCTAGCCATTTATAAAGTATACTTTTATTATAAACAACTGAAAGTTTATGGTAGATGCCGTATACAATTGTCTGAATTATCTGTAGTATAAACATCTGAATATACAAACATTAGGAAATGATAGGAATTCAGCAAAAGGGACTTTAATATTTACTTTGCTTACATTTTATATTTTGCTTAATCCTTTAGAATCCAAAGGCCCTATTGTGCCTTTAAATGTAGCTGACCAAAAGCTTCTTGAAGCTAGTACACAGTTTCAGAAAAAACAAGGAAAGAATACTATTGATGTCTGGTGGCTTTTTGATGATGGAGGTAAGGTTGTTAATTTTTTTAAAATGATTTTAAATTTACTGACATTGTGAGAATAGTAAGAAATGACATGCACTCTTTACCTGTGGACCCCATTCAAATTTTGCCAGCATTCCCAAAAGCAAAAGGATTAATTTCAGAATCAGGCACAGCCTTTAGTTGTCTGGTCTCTTCAGTATCCCTAATGCGGAGGTTGTTCAGTAGTATTTCCTTGAGCTTCATGACCTTAACTTTTTTTTAATATGAACCATTTTGTTGACTGTAACCCAATTTGAAGTGCTAGTTAATGTTTTATTATAATTAGTTTTAGGTTATCTACCTTTGGCAGAAATATCACAGAAGTGATGCTGTGCTCTTCTGTCTACATCTCATCAGGTGGCACAGGATGTTGATTTGTACCTTCACTGGTGAAATTAACCATTGAGTAATATATGATTTTCACCACATGTATTCACTGAAAAGTTACCCCACCCCCTTTTATAATTACAGGTATTGGGGATGGCACAGAGGGATTACTCTGAGACTATGTAAATACACTATTCTTGCAGCCTTCACCACTATCTTTAGGATCCATTGATGTTTCTGCCTGAATGTATTGTTATTGTTGTGGTTGCCAAATGATGATTCTCCTATTCCATCATTTCTTCCTCATTTATTAGTTGGCATTTTATTGTAAGGAAGAGCTCTTTATTTCTGTCAGTGTGGACTCATTGATTCCTATTTTATTGATATTCAGTGGGATATGTATTAGACTGTTCTTGTGTTGCTTTGAAGGAATACCTGAGACTGGGTAGTTTCTAAAGAAAAGAGGTTTAATCTGCTGATGATTCTGCAGACCACACAAGCATGGTCCTGACATCACTCAGCTTCTAGAGAAGCCTCAGGGAGCTTTTACTTATGGCAGAAGGCAAAGCAGGAACAGGCACATCACATGATGAAAGCAAGAGTGAGAGAGTCATAGAGAGGAGACAGAGATGCCACACACTTTTAAATCACCCGGTCTCATGAGAACTATCACAAAGACAAGCACCAAACCTTGAGGGACTGACCCCCATGATCCAAACACCTCCCACTAAGCTCCACCTCCAGCACTGGGGATTAATTACAGTTCACCGTGAGATTTGGGTAGGGGCTGATATCCGAACTATTCCAGGATATAATTTGTTACTTTCATTTGTTTTGATGTTCCAATTGTCCTATATTTCGCCAGCAGAATCCTCCTTAGGCTCATTTGTTTCCATTTATCATGTCCCAATCGTTCCTTTTTTTTTTTTTTTTTTTTTTTTTTTTTTTTTTTTTTTGCGACTGAGTCTTTTTCTGCCACCCAGGCTGGAGTACAGTGGCGCAATCTCGGCCCACTGAAAGCTCCGCCTCCCGGGTTCACACCATTCTCCTGCCTCAGCCTCCCGAGTAGCTGGGACTACAGGCACCTGCCACCATGCCCAGCTAATTTTTTAGTATTTTTAGTAGAGATGGGGTTTCATCGTGTTAGCCAGGATGGTCTCGATCTCCTGACCTCGTGATCCACCCACCTCGGCCTCCCAAAGTGCTGGGATTACAGGTGTGAGCCACCACGCCCAGCCCATTCTTTTGGGTTATTTTCTAATACAAGAAGATGTTCCAGGCTCAGTTTTATTGTTTTGCACTTTCCCTTCACAGCCACGAAAGTAACCCTTTCCAAGGAATGCTGGTTCCTTTTACTGAATCATAGTGTTTAGAAACAAAGATCAGGGCATTGGATATGCTTGTGTCTACTGGAGTGTCACTGCTCCCAGGCCTTCTCCATGGACAGAGCCAGGAACTCCTTGTGTGTGTGTCTGTGGAGATATAAATGGAGATCAAAAAGCAATTTCAGTCCAGCTTCTCCCTTTTCATATTTCTAATTTCAGTGTTAAACATGGCTCCTGCTAAGGTCAATAATTATACTTATTTTCTCAATCCTGTTGTATGTGACTGATCTCGACCTTACCAGGCCACTATCCCATTTGGCTACCTTCCTTGAATGGGATCAGACTCCGTTAGGAGTCCCTTGTTTCTCAGGTCTGCTAATGGCTTTTTGACTGAATTATCAAGGAAGGACAGAAAGATTTTTGTTTCATATGGAGTTGTAGTAAACATGTTTTTCGAGACTAAATTGATGTTCCTGATTAAGAAATTTGCATTTAGTAAATGATTTATTACATTTTTATAATTCAGGTTTGACCTTATTGATACCTTACCTTCTGACGACCAAGAAAAAATGGAAAGACTGTAAGATCAGAGTATTCATTGGTGGAAAGATAAACAGAATAGACCATGACCGGAGAGCGTAAGTTTATTTCACATTGAAGGGCATGAATCTATTAGCACTTCATTGCTACAGTATAAATTTGATAGGATAAAAATTAGACAATCCAGAAAATGTCTATTATCTTGCTTTGTTCTTTACTGAAGTTAAAAATTTTAAATATAACCTTGTTCTCTTTAGTCTTCATGTTTAACTAGTAAATACTTAATTTTACTTAGATATAATTTTTTTTAACATACTAGCATTTTAGAAGGTCCTTCTTAAATACTTGTAACATTAAAGTGTTAAGCAACTTCTTTCTTTTAATCAGGGAGAAAATGCACAAACGTTACATATTTATATATGAGATAAATTTTGTTGTAGACTTCTAGACAACAAAATGCAGGATGCCATTGTCATCCATCCAATTCTTTCCATCTATACTGTCACGATTCTAGTTCTTGTTTCAGTATTTCTCTCCTGCTCTCTAAGTACTCTTGTTTTGTCTTTGACCTGTAACATGTATATTGTACAGAGTACATAATATGCATAATCTTCAACCTAATTAATATGTATATTGTACACATTATGGGTCAAAGGTAAGACATGGGTACTCAGAAGCATTGAAACCCAGTTTTATTTTTCAGAAAGCAGAGTTTTGACCATATGATTCCTCTACCCAAAATAGTTAAACGACTTCTCTGCTACCTGCCATAGAAAATCTAATTGTTATAATGTAGCAGTCAAGGCCCTTGACAGTCTGTCCTCTCATTCCCTTTCTATTCTTCTGTTTCCCCCAGTGTTTCAGTACACTTTTCCCTATGCTCTAAACATGCATGTGACTTCAGGCTTTTACTCCTTTGCCTCCTCTCATCTCTCTCCTGTAAATAGCTCTTCACTTGCCTCTCCTTTTATCTCTTTAAATACTGCATTCTTTAAAACCCAGCTCAGTTCTTCATAGTGCCTTTCCTATTTTCCCCCCACTTACCCCCCCATCTAGTTGTTATGTTTCCTTCTGGAATCACAATATACTTTTATACCTACCACTCATCACATTATGGCTGGTATTATATTTATTGTCTTATTTAAGTTTTGTGGGCCCTGTTTAGCATGTTTTATAGTAGCCACTTAATTGATAGATCCTGGAATTCAACTGTTTATTCATTTCAAATAGTGAATTATGCAAGAAATACTAATAATAAATTTAATAGTCAAACCTATAGCAGATCTGTTTTCTCATATCTCAATTTAAAAACATTTTTATTACAAATAAAATTGCATTTTGTTAATTGCTTTTTGTATATATGTGCACTTCACCTGTTCTGTTGTTGCCACCAATGTTTCATTGCCAGCTAAGCCTTCAGAAAGGTATTTACTGGAAAATCAGGCTTGTTGATGATCCTTTTCTACATCCTGTCCCAGTTCCTTCTTTCCCCAAAATGCTATGAACTTAATCTGCCATCAACTATATCTTCAGTATGGCCCACAGGTCATATTTGGGCCCTGAGATAAGTGTTCTTGGATGGAAGAATAATCCAAAAATAATTAAATATTTGTCTACTAGTTTTTACTGAAATTTATGTACTTATCAATATAGTTTGACTAAAATTAACTTAAGAAACATTAGCTTCCATTTAAATTTTATTATTAATGTCTTTGTCCATTACTCAGTGCTAAGGAGAGATTCAGAGAAAGTAAAATACTCAGTGATTACTCAGAAAGTAAAGTACTCAGTGAATTTAAGTCTACTTTGTGAATGAATGGTGTGAATTAATTCAAATGGATATTGTTTAGCATATGATAGACTGACTTTTTCTATAAATCATGCTTTTTAGATATATGGATTCAGCCCAATATAGAATGAAAATACTTGTATCTTAATTCTATTTATTTTTGTTGTAGGATGGCTACTTTGCTTAGCAAGTTCCGGATAGACTTTTCTGATATCATGGTTCTAGGAGATATCAATACCAAACCAAAGAAAGAAAAGTAAGTTACTCTACAAATTTCTGATCCCTTTATAGATGGCCTACTCAGACACAGATTCAACTTAATTAAAACCCAGAGATTTTTTTCCTGTTGTTAGTTACATGTGAAGTCAATATTTTAAAAAATCTAGCATTGATAGTTGGCATGCATATATCAGATATTAAAGAAAGTCTAAAGAGTTTTCAATATTCAGAGAGGATTTAAATTACAGCTTTACATGTGATTTCTGAAAGGTGGTTCATTTCCATTGCCCCTGCCTACAGTCGTTATAACCACTCAGTCCCTGCTCTACATACCTATTACTTTCCACTGTTTTGTTTTATTGCTAAAATAGGAAAATCTAAACATTTGCCTGCAATAGTTGCATTCAGAATTCTTCTAGCAAAGACTTTGGAATATTCCACCTGAAAATGGTATATACAGGTTGTTATAATGATATTTGTATTTATTTTACCTGATATAATTTTAATTCTTAGATTAATGTTGAATCAATATGAAGCTGATATAAAGAATTCCTTTTAGATAGAAAATAGTAAGGTACAATTTGTAAGGTTGTAATCAGGGTGAGATTGCTTTTATTGTAACACAGTGTATACTGGGTGTTTCATACTAGATTTGATACTGAAAAATATTTTTCATGTTCATAGAGGATTAGAATGCCATTCATGTTATTTTACTGTTAAATATCTTTGGATGTAGAAATTAATTTTGCATTTCCTTAAATTTTTAGTGTCTGCCCTTTTCCCCTTCAAAATGTTCTAGTACATTTTTTTACATCACTTTTATTCATTGATAACTGGGAAAGCCTTTGGGTGTTTTGAGCAGAGTAGTAACACAATTTGACTTATTGCTCAAAGGGATCATGTTAGCTACTATGGTAAAATTTATTTAGGCTGAGAGAAAATGGCCATAAGGGGAGGCGGGGTAGATAACAGTGAGATCAGCTTTAGCAGTTAAAAATGCAATTTATTACAGGTTGGAGATTCCTTATCCCAAATGCTTGGGATCAACCAAAAGTGTTTCAGATTTCAGATTTTTTTTTAAATTTTGGAATATTTTCATTATACCTGCTGGTTTAGCATTCCTAATCCAAAAATCAGAAATTTAAAATGTTCCACTGAGCATTTCCATTAGACATCGTATTGGTGCTTAGAAAGTTTTAGATTTTGAAGCATTTTGGATTTCAGATTAGGGATGCACAATCTGTATTGTCTATATGGGTTCTAATTTTCTCATCAGTTTGAGAGACTAGAAATTGCTGTTTTTGAAATAAATTGCCAAACTGATTATTATGGTTGGGGTATGGAGAGGAGCGTAATAAATGAGAGGCACTAACTTTGCAAGTTACAATTTAATATTTAAGATCTTCCTGTTATGTAACTTAAAATAAGATTAGTTGTCAGTATTCTTTCTGTTTTTTAAAGTATTATAGCTTTTGAGGAAATCATTGAGCCATACAGACTTCATGAAGATGATAAAGAGCAAGATATTGCAGATAAAATGAAAGAAGATGAACCATGGCGAATAACAGATAATGAGCTTGAACTTTATAAGACCAAGGTATTCTCTTCTGCTTCCTTTTCATTAATCTTTTATATAATAAAAGACATGAAAACCAAGAACTTTAATTTGATATAGGAGGGTCAGTTGTATAAATGAACTCTACTTTAAAATAGATTTATTTGAGGTTAGTGGAAAGCATTTTTAAAAAAAATAAAAATAGAGAACAGATATTTTTATTACACGAAAATTCATTTCAGTTTCTTTTTGTCTCCTTATAGTTTTATGAACCATGCTAAATTCTTATTTCCACATGGTCTAGGAATGACTGTCCTGTTTCATTTCAGACATACCGGCAGATCAGGTTAAATGAGTTATTAAAGGAACATTCAAGCACAGCTAATATTATTGTCATGTAAGTAATATCTTTATAAAGATTTTCTTGCTAATTTATGATAATATGCTTTGAATTAATTTCTATTCCAAGTACATATCTATATAACACCCATATTGACTTAGTGGTTATAAGGAGGAAAAAACAAACTTGTAAAAATATACTATGCTTTAAGCATATGGAGAAAGACAAAAACTTTAACCTTATGCTTATATGAATCCCAAGTAATCTTTTTATCATAGTAGGTTATATTGGAACCTTTTGTTTACCCTTCTTCTCACCTTTTTAAAATTCCTTATCTTTGTAAACACTACAGCATAGCCGTTAAGCACGTGTGGATAGGAGGGTCCTACGTTAAAATTTGGGCCCCGGACAGCTTCCTCTTGAAAATAATTCAAAAAATGTTATTTGGCAGATTAAACTTGAATAGTGATTCCTATCTGGATCCCCATTCTTATGTTTCCAACACGCAAATTTTACATACAGACACATTGTCCTTGAGTTAAATATGATACTAAATGCCTACTTTGGCTCTTCCTCTACTGAACTAGGTTAGCTATTCTTTGAACCCACATTTTCTGAGTTCTGGAACATGTGTCCTTAGATAGGAAAGCTCAGGCCTCTCCCCCACAAAAAAAGCCAAGTAATGAAAAAAACTACCAAAAGATTGTTAGTTTAACAACATTCAATAAATCAAAAAGTTTCAAGTTTTGCTGATGATAATCAAATACCTGTAAATGGAAAAGACACCAAAACATAGAAATTTAGAGAAAAACTATACAGCAATTGGTCACTGCTGCCACCATCCATAAATAGAAATTAAAACTAAGAGAAGATAAAAATTGCATTTATCCATATATAGCTTCTGTTTTCTAAATTTTGATAGTAAACATACCTTTCACCTAAAAGAATTCTATTCTTATTAAAGAAGGGGAAACCTAGGATTTAGTGTTAGATATCAGAGGTACTGTGGTTTATAGAAATACTTACTGTTCTTATGAACAAATTTTGAAAAATCTTTTGTTGAAAGATTATAGTCTTTTATATATGCATATATGATGGTGGTACCATAAGATTATAATACCATATGTTAAGCTGGGCATGGTGGTGTGCACCTGTAGTCTCAGCTACTTGGGAGACTGAGGTGGGAGGATTGCTTGAGATCTGGAGTTTTGGAGTTTTGAGTCCAGCCTGGGCAATGTATTAAGACCCCATCTCTCTTAAAAAAATATATATATATTTTTACTGTATCTTTTCTGTATTTAGATATGCAAATGCTTACCATCGTGTTACAGTTGCCTATAGTATTCACTACAGTAACGTACTATACAGGTTTGTAGCTTAGGAGCAACAGGCTGTGTCATATAGCCTAGATGTGTAGTAGGCTATACCATCTAGGTTTGTGTAAGTACTCCTGTGATGTTTTCACGAGGGCAAAATTGCCTGACAGTAAGTTCTGAGAAATGCGTCTCCATCGCTAAGCAACACAACTGTGGTTGTTATTCTATTTGCAGAATTCTCCTGCACTCAGAAATATTCTGTAATTATAGTAATTTACAGTAACTGTTATTGTAATCTACTTTATAATTTTTGCTACATTTTATTCTGTAAATGCATTGCTCAGGGTTTTTTTTTTTTCTTTTTCTCTTTTTGATACCAGGAGTCTCCCAGTTGCACGAAAAGGTGCTGTGTCTAGTGCTCTCTACATGGCATGGTTAGAAGCTCTATCTAAGGACCTACCACCAATCCTCCTAGTTCGTGGGAATCATCAGAGTGTCCTTACCTTCTATTCATAAATGTTCTATACAGTGGACAGCCCTCCAGAATGGTACTTCAGTGCCTAGTGTAGTAACTGAAATCTTCAATGACACATTAACATCACAATGGCGAATGGTGACTTTTCTTTCACGATTTCATTAATTTGAAAGCACACAGGAAAGTTGCTCCATTGATAACGTGTATGGAGACTTCGGTTTTAGTCAATTCCATATCTCAATCTTAATGGTGATTCTTCTCTGTTGAACTGAAGTTTGTGAGAGTAGTTTTCCTTTGCTACTTGAATAGCAATAAAAGCGTGTTAACTTTTTGATTGATGAAAGAAGTACAAAAAGCCTTTAGCCTTGAGGTGCCTTCTGAAATTAACCAAATTTCATCCATATATCCTCTTTTATAAACTTATAGAATGTCAAACTTTGCCTTCAACTGTTTTTATTTCTAGTCTCTTCCACTTTAAAACAAAATGAACACTGCTTGTCTTCTTCCATTGACCATTTAGTGTTGAGTACTGTATGTGTTTTGTTAATTCTATAAAGGTATCTGTTAGATATTAAAGGTGAGAATTAGGGCAGGTTAATCAAAAATGGGGAAGGGGAAATGGTAACCAAAAAGTAACCCCATGGTAAGGTTTATATGAGTATATGTGAATATAGAGCTAGGAAAAAAAGCCCCCCCAAATACCTTTTTAACCCCTCTGATTGGCTATTATTACTATATTTATTATTATTTATTGAAACCTTAGGGAAGATTGAAGATTCATCCCATACTTCTATATACCATGCTTAAAAATCACGTCATTCTTTAAACAAAAATACTCAAGATCATTTATATTTATTTGGAGAGAAAACTGTCCTAATTTAGAATTTCCCTCAAATCTGAGGGACTTTTAAGAAATGCTAACAGATTTTTCTGGAGGAAATTTAGACAAAACAATGTCATTTAGTAGAATATTTCAGTATTTAAGTGGAATTTCAGTATACTGTACTATCCTTTATAAGTCATTAAAATAATGTTTCATCAAATGGTTAAATGGACCACTGGTTTCTTAGAGAAATGTTTTTAGGCTTAATTCATTCAATTGTCAAGTACACTTAGTCTTAATACACTCAGGTTTGAACAGATTATTCTGAATATTAAAATTTAATCCATTCTTAATATTTTAAAACTTTTGTTAAGAAAAACTGCCAGTTTGTGCTTTTGAAATGTCTGTTTTGACATCATAGTCTAGTAAAATTTTGACAGTGCATATGTACTGTTACTAAAAGCTTTATATGAAATTATTAATGTGAAGTTTTTCATTTATAATTCAAGGAAGGATTTCCTGAAAACATTTCAAGGGATTTATGTCTACATATTTGTGTGTGTGTGTGTATATATATGTAATATGCATACACAGATGCATATGTGTATATATAATGAAATTTATGTTGCTGGTATTTTGCATTTTAAAGTGATCAAGATTCATTAGGCAAACTTTGGTTTAAGTAAACATATGTTCAAAATCAGATTAACAGATACAGGTTTCATAGAGAACAAAGGTGATCATTTGAAGGGCATGCTGTAATTTCACACAATTTTCCAGTTCAAAAATGGAGAATACTTCGCCTAAAATACTGTTAAGTGGGTTAATTGATACAAGTTTCTGTGGTGGAAAATTTATGCAGGTTTTCACGAATCCTTTTTTTTTTTTTTTTTTTTTTTTGAGACGGAGTCTTGCTCTGTTGCCACGCTGGAATGCAGTAACGTGATCTTGGCTCACTGCGACCTCCACCTCCCCAGTTCAAGCGATTCTCCTGCCTCAGCCTCCCTAGTAGCTGGGACTACGGGTGCACGCCACCATGCCCAGCTAATTTTTGTATTTTGAGTAGAGACAGGGTTTCACCGTGTTGGCTAGGATGGTGTCTATCTCTTGACCTTGTGATCCACCCGCCTCAGCCTCCCAGAGTGCTGGGATTACAGGTGCGAGCCACTGCGCCTGGCTGGTTTTCATGAATCTTGATAGACATCTATAACGTTATTATTTTCAGTGGTGTGCAGCATTTTTGCTTCATGAGTATGACCTAGGTATAGAGATCTGATAACTTGAATTCAGAATATTAAGAAAATGAAGTAACTGATTTTCTAAAAAAAAAAAAAAAAAAAATTTCTACATTATAACTCACAGCATTGTTCCATTGCAGGTTTTGCAATGTTTGGGGGTAAAGACAGTAGAAATATTATTCAGTAAACAATAATGTGTGAACTTTTAAGATGGATAATAGGGCATGGACTGAGTGCTGCTATCTTGAAATGTGCACAGGTACACTTACCTTTTTTTTTTTTTTTTTTAAGTTTTTCCCATTCAGGAAAACAACATTGTGATCTGTACTACAGGAACCAAATGTCATGCGTCATACATGTGGGTATAAAGTACATAAAATATATCTAACTATTCATAATGTGGGGTGGGTAATACTGTCTGTGAAATAATGTAAGAAGCTTTTCACTTAAAAAAAATGCATTACTTTCACTTAACACTAGACACCAGGTCGAAAATTTTCAAGGTTATAGTACTTATTTCAACAATTCTTAGAGATGCTAGCTAGTGTTGAAGCTAAAAATAGCTTTATTTATGCTGAATTGTGATTTTTTTATGCCAAATTTTTTTTAGTTCTAATCATTGATGATAGCTTGGAAATAAATAATTATGCCATGGCATTTGACAGTTCATTATTCCTATAAGAATTAAATTGAGTTTAGAGAGAATGGTGGTGTTGAGCTGATTATTAACAGTTACTGAAATCAAATATTTATTTGTTACATTATTCCATTTGTATTTTAGGTTTCCTTTTACATTCTTTTTATATGCATTCTGACATTACATATTTTTTAAGACTATGGAAATAATTTAAAGATTTAAGCTCTGGTGGATGATTATCTGCTAAGTAAGTCTGAAAATGTAATATTTTGATAATACTGTAATATACCTGTCACACAAATGCTTTTCTAATGTTTTAACCTTGAGTATTGCAGTTGCTGCTTTGTACAGAGGTTACTGCAATAAAGGAAGTGGATTCATTAAACCTATTTAATGTCCATTCTTATATCTGTTTAATAAGTCTTTGCCAGCTTTGTGGTTTTATCTCATTTCGATAACTATTGCTTCATTCATTTCTGAATTTTTAAAATAGCTTTTACCTTAATATTCACGCCCTGGAAAAGTCGTTCACTATTCTTAAACCTTTGCAATAATCACTGTTGATGCTCACAGTATGACTGAACCATCTGAGATGCAGCTCATTATGGTATTTTTTTAAGTGACCTAGCTTTTCTAATTCTGCTTTATCTTTGGGCCAGATCTCTCATTTGTGAATGAGGAAACTGGAAGATTAAAAGCGATTCATAGTCCCTGAATATAATCTGATTCTTTCCTTCCAAAGATTTTTGTCTAAGCTCATTTAGAGTTTTAGAAAGCATTTTCATTTTCTCATTTGAATATGACTGTAGGTGTGTATATATGCAGGACAGCTATTTCTTTTACTCTTGAGAAAGCAGCTTGGAGCAGTTTAGGGAGTTTTCCAAGGTCATGGGGTAAATCAAGGAAGGATATTGGTCTAGAGCCCAGGTCTTTTATCCCCAGGAATTTCTTTATTATGCATTCACTGCTGGCTGATCCATAAGATAGATGGCTGGGATAGATTGGTCATTTCCAGATTGGTCATTTCCAAATTACTTACACCTGTCCGCCCAGTAAATGTGTGTTCAGGTAAGGCAAATTATAGTTAGAAATATAGGTTGGCTACAGGCTGCCTTTAATAGGTTTGAAACAAAATGTAAATATCCATTTTTTGATTTGTCATCTTCCTTATTCTCAAGCCACTATTCAGGCCAGTTTACTCACTTATTTGGAAAGCTAAAAGAGAATTTGAAGGCAACTATGTATGTGACATTTTCTAATATCAGACCATCCAACAGTTTTTAAAACAGGAACATCATTCACCTTTGAGCCAGCAGGCTTTTGTTGTTCACTCACCAGGAAGAAAAGATAAATCCATTTGATATGCTTCCCTCTTTATGTTTATGTACCTATAGGAAGTTTGTAGGTCCAGAGGAAATAGATGGTAGTTTAATGTTTAACTTTTGGGGAAAAGATGGTACAAGTTCTAGGATATGCTCAATAGAAAGTACTATTTAGTTTCTCTAGTTCAGATAATAAATACAACATGTTGGTGGGTTAACCAACTTGACATATTTTTTTTGGTAGTAGTCGAATACCTAAGGATCTAAGTCTCATTGTCCTGTATGGAATCTGGTGGCAATGGTGATGGACCTGTTTTACCTATATGATGGGCATTTAACATGGTCTGTTAAATGATAGCATTAAGAACCTCAGCCCATTTTTTTCCCTCCTTAAATCTACCTTTTAATTTTTTCTTAGACAAGGTAAAAGTTTGAAACTATTAGGGAAAATGTGAATGCCTCTGCATTTGTCCCCTCCTGCTGTGCAGCCTTCCTTGTGGCTGCTGTCCTCACAGATCAGGAACTCATTCCCCAAAATGATAGTGTATTGGTAACACATATCCTTTGTTCCACGATTCTAGGATATGAATACAAACTACCAGTGTATTCTACCCAAAGCTACAAATGAAAATAAGCTTACTTTTTTGATCCACAAAACAGGATCAGGATCCATTGGTATTGAATGCCAAAATCTGACTCAATACTTGTCAGAATTTTGTTAGAATACTACCGAAGCTTTTGAGGTAGAGAATTGTGGAGGTTTCATCCTGGAAGAGTTAACTTCGTCTTAAGAAAGCAAGCAATTTATAGGGTGACTTTATATCCAGCTATTATATCTCTAAGATATACTAAAAAAGACAGTTTTAAAATTAAGTAGGCACTGTTCATATTTATTTATATAAGGTACATATAAAGGTGTATAACTACTAAAAGATACTACATTTGCTCTTTTACATTCTAAATTAAGCTTCAGTTGAGCCATTTTTTCAAGGAAGTCACAATTTGAAAAGGAGCAATCTATAGGCATGCATTTGGATAACCAGAAAGTCACAGATTATTTTTAAGTTTACAACATTTTTGCTTAAGCCATGAAAACTATCCTCTGAGTTCCTAAGAAATGTTACTATTTAAGAAATTTAGAAGATGACAAGGACAGTTTGGGAAGGAGGTGGCTGGTGACAGTGAGATGAAAAATTATGCTCCAAGAAAAGGTTTATGAATTGCAAAATATGTGCCTTTAAGTCTTAGTGTCATATTTCCTTTTGGGAAATAGTGAACTGTGAAGAAGTTAGTTTTTTTCTGAATTTTTAAATCTGTTGACACAACCAGCACCTTCTGTTAGCTACACGGTGCCAGTCTCAGAGCTATAATAATCTACATCTTTCAGGTAGTCTGTTTTCTCTGTGGTCTTTCCATCAGTAAAGACTATCCATTGCTTACTGTCCATGCCCTTGTGAGTTTAGTAGTATTAACATAAATTTCGCACTTGGGTTTTTTCAGAAAATTGGTAAGGAAGCACAGGTATATTTTGTATTGAAACATTGATTAGAACAGTGGTTCCCAAACTTTAGTGTGCCTCAGAATCAATGGCAGGGCTTGTTAACACATACTTTAGTCCTGCCACATAATCTCTAAGTGAAATTCTTCACGTAGGCTACTTCTCAATATAACCTCCCTTCTTTACACTTCCTTTTGTCCTTTCTTTCATGGTATACATGTAACTTCCATCTCCCCTTAACACCAGCTGTGAATTCAAATGATTATCTCCTTTCCAAATTGCTCAGTGTTTCCCTTTTATATTAGGTCTTTGTCAGTGGCAAGAACAGAACCCAAAGGTGGGTAACAGAAAAAGGAAGCCATAGAAGGCAGCTGAGCTTAGGGACTTCAGTGAGTGTAAGCAGGGACTTGGAACGGGGTCCTTAGGGCTCATCTTTCCTTCTCTGGTTTGCCTTTCTAAGCGTGACAGTTCTTCACATAGACTGTCATCATGTAGTGTGCTCTGTGGCTTCTGAGAAAACCATACTCAGTCCTGGTGGCTTAACAACAGCTGCAGTAAAAAGGTGGTGTCTCCTCATAAGCTTTGGCAGAAAAGACTAGGGAAGGGTCCCAATGGGCTCAGTTTGGGAAATGTGATCCCCCCAATTCAGCCATGCCATTGATTAGACATGAATCTTGTGCCCACTTGACTTGAAGTAGATTCTCCATTTAAAACAGATTTTATTATTGAAAAAAAAGGAGGCCAGGCATGGTGGCTCACGCCTGTAATCTCACTATGTGAGGCTGAGGCGGGAGTATCGGTGGAACCAGGATTTCAATACTGGCCTTGGCAACATAGTGAGATCCTGTATCTACAAAAAAATAATTAACCCGGGCATGGTGGTACATTCCTGTAGACCCAGCCACTCAGGAGGTGGATCACTTGAGCCCAGGAATTCAAGGCTGCAATGAGCTATGATTCTGCCACCACACTCAAGCCTAGGCAACAGTGAGAACACGTCTCTAAAAAAATTAAAGGGAGGTTGGGAAAACCAAACCAATAGATACCACTGGGAGTGACCTAAAGAATAGTGCTGACCCACATTTAACTAAAAATCAGAGAAAATCTAGGTCATCTGCTTCCTTCGGAGTCTCTAGTTATAGGGACATGTCTTAGTCCAGAATATTTATGATGATCAAATCCAGATGTGGCTGCTCATGATCCAGCAACCTATGATTGGCTAAATGATATTTTTACCCCTAATATACCTTACAATGACTGATATTTATTGAAGGCCTCTGTGTACCAGATAAATGAAATGTTTTGCCCTCATTTAATCCTCACAAGTGTGAGGTAGACTCTGTAATCCCCATTTCTCAGATGAGATAACAGGAGTGAATCCAGGTCACATAGTGCAAAGCCTCAGTCCAGATTCAGGGAATATCGCTGATCCCTGTGCTCTTAACCACTCAGCTGGACTGCTTACATATAGTTACGGAGAGAAAATAGGAGAGTCACTGTAAGAACACTCATTTGGAAATGGGGAGAAGAGGAAGCCCTGGCCTTAAAGTGGGTTCCATGGTGAGTCACTGCTTCCCCAGGTTCTCCTCTGTGATCATCAGCTTACCCATTGTCTTCCATGGCTGCATGTAAGGATTCCCATTCTGGGGGCGCACGTTTGCTGTAGGCTGAGGGGTCTGAGGACTACTCTAGAGAAGTCTCAAAAGCTTGTTGCCAGGCTAGAGGTTTCTGTGGCAACACCCTTAACTAGCCAGCTACTTGTTGATCTGACTTTGGGTATTGTAGGACTGGTGAGCAATTCCAGCAACCTTGGAAATCTGATCCTTGATCTGAACTCTGCTCTTTTTTTTTTTCTCTTAGCACCAACACAGCCTATTTTCTAGTTCTCAGTTTACTGGCTGCAATGGTCTGGCAGAGATTCTCTTTCCTGCTCCAATACTTTATGATGGTCATAATGCCTCCTGTGGAATTGCAATTTAGGCAAAGTCACATTCTAAAGTCATCACAGGAAGTCATCATTGCACTTGAAAATCACTTACCACTTCCAAACCACACAGTTCTGTTTCTCAATGAGTCTAGTACAGTTAGGTTTTCCTTCCATTATTTCTTAAGTTGTGTACCAGCTGAAACAGCTGGCTTGCAGTTAGGACAATGTTGTTCAAATATTACATAAATACTAGGATCCCACAGTGAGGGAGCCAACACCAGTGGCAGGAATGACAGGTTCATCTCATACCACTTTTTTCTTCATGACAAACGGAATGATTGGAGTTTTTTGTTTGTTTGTTTGTTTGTTTTTTGAGACAGAATCTTGCTCTGTCGCCCAGGCTGGAGTGCAGTGGCGTGATCTCGGCTCACTGCAAGCTCCACCTCCCAGGTTCACACCACTCTCCTGCCTCAGCCTCCCAAGTAGCTGGGACTACAGGCGCCTGCCACCACGCCCGGCTTTTTTTTTTTTTTTTTTTTTGTAATAACTGGAGTATTTTGTCATTGCCTTCTTAGTTACCACCACCACCACCACTCTCCAACAGAACGTGTATAATTCAGTCCAATACATGCATGTTGCAACTCCACCAGATTGCTTTTGCCCAGAAGGGTATGCATAAGAGGAGGGGCTTAGAAGGGGATGATCAGGGGTCTCCTGGTTCTCAGGCTCCTCCCGATCCCCATCGCGTCCATGGTTTTAGAATCTACCCTTTGCTCCTGTGGATCAAGACTGAGAGTTGGGATTTTTAAATGCTGAGAGGGCTTTGATTGTTTAATCTCATCCAGTCATGTTTGCTAGCTGCGGAAGAGCGAGTTTCTTTTAGCAAAATCACCTGTTGTCTCCTTTCTACTTTCACAAGGGCCAGCCTAGCTAGAAGTTTAACCATTTCTTACAGAAAACTTGGTGAAATCTCCAGAAATAGCCAAGTGCATGTCAAGCTATCATGTTCCAAAAGTTTAAAACATAAGTATACAAATAGAGTAAATAAGTCAAAGATTATGTTCAACTCATTGGTCAGAGAACCAATAGGCAAAAGTGGTTCAAAGGAGAATGAAAGGAATAGGATGTATGTCTTCACCAGGAAAAGCATTTTTAAATGTTTGCTGAATTAGAGACAGATCCTAACCTGTGGAGTTATCTTTTATACTAGACAGACAATATTTACGTATCTAGCAGATGAGGTCTACAGTAAAACATGTAACTTCTTAGAGTCTAAGCCCTTAATAGTAAGTAGTGAAGTCAAAAATGGATACATTTCCCTAGAGCAGTGGTTCCTAAAGTGTGACATGGGAACTTCATGGGGTTCTGCAAAGTCAAAACTACTTTCATTATAATGTTAAGATGTTAGTTGCCTTTTTCACTCATTCTCTGCCAAGCGTACAGTGGTGTCTTCCAGAAGTTAGTTGACATGTGGTAACCTCATTGCTTCAATGGCTAATGGAATCTATGAAGCTATGAGAATCTGGCTGTCTTCTACTAAGCCAAATGTTGAAGAGATTTGAAAACATGCAGAGCAATGCCTATCTTCTTACTAATCATTTTTGGAAAATATAGTTATTTTCTTTTTAAAAAGTTATTTGTATTTACATGCAATGGATTTATTACTATTTGTGATGACTAAACTTTTTAAGAATTTCTATTTTCATATCTAAAAATAGATGGTATATCAGTCCACCCCGGACCAATCACCTAGGTCGGGGATAGGGTACTGTGTCCACCCGAACACACCAAGTGGGGAAAGGACAGTTCCTCAAAGAGTAAAAGGTGCTCTTCTGGCTTCATCTTTTGTTGTAAGAGCTAGGCCATAAAACCACCGTAAGGACTGATGAAGATTGTAGGGGTTAACAATAAGTTTATTCTTGTTAAGTTGCAGAGCTGGGGTGTGGAGGGGTTGAGGGAGAACAGTGGTAGAGGATACTTTGTTTTCTCTCCCTTGCCATGTCACGAAATGACTTAAGAATCTTTTATCAACACTTTGTTAGTAGGAAAGGCAAAAGTCTATCAAGACCAAGATAAACTAGGCTACCCTTGGGGTCAACCAGGCTACCCTTAAAATACATAACTGAGTTTATTCCTAGTAGTATTTAAGATGACAGCCACAGGCTCTGAAGCCAGACTGCCCAAATTCTAATCATCTTCTTGTCATTTGCAAATGAACTTTTCTTGGCCTCAGTGTCCATATCTGTAAAATGGGAATATAGTTTTCTTACTGATCATTATAAGGTTTAAGTAAGACAATTTATTGAAGAGGTTTAGAACTGTGCCTGGTACATAACGTTTATATTGTCCACTATAATGATAATGTTGAAACAAGACTGCTGTATTTATCGTTTAGTTATAAGGTTTACATTTGCTTTTATTGCATGAATTGGGTAGCTTGCTACCTTTTCTTTGACATTCTTCATTGTATATCTAGAAATAAGAGTCATCAGATGAATAATAATACAACCTGTCAAATAGTCATTTCTTGATTGGATTTCTGTTCCCTGGAGGCCACATTCTCTTGGATTTATCACTTCCATTAATTTTCTCAGGTGTCATGGCTGAAGAAACCAAAGCAGAGAAGCAGTGCTCTAACTGTCCCCTTATTAGAAATAATGACCTAAATCACGTGGAATATGTATTTTTCTCATAATCTCAGAAAAGTACTTAGATATGAATCTATGAAGATACTCGTTGGTTTCCAAGAGGTTCCACTGTCTTGCAAATAGCAGTTTGTGGATAAAGGAAAAGTCATGCTCGTATCTCCAAGAGGCTTAACTATTCCAAAACATCAAAGTAACTCTTCTGTTTCTAAAACCATGCCACAAAATTAGCTCATTGGCAGGAAGCTGCATGTGAAGCTCAGATTGCACACAGAGCTGACGTGTTCTGTTAGATGAACTTGTACTGGAGCAGCTGATAAACAAGAAATATCCCTTGAACTTCTAAAAAAGTGATGAGGTAAAAAGTCAGCAGCTTAGTTCAGTGAGTGGAAGATTGTTTTCTGCTTACTACAGGAGACCGTGCTTTTTTCAGAGAAGTTAAGAAGTTGAGCATAAAAATACCAGAAGGCCCAACTGTGAGAGACAAGAGAAGTGTTGATGTAGCTTTCCAGAGAGATTGTGGATTCCTGAAGCTGACTCTGCAGCTCCCTATGAGCACAGACACTTCCCTTGGCCCCCCTGAGCCTTGCTGCTCAACTCTAGGATGAGGATACTACGATCCCCTTCAGAAGTGTTATGAGATTTCAGTAAGTCAAAATATGTAAACTGGCTGGCGTATAGTGTTAATTGCTATGAACTCTTTTCTCCCCCTTTCTCCTGAATTAGAAAACAGCGCTCAACCAATCCAGACACCTTGCAGAACTCCTCCCTTCTGCTCACTGCTCAGGTGCAATTCATCACCCTATCCTATTGACATTTTTCTCAACATCTTTAATCTTCCTACCTTTCACCGGCCCTTTTTCCATGACATCAGTTCAGGGTTCCAACACTGAGACCGACCATGTCAGGCCTGCCCTAAGCCTAATATGATGGAAAGAAACAGAGTCCAGAGTCCAGCCAGGGAAGAGGTGGGCTCTTTTTGCTGATTCAAATAATGCATCTGGGCATTATTCAAAGTCTTCCCTCCACCTCCAGAGAGGGGACCCTCCTCCCCTGAATACGACAGCTGCATCCACAAGAAATTTGGTTACGTCTATCATTTTTACACTGTGCCTCCCTGCTAGTTTCTTTGCTAGCTCTTCAGCAGACCCAAGCAGTGGCCAGTTAAACTGAATCCAAATCATCATTCTGGCCCTCTAACTTAGACTGGGACTTTGTTGATTAGCCAAGATCAGTTGTGTTTTTCTCGCACATTATTGCAAAAGGTTTCTAATCTGTCTTCTTGCCTTCTGTTATACCTGTCTCTATACTAAAGCCAGGGTGAAGTTCAAAAGACAGATTTGATCTTATCGCTTTTCTGCTTAAAACCATTCCTTGGCTGCATTCCAAGTTCTTCAGCAACTTCTGAGCCCTTCACGCCTCTCTCTAGGTTCATTTTCAGCCACCACTTGCCATGCCTGGAGCTCTATACTCCAGTCAGACTAACCATTGGCACAGTGGGCTCTTTTGCTTCCAGGCAGTGGAACATGCCATTCTCTCTGGCTGGCCTTTGACTTTCCTCCTTGTCATGAACTCATAATTTTACATTGCTGCAGCATCTACTTTGACTGAAACTTAAACTCTTTCATACCAGAAGCAGGGCTCAGTCACCCTTGACAGAGTTTCCAGTTCTACACTTCCTCCCAGTTCCTCAACCTGGTCAATCCAGATATCTGCCTGATAATGGTTTGGCTGTGTCCCCACCCAAATCTCATCTTGAATTGTAGCTCCCATAATTTTCATGTGTTGTGGGAGGGACACAGTGGGAGATAATTGAATCATGGGGGCGGTTCCCCCATACTGTTCTCATGGTAGTGAATAAGACTCACGAGATCTGATGATTTTATAAGGGGAAACCCCTTTCACTTGGCTCTCATTCTCTCTTGACTGCCACCATGTAAGACATGTCTTTCACCTTCTACCATGATTGTGAGGCCTCCCCAGCCATGTGGAACTGTGGGTCCATTAAACCTCTTTTTCTTTATAAATTATCCAGTCTCAAGTATGTCTTTATCAGCAGCATGAAAATGGACTTATACATTGCCTTATACAACTGCCTCCTGGTGACCACCTCCCTATGGGACCACCTCCCAATGCAGCCTACTTGAATCACCTTACTGACCCACGTACCTAACATGGACTGTGCAGATATGCCATAGTGACCAGTCCCAGTGTGACTGCATGAGACATGGACCTGCTTGCTCCAAACCCACCAAGTAGAATTACCCACGGGAAACTGGGTAATGCCCTGGTCCCCAGTAAAGGCTTTAGTCCCACAGGTTCTCTCTCTCTTGCTCCCCACTCCTTGGTTGAGTGCATGTGTCCTGGACAGCTCTTCTCATCCCACTGGCCCTGTGAGGCAAGGCGTGCTGCCCTCTTCTCTCTGGGTCTGTAGGTAATGCACTGCTTTTGTTATTTAATGTGTTTGTTGCACTGCCTCCTCTGTGTCTCACCCCACGGACACAGTCGAACCTAACTCTTCTCCCCGTCAGAGCTCTCCTACAGAGTGGCTATCTTGGTAAGAATGCACTGGACACAGGTCAGACAAGAGCCACAAGGGTGTCTGCCAATATAAACAAGTTTCCTGTGAGAGGGACACCTGGTCATGAGTCAGACACTTAGGCATGAGGCCATTGACCAGGGTAAAGTAGTATCCCATGAAAGGCACACTGTAAATACTCATGACCGCCTTTCCTGTAGCCCCATCAGGGCAGGACTAGAATTTATAACCCCTCTCCAGGGAGAGCCCTCCAGACCAGATTAGAGGAAAGTACAGCACTCTTCAAGAAGCAGCTCAGAAAGACCTCCTCCAGGAAGTTTTCTCTGATGCCACAGGTCTGGATTAGGGTCCCTCTCTGCTGTGCCCCTCTGTGCTCACCAGCTTGGCCGTTTCATGTCCTCACTATGCTGGTGTCACCTGGTAACACACTTGAGTTACCTGGTTTTGTTCTGTGGTCTACACCAATCTGGGAGCTCCTTAGGGGTAGTAACCTTAGACAAGGCTTGCAACATAATCAGCAATTAATATTAATGTCTGAGTCAATGAATAAGTGAATGAATGAAGCAAAGAACTGGTTTGGTTTCTCTTATGAACACTATGGGTTGTGTAATAATTTTGTTTCCCACTTATTCATCACTGATGAGGGAAGGACTACCAAGAGATTATGGCAGATATTTAAGGTATTAGGTGAACCCATGGATCCCACTCCTACATGCTGTTGCTTCACTGATAACTGTAGTATAGTATCAGTACATTTGTAGAACTAAAGGGGAGTGCCAAAATATTTTAAAAATAAATGAATTTATCACTGTGAAAAAGCCAAATGAACCTCTGCTATTAATGCCTTATCTTGTCAAGTGTCTAAGGACTGTGTGACTCAAAAACCCATGCTTTTTAAACATTATGAATTGGGAAACTGCAGTTATTACTTGTGACTTTTTCCAACTAGCAAAGTCTTACTGTTTCCTGATGACACAGCTCAAAAGTCACCTTCTCTGTAAAACTCCTGTGACATCCCATCACCACACTCCTCCTGTAGCCCTTCCACCTGATCTGTTGGACGATCCCACTGTCATTTATTTGATTTCCCCATTAGATTGAGTAACTGACAATCACTTTCATACCTCTAGTGGCTTATCTTATTTGTGAGCAGCTTGGAGTTTTCAATACAGGATTTACTTCATGAAGGGATGAATGAAAAGATTAAATCTATAAAGGGGGAAGGCTGCTGGTGACAGGGGAATAGCTCAAAGGGGTTATAGGCATGGAGCATTATTAGGATTGGAGCTTTTTGGAACGTGTGACTTGGTTGAGTGTTCTAGTTGTAACAACTACACACTAATATGATTTGCATGGCATGTTTCATGTATGCTTGAATTCTTGAGACCTAACTTATAATAACCATTATTTCATTATTTCCTTCATGCTAAGGATTAAGGTTAATGATGATTTGAAGAGAGGATCATTTATTAAAGTGCTTATTGATTCAGTGAATACTTACTGATTATCTAGGGCAGGGCAACACCATGTGTAGTGGCCCTGGAGCTCCTGCGGACCCTGGCTCAGGAAGGTGGTGGGGGCTTGGTTTGAAATGCTTAAGTCAAGGAAAAAAAGAGAGGTAGTGTTTAGTTAGGTGTCTAAGTATTTGCTTAAGGAACTGGCCACCTGCTTGTCCAAGTTCAGGCTGTTATCTTAACTGCCCTTTAAATGCTTCTAGGTTGCTTTTATTCTTTGAGGATTAGTGAACAATTCAGTCCCACAGGTGTCTGCTGTTTTGAGAAAATAGTGCCGAAAAGTACACGAATGCGGGCAAATCCTTATTTGTTAAAACCTCCAGTCTTTCAAGAGATCCTTTTCCCAGACACGTGACTGAGGGTTCGCATAATCCCATTTCTGCTTAACCCGAGTCACTCCCAACTTCACACCAACAGAAGGATCCTAGGATAGACCCATTCATCCGTCCATCCTTCCTTCCTGCTTCCTTCCTCCCTCCCTCCTTCCCTCCCCTTCACCCCCCACCACCTGCCTTCGAATTAAACTGTAATCCTGATTTACTTCATTCCTTTCTTGTTTGACATTTCTCAGATTTCACGATAAGAGGGAAGCGAAGAAAAAAGCACGTGACTTGAAAATGTTTTTCTCTTTTTAAAGCCACATCTTTCTGCTTCATTTTGATTTCAGTGTAACTCGCCGAGTGAGGACTCTTGGCCCACGCTGGGAGCCCGCAGCCGGCATCCGCCACCGCCGGGCAGGTGTGCGCTGGGCGGGCGCGCGGACTCGCCTTTGCCCGGCCCGCGGCTCCCCCGTGTGGCCTGAGTAGGTAGTGATGCGAATAACATGCTTTGAGAAGTCAGAAGGCTGGCGTCTCTTCCTCCGGAGCTCACGGAGGAGTCTCTCTGGTTTCCTTTCTCAGAGGCAAAAAATTTCCAGTTGGTCTCAGGCTAACATGGACTCTGGCAGAGGAATTGAATGATGGCCGATTTCAAGAAAGCAAAACAAACTCCTGCCGGGGAGACAGTTTGGGGTCGAATGATTTCATGATGCCCAAGACCACTCCTGCCACACAAGCGAGGGGAAAGAGCGGGGAAGGTTCTAGATGAGCTGGATCCCCGCTAGGTGCCAGGCATCTGACATGCATTATTTAATCTTACTGTACCCCAAGCTAGATAGGAATAGTCACCTCATTTTACAGAAGAGGAATAGTCACCTCATTTTACAGAAGAGGAAACAGATTCTCTGAGGTCCGCAGTCTCAAAATGGTGTAACAAGGGTTCAAACTGTGACCAGGCTGACTCCAAATCCCATACACTTGGCATGACAAGACCTCATACAAGAGAGGCGTCTCGGTCCCTTTGTGTTGCTGTAAACAGAGTACCTGAGTCAGAGTAATTTGTAAAGAACAAAAATGTATTTATCACAGTTCCGGAGACAGGTTCAATGTCTAGGGAGGGCCCCCATCTCTGCTTCCAAGATGGCACCTCGAACCCCATCCTCACATGGAGGAAAGGCAAAAAGGACAAGAAGAGATGAACTTGCCCCCTCTAGCCATTTTATAAGATGCTAATCACCTTCCTATAGGATGCATGTTTAATCCTGTTGCACAGGGGATTCACTTTCAACATGAATTTTGGAAGGGACACAAACATTCTAACCATAGTAAGGTGAGGATCTCCTGCTCAGTTCTCTCCTTCTGTTGGAGATAGACGTCAGGCTCCAGAGAAAGCTGCTTATATCTCAAGTCCAATAACCTCACGTCTGCATGGCCCATCTGAGTTACATGAGTGTGGAGTGTGGCATTCTGATCTCTGCATTGCAAAGTATGTTGCGTAATCTCGAGAACAGTCCTATGAGATGATTTTTTTATTGGCAATTTAATCATAAAATGAAGAGAGAGATGAAGTCACCTGCTTAAAGTTCTGACAGCTAGCAAATGTGCATGAATTTGTCTTTTTCAGGTCTAGTGGTGTGAAATCAATTTTAATTATCATATCAAGTTGTCTTACATCTACCTCTGTAGACTAGTTTTGAAAAATTTGTTAAATGAGGGAGGTGGGGATCCTAAAGTTCCCTTCTAGCCCCTGAGTTCTGAGTTCTGGTTCTTGAGTGCTGTCACATATGTTTCTCCTCTCATCTTCCCAGTGCTGTAATCTGGGGGTACCAGGGTGATATGGTTTGGCTTTGCGTCCCCACTCAAATCTCATCTTGAATTGCAATCCCCATAATCCCCCCATATATAGGAAAGTGACCTGATGGAAGGTGACTGGATCATGGGGGCAGTTTCCCCCATGCTGTTCTGGTGATAGTGAGTTCTCACGAGATCTGATGGCTTTGTAAGTGTTTGACAGTGCCTCCCTCACACGCTCACACTTTCTCTCCTGCCACCATGTAAGATGTGCCTGCTTCCCCTTCTGCCATGATTGTAAGTTTTCTGAGGCCTCCCCATCAATGTGGAGCAGTGAGTCAATAAAACCTGTTTTCTTTAGAAGTTATCCAGTCTCTTTATAAATTACCCATTTCTTCATAGCAGCGTGAAAACGGACTAATGCACAGGGGTATAGAGTTTGGTGACTAGCCATTGGACACACAGGCAGTCTCTGCCCCATCTAAGCCTGGGATGCAGGTTCCTTGACTGTGGACCTTGCATTGTGGGCTATTTACTGTTTGGCCTCATCTTGCCCCTTTTCTTTGATGAGACTCAACATTTCCCTTTGGGATGAGGCACTTTCTCTCTGGCTAGGGTGGGGCTGATCCACTCAGGCTTTGATGGTGTTTATATGACTCTGGCCTGGGTTGTCAAAGTGATTGGTCCGTAAACAAAATCCTGCTCTAAGTTGGGCTAAGAGCAGGCAGCTGCAGCTTCTAGCCCCTTTGGGAGAGAAGTGTGCTTATAGTTTTAGCTTCTAGCCCCTTTGGTATGGAAGTGTGCTTTTGACTGCATTTGCTAGTGTGGCTTTTATGGACTGAAGATTCGTATACCCCCTCCACCCCCTAGTATTCATCTGTTGAAGCCCTAATCCCCAATGTGACTATATTTAGACATGGGGCTTTTACAGAAGTAATTAAAGTAAGGTAATAAGGATAGGGCCTAGATCCCACAGGATGAGAGTACATAGAAGAGGAAGAGAAACCAGAGGTTGCTCCCTCTCCACATGCTTGCACTGAGGAAAGGCATGCACTGTGGACAGAAAACACAGCGGGTGGCCAGGTGCAAATCAGGAAGAGTCCTCACAGGAACCAAACCTTGCTGGCACCTTGATCTTAGACTTCTCAGCTGCTGGAACTGTGAGAAATACATTTCTGTGATTTAAGCCACTCACTCTAATGGTATCTTACTATGGCAGCTTGAACTAACACAGTGGTAAAAGGTCAGCTGGGGGCTACTAGTCATCATCTCTGCCACCAAGTGAGAAAGCCAACAGAGGCAAGAAGAGCTGAGAGTGGGAGTGACAAGGGGTGTGGACCCCTGGACTGTTCATGATCCAAGCCAATACGTTTTAACCAGCTTTGATATATCGTTCATATACAACTTCCCCTCTTAAAGTGTATAATTCAATGGATTTTTATATATTCACAGATATATACACAGGTGCAACTATCACCAGAGTCATATTAGAATATTTCTCTCACCTCAGAAAGAGCCCCCATTTCTTCTGTTTACTCCCCTATGTTCCCATCCTTCCCAGCCCTAAGCAATCACAAATCTACTTTGTTTAACATTTGCCTATTCTGTATACTTCATATAAACAGAATAATATGGCTTGTGTGTCCGGCTTCTTTTACTTAGCATAATATTTCCAAGTTTCATCCATGTTATGGTGTATGTCAGTACTTCATTTCTATGGCTGAATAATATTCTGTCCTATGGATATATGACATTTTGTTAATCCATTCATCAGTTGAATGTTTGGATGTTTCCACCTTTTGTCTATTAGGAATATTTTGTGTTCATTTATGTAGATATGTTTTTATTTTTCATGAGTGGATTTGAATGGAACTTCTCTTGACTAGAATTCCACCTTAAGAACGAAATCACTGACTCATATGACCATGTTTAATTTTTGAGGAATTGCCAGGCCTTATTCCAAAGTGGCTACATTATTTACATTCCCACCCACACTGTATGAGGGGCTCTGATTTCTCAATATCCCTGCCAATACTTATTAATATCCAACTTTATTCATTCTAGCCATCCTAGTAGATGTGGTGGTATCTCACTGTGGTTTTGATTTGCATTTCCCTGATGAATAATGATGTCAAGCATCTTTCCATATGTTTATTGACCATTCTGTATCTTCCTTGGGGAAAGGTTTATTCAGATCCTTTGCCCATTTTACTTTATACATTCTATATACAAATTTCTTATCAGAACTTTTCCTTTGTTTTGCTTGTGCTTTTTATGTTAAATGCAAGAATTTATTGCCAAATCTAAGGCCATGAAGATTTGTCCTTAGGTTTTCTTCTAATAGTTTTGTAGCTTTAGCTTCTATATTTAGGTATTTAATTCATTTTAAATTAATTTTTGTATATGGCATGAGATAAGAGTTGAGCTTCATTCTTTTGCTTGTGGCTATCCAGCTGTCCCAGCACCATGTGTTGAAAACACTCTCCTTTCCCTATTGAATGGCCTTGACATCTTTATTGAAAATGAAAATGAGTCGACCACAAACACAAGGATGTATTTCTGAACTCTTAGTTCCGTTCCACTGATCCTTGTGCCAGTACCACAGTGTCTTGATTACTGTTGCTTTATTGTAAGCTTTGAAGTCAGAAAATGTGAGTGCATGCACTTTGCTTATATTTTCAAGATTGTGTTGGTTATTCTGGTTGACTTGCAATTTTGTATGAATTTTGAAGTCAGCATGTCAGTTTCTACAAAGAAGTCACATGGGATTCTGATAGAGATTATGTTACATCTGTAGATCAATTTGGGGAGTTCTGCTATCTTAATGTTAAGTTTTCTGATCCATGAACATGGATGTCTTTCAATTTATTTAGATTCTCTTGAGTTTGTTTCAACAACATGTTGTGGCTTTCAAAGTATGTTTGGCATTCTTTTTTGTTAAATTTATTCCTAGGTATATTATTCTTGTTGAAGCTATTGTGAATGGAATTGTTTTCTTAATATTATTTTTGAATAGATCATTCCAAGTGTGTAGAAATACAATTTTTGTATTTTGAGCCCATCTATATTTGTTTACCTTAATTCTGCTTGAATTGTGTTTTTGGTATTTGGAACTGAAAAAATGCTGTATTAGTCCGTTTTCACGCTGCTGATGAAGACATATCTGAGACTGGGAAGAAAAATAGGTTTAATGGACTCACAGTTGCACATGGATTGTGAGGAAGGCCTCACAATCATGGCGGAAGACGAAAGGCACTTCTTACGTGGTGGCAGCAAGAGAATGAGAAAAAAGTGAAAACAGAAACCCCTTATAAAGCCATCAGATCTCCTGACTTATTCACTCACACAAGAACAGTATGGGGGAACTATCCCCATGATTCAATTATCTCCCACTAGGTCCCTTCCACAACATGTGGGAATCATGGGAGAACAATTCAATATAATATTTGGGTGGGGACACAGAACCAAACCATATCAAATGCTAACCAATACTAGACTGTGCCATAACTGGAATCCCCAAAAATCTGGGATGTAGAAATATATATGACAGTGTTTATAAAGAGCTTTCACATGACTTTATTTGATCCCCACTTACTTTGGGAGATGTGCAAAGCAGTATTTTTATCTGTATTTTAAAGATGAGGAAATTGAGGCTTGAGAGAAGCTAAATGACTCACCTAACCCTCAGCTTAGTAAGTGGTTCTTAGCAAGCCATAACCGTGGTCTTCTGACCCCTGTACCAAAGCCTTTCATGTAGCCTTAACCCCCATCTTCTGACCCCCATACCAAAGCCTTCCTGAAGGGCTCACAGAGCCCAAGAGAGGTACGTTGTTGCCACTCTTCCTCTTTTTAAGAGACAGAATCTTGCTCTGTTGTCCAGGCTGGAATGCAGTGGTGCAGTCTGAGCTCACTGCAGCCTCAAACTCCTGGGCCCAAGTGATCCTGCCACCTAAGCCTCCCAAGTAGCTAGGACTACAGGCACAAGCCACCATGCCCAGCTAATTTTTAAAATTTTTTATAGAGACGTGATCTTGCTGTGTTGCTCAGGCTGATCTCAAACTCCTGGCATCAAGTGATCCTCCTGCTTTGGCCTCCCAAAGTGCTAGGATTATAGTTACAAGCCTCTGTACCTAGCGAGAGATACTTTTCTGATGGGTCTGCCAGGAAGCAAGGGTGGAGAAGGGAAGCATTGCCTCAAACAACAATATAGAGCAGAGGTGTTCAATCTTTTGGTTTCCCTGGGCCACATTGGAAGAAGAATTGTCTTAGGCTACACATAAAACACTAACAATGGCTGATGAGCTTAAAAAAATTACAAAAAAACTCATTTTAAGAAAGTTTACAAATTTGTGTTCGGCCGCATTCAAAGCCATTCTAGGCCACATGCAGCCCATGGGCCATGGGTTGGACAAGCTTGATAGAGAAGCAGAGTCTCAGAAAATGAGTCATGACTGAGGTAGAAGATCAAGGAATTAAATTCTAGTGCTCACCCTAAGGAAAAATGAATACTTATCAACTGGAGAAACTTTTTTTTAAGGCTTCATTCTAAAGAGCATGGAAAATAAAACCTCACTCTCCCCTGTCCCAAAATAAGTATTTGTGGTAGATAATGTATACTATTTTAGGGACTTTACAAACTTTATAAACTACAAGGCTGAGAGCTAAGAAGCCCAATTGGCTCTGCAACTCTTTTACTTAACATAATTATAATGAACGTTGAGTCAAAGGCAATTTAGTACAGTGTGTACTGCACTTGGTATATTTCTAAACATGGGAATTAAGGCCAAGGAGGGAAGGCCATTACTTGGCCCGAATATTGAAAACTTTCTTTGTAATTGCACTCTGCTGTAGGTCATCATTTTTTAGTTTAAAAACTGTTTCAACCATATTTTCATGCTTCAGTAGGACTATGATAAATATCATTGTATGTATTAACAGTGTCTGTCAACACGAAAAGGAAGAATGGATCCAAAACTCTCCATCTAGCTCTTAATTCAATCAAACTGAAATTGCTCCATTTAAAAAATAAATGTGTTTTCTTTTAGTTCTTACTTATAGCAGATAGTGATGGGAGACAGTAGGCAGTACCAATAGTACCTGTTTTTTGGTTGCCAGATCTCCTGTGATGGGCAGGGCTCACAACCAGAATGCCAATCTTCTTGTGGTTCACCAAAAGAAGGAGTGTCAGTGATGGAGGTGGAAGCCTGTACTCCATTTCATAATAATCTGTGGTTGAGAGAGATTAGGAAATTCCTCATTCATTAGAAGCCTCACCTATTACAACTAATAACATTTTGTAATGATTCCATGCCCGTTTGAGAACTAGAAATCCTGTTTATGATTATTGATTATTGCATATGAAGATTATAACACAAAGAAATGATACATGTTGGATGTCATATTCTAAATACCCTGATTTGATCATTACACATTGTATGCATATATTGAAATATCATATCTACCCCATGAATATGTAAAATTACTATGTACCAATAAAAATACATTTTTTAAACTGCAAAAAAAGATTATAAAGAAGTTTTTGTATTTAGAAACATGTGCACATATATTCACCTCTATAAACCTAAGATGATGGCAGAGAGGGCATAGATAAAAATATTAAACCCAAGTTGAAAGTTAAGCTGGCATTCAGAAGACAATGATCTGCAGTATTGAGATAGACTGTCTACTACATGCAGAGGCCTGGAGTTCAGAACAGGAGGCTGAGGTAAGAAAGATACCCATGCTCAGTCCAAAAGCTGACAAATATAGTACACACTCCATACTATCACTGTCCAATGTCACAGTGACACCCAACTGAGTGGGTAAAAAGCTTCCAGCAAGGCCCACCAAGCTGAAGTGCTTTCCTAGTCTGCTCCCATCAAGAGTTCTGTGGAGGACAGCCCTACTGCTCTCCAGTACAACTTGACCAGAACAAAGGCTCAGAACAACTTAGACCCCACCTGCCACCAGTAGGGAATTCTCTCCTTCTCCAGCCAGGAGAGGCAGCCAGCTTGGTTAGAGCAAAGAGTTGGTCTTATGCTCTATTCTTCCCCTTTCCCTTTCTTGTATCCCATGGAGCTGAATGAAGAGCTAGAAAACAGCTCTGTTCTTATTTCAGGTAATTTTTCCCCTTCCTCCTGCCACATACCCAAGAGAATAAGCTCCTTTCCTCCCTATTGCCTTGGAACAGTTCCTTACACATCACTGATTCTTAATGAATTGTGTTAAAATGAATCTGTAATCAACTTTGCTATGCTCATGGGTCTGTTTACCACAACGATACTGACAACGAAGGGTAGTTTTGTGGTTGCTTTTCCATTTATGTGTCTACCTGGTTTTGCTTTAAAGATGAGGAAAAAATTATTTCTTGCCTCTTCTAGCTGAAGCCCTGAGTACTGATTAAGAGTTTATTTGGGACCAGGTGCAGTGGCTTACACCTGTAATCCCAGCATTTTGGGAGGCCAGGGTGGGAGGATTGCTTGAGCCCAGGAGTTCAAAACCAGCCCGGGCAATATAGGGAGACCCGGTTTCTATAAAAGTTTATTTGGCCTTTGGGAAATGTCTATCCCAGGTAATAGTGGCCAGTTTCTTGAGAGATTACCAAAGGCTGAGTCAATAAAATCCCTCAAAAAATTACAAATGTATTTATACAAGAAAGCAAATGAAAGCATCCAGGAAAAAAATGTTCACAAACACAAATTCAAAAACATACAAATTAAAGCAAATTTGAGGTGCCACTTACAACTAAAGAAACATCATAACATGATAATATATACTAATGTGTTTGTAGTGAATCTGACTTATTTCTACAACAGCTTAGGAAGTGATATGACAATACTAATGAATGTCTACTGACAGTATTTCAGGGAGCGCAACTCCGCAATGTAAATGGTGGCCCTGTAAACAAAAGTGTTTTTATCCAATAATCTTTGCTCCTGGAATTTTTTCTGAACCTCAAAGGGCACATAGAACAGGAGATTAAAGTTCATGGCATGCTCAAAAACAATTGAGTTCTTCACCAGCAATCCTCAAAAAAGAAAATCCTAAAGGTTGTTCTTGAGAATAGAAATACATTAAATTCAGAAAGAATGGCTTAGATATAACAATAAATAAAGAAAAAAGAAAATGGCTAATATATGGGTAAAACTTACTAAGTATTGACCCTAACTAGCAATAATTTCTTATGTGGATTTTTTAGAAAGTAAGAATTAAATCAATGACTAAAATATAAATTTGACTGGGCATGATGGCTCATGCCTGTAATCCCAGCTACTTAGGAGGCTGAGGTGGGAGGATCACTTGAGGCCAGGAATTCAAGGCCAGCCTGGGCAATATAACAAGACCCTATCTCTACGAGAAAGTTAAAAAAAAAAAAAGGAAAGAAAGAAAAAAAATTGAGCCAGGCATGGTGGCTTGTGCCTATAGTTCTAGCTACTGAGGAGGCTAAGGCAGGGGGATTTCTTGAGCCTAGGAGATCAAGGCTGTAGTGAGCTATGATTGAGCCACTGTACTCCATCTTGGGCAACAGAGTGAAACCTGTCTCTAGGGGGAGGAAAAAAAGGATATCTTCCAAATTAAGAGAAGGAAAAAGGTAAAAAATTCTCAAGCAATCTCCAAAAAGGAAATATGGAAGGAACAAACAAAATACAAAATTGTAATTACACTAAAGCCATATGGGTCATATCCTCCAGTTAAAAGAAAAAAGAATGCTTGTTTAGAAAAACAAAAAAAAACCCAACCATATGTTGTTTAACAAGAGATAAATCTAGATAATATGAATATGAATACATCTAAATATAAATATTTAGATACATCTAAATAATATAAATATATTTATATTATTTATATATTAAATCTATATATTATACATCTAAATAACATAATTTAGATACATCTAAATAATATTTATATTATTTTATTATATAGATTTATTTATATAAATTTATATATTTATAAAATTATATATATTTTAATATATAAAATATATAATTATATATAAATATATATAATTATATATATAATAAAAATACATAAAATGATTATATTTAGATACATCTAAATAATATTAATGATAAATAGTTGAGATTAAAATGATGAAAGAGTATACCTGATAAAAGTATAAAGAAAAGAAGACTGGTGTGGTCTATATTAATATCAGACAAAAGAAACTTTCAGGCATAAAGCATTACTTAAAAATAAAGTTGCTCTTGAATGATAAAAGGTTTAAGGGAGAGATAAAATAACTTAAGATTTGCATGCATTTAATAGCATGTATGATAGAGGAAATGAAATCAGTATTTCCAAGAGATATCTGCACTCTCATGTTCATTGCAGCTAATAGCCAAGATATGAAAAAGACCTAAGTGTCCATTGACAATGAATGGATAAAGAAATTGTGTTGTATATGTATATACAATGAAATATTATTTCACCTTAAAAAGGAAGCAAATCCTGCCATTTGCGACAACATGGATGAACCTGAGGGTGTTAGGCTAAGTGAATTAAGTAAGACAAAGAAAGGCAAATACTGTATGATTTCACTTATATGCAGAATCTAAAAAAAGCTAAACTCATAGAAATGGATCATAGAATAGTGGTTGCCAGGGGCTGGGGGGTGGGGGAGATGGGGAAATAATGGTTAAAGGGTACAAACTTTCAGTTTTAAGTTCTGGGGATCTAATGTACAGCATAGTGACTATAACAATACTGTGTTGTACACTTGAATTTTGCTAAAAGAGTAGCTCTTAAATGTTATACAAAAAAAATAACTAGGTGAAGAGATAGCTAGCTAACTTGATTGCAATAATTATCTTGCAATATATACACATATTAAATCATCACACTGTACACCTAACAGTAATACAATTTTGTCAGTTACACCTAAATAAAGCTGGAAAATAAAAAAACCTCCCATAAAAAAGAAAATAGATAAAAAATTTACATGCATTTATTATACAGTCTCACAATATATAAAGGAAAGTTGACAGACCTACCAGGAGAAACAGACAAGTCTAAAATCATAGTAACAAATTTTAACAGGTCTGTGTAATTGAAAGAAAGAGCAAAATACTACAACGAAGCATGCAAAAAAGAAAACACTAGTGGGGTTATGTTTTTTCTTGTTAAAGTTTCCCCTGAAATTTAAATGTATAATTAGAATCAAACCAGAAACGGTATCCGAGGTGAGGCTTCCATGTTGTCATGTCTTGGGGTCTCTGCAGGCTGAGGTTGCCTGTCCGTTCCTACACACCTCAGCGTCTGTAAGTGATTATGAGCAGCACAGGGGAAGGAAAGAACGTGTGGATCAGGTGTTAACAGCATTTTTTCCAAATATTCTCCATTCTGCTTTTCCTAATAACTTTGGTTTTGGAAAGTCCCTTGTGCTAAAGTAATCCAAGCTGCCTCTCCCAAGAGTGTACTGTGGCCTGACCGTAGGCTCTGCCCACCTTGATCCTGATTCCAAGAGGGAAATGACCCCGAAAGGAGCTGGAATCTAAGGTCTGGCATCCGGTCCTGTGGTGGAGACAAACACTTTCAAAGATGTAAAAAAATCCCACTTGTTCTAAGTCACTTTGCTTCCTGCCTGGGACATGAAAAGGGGGCCTTGTTCTTTGTGAGGGAGTGTGCAGCTAATTCTGGTATGACGTAAAGGCACTTTATATTATTGTCTGTGCAAAATGAACTGTCACCTCCCAACTTATTACACAGCAGTCTTACAGTTTTGCTTAGCATCTGAGGCACACACCCAGAGGCCAGAATAGTCCACCAGAGACTGAACTAATACTGCAGTGTGGAAGACAGCCACACCAAGATGAAAGATGCTTTCCTGTGCCGAGTGAGGTGATGGAAAAATAAAAAGCCAGACAAGAATGTGCACAAAAGTGATGTACAAAAGGGCACCTCTTCTCCAACATGGTTCAGTACTTAGGGCTTGCTTTTGCAAAGTTTCCTTCATACAAACTGCTTCCAAAACCACTTTACAGTTAAAAGCTTTGGATGGCCATTTGTTAGCACGCAGTAATAAATCACAGTTGAGGCAGAGGGCAAAAATTACATTTAGATGACACTGCTGTCAGCTGTCTGTGGGGTGGGGACAGGTTTAAGACTTGGTGGTGAGGCACAAGGGCACTGATCTAGGGAGTGGACTTCACTCTCACAGGCTCTTATGTGAATGTGATAAGCCAGGATAACCCCTTAGAGCAGTAACCGGAAAGATTGGCCTCACTATTTCTCACTATTCCCCCACTTCTCTGAACCCACTGCCCATCCAATTTGCACAGTGGAGATGCCAAACCACACACAAATTGCCACCCATCAGTCATTTTTAAGTATAAATAAGTTGAGGGTGAAAGTTCGAAGATACACATGATACAAAATTTGGGAGAAGAAATTTGACTAAATGCAGCCAGGGCCCATGCTCACTCTCAAGCCACTTTCAGGTCCCACCAAGAGGTGTTCAAACAGTGAACCTCTGTAAAAATAGGGCTTCTTCTGGTAGCTGAAGTAGAAATGGAATGATTTTATAAGGTATCAAACAAAAATGTTCCCAGTTTCTTTACTTTGTTAAGAGCAAGCAATTTTCTCTTCAGTGATTGTGTGGCAACAGTAGATGGCGATGTTGCCCTTGTTTTTGAGGAAACTGCTGTTGGAAGCGGGTGAACTGTGGCAAACATTGAAAATTCGGGGCTGAAATGTTGATTCTGTTGTGTTAGCAATGTAGTGTTGAGGCTGTTTGGCCTGAGTAGGTGTGGGGAAGGAGCGGATGCTAATCCAAGGCCATTTGCTCTGGCCCACCAATATACTCATCTGAGGAGGCAGGCAGGCACTGACAAGAATCTATCAAATTATCAGTTTTTATCCAAGTATTTGTTTGAAAGAAATGGTAGACAAATTGCAGTTTTTATCCAAGTATTTGTTTGAAAGATTTCAAAGATATGTTTGAAAAATTATCAGTTTTTATCCAAGTATTTGTTTGAAAGAAATGGTAGAGAAATTGCAAAGTTAATACACTTTAACAACAGCAAGTCTCAGGAACTAATCATGAAAAAGCAATGGCAATAATATTATAGATACATGATCAAGTGTCACTGTGAGCCAGGCACTGTGCCAAGTACTTTGTATGGCTGCTACTACTTAATTCTTAGAGAAACCTGTGAGACAGGTATCAATACCCCCATTTTACAGATGACGTCACTGACTTTCAGGAAGTTTAAATTCTTTTCCTGAGGTTCCAGTTAGTCAGTGGGTTGGCCAGAAATCAATTTCGAGCCTGCTTGGCTCCTCGAAATATAAAATTTTTCGCTTTTCTAAAGCCAGTCAAGATAAAGACAAGTTTAGTTTTCAGAATGAACCTTCAAAATCTACACGAGATATATAAATTTAAGAAATGGGGAAGAAGGAAGCCTTCTAGGGTCAGAGGAAATACCTTTTTCTTTTTAGAGCTTCCTTTATCTTACCCCAAATAATCAGATCAAGTGTGTGCATGTGTGTGATTTTAAAATATGGCATATGGATTCCAAAGGTCTGCTTACCTGTTAGTAACATTATTGCAAATTCAAAAGAGCTTTCAGGCATAAAAACTAGTTTTCATAAACTTTCATCTCATAAATCAATAAAAGTTTTTCTTAGCTATTCTACCCTTAAGTTAATGTCACAGAAATAGTTTTCCCATAGTGACACTAGGCAATAATTTTTTTTATTGGCAAATTGTTATTTATTTTATGTCCATAACAACGTATGGCATTAGAAACTATCAGGATTCCCTTCCACTGGGAGGTCATGGGTGACGGTGGATAAACTCATATCCAGAACCAGTACAAGGAAACTTACCCAGTCTCTGCAGTACAGAATGTATGTGCCCTATCAAGGACTACTCAGTAGAGCCAATCAAATCCTTCTAAATTATCAATAGGACAGAAATAATTCCCTGAGTATATACTTGTGAAGTTATACTTCAGATAAGCTCAACAATCAAAGGATAAAAAAGTCCTTTAAAAGTTGTTTTTGAAATATCTTGACTTTGACAACTTAGGTTTGATGAATTGGAGACACAGAAAAAGTCTACAAACATCTTTTCTTTGAGAACTTAGATATAAACTGGAGAGGCTGCAAATTTTTCCCAGGTAAAGTTTGCATGTGCCTTTTAATCTTAAGTCCAGGCCAACCAAACTGCTCCACATCTCCTTTAATTCATTTCAGGATTGTGAGTCTTTACGAGAAAACACAGGACAAACTTAGGTGAATAAAATCCCAAATCTGACACATGAGCCCAGGCCTATCCCTCAGCTTTTCAAGGTCTGGAACAAGAGTTATAAATGGAGGCCCTGTATAATAATTTATCATTTTAAAGTAAGAAGTCAAGCTAAAAACTGTTGAATGAAATATGTTCTATCCTCCTAAGTTGAAAAATATGCCTTCCTGATGGCCTGGGAAGAATGTGGGTCCCCAGAACCCTCAAGGTTCTACCCCACAGCATGAACACGCAGGAAGAACTGCCTCCCAGCTGCCCAAGAGGTCTTACATGCATGTGTGCAGACACCCAGGCCATATGTCCAGGCTCTGTCCATGCCCCTCACAAATGAGTGCCCCCTGCCTCCTACCCCTTGGCCCTTGGGATGTACATACTAACACTGTGATTTGCCTGCTGGAGGAAGGGCCTAGGGAGGAAGCTGGCTGTGGGGTCACTGGAGTGAGAAACTGTGGGGATCATGTTTGAGATGGGGAGTGGGGTGAGGGCTCCAGGTGGTTATGTTCCCTTGAGCCTGCAGACTTTCCACTCTATGGAAAAGGAGACAGCAGGGGACGGCCAGGGCAAAGTATACAACACACAGGGCCTGGCTGGGGATCTCCTTGTTTTCTTGAGAGACTTTCTTTCTCTTGATCAGAAGTATAGAAGTTCAGCTTTCTCTATAGAAAAGGAGGTCACAAGAGGTGGTAGATGGAAAAACAAGGAAGGCAGGCAAGGAGAGGAGTTAAGAGAACATCTCTCAGCAGAGGCGGAGGGGTGGGAGAAGGTAATGGTAGGGCATGGCTCAGACCAAGGAGACCAGGGATGAACCAAGTGGCCTGGAGAGCATCACCCCTGAACTGTGGGCTCAGCATTTTAGAAGTTGGAAAGGTATGTGTATTTTTTAGAAAGATTGTTATTAAAATAAAACAAAACCCCAGAGTCACAAGAGTTAACATTTTGGTTATTGGAAGCATGAAAATCATGCTGCTATGATTGTGGTGAGGGACAGAGGCATTCTGTGGAGGGGGTTACAGGGAGGTTCCCTCAGTTACGTATAGAGGAAAGAAAGTCAGGAGCTGCCTGGGAACCACAGAGTGAGGCTCTGTGTCTCAACCACTTGGCTGGACCCAAGACACCTCTGGTCTTGTTTCCACTCATAATCAGGAGTCCATTGCCCCTTCACTCTTAGGTCTCAGCGTCTTTGCTCCGCCATGTTCCCCCTCGACTTCTAAGTTTGGCTCAGGTGCAAACCTTTCCAAGGAGACTGGTTGGATTGAAACCATGAAACCCACTATTGGGACACACAGTTTTGTCAGGCTCCGCCTAGCACCCTGGTCCAGAGGAAGGCTCTCAGTTGTGGTACTGAGCAATTCAAATTTACTTTGACCAGGGCAACCAGCCCCCCCGCCCCGACACGTGCCTGACCCAATTCCTAGGCCCAGCTCCTTGTCTGAGTTTGGCCACACACAGCAATCCGGGCTGGTCCAGACTTCAGACTAGTAAGTCCTGAAGGTCAGTGGTTGACTGATTTTCTAAATAAGACAAACCTCACCCACATGCCTTTTAAAACTCAGCAGAAGGCAAACACACGCAAAGAAAGGGACAGAGCAGCAGGGGAGCGTCACTGTGGCCGGGCTCTCGACAGGGCTCTGCTTCAGTTTCCTGCTCTGTGAAATGAAAGGTTTGCATTCGATGGTCTACAGGTCTTTTCAGAGAATACATGTCCATGATTAGATGTCATGTCACACGCTGTAGAGTCCTCTTACCGAGTGAACACTGAGTGTGTGCTGATGTTTTTGTAGCACCATTCCCACGGAGTAACAGCCGGCTCCATTTTCATAACCCCTTGGAGTGAGGCGTCACCTCCCTGTCCTCTTTCCTCTAAGAACTCAGTTGTGTGCCAGACCTCAGGAGGTCGTTTTCAAACCCCACGGCTCGGAGAGAACACAGGCCCTTGGTGTCCACAGTGTTGAGGGAACCGGGCAGGGGCTCTGCCAGGAGCCACGCTGTTGATCCTGGCAGGGTTTCTGCCCTGATGTGGACAGCGCATGGGAGATCAACCTCCCCTCACTCTCACTCCCCATTCCCACTCCCCTGCTGGGTAGGAAGGCCTGGGTTTCCGAGACTCCCAGTAGGAGCCAAGCAGCTTGACTCAGGCCAAGGGTTTGTGGCCTGGGCCCGTTGCCTCCTGAGCCAGCTTTAATGCGCTCAGATGAGCTCGTGCCCACAAACCCGTGGCTGGAAGATGATTCAGGGCCAGATGCAATTAGACTGTGGGCCAGTCAGATCTTCCTGGAAACTGGAATATTGCAGGTCACACCTAGAGTGTGTGTCATATAAAACTAATGCAGCAGGAAGACATGCAAACTATTCACTGGGGTTCCCCCGCTCCCTCCACTGCTGTATCCTTGCCAGTTGGGCTGAGGCCACAGCCTGGCACTGTCCCTTAGGATAGGGAGGGGTGTCAAGAGGGATTTGGGAAACAAGGACAGCAAAGTCTGACTTTTAATCTCAAAGCCTTGGGTCGAGGTATTTTAGGAGATTGAGGCAACCAGCCCCAACTAGGACCCAACCTATCCACCACCCTCATTAGGTAAAGATTCTCTCAGGCTGGGGATTTAGGGAGGATAAGTTGTTAAGGAGAGAAAGAAAGTGAGAGAGTTAGAGTTGAGTGTGCATACAGTAGTGACTGAAAGGGAGGGGTACTCTGAACTGCAAGCCTATCCTTACATCTCCTGGGCTAGAGATTGGGAAGGAATAATAATATCTCCAATGGGTTTGGTGGTCCCAGAGCAAAGTGACCTTGTGACTGATTTCCAGAGTGCAGCCTTGAGAGGACATTCTATCCAGTGCGTACTTCATGAGGCAAATAGGCAAAGGGAAGTTCAAGGGACTCCAGGAGGCTCAGCCCCAACTACCAAAGTGCCATGAGAAAACACCTGCAATTTTTGGTAGCCCTTTGATTAAGGTGTAGAAGGTAGCAGAAGGAGCCTGCAACTCCTGTGGCCATGGCTGGCAGGGAGGAAGGACCCAGAATAACCTGCATGGACCTGGTAACTGGAGGCCAGAGTCCCAGGACATGTAAGGCCATGTGAAGTATTAACTGGATGGTGGCAGCCAAGGGTAATGGTAGGAGGGTTGTAGCTGTTGCCGGGAATCAGCCAAGACAGCTGGAGGTAAGAAGTGGACCACTCTCCTCTAGCATGCCACAGCCTGGGGTGTATGCTCCAGCTCTCCTCCATCTCCATGCTAGGGTGTTGGTGCTGAGTTTGCGGGGGTGATCTTGTGTCTATATGTGCACAATCTTGTATTTGACCAAATTTAAACCTAAAACTTAACAAAAGTCATAAAAGTGGCTGACTGTATCTGGAAGTGACACGGTGAAATTCTTTACATCTCACAGAATGGTGCTTCAAGATAAAAACTGAGTTACAGAAAACAATTTTTTTTGCATACCTGAGTGCACTTTTAACAGAAATTTTAACCATAGAAAGCACCATTGGCTTCTTTCAAACTGGTTTTTCTCCTCCTCATCAGAAAAATTATCTGAAACTTTGAAATAGAAGACATTACAGGATGTTCTCTTTCAGTGTAGTACTGAGTTTGCAACTTTGACTTTCCATTAACTGGTTAACTTGTAGATTTTTGTCTGGGAGAGACACAAAAAGTGTGTCCAATGGAAAAGGTAATGCCAAAGGTCTCAGTGTGTGGACCTGTAGGCCCATAACTCGTCTTGTATTGAATGAACAATTTGTTCCTAATGTTCCCTTACTAAATTACCTATAAATGTCTATCTTCTCATGTGTTCTTTGAACCGTTCATAACATCTTACTGATTTCCTCATTAATTAGACTTGAAAAAGACCTTTGACATATGCTCATTTCATAACATTGTTTTATAAGTCTTAGAAAATTATACTTGAGTATCATTATAGTCTCAGACCTACTAACTCACATGGCATACATAAATCAATAATCTAATCTATCTTGTCCCTCTTAGTAGAATGTGTAAGTACTTGTCATTCTTTGTCCTTGATTGAAATCTCAAGAAAGGAAAAGCCTCACTTAATATCTTGTTTCCAGTCGTTATTATTATAACCATTTTACCAATGAAGGAACGGAGGTTTAGAGAAGTAAGGTATCTTGCCCAAGCCTACACAGCTAGTGGGTAGCAGACGTAGAAGGATTCACACTCCAAGCTTGTATGTGTCTCAAGTCTTTGCCTTCCTACTGCACCACACAAACTTCTATACTACTAGTCTGAGTCAAACATTAATTTGTATTCGAAGAAATAATCCAACATAAATCAACCCTTCAGCAAACACACGTGCACAAATATGCATATCCCACACACATATAAAGAAAAGAAACAAATAGAAAGTAAAACACCCTACCCAATTATAAATAAAACTCAAAACTCATAACATTTTTTATCCAAAGGTACCCCAAATACAACGCGTGCTTATTTTCTTTCTCCCACCCAAATCTGGTCCTTCTCCTGTATTCCTGAATTTGGTTGGTGATAATACCACCCATTGGCCACCAAAATTAGAAACCATGGAATCTTTTTACTTCCTTCTTGCTAACCTTCCTCTCTGCTAGTGCCAAAGCACTAGACTTAGAAGTTGGAATACTCCTTAATGAATCCTTTTTTCTCTATTTCTTCTGCCAATGCTTAAAAGTGATCTTCAGATTTTTTTTTCGGCTTCCCTATCTCCTAAAATACTTATGAAAAACTTTGTAACCCCGAACATTATCAAACTTTCCTCTAAAGTGTTTCATCATAATTTCAAATATTTACAAAGGATATAATTTCTAACATATTATGAATACTGACATTTGAAAAGTACTTTATTACTCATTGTTGGTCTTTAAAATGAATCTAATGAAACCTAAAAACAAGTGTTGATACCACCGCCTTTTTTTTTTTTTTTTTGAGACAGAGTCTTGCTCTGTCACCCAGGCTGGAGTGCGGTAGTGCTATCTTGGCTCACTGCAATTTCTAACTCTGGGTTCAAAGAGTCTTGTGCCTCAGCCTTCCAAGTAGCTGGGATTACAGGCTTGTGCCACCATGCCTGGCTAATTTTTGTATTTTTAGTAGGGATGAGGTTTCACCATTTTGTCTCAGGCTGGTCTCAAACATCTTGGCCAGCCTGGTCTCAAACTCCTGACTGCAAGTGATCCGTCTACCTCAGCCTCCCAAAGTGCTAGGATTACAGGCGTAAGCGACTGTGCCCAGCCCATTACCCATTTTAAAAATACATGTTTCATCAAATGGTGTTGGTACCATTGGATGTCCTGTGAAAACATTTGAAACTCATATTTTACACAAGAATTAACTCAAAATTATCACAGACCTAAATGTAAAACCTAAAACTAAAAAACTCCTAGGAGAAAACATAGGAGAAAATCTTTGCAATCTTGGGTGAGGGCAAAGAGATTTTAGATGTGACACCAAAAGCACAATCTATAAAAGAATAACAATTGATACATGAGACCTATCAGAATGAAAATAATTTGCACTGTGAAAGTCACTGCTAAGAGGATGAAAAGACAAGCCATTGACTGAGAGAAAATATTTGTAGATCACATATCTGGCAAAGGACTTATCTGGCAAAAGACTTGTTTCTCTCAAAATTATAGTAAGAAAATAACACAATGTTTTGACGAAATATTTGAACACTTCACCAAAAAAGACGTATGGATGGCAAATAAGCAAATGAAAACATGTTCATCATTAGGGAAATGCAAATTAAAACTACAATGAGAAGATACCATTTTGTAGCTAGAAGGATGGCTAAATACAGATCTGACAATACTAAGTGCTAGTGGAGATATTAAGTAACTGGAACTTCCATGCGTTGCTGGTGGGAATGTAAAACTGTAGAGCCTTTAAAATGATACAAAAACAGTTTGAGTTTCTTTTGAAGTTTAACCTGTACTTGCCATATGACTCAGCAATCCCACTCCTGGGTATTTGCCCCAGTGAGATGAAAATTTATGTTCTCACAAAGACCAGTATGCAAATGCTTACAGCAAATGTTTATTCATAATGGCCAAAAACTGAAAACAACTGAAATGTCCTTCAACCAGTTAATGAATAAACAAACTGATACATCCATCCAATGGAATACTACTCACCAGTTAAAAGGAATGAATTATTGATAAGCGTAATGAAATGGTTGAAGCCAGACCTCAAAAATTATATGATTCCACTTAAATGATGTTTGAGAGAAGATAAAACTATAAGTATACAGAGCATATCAGTGGTCACCGATGACTGGGATTAGGGGAAAGAACTGTCTACAAAGAAGCAGCATATGGGAATTTTGAGGGTGCAGGTGATGATGCTGTTCTGCATCTTGATTGTGGTGGTGAATACATTTGCCAAAACCCATAGAACTGTAAATCACAAAGGAAGAATTTTACTGTATATAAAAATTTTTAGAACATATATATATGCACACATATATGGCTGACTGCCACTACTACTACTTGAGTCCGTCACTACAGCAGTTACTACTGTTACTGCTTGAGACCATCATTACAAGACAGAACAAGCTTCTTTGGTTAATTACCGTGGGGTAAAAATTTCCACTGTTAATCAGAAAGAGCCTGTTTCTCATTAACAGAAGGCACAGAGAAAGCAAATTGAGGCTTATCCTTTTCGCACAACAGTATAGCAAAAAGCAATCCTTAAACCTTCAATTTGCACTGTACAGGTGGGTCCACGAGATGCTACAGGTTGTGATAGATAAATCTCTGTCCTAGTTGCACTTCCAAATCCCTGACCTCCTTGCTTCTTACGTAGAGAAGGGTACAATGTACAGGGAATAAGCAACAGTTGAGCAACGTATTCTCCTGGTTCAAAAACCCAAAGATCTTGTGACATTACCACTACCTGAATTTCTCCTTCACAATCAGAATCAACAACTCCTGGGCCTGTAAGTTAAGACAGATTTTACCAAAATCAATCCCATGTATCTTGTTGGCAAAGGTCCCCAAATACCAATGGGAATCTTAGTGAGTTTGTTTCTTTCAATTAACATAATTTGTTCTCTAGAAGATCTAATCCTGCGTTCCCAGGTGCTCCTGGGGAGAGGGAATCAATGTGCCTCTGGAAACCCACCCCTGAAATGGAGTTGTGGCCTGGACGGGGAATACCCTCATAGTTTGAGGTTCCCGGGTCCAGGCCCCCTTCTCGCTTCCCGACAGGGAGGTGCCATTTTGATGAAGTTTTGGGTGGCATTGATTAGCCCAGAGATTTCCTTTTTTTACAACAAGGGCAAAGTCCTGGCATTTTTCTGTTGTGGGGGGAACTGCATTATAAAATCCCTTCTGCCCAGAGGTCTGGCGGTGTTCTTTTTTTGAAACATCCAATTTTTCTACACTAACAACTCTTCCCCACTTTAGGGCTTAACCCTTGGCTTCTTTTAGATCTGTCAGTCACCAAATTAGCCATTGCCCAAGCCAATACTGCAGAGCAATGAAGCTCAGTTCCCACATCTTGACAAGCTCCGAGAAAACCTCTCAAGTCCTCTGCAAATCTCACAGGTGCCAGCGCACGTTTACAATCCACAAAAGCCAAAGCTAACGTTAGCCTTTCTGTAGCCACAAAAGAAGACAGTACAAGCCAATTTCCATTCTCCCTTTCCTGCTCACCACTTTCTATAGGTGCTGTAGGTGGGGCAAAAAAATTCTCTCAAACCCTGAAATAATAAAAAGGTGGTACGTAAAAAACTCCAAACAAAAAAGAGAAAAGAAATAACCAAATTCTTCCTCGTGTTACACTGATTCAAAAACTTCCCATTCTTTGTACCTCTAGGGCACTGACCGGTACCTTTAGAGCACTGACCTTAGATTGCTGCTGGTAGACTTGTAACGGGGTTTCTCGTTCATCTAGTTGGTTTTAGTTTTTTTCCTCTGGACTTCAGCTTTTTGTTTTGCTCCAGCAGACCTTCCTCATTCAAGTCCCTATAAGACCCTATCTGTCCCGCAAATTTCTGCTAGTCTTTGCTAGCCTCTACTTTTGTACCTCTTTAGGGCACTGACCTTATATTGCTAGTCTTTATCTATACCTATCTGTCCCTATGGTACCTGTTAGTTCCTGCAAGTCCCTGTCTTTCCCCTCTCTCTCCCTTTCTCCTCTCTCCCTAATCTCTACCTACTTATCCATACCTACTTATCTCTATTTGTCTCTATCCCTATTTCTTTCTGTTTATCTCTATTTATACCTGCAGGCTTCTTCAGGTCTCTTCAGGTCTCTTCAGGTCTCTTTTTGCCCCTGACGTCCTTCATGTCCCTGTCCATCCAGGCGCCACTTGTGACTGACAGCCACTACTACTACTTGAGACTGTCACTACAGCGGTTACTGCTCTTACTGCTTTAGACCATCATTGCAAGACTGAACAAAGGGACAAATGTAGAAACGAAAACTTAAGACAAAAGAAACTGTTTTAAGGAAAGGCTAGCATGGGGAAGAAGACGAGAGAGTCCTGCTTCTAATGAGCAAAGGCAGTCTCTGAGGTGCTATAGCGCTTTGTATTTATTGGGTAAAAAGAGTAAGGAGGAGGAGGTAATGATTGGTCAGCTGCTTAATTGATCACAGGTTCATATTGTTACTGACAGGCTTCAATTATGCCTAATCATAAGAAACATTTGTGCGGCCTCCAACACACATACACTGCATCTTTAATAATTGATTTTTATCATTCCTTTTTCTCTTTAAATTCACATTTCCATTTTACCCCCTCCAAGAATTTTATCCTAATGTAATATATTTTTAAACTTGAAAGTCTCTTATTGGTCACCCCATTATACTTCTCTTTCACAAAGTATATATAAATTGAAATTTGAAATGTTGAAAAAAAGTTTTTTTTTTGAGACAGAGTTTTCTCTTGTTGCCCAGGCTGGAGTACAGTGGTGCAATCTTGGCTCACTGCAACCTCCACCTCCCAGGTTCAAGCAATTCTGCTGCCTCAGCCTCCTGAGTTGCTGGGATTACAGGTGCCCACCATGATGCCCGGCTAATTTTTTGTATTTTTAGTAGAGATGGGATTTCACCGTGTTGGCCAGGCTGGTCTCAAACTGCTGATCTCAGGTGATCTTTCCACACTGGCATCCCAAAGTGCTGGGAGAAAAATTTTTTTACATGATCGTAAATCTACATGTAATTTTAAAATACTGGTAAGAGTATTTTTGACATTAATAGTAGTAAAAATTGAACCAAAACAGCATAAATATATTATAAATGTGGGTAATTAATACACATTAATTTATATAAAATACATTTGCATTAAAGTTCACAAAAGTAAACGTTTTTGGAAAAAATCTCTCTTAATGAGATTGATATCTATATCTTTGATTGTCCTATTGTTGGCATCTTCTCTTCTCCCCCAGAGTGTTTTCACACTGAGACATTACACCATAGTGAGGCTCTGGGTGGGTGAGAGGGAGGCCTTTCTGTCATGAAGGAATGGGTGATTGTGAAAGAAGATGCAGTGCAGCCATTGCAGGCAAGTGCTCAGCCTGGCCAATTTGAGAAAAGAGAATGGAAGGAGGCTGAAGATCTGCCTGGGTAGCTCTTCAAAAGACTTAGATTCCTGTCCCCTGAGAGTTCAATCTTTCCCTTTTCTGCCTGGGCCATTCCAACAGCTTTAATCCCTGGTCTCCTTGCCTCTTGTCTTAGCCCTTCTGAGCTGTCCTCCACCCATCCATCAAGCTTGACCTGAATGACAAACGCGACCATTTTCTTCCTTGGCTTACCAAGTTCACTGCCAAAGTCCACCCTGCCCCCAACTCCATACACAACATCCTCTTTTCTGCAGCATCCAAATTCCATAGCCGTTCCCTTCAGGATCTGGCTTAGAACACCACACTGTAGCTTTATTTGCCTTACCTCTGCCCTATGCCACCATCTCCCCTTCTAGTCTGGATATTTTGAGAACTCCTTTCATAAATCTCTCAGCTCTGAATTCCTGCCTAGCAGAGTGCCCGTCATGAAATTGGCTTTTGAGGAGGGGAAGTAAATTAAATGCCAGAGAAACAAAAAAAAGAATACTGATATTTCTTTTTGATTCTTCATAAAGTGTTTCAATGTGGAGTAGAAAGAGACAGAGAGAGTTTACACCTATCAAACATTAAGGCTGATAGGATCTTAAAATGATTGGTCCATGCCTGTGTGGCATTTTTATATTCTCATGGAAGAGACATGCCAGATGTGGGCCTTGCCTTTTTGGGCCATAAAGTCCAGTGAAGAAGGGGCCATGTGTGTGTTCTCTTCATTCCTTCACAGAGGGTGGGCTCTAAATATATATTAAATGACAATGAATTGCCAGAGGGTTAGGCTGGTTTGTTACTCTTGGCACTTGGGCTAACCATGGTAATGTTAATAATGCAATTCCCCTTTTGAACACAGCCCCTTTTCACCCACAATATGACATAATGTGGCTTTGAAGTCTCATTTTATGAAACAGAGAACAAAAACAATGTTAGCATTATAAAGTTCCAATACTGCATTTCACCTGAATGCATCTTTTAATTGTACTTCCATTAAAAAAAGATGCTTTGTTGCAGCAATAGAGATGTCTCAGAATCTGCCCAAGGAGGAAAGGGAATAAAGAAAACAATTGCCAAGTCATTGGCAATGTGCAGATTTGTTTAACAGTTTCAGCCTACATAGGAAGTTGCGTGCTCTACACTGGACTCCAAATCAAGTTCTTGCCATCTTGATTTCTGAGAAAGGGAAATTCCACAGAGTCAAGTAACAGTATCAGCCGCCAGCCTTCATGTTGGTAGAGGTCAAGGTCCAACCACAGAATACCTTTGGGTTCATGGTTCCCATCTCCATGAGAGGCTGACTGGCAGCATTGTAATATTTTCCTTTTAGTTATTATAACAATCCACAAGTTTTTATTCAATTTGGCATCTCCATTGGCTCTCAGATAGTATGTCACTGACACATTTGAGCCTCTTAGAAGCCCTGGAGCTCCCTAGCAAGGTGAGTAAAGGGAGCCATTCACAGAGGCAGCCACAGGCTTGGGGATTAGTTACCATGCACTGTTCGTCTGACCTTCTTTCTCGTTCCATGCCCATAGTTGCTGCTGTAGTTTAAATATCTGTCCCCTCCAAAACTCATGTTGAAATTGAATCCCCAATGTGGCAGTATTGAGAGGTGGAACCTTTAAGAGGTGATTGGGTCATGAGGGCTCTGCCTTCTTAAAGGGGTTAAACCATTCATGGATTAATGGGTTAATGGATTAATGGGAAATCATGAGACGGGACTAGTGACTTTACAAAAAGAGGAATAGAGGCCTGAGTGAGCACACTTGGCTCCCTCACCACGTAATGCCCTGTGCTTCTTTGGGATGCCACAGGGAGTCTCCCACCAGCACGAAGGCTCTCACCAGATGTGGCCCCTTGACCTTGAACTTCTCAACCTCCATAACTGTAAGAAATAAAATAAATTCTTTTTCTTTATAAATTACCCAGTTTCAGGTATTCTACGTAACAGACAAGAGACTAAGAAAGTTACTTTGATAGATTTCCCAAACTACTGAGATTCCCAACAACTTTAAAGAGCTCAGTGCATAACATTGTAAATTGGGTAGATGGAATGAGTCTGGAAATCCAGGTAGAGAAGCCTGTTGACTTTATCTATTTATTTATGTATTTATTAGACATGGTTCTTGCTCTGTCGCCCAGCTGGAGTACAGTGGCCTGATCTCTGCTCACTGTAACCTCCACCTCCCAAGTTCAAGCGATCCGCCCACCTCAGCCTCCTGAGTAGCTGGGACTATAGGCACTCGCCACCATGCCCGGCTAATTTTTGTATTTTTTGTAGAGACAGGGTTTTGCCATGTTGCCCAGGGCGGTCTCGAACTTCAGAGCTCAAGCGATCTACCCACCTTGGCCTCCCAAAATGCTGGGATTACAGGTGTGAGCCACTGCATTCCGGCCCCTGTTGACTTGTAAACTGAAAGAAAGCAATGGTACAGATGCATGTAATCAAGAGTATGTGGCAGGAGGGGTCAAAAAGAAAGAGCTGAGTGTTCAACTATGAGAAGAAAAAATAAATACCTTGCTTCCCTCTCTTCCGTAGCCAGTTGGATATAGTGTGGTTCTTCATTATTAAATGTCCCCTGAAGAAAGCTAAGGGAACAGAGAGACATTCTAGTGTCCTACTTTGGCCTATAGGTAGTGGCAGCTCAGGATAAACAGGTAGATTAGAAGAATGGAGATGGGATAGGGAAGGGAGAAACTTTCTAGAGGGTGTTGGTGCTGGATGTCTTAGTCTTTCAGGAAGTAGGGAAGATACTGCTTTTCTGGGAAGGGAATTATGCTAAAAGGAACAGGCATGCTTAGCTGTATGCTCAGGGAGGTAGGCAGCATGACCTATTGCCATGAGGTGGGAGTGAAATATTCTAGGTAGCTCTGATAGGAATAGACTCCTTGGCTGGGATCATGCCTATTCTTCTCCGAAGATTTCCACCTCCGAACTGTAGCCCCTTGAAGAATTATAGCCTATATGCATTTCTTTATCCCTTCACCCATATTCACTCTGAATATTATAGTATGAGATCTATTTAAGTGAGGAAAAACTCCAAATAGTTGTAAGTTTTGAGCCATAAGACAAAAAATACTTAGAACAAGAAATAGACTCATAAACTAAGCTTAAGTTACAAGGGGACCATAGGGATAATCTGGAGACAATACTTTTATTGTACATATGAGGCAAACAAAACAAAACAACAACAAATGGTTTGCCGGAGTCACACACCCAAAGAAGTAGGAGAACTAAAAGAGGAATTCATGGTGAGCAATCAGAAATTCACTATAATTTCTTCTTCACCAAGCTGTTTTAGCACAAGGACCATTCAACTGTCTGTGTGTGTGCTGCACGTGTGTGAGAAGTGGGCACACAGCATGCCCACCTACATATTTTGGAGCTGATCTATACTAATCCTTAGCGATGACACACTTTGTAGATTCTAGGACTTCATAATACACACATACCCCCTGCCTGGCTGTGGTGATGGACAAACACAGCTACACCTACTTTTTTGGCTCTTTTAAGGAGGCTGACCCACTGACTTACAAGTTGTTGGCTAGCGTGGGGAATGATTCACTTCCTCTGGAAGACATCAATGACTCCTAATACACTTATGACTCCTTGGTTGTTGGTAGGTGGGGCCCAGGCTAACCCCACCCTGGGCCTATGTGGTCCGTGGTTTTGAGGGTGGGCAGCAGTGCCAATCCCTGCTCTGAGTAGGCCTGTGTCTTTCTGAAGCATTCTTGTCCATCTGACCTACTCTGGCCCTGCCAAATTCATTGCAGTAACAGGCCTCATTTGGCACCATTTTTAGGGTCTTATTTACCTCCATAAACATGGGGAAAGACGGGAAATTAGCTTATTAGTTAACACAAATTACCTATTCTCTTTAAAAGTATAATTTAAAAAATCTGCTATGAACATTTATTAGACATATTAATGCCAGCCCTGGGAAAATTAACACATGCAGGACCTCACTGTGCTGAGTCTTAATTATGCTTCACTTGCACTGAGGAATTGGCATTTGATTCTTTCCAAACTGTGCTATTGGCTGACCTTGCCGGTATTAGGTCATTAAACACCAGTAATTCTTATCCAGATTCTCTGCAGACACCGTGCATTTGAGCAATCATTTGTTTTACTGTCCCTCTTTGCTAAAGCATCTGTTGTAAGTGGCATTGTTCCAATCCTACTTATTCAACAAATTAAACTTTCCCAGGAACAAATAATCATCCCTAGAATTCCTCGAACTACCCTGGCTTCCAATGGGCCCACTTAGAAACACAGCCTGGTAAAAGCTGAAGGGTGATAAGGCTACCAAAAATGGGTGTTCCAAATCTTGCATGGTGGTCTCCCTGGTTTGCACTGAGGGTAGAATCCCACATACCACAAAGGATGTGATATGCAGATGAGGATACAAGCTCCTCCCAGGCAGGGCCAGCTTATGGGATCTGTCAGATAATGCAAGAAATATTTGGGAACGCTAACTATTTAAACTTCATATTGTCCCACAGTTCTGCTGGAACCCCACAGTAAATACTTTCTATAGTCCCCGGGGAACACATTATTATAGTTTTCAATATTGATTTAGCCGCAATGTCTAAATCAATATTGAGACATCGTGGCTTTTAAAGTTGATCTCAGGAAAGGACCCCTCTACTCCTTTTTTTTATTTTTATTTTTTATTTTTTCATTTCAATAGGTTTTTGCGGAACAGGTGGTGTTTGATTACATGAATAAGTTCTTTTTTTTTTTTTTTTGAGATGGAGTCTCGCTCTGTCACCCAGGCTGGAGTGTAGTGGCACAATCTCAGCTCACTGCAACCTCTGCCTCCAGTTTAAAGCAATTCTTCTGCCTCAGCCTCCTGAGTAGCTGGGACTACAGGCATGTGCCACCATGCCTGGTTAATTTTTGTATTTTTTAGTAGAGACGGGGTTTCGCTATGTTGGCCAGGCTGGTCTTGAACTCCTGACCTCGTGATCTGCCCACCTCAGCCTCCCAAAGTGCTGGGATTACAGGTATGAGCCACTGTGCCTGGCCACGAATAAGTTCTTTAGTGGTGATTTCTGAGATTTTGGTGCACCATCACCCGAGCAGTATACACTGTACCCAATGTGTAATCTTTTATCCCTCGTTACCCCTCACACTTTCCTTCATGTCCCCAAAGTCCAATGTATCATTCTTATGCCTTTGTGCCTTCATAGCTTAGCTCTCACATGTGATAACATACGATGTTTGGTTTTCCATTTCTGAGTTACTTCACTTAGAATAATAGACTCCAATTCCATCCAGGTTGCTATGAATGCCATTATTTTGTTCCTTTTTATGGCTGACTAGTATTCCATAGTATATATATGCACATTTTCTTTACCCACTCATTGATTGATGAGCATTTGAGGTGTTTCCATATTTTTGCAATTGCAAATTGTGCTGCTATAAACATGTGTGCTAGTATCTTTTTCGTATAACGATGTCTTTTCCTCTGGGTAAATACCTAGTAATGGGATTGCTGGATTAAATGGCAGATCTACTTTTGGTTCTTTAAGGAATCTCCACACTGTTTTCCACAGTGGCTGTACTAGTTTACATTCCCACCAACAGTCTAAAAGTATTCTCTTTTCACTGCATCCATGCCAACATCTATTACTATTATTTTTTTGATTATGGCCATTCTTGCAGCAGTGAGGTGGTATCATACTGTGTTTTTGATTTGCATTTCCCTGATCACTAGTGAGGTTGAGCATTTTTCCATATGCTTGTTAGCCATTTATATATCTCTTTTTGAGAATTGTCTATTCATGTCCTTAGTCCACTTTTTGATGGGATTGTTTGTTTTTTCTTGCTGATTTGTTTTGGTTCTTTGTAGATTCTGGATATTAGTCCTTTGTCAGATGTATAGATTGTGAAGATTTTCTCCCATTCTGTGGGTTGTCTGTTAACTCTACCTATTATTTCTTTCGCTGTGCAGATGCTTTTTAGTTTAATTAAGTCCCAACTATTTATCTTTGTTTTTGTTGCATTTGCTTTTGGGTTCTTGGTCATGAATTCTTTGCCTAACCAATGTCTAGAAGAGTTTTTCTGGTGTTATCTTCTAAAATCTTTATGGTTTCAGTTCTTAGATTTAAATCTTTGATCCATCTTTGTTGATTTTTTTATAAGGTGAGAGATGAGGATCCAGTTTCATTCTTCTACATGTGGCTTGCCAATTATCCCAGCATCTTTTGTTGAATAGGGTGTCTTTTCCCCACTTTATATTTTTGTTTGCTTTTTTGAAGGTCAGTTGGCTGTAAGTATTTGGCTTTATTTCTGGGTCTTCTGTTCTGTTCCTTTGGTCTATGTGCCAATTTTTATACCAGTACCATACTGTTTGGGTGACTATGGCCTTATAGTATAGTTTGAAGTCAGGTAATGTGATGCCTCCAGATTTGTTCTTTTTGCTTAGTTTCACTTTGGCAATGTGGGCTCTTTTTAAGTTCCATATAAATTGTAGGATTGTTTTTCTAGTTCTGTAAAGAATGATGGTGGTATTTTGATGGGAATAGCATTGAATTTGTAGATTGCTTTTGGCAGTATGGTCATTTTCACAATATTGATTCTATCCATCCATGAGCATGGGATGTGTTTCCATTTGTTTGTGTCCTCTATGATTTATTTCAGCAGTGTTTTATAGTTTTCCTTGTAGAGGTCTTTTACCTCCTTGGTTAGGTATATTCCTAAGTATTTTATTTTATATATTTGTTGCAGCTGTTGTGAAAGAGGTTGTGTTCTTTATTTGATTCAGCTTGGTTGCTTTTGTTGTATAGCAGAGCTATTGATTTGTGTACACTCATTTTGTACCCTGAAACTTTGCTGAATTCATTTACCAGTTCTAGGAGCTTTTTGGATGAGTCTTCAGGCTTTTCTAGTTATATGATCATATTATCAGCAAACAGTGACAGTTTGACTTCTTCTTTATCGATATGGATGCTACTGATTTCTTTCTGTTGTCTGATTTCTCTGGCTAGGACTTCCAGTACTATGTTGAACAGAAGTGGTAAAAGTGGGCATACTTGTCTTGTTCCAGTTCTCAGGGGGAATGTTTTCAACTTTTCCCCTCTCAGTATAATGTTGGTTGTGGATTTGTCATAGATGGCTTTTATTACATTAAGGTATGTCCCTTCTGTGCTGATTTTGCTCAGGGTTTTAATCATAAAGGGATGCTGGATTTGTCAAATGGTTTTTCTGCATCTGTTGAGATGATCGTGTGATTTTTGTTTTTCATTCTATTTATGTGGTGTATCCCATTTATTGACTTACGTGTCTTAAACCATCCCTGCATCCCTGGTATGTAACCTACTTGATCGTGGTGGATTATCTTTTTGATATGCTGTTGGATTCTGTTTGCTAGTATTTTGTTGAGGATTTTTGCATCTATGTTCATCATGGATATTGGTCTGTCGTTTTCTTTTTTGTTGTTGTTATATCCTCCCCTGATTTTGGTATTAGTGTTATTGGTCTGTTCAGAGATTCTATGTCTTCCTGGTTTAATCTAGGAGGATCGTATATTTCCAGGAATTTATCCATCTCCTCTAGGTTTCCTAGTTTATGCATGTAAATGTATTCATAGTAGCCCTGAATAATCTTTTGTGTTTCTCTGGTATCAGTAGTAATATCACCTGTTTCATTTCTAATTGAGCTTATTTGTATCTTCTCTCTTTTTTTCTTGGTTGATCTCACTAATGAGCTATCAATTTTATTTATCTTTTTAAAGAACCAGATTTTCGTTTCATTTATTTTTTGGAATGTCTTGTTTGTTTATTTGTTTCAATTTCATTTAGTTCTGCTCTGATCTTCATTATTTATTTTCTTCTGCTGGGTTTGGGTTTGGATTGTTCTTGTTTCTCCAGTTCTGTGAGATGTGACCTTAGATTATCTTTTTGTGCTTTTTCAGGCTTTTTGATGCAGGCATTTAATGCTGTAAGCTTACCTCTTAGCACCGCTTCTGCTGTATCCCAGAGGTTTTTGTAGATTGTGTCACTATTATTGCTCAGTTGTAAGAATTTTTTAAATTTCCGTCTTGATTTCATTGTTGGCCCAAAGATTATTCAGGAGCAGGTTATTAATTTCCATGTATTTGCATGGTTTTGAGGGTTCCTTTTGGAGTTGATTTTCAATTTTATTCCACTGTGGTCTGAGAGAATACTTGACATAATTTCGATTTTCTTAAATTTACTGAGACTTGTTTTGTGGCCTATCACATGGTCTATCTTGAAGAATGTTCCATGTGCTGATGAATAGACTGTGTATTCTGCAGTTGTTGGGCAGAATGTTCTGTAAATATCTGTTAGGTCCATTTGTCGTAGGGTATAGTTTAAGCCCACTGTTTCTTTATTGACTTTCTGTCTTGATGACCTGTCTAGTGCTGTCAGTGGAGTATTAAAGTGTCCCACTATTATTGTGTTACTGTCTATCTCATTTCTTAGATCTAGTAGTAATTGTTTTGTAAGTTTGGGAACTGTAGCATTGGATGCTTGTATATTTAGAACTGTGATATTTTCCTGTTGGACTAGTTTTTTTATTATTATATAATGTCCCTTTTTGTCTTTTTTAACTGCTATTGCTTTACAGTTTGCTTTGTCTTATATAAGAATAGCTACTCCTTCTTGCTTTTGGTGTCCATTTGCATGGAATATCTTTTTCCACCACTTTACCTTAAGTTTATGTGAGTCCTTTTGTGTTAGGTGAACCTCCTGAAAATAGCAGAAACTTGGTTGGTGAATTCTTATCCATTCTGCCATTCTGTACATTTTAAGTGGAACATTTAGGCCATTTACATTCAATATTAGTATTACGATGTGAGGTACTCTCCTATTCATCGTACTATCTGTTGCCTGAATACCTTGTTGTTGTTGTTATTTTCATTGTGTTATTGTTATATAGGTTCTGTGAGATTTATACCTTAAGGAAGTTCTAGTTTGGTGTATTTCAAGGATTTGTTTTAAGCTTTAGAGCTCCTTTTAGCAGTTTTTGTAGTTCTGCCTTGGTAGTGGCAAATTCTCTTAGCATTTGTTTGTCTGGAAAAGATTGTATCTTTCCTTCATTTATGAAGCTCAGTTTCACTGGATACAAAATTCTTGGCTGATAATTCTTTTGTTTAAGGAGGCTGAAGATAGGGCCCCAATCCCTTCTAGTTTGTAGGGTTTCTGCTGACAAATCTGCTGTTAATCTGATAGGTTTTCCTTTATAGGTTACCTGATGTTTTGTCTCATAACTCTTAAGATTCTTTCCTTCATCTTGACTTTAGATAACCTGATGGCTATATGCCTAGGTGATGACGATCTTTTTGCGATGAATTTCCCGGGTGTTCTTTGAGCTTCTTACATTTGGATGTCTAGATCTCTACCAAGGCTGGGGCAGATTTCCTCGATTATTCCCTCAAATATGTTTTCCACACTTTTAGATTTTTCTTCTTCCTTGGGAAAACCAATTATTGTTAGATTTGGATGTTTAACATAGTCTCAAACTTCTTGGAGGCTTTGATCATGTTTTAAAATTCATTTTTCTTTGTCTTTGATGAATTAGGTTAATTCAAAAGCCTTGTTTTCGAGAAGTTCTTTCTTCTGCTTGTTTGATTCTATTGCTGAAACATTCCAGTGCATTTTGCATTTCTCTAAGTGTGACCTTGATTTCCAGAAGTTGTGATTGTTTTTTATTTATGCTATCTATTTCACTGAAAAATTTTCCTTTCATATCTGGTATCACGTTTTTAATTTCTTTAAGTTGGACTTCACCTTTCTATGATGCCTCCTTATATTAGCTTAATAATTGACCTTCTGAATTCTTTTTCTGGTAATTCAGAGATTTTTATCTTAGTTTGGATCCACTGCTGGTGAGCTGGTATGATCTTTCAGGGGTGTTAAAGAACAGTGTTTAAGAATTGTTTTTCTGGTTCCTTCTTATTTGAGTAGACTATGTCAGAGGTAAGATCTGGGATTTAAGGTATTCTGTTCAGATTCTTTTGTCCCACGGGGTGCTCCATTGAAGTGGTGTTCTTCTCCTTCCCCCAGGAGTGGGGTTTCCTGAGAGCCAAACTGTAGTGATTGTTTTTGTCTTTTGGATCTAGCCACCTAGCAGAGTTTCCAGGCTCTAGGCTGGTACTGGGAAGTGTCTGCAGAGTGCTGTAATCCATCTTCAGGTCTTGCAGTGGTAGATACCAGCACCCAATCTGGTGGAGGTAGCAGGGGAGTGAGGTGAACTCTGTGAGGGTCTTTGGTTGTGTTTTTGTTTAGTGTGCTCATTTTGTGTTGGTTGGCCTCCAGCCAGGAGGTGGTACTTTCAAGAGTGCATCAGCTGCAGCCCTATAAGGAGGTTGCAAACTTGCCCTAGGGACACTTGGTTAAGTATTCAGGTTTCTCAGGTGGTGGGCAGGGCCATAGAGCTCCCAAGAGATTATGACCTTTGTCTTCAGCTACCAGGGCAGATAGAGAGAGACCACCAGGTGGGGGCAGGGATAGGCTTATCTGAGCTCAGCCTCTCCTTGGGCAGAGCTTGCTGCGATGGCTGTAAAGGATGGGTGTGTGGTTCCCAGTCCAGCGGAGTTATATTCCTAGGGGGATTATGGCTGCCATTGTTGAGTCATACAGGTCACCAGGGAAGTGGGGGGAAAGCCAGCAGTCACAAGCTTCACTCCGTTCCCATGCAGCCCACAGTCCTAAAGGCCAGTCTCACTCCCACCGTGCCCCTGCAACAGCACCCAGTCTATTTCCAGGCAGCCAATTACCAGGGCTGAGAACTTGCCCCAGACCACTAGCCTCCCTGCTGAGAATGCAAGCAGACTCACAAGTTTTCAGCATGTCAGGGAGCCTGCAGCGGTAATCCAATTCCTTCGAAGGGTCTGTGGATTCTCTCGGCTTTCCTGGAAATGTTGAAGCAGTAGTTCTTGAAGCAAAAGTTCATGATGTGAATCTCCACATGCTGCTCTGTCCATCCTAGCAGGAGCTGAAAGCTAGTCCTGCCTCTTATCTACCATCTTAATCCTCCTCTACTCTTTTTTGTCTCTGATTTTAACCAAGGGTGTTTTCTGACCCCAGCTCGTATGTAAATACCAATATTCTCTTTACTGGTTGGCTTCATTCAATTACACTCCATTTTCCAAGCCGGTTATTTTGTTTAGGCATTATACTTTGGCTTCTTTTGCATATGCCTTTTTTTAAAAAAGGTATCTTTTTACAAAGATAAACCATTCAAGACCAGCCTGGGAAACATAGTAAAACCCCATCTCTACTAAAAATACAAAAATCAGCCAGGCATGGTGGTGCACGTCTGTAGTCCCAGCTACTTAGGAGGTTGAAGCAGGAGAATTGCTTGAGCCCGGGAGGCAGAGGTTGCAGTGAGACGAGATTGAGCAACTGCTCTCCAGCCTGGGCAACAGAGCAAGACTCTGTCTCAAAAAAATAAATAAAAATAAAATGATGAACCAAGAATTTCAAGAGGAAACATAATTGGTAATTCTAAGAAGTTACTCAAAATGAACTTTTGAAGAAGGAAGCCCAGACCTGTTTTTGATCAGGGCAGAGCCCTCTGGCTCCCAAGACTCATCCGTTGCTTCTCTTTGATCAAGGCATAATTTGGGTGCCTCCCTAAGAAATTTTCTTTTTCTGAAGGGCTTACGGAGGGAGGGGCTGGTGTGATTGGAAAATGGAGCTGACATTTCTGGGTTGGTGGGATTAAGTGCTGTTTGGCAATGACTTGATAACTGAGGTATAGAAAATGTCAGCCAACTCACTGAATAACTTCATTTCGACACATAACACTAAAGATAGTTGGAGGTCACACCAAAGGAACCTGCTCCACACCTTGTAACCTAGACTTTCCCTATATGGAGAGAAGTGAGCGATGCAATCTGTCATCTGGGTGTCCTGAACACGGAAGAGCATTACATATGGGTAAAGCAGCGGTGAGCAAGCAGGGACTGGAGGTGGGCGTGTGCCAGCACCTTCTCTACACCTGACTCCATGACAGGAGTTCTAAACGCTCTACTTCATTTAACCCCTACAGCAGTTTTCAGGATGTAAATCGTATTGCTACTTTGCTACTGAAGTGAAATAATTTGCCAAGTTCATAGAGACAATACATGTCAAAGGTGAACCTTGAGCCCTTGTCTAATTCTGAAGCTCACTCACGGTCTTTGCACTTTCTTATACTGCCTAGTTCAGCCCAGGTGTGAAATAGGAAAGGTCTCTTCATGTCTAATTAATAAGTTGATAGTAATTTCTTTACTTAATGATAAAGTTAATTTTTTTAGAATGCCCAGAATTTAGCCACATAAAACCCACACATTCCTGTTTTTCTCAAAATTTAAATAATTTCAAAAAGTTCTCACACTTAGAAATGATGAGGAAGTGTGCCCCGTCCCCCAAAAGCAAATAAAGTAAATTTTACTTTCCTCTGCTAACCAGGAGAGAATATTCTTTTAGATTTTGTAAAGGGGAGCTACAATCTATTTTAGTCTTAACAGTGACTTCTCCTTGGAACTGGTAACAAGTTAACATCTTTGCACATGAGTTTTTTAATGGTTAACTCTGGGGGAAGAAAGCAAGCCACAAAACCATTGAGGGGTTCTGTGCCAGGTGCTCTGCTACTTTATTTAAGGACTGTCATTTCTAAATCTGATCTCTAATCAAGACTTGGCAGAAGGGCCTCCTGTTGGCCCTTCGGCAAAGAGCCTTCCTGTGCCTTTGGAGGAATCCTTCATAATTGAACTCTGAATGTAGTCAGATGGCCTGAGTCTTCTACAACACATAATCCAAGAGCTTCTCTCAGAGTTTTACAGATAATTTTGACTCCTTTGCAAAGGCAGAATGTACAGAGAAGCATTCAGAACCCCCCATGTAAAAATCTTTTTGGAACACAAAAACTCAAAACTTAAAAAAATAATAAAGGGCAACACTACAATGGAAAATAGCGTTGTCATCTGTTTCTCGTTATTTCTTATCTGTTTCTCATCCTTCATTTCGATAGGTGCAGTTTTATTTTTAGACTCTTGTCTTTATGGCTTGAGGGCTCTTGCTGTGGTTTTCCACAAGTTTTACCAGCTTTCTCCGCAGCATGTCTTAATGGGAGGGTTGTTTGGGTGATTAACCTGATGCTGAGTTTAAGCGCTGCTTGGCAGGTTGCTGGGTTTATGCTTACAGCATGTGTGCAGAGTGTTATGTTTTCAAGCAGAGCTTCGGAGATTCATTTGTTCCACTCAGTATTTCCCCTGAGGAAAGCTTAACAGCTCTGTTTTTTGAAACATCCTTGTGACAGGTCTGATTCATGACTATCAGAGCTGGAGCGAATTTCCGATCATCTATTTTGGAAGAAATGCCTCTTTCATTGGGAGCAGGTTGGAGGGGTCCATTTTGCTGCTGGTTTAAAAACCAGGATTAGAGAAAGAGAGAGTGAGAATTGTAGAGTACAAGGATATTTACTAAGTACTGAATTATTAATTTTTTTCCTAATGCATGTCCTTTTTTGTGAGTTACTATTTGTATAACTTATTTTGCGTATTGCTAGATCTTTCCATTTGCCTATTTCCTTTTCTTTTGTGAAATAATAACTACATGATGGAGATGCTTTACTGACCCAAATTTCTTAAATGTTCCTTTTTCTCTTTGTATATGTTAAAGGATGTGGGGAACCAGGTGAGGTGTGGCCCTTTGTTTCCAAGGGCCTGATTCATGTTCTGCATGTGAAATGAGGGATAGAGCACAGAAGGAGCCTGAGAGCAAAGTGGCCCCTGGATAAATCTTGTGTTTGAATTGGATTTTCTTTCTCAGCTTGGTAAAGCCCACATGATTTCCAAATATTATGAATCATCATTGGAGATGGCAATTGGGAGAACATATTTTTTCTGTTTATTTATCAGACAATTTTTTTTTTCCTAAACCAGGCTATACTTTAGGGCAATGGCTTCCTGGTGGGCAAACATCATAATGGGACTCATAGCAATCTGGTGAAAGGGACAATTTAAGTCTTCAGCTTGCAAGAAATATATGGTGGTTTTGAGCAATTTTTTCCAACAGACTTTTTACCATTTGTGAAGCTCCTGCCAGGGCAACTAAAAGGAACACTGAATTTTCCTGGTATTTTCACTATGTCTTTGGTTTAATGATAGCAAAGCCTTTTCCCATAAAGAAAGTCTGTTCTGCTCCTGGCAGAGGACAACAATGGCAGTCTTTCGCAGGCTCAGTCACCCTTCAGGTAACCTCCTTATCCCAAGTCAACCTTTTCTCCTTTATTTTTCTTTTATATCCCATATCTAGCCCACTAATAGATTGTGTGGGCCCCACATCAGATGTATCCAGCAGCTTCTCCTGTCCACCTCCTCCATTGTTTCTCCCCTGAATGAGTGCAGTGATCTCTTCTCTGGTTCCCAAATTCGCCCTTGCCTTTCCACGGATGGTACACAAAGGATCTACCTGGAGGGGTCCTTAAACGCCAAGATCAGATCAATCCATTTCCTGCTTAAAGCCCTGTAATGGCTTTCCATTTTACTCAAAATAAGATTTAACACCAATAAAATTCAGTCTCTTTATCAAGGCCTCATATCCCTTCATATAATTTGATCCTTTCTCTGCCACCTCTCATTTCTCCATCACCCCTCTATCTCTCTCCTTCTCTTTTCTCTGCATTCTACTACATTAACCTTTTGTTTCCATGAATATTTCAAGTTCAATCCTACTATGAGTCCTTTGCAGTTGCTGCTCATGCTGCCTGGAAGTTCTTTCCCCAGGTTTTTGCATGGCTGACTTTTTGTCATTTAGGTCTCAGTTCCTCGGTAGTATCTAAATAGCCTTGCCTGAGCCATTCTCCTTGAGTGTCATCATTGAGTTTGCCATCTTCATAGTCCTCGTCACTGGTTGATATTTTTTGTTTACTCTTCTTATTTTTAGCCCTTCCCCTAGCATATATGTTATATAATATTGGGACCTTAATTTTTTTCCCTCAGGACATTGTAGGTACTTAATACAGTAAATGAATTAAGTTTTTCACTAAATGAAGACAGCAAGAAAGAGTACATACTCAATAGTACTTACTGAAGATGGGGGACTGGAGAGAAAAGGTCTTACTGCCTAGGCGTGCTGCATTTTATCTTCGGCCTTCATTAATTTATCCGTTTAAGAAATATTTAATTGCTTACTATGTGCTAAGCACTGTTTTAGGTCATGCCAGTAGAGCATAAACCAAATAAGGCCTCTGCCCTCTCAGACATGACATTTTAGAGTGAAGATTTAGATATGAAATATATAAGATATCAGATGATTACAGGTACAATGAAGATTAAGAGAAGAAGACGTGTTGGGCGAGGTGTGAGGATTTGCTATTTTAAAATAAAGGATCATCAGGGAAGGCTTCTCACAAGGTAACAGTTGAACAGAACAAGACACGTGGCTATGGGTGGGAAGAGAGTTACACGTGGGGCATATCCAGAGTCCCTGAGGGAGAAGTCAGCCTGATATATTCCAAGAACAGCAAGAAGGTCAGCAACAGCAGCAGTGGATAAATGAGGAGAAGAGTAATAGCAGAGAAGTTAGAGAGTTGGGGAAGGATGAGAGATCACAAAGGGCCTTGTGGGCCGTTGTAAGGACTTCAGTTTTCACTCTGTGTTACCTGGGAAGCTACTAGAAGGTTTGGGGCAGAGAAGTGATCAGATTTTCATTTTTAATGGGTCACTTTGGCTACTGTGAGGTGAACTGACTATAGCAGAGGCAAGAGTGGAAGAAGGAAAAGCTGGTTGGGGGGTTATTGCAATAGTTCGAGTGAGAGGTGGTAGTGGTTTAGCCAAGGCACCGGCAGTAGAAGAGGTGAGAAGTGGTCACCTGCCTATATATAATAAAGGTAGTGCTTACAGAAGTTGATGTAGAGTGTGAGAAGAGAGGAGTCAGGACCACCCCTTGAATTTTGGACTGAATGTTCTTAGAGGCCTCATTCAGTTCTAAGTTCTATCTGCTTAGAAATAAGCAGAGAGTTGTTGTTCCATATTTGATACATAGACATGGCAAAGACCGATGCAAAATGGAATGGGCACCAGGATTTATAAACAAGGTTACTCATTTGGACCACAGGGTTTAGCTTGAGGCAAGAAATCACACTTGAAGTTCTCACCAACAATTGTATTGCTTTATCACATTAACACTTTGAGTTGTGTAAGGGACTAGATTTCTTTTATTGTGTTGGCTGCTGAAAAGCTTAATGCTATATTTAGTTAGTCTTTGCTATGTAACAAATCCCCCCAAAATGCAGTGTCTTAAACAGCAAATATTTTAATAGCCAGTGGCTGAGTCAGAAATTTATGCTGTACTCAGCTGGGTGATATGTTGTCTTGCTGTACTTTACACACATTACAAAACTATCTTTAATATTGTAATTTGTTTTACCATATTATAATTTATGATTGAATTTTTTACCCTGATGTGTGAGATGTCTTGGTTTAGAAAACTTTGCACTTAGCTTTTTGTGACTTTCTGGAGTATTTCACAGCTTTATATGAACTCAAAATTAGTCATCAGATACTTGAGGGAGTTAGTATTTCCCATCTGGGCCTGACTAGTAGTCTTCTCTCCAGAGACTTCTTCCTTCCATCTTCATTCAATGAAAGGAGGATGTTCTAACCCGTAAGAGTGACAAACCACAAGCATTGCCTCAATGTACGCTATGGTAACACTCTATTCTAGTTCATCTCTGTAAATTGGTGGACTTTGAGATTCATTCTTTGGAGAGAAATGAAAATTCTAGAACTAGAGTATTTAAGAAGAAACATGATCTTTGTTTGTGGACTGCTTCTTCTTCCAAGTAGCTGAAGATTGAAACAGATCCAATTGTGAAAAGGAACATTGACTTCCTCACCAGCTGTAAAATGATCTATCACAGTCAGGTTTCTTTGAGGGTTGCTTACTATTTTTCCTTATGTCTGACTACCAAGCCAAATTCCAGGAGGGTTATTATGTTATTGAAGACCAGTTGCCCAGTGACTCAGTTGGCTTCTCTGGGCATCAGGGCTGCTGAAAAGAGCTCTTCCTCTACATATCTAGAATAAATGTATTTTTATTTTTTAAAATTCGCCATATAAAAATGGTAGGATTTGGATCAGCGAAGAGTAGGTTGAACCATGGGCACAAAAGGGATGCTGGAGATTTGGGGGAAAACTGCTTCCCATGCCTCCCCCTGAGAAGTAGGGCAAACCTTTGGAGTAGCTCACAGAGAGCTTCTGGAGAAATGAGAAGGCCTCTTTGAGCTTTAATAGGTTTGAATGCTAAAGGGCAAGAAGTAAATGATGGTGAATACAATTTGAGAAGTGACAGTGGCTTTATCCAAGGCATTAGCAGTGGAAGGGATGAGAAGTCGTCACTTGCTCATACCTAATGAAGGCAGTGCCTATAGGATTTTAAGTAAAGTGTGACAGGAGAGGGTCAGAATACTTCAATTAACTTTTATAGGGAAAAGCAATGGTAGTGATTTGGGAGGTGTCTATTCTTCCCTTCTAAGATCACGACCAACAGTGAGGCTTAGGGGGCACATACTGCTTAATATATTGCCATTAAAAAAAGTGTGGCTGGGCGCAGTGGCTCAAGCCTGTAATCCCAGCACTTTGGGAGGCTGAGGCGGGCAGATCACTTGAGGTCAGGAGTTCAAGACCAGCCTGGGCAACATGGTGAAACACTGTCTCTACAAAAAATACAACAATTAGCTGGGCATTGTGGCATGCCCCTGTAGTCCCAGCTACTCGGGAGGCTGAGGTAGGAAGATCACTTAAGCCTGGGAGGTTGAGGCTGCAGTGAGCTGTGATTGTGCCACCGAATTCCAGCTTAGTCAACAGAGCAAGAACCTGTCTCAAACAAACAAACAAACAAACAAAGAAAATAAAAAGAAAGAAAAGTGCTATATTAACTTTAAGAGAGCTATGTCATAGAAGAAAAGATGAAGGAAATACATGAAAATAGTAATTATGGATTTATCTGCATGATTGGGATTATAGGTGCTGTGTCCCAATATTTTATTATAAAAATTTTTTAATGTACAGAAAATTTAAAATAATTTTACAGTAAACATCTATACACCCACTATCTAAATTTTACCATAGGCATTTATTATACTTGCTTTATCACATATTTATCAATCTATCCATCCTATATTCACCCATTAAGCTATCTTATATTTTTAAAAAATACTGCATTGAAAGGATATAGGATAGTTTATAGATACCAGAAAGGATGGGGAGACCAGCTTAGAAAATCAACAGGAAAAAGAAGGCTAAGAAGTAAGAATTGCAGGCCAAATCATGCCACAAAACCACTGTGATGAGGATCTCCCACCCTCCGCCAAATATCAGAACATTGAAGCTTACACAAGGGTCACTGCTGCTCCAGGAACTTGTTGTTGCAGCCACAAAGAGAATGGGTTCCCCACTGTTTGGTGGGTGCAGCTGACTGGCTGAGTTGTTGTCTGTTTGAATATCAGTCCTTTTCAGTAGAGGGTGATATTCTTTGCCTTCCACTCAGATATATGTGGTAGGGAATTGCCCAATCAAGATGCAGAGCAGCCAAAGCTATTCTACAAATGTCCACTAAAAACAATGAACGGGGCCAGGCGTGGTGGCTCACACCTGTAATCTCAGCACTTTAGGTGGCCAAGGAGGGTGGATCTCCTGAGGTCAGGAGTTCGAGACCAGGCTGCCCAACATGGTAAACCCCATCTCTACTAAAAATACAAAAAATTAGCCAGGCATGGTGGCGGGGTGCCTGTAATCCCAGCTATTCGGGAGGCTGAGGCAGGAGAATCGATTGAGCCTGGGAGGCGGAAGTTGCAGTGCGCCGAGATCACACCACTGCACTCCAGCCTGGGTGACAAGAGTGAAACTCCATCTCAAAAAAATAAAAATAAAAATAAAAATAAAAAACAATGCGAGGAAGTATGGATGGTTGGATGGGTTGGTAGTCAGTTGGGTAGTTGGATGGATGAGTGGATAGATGGATGATGGATGGATAGACAGACGGGTAGGTGGGTAGATGGATGGATGAATGGGTGAATGAATGATGGATGGATGGGTGGGTGGGTGGTGGATGGGTGAATGGGTGGGTGAGTAAGTAGATGGATGATGGATGGATGGCTGGATGGGTGGATTGGTGGGTGGAAGGATAGATGGGTGGGTGGGTGGATAGGTCGATGAAGAAACTGAGGCTCTGTGACTGATCAAAGTCCACACAGCTGAGAGATAGCAGAGCTCTACTACTTCTGAGCCAGGGCTCTTTCCTCTGCCCCACACTGATGCAGCCAAGATCCATCGTTTTCAAATGTTTAATCTTCTGTGTTGCCTTTGGAGACACTGCCTTTGCTGAGGTGTGTTACGAGATATGGTCGTTTTAAAACATGGCTAAAATTTCTATGGCACCCCTGTTAAAAGATGTAGCCTATGTTCCTTCCCCTTGAGCCTGAGTAGAACTTTGTGACAACCACCATAAATAGAATGCAACACACATGCTACTACAAGACTTCCAGTGACGTTAGAAAAGGCCAGGGTCATTTAAAAAATGCATTTCAAAGTAAATTGTAGACTTCAATATACTTCCTCCTAAACACTTCAACATTTATTTACAGTTTCTTAAGTGTAAAATGTACATACAATGAAATGCCTAAATCTTAAATGTGCATTTACTGAGTTTTGACAAATTTATGCACCCATTTAAACCCATTTAAACTCTATGGAAATATTGAACTTTGGCATTGAAGAGAGTAAAAAAACTCCCTATGTCCCTTCCTAGTCAACCTCTCCCTCCAACCTTGAAATAACTAGTGTTCTAATTTCTTTCCCCACTATAGATTAGTTTTGCTTGTTCTAGAATGTCTATAAATGAAGTCATACTGTGAGTGTTCTTTTATGTAAGGCTCTTTAAGTCAGCATCATATTTTTGAGATACATCCATGTTGTGTTTATCAGTAGTATGCAACTTTTTATTGCTGTGTACAATTCTATTATATGAATATGCCAATTTATTCATCCATTCACTTATTGATGAATATCTTGGATTTTTCCAGTTTAGGGCTATGATGAATAAAGTTTCAATGAACATTCTTGTACAAGTTTTTTTTGTGGACATGTTTTCATTTTTCTTGGGTAAACATAGGAATGGAATTAGTGGGTCATAGGCTAGGTATATATCTAGTTTTATAAGAAAGGGCCAAACCTTTTCCAAAGTGCTATTAACATTTTATATTCCAGTCAACAATACATGAGTCTTACTGTTCTATATTCTTTCCAACATTTAGTGTTGTCAGTGTTTTGAATTTTAGTCATTCAGGTTGGTGTGTCATTATACGGTAATTTTAATTTGCATTTCACTTATGGCTAATTATGTTGAACACTTTTTCATGTGCTTATTGGCCATTTGCATATTTTCATTTGTGAAGTGTCTGTTCAAATCTTTTGTTCATTTATAAAATTGGGTTATTGTTTTATTGTTGAGTTGAAGGAGTTCTTTATGCATCCCAGGCAATAAACCTTGTCAGATAAATGTCTTGTGAATATTTTCTCACTCCAGGCTGTGGTGTGCCCATTCATTTTCCTAATAATATCTTTTGGTGAACAGAAATTATCATTTTTGGCAGTGTAATTTATTTTTTCTTTTATGATTTTGCTTTATTGTTTTAGCTTTTATGTTTAGATCTATGATTCATTTGAAGTTAATTTTTGTGTATGGTGAGAAAAGGGTCAATGTTCATATTTTAAATATGAATATCTGGTTATTTCAGCACTATTTGCTGAAAAGACTCTCTTTTTCTCATTATATATATACATATTTGCAGTGGCTTGATCTTGGTTCATTGTAACCTCCACCTCCTGGGTTTAAGTTATTCTCTTGCCTCAGCCTCCCAAGTAGCTGGGATTACAGGAGCCCACTACCGCACCTGGCTAATTTTCATATTTTTAGTAGAAACGGGGTTTCACCATGTTGACCAGGCTGGTCTTGAACTCCTGGCCTCAAGTGATTCACCTGCTTCGGTCTCCCAAAGTGCTAGGATTACAGGCATGAGCCTCCACGCCTGGCCTCATAATAATTCTTTATAAAAACTCTGAGTATTTATGTATTGTTTTTCTATTGCTGCCATACAAATTACCACAATCTCAGTGGCTTAAACAACACTAATTTATCTTACACTTCTGCAACTCAAAAGTCTGACATGAGTGTCACTGGACTAAATCAAGGTGTTGGCAGGGCTGTGTTCTTTTCTTGGCCTTCTAGTAGAGAATGCGTTTCTTTGCATTTTCCAGCTGCTAGAGGCCACTCACATTCCTCGGCTCACGGCCCCTTTTGTTGGTTGAATTGTTTCTCCCAAAAATATATGTTGAAGTCCTAATCCTTGGTATCTGTGAAAGCGACCTTATTTGGAAACAAAGTCTTTGTAGATGTAATGAAGGCGTAAACTAAGATGAAGTTGTATTATAGTGGAGTGGACCCTTAATCTGAAATGACTGGTGTCCTCCTAAGAAGAGAAGTACAGAGACAGATATACAAAGGAAGGGTGTCACATGACCAGGAAGTCTAAAGCGCTGGAAGCAGCAGGCCAACGAATGCTAAGGATTTCTGGCAAACCACCAGAGGCCAGGAGGGGGCAAGGGAAGATTCTCCCCTACAGATTTTGGAGTGAGCATCACCCCACTGACATCCTGATTTTGGACTTCAGGACTTCAGAAGTGTGAGACAATCAATTTCCATTATGTTAAGTCACATAGTCTATGATGTTTTGTTAGAGCAGCCACAGGAGACTAATCAGTCGCCTTTCTCCATCTTCAAAGCAAGTAACGATGGGTTGAGTCCTTTTCACATTGCATCTCTCTAATTCTTTTTCTGTCCTCACATCTCTCTTTCCATAGCCAGGAAACGTTCTCTGCTTTTTTTTTTTTTTTTTTTTTGGTGGAGTCTCTCTCTGTCGCCCAGGCTGGAGTGCAGTGGCGTGATCTCGGCTCACTGCAAGCTCCACCTCCCGGGTTCACGCCATTCTCCTGCCTCAGCCTCCCTAGTAGCTGGGACTACAGGCATCCGCCACTCCACCTGGCTAATTTTTTGTATTTTTAGTAGAGACGGGGTTTCACCGTGTTAGCCAGGATGGTCTCGATCTCCTGACCTTGTGATCCGCCCGCCTCAGCCTCCCAAAGTGCTAGGATTACAAGCATGAGCCACCGCGCCCGGCTGGTGCTCTGCTTTTAAGGACTCTTGTGATTCCATTGGGCCCATCTGGATAATACAGGATAATATCCTCATTTCAACATCCATGATCATAAAATCCTTAATCACATCTTCAAAGTACATTTTGTCATGTAAGGAAAAATATTCATAGTTTCTGGAGATTTTGATGTGGACATTTTAGAGAGATGGCTGTTAGTTTGCCTATCACAACTTATTTTTTCCCGAATCTACATTGAATTTTTTTGGTCATTTTTATATTAAAAAATGAACAGCAAATGTTATTTTAAAAATCAAAGATTCTCAGATTGGTTAAAGAAATAAGCCAAAAAACCTTCTTCTCATTAAACATATGAAATAACATTAATAACCTCCAACCATGAAATTAGTTTCTTTGTTGAATTGTTAGTGTATATGAACATTAAGTTTAATTGTTGTTCTTTGGTTTACCTGTTAATGCATATAAATGTTAAGTTTATGATACTGTATTTGATCAAGCATATATTACAAGATGTTGCTTTATGTGTTAATTTTACAAGTTCCTTATTTTATGGGGTTTTCACTCAATAACTTCATTGTGAATCAAATAAAGTCTTGGAGAAGATACTTTATCCTGAGATGACCTCAATTAATACTAACTTTGAATGTTAAAGGTCTCATCTATTTTTGTTTTAAAGCAAAGAAATTTACTTCTGATTTAGTAATTATTCCCACAGCACAATATCAAAATTGCAAGTCTCAGATCATCTTTTATAGAAGCTTTTTAATGATCATTTTAAAAAGCCAATATGGCGAGTGGTTTCTTTGTGAAGATCTTGAATCTATAAGATAAATGAGAATAATCAACTGTCCTAATGCTACGCAAATGAGCACTTGTAGCTTGGAAAAAGATTGCAGTACAGCTTCACTAAAAAAGTGCTGTATATCAAGCGATTTAGCAAACAGTGGAAATAGCATGTTTGGAAATCTGTGTTAAATGGTTTAAAAAGTGCAGAACATACATCAGTCAAAGATGCATGCAAAGAATTTAAATAAAATTGGCTTATAAAATATGAATATAGAAAAATAAAACATTTTAAATCATTTTAGATATGATGTAATTTCCAAATAGGTATGGAATTACATTGATACATGGAAAGTAAAAAGTTATTTTATACAATTTATAATATTTATCGTTTTAATTTGGCCCCAAACTCACTTTCTTTCTCTTTTTAATAGTCTCAATTGGGAAAATACTTGAGGTTGTCTCATATTCCGGTATATATGTTATATGAGGAGGCATGACTTGTTTTAGGGCTTGTAAGGTAGCAGCAGCTAACAGATGGAATCAGGACTGGGCTAAGGGAAACATCTCCTCATCCTGGCTTTCTCTGATCAAAGTGTGTTTTCATTTCCCTCTTTCAAAGACTGAGTGGGCGATTAGATTCCTCACAGCCTCTGTGGTCCCACAGATAGACTGTATAGAAATGCCTGCTATTAGAAGGACCCTGAGGGACCTTCACAATGTCACTGGCTATCCCTTCATCAGCCCTCGAAAGAGATTTGAAGGAAGTGAGGGAAGTGGATGTTTGTAGTTTATGGACAGGATCTATGCTATAAAACAGAATTGCTTTTATTACCAACAGCAAAAAGTAACTTGTATAAACTTTTGGGGATATGGTTGATATCTTTCCTCTATTTTGTTTTTGCTGTAAAACAAATACGAGGACAAAGTTAGACACATAAAGTAGATAGAAACAAATTTAAAACAGACACCGGAAAGCATTTTTTCCCTACTCTGAAAACCATTCGTGTGTAGTGTGGCCAAGGAGACAAGGGTGAAGAATTAAACCGCCAGGTTGCTGGAGAAGGTTAGCTGACAGAACTGGCATTTGGAGAAGCTGGCTCTTTAAGATGCGAATTGGTTTTCCTAGGCCAAATGCATTTATTCTTCCAAAAATGTCTTGTGTAATTATTTATTCCACATAAAGCTTCACATGCATGTACTCAATCAGCCCATGGAATGGTTTAGCAGGGTATTGCAGGAAGAGCAAAGGATGATAGCATGGAAAGAAATCCAACTAATTCAAGTGGCTGACATAAAGCTACAGCATTTGATTTATTTTTCTCCTACTTAGCTGGGCTATTTTGACCCTTCTTGGGACTGTTGGGCGTAATCCTTGGGGCTAATGAGTGGTTCCTCTCTCGGCTGTTTTCCTAGGTCCTTTGTGAAATGTAAAGAGCAAGCTCCCTGGCAGAACAGACCACCTTTCTCCAGCATGTGCTCCAGAAACAAGAGGCCAGGCTATGGTTTACCTCTCCTGGGACCAAGTCCAGCGCAGCCTTTCCTAACTCCATCCTTCCCAAACTAGAGTTGGGGAGGATGCAAGAAATAATAAATAAAGGTGACAAAATTCTTGTGAACTGCAGAACGATCCTGGCTTAGTTATTCACCGTAATAGGGGACACAGGAGACGGGACTGGGGAAAATTCAGGGCTCCTTCGTGACATCAATAGAGAAGCTATCAGTCTGTTGTATGACGCTATATTCTAGGCCCCATGTTGGGAGGGTGGGCGTATTCTATATTTCTTGTTTTTTTGTTTTTGTTTTGTTTTTGTTTTTGTTTTGTTTTGTTTTGGGTTTTTTTGTTTTTTTTAGATGGAGTTTCACTCCTGTTGCCCAAGCTGGAGTGCAATGGCGTGATCTCGGCTCACCACAACCTCCGCCTCCTAGGTTCAAGCAATTCTCCTGCCTTAGCCTCCTGAGTAGCTGGATTACAGGCATGCACCACCATGCCAGGCTAATTCTGTATTTTTAGAAGAAACAGGGTTTCTCCATGTGGCCCAGGCTGGTCTCGAACTCCTGACAGCAGGTAATCCGCCCTTCTTGGCCTCCCAAAGTGCTGGGATTACAGGCGTGAGCCACTGCACCCCGCCAGAGTATCCTGTATTTCTAAACCTCAAAACAATCCTAATGTAGGATAGATATTGTTTAGAGTTTTTTGGATGTAAGCAACAACTTATTTTGACAATAAAAGTAATTGATTCCAAGGATGTGGGATAGCTCAGATAATTTTGTAAAAACTGAAAAATCAGGCTTAGAAAGAAGATGGAATGGGTCAGCTTCTGGGGTCTAGATTGCAAGAACTGACTCATAGTTTGATTAGGGTGCTGCTTGGATGAATGCAAGATCTGTTATCTGCTCTTGTATTATTCTGCTCAAAATTCAAATTTCAGGGATACAGAAATCCAACCCAGGAGAGCAGAAACTCTTAAGTCCTAGTATGACTTTATGTAATGGTGGTGAGTAATTACCCAAAACAAAACTGGTGGTATGTTGTTAAAAAAAAAATACTTAAAATCGAACATAACTTGACTAATACCACACAGCAATTGAGTGGCATCCAGGATAGAAACCCTATTGTTTCTTTGCCCCAAAGGCTACACTTTTTCCCTCCTTTCCCATGCTACCCCTCATGTTAATTTATGGGCAAGAATCATGTACACTGTTCTGTCATTGCTCGCAACAAAGTGACTAAAGTGAAGGAAGAGATGAAGATTGGGGGGGCGTGAGAAATAGATATGGTTGGGAAAGGAGATTTCATTTTACTAGCAAAAAATTTTCAAGATGCTTTCCCCAAATGCCTTCTTATGTGGTTTGGATCTGTGTCCCCACCCAAATCTCATGTTGAAACGTAATCCCCAATGCTGGAGGTGGGGCCTGGTGGGAGGTGACTGGATCATGGGGATGGTTTCTAATGGTTTAGCACCATCCCCCTCCTGCCGTTCTTGTGATAGAGTTCTCAGTAGATATGCTTATTTAAAAGTGTGTGGCCTGGCCAACGTGGTGAAACCCCATTTCTACTAAAAATACAAAAATTGGCCTTTTGCAGTGGCACATGCCTGTAATCCCAGCTACTCGGGAGGCTTAGGCAGGAGGATCACTTGAACCTGGGAGGCGGAGGTTGTGGTGAGCCGAGATCACATCACTGTGCTCTGGTCTGGGCAACAGAGTGAGACTCTGTCTCGAAAAAAAAGAAAAAAAATAGGTGTGGCACCTCCCCTCCTCTCTCTCTTCCTCCTGCTCTGCTCCGGCCATGTAACACATGCTTGCTATCCCTTCAGCCATGATTGAAAGTTTCCTGAGGCCTCCCCAGAAGCCACTATGCTTCCTATACAGCCTGCAGAACCATAAACCAATTAAATGTCTTTTCTTTATAAATTACTCAGTCTCAGGTATTTCTTTATAGCAATACAAGAACAGACTAATACCTTTCTATCTAGGCATCCTTGACATCACCACTGTCTTCTGATTTTACTACTACTTCTTTACTTTCTCTCTCTCTCAGAAGTTGTGACAAATCTCCTTTTGTATTTCTAGATGTGGGAAGTTGCCAGGCCTTGGTTCTAGATCGTCTTTTCTTAATCAATTCTCAGCCATACACCAATGATTCGTCATTAGCTACGGACTACAGGATAAAGTCTAAATGGCTTAGGATGTCCTTCAGTGTCCTTCATACCTGGGCCTTACCCTTCCTAATCATCTTTTTCCTTCATGGTACCATCAGTTAAGGCCCATGGGTTTTGTTTTGTTTTTTGAGATAGGGTCTGGCTCTGTTGTCCAGGCTGGAGTGCGGTGGTACCATCTTGGCTCACTGCAACCTCTGCCTCCCAGGTTCAAGTGATTCTCCTGCCTCAGCCTCCTGAGTAGCTGGGATTACAGGCGTGTGCCACCACGCCTGGCTAATTTTTATGCTTTTATTAGAGATGGGTTTTGCTATGTTGGCTGGGCTAGTCTGGAGCTCCTAGTCTCAAGTGATCCACCCGCCTTGGTGTCCCAAATTGCTGGGATTACAGGTGTGAGCCACTGCACCCGGCAGACCCATGGATTTAACTCTTCTTTGTGTTCCAATATACCATTCACATTATGACTTACAACATTTTGTTCATGCTATTCTATCTTTTGGGAAATTCCTTCTTACTCTTTGCCACGTATCCCAAACTGTCTCATTCTACAAGATCCAGCTCAAGTCCCAGCATTTCCAGGAAATCTCCCACAAGTCTGCATTTCACTGACCACTCCTTTTCCAAGAGTCTGGGCCATTTGTCTGAGACATCCACTATGGCCCTTAAGCACACACCATCTTATAACATGTGGTTATCTTGTTTCTTTGTGGCTGTCTTGCTTGTTTCTTTGAATTATTTGTAAGGTTTTGGAGGGAAAATCATTTTAGGTCTGTGTAATACCCAACAGATGCTCATTTAATCAAGTTGTTCCAGAAATAAGAACTGTGTAATGTCTCTTCGAAGAAAAATTACTGTACCAGTTCCCAAACCCAGACTTCTACAGAAGCAGCATGAACCTCAGTCCAGGTTTGGATCAAGGATATCCTAATGGGACAAGTCAAGATTGCAGCCAGCTTGCCTCAACAGCTTCTTCAATCTGCTCTCACCCTGGGGGAGACCTAAGGGGCTCTCTAGAAAAGTGGAGAAAAGCAGAATAAATCAAGAAAGTCCTCCTAGAAGACGGGAAGATACCTCCATGATGATCTCCAGAAACCTGTTCTGAGGGTTTCCAGTAAAATCATGACTATGATACCACCCACTCCTTGGACAAGGTCCAATTTCCTGTGCTGGTCCATAAGTCTCCACTCTGCAGAGAGTCAGAATCCTCTCCCTCCCTTCATTCATTCATGGAGTATTTTCTGGCCTTGGCTCTGTGAAGTTTACAGGTTCATAACAGGGTGAAGTCCCAGGTTCTAGTACATGGTCATGGGTCTTAGGACCCTGCCTTAGGCCTGAAGATCACAAATGCACAAGCCTGAGGCTCTAAATCCACTCCTACAGGAGCAGGTTCCATCAGTGTAGGGAAGCTGAGGTCAGGTAGAGTGGAAGGAAGGGGGTGGCCTTAGGGTGGAAACCCAGGCAGCTTAAACAGACCAAAAGCCTACTTTTTTTTTTGGCACATTTTTAGGAACTGGCCATTCACAGCTTCTACTGTTATTTCATCAATGGAACTCACACGTGTAGCAGTAGTTGTCTGGCAAAGGCTACTAATGTTAACTTTCCCCATAGCTTGCTCTAAAAATCATGTAAAGCATTTTCCTGTTTTCTTTTGGAAAATGTCTATACTACATCCTGACATTTAAGCTGCAGCCCTAATGGGAGTGACTAATGGGAGCTGTTGGTTCTTGGCTATTTCGAAAGTAAGCCAACTTAATCTAGTAATATCTTTTTTAAGGCTCTCAGGAAAAGGAAAAAAAATGACAATTAAGCAACACAAGCAACTAGTGTACTTTCCTTAAGCATTCTTAGTAAAACAAATGTGTAAGTGTTTTTAAAGTTTTGAAGGTCTGGTTTAAATAAAACATTTAACCCTTTGAGAGCCAGGGCTGTAATATGTATTTACAGAAGTACAGGATTGGGGTGGGGTCTACTATGTAGCCGCCAATATTTTGGCATTTCAGTGCATACACAAATCTCTGGTTTATAAGATTGGGAGCAGTTACACAGACAGTGGGAGAGACAAAACAAAAAGCAGTGCTTGGATCGTGCTTGGAAAATATTTTTGGATTCAAGATGAGCCAAAACCATGGGAACTGGCCTATATCTTAGGGTTTAGAAGAGATCCAAATAGGCCTACCACGTAGTAGAAATATGAATAGAACCAGACTGCAACTAGGCAACCAGGGTTCTCGCCTCACCTCGATAGAAACTAGCTTTGCAATGAACTATGTTACAACTCTGGGCCTTACTTTCCCCACTTTTAAACTTATAAACAGGATTGGACTTCTAAAGGCCTTTCTTTTTTGCTTGTGAGATGGAGTCTTACTCTGTTGCCCAGGCTGGAGTGTAGTGGTGTGATCTCAGCTCACTGCAACCTCCGCTTCCCAGGTTGAAGCGATTCTCTTGCCTTAGCCTCCTGAGTAGCTGGGATTACAGGCACCTGCCATCATTCCTGGCTAATTTTTTGTATTTTTAGTAACGATGAGGTTTCACCATGTTGACCAGGCTGGTCTTGAATGACTGGCCTCAAGTGATCCACCTGCGCTGGCCTCCCAAAGTGCTGGGATTACAGGCATGAGCCACTGTGCCGGCTCTCTAAAGGCCTTTCTAGTGCTGACATTCAACAGCACTAAATCACCTCAAAGGGATGATCAGATGCCCATATTCTCCTTATTGGTTGGTTTCCTGGAGGTCTATAGACGGGAGGGCTCCCGCTGCATTTGTAGCTTGACCTTTCCGGGCTGTCGCCCACAATTCTGTTAAGGGCAGAGTGATGTGGAGACGATAAACGCTCATGACCACACCAGGACTTCTAAAGGTTCAGAGCACTTAGAAAATTTTCCTGGTTGCCATTTATCTGGATTTGTTCCTACAATTCCATGAGAAAGCAGTAGTTCCAGGCCATGCTTAGAAAGGAGCTTTGTGTGGATATGTGAGCTCATTCTTCTAATAGTGATGATAGTAAGAGGAGTAGAAGGAGGAAGAAGAGCAGCTGACAGTTACTGAATGTGTGCTATCTGCTTGGGCCCTATGCTAATGGCGTTGCCTGTACTATCTCATTCAATCCTCTCAGCCACAGTGTAAGGAAAGATCATCCTAGGAAAGAAACCAGGTCTCAGAAAAGTTACGTAACTTGTCCAAGGAGACGGAATTGAAATTCAGGTCTGACTGATTTGAAAGTTTTTTCTTTTAACTACAAGATAATACTGCCTGAGTGGGTGAATTGAATGATTGAATTGAATTGAATGATATGAATAAAAATTCTCTGAAAAGGAATTTGGAGGAGATACTTTATTCCAGTAACAATCTGCAAACTGGGAAGATGCAGCTTTTGGTGTAACATGAAGGTGGTTCCAGAGCACAAAGAGAAGCTTCAGATTTGATATAGCAAAAGGTCCTACTCAGGTTCCCAGTGAGGACCATTTTTGCAAATGAAGTATTCAAACTTGTTCTGACTGGTCAACACAATTGAGTCCTGATTGGTCAATACAGCTGAGCCCTGATTGGCCAGGGTAGATGAGCTCTGATTGGTTGGTTTCCAAGCTCAAAACCAGAAGTCTCTGTCAGATGCTTTTGTCAAAGGGCCAGGAGGGACCAAGTGTCTGGCCACAGTTTATCTTGGCACCTACAACGGAAACTGGTTTGGCTTGATTGTAGACAGGGAGGTCCTGTGATACATTTACATCTTTCTAAGAACACAAAGTACATGACCAGTCCTTCACCCAGCCACAGCTGCCTGGTTCTGTTTTAACTCACTTCAGTTAGTCATGGGGAATCCATGGGTAATCCATGCTTTCTGTCAGCCAGGGCATACAGGGAATTACATCTTGCCTGGAAATGATCTAGACATTTAATGAACACCCATCATTTAATTTAGCTTAGCAAAACATCTGACACAGACAGGATACCTTGTAGGTGCCAAAATAACCTGTGGCCAGAAACCCTGCCCCCATCAACCCTTTGAAAGAAGCATCTGACAGAGACTTCTGGTTTGGGGGTTGGAAACCAACCATTCAGAGCTCACCTGTCCCCACCGCCAATCAGGGCTCAGCTATATTGACAAATCAGGACTCAACTGTGTCAACCAGTCAGAACTAAGCAATTTTGAATACTTCATTTGCATAAATGAACCTGATTGGGAACCTGGGCATGACCTTTTGCTCTAAAATCTGAATCTTCTCTTTGTTTTCTGGAACACACCTTTGTTTCACACTGAAACTATATTTTCTCAGTTTGCAAACTGTTCACTGGTATAAAGTCTCTTTTCTTCAAATTCCTTTTCAGAGAACTTTCGTCACATTGTATTTTAGGACTCCACTGCTCTGTACACTGAAATAATTTTGAAGGAGGTGAGATCAGAAACATGTACTTCTTATTGATCAAGAAAACCATGGCTTTGTATCTATTTGAGAAAGCAAACGTGTTTTAAAAAAAAATGGAGGCTGGGATGAGATTGCAGACATGGTTGACACCCTTACTTCCTGTTGGGTAGCAATGAATCTCCAACTTTTCGTCTCTCTCAAGAAGTAAAAGTTCCTCAAGTTTTTCCTTTAGTTTTTAAAAGGAAAAACAAAAACAAAAAAACACAAAACATTGTGCTGTATTCCAACCTTTCCCAATGGACTTGTCTTTGTCTTTGAACAGCTTCCATAATACCATTGAGGTCGCAAAGGTGTGTGATTTAGACTCTTTCCAGTGTTTTGGAGCTTGAAAGAAAGTGGTTGTTTGAATAAATTATGTTCTTGTGGACTATTGTAAACTAGGAGTACAAATGAGCCAACAATGGCATAGCAAGGAGTGAATGGGTTACTGTCTTTTGAAGAGAAAAGATGTATTCAGATTTCCAGTCAATTCTCGAGGAATGTATTTCTGAACTATTAAATTGAACCACATACAATTGCCATTTTGTAGGTTAAACATGGCCAAATAACAGCAAATTCATATGCTTCAATTAATATATGAATTACCTTGTTCCCCTAAAGGTTTGTAGGACTCTAGTAGACTGATGCTCTATAATTTTTAGTGTATTTCCCATCCTCAACCCCACACGTTTATTCTCTGAACCAGGAAGGCAATTAATGCAAAATAAAACCCTAAAGTATTTAAAAGAGAAAGACTGTATGAATTATCCTGTTTAGTATTCCTAGATAATGCAAAAAGGAAGATGTTTGAATTTAGTGTAACTCTAAACGTTTTGTCCCTGAATTTCATTCAATGTTCACGTGCAAAAATATCCAACTTTTATCTACTACAAGTAGCGAAAGCAAAAGGTACTAAATAGAGCTACATTTTTTAAAGCTCCAAATTTAAATACAAGTAGAAACAGAATTCATGTCAGCTAAAGACCAAATTATTACTTATTAACTAATACATATGCCCAGTGGATTTGGTTTATGTGTTTGGGCTTACATCACACCTTTCTCTCCTGCAAGGTTTTCTATAACTTAGCCAAGGTAGTTTCTGGAGCAAATGGGACATTCATGGGAATGACAAAATAGTGCAGAAAATGTCATTAGCAGTTCGTTATGAGACAGACAAATTCATTCTGATTTTGTCAGTGTTCACAGTAAAAAAATGGCAACAAAGCTACCAAAGGTACCTGAGACATTTCCTCCTGGAAGGAGTGTCTTGCAGTGGTCATTTCCTTCTACTTCATTCTTCTCTTAAACCCCTCATCATTTTTTATCTTCTACGTAAAGCACCTAAAGATGTGGATTCTCAAACTTCTTTAAGAGCCAGTTAAAGGTAAATTAAATGTTGTTGCTCAACTTTCAAGGCTAGAGTCAAATTTGGTTCCAGGTAATTTCATATTACAATACTCATGCTGTACCAATAATAGATGCCAGATGAAACTGAATATGCATGTTAAGTTTTAAAGAACGCCTTGAGGCAAATACTTTTCTTACTCCATGCAGCTAATTTCTGATTGGCAAAGAACAGCACTAAGATCAGTCACAATATTTCCTTGTTTACTTATTCCTTGGATAAAAAATTTAAGCGCATAAATTCTTAAACCATGTATTAAATTAATCTCTAAGAGTCTTGGAAACATTTCTGTGCCTGTTTTGGCAGTGTATCAAAAGGGAGTTCATGCTAAATACTTTGTTAAATCTATCCACTTCTCCAGTGAATAAACTGTATACCATTTTAAGAGATAAGGTTTAGATTATTTTTGAAAATGCCTTTTGGCCTGGGGTATGCCCGCTATTACCTTTGCTTAAAAACTTGGGTTCAGGAAATTTCTACCTTAGAGAAGTAAGATTCTCTAAAAGAATGTTTCACTTCCTCATGGATACTTTATGGGGGCATTAGCATGAAGTGAAGAAATTCTTTGAAGTTTCCAGAAAGATGGGTCCCAGGAAGCTTAGAATTTATGCATAAGTAAATGACTTTATGTCCTTCTATTTGAATGTAACTTCAAATCATAATCATCAGTTGAACACATGTTGACTTTGCTTCACAGATTTGCCAGCATTCCTTTATTTTCCTGTGTGTCTGGCTCTCTATTATTACTTCAATACAGGTTCCCATAGACAAAGCCCCCAGCCCCTCCCGCAAATACAACAGGCGTTGTGGTCTCATAAAATTTTCAGTCAGAAAAATACCCCAAAATAAGCTTTATTGCAAGAAAAGTGTCATATTTGATACACAGACCTACAAAAACAAACAAAACCAAAAACCATAAGTTTTTCCTCACAAACTCTTGATTACAAATTTACACTGTTCCTTTTTTCTTTTTAGTTATTAAAAAAACAATAAAACCTCAAAATACTGGGTATAACTGGTTACTAATCTTTGGTCAGCACAGGTTTGAGAGGAACAACCAGGAGCCTGCATGTGCTTTGGCCATTTCACATATGAGGTTTGGTCACTGGTCCAGGAAACAGGTTCTTGGGTTGAGAAGAATAATGGATACGTGCTCTTAATAGCACATCCTGGTACAATATCTTTTTAAATGACTAAAGCAAACTAAACATCAATTCATTGTACAAACATCTTTCATACACAATAGGCTATGATAAAATGAGGCATATGGTGTATAACTACAGTATTAATGAAAATTCTAAAAAAAAAATGGGTTTAAAACAACAACAACAACATATATTCCTTGGCTGCATTGCATGATTTGTTTGCACATATGGCAATCCTGAAATAACTTGAACATAATAAATGCACCATTATTTAAGACAGCACGAAACACCACAGAATGCCAGGTGTTCCCTTTCAAGGGAACGGCGGTTCTTCAGCTGCCTACAGTACCATGAGGACGCAGCGCACCCTGGGTAAGAATGAGGTGTTGTGGGTAGCACATATGGTTCCTTGAGGTTATGAGAAGGAAATACAGTACGGTTTGGCCTGCAATGCTAATGGTCTCACAAGCAGTCAAGGTATTTTGCTACAGTGGTTGTGCTTCAACTTCTGTTGCCTGGTGTGTCTGGTGATATGAAATGTTGTCACAAATGAGCTGCTTTGGCTTCGATCTACGTTATAAAGGATCTAATGACATTCATGTTTTTTAAATTATTGATTACACTGCCCATTCAGCTCTGTGTGGCTTTCTTTAAAATCATCAGGTGTGTATCAGCTGGATGACTGGCAGAAAACCAAAGGAAACATCTCTTGTATCTATTGGATTTTTAAAAAGCACCTCTAAAAAAAATAGCTCAAATTTATAAATCTAAAGAAAAACAAGTGAGTTTCCCTTTTTGTTTACATAGTTTGTTCATTTCTCCATATATTACTGCATTAAAAATAAATAAACATCTATATTTTTTTAATTAGCAACTATAGCAAAATACCCAAAGTGTTACAGACTGCTAACAGGAAAAAAAAAAAAAGCTCACATTATTTTTGTGCATTTAGTGCCATATGCTGATATCTTGAACATTTAGGTTTCTTTTAATATATTTTAAAATGAAGTTATATAAAAAATACAGTAACCACGGTTGCCTTTGTGCTCAAATCTTTGGCCATACCAGAGTCTAAATTATCCCTCCCTGTGAGGGTCAACATTCAAAGTCTAAGACAGGGAGGAAAGAAACAAGAGTTATTATTATTTTTCCTCTTTAAAATTAGTCCTTGACTTTTCAAATGCTTCTGCAGACTGGCTGTGCTAGGATTTGAGCCTGGGCCCAAGTCTGTGAAGGGTTAATAGAGCTGAATCTGCAGCCTCATTCTGAGAGCCTCCCCAAGCTCCCCTAGGAGGTAGTCATCCTCATTGCTCTCTTCCAGTTTCTTAAGCTCCTTCTTCTTGTAGAGAGGGATGCTAGTGATTTCCAGTGTGTATGTGCCGGGCATGAGCTTCTTCTTGGCCGTGTGCAAGTAGCTGAGCCCATTCCTTTGGTGGATGCGGAAGACGCTGTCATCGTTCCCTTGAGAGATGACATAACGGATGTGGTTGTTGAGGGGCTGGATGGCGGGCCTTAGTTCCAGGATGTGCTCCTTAGAGCCGAGGTGGGAGAGGTTGAACTTCATGTTGACGGGGCTGTCCATGTCGACACTCTCTAGGCTGATCTGTTCAACCTGGAGGAAGAACAGGAAATGATTTGGGACAAGCTTCTACAGCACAAGCAGAGGACTAGAAAGAGATCAGCTGCAGGGGCTTTGGTCACGAGGACAGGCTGTGGCTTCCCACTCCCGCTTTCTGCACTCTCCTTACCAGCAGTGGCTGTGAAAGAGGCTATTGTACATTTTTGTCAGTTGGAAGAAAAGGCCAATTCCATCGAGAATACCCTGTAAATCTTTAGGACTTCTCACTCAGCCTTAACAAGGTAATTAAAGGTACAGGACTGGGCTTACAGAGTGTTCCCATTTCAAGTTTTTTTTGATGAGTTTATGAAATATTGTGCTAATTAATAATTTTTAAAAACTAAAATTTAGGTAATGATTTTTTTTTTTCTGGAGTCAAAATAAGAAGTACTGCTGTTGGGCATCAGCAGGGAATGCGCCCAGGGGAATCTTCTGTCTGAAAGCTGGGCTTTGATTTGTAAGGTAAGTGAATGATGAGTGAGTTTACTGGGAGCTATCAGAGGTACACAGAGTGAGTGATCTGCAGAGTTCTCAGGGCTCCAGTTCAAACCAGCATCTTTGGTAAAAGCCAGTGGGGCAGGGCCCAGATAAACCAAGTCTGACTTTTGCTCAGAGGGTTGGGAGGAGCACAAATATATCAAAGTAAGATAGGATAAAAACCACAATGCTTTGATTGGGCATCTGTTAAGTGAGGACTTGGCAGTGGTGACCCAGAAGTGCCCATCAGTGTTCAGGCAGAATTATGTCCTAGTACCCCAATGGGAAAGTTTATAAGCAGAACTTCTGGATTTGTAGTTTGGGAACTTGATGAATATCTCAACTGTCAAACATCAGTTGGGTATCTTAGTCTACTTAAGGTAAATGTAACACTGGCTTATTTATTATTATAAAATAGCATCATGAACTTTTTGGCTAGACAAGTCAGGTCATATAGACAAAGATTCTGAGGCCCAAAAAACTGAAGCAAGTTGTCCAATTCACACAGCCAGCCAGTTGTTGATTAGGTTTTTTGGTGGGGTAATTTCTCAGTCATATTAACTGCAGAGAGTGGTGAGTGACGACCTCATACTGTCTCAGATCTTTGGGAAAATCATCAAGATCTCTAGATATGAGATATTAATCATTCATAGGAACTGAACACATGTGATATATATGTCAGGCATTGTTCCAGGCAGTTCACATGTTTCAATTCAATTAACCCTTCCATCAGCCTTCAGAGGTATTATTATTCCCATCTTACAGGTGAAAAAACTGAGGTTGAGAGAAGTTAAATAAACACAAACTATGTAACAGAGGTAACAGATAGGGAGGGCCAGGGAGTTACGTTCAAAACCAGGTAGTCTGCAGCCCACCCCTTTAAACACTGCCAAAATGCAATTAGGGAAAGGAAATATCAGTGGCTCGCAATTTCCAACTTCAGTTCCTTAAAGAATACAAGTGATTTGGAAGACAAAACTTCTTAATGAAGGAACAACTGTCTTAAAAATAAAACAAAGAATATGAGACCTACTTGGTTTCCCTAGTGAAAATTAAAATCAGCCTTGTATGCTATACATTTATAAAACAGAACTGAACAAATTAAAAATAATTTCATTTTTTGAATCATGTAAAAATAGCTCTTCCCGAGATGGACATACCCTCCCACATAAATCAAAAACTACAACAAGAGAAAATGCTCTGAAACTGTGAATCTTAAAGTCTTTTCTCCCAAGCTTTGTGTTTTGATCTAATAATTCAATCACTTTAATTTACTTGTCTTTTCCATACTGGGTCCATTAATTTATCCATTAAATTCAAGGTATGATTAACTTCAGTGAGGCTGAAAACGACGTGAACTGCACTGTATACATGACTCCGTAGGGATAAAATTTTGTGGCAACACAGAGTGGGATATACTCACAGCAGTGGGATCAGGTTCATGAATACTTCTCTTCTGCCTGCTGTCTTTCTTAGAATAGCCGTTGATTTTGCACTCGTAGCATGCTTCTGGGGACAGAGCATTTTCCTCATCGACCTCTGTATCCAGTGACAGGTACTGCCCCTTGTTAAATCCCATTCCTGAGACACAGTGGCTATTTGCAAAAAGCAAAGTATTGTTAGACTTTATCACTGACTTGACCATAGTTTTCCAGTGGTAGAGCAGACTCTTCAGAAACACGAAACCAACAGAGCAAACACTAAACTCATAAACATAAAACCCTAATATTCTTTGCAACTCTTTTATTTTTCTTTTAGAGACAGGGTCTTGCTCTGTTTCCCAAGCTGGAGTACAGTGGCACGATCTTGCTCACTGCAGCCTCAAACTTCTGGGCTCAAGAGCTCCTCATGCCTCAGCCTCCAAATTAGCAGGGACAACCGGCACACACCACCACATCCAACTAATTTTTTTTAATTTTCATGTTTTGTAGAGATAGGGTCTTGCTATGTTGCCCTAGCTGGTCTCCAACTTCTGCCTTCAAGCGATTCTCCTACCTCGGACTCCCAAAGTACTGGGATTGCAGGGATGAGCCACAATCCCCTATAATTCTTTAACACACAATAGATAAACTTTTCCCTTATTTTGAAACAGCAAAATTCTTCTGAGGGTGAGCCCCATGCTTTCCCAATTTTCAATCTTAGTTAGACTGAAGTACTGAGCATAATTAACTCCAGAAGGTAAAAGTAAGGTATGAATTTCCAAAGAGAATGCTAAGACAGGTTCCATTGTTTCAGGGGCCTGAAGCCTGTATTTGCTGCTTGCAACAAAGCTCCCTGCTTTAAAAACTGAGATTTCTGAACTTATATTTTGGTTAGTGAGTCAATGAATTGGCTCTAAATGACCTTTGTGTAGACCAAGCCTTTTGTTTTAACTATTATCATACACCATTGTTGGACAGACTTGGTCCATGCCTTTTAGTCCCTGCCTTGCACACTGCTCCTTTCAAAGAAGGCAACCTGGACTGACCTCTAAATGCCCATCTTCTGTGTTACTGAGCACCACGGCCTTCCTGGAAGAATGCAAATGGCCAGCACCTCTGCCACAGCCCATGGAACTTGAGACAGTGCGCCTAGTTGGAGGGAAGCCTGTCTTGTGGGTCAGGCCCGTGCTGAATGACACCACACCAACTAGGCACCATCCTCTCTCTGTGCGATAGGAAAGCCACATGAGCAAAGAAAGGGACAAACTCCTTCCTCAGTGATCACTATGCTAGCACCTTCCAGAATTTGTAGAAGAACCTGTGGCAAGGCCATTTCCACTTCTACCTCACAGCCCAGGTATCCATGGCAACGTGTGAGCCGCATTTTTAAGCATCTGTTTGTCTCTGGCCTTGGGTCAAATTGAATCAATTCAGGCCCTTAATAAGAGGAGCAAAGAGTGATATTTACATACAAGTTCAAGTTTTATGCTCATCACAAAGGAAGTAATGCTATACCCTGAGCACAGTCCGTGTGTGCTTTCTTGGTATTTATCTGCATACCCGAAGAGTTCTAATCAATGCTTTTGCGGTTTGGCTTTTAGACACTGTACTCTTCCCTGCAGTGGGGGGTGGCCTGAACTCACTCAGGAACCATGTATTCCTCTATGTGCTGAGGCTGAAGGCCGCCTTACCCTTGTCCCACTCTGTAATACCCAGGGGGGCAGCCACAGAGGTAGCCCCCCTCCGTGTTAGAGCAGCCGTAATTGCAGGGGTTCTTGGAGGACGAGCACTCATTCACGTCGTGGCAGGCACTGGAGAACTGGTCGAAGGAGAACCCCGAGGGGCAGGCGCACTTGTAACTCCCCAGGGTGTTGTAGCAGGAAGCAGAGCCACAGGCATTGGGATTGGAGCATTCATTCTCATCTAGTGAAACGAAGAAAGAAACTCTTACACGGGGAAGCAGGCAAGAGCAAAAACGTGAACAAGTCTGGAGTCTCAAGTGCCTGTGATTTTATGGCAGAAATAACTCTAACACAGTATTTTATTTTATTCTGACGACTGATTTGCAAAGCACGTGAATGAAAAAAATTCCCCTAAATTGTGGCTTTAAAAAACCCTTGCTTTGCTCTTTTCTGTTTGTACTGTTTCTAAATATGTCTGCAGCCCTTGGGAACAGATATTTGCAGTTTGCCTAGTGAATAACTCTTCTATTCTCTTAACAGAAGGTTACTTCAAAAGCTTATATCTCGGGCAAATCCTTAGAGATAGAGAGAAAATTAGTTGCCGGGGCCTGTCGGGAGGAAGAAATGGGAAATGACCGCTCTTGGGTATGGTGTTTCTTTTGGAGGTGATGAGAATGTTCGGAAACTGGTAGTATTGATGACTGCATACCTTTGTGAGAATCTACAAAACCCATTTACATGTACACTTTAAAAGAGAGAAGTTTATGATATATCAATTAAAAAAGTCCCTATAAGTATTTGTATCCATTCCCCCAGCAATTCCCCAAACCTTCATTATACAGGAGGAGAAAGCATAAAAAAATTTATAAACCCTAAATGAAAACGATGGAAAACAACACTATTTAGTTAAATCAGTTGAACGAACAACTAGTTCAGTTTAAAATGCTTGAGAACCCATTGGGTGCAGACTGTGCTTTCTGAGGCAGGTTTGCATCCAGCCATCAGCCAGCTATAGCTTTTACTCGCTTAATGACTAACATTATACTATAAATACCTGGTAGCAGGATAATTATAGGTTATACTTTCAGTTACTATTATCATTTTTACAAAATCAAAGTCTGATTATGCTTTCAACTTTGGAGATTATAAGTTTGCCTTAACTGTCTGGTTGATATACAGCATGTGGCTTGACTTCTTTGGGCTTTTTTTATAATCCAAATTTCACCCTGGGAACAAATCACATCTGTTCCATGGAATTCTTTCAATTCTTGTGACTCCATGTGGAGCAAAGAGTGTCTGTTTACCTAATATGTGACAAGTATATATTTCAGCCCATGTGGGGAAACAGGCCCATGTGCAAGTGGGTGTGCACAGAGGACATAGTACCTAGTGGGGAAGCGAGGGATCTGCAGCAGCTCAGTGAGATTTGGAAGATGCACATGGGCTCTCAGTGAAGAGGCCTCCCAGACAGGAATTAAACTTCATTAAGTACAGGACAGAAGTTACTGAAAGGGTAGATATTATTAGGAACATTTTTGTATCATGATTCTGATAGTCTCAGAATTAAAGGAGACCACTAAATGTAGGTGTCTTAATCACTGAATATAAAAGATGCTGATTATCTAATATGTGAAAATTCTTAGCCTTTATGGCAGGGGAAGAACGTAGATACGATAAATAAATTCTCAGTAACTTGGCTACATAAGATGTAACTATAACTGCTATTTTATTTCTATATACAAGAGACTTGGAATTCTGCCATAAAGCCTCATCTGCTTTTATAATTAGATCTGACATTCCTATGCAGTGTTTCTCTCCTAACAGGGAATCTAAATTAGATTACAATTTAATAAAATGATCCTGCCATGAATATACCATTAGACATTGTGTTAGGAAGAAAAATTACCAGGCAAAAATAATTAACTGAATAAATTATATTTAAACATATCACTTACAAGAATATTTAAAAATATGTAACATTTTTGCAAGCACCATGATATACCTCATATTTATATTCTATAAATGTATATCATGATTAAAATTTATAGACTTAAATAAATATGTTCCTGTCTGACACATACTTTGAACTGATTCAAGCCTCACTCAACTATGTGTGAATTATTGTGAACAGGCTACAGAAGCAACTGGAAGTTACTAAAACACAAAGTCTTCATATATGAAGACATAATTTTTCTTCATATGCAAATGTTAGTATTTACATATTTCCAATTTTGAATAATTGTATTTGAATAATTCTAATGCTTACAAATAGTTGAGAATGTTCCCTACATCTGTACACTCTATCTACCAGAACGTTGTAAATTCTTTGTGACAACTGGCAGAAAACTTCCTAAAGTGTTAGTTTGAACTGAAAGCTTTTTTCAATATTAACACTTTCAAAGAACTTTCATTCTTCTTCAATTGGTAGCAGGTTTAGTAACATCGTAGGTTTACAGTTTTGCCTGTTTAAACTGTCTGATGCATTGACTAACAGTGTTGACCACTGACGAGGATTCCGGGGGAAATCTGTCTGAAATGCTTCCTTCTGTATTCCCCCATCAATCATATGAATGGCTGAAGATATTCACACAAGTAGTGACAGATAAAAAATGTTGGTGGCTTTTCAATTTGCGTTTTGTCCTAATTCTTTTGCTAACTTGTTGCTTTTATTAGTTTCCTGAAGGGGTATTTCACCCAATTTCTGCCATATGTTTGAGTTAAAAATCTAATGGCGTTACATGAATTCAAGGGAAGAAAGTCAGCAATTTTATTAGAGACAAGCTGGATTCCTCAACCCTGCCCAGAAGAATCTAGAATCTTTTGAAATAAATCCCTGATGTGTCGTACCCAGGCACCTGCTGCTTAGAGGTACTCATTTTAGTAGAATAAGCTTACAAATTAATACCTGCAATTAGGGATATCTGCTCATGTATTTTTAGTTTTGGACTCATCTTAAACCATTTATTCCTCTGCTCATGGAGTTTCTCCTGATTAGAAGGCAAACCGGCTTCTGGCTGGACTCCATTGCGAGCTCCTTTGGGGGTGACTGCCTTGTCAAAGTGCTCACCCCAGGATCTCATAAAGGGGAACTGGGATACACCACACCATCTTGATTTTAAGTCAGACTATTTTAGATAGAGCTTCCACATTTAGTAAAAACCTGTGCAGCTCGTTTTGTGCTAGGTGTTCAGAAACAAAAACTTCAGGAAACTGAAACACTTTGAAATTAAATTGGCACTCCATGCATTTTCCTATTTCTACTTTTGTTCTCCTTAAAAAAAATTCTGTTTGATAGAGAATCATTCTTTTGGATTAAGGTCTATGGAATTAACCAACAAGTCCATGGTATTTACTAAATAAAGTGGTGGGCTTCATATTTTATAAATATTGTAATATAATAAAATTGTTTTATATTATTATTATATTTATTTATTTATTTAAATTTTACTTTAAGTTCTGGGATACATGTGCAGAATGTGCAGGTTTGTTACATAGCCAAGTGTGCCATGGTGCTGTGCTGCACCTACTGACTCATCTTCTAGGTTACCTCCCCTCGCCCCCCAACCCCCAACAGGCCCCAGCATGTGCTTATTCCCTTCCTTTCCCTGCGTCTATGTGTTCTCGTTGTTCAGCTCTCACTTATGATGAGAACATGTGGTGTTTGGTTTTCTGTTCCTGTGTTAGTTTGCTGCGGATGATGATTTCCAGCTTCATCCATGTCCCTGCAAAGGACATGCTCTCATTCCTTTTTATGGCTGCATAGTATTCCATGGTGTATATGTACCACATTTTCTTTATCCAGTCTATCATGGGCATTTGGGTTGGTTCCAAGACTTTGCTATTGTAAATAGTGCTGCAGTAAACATACGTGTGCATGTGTCTTTATAGTAGAATGATCTATATTCCTGTGGGTATATATCCAGTAATGGGATTGCTGGGTCAAATGGTATTTCTGGTTCTAGATCCCTGTGGAATCACCACACTGTCTTCAACAATGGTTGAACTAATTTCCATTCCCACCAACAGTGTAAAAGTTTTCCTATTTCTCCACAGTCTCACCAGCATCTATTGTTTCTTGACTTTTTAATAATAGCCATTCTAACTGGCATGAGATGGTATCTCATGGTGGTTTTGATTTGCATTTCTCTAATAATCAGTGATGTGAGCTTTTTTTCATATGTTTGTTGGCCACATAAATGTTTTTTTTTGAGAAGTGTCTGTTCACATCCTTTTCCCACTTTTTGATAGGGTTTTTGTATTTTTCCCACAAACTTGTTTAAGTTCCTTGCAGATTCTGGATATTAGACCTGTGTCAGATGGGTAGATTGCAAACATTTTCTTCCATTCTGTAGGTTGCTTGTTCACTCTGATGATAGTTTCTTTTGCTGTGCAGAAGCTCTTTAGTTCTTTGAAACCAATGAGAACAAACAGACAACGTACCAGAATCTCTGAGACACAGCTAAAGCACTGTTTAGGGGAAATTTATAGCGCTAAATGCCCATGTCAGAAAGCTAGAAAGATCTCAAGTCAACACTCTAACATCACAGTTAAAAGAGCTAGAGAAGCAAGAGCAAGCTAATTCAAAAGCTAACAGACGACAAGAAATAACTAAGATCAGAGCAGAATTGAAAGAGATAGAGACATGAAAAACCCTCCAAAAAATCAATGAATCCAGGAGCTGGCTTTTTGAAAAAATTAACAAAATACACCACTAGCTAGACTAATAAAGAACAGAGAAGAATCAAATAGACACAATAAAAAAATGATAAAGGTGATATCACCACTGATCACACAGAAATACAAACTACCATCAGAGAATACTATAAACATCTCTATGCAAATAAACTAAGAAATCTAGAAGAAATGGATAAATTCCTGGACACATACACCCTACCAAGACTAAACCAGGAAGAAGTCGAATCCCTGAATAGACCAATAACAAGTTCTAAATTTGAGGCAGTAATTAATAGCCTACCAACCAAAAAAAAGCCCAGGACCAGATGGATTCTCAGCAGAATTCTACCAGAGGTACCAAGAGGAGCTGGTACCATTCCTTCTGAAACTATTCCAAACAATTGAAAAGTAGGGACTACTCCCTGACTCATTTTATGAAGGTAGCATCATCCTGATACCAAAACCTGGCAGAAACACAACAAAAAAAGGAAATTTCAGGCCAATATCCCTGACGAACATCGATGCGAAAATCCTCAATAAAATAGTGGCAAACTGAATCCAGCAGCACATCAAAAAACTTATCCACCATGATAAAGTCGGCTTCATCCCTTTGATGCAAGGCTGGTTCAACATATGCAAATCAATAAACACAATCCATCAAATAAGCAGAACCAAAGACAAAAACCACATGATTATCTCAATAGATGCAGAAAAAGCCTTTGATAAAACTCAACATCTCTTCATGTTAAAAACTTAATAAACTAGATATTGATGGAATGTATCTCAAAATAATAAGAGCTATTTATGACAAACCCACAGTCAATATCATATTGAATGGGCAGAAGCTGGAAGCATTCCCTTTGAAAACTGGTATAAGATAAGAATGCCTTCTCTTATCACTCCTATTCAACATAGTATTGGAAATTCTGGCCAGGGCAATCAGGCAAGAGAAGAAATAAAGGGTATTCAAATAGGAAGAGAGGATGTCAAATTTTATCTGTTTGCAGATATCATGATTCTCTACTTAGAAAACCCCATCATCTGACCAGGCGCAGTGGCTCATGCCTGTAATTCTAGCACTTTGGGAGGCCAAGGCGGGTGGATCACTTGAGGCCAGGAGTTCGAAACCAGCCTGGCCAACATGGTGAAACCCCGTCTCTACTAAAAATACAATAATAATAATAATAATAATAGTAATAATAATAATAATAATAATAAACTAATAATAATTAACCAGGCATGGTGGCAGGCGCCTGTAATCCTAGCTACTAGGGAGGAGGTGGAAGTTGCAGGGAGGAGGTGGAAGTTGCAGCGAGCTGAGATCGTGCCACTGCACTCCGGCCTGGGCGACAGAGTGAGACTCCACCCCAAAAAAAAAACAAAAACCCAACAAACCATTGTCTCAGCCCCAAAACTCAAGCTGATAAGCAACTTCAGCGAAGCCTCAGGATACAAAATCAATGTGCAAGAATCACAAGCATTCCTATACACCAACAATAGACAAGCAGAGAGTCAAACAATGAATGAACTCTCATTCACAATTGCTACAAAGAGAATAAAATACGTAAGAATACAGCAAACGAGGTATGAAGAATCTTTTCAAGGAGAACTACAAACCACTGCCCAAGGAAATAAGAGAGGACACAAATGAATGGAAAAACATTCCATCCTCATGGATAGAAAGAATCAACATTGTGAAAATGGCCATACTGCCCAAAGTAATTTATAGATTCAATGCTATTCCCATCAAACTACCATAAATTTCATATGGAACCAAAGAAGAGCGTGTATAGCCAAGATAATCCTAAGCAAAAGGAACAAAGCTGGAGGCCTCATGCTACCTGTCTTCAAAGTATACAACAAGGCTACAGTAACCAAAACAACATGGTGCTGGTACCAGAGCAGACATATAGACCAATGGCACAGAACAGAGACCTCAGAAATAAAACCACACATCTACAACCATCTGATCTTTGACAAACCTGACAAAAACAAGCAATGGGGAAAGGATCTCCTATTCAGTAAATGGTGCTGGGAAAGCTGGCTAGCCATGTGCAGAAAACTAAAACTGGACCCCTTCCTTACACCTTACACAAAAATTAACTCAATATGGATTAAAGACTTAAAACCCTAAACCATAAAAAACCCTAGAAGAGGCTGGGCATGGTGGCTCATGCTTGTAATCCCAGCACTTTGGGAGGCTGAGGCGGGTGGATCACCTGAGGTCAGGAGTTCAAGACCAGCCTTGGCCAACATGGTGAAACCCCGTTTCTACTAAAAATACAAAAAATGAGCCGGGCATGGTGGCAGACTCCTGTAATCCCAGCTACTCAGGAGGCTGAGGCAGGAAAATCACTTGAACCCAGGAGGCGGAGGTTGTAGTGAGCCAAGATCATGCCACTGCACTTCAGCCTGGGCAACAGGGCGAGAGTCCGTCCTAAAAAAATAAAAAATCCCTGAAGAAAACGTCGGCAATATCATCATTCAGGACACAGGCATGGGCAAAGACTTCATGACGAAAACGTCAAAAGAAATTGCAACAAAAGCCAAAATTGACAAATGGGATCTAATTAAGCTAAAGAGCTTCTGCATAGCAAAAGAAACTATCATCAGAGTGAATAGGCAACCTACAGAATGTTTTACATTATTTTAATAGCTATGTAAAAAATACTGTTTCTGATATTCTAAAGAGTGTGCCATACACTTTGCCTTTGTTTATGAATCAATAAATCTGGGCATAAGGAGTTCTACAACAGTTTTTTTCTATGAAGAGGAAAAAAAAGTGAATTAAATTTATAAAGTTATTTTGAATAACTGCCTAATTGGTAATTTAAATAATTTTTTGAAACTGTCTTGTCTTTAACTTTTGATCACTTATTGGTTTCTGCATTTCTACACTCCTATGAGTGTATATTCGTGGTGTGGTAAAGCATCTGTCTTTGACCTGGCATGATTTTCCCTCCACTGAAATTTATCTTGATTTTTTGTTCTTAATTCACTTAGCTGTCACTAGAAATTTCTTTTGAGAAGACCACAAAGGATAAAATCAGACTAATTTATTTAGTGGATCACAATAATTCAATATGTGAATAACCTGTGAAGTAATTTGAATTACTACACAGAAACAGGAAGCATCCTGATATTTCTCTGCAGGACCACAGTGCCCCTTTCTGCTCAGTTATGCCAGCACCTAGCATCAAAATGTGTTGGTTGGAGTGTCTGTGAAGCGCATTCAAAAGGAGCCAAGAAATTAGGCATATGCTAAGTAAGTCACCTGGCTATCCAAGTAGAGAATAATGTTCTCTTTGATCAATCACTCCTTAAAAGGAGAATTTCAGCGACTATTATCAATGCAAGGAACAGAGCTGAGAGCCACGTATTTTATTTTACAAACACTTCTGTCTAGAGCTGCCAACAGCATTTGCTGTAAGTAGGTACTTTTTCAACCTTAAAACACTTCCCATCCTTTATTAAATCTATGTGACAGGAGAGCACACATGGACTGTCCTCATTAAGTTGATGTGAACTCCTTTAGATTCGTATGAGGGGAATGGATGGGAAATCTAAATATATTAAATTACAGACAAAAAAGTGGCTGACCTTCGCAAACAAAGATGATGATTCTTGACATCATCTTCAGAAACTTAAAATTACTTAGCAGATATTTAAAATGAAGTAACCTCTAGTTAAGTTAACTTCCCGGTACTTAAAAACAAACTTTTTTTTTAATAGATATTTTCAAACATACACACTAGCAGAATGAGTCCCCATGCATCAGTCTTAAGGACTGGGTTTAAAGTCTAAAATTCAAAGGCTATACTGAAATCTCAACCCTCACAATTTGTTCATCTTATTCAGAGACACTTTCAGGTGAGAAAAGCAAGTGCGATGGAAGAAAAGAGCACTCACCGACACACTGATTCCACTGGTAGTGCTGGATGTAGCCTTGGGGGCAGCCACATCTGTAGCCACCCAGGATGTTCTGGCAGCCGTGTTGGCACCTGTGGTTCCCATCACATTCATCAACATCTGCAAAAACAAGCCCGGCAAAACCTTTATGTCACCTTTCTTCTACTATTTTTAAATGCACTCCAAACGAAACCTGGGGTAACTGTTATCATGGGAACAAACAAACAAACAAGACATGACACATAGAGAGGCTGTCATTTTTCCAGGTCACATGGTTATTAGTCAGTGGTGGTGCAGGGAACAGTTCTGAGATAAGAGACCAGCTCATTCTTCTGCTCTCCACCAGACCACGGCATGTCAGTGCTCTAAATAACATCTCAATTTCAGCAAGTCAACCATAGCAACCACAAATGTTGTACATTTTGAACTAATTAACTGCAAATGGTATGATTTATTTGGTAAATCATATATATATATATATATATATAAAATATATTTGCATTGCATAGTCCAGTAAGTTTGAAAGTGACTGAGATACAATCCTCATTTTTGGGAGGATAGAAGCATTACAGAGATACCTAAAAAGTACAATTATATTGCACGTAAAAATTTTTATTACCATTCAAGATTAATTAGATGCAAATCCCTCTTAAGTATTTAAATATGTTATTTTTAGACAAGATGTGGTATTATTATACATGTGGAATAATTTCTTTATTTATGTATGCTTTTTTGGAATGACAACCGAATATTTGAAATCTATCCATAAAGAGTAAAATAAAATTGGCATGTCTGAGGGGTGTAACAAATTTACATGGATAATTAATAAATGGTATCTTATGGGGATGGTCACGAGCTGAACTCGCATGTGGCAAACAGCTGTAGGTTAAGAATACTTTCAACGTCTCAACGATTTGAAAGATAAAATATTAAAATTGACATTTTAAAAACTGAATTTTTCTTTGCTGAAAATGAGATACATATAAAAGCCCCACAAGCCTTACAGAGAGCAAATTAAATACTTAACATATATTTCTAGAAATCCAAATCATATATTTCTAAGAATAGTTAATGTTAAAAGGGTGATTAAAATCAAGAAAACTATAAATTGCAATACGATATAAGAATGTAAGGGAAATAAATATAGTCTCATAATCTCTGGCATGGGTGTTTATAAGACACTAATCCTAATACATTTTTCTTGTCATACACTGCCACTTGCAATATAAATAGTGAAGAACTAGATGAAATTTTCTTAACTGCAAGCATGTTCTTATTTTGTTTCCACTTAAATGTTCCCTTGGATTTTACAGGAAATAGTTATTGCAGAGGAGACCAAGGTCCACTGTAAGAAAGTGAAGGAGTGAAGCGGGAGCTTGACTCGTAAAAAACAGAAACAGCCATCATTTCACCTTAGCGTGTTCAGTACATTTGTTCAATTCTCTCTGATGACAGATTCTTTTTATATTTAATTCTTATACATTTAAGAATCATGGAACAAAAGGCCAATTATTATTTTTTTCTGGTATGCTTGTACACTACCGCAAACCATATTAGGCACAGAATTCTTTTTCAATTCAATTCTTTCTCAGATCCATGATTAGTCAACAGTTACTTTAAAAGTCAATTCGTAATCACAGAATTTTTGTTTCACTGCATTTAGGTTTCCCTCTGTCCCCAAAGTGATACATAGAAATTTATGACCAGGAATAAGTTGCTGGGTCCTATTTTGTTCAATACTTTTTTTTCTTTTTTTCAGATTATACCAATTTGTCTTGGAAGTTAAAAATATATATGGTTTACTGTTATTAGATTAAGAATTTTTGAGCAAATCAACTAACCTTCACAGTTCAGTCCGGTGGCATCAAGAGAGAACCCTCTTTGGCATTCACAGCTGAAACTGCCTGGAGTGTTTTGACAGATTCCCTTTGCTCCACAAAGCGAAGGTTGAGACCCACATTCGTTGTTGTCTGGCAAAGCATCAAGAAGCAGAGCGTCAAACTTTCCAATCATAACATGTCTTACGTTTCATGGGAAGTAAAAAGCAATGTATGAAAACCTAAGTTTCATGATGTGAAAATGGCATTTTGGGAAAATTTATACCAAAATTCACTGTCATATTAAAGACAAAAGTGGTAAGAAAAAGTGTATTTTAAGAGGTTTGAGATTTGAGCATATTTTGGAGTGATTGAAGGCACACTGACTAAAGTTCCTTAACATGTGTCTTCTAAAATAAAAGCTCAATATGTTTGTTAACATGTTCTAAATTACAGTGAGCCTTTAATCATATTTTGTCTGAACACCATGGTTGCATTAAGAATGTGATATAAAGGCACTGCTTGAAATATGGCTACTGTGCAGGTGCTTGGACTAAAAAGGCCTTTTTTTTCCCTTTGGATATTGTTCTTGAAAATATCTATCTTATTAGCAACTTCTTTAGACCACAAATTATGGGGTATTGGTTACTGAACATAAATACCAGGACATTCTTCTGTTTATAATTTTAAATATAATTTTTATGCATCTACTAGAAGTTTGTAAAATTTCCCATTTGTAACTTTGTCTTACCGATACAAGCAGTGTGATGCTGTGTGAAACCAGGTGGACATTTACAGGTAAACCCCCCCAGGGTGTTGACACAGAGGAACTGGCAGTTATGCTGCTTTGTTTGACATTCATCAAGGTCTGAAATTAGAGAGAAGCCAGTGAAAATCACAGTAGACTATCTGGCTATGTTTCCTTTCTTGTGAAGCCACAGGAGATGCACATGCTCCATTAGAAGCATTTTGTCTAGATTTTTGCTGGAAGCTTCGTAGATTTCCATAGGCATATGGCAAACAGTTTCTTTTTACATATTTAAGCAGAATAAATATTACGGGCTAGGATGATAGGACAATTAAGGCAATATATAACATAAGAAACTGAATGGCAGAATCATAGCAGTTTCCATGAACTGTTCTCAAAGCTACTATCCAAAGGTTACAATTCTTGCATTGAATGCAGTATAGTACATGGCTGATTACTGATTCCTATTAAAGGAAGGATTAAATAAAAATGAAACAGAATCTAGAAACTGATGAAGGTCCGAACAGAAACACTAAGAGTCTCCACATTCAGATGAAAACACGGGCATTAATATTAGAGGAAGCAAAATACAACACCTGTAATTCTAGTCACAAATGGTATTGATATTTGGACCCTACTAATTAAAAACTCAAAATTTGATTTTGGCTATACTAAAACTTAATTTGGAAACTATATTTAAAATAAATATACCACATAAGATGTAGGCAAGACTAATTTATTATTTTACAGCTTAAAAAACGCTTTAGTCATACTCATTTTTTTTTGATATGGAGTCTTTAGTCATACTCATAAACAATGTACAACTGAACATAAACAATGTTCAGTTCACTAAACAGGTCCAAGCGGTGCTTGCTATTATTTTTTTTTTTTTTGATATGCCTTGGAAATAAAACCTCATTTTACTGAGAATAATCTACATTTTAAAAATTTGCTCAGTCCATTAATTTCATTCTGATGAGGCTTACTATAAAATCAAATATATGAGTATAGTATTGAAACTATTTTAATGATCTAATTTAGCTTGATAAATAATTACTTTTGATACTACCTAAGCAAAAAATTTAAATTTACCTATCCATTTTCACTTTTCCACAGTAAACCTGTAATAAAGGTAGCTTAGAGAAATAAAAGCTTAGATAAGCAACAACAACAAATATCTTATTTCAGTGATTTGTTTCGATCTCTTCCCATACCAAAACTTTTGTTTTATTTTATTTTTTAAAATTTATGCAGTTTTCTATAAGAAGCAAACTGTTTTAACTTGGGTTTTAATCCTCTCTGCTTCCTGCAATGAGCATATTGGTAGAGTTTTTCTATGAGCAATAACATGGCCACTAGGATGGGACCTTTTAATGAAGGTGATGCACATGGCATAATTCCTGATAATCTAATATTTAAATTTGAAAGAAAAGATACAGACTAGGGTCACGATTGTCAGAGACTCTTCACTCACCTTTGCATGTCTTTCCATCCTCTTGCAGGACATACCCCCTCGGACATGAACACTGATAACTCCCCTCAGTGTTCTTGCAGATGTAGTTGCATGGTTTCGGGGACTGGGAGCATTCATCAAGGTCTAAGTAAAAGTGATGTGAAGATTAAATTACTGGTTAAAAGAAACAACCAGACTCTTTCCTCCTTCCATATTCTCACTTCATTCTTTTTGTTTTTCCTGTTCAACTTAAAGTGGAATATAGCCAGAGAGAAATGATGCACAGAAGGATTTTTTCTAAAGTAACATGCGGGTTTACTTTGTAAATCAATCTATGGATCTTGGGTAAATATTATGATGTCTAGACAACTGTCTGGGTCCAAAATTACTACATTCTTTAGATTAATATACTTTGGTTTACAACCTGAGAATCATAAACTTAATAAGAGTTTCTCTGTTTTTGACCCATGGATGTGGCACAAGTTCTTTTAAACTCTCTTTACTGAGGCTCCTTTAAGCATCTTGTGGGATCACAGATGGTGCTGGAAACCTTCCACTTTCCCCTTCAGATTCAGTCCTCACCCTGGTCCACTCTGCTCTCAGGCCCAAGAGATGGAGCTCTACAGACTCCATCCGGAGGCTCTCCCTTGCCCTCTGTCTTCTGTCTGGCCCTTATTTCCTCAACTCCCTCCCTGCAAGATAGGCTCAGGCTGGCTGAGTCACTGGAGCAGCTGTCAGAGGTCCTCTCAAGGCAGTCCTCTGAGCACAACTTTCTTTTTCTAGGTTCCAATAACTTCTGACTCTTTTCTTTTGGCCCAGGGGTAGTACAGCCCCAGCACACAGCACTACGCCTCCTGGCTTTTGTGCACACTGCTCACACGTGTATAGACAGTCTTTTTGTTAGACCCTCCTTGAATTGTCCTCCTTGAAATATGCCATCTCTTTCCTACTCGGACTCTGAGATAGCAGACAATCTCCATTTCCTCCATATAACATACGGCGTTGATGCCCACAGAATGCTGAATGCTTATGATTAATGGCCTATTCTCTATTACTCATGCTCTTCTGTTTCAAAGAAGTCAGTTGGGTTTTCTTAACCTTTTAATGCCAAGTGTGCTTGTTATTGACATAGGTAATTTGATAGAATATCAAGTAAGCTAATGAAATATAAAGGAGAAAAAAAATTTTTTCTTTAATAAAAATGAAGTTGAATACTTTGGAAAGACCCGACAAAAGTCTAAGTCCTTTCTGCCCCACGACTGTCATATATAGGTGTGAGTGAGACAATAAAAAACCGAATAAGAAAAATAAATTGTAAAATGATAGAAGGATTCTGTACTGAGACTGCTCCGCAGCTGGAAATTTTATTTAGGTAATGCTTACTTGGTATACTTTATGCAAAATAATAGCAGAGAAACATGGAAAACATTCTCTTAATATACACAAACACACATATTCATAAGAAAAAGCCCTTTTCCTTCAGTCAAAGAGTGACAAACAAATGTGCACTTTAAATTTTAAATTAAAATATAAAATGTTGAAAGTATGTATTTGTGATTTTTGTTTCTCAGGTTTACAACCTGAGAATCAGAAACTTAAGAGTTTCTCTGTTTTTGACACATGGATGTGGCACAAGTTCTTTTAAACTCTCTTTACTGAGGCTCCTTTAAGCATCCCACATTACTGGACAAAGGCCAAGTGCTGTGTGATTAAGAAGCACATTATTGAGAGGATGGCAACATTTTAATAAAATATATATTCCAAAGCTCCATAATAAAGACACTCTACTGATAATGAGTGACTTGCAGGAAACAGTAGCTGATTAGCCCCCAAACCCCTGGATATAGAGGTGCCCATCGTTACCTATACAAGAGGTTCCACTGATGTCTGTGGTGTAGCCAACCTTGCAGAAGCATCGGAATGAGCCCATGGTATTGATGCACTGACCATTGGTGCAGAGGTTTGGCATTACCTTACATTCATCAATATCTGTGGACCAAAACAACAAAAACAATCAGGAGTTAACATATATGCAAGGGTAAAACTGGTTAGAATCAAAGAGAAATGAAGAAATGGAGATGACATAACTAACTGCAAACATTCCTAATAGCACTGGAGCACCTGTTCATCATTCAGGTGAACAGCAACATGGATGTGATGGAAAAATAATCTCAAGTGATGGGAGGGGATAAAGGGAGACTCTGGTGAAAGCCCTGTTTAAGACTACCCATTTTGCAATCTAAGCATGAATGATTTTGGGGGGAATCTAGAAAGCTACCCCCTCAAAGTCCATCCCTTAAAAAGTGTGTGATCTTGGGAAAATTACTTATTGTTACCTTAGCTTTGTGCTTCATTTTCCTCATCTGTTAAAATGGGAATAATACATTCTACCCCTTAGGTCTGATACGAAGATTAACTCCTAAAATCTCTAAAGCATTAGCAAAGATTATTCTTTCTATATACATATATATGAAAACACACATCAAATATAAATATCAAGGTATAAACATTTTAGCTACTCTTTTGATTGTATCAATTTTTCACTTTTCCTTCACATTTATCTGAATTCATAAAATTTAATGTGTTGATTATATGAATAAATTTCCTCAACTCCTTACCTCTTCCATCAGTTGTATATCCTGGGCCATGAGGACATATCTTTTTGTACTGGGCAGTTCCAGGAAGTGGGCAAAGCTCGCACTGGTGGCCCCAGCCTCGCCCACCATCACAGCAGCATTCTGACTTAGTGACGAGATTGCGACTACTGGATGCCATTTGACATATTGTCTGCAGTACCTCTGCAAAGCAGAGACCCTGTCGATTGTCTGAAATGGCAAAGTAGAAAGAGTTAAGGATGCGGAACTGACATTTCATTATCCTGGCTTTCAAATTAAGCAGGGCAGTCAAGAATTTCCTCCTTAGGAATAATTAAGACAGCTTAATGTCTTAATTATTTAAGTTTTGCTGGCAGTTAAGTTCATAGCATATTCTTTCACTACAGACTACAGTCTATTAAATTTGACAAAAAGTGATACTATACTTTAGAAATAGATAGATTTTTTCCTCCAATCCATTGCCAACTAAATGATAGTGACCTACCATTTCTGTAGAATACAAGTGAAAGGAAAATCAAATTAAATTATTTTCCTTTAAACAAATGAGTGCCAGGATTAGTTTCTGGAAAGCAAACTCTAGACTATATTTTATGAGCTTGGTACTTATTCAATCTGATATCTCATATTTTCTACATCTGAAAGACTGTTCAAACACTTGGACTGAGTAGATTTTATAAAAATATAAATAAAATTATTTTTTTCAGATTTAAAAGCCAATTAAATCTTTAATACAGTTTTATAAACAATCCTAGCCAAACTGTTAATAAAATGAACAGAAAATTACACTTTATATGTAGGTTACTTTTCCTATTTCCTAAAAGACTGATGTTAGTTAGTAAAGGTATAGATTAGAGATAACAATAAACAAAAAATGTTTTTTTGATCAAAAATTTCTTGGAATTTGAAGCATATGACGTCATTCAGAAAAAAATGTGATATAGTTGAAATACTCTTTTTATGTTAAATCAAGTGATGAGTCAAACAGCTTAGCGCTCTTATTTCTTTGTTTACCTTGAATTTTACTACAGCACACTTTTTGCAGCTGCCATAATTAACTACAATGATTTATAATGTATGCATTTTAACATTAAAATAAAATATAATGTCTGAGATGTATATTTCCCATAAAAAGGTTTTATAAAACATTTTTTTCTGTACCACAATATAAAAAGTAACCTTCCCTGCATTTTTGAAATATGGCATTTATTTTGCATTAATTGTGGCAGAGCTTACCTCATATTGCAAATATTTTCTTTTGGAATTAAATCATCCTCTGATGTAAGTTTTACTAAAGCCAAATTTTCCAAAGAACTTAATTAATCTTAATTTTGGAAAGACTATTTAAGATTGTTATTTACATTACACATAGATGTGCATATAACACACACATGTACAAATATATCATTTTAATAGATGTGCATCTTTAAGAAGAAGCATGTGGATTATTGAGATTGGGGGATTTGTTTAGCAGACAAGAATATATATGTGGAGCTCTTCTGTGATGACATCATGAACAGATGTTTTATCTACCAAGTATAATATATTTGGATGTCAACTTACCAAGGCATTCAGTGCCTGAAGAACTTGACTGGAATCCTTCATTACACTCACATCTATAGCTTCCAATAATGTTAACACAACGTCCATTTTCACAGATTCCTGGCTTGGTCCTGCATTCATTTTCATCTTTAGAAAAACAAACAATATGAATAATGAGAAAACTGTCAAATTATAGTTTACAAGCTATCTTCTAATGGGTTATATCTTATTTAACACTTCTTTGCCAAAATACTAATATGATGAGATTAAAAATGGTCATGTGTGAATATTAATTTATTTTTAGCTTTACTTCATCCTTCTTGGTGGGTTCTTTCTTAAGATAATGTTGTCTTCTTCTTTCTTTTCTTTATCCTCTGCAGAGAAGGGATAGTGTTAATATATAGAATTGAAAATTGGCCTCCAAAAGGAATAGAATTGCCCTGAGACACCAGGCAAGGATGGGAACTCTGGGGAAAAGAATGTCAGTTTCTGTGATATTAGAGAAAGGTGTGGGGAGAGGGATGGTGGGTGTTGGGTATGGGTGATGAGTACAGTAAAAGCCTCACAGGCCAGGAATAAAGGACAAGCTGCTAAATTGGTTTTGAGTAAAATCACAGGAACAACTATGGTCTGTGAGGGTAGTTAATGGGAGAGGCAGTTTAAGTAATACTGCTCTTTTGGTTGGTGATAAATAAACCTACTTCAACAAAATTGTTTTCACTAAAATTCTCTATATCCTTACTTTTTGTGCTTTTTTGATATTTTGTAAATTTTGTTTGAGGTTTCTTTCAAAGCTGTGTTGTTAGGAGCATAAGAGAGCGCATGACAATTACATCTTTTTGATAAATGGCTCCTTTCATCTTTATACTTAAAATTTTTAAAAATTTACTGACATTTATATTTGCATGCACTTTGCTTTTATTAGTATTTGCCTTGAATATTTTTATTTTCAACCTATCTCAGATTTCAATTTTGGTACTACAATTCTATTAAAGAGAACCTAGCAGAATTCTTAAAAACACATTTATCTTTTAACCAGCAGTTTAAACCACTTATATCTGTCATGATTACTGATATGTTTAGAGTCTCACCTGACATTTTATATTGTTTTATATTTACTGTGGGATTGCCCTCTTCCTATGCCCTCCTTTTCCCTATGAACTCATATTTGGAAGTCACAGTCTTCTTTCAATTCTTACAGTGGAAACCACTGAACAACTTCAACACACATTCTTAATGAATAATTTTCTATCAATGCCAAGAAGTATCTGTTTTGAAAGCTCTCGGCCATAGTAAGCACCTTTGCATAAATTTACTTATCTCTGCTCTCTCCCTGAACCACCTGCCATGTTGATGTTATCTAGAAGTTTTGGTTTGTTAGATTTTTAGTGTGCCATCAGCATCTGTTTAAATTAATGAGGCTTACTGGTTTCTTGGCTCACCATTGGTCCACTTATATTATTTCTTCCACTTTAATTAATTTAAAAAAATTAGTGTATGTAGTTTGGTGATTATTTATTTATTTATTTATTTGAGACAGAGTCTCGCTCTGTCGACCAGGCAGGAGTGCAGTGGTGCAATCTTGGCTCATTGCAAGCTCTGCCTCCTGGGTTCACGCCATTCTCCTGCCTCAGCCTCCTGAGTAGCTGGGACTACAGGCGCCCGCCACCACGCCCAGCTAATTTTTTTATTTTTATTTTTAGTAGAGACAGGGTTTCACCATGTTAGCCAGGATAGTCTCAATCTCCTGACCTCGTGATCCGCCTGCCTCGGCCTCCCAAAGTGCTGGGATTACAGGTGCGAGCCACCGTGCCCGGCAGGTAATTATTTAAGAGGGCTATAAGTATTCTAAAACAGATTTCTGACCATGTCTTCTTTTGTTTTCATACTTGATTGAGTATAGCATTTTAGTTCAAAATTATTTTCCCTTAGAATGCTTTCAAAATACAGCTCCTTTATTATTATTTTTTAAACCAGTGTTACTGTTCATTTGTAAGAAATCTGGTTTTTCTCTCTGGAAGTTTTAAGGATTTTCATTTTCTTCTTAGTGTTTTGAAATTCACCATGATGTGCCTCCTGTGATTATTTTTTTCCTTTTTTAGAAAAAAACACTTACTTCAGAAATTTAAAGGTATATACAAAAGTAATGAGTTATGAATTAAAAAGTTTTTTTAGTTTATTATTTCTAGAATCTGAGGGTGCAAGGTCTGTTGCCTTGGTCTAATCCTATCCTTAATGTCATTCACCCTGATTTTGAATTGTATTTGATTTGTCTGAATTATTTTTTTTCAAAAAGGGCTTTTGAACTAAAAGCGTTCTTGGAAGAACTCAGGATATACTGCCTGAGTTCTTCCAAGTTTGATTATGTATAATACAGTTTCTTCTGTAGTACATAATTTGTGCTTCAAATTCTTAGATTAATTTTGCTTTATTGACATTGGCATAAAGAATTACTGAGAAGAGGTTGAAAAAAAGTTGCCTGATTCTTTTTTCTGTTGAAATTTGTAACTTTAATAGGGTGTATCTTGGAGTGATGTTGCTCTACCTAAATAATGTTGATTTCCAGCATTGTACTTTCTACCCTTTGACAATTTGTGGGCTGCAGCAGGATTGTCAATTATCGACCTTTCCATTGTCCATCACTCTTGTCCGATGCTCCCCTACTTCTACCTACTCTATGTCCAATCCAGTGCAGCATGACAGCCTAGAGGAAAACAGGCTTCATTTCAATGAGACTCAAGACTCAAGACTCAAATCTCAAATGGGTACATGATCCTCCGTCAACAATCCTACTATACTTCTTAGTATCTTCACACTCTCACTTTCTAAAATGACATTACACACTCAGACACATCAGACATCTCTCCCCTATGAACCACTGGGCTATGCCCTCACTTTCAACCTTTTGTCTTCTTCCAACAGCTAAACTATCTTTGTTTTTTCTCCAAGGCCAGCTCTTGCACCGGTACTCTAGATTGCCTTCCCAGATTTCACAATACTCCCTTTTCAAGGAATCATTCCCTCAGCATAAATTCTCTAGTAACTTTCATCTTAAAACAATACAAAAAACTCTCTTATTCACCTATTACCCCTGTGGCTACTGCCACATGTATTGATTCACTTTCAGAACAAAATTTCTGGAAGAATGATCCATGGCGATAAATTCCACTTCCTCATCACTGATTGTTTCCTTAATGTGTGTGCTCCACTGAAACCTCCTGAAGAAGTCACCAAATCTAATTACAACTCTATGTTACTCTACATCTTAGTAGCATCATACAAAAGCGGCCACTTTAGTTCTCAGGACATCACACGGACATGGAGAACTTCCTATCTTGCTGGCTACTCTTTCTTAGTCTCCTAATATTTTTAGTCTCTCTAAATATTGGAACAACCAGAGTCCAGTGTCCTGGGAAGGAGCCCTGCTCCTCCTACTCTCCAGGATCTCTCTCTTGGTGTTCTCAGTCAATCCCATAATTTTTCAAACACTATCGATTTGCTAGCAATTTACATCTATGGCTCATAAATATGTCTGCTGACTTGATATTCCCACTTGGAAAGCTAGAACATATCTGACACTGAGCATGACCAAAACAGAACTTTTATTCTTCTGTGTCCCCAACGAAACCTGTTTCTTCCAATCTTTTCCATATCAGTTAACAGTAGCATCAAGTAAATTATTATACTAAGCTAATTTACTTTAGTCACTCAAGCAAAAATCCTGGGACTTATCTTTTATACATATTCAATCAATCCATCAGAAATCCAATCTGTTGATTATTTCCAATACATTTTCTGAATCTGTCCACTCCTTTTCCACACTATGGTGGCCCTAATCTGAGCCTCCTTTTTCTCTCGTCTGGATGTTTAAGACAGTCACCTAAATGAAACCCTTGTTTCTGCTACCACCTCCTTCAAATCCATTACCTATAAGGCAGCCAGATATCTTTAAAAATGTGTAAAATAGGAAATAACAACTAATACTTAATTGAAATTTTACTCTATGCCAAGCATTGTACTAAGGGTTTCATGTGAATTTTTTAATTTAACCCTCCCAATAATCCTATGAAAGTGTGCTCAAAATTCCTATTTGTTTTTACATGAGGAATCTGAGGCACATATTTAAGCCAACTTGCCCAGGGTCACAGAGCTAGCACACATGAACCTAGATTGCTAACATTCATAGTCCATCCCCAGGGCCCATACTCTGAGTCACTCTGCCGTAACACTTTTAGCATAAAACCAAATTCTTTTCCATGGTATTTGCCTACCTTTAGACCCACTTCATGCCACTCTCCTGCACAAGCTTCAGCTACACTGGTCTTGTGTAATTACTCATCTTTGAACAATTTTCTCCAGTTCAGCTACTGGCTGAAAAATAGTGTAGCTGGTCACGGGTCCTAAAGTGGGCCTAATGTGTAGTTTCAATTCATGTTTGTTGTATGAACATCCTCTCACCAAATCTGCCATGCTCTCTACCCTTGAGGCACTACACTCGGGCTTTCAGGTAATTTAGGGAGTCGTGTGGCTCTGATAAAGTTCTTAAAGCCTTAGAATCTCTGATAGTTGCTGCTTCTCCTCTTCCTGCCTCACCTCCGGCAGTCTCCATGTCTAGAAGACTAGTTTGTTGATAATTAAATAGCATCCCAGTATTTTCTCCTTTGCATCTACCTATTTTCACACTGCAGTGTAGAAATGGGTCTCTACAAAAACACTCCATACTTTTCTCATTTGCTTATGTCCCTGATCTTCTAATCAAAGATTGTTGGATAAACTTTAAAAAATTGGGACAGTCTGCCAAAGTCTAAAGAAGAAAATTTAATGATCTTGGTAAAAAAATGTTCTACTTATCAGATTTCTTGATTCATTTATTTGTTTAAGAAATAATTACTGAGGCATAATATATTGCATAGTCAAGTTTCCGTCTCTGATTAGGTTTATGGTTTTCATTAAAGAGGTCTTAGATTTCCTGTATAACTTTAATTCCCTTAACTGTAATACTTTTAGTTTCCGTTGCAATCGACTTTTTTGGGTAAGTTTGATTCCAATTTCATGCATTGGCATTTTTATTGATTTTTTTTGTGGCTTTATTTTTCATCCTGACTTTTGTAAATACTTTTTCTTTGTAATAATATTTTTACTGTTTTTAAACTGGAATTTCTAGTTGTGAAAACACATTGTTTGCATGAAAGTGTTCTACAAAGAGTTTTGTGATGATCAAAAAAATTTTGCAGACATTTCAGCTATCAGCATGGTATAATGAAAAGCTTGAAGATCAGAAAAGTTTCAGAACCTGTATCTTTTGTAGTGCTGTTTAACAACGAAAAGAATACAAATGTAGAATGCTGCTCTTGGTCTTTTCTTTGAAAAAGTAAGTTCAGAGGATGATAGAATTTTAGAGCTAGAGCAGATGCACCCTTCCCAACACCCACCCCCACCACTCCTATCAATCATGCAGACTAAGTTTCTCACTGTATGCAGATGAAGGAACTGAAGAACAGAGAATTGAATCACTTGCAAGTCATCCAGATCATTTATGGCAGATCCATGACCAGAAACCTGTGTTCTTAATCTGATCACAGTGCTTACTCCCTCTTTCCCAACAACATATCTTTAAATGTAATAAAGATAGTATAATATAAAATTCAGCTAGTTATAAAAATAAGAAATTTCCATGCATAAAAATTAAAACACATTTTTAAGTATTTTAGCCAATCTGATTAAACATAGCACATACATACATTGTTTTCATTCAAATAAATTAAAAGAGAAATGAATGAAAAGAAATTTCATGTACAGTAAGAAGACACGATGATTAAGAATGCTGATTTCCTTTCTTCCATACATGGTTATTAGCATTTTGCCCTGTGCTAGATTTGGAGGAACACATATGACTTAGGAGTTTAGGTTAATCTTCTGGGATAACAGATCTTGGAAGAATAGTGTTTTTGAAAGAATCACTGCATAACTACACCTCCTATGTACGTCTATTTTTAACTTTATTAAGTACTATATTTGAATGAAATATCTAACAAATGAAAAGAAACTAAAAAATCCAATTATAATTTGTTGTATATATAATTTTTTATATGACACATGTAATTCAGAATAGTTCAGAAACTCACTCTTTTGTAAAATAATTAAAATTGACAGATACAGCTAAAATCACCTCAGACTAGTTACTTCTAATCTCGATGTCTTCCCTAGCAGTAATTCCTTCTATGAATTAGGGTTTACCTTTTTCAATGTTTTTCTATATATTTACTTGGTTACATATGTACCTACAGAACACATATAGTTTTATTTACAATTTTCTTTAAAATATGAAAAATCAAAAGGGCATGTATTCTTGAGCAGGCATAAATGCCACAATCCAGAACCTATTATATTAGCAGAGACCCTGAGATGGAAGAAAGCTAGCTGTATCACTGCCTTAACACAGCTGGAAAAAGAGTTGGCTTGCAGTTAAGATGATGTGGGAGTAGTGCCATTAATGAGGCTGGGAGTGGAGGCATTACATAAGCAGACACCTTCCCTTACCGCTTACCTACACAGCCTTCTCCATCGGGCCTTCGGGCCATTCCAGGAGGGCAGATGCACATGAAGGTGCCGATTAGATTCTTACACATCATGCCCCTAGATTCACAGTCGTGTAACCCTTCAGCACATTCATCCAGATCTAGAACAAAAAATAAAAATTAAAAATTATCTGGAGCAAGCTGTAGTTTAGTACTTTTAAGTCACAGGTGTGGTCTTCTGACACTTAACATGTAATTTTATGGTGGGACAGAGAAAGGAGAAGCCCAGCCATTGTCAGCTGTTGGCTATATTCCAGATGTGTAAGTTTCAGCACTGCTCATAGTGATAAGAAGTTTAGGGAAGGGCAATCTTTGCCTTAATAAGAATCCAAGAGTGTGAGAATAGTGGGCTTCTCAACCCATCTTATCTCGGACTTGATTTTACAAAAATACCATCATGTGTCTTGTTATCTAGGTATGGAAATCTACTAGCAAAATGCTGTCATATATATATTTCTGTAAAGCTCTAGAAGAAATTAGTTGAGAACTATAAAATCATTAAGATGTATCTCCAGCATGACAAATAAAGTTCGAACTACTCCCGAGTCTGAGGCCTTACCTTTGCACATCTTTTGATCTTCCCTGAGGGCATAGCCAATCGGGCACGTGCATTCATAGGACCCAAAAGTGTTCATGCAGCGGAAAGCACACAGCAGTGGGTTCTGGGCACATTCGTTGATATCTGACCAAAGGAATGGACAGGAATGTGCTCAGCCTAGAGTTCTAATTATTTGTGTAACTAAATGTTGATGTCATTTACTTGGCGGTCATACACAAAGCAATAGAATAGTAGAACTTACACATCTGGTACGCAGAATTTAGTACCTAACAAACTCATCTTTAAAAATAACAGCTATAAACTCCGGAAAGAATATAAAAAGTACCTGAAGTTTTTAGTGGTGAGCTGAAACTCAGAGCAAACAACCAGTAGGGAGTAATTTCACATTGATTTGGCTTCTATTTTTCTGAAATTACCCTCCAGATGACCATGGCCTGGCAGTGCTGTCATCTGGTAGCTAACTCTCCAGAAGAAACTTTCTGAGATTCCATCCAGAGGAAGGAGGGGAGGGAATCTTAGGGCAACCAAGTCTGCTAAAGAAAGGGAACCCAGGAAAGAATGCCAGGGAAGGAGAAATACTATTTGTTTTTCATCTAGTCAGCTCAAGTGGCATGACTGTACTATGCATGTGTGGGGCAAAATCAAGAATGCTAGTGAGTAAGGTTTAAAGAACTGACAGATGAGCCACCGCCCTTCTGAGGCCTGAGGGTCTGCTATTGTGCCTACCAGAGTTGACTGTCTGCTAAGACAAATACATCAATATTCTTCAGAGTAATATAACTGATTTCGAAGCATATCATTCACAATATCCAGAGTATAAATCCAACATTAACCAATATACTGAAAAGGCAGGAAACTGTGACTCCATTTCAAGGGAATAGACAATCAAGAGATGCCAACCCTGAGATGACCCAGATGCTGGAATGATCAGACAAGGGCTTTACAGCAGCTATTTTAACTGTACTAAAGGAAAACTAAAAACCAACCAACCAAACAAAAAACCCAAAAAACAAAAAACCCCACCGTATGCTCACCAGCAGAATATCAGAAGCAATATAAATAAATATTGAGACATTAAAAAACACTTTCTATGTCAAGAAGAAATAATATTTAAGACAAAGATCACTTGCCTTCACAATTCATCATGGGCCCTGGCTCAAAGCCTTCATTGCAATTGCATTCAAAACTCCCAATAACATTGGTGCATGTACCATTTCCACACGGATTGCCGATTGAACACTCATCAGTATCTGAAAAAGAAGAATAAGAAACTGCCACAAAGATGTTTTAGTTTAACAGGAGAATGCCCAGGAAGACCCATGCTTGGCCCTCACCCATTTCCAGGATCTGAGAAGGGCACATGTAACCCTGGCATCCCTTGGGCCTTGGCTGGCTGGCAGCTATGTAGTGCAGAGGGTCTGAAGGATCAATGTGCAATGCTCTGGCCCCCAGGCAGCAATACTCGCCCTAAAGATGACAAATCCAGAAGAAGAATGTGGTCCTCTGCTTCAAGAGCAGGCATGGAAGGGCATAAAGTAAAATGGATTTCTTATCCAATGAGAGATTTTGGCAATTGTAAGTCTCTAGGACACATAAGATTTTGTATGTTTGGTTGAAGACAGAGGTTGTTAACTCTCTCCATCTTCACATAAATCAGGTCTGACTGGAAAATGTAAGACTGGTGAAGAAGGTGCCACTACTAGCTATTTATCCTGGATTTGTAAATCCCCCCATCACCCAGGGTACCTGAGAGACCTTTTACTGAATATGAGAAGTAAAATAGAACTTTAAAATTCTGTAATGTGGAGCCAACACTCACCCACACAGCGTACTCCAGTGTAGTCAAGGTTGTAGCCCATTGGACATTCACAGCGAAAAGATCCGTCGGTGTTGATACATTGACCATTTGAACAAATGCCTGGGCTCTCAAGACACTCATTGACATCTAAAATATAGAACTGCATGTGAATTTCCTCATATAAAAAGATATGCCGGCCAGGCGCAGTGGCTCATGCTTATAAATCCCAGCACTTTGGGAGGCCGAGGTGGGTGGATCACCTGAGGTCAGGAGCTTGAGACCAGCCTGGGCAACATGGCGAAACCCCATCTCTACTAAAAATACAAAAAAAAATTAGCCAGGCATGGTGGCGCACACCTGTAGTCCCAGCTACTTGGGGAGACTGAGGCAGGAGAATCACTTGAACCCAGGAAGTGGAGGTTGCAGTCAGCTGGATCGCACCACTGCATTCCAGCGGGCAACAGAGTGAGACTCCACCTCAAAATAAATAAATAAATAAATAAAATAAAAATAAAAAGATATGCCAGTACTGTGTATGTCTATTCAACACAGACTTGTAAATACTTCTTTTGTCAGAGAAATATGTATTTCATATATCACGATATAATCTTATGATATATGTATAATGTATATGATACAAAATAAGGGTTATATACATCCATTAAATACAATATACTATATGTTACATAGTAAAGTTAGCATGAGTTATAAAATAAATGTAAAATAATACGTGTGTATTAAATAAGAATATAGGAATAAAATATATCAAAGCGTACCTTCACGTGTATCATGAAGACTAGGGACAGTTCCATGGCCATATGGACACAAATCCTGAAATGCAACTACAAAGAAAAATACAAATTCTCCATTATTGAAGACTTGAAATTATCAAAGAACTTAAGAAAGGATGAACAATATACATGAAATTACACTTAATTATGTTTCCATTACAAAGCTGTCTATAACAAGACTCTTTTATTTTTATGATTTATTTCAAAAGCATATTTAGTGAGGGCCACCTTCTAGGGTGCCACCTGCTCAGTGCTCCTGGTTCTTTCTGTTTGCTCATTTAAAGCTGAGCAGCTAAAGAGAACTTCCCTGCCCATCACACTCAGAAGCCATCCCTAACCCAGAGGCCAAGCCAGCTGGAGTTTGCTGGGAATTATCCTATAATTTATGGGTGCCAATGAGACCTGAGGCTATTGATCTTTTCCTGTAAAGGGCCATTGTGCTGACTCAGCTTCTCAGAATTTAATGTAACATTCTGAGAGCCACAGCCTGTGATACAATGCCCACATGGGACTCCTGGAGCAACCTGGAATATAATTTCCATTCCCTTCTTTCTCCTGCCTTGGACCTCTCAAATTCGTACTTTTGAAAGCAAGTAATACTAACCTTGGAGGTGGGGAATGAAATAAAAGGGTAACTCCACCTGTGCTTAGACATGTCTTATTCAAAAGCTGAAAGAAGTTTCTCAGGCTAGGTTGTTCAATGAACCATCAAAACTTATATGCAAGGAGATGATTTCACTCTCAAAATATTCTTAAATTACATGGTTAAACCCACTCTGGCAAACATTCAAAAACTGGTACACAAAGTGCTGTCTGATGATGTCATTGCTCTTACCTTCATCGTCTTTGGGGCACAGCTCACAGGGGTCCCCCCAGCCCTCTCCTGGCATCTTACTACAGCAGCATTTTGCTTTTGTGGTGTTGAAAGCTTTGGGTACAGAACACTTTCCATTTTCAAAATTTGTGAAGCAGAAGCTCTGGCGAGTATCTAATCAAAAAAGCAAACATTACAGATGGAATTATTTTGTAACACTGTTTGGACAGAACATTTCTCATTGTAGAACACGGGATGCAGACTAGATCAGCAGTTAAGGCAGGTCTGGAAATCTTCGATTGCTGATTTCATTTGCCAATTTAGACTGACCTGGCTATAAAATTATTTAATTATTTAATATGCTTAAAATATTTTTATAATGTGCTAAGAAAATTCGAGAAATCATGCTCAGTATCAAAGTGATTTCCACACAGAGTCTCTTTTTTCACTGTTGCATGATAGTCTAAGAAAAACAATCAAGGTAACTTTCAGTAAGTTACATCACATCAAAAGCATCACATACACCAACAAACAAAAAAGCTATGACAACAACAAAATTAACATAGTCATTCTGATAAATCAGAATAAGAATTTTTCTTTTAGTAAAAAAATTTATAAAAATGTAGAAACAGTGGCAATAATTCAAAGTACCTTAAAAATTGTTCATTGCTTATGTTTGAGACCTAAATTTTTAACTTGCAGATGTATTTTAGCATAGACATGTATTTTGTTAGGACTAATACCAGCATGATGGTTTACAATTCAGCTTTAAAGTTTCTAAGCGTGAACTGTGACAGTGAAGTCATGCCAAATCTTACCAAAGCATCTCCGTCCATTATCAGATAGTACAAAGCCAGGGGGGCAGAGGCACTGGAAGCCCCCTGGAGTATTAGTACAGGAACCAAAAAGACAAATGTTGGGATCTTCATCACATTCATTTATATCTGCAGAACAGGGGGAGTATTTATTAGCCATTCAACACTTGAAAATAAACAATTGTCCATACTATCACTGTCCACTAGCCAGCTGATATTTCAGACAAGAGATATTACGTTGTATGTTTAACTTATTCATAAAAATAAACTATTATTGCTTCAGAAGTCAAAAGTTGTAATTTCAACCAACCATGTGCCAGAGAGTCCCAAGTCCATGTCCACCTTCCTGTCTTTGATCTTTAGGGGTGTATGTATGTCTACCTGCCTACCTGACATGAACAACTCCATGTCTCATGGGCATTGCAGGCTCCATGTGGCCAAATGTTCTATGAACTGGTCCCCTTCTCCCTGATAACTCTCTCTCAGTAATCCAAATTGTGATCCCCATGTCACCCCTATTTCTCTCCTTTTTTCACTCCACATGCAAGCAGAATGTGGCAGCCATTTCTACCTCCTCAGTACTTCCACAGCCATCATCATTTGCCACCAGTCTCTCAACTGATGTCTACATCTCCTGAATGTCTTCTTCTTGTCACATTGCCACCAGGGCTGCCTTTCTAAAACGTCCATCTGATTACATTTGAAAATCTGTGCCTATGGAAATGGAGGGCTGAGACATATTTTGACAGTGTTATCATTTCCCCCTTTCCCCAGAACGCTTCCTTAAAATAAATAAGCATGCCTGCCTGACTAGTGATTTTTCGTCGTTTTTTTTGTGGGAAGTACTTATTTAATGGAATGTTTTAATCACATGAAAAAATACTACTTTTCAGGCACATTAGAACGTAAGCTCCATGAGGACATGACATGTCTGTCTGGCTCGCTGTTGCACCTTTAGCTCCTAGCACGGTATCTGGCACACACAAGTTCTCAATTTATGTTGGTAGAAGTTTAACAAAAGAGTCATCACATCCCTTCTATAAAACAACAAAAAACTGCAGAAACCAACACCACCGCCACCACCACCAACAACAAAAAAAACAAACACAACAACTCCTGCAATGGCTCCACGCTGACCGCAGGCCTGAGTTCAATCTTCTGAGCCAGCCATTCTATGCTCCTTGTCGTGCTCATGCTGCCTATGTTTCCAAATAGCCTCTTCTGTTCTCTTTCTTTGGTTGATCAGTAAAATCCTATCCAACATTTAAGAGTGACCTAGACAATCATCAATCCTCTGTGACAGGCTTTCTTGAACTGCCACCCTCTCACAACTACCATAATGATCCCTAACCTCCTGCGGTGCTCCCATCTCCTGAACAGACCTCCAGTACAATGTCTGTCACATTGTATTATAAGGATGTCTTCACAAAACAGGTTTATTTACAAAATAGGTCTCTCCCCTTAGGTAGTAAGTTACCCCAAAGCAAAGATGATGTTCCTGTATTTCTAGCACCTAGAAAGGTGCCAAATGTTCACTGTCATACCCACTGAATGTAGGAATGAATTTATATCTGTGCAGGGTATGTGTACACATATCTATGTCTGTGTATGTGTGTGTGTGGTCATGTTAGAATGTCATCTGGGAAAAGTTGGTAGAAAAGATACTAGTCTGAAGAAAATCTTACAGTGAAGTAAGTTAATTAAAAACCATTTTTTCACACTTTGGGAGGCCGAGGCCAGTGGATCACTTGAGGTCAGGAGTTCGAGACCAGCCTGGCCAACATGGTGAAACACCGTCTCTACTATAAGTACAAAAATTAGCCAGGCGTGGTGGTGGGCACCTGTAATACCAGCTACTTGGGAGGCTGAGGCAGGAGAATCACTTGAACCCAGGAGGTGGGGGTTGCAGTGAGCCAAGATAATGCCACTGCACTCCAGCCTGAGTGACAGAGCGAGACTCCGTCTCAAAAAAAAAAAGTAATAAATTAAAACCATTTTTTCAGAGATGCAAACTAGTGTCATTGCTAACGATAGATGAAGGAAAACGAAATATTTCTGAAACTTAATAAATAATAATATATGATATCTTAATGAAATAAAAGCTATCCATACTTTCATTAAGAGGAAAGGTAGCCAAGACTGCCTAATACAAGGAGGCATATGTATTTCTATTTCCCTCCTAGTGGCTGACACACTACTTTTATTAGCATTCCATAAAGAGAAGGATCACAGAGACAAAGAAGAATCAAGATTGAGCATGAGCAAAGAAAATGGAAGAACAACAGGATCTTAAACTTTTCTTTTTTTTAATTAATTAATTAATTATTATACTTTAAGTTTTAGGGTACATGTGCACAATGTGCAGGTTAGTTACATATGTATACATGTGCCATGCTGGTGTGCTGCACCCACTAACTCGTCATCTAGCATTAGGTATATCTCCCAATGCTATCCCTCCCTCCTCCCCCGACCCCACCACAGTCCCCAGAGTGTGATGTTCCCCTTCCTGTGTCCATGTGTTCTCATTGTTCAATTCCCACCTATGAGTGAGAATATGCGGTGTTTGGTTTTTTGTTCTTGCGATAGTTTACTGAGAATGATGATTTCCAATTTCATCCATGTCCTTACAAAGGACATGAACTCATCATTTTTTATGGCTGCAGAGTATTCCATGGTGTATATGTGCCACATTTTCTTAATCCAGTCTATCATTGTTGGACATTTGGGTTGGTTCCAAGTCTTTGCTATTGTGAATAATGCCGCAATAAACATACGTGTGCATGTGTCTTTACAGCAGCATGATTTATAGTCCTTTGGGTATATACCCAGTAATGGGATGGCTGGGTCAAATGGTACTTCTAGTTCTAGATCCCTGAGGAATCGCCACACTGACTTCCACAACGGTTGAACTAGTTTACAGTCCCACCAACAGTGTAAAAGTGTTCCTATTTCTCCACATCCTCCCCAGCACCTGTTGTTTCCTGACTTTTTAATGATTGCCATTCTAACTGGTGTGAGATGGTATCTCATTGTGGTTTTGATTTGCATTTCTCTGATGGCCAGTGATGGTGAGCATTTTTTCATGTGTTTTTTGGCTGCATAAATGTCTTCTTTTGAGAAGTGTCTGTTCATGTCCTTTGCCCACTTTTTGATGGGGTTGTTTGTTTTTTTCTTGTAAATTTGTTTGAGTTCATTGTAGATTCTGGATATTAGCCCTTTGTCAGAGTAGGTTGCGAAAATTTTCTCCCATTTTGTAGGTTGCCTGTTCACTCTGATGGTAGTTTCTTTTGCTGTGCAGAAGCTCTTTAGTTTAATTAGATCCCATTTGTCAATTTTGTCTTTTGTTGCCATTGCTTTTGGTGTTTTGGACATGACGTCCTTGCCCATGCCTATGTCCTGAATGGTAATGCCTAGGTTTTCTTCTAGGGTTTTTATGGTTTTAGGTCTAACGTTTAAGTCTTTAATCCATCTTGGATTGATTTTTGTATAAGGTGTAAGGAAGGGATCTAGTTTCAGCTTTCTACATATGGCTAGCCAGTTTTCCCAGCACCATTTATTAAATAGGGAATCCTTTCCCCATTGCTTGTTTTTCTCAGGTTTGTCAAAGATCAGATAGTTGTAGATATGCGGCGTTATTTCTGAGGGCTCTGTTCTGTTCCATTGATCTATATCTCTGTTTTGGTACCAGTACCATGCTGTTTTGGTTACTGTAGCCTTGTAGTATAGTTTGAAGTCAGGTAGTGTGATGCCTCCAGCTTTGTTCTTTTGGCTCAGGATTGCCTTGGTGATGCGGGCTCTTTTTTGGTTCCATATGAACTTTAAAGTAGTTTTTTCCAATTCTGTGAAGAAAGGCATTGGTAGCTTCATGGGGATGGCATTGAATCTGTAAATTACCTTGGGCAGTATGGCCATTTTCACAATATTGATTCTTCCTACCCATGAGCATGGAATGTTCTTCCACTTGTTTGTATCCTCTTTTATTTCCTTGAGTAGTGGTTTGTAGTTCTCCTTGAAGAGGTCCTTCACATCCCTTGTAAGTTGGATTCCTAGGTATTTTATTCTCTTTGAAGCAATTGTGAATGGGAGTTCACTCATGATTTGGCTCTCTGTTTGTCTGTTGTTGGTGTATAAGAATGCTTGTGATTTTTGTACATTGATTTTGTATCCTGAGACTTTGCTGAAGTTGCTTATCAGCTTAAGGAGATTTTGGGCTGAGACAATGGGGTTTTCTAGATATACAATCATGTCGTCTGCAAACAGGGACAATTTGACTTCCTCTTTTCCTAATTGAATACCCTTTATTTCCTTCTCCTGCCTGATTGCCCTGGCCAGAACTTCCAACACTATGTTGAATAGGAGTGGTGAGAGAGGGCATCCCTGTCTTGTGCCAGTTTTCAAAGGGAATGCTTCCAGTTTTTGCCCATTCAGTATGATATTGGCTGTGGGTTTGTCATAGATAGCTCTTACTATTTTGAGATACGTCCCATCAATACCTAATTTATTGAGAGTTTTTAGCATGAAGCACTGTTGAATTTTGTCAAAGGCCTTTTCTGCATCTTTTGAGATAATCATGTGGTTTTTGTTTTTGGTTCTGTTTATATGCTGGATTACATTTGTTGATTTGCATATATTGAACCAGCCTTGCATCCCAGGGATGAAGCCCACTTGATCATGGTGGATAAGCTTTTTGATGTGCTGCTGGATTTGGTTTGCCAGTATTTTATTGAGGATTTTTGCATCAATGTTCATCAAGGATATTGGTCTAAAATTCTCTTTTTTGGTTGTGTCTCTGCCCGGCTTTGGTATCAGGATGATGCTGGCCTCATAACATGAGTTAGGGAGGATTCCCTCTTTTTCTATTGATTGGAATAGTTTCAGAAGGAATGGTACCAGTTCCTCCTTGTACCTCTGGTAGAATTCGGCTGTGAATCCATCTGGTCCTGGACTCTTTTTGGTTGGTAAGCTATTGATTATTGCCACAATTTCAGAACCTGTTATTGGTCTATTCAGAGATTCAACTTCTTCCTGGTTTAGTCTTGGGAGAGTGTATGTGTCAAGGAATTTATCCATTTCTTCTAGATTTTCTAGTTTATTTGTGTAGAGGTGTTTGTAGTATTCTCTGATGGTAGTTTGTATTTCTGTGGGATCGATGGTGATATCCCCTTTATCATTTTTTATTGCATCTATTTGATTCTTCTCTCTTTTATTCTTTATTAGTCTTGCTAGTGGTCTATCAATTTTGTTGATCCTTTCAAAAAACCAGCTCCTGGATTCGTTAATTTTTTGAAGGGTTTTTTGTGTCTCTATTTCCTTCAGTTCTGCTCTGATTTTAGTTATTTCTTGCCTTCTGCTAGCTTTTGAATGTGTTTGCTCTTGCTTTTCTAGTTCTTTTAATTGTGATGTTAGGGTGTCAATTTTGGAACTTTCCTGCTTTCTCTTGTGAGCATTTAGTGCTGTAAATTTCCCTCTACACACTGCTTTGAATGTGTCCCAGAGATTCTGGTATGTTGTGTCTTTGTTCTCGCTGGTTTCAAATAACATCTTTATTTCTGCCTTCATTTCGTTATGTACCCAGTAGTCATTCAGGAGCAGGTTGTTCAGTTTCCATGTAGTTGAGCGGTTTTGAGTGAGATTCTTAATCCTGAGTTCTAGTTTGATTGCACTGTGGTCTGAGAGATAGTTTGTTATAATTTCTGTTCTTTTACATTTCTGAGGAGAGCTTTACTTCCAAGTATGTGGTCAATTTTGGAATAGGTGTGGTGTGGTGCTGAAAAAAATGTGTATTCTGTTGATTTGGGGTGGAGAGTTCTGTAGATGTCTATTAGGTCCGCTTGGTGCAGAGCTGAGTTCAATTCCTGGGTATGCTTGTTGACCTTCTGTCTCGTTGATCTGTCTAATGTTGACAGTGGGGTGTTAAAGTCTCCCATTATTAATGTGTGGGAGTCTAAGTCTCTTTGTAGGTCACTCAGGACTTGCTTTATGAATCTGGGTGCTCCTGTATTGGGTGCATATATATTTAGGACAGTTCACTCTTCTTGTTGAATTGATCCCTTACCATTAAGTAATGGCCTTCTTTGTCTCTTTTGATCTTTGTTGGTTTAAAGGCTGTTTTATCAGAGACTAGGATTGCAACCCCTGCCTTTTTTTGTTTTCCATTTGCTCGGTAGATCTTCCTCCATCCTTTTATTTTGAGCCTATGTGTGTCTCTGCCCGTGAGATGGGTTTCCTGAATACAGCACACTGATGGGTCTTGAGTCTTTATCCAATTTGCCAGTCTGTGTCTTTTAATTGGAGCATTTAGTCTATTTACATTTAAAGTTAATATTGTTATGTGTGAATTTGATCCTGTCATTATGACGTTAGCTGGTTATTTTGCTCGTTAGTTGATGCAGTTTCTTCCTAGTCTCGATGGTCTTTACATTTTGGCATGATTTTGCAGCGGCTGGTACCGGTTGTTCCTTTCCATGTTTAGCACTTCCTTCAGGAGCTCTTTTAGGGCAGGCCTGGTGGTGACAAAATCTCTCAGCATTTGCTTGTCTGTAAAGTATTTTATTTCTCCTTCACTTATGAAGCTTAGTTTGGCTGGATATGAAATTCTGGGTTGAAAATTCTTTTCTTTAAGAATGTTGAATATTGGCCGCCACTCTCTTCTGGCTTGTAGAGTTTCTGCCGAGAGATCCGCTGTTAGTCTGATGGGCTTCCCTTTGAGGGTAACCTGACCTTTCTCTCTGGCTGCCCTTAACATTTTTTCCTTCATTTCAACTTTGGTGAATCTGACAATTATGTGTCTTGGTGTTGCTCTTCTCGAGGAGTATCTTTGTGGCGTTCTCTGTATTTCCTGAATCTGAATGTTGGCCTGCCTTGCTAGATTGGGGAAGTTCTCCTGGATAACATCCTGCAGAGTGTTTTCCAACTTGGTTCCATTCTCCCCGTCACTTTCAGGTACACCAATCAGACGTAGATTTGGTCTTTTCACATAGTCCCATATTTCTTGGAGGCTTTGCTCATTTCTTTTTATTCTTTTTTCTCTAAACTTCCCTTCTCACTTCATTTCATTCATTTCATCTTCCATCGCTGATACCCTTTCTTCCAGTTGATCGCGTCAGCTCCTGAGGCTTCTGCATTCTTCACGTAGTTCTCGAGCCTTGGTTTTCAGCTCCATCAGCTCCTTTAAGCACTTCTCTGTATTGGTTATTCTAGTTATACATTCATCTAAATTTTTTTCAAAGTTTTCAAGTTCTTTGCCTTTGGTTTGAGTGTCCTCCCATAGCTCGGAGTAATTTGATCGTCTGAAGCCTTCTTCTCTCAGCTCGTCAAAGTTATTCTCCGTCCAGTTTTGTTCTGTTGCTGGTGAGGAACTGCGTTCCTTTGGAGGAGGAGAGGCGCTCTGCTTTTTAGAGTTTCTAGTTTTTCTGCTCTGTTTTTTCCCCATCTTTGTGGTTTTATCTACTTTTGGTCTTTGATGATGGTGATGTACAGATGGGCTTTTGGTGTGGATGTCCTTTCTGTTAGTTTTCCTTCTAACAGACAGGACCCTCAGCTGCAGGTCTGTTGGAGTACTGGGCCGTGTGAGGTGTCAGTCTGCCCCTGCTGGGGGGTGCCTCCCAGTTAGGCTGCTCGGGGGTCAGGGGTCAGGGACCCACTTGAGGAGGCAGTCTGCCCGTTCTCAGATCTCCAGCTGCGTGCTGGGAGAACCACTGCTCTCTTCAAAGCTGTCAGACAGGGACATTTAAGTCTGCAGAGGTTACTGCTGTCTTTTTGTTTGTCTGTGCCCTGCCCCCAGAGGTGGAGCCTACAGAGGCAGGCAGGCCTCCTTGAGCTGTGGTGGGCTCCAAACAGTTCGAGCTTCCGGGCTGCTTTGTTTACCTAAGCAAGCCTGGGCAATGGTGGGCGCCCCTCCCCCAGCCTCACAGTTTGATCTCAGACTGCTGTGCTAGCAATCAGTGAGACTCCATGGGCATAGGACCCTCCGAGCCATGTGCGGGATATAATCTCCTGGTGCGCCGTTTTTTAAGCCCGTCGGAAAACCGCAGTATTCGGGTGGAAGTGACCCGATTCTCCAGGTGCCGTCTGTCACCACTTTCTTTGACTAGGAAAGGGAACTCCCTGACCCCTTGCGCTTCCCGAGTGAGGCAATGCCTCGCCCTGCTTTGGCTCGTGCACAGTGCATGCACCCACTGACCTGCGCCCACTGTCTGGCACTCCCTAGTAAGATGAACCCAGCACCTCAGATGGAAATGCAGAAATCACCCGTCTTCTCCGTCACTCATGCTGGGAGCTGTAGACCGGAGCTGTTCCTATTTGGCCATCTTGGCTCCTCCCCCCTTAAACTTTTCAAGAAACTTCTCACTGAGATGATTCTAGTATTATTGTTTATTATTTTTTAAGTATTAAAAACACTAGTCTTATAATGAACTATACAAATCAGAAAATCAGAATGACTAGGGGATACCCATGGTATCTAATTATGTGGTCTGAAGAATAATTAAATTCTATGAAGTAAACTACTTCCTTCTGCCCTATTTAACTCCCTTAAATATGAACAGTAGAATGACATATCTTTAGGTAGAATCTTGCCAAGGGCGATAGAATTGGATAATTCAAAGGCAGAAAATATCCTTAGCATCTTTTCACGTTAGAAAAACCACACTAAAATGCTGGTGCTTCTGAATTTCAACAAGGCTGTAAAAAATAATTTGTATAAAAGTGAAATAAAGTGAACTGTAAAAAAGGTCGGACTTCATCATGTCCACTAGGCAATTCTGGGACACACTTTTGATGTGGTTACAGTGTTCGTGTGTGCTGGAAGGGTTTCAACAGAAAAACATCTGTTATGACAAATGGATTAATATTTGCTGCTTTGACATGAGGCCTTCCCAAGAAAAAGAATGTCTCAACAGCATTGTCGAGATTTTTCTGCTTCACATTTCTAAGACCCTAGACACCTTTAATAGCTGTTTTAAAACTGGGTGCCAAAGATTACAATTTTTGTAGACACTCTTTAAATTCACTGAAAGTCGCTGCTGACATTTGGAAAAAAGATTAATTAGCATATGCTGAAAATTCTTTGACTAGCATTAGATTTCTGGTAATGAAAAAATCCTACATCCCTAAGTTTTTTATTCTCACCATCATTTCTGATGGTTCAGTAAAACAGATGTAGGCAGCTATATGTTTAATTCCTTAGGTCAGCATGCTTGCAGTGGTTGGCACTTAGTATGTTTCCAGAGTCTTTACCATGTCTTACTATACTGAACTACTAGTGGGCCTCAGAATAAATGTTACTCTTACCAATGCAGTTCTCGCTTTTTACTTCATACCCTGGGGGACAGATGCATCTGAAGGATCCCTCCAAATTCTGACAGGTACCAGGAGAGCAAGAGCCGGGAAGGGCGACACACTCATTAGTGTCTTTAGAGAAAAAGAAGAGAAAAAATAATTTAAGCATGAGATAATTGTTACATAGATTTATCTGTCTGCCAAATGATATTAACATGAATTCAACTCGGGTCCTCTGATCTACTGGGTCACCATGAACAAATATTACCAAAGATACTCTTCTGACATCTTGGATATTTCTTATTTGGCAAGTGGCTAATTTTCTTTATTTGTTGTCTTTGCTTACTTTTCTTAAGACATGGACAGCCTCAAGCTCTGTCCCCAGTAAAAACACTGCCTATGAGACATTCCCATTGTTGATACCTTATACTAAAATTTTCCATCATAGCTTATCTTGGTCATGTGCTCTGATGATTAAATGAAATATTAATGAGTTCTTAAGTGAAAGGAGGGAGGCACATATCATCATTTTACAAAACATAACACCACAAAGACTGCTTATTATTTAAATACTTACCTATACAGTTTTTGCCATCTGGGGTAAGTTCATAACCTTCGTTACATAGACACTTGAAAGAACCAATTTCATTAAAACAACGTCCATTTCTGCACACCTGACCAAAAAAGGAACTGCACTCATCTATGTCTGTAAGCAAACAGGAGTATGTTTTTCAGAAAGAGCTCTTAACATGTATATTGTTTCACAAGACGCTACTTAAAAACATACTTATTGGCATGCATTTATAAGAAATCCCATATTACAACTCCTCATCAACAGAGAAAAATGGCACATATCATAAGGATCATATAATTAATAGGATCCCATAGAGTCCTACTATTTTTCAACCATAAAGATACATTTTTTTCATTTTTGATATTAATATAACTCATGAATTTAGAACCAGATAAAAATCAAGGTTTACGGTGAAGCTTTCCATTCTTTCTAACTGAAAAATATTTATTTTCCCACAGGCAGGAGGATATGTGGGATTTAATCTGATTGCCTAATTTGCATATACTTTACCTGGAGCTAAGCTGAGCATATTCAGAGAACAAATAAATGAGCTTATTTATTACTGGAAAATCAATGATATTAAAAACACTGGAATTGCTGATATCAAACATAATTGAAAGAAAAAAGACATTAAGTATTAAGTTTTCATTTAAGTTTTAGTTCTCCCTGACTGTACAAAGGCTCTAAGAAACTAGTCAAGAAGGCAGCAGTTGAATAAAATGTCCAATTAGCTCTACTTTTTTTCACAATTGTGGAATTTTGAAAAATAAAGAAAACAGAGAGGAACTTATGTTGGGTTAAATGAGGACGTGGGGATGAGCTCTGATGTAGTCCCACAATGGTAGAAAACCTAAGTTCTTTCACATACCTTGCAGGGCCATGCGAATTACAACACATTATGCTGTAAATTACCCATGCAGTTCCTGGCATGCAGTAAACAAGGAATAAACGTTTGCTGTCATTTCTCTTATTCTCTCCTCCAACTACTTCAGGACCCTCTCCCACTCACTATGTTTCCATTTCACATTTGTGTGTTGCTGTGGGCCAAAGACTAAAGTCCTGTATGGCGCATAGGAGATATTTCTGAGGGCTTATCTAGAAACCTAGTCACCATTCATTATTTTTGTGGGGAAAGGCATTCTGGCTTCAAAAGCTGATGGAAAATGAAATGTCATGACAGGTGTAAGCAGGAGGCTACTGGTACTTGAATGTAAATAATCCAGAATGGATTTAAATGAAATACTTGTAATAACATTGAGACAATGAAGGGTCTATTTTTGATCTCATTAAGGAAATACAAATACCCTAAACCATAAATCAGTCCAAATATGTTTACTGTGATCTGAATGACCTTTTTTTCCTGAAATGATTGGCTGATTGACAAAAGGATTCAAGAGTATATTGTCTTGTGACAATTTAGGCCAATACTATGGTTTCAGTTAACTAGAAACCAGTCAATGAAATTATATATCTTTTGGCACATATTTGCAATTTTAGTAATATAATTTTTTTTTGTTCTTTAGTTTTGTTTTTTATTTCAGCACATTGTGTGGAAATGAAATAGAAGCAATAAAGGACTGAATGAAGTACTTACCCAGGCAATCATTATTATGAGTGAGTTCAAACCCTGGGTAGCACAGACAGTTATAGGATCCAACGGTGTTTTTACAAGTTCCATTTCCACATGGATGCCGCTCGCACTCATCAACATCTATAAAGAAATATAGGCTCAAAAAATTCAATTTTTAACTAGAAAAAAATGGGCTATTAACCGTTTTATATGTTTAACTTATGGAATTACTTAGATTTTCCTCATTCAGTACTAGAAACTCATATCTACTTGAGGAAAATGAGTAAGAGATACGGAAAAATCAAAATTACAAGAATCAAAATTGTAAAATTCTAAGAAAATAGTACAGTTTAACAGGTACTGACTGTACTCAGACAATACTCAGACATAGCCTAAGAGAGCATCCCCCTAGTAGAGATGTATTAATGAGCAGGTCTGCTTAATAATCGTAAATAAAACTGATCTTCTAAAATACTGAAACAATTTCTTTCATAATAAAAGGCATTATAAACACTTACCCAGAAATTTAAATCCCTTAATTTGAGCAGAAAAACAAAGACAAACTTTAGTTTACTTAATTGTATGAAGTAATGAAATCCAAATTGAGGTTTATTAGAATTCACTATTAGCCTTCAAAAAAACTGAATTAAGAAAATATTTAGAAAGGTCATTCATCATATGAGACAGCAGACTCCCCAACTATGAATTCCAGGCTGCTGAAACTCTACCACACCAAAAAAAGGGTGGGGGCTGGTATTGTTCTTTAGGAAGGAAGCTCTGTATAAGGGAGGTCTTACTGAAGAATCTGACTAGCTTTTATCATGGAAGAATTGTTATGAGTGGACAGATTTTCCCCATACGAAATTCTGAATCATAAATCTCATATTTTTTTTTGGTAAATCATACTCTCTCTGGGAGTACAGCAAGAAGAAGCATGTATAAACAAGCATTCTTAGGGAGTTCATGCAAATAAGACCAGATCCTGTATATTCCTTTGTATAAACATCACCTAGAGAATTTTCCCTGCCATTATAGGAGAAGTCCAAAGGGAGGGCTTTAGGAGGCAATGGATGAACCTGGAGACATACTCCAGGTATTCCCTGTTGTATGGATGTGTCATGAAGGAAACCAGTCCTGCAGTACTGAAATCTGATTTTAATATTCACATAGATAATATCTTGAATATCAAGAGTAGCTGAACAGCCCTAGCCTTTTCTACACTGAGAAAATGCTAATTACAAGTAGCCAAGTTTTAAATTTAATTTTCCCCTTTCAAGTGCAAAGCACAGAAAGAAAACTCTTCAGCAGAGGCAGAGCCAACTGCTGACATCAGACTTAAGGGGTTATACTCAGTCCCAGCTTCATGGCATCCAGCCCATCTGTCTTTGAAAACCTATTAATCATCAGCTCAGCAAGTACTCACTAAGCTCTATTACCACTTGGCTACCCATTACATTAGCTACTGGGAATTTTTAAAGAGTTTGGCTATATTTGCTCCTAAAGCTATTTTTAAGGGATAAAACACAAAATATGTACATAAATCCCACTATTCAACAATTTGTTTTAAAAAAGTATGTGCATATGTGTATAAATTTATTAAGTTTAATGCTGTCACTCTTACTACTCTCTTGCATTCCAAAATGGTGTCTTGAGTAGAAACATGAAAGTAAAGGGCAGCGGGTGCTATGGTAAGTTCCACACAAGCCCAAGTGGCTCAGAGGGTTTTTTCTTGTCAAGCCATGTGAACATCTTCTGGAGAAAAAGCTGTGAATCACTGAACTGACGAACATATCGCAGTATGTCCCTGCTTGCAAATTTTATATATTGCAGTATGTCCCTGCTTGCAAATTTTATATTGAATCAAGACTTAAATAGTTTGACCTAGTTAATTTTTTGCAAGATTGTTTCTGACAGAGACATAGTAGTTACTCATGGCACTTGATGGAACTGTGATCTGTTCTGGAACCCCAGCCCCACTTCACTCCCTGGAGCCACATGCCCTTCTTACCCATGCACATGGTCTGGTCCTGAGAAGCCTTAAAGCCATTGTGGCAGATGCACTGGTAACTTCCTTGCAGATCAACACACAAGCCATGACTGCAAACGTTAGGAATTTCTAAACATTCATTGCGATCTAAAACAGAAAAAAATAAATGTTACATGTATCTGATTTTTATTAAGATTTCTTCATTTTTCACAGTTGTGTTTCTCTAATCTGCTATTAATTATTATAGGCAGGCTGAAAATGAACCATAACAACAGCTGAATCAAAATGAGCAGGACTTCAAAGTATCCAACCCTCTTTTTTTAATCATGCAAATTTTTTTATGTTTATTGGTATCTGAAGGATATTATTTTATTTTAGGTCCAATCCTGGGGAAATCCATTGAAGAGATCTATTTTCTTAACAAAATCATCTAAAAGATATGGTGAAATAGGTTCACTATAAATGAACAGGTTAAGTGAGAAAATCTTTCCCAAATTATTCTTGAAGTATTTTTTGATAGGAAATCTAAGGAATCTTGTGCTCAGTGCCAAAGAATGAGTCAGCCTCTTTCTTACCTACACAGGCCCCATTGGGTGAAAGTTTGAAACCCGCGGCACATTCACAGCGGTAACTACCAGGACTATTGATGCAGTCTGCATTCCGCTGGCAGAGATTATCACCATTGCTGCACTCATCTATATCTGAAAGAGCAACAATTCCATTTTAAAGAGTCCTTTTTAGTATTGTATTAGCATTACATTCACGTCACACTTTGATGATCAACTCTTGAAAAATTGTAGAAGAAATAGTAAAAATCAGAAACCATCTAAATGCTATATATGTATACCAAATTATACTGGATAAAGGACATACTTTATTCAGATTACCTTCACAAACCAACAGCAGGTCATTGTAACTGAATCCTGTAGGGCATTCACAGCGGAAACTGCCAATCTGGTTAATGCACACACCATTTGCACAAATGCCTGGAATCTCTTTACATTCATCAATGTCTGAAATGGAACAGATTTGGTCAAATATATGTTGTTCTGTTTAATATACTTACCATATAACTTTGAATAATGCTACATGTACCCTGGGATGAGTACAAATATTCAGTGTCACAAAAATCTATTATATACTAGTATAGCTAATTTTTTTGGTTTATAAAAACATATATACCAGAAAATAGAAACAGTGATGGAAAAAATCTAAGTAGCTGATAAAATATACCAAGTAATTTCAGAGTCAATATAGCAAATGAACTTTCTAGGCAATCAAACCCCTTCTTCAGGTTACCCTAAGTGCTGCTATTCATTTGTTTAAAAAGCTATGTTTTCATCATTGTATGTATTTTATTTTATCATATATTCATAATGGAGACTTAAAATTATATTGCTTAGGCCAGGTGTGGTGGCTCACGCCTGTAATCCCAGCACTTTGGGAGGCTGAGGAGGGTGGATCACCTGAGGTCAGGAGTTCTAGACCAGCCTGACCAACATGGTGAAACTTCCATCTCTACTAAAAATACAAAAAATTAGCCGGGTGTGGTGGTGGGTGCCTGTAATCCCAGCTACTCAGGAGGCTGAGGCAGGAGAATCACTTGAACCTAGGAGACAGAGGTTACAGTGAGCTGAGATCGCGCCATTGCACTCCAGCCTGGGCAACAAGAGCAAAACTCCATCTCAAAAAAAAAAATTATATTGCTTATCAAATCTTTGAGGAAGGAAGCTAGAGTGAGCAACACAATGTACATTTAGAAGGAATTAATTAATATGAAAAATAAGTCTGCACATTCATATTTAGACCAGTAAAAAGGGATACTGCAAAAATACACCAAAAATTAAAAAATGTACTTAAGAAAATAGCAACTAAAGGTTAAAATAAGGTAGATTATTTAGAGTCATGTAATACAATGTGCATGACAAGGACAACTGAAGCTTTAGCTTGGTGGATGTGACAAATATCGAGAGAGTCACATAACTACCATAACCCAATCACCAGACTACGCTGATGGAGTATCATTATTAATACTTGGTTAGAGTCTGTAAGCCTGTTATTTCTCTCTTATCTAACTATATTAGATTGGATCCCAGATTATTATATTTTGTGGTACTCTTGAATTTTAAAAACATAGAATAGATTTTTACAGAATGCTACACATATGTATTAAAACAAACATAATCTGGAAAAACTCACCAACAGCTTTTCCTGTGTGAATGTCAAAGGTGAATCCAGGAATATTTCCACATATGGTTTTAAAGTCAGCTTTAAAATATAAACAAAGCAATGCACTCTTAAATTTCTCAAATTCCTTCAAAATAACATTTTGTATTACTTTCACAAACAAATATATTTTACATTATTCACAACCAGACATTTTGATTTCAATTATATTTATTTGATAGCAATGCCAGCTTCTGCTAGGAGTGGATCTAGGCATTCTTTACCATTATTATCATTGTTATTTCTATTACTCTCATTAACTTTTTACTGCTCTGATATCAGAAGGCAAGTAAATCATTATAAGATTCAAAATGTCCATTTAGATATTTAAATACTTTTTCTTTTAATATGCAGAGCTTTAAAAAACATCCAATACATAAAGATTAAAAAAAAAGAGAAGTACAAATTGAAAAAGGAATTACAGATTGCACAAAGGTATAGACATGCAAAAATAATGTTGTAGAGGGGAAATAGGTAAACAATGTATAATGAATGAGATGCGAATTTTGTCTTTTTTTTTTTTACTGTGTCTATTGGAATGTGAAATTTGAGTCATCAAAAACAATGCATTATGAAATAAAATAGGGACTATAAGAAGTATTCTTACACATAATTAACCAAATCAATGGAAATTTAAAAGAATTCTAATTTGCAAGATGAAAAATGCTTCTGACGCTCACTGCTATACAAGTGAGTAAAACTCCTGAAAACAGTATTATATAAAACTTAAACTGCATACTATATTCCAAGTGCTATCAGGTCAGGGATATTGTATATTTCATCCATCAATATATACCGAGTATTGAGAACAGATAGAAAGACCACAGATGCTCAACTTAATGGTTTCTAATTGTCTGGAAATCTTCAAATTATAATTTATATGTATAATCTCCCTAATTGTCATTGCACCCATATGAATTAGTCACTGTAATTATTTATTATTCCTATTTTATACATGAGAAATTAGTTTCAGAAAGGATACATACTCTGCAGGAGGTTCCACAATAAGTATCTTAAGAGTTTTGATTTAAATACAGACACGTCTCTCAACTCCAAGCCTTTCGCTTCTTCTCACAAAGAAAGTGCCATTTTAATTCCCCAAATCAATGATCTTAAATTTGTAACTATGGAGTTTTAAAGTTGAGAATTGTAGGAATGTTTCTATTTAATTTTATGGAACATAATAATGGCAAGATAAGGCTAAGAAAATCCATTTGACCAGTGAATTGGAGCCACTGAAAAAGGCCTATGTGTTGCTTTTCATCATTTCTCTCCTTAATTTCATCAATACATTAAATGGAACATTTAAATACATATACCCTAAGTAATATTTGGTAACAAATGCATAATCACTGTTTCTTATTTGGCCTACTGGTTCAACTCTTAGTATCTATAGTTATTAAAAGTTGCCATTCTCCAGGTCATAAAAGAGAGCCTGATGGACAGCAATTTTAAGACAAGCATTTTTGCTCTTATCTCTATTATCTTTCATTTTTTCTTTCAAAAGAAACTGTCTTGTGAAAAAAACATGACCAAGTGAAGACAAGCTCTATTTTTTGCCTAAAAATTTCACTGATGTCTGAGGAAGAAGATGTAAAAGGCACATTATGACAATGGGTTGCTTTTATGTAAAATTCGCTCATAAAAAACACTTTTTGCATATTTTCCACGGCTGAACTAAAAAAAAATCCTTATTGAATTTAGTTTTTCTCCAAATATTATACTTTCCATGTCTAGCACAGTGACATACAGTAGTTACTCAAGAAATATTTGTTTGATGAATAAATCAATAATTGACAAGCACAGTTTAAGATAATGAGTTTAAATGGACTAATGCTATCAACTCTAACTCTTCAGCAATGGATCTTATTTTCAGGATTCACAAGCCTATCCAACATAATGTCTCAGAAGTTAGTGTTTGAATCCCAAAGAGGATCACTTGGGAAACAGAACCATATGATGCTCTTGGGAATTTTTGGAACTGAGCATCTCTAGTTTTAGCATGCAGTGACTTTGACTATACTGTTAGATATATGCGTGTATCACTGATGTGGCAGTCAGCAGATGCACGAGCCGTGTGCTTACCTGTTCCTGGAGTTGGGCATGGTTCACAAGGTTTGTTCCAGGCTTTGCCCACATTATATGTGCAGCAGCACATCCTTTTTGTCACATTGAAAGGCAACTCATTCTCACAAGTGGTTCCATTATAGCTTCGGTAGCAAAAGCTTTTTCTCATGTCTATATAAAGAAAAACAAAGAAACTAGCCATTTGTATCCACGAGTAGTTTATAATGAAGCCCACACAGCTGTAGACATCAAGCTTTCCTGATGAACACAACTCGGAAACCCTTTTTAGTCATTTGAAGCTATCTTAAAATAACTCCTTAAACATAAATCATTTTTAGATTAACATCTCTCCTTTATCCTTAAAGGTTTTCACTTATAATTTTCTTGGGAGACAATGTTAATACATATTTGTTTTTCTCTCAAAATCATTTATTTAATTAAAAAAATAAAGCATTAAAATTTAAATGTTCTTTTATTTGTAAATTAATGTTCACACTATATGAATGGAGATGAAAAATTTAAGAATATATAACATTTGAGGAAATTTTCTACATTAGACTCATGCTTTTAAAAATTTAAATGTATACCCAAAGGTCAAAAACTTGATACTAAGCCAGCAGCTTGCAAGACTCTGAAATATCTCAATTCACGAAGACTGAACTTCCAAACTTCCAAACAATAATTCTGAGACGTAAGTGCTTTATGTGTGAAGTCAACAACTGTGCTCTAATTAATCTCAGAGTTCTTTACCTACCCATGCAGTTGTGGCCTCCATTGACCTGCATGTACTCAGGTGGGCAAATGCAGGTGTAATTTCCCAGGGTGTTATAGCAGGTCCCAGGCCCACACACACCAGGATGTGCAAAACACTCATCAATATCTAGAGTAGGCAAGAATATCTATTAATTAATAAATCTATTTTTTCAATGAATTTATATTACTTAGATGACTGAACAAAGCATAGGTGATTCTCTAAATCCCCATTTATGCAAAACTTAGAAATAAAGAAAATATCCCAAATATGCATTTATATAACACAGATACATCTTTCTTCAAAAGAAAAAAATCCCCATATTAAAAAATATAAAGCATCAAAAGAAATTATTCTAAAGTGGCAAAAAATAATTTCCTTGGCACATATATATATATATATATATATATATATATATATATATTTTTTTTTTTTTTTTTTTATTGCAATTCGCATTCTTCAATTGGAATTTCTTTAAAGCCTGCTTTTGTCCTATGTCACTTAGGCTAAGTTTTAATGCCAACTTTAAAGTGAATGCAGGTTGGGAAAGCCTTTGTCTTTGTAGCTTCTTTCAAATTAGTAACTATTCAGAGATTCTTAAAGCAGTGCAGCTGCTGGTTGTTCTCCTCATTACATCCTATTTCTTCCAGATACATTTATCAAACATGTTCCAAAAGAAAAGTTATAATGGAAATAATTACGCTACATGTTTAATGTTCAGTTAGAAGCATTCACTCATTTCACAATTAAAATATTGAGATTCTACTGTAAGCTAGAACTTATGGCTGTAATGATGAGTAAGATGTGGACCTTGTCTCCAGAAGCCCCCAGTTTAGTGGTGAGACAGGCCCCTAAAAGAATTGAAATACCATGTGATCAAGTGGGGGGATGGAAGCAAGAATGGCAGCTGCATAACCTTTGAACTTCTTCATACCATATAGTCCAACATTTAAAAATTACTGATCAATATTAAGTTAATGGTCACATTTTAGCTTACCAATTTTTCCTATGTAAAATGTAATTCTTATCAATATTTTCACTAATAACTTACTTAATATTTTAGGTTTTCACACTACCCCATTTTCCCAATTTATATTTAATCAACCCTCCTGGAAAAATACAGTGAATTATGGCAACGAGCCATAAATTAATTTGTCTATCATCATACAACTTAGCTACATTGATATGAAAAAAAAAAAAGCTATGAACCAATCTTAATTGAGCCTTTTGTAGAATGTGAGGATGGGCCTTTCCCTCAGGCCTCAGCAGCCATTTTGTTTTAAACAGCACTGAGCATTTTAGGCATCAAATTCATCTCACCTTCACAGATGCGGGTATCCTCGCTGAGGTAGTAGCCTTGTGGGCACTCACACTGGAAGCTCCCAAAAGTGTTGATGCAGTTTCCACCCTGGCAGAGACCTGGTAACTCCTGGCATTCGTCAATGTCTACAAAAAGGGAGACAGTGCACTTAAAACAAACACCTTCACTAAGGATAAGAGTTAATATTAGAGCTTTCAAAAGTGTGATCTTGTAAGAATCAGATTTCTATGCATCCAAATGAACGCACACTTAGATGGCAAGTTTATTCTGCTCAAATATCTTCTTGGCTTTGTCACAGAACTTTTACCATTATCTGAGAAAATGAATAAAGTTAAGTTGGAGATTATTCAAGGTAGAGGACAATGGGAAAGAGTTTCTCTGCAGAACAGTCAGACGTCAAATCACTGCAATGGATCATTACTGCTTGATAAAAGTAGTAGTTTAACATTTTAGTAATTAAAGTCCATCTGTAATTTTACTAAATTATCTTGTCGGGGCTGCTCTGCCCTAGGTTTTCTGCCAGCTTTTCTCTATAATTAACTCTTTACCTTGTTTGAATCTGGGTGACAATGGGATTAGCTCACCTTCTAAAATGATTGTGATGGGGTTAGGTCTGAAGCCTTCACCTCCGGGACACAGGGTGTAATATTCAGCTACAAAACAATAGAAAAATAAGAGGTTTGATACCTGTGTCCAAGTGGCTGAGACAATGAGCAAGCATTCAGCAAATGACAGGCTCAATATACTCATCCTAAGGGGTGTATCCAAATTTTTCTTAGTGCCCTTTCAAATACATTTAAAGTTACATATTTTACATAAAAGATCATACTTTATTAATCACATACACAGTAGAATAACACGAACCATTTGTTTTTAATTAAAGAAAAAATTCCCTTGCAGCTCTTTTAGCTAGTAAATTAAGACTAGAGAAAACAGGCTTTGGTTCATGTTCATATCAGATGTTTCAATTTAAGGCATTCTATAATTGACTTCAAGAATACAACACACCTATGAAGCTGAACTAAATAACCTTTGAGAAGAATCAGGAATGCACTTTATCTGTGACATCATGAAGAACTGATATTAGTACTATTCATACATGATTACAGTTAAAAATTATTTTTTTAACATATCATGATAAAACATAGGAAGAGAGGAATTCAAATCCTTTAACATTCTTGGCTGGTTTCAGAGTGATCACTGAAAGTAGTTCAAATTCAGTTTTTTTGTTTTGTCCTCACTAAACACTCCTCACTCCCAGCTCAGGAATAAAATGGCAACAAATCTTTAGATACCAGTTGGTTTTCTTCCTCTTCTTCAGCTTTGTACTTACTGCTATTGACAGGGGGGCATGTCTCACAGGGGTTTCCCCAGGCCTTTCCCAGAGAGCAGCAGCATGAAGAGCGACTGACGCCCACCCCGATCTCGGTGTTGCAAGACAGACTCCCATCTCCTCGAGGTCCAAACTTCAGGTAGCAGTTGCCCACACGGTTGTCTGCAGAGCAACAAAGGAGCTTACAGTTGCCCTTGCTTACATAGTAAGGACTCCATTTTAGGGAAAAGTCACTCAAAGGATGAAATTCAAATTTTGTACGTTAACATGAAAGGTTCCTTTTAATCCTTAAGTACCAAGCAATCTCCTGCTTTTCAGCTTTTTCGAGATTGAGTCAGAGGAAGCCAATCATGGCAGACTTTCCTATATTTAGAAATCCACATAGACCATATTTTCCTATACTCATGGAATGGACAAGATAGTAAGAAATTTCTCATTTGGGACATACTGGACCTCCAATAATAGGAATACAATACATTTTTTGTATAATTAATCTATATCACGAGTTTATCCAATGGTTTAGTTTCAACTTGCATAGCTAACTTTGCAGGTTTTGGAAAAGATAGCCTGCAACAAACTTAGAGAAGATACTTAAGGGATCAACTAATCTAAGGCTTTTCTTTATCTCTACAGTTATCATCCAGATCACTCCATTGAGTCTATGGGTTTAAATACTACTTTTTTGCTGAGAACTCTCAAATTTATGGTTCTGTATCTCATCTCTCCCGTGAACTCTAGACCCTTCTACCAATTGCCTATTTCATTTCTTCTCTTAAACATCTAATAATTATTTCAAAGTTAACACATCTAAAATCAAACTGTCAATGCTCTTTCCTCCATGTACAAAATCTGCCGTCTTCTCTCCCAGTCTTCTGCATTTTCAATAAAAGGAAATTCACTTTTTTTTTCAGTTGCACAGGCCCTAAGCTTTGACATCATTTTTGACTCCTTACTATGATTCCTTATTCAATCCAGTAATAAGGGCTGTCTACTCAACCTTCAAAACATATCTGGAATCGACCATCCTGGCTAACATGGTGAAAACCCGTCTCTACTAAAAATACAGAAAATTAGCTGAGCATGGTGGCGGGCACCTGTAGTCCCAGCTACTAGGGTGGCTGAGGCAGGAGAATGGCATGAACCTGGGAGGCAGGGCTTGCAGTGAGCCGAGATCACGCCACTGCACTCCAGCCTGGGCAACAGAGCGAGACTCTGTCTCAAAAAAAAAAAAAAAAAAAAAAAACATATCTGGAATCTGTCTACTTACCACTGCCTCTATCATTACTATCTTTTTTTTTTAATCACTACCAACTGAGTTCCAGCCACCATCATTATCCCTTTACCTAGTCTAATGTAATAGTTTTCTAACTCTTTTCTCAACTTCCATCCTTGACTAAACTATGGTCTACTTTACCTTCTGTAAGCCAGAGTGACCCTTCAATAGCATTACCTTAGGTCAGGCAACCTCCAATGGCTTCTCTTCTCAATCAGAATAAAATCTAGAGTTCTTAGCAGTCTACAAAGTAATTTTCATCCCTGGCTGCATATTAGAATCATTTGGGCTTTTTAAAAAAACTTATTTTACTTTATTTTTGTCTCAGATTTTGCATTTTGTTTTTGTTGCTGAATCTCAGATCTCAGAGGCTGCAAGATTCTCATGGTCCCCCTTCTAATTAGGTTTATTTATATTTATTTGTTTATTTATTTTTTGGGGACGGAGTCTTCCTCTGTTGCCAAGCTGGAGTACAGTGGCACTATCTCGGCCCACTGCAACCTCTGCCTCAAGTGATTCTCCTGCCTCAGCCTCCCGAGTAGCTGGGACTACAGGTGCCTGCCACCACGCGCAGTTAATTTTTGTATTTTTAGTAGAGACGGGGTTTCACCATGTTGGCCAGGATGGTCTTGATCTTTTGACCTTGTGATCCACCCACCTCAGCCTCCCAAAGTGCTGGAGTAACAGGCGTGAGCCACCACGCCCAGCCTAATTAGGTTTATTTATTCCTCATTTATTCACCTGTTCTTTCTCTCTCTTCCCCCTCCCTTTCTCTTTTATTCCTATTCTTCATTCCTATTCTCCTTCCCTACCAGATCATCCAAATGTATTTAATGCTATTACTTTTTACATGTGCTCTTGCAAAATAAATATTTTTGTTTTAATGTGTTCATTTTAAATGTACACAAATGTCTTTTGTCATACATCTCATTTCATTTTTATAACTTTTCTAGTCATGCTTGTTCTGTAAACCTCCAGTCTGTCAACTCCGTGGTGTATAATTGCTTTTAAAAAAAAACCCTCCTCTCCAAAAATGGTTTCTAAAATCCTGCCACCACAAAGAATGCCGTGATGAACATCATATATGTGTCTCTGTATGGGCCTGTGAGTTAATTCCATTGGCATATACAGCCACAAAAGGAATTGTTGATTCACAGGATTTGCCTATACTTAGCCTTCAGTCAGGAAAAATAGTCATCATTTACCAACTACATCCAAGGAACCCTTTAATTTTTAATATTTTTAAGTCATTTTAAAAAATAATTTACAGAAGAAAGGTATATTATAAAACTAATATACAGAAGAAAAAAGTTGAAAACAACTTTATTAGCAATATTAATAACAATTTAATGATAGCTAACTCAATTTTTTAATCTATATTTTCTTGGTTTTGAAGATATTCTACTCAAAATGATCTTCTGAATGCAACTAATTGCTTATCAACTGTCATTCATGAACTTGGAATATATCCAGTTTGTAAAAACCGATTCCAGGTTTCAAACACATCTCTAATAGGTTCTAGCTTATCATTATTTCTGGTTCTTCTTGTTCTTGCTTCATAAAAATGCAATACCCAAAGGAATGTTTGAAAACATTAACAGTTCATGATTTTGTTGATGAGAGGACAGCCGTCTTCTTTAAAGTCTCCACAAATAGAAAATGTTTTCATTTTTAGATTTATCAACACCAATTAGAACAATCAATCTAATGACTGTATTTCTACATCACATATTTCCTTCCAGTAACCTTTTATACATACCTGCCTTTATCTCTGTCTGCTTATGAATCATATCAATTAAATTTTGGTACAGAAACGTCATGAAAATATGAAAGAATCCACAAACCTGGGATGGTTCAGGTTCTTGTTACCAAATATTGCGGGTTGAAGTTCTTTCTATTGACTAAGTGGATGAGAATACTGTATTTCCTTTGTCTACGGAAATACACTGTCCTTTCACTTGCTGATTCTGAAGTTTGAAAACATTCACCTAGGATATTGGTCTCTGAAGACACGTAGTCTGGGATTGTGCTTAGATGATTCACTTCACCATCACCTTTAGAATCTAGACAAAAGAGCTGCTCTCTGTCTCTTTGTAGTTACCTGACTCAACTTCATTTTTTTCTCTTTGCCAAAAATTATGGCCAGTAAGTAAAAACTTCTAAATTCTCAACTGTGTTCAATAAATGCTAAAAGAAGATTTCAAGTAAGGTGTCTCCAGTCTTCTCTTGCACTTTCTTGAAAAATGATGCAATCCTTAGGACAATATAATAAGAAAACTGAAGGATGATAAAACAGTGACATTTTATTTCACTAATGCATGTTACTTCTAGGTGATGCCATAATTTTCCACTTCTCGTTATTTTACTCTGTTGTATCCATTGGACATAATGTTGAACATTGACAAAAATAACAGCTAGGATGATAAAACGTCAAAATGTTTCAAGACAAAGGAAAAACAAGATCTCTTAATATTTTATAATGTTTCAGACCTACGAAAGGTTCCAATAGATTCCTATGGCACTTTTGAGATAGAATAAGTCCTTGTTTTTTTGGCACTAAGAATGAGTGAACGCAATAAAGTGTCAATCCATACAAATCGAATTGCTTCAAAAAGAAACTCATAAACTAAAATTGATTATACACTGACAGTTAATCGGTGTACCATTGTGCAAACATATTATCTGCAGTGCTGCCCTGGTCTACACTTCTACCAGCAGAACAGAATGCTCCTCAAGGCTCATGTCCCCACCAATACTTCACATTATCCAGGTTTCCTAATTTTTGCCAGTATATGAAGTGTAAAGTGGCATTCATATAATTGTTTCAAATGGATTTCTTATTCCTAATGATTTTGGGCATTTGTTTGCTTACATTTTTTAATGTTTAGACTATTCTCTTTTATGAGCTGCCTGTTCACAGCCTTTGTTCCAAGGAGGTTTTTAAGAAATATTGAGGCCCCAGTGAGTCAGAATTTCTGAGGGTGTAACAGGCATCAATATCTTTTCCAGGTTCTAAATGGAGTTTACTATGCAGCCTGGGTTGAGAATCACTTTGCGAACTGGGCGACTGCTCCTCTGATTCCTCTCCTCATCCCTGTCCCCTCCACTCACTCCTCTCTTGCTACAAGCAGCCTTGTGCTGTGTCTCTAACGCCAGCCTTCTCCTGCCACATGCCCCTTGCACTGGCTTCTCCTTGTAACTGGAGGCTTCCCTCAGTGGTCCAGTTGGTCTGTCCCCTCCTTAAAGGCTGTGACTCCCCCATCCCTAATATAACATAGCGCTTCTCCTCCAACCACCTCCAGTGCCAATTCTGTTTGTTCTTGCTTTTATTTATCTCCCTGCCTCTAGAATGTAAACACAAAAGCAGAGAATGTGCTTGTTCTGTTCACTGTTGCAACTCCAGCCCTTAGACAGAAGGCACTCAAACTTTACCAAATGAATTATTTTGAATGGAAAACACAGACTTGGAGTTTGTGTAAATGATAATTAAAAGTATTCTCCAAAACTTGAAAACAGTATATAAGTTGTGTATAAATCACAGCAGCAAATATTCCTTCCATTTGCTGCAGGCCCAAAAACTGACACTGAGGACAGTAGGCAGATTTCTACTCAAGCAAGGAATTCTCCACCCCTCCCTTTTTTTGTATACTTCCAGAAAATTCTCCAGGCCATTTCCTTCTCTAGGAAAATACAGTAACAGTGCAGATAGTAAAAGCTGGACAATTGTTTTTTTAAGATCAGAGGTGCTGACCACAGATTCTGAACCTTCATTACGGCCTCCTCCTCCTCCCTGTCACCTTCCAACTTCTTCTGCTCCAATGGTTTGGCTCATAAATCCATCTCTCTAATTCCTTGCTTCTCATCACTTCATTTACTTTGCTATATGACCCTTCCAGTAGGCAGGAGAAATAGATATTCTAACAGCTATACCACCACTCTGGGTTATCCTGGCCAAACACTGGACAAGGAGCCAGGTGGCAACCTGGGCCACTGCCTTAGCTCTGCCACTTTCAAGCTCTGAGACCTTGAACAAATTACTGCACTTCTCTGTGCCTTGGTTCTCAAGTCCGTGAGAGGAGGAAGGTGGAGCAGATGATTTGGAAGAGAAACACAATAAAGGCGACCACATAATGTTTTGTTTTTAAGTTAACTGTAGCAAACACTCATCACGGTTCATTATCAAGAGAGTCTGAATATTCAACTTGATAATTCTATTTGTTTGTTTCATATAGCTTTACTTACCAACACAACCCACACCAGTTGGGTTCAACTGAAAATCGGGTGGGCAGTTACACTCATAGCGACCAGGCGTGTTGACACATAGGCCATTGACACAGTTTATAGGATCTGCACACTCATCAATATCTAGGAGAAGCATTTAAAATGCCCAGGTTACCATTTTTACTTTTTCTGTGCATACTGCTGTTCCAAAGAATTTGGTGGAATTTTTGCAAGTGAGTAGATTAAAGATCACTAGGAAAGACTCAACACAATAAAATAAATATCTTAAATTTTGGTATATACCTAAAACAGGTTCCATACATCAAGGACAGAGTATTTATGACAGCGTTTAACATCCTTAACAAATACATTGTAATTAATTAAAATTTGCAACTCTGAGGACGAAAAAATTATGTCACTATTTGCTTAACAAAAATCACATATATACATGTATATATATATATACATGTACTATATATACATATACATGAACATATATATAAAGAGACACTTTACTAGTTTCATGTCAGATATTTAACAATCATACAGATAACAATTTAATATTATTTACATAAAAATGCATCAATTCCATAGTTACAAATAAATGCATCTGAATATAATTTTCTTTTTCTGAAAAATGTGTAACCTAATGCATAGATTAGCTAAGCAGAAATCTCAGGAATTTTTATGCTTAGCACAGAATACTCATTTCAATGAATCAGAACACAACTTAGCTGGTAACTGACCATACCTGTACAGTTCCCTCCTGTTCTGTCCAATTCATAACCATCATCGCAGATGCAATGAAACATTCCAGGCAGGTTATTACATGTTCCAAAGACACAAATGTTTTGGAAGGAGCATTCATCAATATCTGAAGATTTTAAAAAAAAGTAATCTCTTATTTAAGAAGACATTTTAAAATTTTAATGTAATGTCTAACATTAGCGCATTTTTCTGCCCCCTCAGATGTTTTTATTCAGTAAGGCTTTTTTTTTCTCTTTTTTGGCTAGGTAGATAAGTGTAAAGGGCAAGCAACTAATGTTCACCTATGGAACTAAGATATACAAGAATACTGTTTTCTTCGTAAAATGAGTGTCTAGTATTTTGAATGACTTGGATTATGATATACTTAAAGAAGAGTTGGCTCAAGGCACACAAAATACAAAAATTAAATATAAACATGTCAAAGAAATGAAATTGTGAAAAAAAGATAAAAGCAAATTCAAAGATTCTAACTAATTAGTGCAAACAGCAGACATTTTATAGTTAATAAATGTTTTATATTATGAAAAAACAAATACATAATCATTTTAAATATTGGAGATATTAAAATTAACTTTTTAGTTAATTTAGTTAATTAAATAAATTTAGTTAATTTAGTTAATTAAATAAATTTAGTTAATTAAATAAATATTAACTTTTTAGTTTTTACTTCCTTTTTATTTTGTAATCTTATCTGTTATTATAAAGCAGTTTTAAACAGAGAACTAATTTCTTCCCTAATTTCATGTTAATAAGATGATCCATTGACCCCACATTCTAGTAAATTTCATTAAAATATCTCTACTGAATTGGACTAAAAATTCATTTATGAAAAGTTTATGAGAGTCTTCCATGAGGCTTTAACTCAAAGTTAGTAAATATGAAGTTATCACTCCTCACTCAGGTGAAAATCAATGTGTATGTATAGCTGTGGAAATAATCTGAATTTCTACTCTCAAAAAGAGGATGGATATTTATGTATATAAATTGCCTAACACTCTGAGAATGCAGACCAGGCACGTCATTTTAGGCTAGACTAGACAAATCATTCTAAACTGCTGTCCTCAGACAGTTATATCTTAAGTCTAAACAAGACTTCTTTGGTCATTCTTCCCAGTTAAAATATTGGTTTCAACTATTTTAGATTTAAGGTATGGTTCCAATCATGTTTAAAGTTTAACATGTGCAAAGGTGTCTTTTATTGTGTTGGGGGTAAGAAAGTTATTCTCTTTATATAAATGAGTAAAAACTCTTTAAGCTAGATTACAATTGAATTGTGTTAATTTATACTCAAAAAGGGAATTGTATTATTATCCTTCTGACTATGCATTTTTTTTTTTTTCAGACAGGTTCTTGCTCTGTCACACAGGCTGGAGTAGTAGCACGATCATGGCTCACTGCAGCCACAATCTCCTGGGCTCAAGCAATCCTCCCCCTTCAGCCTTCCAGGTAGCTGGGACTATGGGCAAACACCATCACACCTAGCTAATTTAAAAAGGTTTGCAGAGACAGGGTCTCCCTATGTGGCCTAGGTTGGTCTTGAACTCCTGGGCTCATGGGATCCTCCCTCCTTGGCCTTCCAAAGCACTGTATTAATAGGTGCGGGCCACCATGCCCGATCCATTTTACTTTTAAATGAACTTTATTAGAAATTTCTTCCACCTAAATAATGTAATTGTTGTATAAAAGAACGCATTTTAAAAGATTACTGTCTTTCCTTTATAAAAGTGATAAATATTCAAAAATTCAAATAATACAGAAAACAAAACAGCAAAACAATTACTCAAAAATGTTTCTATCTAGAAAGAATCATTTAAGATGATGAGACATTTTTATATACATATTTAGACAGTGAAGCTAAAACAATTTGTATGCATCAGATAAATTTACCATCATCTCAACAGTTTTAAAATACTTTTCTAATGTTAAGAATAAAAAACGCTAAAAATTTTTTGGCTTTATGCTAAAGTTGAAATGTAATTTTTAGACAGTATTAATGAATTCTATACAATAAATTATAAGAAAATTAGCACTCATGTATCCTTCCAACTCCTTATTTTTATTTAATTATGTTCACTTTTTTAATGTCTATGGCAGTTTACCATAATTTCCACAGTGTTTAGTACTAATTATTTACTTAAAGGGATCAATAATGGTTTTATGACAACTTCTCCATTTGTTTCTTGATTGGCTGTGTTTCATTGCTGATTGTTCTTTCTCCAAGAAGGGTGGGACTTTTATGAAATCACAGGTGTTTTCTACCTGACTTATTTCATGTGTAAGAAAATGCTTATTATCTTTACAATTAATATTAAGTATAATATTTTTCACATTTCCTCAGAATTCTGTGGGCATGGATCTAATGTCTTTTGATATTGAATATTTCTGTTTAGCTCATGAATTGCATTTTTTAAAAATTATACTTAAGTTCTGGGATACATGTACAGAATGTGCAGGTTTGTTACATAGGTGTATGTGTGCCATGGTGGTTTGCTGCATCCATCAACCTGTCATCTACATTAGGTATTTCTCCTAATGCTATCCCTCCCCTAGCCCCTCACCCTCCGACAGGCCCCAGTGTGTGATGTTTCCCTCCCTGTCCACGTGTTCTCACTGTTCAACTCCCACCTATGAGTGAGAACATGCAGTGTTCGGTTTTCTGTTCCTGTCTTAGTTTGCTGAGAATGATGGTTTCCAGCTTCATCCACGTCCCTGCAAAGGACATGAACTCATCCTTTTTTATGGTTGCATAGTATTCCATGGTGTATATGTGCCACATTTTCTTTATCCAGTCTATCATTGATGGTCATTTGGGTTGGTTCCAGGTCTTTGCTATTATGAACAGTGCTGCAATAAACATATGTGTGCATGTGTCTTTATAGCAGAATGATTTATAATCCTTTGGGTATATCCTCAGTAATGGGATTGCTGGGTCAAATGGTATTTCTGGTTCTGGATCCTGGAGGAATCGCCACACTGTCCTCCACAATGGTTGAACTAATTTATACTCCCACCAATAGTGTAAAAGTGTTCCCATTTCTCCACATGCTCTCCAGCATCTGTTGTTTCCTGACTTTTTAATGATCGTCATTCTAACTGGCATGAGATGATATCTCATTGTGGTTTTGATTTGCATTTCTCTAATGACCAGTGAGGATGTGCTTTTTTTCACGTTTGTTGGCCTCATAAATGTTTTCTTTTGAAAATTGTCTGTTCATATCCATTGCTCACTTTTTTATGGGGTTGTTTTTTTTCTTGTAAATTTAAGTTCCTTGCAGATTCTGGATATTAGCCCTTTGTCCGATAGATAGATTACAAAAATTTTCTTCCATTCTGTAGGTTGCCTGTTCACTCTGATGATAGTTTCTTTTGCTGTGCACAAGCTCTTTAGTTTAATTAGATCCCACTTGTCAATTTTGGCTTTTGTTGCCATTGCTTTTGGTGTTTCAGTCATGAAGTCTTTGCCCATGCCTATGTCTTCAGTGGTATTGCCTAGGTTTTCTTCTGGCGTTTTTTATGGTTTTAGGTCTTATGTTTAAGTCTTTAATCCACTTGAGTTAACTTTCGTATAAGGGGAAAGAAAGGGGTGCAGTTTCAGTTTTCTGCATATGGCTAGCCAGTTTTCCCAGCACCATTTATTAAATAGGGAATCCTCTCCCCATTGCTTGTTTTTTTCAGGTTTGTCAAAGATCAGATGGTTGTAGATGTGTGGTATTATTTCTGAGGGCTCTGTTCTGTTCCATTGGTCTGTATCTCTGTTTTGGTACCAGTACCATGCTGTTATGGTTACTGTGGCCTTGTAGGATAGTTTGAAGTCAGGTGGTGTGATGCCTCCAGCTTTGTTCTTTTTGCTTAGGATTATCTGGCTCTTTTTTGGTTCCATAATTTAAGGTAGTTTTTCCTAATTCTGTGAAGAAAGTCAATGGTAGCTTGATGGGGATACCATTGAATCTATAAATTACTTTGGGCAGTTGGGCCATTTTCATGATACTGATTTTTCCTATCCATGAGCATGGAATGTTTTTCCATTTGTTTGCGTCCTCTCTTATTTCCTTGAGCAGTGGTTAGTGGTTCTCCTTTAAGAGGCCCTTCACATCCCTTGTAAGTTGTATTCCTATGTATTTTATTCTCTTTGTAGCAATTGTGAATGGGAGTTCACTCATGATTTGGCTATTATTGGTGTATAGGAATGCTTGTGATTTTTGCACACCGATTTTGTATCCTGAGACTGCTGAAATTGCTTATCAGCTTTAGGAGATTTTGGGCCGAGATGATGCGGTTTTCTAAATATACAATCATGTCATCTGCAAACAGATACAATTTGACTTCCTCTTTTCCTATTTGAATACCCTTTATTTCTTTCTCTTGCCTGATTGCCCTGGCCAGAACTTTCAATACTATGTTGAATAGGAGTGGTGAGAGAGGGCATCCTTGTCTTGTGCCAGTTTTCAAAGGGAATGCTTCCAGCCTTTGCCCATTCAGTATGATATTGGCTGTGGGTTTGTCATAAATAGCTCCTATTATTTTGAGATACATTCCATCTATATCAAGTTTATTGAGAGTTTTTAGCATGAAGGGGTGTTGAATTTTATTGAAGGGCCTATTTTATCAAAGGCCTAGTTTTATCGAAGGCCTTACTGCATCTTTTGAGATAATCATGCAGTTTTTGTCATTGGTTCTGTTTATGTGATGGATTACATTTACTGATTTGCATATGTTGAACCGGCCTTGCATCCCAGGGATAAAGCCGACTTGATCGTGGTGGATAAGCTCTTTGATGTGCTGCTGGATTCGGTTTGCCAGTATTTTATTGAGAATCTTTGCATCAATGTTCATCGGGGATATTGGCTTGAAATTTTATTTTTTTGTTGTGTCTCTTCCAAGTTTCGGTATCAGGATGATGCTGGCCTCATAAAATGAGTTAGGGAGGAGTCCCTCTTTCTGTTGTTTGGAATAGTTTCAGAAGGAATGGTACCAGCTCCTATTTGTACCTCTGGATGAATATGGCTGTCAATCTACCTGTTCCTGGACTTATTTTGTTTGGTAGGCTATTAATTACTGGCTCAATTTCAGAACTTGTTATTGGTCTATTAAGGGATTCAACTTCTTCCTGGTTTAGTCTTGGTAGGGTGTATGTGTCCAGGAATTTATCCATTTCTTCTAGATCTTCTAGTTTATTTGCAGAGAGGTGTTTATAGTATTCTCTGATGGTAGTTTATATTTCTGTGTGATCAGTGGTGATATCCCCCCCTTTATCATTTTTTATTGTGTCTATTTGATTCTTCTCTGTCTTCTTATTTGTCTCACTAGCAGTCTATCTGTTTTGTTAATCTTTTCAGAAAACCAGCTCCTGGATTCATTGATTTTCTTTAAAGGGTTTATTGTGTCCCTGTCTCCTTCAGTTCTGCTCTTAGTTATTTCTTGTCTTCTGCTAGCTACTGAATTTGTTTGTTCTTGCTTCTCGAGTTCTTTTAATTGTGATGTTAGCGTGTTGATTTTAGATCTTTCTTGCTTTCTCCTGTGGGCATTTACTGCTATAAATTTCTGTCTAAACACTGCTTTAGCTGTGTCCCAGAGATTCTGGCATGTTGTGACTTTGTTCTCATTGGTTTCAAAGAACTTCTGTATTCCTGCCTTAATTTTGTTATTTACCCAGTAGTCATTCAGGAACAGGTTGTTCAGTTTCCATATAGTTGTGCAGTTTTGAGTGAGTTTGTTTTCTTTTTCTTTTTTTTTTTTTTTGAGATGGAGTCTCGCTCTGTTGACCCAGCCTGGAGTGCAGTGGCGTGATCTCGGCTCACTGCAAGCTCTGCCTCCCGGGTTCACGCCATTCTCCTGCTTCAGCCTCCTGAGTAGCTACGACTACAGGTGCCCGGCATCATGCCCGGCTAACTTTTTTTGTATTTTTAGTAGAGATGGGGTTTTGCCATGTTAGCCAGTATGATCTTGATCACCTGACCTCATGATCCACCGGCCTTGGCCTCCCAAAGTGTTAGGATTACAGGCATGAGCCACTGCGCTCGGCCATGAGTGAGTTTCTTAACCCTGAGTTCTAATTTGGTTGCACTGTGGTCGGAGAGACTGTTTGTTATTATTTCCATTCTTTTGCATTTGCTGAGGAGTGTTTTACTTTCAATCATGTGGTCAATTTTAGAATAAGTGCTATGTGGTGCTGAGAAGAATGTATATTTTGTTGATTTGGGGTGGAGAGTTCTGTAGATCTCTATTAGGTCCACTTGGTCCTGAGCTGAGTTCAGATCCTGAATATCCTTTATTTTCTGTCTCGTTGATCTGTCTAATATTGACAGTGGGGTGTTAAAGTCTCCCACTATTATTGTGTGGGAGTCTAAGTCTCTTTGTAGGTCTCTAAGAACTTGCTTTATGAATCTGGGTACTCCTGTATTGGGTGCATATATATTTAGGACAGTTAGCTTTTCTTGTTGCATTGATCCCTTTACCATTATGTAATGCCCTTCTTTGTCTCTTTTGATCTCTGTTGGCTTAAAGTCTGTCTTATCAGAGACTAAGATTGCAATCTCTGCTTTTTATTTTGCTTTCCATTTGCTTGGTAAATATTCCTCCATCCCTTTATTTTAAGCCTATGTGTGTCTTTGCACGTGAGATGCGTTGCCTTTTCTATCTGAAGTCTTCAATCCTCCTCTATGATTAAAGTTGACAAATGTAGCAAATCTAAGTCTTTGTCTTACAATTTAGGCTTTGTATATTCAGTTCTTTGTTTTATTGCAGGAAAATGTTTGGTTGTTTAGTACCTTTTTTCTAGTTGATTTTTTGGGCTCTCTTCAGCAACACCAATTATACTGATGTTTATAGTTTTTGTCTTTTCTCTAATAGTGTTAATTTCTCTTTCCTCTTTCCACTGTTATTATCTCAGGCCCTTTCTCTATGCTAGCAATTACATTTTCATCTGTATGTCCTCTGTTTTTTGCTGTTTTTATTTAATAGTCCTCTTATTTTGCTGTATTGGTCCCCATTTCTTACTTCCCTTGATTCTACAATCTCCCTTTTACTCTATAGCTCTTATAATCTCTACAAACTTCTTCAACTACATTTATGATTTTATTAAGATCATATATGGCATAAAGTACCTATGGAAAATTTGTTTTATTTCTTGAGTTGTTTTCTTCCATCGTGGGTTGGTTCTTTAGCTGATTTTGTGTTTTTCTTCCTTTCGTTTTCACAGAATGCCTGCATAGTTGCTACTGTTTTTCAGCTTGTATAGACACTACTTTGTCTGCTCTTTCAAGAGCTTCTATCTACTTTAGTACAGTTTAAATAACATCTCTTGATATCTTTCCTTCTTTATCAGAGCTTTATGTGGAAGATAGCTGGTTTCGGTTTCATTAAAGCTGTATTCAGTCGCCCAAAGTTTCGTAAGGTGGAGGGAGAGAAGATTGAGAATGGGGAGAGCTCCTCTGGGCTCTATGTTGATGAACTTAGCCTTTGCTCTCTCCTCAGAAATTATAGAAAATGGTCTGTATGTAGGTCTGTTCCATTTAATGGAGTCCTCTCTCATGTTCCTGCAGGGGCTCCTCCAGGTTTTATATTCCCCCATTTTGGTGGAATTTACTGGGAAATGGCCAACTTCAATAATTTTTTGAATTCTATAGAAATTCTGAGACTTTGGTGAGAAGTGGATGCTTAGTGGAAAATATTCATCGGAGGATCATGTATTTATAATAAGATGGGTAGACAACAAGGGATTAAAATAGTAAATTCAGGAGAAACTGTCCAGATGACCCAGACCTTGTGGAGAGGAGAGAAAAACAAGGAGAATGGCCAGAACCATGGAATTACATTTTTTGGATCTCAAAAGCTGGTGTTCAGCTGAATGGAGCAGAGGGTCCAACTGAGGGTGAACTACAGGTGTGCCAACCCTCAGCTTCCCTGTCAGTTAGGAGTTTCTCTCTGTGGTAATGACATATGAGAAAACTAGATGTGAAGGAAGTACAGTAAACAGTAACTATTTAGCACCATCTTGGGGGAGAGGGAAGTTCTGAAAGGGCCTATGCCACCCATAAAGTAATACACAATTAGGAAGGAAAAATCCTGTCTGGGTATAAAGAATTTATGTTGTTGAAAGTGGCTACTGCTGACCTGTTCCTTCTCCCACTAACTCTTGTCAAGCTAATGTAGATAATAAATCATGTCATTCCACATTTACATTGATTCACATTTTCTACTAATTCTACTACTAAGCTTCAGTGCTTAGAAGAAACCAGGATTGGGAAAAAAAGGAACTCACCCTACAGTTGCCTTATATAAAATGGATTAGATTCTGCCCAATCTTGTGGGTCAACGTAGAAGCACGAACGCTTTCAGTTTCCAACTTCATCTTCCCTACGGCCAACTGTTCATCCCCTTTTTCTGAGTCTCTCCAAATTGGTTGCTATTTCTGGAGAATTTCATGAACTTTTGGCACACTTTCTTTCTTCAGTGCCACTTCTGATGGTGGAGCAGAGTTGGGCTCCACTCTGAACCACCGCAGGTTGTATAATTTGGTTTTGTTTGGTTGATGCTGATGAATTGTGTGTTTGTGTGTGTATATGTGTGTGTGCACGTGTGCCAGTACTTGCCAATTCTGTTCATTCTGGTTAGATACTGATGTAGGGGGAAGTTTTTAATATGTTTCATTTTATCATTTTTGCTCAGCAGTTAGGTATTTTTTTTTTTTTCATGAGGCTGCATGACTGGAAAACTGAGTTCTTTTGTTGGTTTGTTTGTTTTTGTTTTTGTTTTTTTTTTTAGACTGAGTTTCGCTCTTGTTGTCCAGTCTGTAGTGCAATGGCGCAATCTTGGCTCACCGCAACCTCCGCCTCCAGGGTTCAAGCAATTTTCCTGCCTCTGCCTCCTGAGTAGCTGGGATTACAGGCATGAGCCACCATACCCAGCTAATTTTGTATTTTTAGTAGAGATGGAGTTTCTCCATGTTGTTCAGGCTGGTCTTGAACTCCCAACCTCAGGTGATCCACCTGCTTCGGCCTCCCAAAGAGCTGGGAATATAGGCGTGAGCCACCACGCCTGGCCCAAACTGAGTTTTTTTAAAGGTTTTCTGTGAATCATAAATTCTACTGAAGCCCTATGGTGTATAAATTATTTTCAATCTCTCCTTTCTTCATTTATATTTTCATATAGTCCCTATTCATAACACAATGATGGCTCAAACTATATATAATGTGAATTGAGTTTCTAATTTAATAGAAAATCCAAATTCTTTTTCTTGGAAAGATATCATACTAGGCACAAAGACCCATTTCTAGGAAAGGTGGATGATGTCATCACTTAGAATAAGGAACCACTAGTATTAAGCAAAAGTACAGCCCTTGCTGAATCCCTGAAGAGGACTTCCATTCCCAGACATACAGACAGCAGTCTCAACCACGAAGGTAAATGCCAAAAATGAGCTTTTTATGATTTTGATAAACACAATAAATAGTGGTAGTTGAGACAAGTAATGGAGCATACTTTAAAAGCTGAATAGTTTCTCCACATGTCATTCATTTAGTGATAAAAAAGAGAAAGAAGAGAAGAAATGGTTAAAAAAGAAAAAAGAATGATCCAAACTTCCAACTACTGGCTCTTGGCCAGGAAAACTTCATAAGAGATGAAAGCCGCCATCATCATTATTCATTCGGCAAAATAATCCACGCTTAAACGAATGACTTTTATAGTGCAGCATGTGCTATGTATTCTGCTTCCAGGTGGAGCTTGTTCCAGCCCTTGTTGTGGTTTCATTTACTGTGGTTGATCCAACTTGAAAATGAGTTGGAATCCTGGTGACCCACCTTGGCAGGATCTGCTGTCTGAGGCTGGAGTGAAGCCCATCTCACACTCGCAGCGATATGCACCCGGGACATTAAGGCACTGTCCGTTCTCACAGAGGTTTATGTTTTCTGCACACTCATCAACATCTGTGCAAAAAAGCAAATTACATCTCTGTTAAGTTCCAAATTTCATGACACATTTTCTCCTTGCTCTATAAATAGATCAGTTTTACTGGCTTGACTTAATGCTCATTAACATGAAACAACAGTTAATCACATTCACTTAAAGGAGGGTATCAACCTGAGAGAAAATCTATTTATCTTGCCCCCTAACATTCAATTGTAATATAATTAAAGAAAAGCTATTTAACCTGCACCCTAACATCCAATTGTAATATTATTAATAGGAGAAACGCAGACATCTCTCACATTTGTCTTGTTTCTCTTGTCAGTAGTATGCCAACATTATTTAGATATGAAAAAGAACATTGGAATTAATCTTAAAATGGTGATCATTCTTTGAGAAAATTATAGTATTCGAATAAATAACTGGCTTTTTCACTAATTCAAGTGTTTTAAAGCAAATTAAAGACACTATGGGAATGGGGAAAGTTTCTTTCATGTCATTACAATCTTATAAAAATACTCCTATCTTAATTACACAAACAGACATTACTCACAGACCTTAAAGATAATTTAATTCTATCAAGCAGAATAAGAGGGAAGGAAAAATCACTGTTTAGTGAGGGTGTCATTTGCCATATGCTGTGCTGGTGGCCTGACATGCATTTTTTCACTGAATTCACCAATCTCCTGAGGTTTAGAAGAGGAAGAACCTGTGGCTAAGAGCAGCCAAGTAAGCTGACACAGCCACACTGAGCTAATAATGCATGTTGACTGAGCCAGGATCTGATTGCAGATGTGTCTGACATGAAAGCCATGCTCTTTCCTTGACACCACAGTGCGGAGAAATGCCAGGAAAGATGCAAACTCTAAGGCTACAAGTTATGAAGCTTTAAAACTGAATAAACATGTTTCCTTAAACAGGCATTTGAAAATGATGAGGCTGCATTTTTGATGTCCACAATTTGAAAAAAATTTAGGCTATCCGTTAATTATGGGTTTAAAGTGTGTACTGAAAATCAATTGAGAAACCCTTATTTTATAAACTGAAGAGTATTCAACTTTACGTCCAGCAAGATTATCTAGTCTTATACATGCATATAATGAGAGGATGCTTTATCCTCAAAGAGTATGAATGAATAGAAGCCAAACAGAAGCTATTATTTACTGAAATTTTGTGATGTGTTCTTCTAAGTCCTTTATTTGTATTATTCCATTTAATCCTTTCAATGCCAGGTGATAAACTACTGAGACTTTGATAAACACATTAAATAGCAGTGATTGGATAGGTCATATATCCTATCTTAAAAAGCTGAACAGTTTTCCCATGCCATTCATTTAGGAATAAAAAAGAAGAAAAGAAAATTGTATTATTACTATTGCATTTTAAATCAGGACAGACAAGTTAAGTAATTCACTTACAGTTACAGGCAAAAAATGGCATAGGCAAGATTTGAATCCAGGTAGTCTGATCCAGACAAAGCCTGTGTTTTTTTAACCACTGTGTTACAAATGAGTAAGATAAAATGGCGAGTCATTAACAGTACATGATTGTTACAAATGCCGTTATTTGAAAACTTCCAACAATATATTTGGAAAGTCATTCAGGTTTTTGTGTTTAATGTAAGAGAAAGATACATAGTCACCTGCAAGTCAAGTATAAAAAAAGAGGTAGTTACTTTTGTCTCCTTTAATTATAATTTTCTTCAAATAAGGAAGCATATAGAGTGTTCTATGACCATCCCGTCAGAGCACACCTCAGGACTGTCACCCACCTGAGCAGGTAAAGCCATCACCAGTGAAACCTTCGGAGCAGGCACAGCGGTATGAGCCCGGGGTATTTACACACTGAGCATTGATGCTACACTGGTGGGTTCCATTAGAACATTCGTCCAGATCTGCAGAACACAGCAATAAAGTTCAGAAATGAAAATGGAACATTTAAGCACCTGGAAAGATTATCGTTTGTCTTAATTTACATATAAACTGGATAAATGACAGGCATTTTAGTTTGCAGGATCACAGTTCTAATTCGCTAAGCTCTCAGACCCAATGTCCAATGTCCAGGCTATAAATGTGGGCCAAAATTATGAATTCAAGCAATTTGTGAGATATCTAGTCAACGTGAATTTTTTAACAGCTTAAAGCAAATTAGTGTTAGATCTCATTCTGACTTCTACTGAGGGTGAATTTTATTAGTGGTTTCCTTATCAGTAGAAGAATCAATTCTGAAGGTGATACTGAATTTCAGAGCAGGAAAATTAACAAAGAGTTTTTAAGTTTATTTAATAGATGAGGAAACAGAGATATGATTCTTGACCTCATGGAATCCCTTAGTTGAGCAGAAAAGACAGATGTTAAACACAGAAAAAAACTAAATCTTGCTATATGTGCCATGAAGAAAAGTTACAAGGTGCCATGAGAGAATAAAAAAGGCATCTGATTTGGGCTGCAGGAACAAAGATGCCCCCATTGAGGAAGTAGTTTTTAGTTAAGGTCAGACCTGAGGATGAGAAACAATTAACTTGCTGAACAGAGGTGGGGAAGGATATTCCTTGCAGAGGGACGAGTGCATGGTAAGACACCAAGGAGGAAAAGAGCTCAGTGTGACTGAAAAAATGAAAGGAGGTTAGAGTGGCAAAGCAGAATGCACCAGACAGAGGGTGATGGACAATGAAGCTAGAGAGACAGTGGAAACCCGCAGCCAAGGGAGGGAAGCTGAATTTTATCCCGAATTCAATGGGTTATAGTGAAGACTATGAAGAGATCGAATCCATGGTTTAAAAGCTTCCTCCTGCTGCTACGTGGAGAATGGATTGCAGGAGGGCCAGAGAGGGAACAAGCCAACATACCAGAGGGGATTCTTTTAGCATTCAGCAGACACGAAGAGCGAGGGCATGTGAGAGAGACAGAAACTCTCTCTGGTTGGGACTAGAGTAGGGGAAAGAAGATGTAAAGGAGAGGATGAATTTGGGTGACATCCTGGAGCACAGGAGGCTGGACACAGCTGAATGTCTTGTATCAGAGGCAGGCTGTTTTGCAATAGTTGGCCAAAATGACAGATGGACAAGAAGCATAAAAATGGGAGGCCAAAAAGAGAAAAAGAGTAGGCACATGGGGCTACGAAAATGGGAATGAGGGTATGGTTGAAAAGTTATGATAGTAACCCTGGAAAGATGGCTGGACTAGAGGCTGGCACTTCACTAAGCCATTGCAGGATGTTATTTAGCAGTTATTTGGAAGCTCTGATACTTCAAATTCTATAGTCAGTACATAAACTTTTGATAAGTATGAAATATTTGAATGGATAAAAAAGTATATATTCAAATTAACTTATAGTTTTGGTAAGAGATCTTAAAGCTATTCTTTAATCCTTACTGAGGGCCTATATATTTTTTGTAAGTTATCAGGGGGAAGTGAGTTTAGCTTGCTTTCTTTTCTGTTTTAAATTGACCTAGAAATTCTTACTAGTTGGAAAAATGCTTTATTGTAAGGCATGTGAAACACTAAGCATATTACACAAAACTGTGAATGACACTCAGGGTATATTCTAGTCCCTTCCCTCTCAGATATAAAAGACTTCTTAGACTCTGGCTCAAGAACCATAAAACTTGGAGAATTTGCCTATTTTTTTTCTTCAAATAAGACCTCTTGGAATGCAAGAAAGCATTTACAATTTCCTGTAAGAAGAATTCTATTTTCTAATAAGATGGTGGTATTGATGACTTACTAAAAAATTAGGTTATCTGAAAAAACCTTTTCATTGCTCTCCATTTATTCCACTGGATTTTAAATCTCACTGATTACTTCTTTGAAAAGATTGGAAGAACATACTAGTCATTTTTCATCATACAGCTGTGTTTGGATCACCAGCTGCATATCAATTTTTACTGAACAAAAACACATTAAAAAACAGGTGCCAAGGCATACTGTTGAAATTTTGATAATTTATATTAAGGGTAAAGGACACCCTTAGGCAGGAATTATCTTGCAACTAAGATAACCTTTTTATAAAGGAATTAATAAAAGTGAAGAGCATGATTCTACAACCATGCAAAAAAGAGCCTTTAAAAATTTGTGCCTTAGCAAAGGATATTTACATTTGCAAACTCACCAATACACTTGATGCCGTTTCCAATCCAGCCTTCTCTGCAGCTACACTTGAAGCTTCCTGGGATATTCAGACATGAGGCATGCATGTCGCAGTTATGAGCACCAATTTCACACTCATCCACATCTGATAAACCATAATTCATAAGAAGAAAATCAAAATACAAACTAATTAATTCTACTTCCAAGTATATTTTTGTATAGGTAACATTTTAAAGTAAAGATGCAACCGTATGGAGAAAAGAGTAGCCTAACTAACTTTTATTTTTAATTTTTGTAGGCTCCAAGAGGACTTGGAAAATTCATGATCCTAATAAAACAAGTTCTTCCCTAGAAACAACTGTCAGCCACTTTCCAGTAGAAGAGAGAGAGACACAGCAGTGTTGCTCCCCGGCAGGTATGTGTATTATCCTGGGGCCTTCTTCCCTGCCCAGATTCAGACACAACACCATAAAGAGGACATTCGATTACAGATCAAGAGAAATCTTATTTCCAATAATAGATGGTGCTATTCCTTCCTATTGATATTTATTACATATTTTTCATGAAGATAAGAATCTAACTTTTTAAAAAAAGTAATAGTTTATTCTCTTTAAAATTACATGATCATTTGTCATTTAAAAAATCAATATAAATATTTTACAGAATTTAAAAAAAACTATTCATTTAGGTGTATATTTTTATTTCTTCTACTTATTTGAGATTATAGAAAAATATTCACTGGGAATGTTATCTGGAAAGTAGCCAGATGCTTTCGCCAGTGTGTGTGTGTGCGTGTGTGTGTGTGTGTATTTGTGTGTCTGTATACACACACACATATCCCTATATATGTATGTATAACCTATGTAGATTTGGTTCTCCAAAGCTTTCTTGACTATAAATAGTAATGTGTTCTATCTAGTTCAACGATTACATATTATAGATGCTGAAATCACACACACACACACACACACACACACACACACACACTACTGGCTTCACATCAACCCTGTCAGTGGTGAACATGCAAAGAACACCTTCTTTTATAATCTGCCCCTTACTGGAGGGGTCAGCTTAAGGGCTGGGTTGGACTCTTAAGTCTTCCACCACCTGCCTTGAAAAAATATCACACATAAGTCTTAAATTGTGCACTGAGGAATACGTGATCCAAAACCTTGACCCCGGCACATCCTAGCCCCACCTGCATGCAAAAGGCTAAAACTAGTTAGTAGTAGTAGTAGAGAAAGGGAACAAAAGACAAAGTGAGCAAAGTGAGCAAAGAAGGAAAGTGAAGAGAGGAAAAAGAGAAAGGCAATTTGGGCACAGAGAAGAGAAGACAAAAGCAAACAGAAGAGCAAACAAGAAAGGAAAAGATGGGAGAAAGGAAGAAAGGGAAAGAGTCTCAATGAAACTTGATTAATTTTTACTAGTTTAAAAGAAGTGCAGAGGTAAATGGCAACCGGGATCCTCGGGTCTTTTGGTGCTCTTTGTACATGAATGTCTTCCAAGCGGGCAGCAGTCATACTCAGAAAGTGACTGATGCTGCATGAACGACCATAAGTGGTCAGGGCCATGGGAACCAGACTGTACTCCTACTCACTCACTCTGTCACAGCCCACAGCCAGCCCCACGGTGGGTGGCTCAGACAGCGTGCTACCACAGAGACCAGCCAAATCCATCACACATCCTATAGGTCACACACTCATCACACACACAGTCACAGTCTGGTGGCAGGTAACCGCTCTAAGAGATGCCAGAGAACAAATGATGTTGAAAGTTGGCCTTTGACATCTGAGAAGTTGAAATACAGAGAACACAAGCTTGAAACCTACCTGTACATCCTGTGGTCCCCTTCTTCACTGAGTAACCCAGCTGACAGTGGCAAATGAAGGATCCCTTTGTGTTCTCACATTCCCCAAACATGCAGATATTTGAATTTAGGTCACATTCATTGACATCTAGAAAATTTATTTTCAATATCTTAGTATGTGCTCATCACAGTAATTTAAAAGCTATCTTCTACACTGAATAGCATAATACTGAAATACACAGGCAAGATCTAAAATATAATCCATCCGCAAATCATCGTGTTATAGATAAATATACAACCTGCCTTTAGACATTTTTAAAAGTAATTCTTCCTGAGATTTTACAGTTCTAGTAAAATGATTTGAATTTTTAAAATAACAACAGAAAAAGCCTTCCTTTTATCACGCTTGTGTGTGCATGTGGGTGTGTGTGCATGTGTGTGTATAAATGTTTATCCTTTCTTATGATACCCACCAATGCATGTTTTCATGTCCATGGAAGCCATGAAGCCATCATAGCAGAGGCAGCGATACTCTCCAGGAATGTTGGTACACTGGCCGCCATCACAGATATCAGGATTGTTTTCACATTCATCAATGTCTGATGATACAAAATTAGCATCAAATGAAAATAAAAATGTCGTTCATCAATCTCAAATGTTTTTGTTTTCTATCTGGTTCCACTTGGTAATATCTGGAGCCATATTTTCAAGAAAAAATTAGTTAGATGTACAAAACCTGTGTGTTTTCCTTTCTATACCTGCACACGATCTCCCATCTGGCATCAGGGCATAACCCTCACTGCAGCTGCATTCGTAGCTTCCCTCTGAATTTGTGCACTGGGTGTCACAGCCTCCGTTCATTATCATACATTCATCAATATCTGTGAAAACAGCATTGCAACCACATTGTCAGGTCTGCTTCCTTAAAAGGAGTTTTCTTCTTTTTAAACAGATAATGCTAATGTGGCTTTGAATTTTTCTCCCCACTATGTGTGTTGATTGAACATTATCTTTCTTAGTTCTTTCACCTTCATTTTAGGCAGCATTCCATGTTTAAGTGCAGTACCCTAAGATTAACTCAGAAATAGAAGAACTATGGGGATTAGAGCATTTTCTACATTAAGATGAGTGAGTCTGCTGCAAGATCACACAATAACTGAGATCTGCCCCTAGTCTTACATTCATTTTTGGGACAAAGGATTTGCATAGCCTTCATTATAATTCAGCGCCAAAAGTTTTCCTAGGCTGATTTGAGACATATGAGTTTCAGGCCTGCTTGGTCTCCCCTTACCTGTACAGCCCTGGCGGTCTGGCGTAGCCTGATATCCAGGATTGCAAGAGCACTGATAGGTTCCAATCATGTTCACACATTTTCCATTTCTGCAGAGATTGTCACTCAGGGAGCATTCATTAATATCTATAAAAGATACACAGAAGTAATGCTTTACACAATGTCCACTCACTAAAGCCATCAGAAAGGTGCTTCACCAGAGCAGTGGTCTCCAAAGGGGTTTGTGTACTTCACGAGGAAGTAAAATGTTCTCCTGGGGGATTGAAAGAAAATGCTGGATTCTCTATTTCCATCTACAACAATACTGTTGAGTAAAGCTTTCTACAATGATGCAACTGCTCCCAAATCTATGCGGTCTAATACACAGCTGCATGTGCTACTGAGTACTGGAAATATGGACAGTATAACTAAGGAATATTTAATGTTATTTAATTTTAACTGAATTTACATAGCCACATATGGCTAGTGACTATCATGTTAGACCACACAGATTTCACATATGCCAGAACTGAAGCTAAATACTACTTAATATATGAACTTACACTGGCACGCTCACCTGGTCTATATTAGATGGTGAAGTGTTGCCTACATGATTTGAAGTATACTGATGGAAGACTGATGGTTCCACAAGACAGAGGCATGACAATAGGGCCCTCATGTATTTAATTGTTTACACTGTGTTATGTTTTGTGTGTCGGGATAGTAATCTACAAATCACACTGCCTGTTTAAAAATAAACTAACCCCTATAATATGGGCAGGTGCCTTAAAAATAAACTAGTACCAATAATGTAATCACAAGATAACAGAAGAAAATGGCAGGGTGATACACTTCCTTATGTAAACTACTTGTCAGGTATAAGGTAAGGTAAAAAACAGTACAGTATAATCAGATATAACAAGAAATTTATTCCAAATTCTCAAAATAACCAAGAAGATTATATGGCATGGGTTTATGCTTATGATCACTAAGTGTATATTATACAGAAATATATATTTTATATTCTGCATTGTTCCTTTGGGGGATACGTTTTTAAGCTGTAAGATCCACGAAAACTAAATAACAAAGTAAACTTAGATCTGTGACTCATTATACCTCAATATGTTCAACCATGAATAAATATTCTGCAATTATTAGTGTGAAAAAGCCTTTTGTACCGCTATTAAAATGAAATAAGAACATAAAAACCTTTTCATTTATCATTTTAAAATATCTATTTATCTATGACAAAATTCACCTCATATACTAGCAAAGCAATACATAAGGCTTATAAATAAATATATGTGTATTGGAAAGGTGTGCTCAAATTATGTTTTGAAATTTGGTGTGCAATCTGTTCTATTTTAGGCTGTCTTATTTGCTTACGGTTTTAAGAAAGAGTTCCTATGAAGAACATGCTTTCTGGCTAAAACAAAGTTTTAAAGCCAGTATACTAGGAACATAGTAAGTCCAGAGATCTTCATGTATTGTGAAAAGCAATAGGTTGCAACGCCCAAAGACCAGTCATTAGTCTTCTCATATCCTTTCTGGCAGCCCTACAGAGCTCAGGGCAAATGAGGAAACCCAGTGTTTCCATGAGAAGTGGGTTAAGGGAGCGCCATGTTCACACATGTGCAAGCCGATCGTGAGCAGGCACAGGGGCGTAGAGCGGAGTCTGCCGAGTGGATGGGAAGACGCTGGGCAAAGGTGCACAACGCACACAGTAGCTTTCCCATTTTTTCCTAATGGAGGATGAGACCACAAGGACTTCCACAGGGCTCCTCACACAGGGACCAATCACGTGGCTTGTTATAAAAAAAGAGGCCAACCAGAAGAATGCCAGCTTATTCGAGTGTGTCACCCAAGCATCCACTAAAGACACAGCCTGCATCCAGATGTAGGGAATCTCAATTTCCACCTTTTAATAAGCTAGATTTCATGTGCTCCTCAAACAACAGGTTTGTCAGAACTGATCCCTGGTCTTTACCAGTTGTGCTGGGCAGGTTTATGTGCTGAGGAGATAAACTCACCCACACAGTCCTCACGGGATGGTGACAGCTCGTGTCCCAGTGGGCAGTCACACTGAAAGCTGCCCTCAGTGTTCACACAGGTGCCACCCCTACAAAGGAGAGGGTTACGTTCACATTCGTCAATGTCTGAAAGGTAAAAACGTGAGATCCATTAAAGAACTCTGAGGGAAAAATATTCACACATACAGCGTGGGAGAAAGAATATTATCTGATGTGAGAGTGTGAGTTAGTGGAAGAGAGATGCTTCATAGGAGATGGGATAACGCTTTCCTCACTTTTCCTACGACCAACAGAAAAACTAAAATTTCTACTCTTAAAGGTAGTAAGCTTTCAAGAAATTTAATTGCATGAAATCAGCAGGCTCACAAGGGGTAGAAATACATAATATTTGCTTTATATCACCACGGACTCATGATATATTGTTGTCAGTTATCCTGGTGTCTGTAACGCTAATCAGGGTGAAGGAGAATCTTAGACTTATAACCTACTATATCCTATGAGGTAGGTCTTATATCATACTGAAAATTAAACAGTGGGCTAAAAGGTTGGGAATACCAAAAGAGTTTGTAATAGTACACAAATAAGAGCAATAACATGGGATTGGCATGACTGAATACAAATCTTGGGGCCACCACACGATGCCATGCATTTTAAAGTAGTCCCACCTAAATAAACAGTCTGTGTGATTTTAGATTCTATGAATAAACAGGATCCAATCTGAGTATCTCATTGCCATGAAGGCGCCAAGAGGTTGGGGCTCCCCGAGAGCTATCCAGGAGCGCATTTCCTGTCTGACATTTAAATCTCTTCTCTCTCTCACCACAGATGCTGGCCACACATGCCGTTCACAGCCCAGAGATAAGCAAAGGTCATGCGCACGAATGAGTCTGTGCTAGTATGGTTTCAAGCTGGCGAGGAAGAGCTCACGGTGCTTACCCATGCAGTTCTTCATCATCATGAAGCCACTTTCATAGCCTTCGAAGCACTCGCACTCAAAGCTGCCCGGTGTATTGACGCAGATTCCACTGCCACAGAGGTCAGGAGAAATCCTGCACTCGTCGATGTCTAATTCACAGGGTTTAAAAGAAATTTAAAAATTGAATGAGATAGACTTGGCCTTCCAAGCGAAGGTGCTGCATGCTTGAAAAGTTGGGGAAATTGCTGGCTAACAGTACAAGGGTATGTTTTCAGTAGACCCAGATAGAAGGGCCTGGGACCTGAGGCACATTCCTTTCCCCAACTGCCAAAACTGCCATGCCAACAGGCAAGTGGTGCCTTTTCACCTTTAAAAATTCTGAATTGTGTATTTGTTTTTGTGGCTTAGAAATCGTAACAGAAAAGGGGGGCATGGTGACTCATGCCTGTAATCTCAGCACTTGGGGAAGCCCAGGCAGGACTGCTTGAGACCAGGAGTTTGCAACCAGCCTGGGCAATGTAGGGAGACCCCATCTCTACAAAAAAAAAATTATTGGGGAGGCTGAGGTGGGAGGATTGCTTGAGCCCAAGAGGTCAAGGCTGCACGGAGTTACGATGTATGATGGCACCACTGTACTCCAGCCTGGGTGACAGAGGGACAACCTGTCTCAAAAAAGAAAAGAAAAAGAAAAAGAAAGAAATGTTAACAGAAGGATGAACCCTGCAACTGTGGTATGGGCTGAATGAGGCAGGTGGTAAATGAGGCAGCCAGGCCCCCATGGAATGAAACCTCATGTGTGACTGGAAGACAGTGCTGGTCTACTACACTAGCCCATGCCACCCCAGGTCGCAGCATGTGAAGGCAGGGCCCCTGTCTCTGTGCAGGAGGGACTGGCAAACCCCAGAGAGACAGGCAGCCACGACGGACCAACCCTGAGCCAGAGAGCACACATAGGGCAGGGCCATGGTGTGTGCCCCAATTTGTGTTTTTGTGTCATATTCAGATGTAAAGAGCTTATTGATTTAGTAAGCCCTTTGGTGACATGAGCTGTCACCAACACCTGAGGACTGTGTGGGTGAGTTTGTTTCCTCTTTTTATATATTACAGTAAATAATCTTCAGCAACTATATTCTCAAACACAGGGTTCTCTGAGAAATCTCCTATGCTTATAACTAAGATTTTTAATAGAGAAGTCATGTCTATATAAAATATGTTTAAGAAAACATGACCTATTTACAAATGTTTTAGTCCAAAAATCAAAAGTTTTTAATCTAAAAATCTGTCAGTGGGGAAAAATGCCCCACTACGATCTCTTTATTTTGATGAACTTAATTTTGAAGTTTTAAAATCACAGGATTTAGTGCATAATTTGTGCATGTTCTCTTGAGAGGGGGGTCTCAGTCTCTGCTTTCTGCCAGCTTTTACTTAGTTTTTCTGTATTTATTTCTCCAATTACAGGAGTCTTTATTTATTTCCCTCATTACTGGCCATGTGAAAAAAATGTAAATACTTTCTTTTAAACAAACATATTAACAGAATTTATTGATTCAATTAAGTAGCTAACAATATGTATATTAATTTTCTTTCTATCTATCAGTATCTAGGACTGGTGTTAAGAGTCATATGAGGAATGTGTTCTAGGGTGGAGCAGGGACAATCTTTGGCTAATGTGATGTGGTGGGAGTTTCATAGTATAAACAGTGTGGATTCTAGAACCAGATACCTGGCTACAAATCCCAGTCTGTCATCTACTGAGAACAGGGCCTTGGGAAAATCATTTAGTCTCTCTGTGCCTCAATTTCCTTATTTGTCATAGAATCCACCTCATAGAGTTAAATGACTATTTGTTAAGTGCTGAGAACAGTGCCTGTCTCATAGAAAGTGCTCTCTCTTTCTCTCTCTCTCCCTCTCTCTCTCTCTCTCTATATATATATGCAAACTTCTCTGCTAAGAATGGGTAATTTGGAGGGTGTGGCTTTTGAATTGGTTCTTGAAGGTTGTACAGAAATGCTAGCTTTAAAGATACAGAATAGAGAGGCAAGAGATGAAGCGCACCGGTGAAGAGAAAGGAAGCATTTCAGGGAGCAGTAAGCCACAGATTGGCTGGACTGGAGAGGCTGACAATGAGTGTGGGTACAGGACGGACCGGTAGGATTACTAAAAGCCCCCAGCATGGGAGGAGACCGGCCCTTCCTGCTGTGAAGATGAGAGCCAACAATTTTCCACAGAACTTCACAGTATATCCAGAGCAATGCAGCCCTGTCAATGTGTTAGAGACATTAAGCAACTTTGGCTAATTTCACAACAAAGGAAGAGGTGGGGTCAGAACTGGAAGAACCCTGAGCTTCTTTATCCAGCACCAGGATTGCCTATACCAGTGGAAGTTGTTCAGTGGGAAGTTACACAATCCAGCCCTGCTTGGATGGTTAACCTGGGTTGTGGCAGTGAAGGATTTGACCGTGGGAACTTAACAGGTTGGGAGATCCTGGAGGAGTCTGTGATACAGTAGATACTGTGACATGTCACCCAGGTCCCTCTTCAGGAAAGAAGGACTTACTCCCCCTCCCCGTCAGCTATTGGTAGTGTCGCTGGCAGAAAGCCCTCAGATGCCCACTATTCTAAGAGGACCTCTTCCCCCATTCCCTGGGCAGCTGTATCCCAAGATTGGTCCTGCAGGTACCTAACTGCATGGCTTCCATGCCCTACTCAAGGCAACTCTGATGGGCCATCCCAGTTCCAGAACTCCCAGTGGCATGGGCTGAGGACTTCAGTGGGACTGCATCATAGCCCCATTTCTTTCTCTGCCCACTTCTGCTTTCCTCCCTTCCCTTCCTCATTGTTCATCCCAGGAGCAAGCCCCGATAAACTTCCTGAATGCTCTTCTCTGCCTTGGAGTCTGTTTCCTGAGGAGCTTAACCTGCCTCTGTCTGAAGAAATATCACAGGTAATTGAAATAGCCAGTTTAATGAAAGAATTCGCATAACTTTTTCACTTTGGGAGAGAGAGACATCAAAATTCAATTGGAGGCTTCAATCCTGTTCAAAATTATACTCCTAATGCATACAGGGAAGTCCCTAGTAGGATAAAGTACAGGGTAGGGGGAAGAGCAAAGAAAGATCAAAACAAAGACAAACTTTCCAGATGGGAAGTTATAAATGTGGGAGTGAAACTCAGGAAGAACAGAGAGAGTTAGAGACAGGGTCTGGGAGTCAGCTCAGCAGAGGCCATCTCTGAAGTCATGATGGTAGATGAAACTCTGAGAGGCAAGACGCTGAGTAGAGGACTCTGGCAACACCCAAGAAATGGGAAAGGCAAGAAGAATCTGTAGAGGTTAGAGAAGAAACATCATCTGCATAGAAGGATGATCAAGACCGGAAAATACCACAGAAACTAAGAGAAAAGAAAATCTCAAGGAGAGATTTGGCAAGCAGAGGTCCAGGAGAGATGTTTTAACACCACAAAGATGTTTTGCAAGAGTAGATGAGTATACATGTATGTGCCTGAGTGACAGAGGGCAAAAGTCAAAATTACAGGACAAATGGCTGGTTGAAAGAGAGGGGTGAGACTTACCAGCAGGAAAACGGGATGGTAGCTTGAGAGAAAAGAAGGGCTGAGGAGATATTTTGAACCTGTGTATAAGTTGAGGAACAGGAAGCAGGGAAGAGGAGATGCTAGAGAGAGGAGAGAGGAGCGAACCTGCTGAGACAACCCAGAGCAGGAGCTGGGAAGGAGGGAAAAGAGGAGTTAACCCCAAATCCAGGTAGAGCATCACACCTCATTCTCTGTCACCGGAGGAGAGGGAGTGGGGGATAAAGGAGATTTTTTTTTTTTTTGAGATGGAGTTTTGCTCTCATTGCCCAGGCTGGAGTGCAATAGCACGATCTCGGCTCACCAAAACCTCCGCTTCCTGGGTTTAAGCGATCCTCCTGCCTCAGCCTCCCGAGTAGCTGGGATTACAGGCATGTACCACCATGCCCGGCTAATTTTGTATTCTTAGTAGAGACGGGGTTTCTCCATGTTGGTCAGGCTGGTCTCAAACTCCTGACCCCAGGTGATCTGCCCGTCTCGGCCTCCCAAAGTGCTGGGGTTACAGGCATGAGCCACCATGCCCAGCGGGATAAAGGAGATGTTATCACTAGAGAGGAGGCTGTGTGAGAAGGATGCAGGCAATCAGATTTATTCTCAATGAAGGAGAACGGTAATAGATGGGGGTGGAGGGTAGAGGAGAGGGCATGTAAGTCAGGGAAGAGGTTTAGAAGCAGTGCTGAGAGGAATTCAGAAAGTGATGAATGGAGGTGAATATGAGTGTTGTCAAGCAGCTTCAAGGACTTGGAGGTGAATGCAGTAATCTCAGGCAGCACTCCTCAGACTCTCCCAGCCAAGTGCAACAGCCAGAGTGGAGAAAACAGGTGAGGGGATGAAGCTCTGGAGACTGGCACAGGGCTTGAGCAGACTTCAAGGCAGCAGGACTTCAGAAAGCCAGATGGACAGCTGTGAAAAGCTCAGAGATAGCCTTGGCTGAGGAGGCACAGGAAAGAGCCAAGAAAGATGTGGCCGTGAGGTCAGGAAGAAGGAGCAGGCAGGAGGGAGTGCGATAAGGGGAAATCCCATGGAGAATACGAACAAAGAGAGTGCTGAGAACGAGATCCTGAAGACACAGCTCAAGGGTCTGGAACAACATGGTATACTAATAGAAAAAGTTAGAACTTCACATCTTGTTCAAAGAGAATGTTATGGGTATGGATGGTGACTGAAAACTAATATTAAGATTCCTGTTCACAGATGAGGAAAAGAAGTAATAACTTCTATATCACAAACCTTAAAATCTTTAAGAGAACACTACTCAAGTTTATATAATTCTTGTGGATTTAATGACTGTATTTCTTTAGTAGTCATATATTTTGAAAATCATATTTGTATGCTGTTCCTAAATATAAAACAAACAGCATTTTCATGATGTTTTGCAGTTCTCTCACAACGAGTTTATTTGGAGAACTGGTTTAAGTGTAGAGAAAAGAAATTTAAAAAATTTACAGAGCTGGATGCCGTGGCTCAAGCCTGTAATCCCAGCACTTGGGGAGGCCAATGCAGGAGGACCACTTGAAGCCAGGAGTTTGAGGCCAGCCTGGGAAGCAAAGTGAGACCCCATCTCTTAAAATAAATAAATAAATAAATAATTAACTTTTTAATTAGCTGTGCATGGTGGCGCACACCTGTGCTCCCAGTTACTTGGGAGGCTGAGGTGGAGGGACTACTTGAGAACAGAAGTTTGAAGTTACAGTGAGCCATGATCATGTCTCTGCACTCCAGCCTGGGCGACTAAGTGAGACCTTTTCTCTAAAAAGAAATTAATAAATAAATAAAAATTTTCATGTTCTCAATGAGAGGATTAGCTTTTTAGGGCAGTCCTTTCAAACAGAGTAAAGGAAAGACAGCCAGAGTTTATCAAATAAAACAGCAGAACCATCTTACCCGTGCAGTTTCTTTCCTCCATGTCTAGAGCAAAGCCACTATTGCAACGGCATTTGAAGCTTCCGATTGTATTTCTGCACTTCCCATAAGTGCACATCCCAGGAAATGCTTTGCATTCATTGATGTCTAAAAGCAGAATGAAGCCAGAATGTAGAGCCGGTTGATATAAACGATTAGGTCCATCACTTTAAGTTAAAAATCTATCATGATGGACAACAGTAATGCATCCAAGTAAAAAACAGGGCTACTAAATGTTTCAGTGATCACACTGATATCACACAGGAAGTTTCAATATGGTGAAAAAGATCTTATATTCTTTTTTTTTTTTTTTTTGAGACAGAGTTTCACTGTTGTTGCCCAGGCTGGAGTGCAATGGCACAATCTTGGCTCACTGCAACCTCCACCTCCCAGGTTCAAGCGATTCTCCTGCCTCAGCCTCCCGAGTAGCTGAGATTACAGGCGCGAGCCACCACGCCCGGCTAATTTTTGTATTTTTAGTAGAGACGGGGTTTCACCATGTTGGTCAGGCTGGTCTTGAACTCCTGACCTCAGGTGATCCACCCACCTCAGCCTCCCAAAGTGCTAGGATTATAGGCGTGAGCCACCACGCCCGGCCAAAGATTCTATATGCTTAAGAAAGAGTTCTGATTCCTTTATTTCTCACTACTTGTTTTATAAAGATAAGTGGGAATAGGTAACTTTTTGCTACAGATGTAGCTATCAGGGCGACATCTCCGGTTGCAGAGGAACAAAGAGTAGAAGAGAAAGATAAGCAATCTGTTTTATCTCTTTACTTCAATGCCATCTTATAGGGGATTTATACTCTTGGGACAGAACATTGGTCACAAAACCTAAGTTTAACTGAGAAAATAAAGTGGGAAGTCAAACATTTAAAGCAAAACCAATTCTCAGAGAATGTGGAAGGCTTCCTGTTGGTGAAGAAGGACCAAGGCGCTGGCCGCAGGCAGTTACCTTTGTAAAATGGCCGCCCAGTAAGAACATCCCCTCGGTTAGCAAAGCCAGCCCCGCGGGGGCACAGCGTCTCGTATTCCTTGGTGCCAGGTTTGGGGCACTCCTCACACTCGGTGCCCCAAGCCGCCCCGACAGCACAGCAGCAGGCATCCATGCGGAACTTTCCAGGAACGGGGTGGATGCATTCATCTTCATCCCACTTCAAGTAACACTGCTCCATGCGAATATCTACACCGAGAACGAAATCACAGGGTGAGAATGAGTTGAAACATCCATTGAACAGTCACATGTCAAGCGTCTGCTCAGCACCAGGCATCATGCAGGACCCTTGCGGTGTACTGGTGGGCAAGATGCAGTCCCTGACCTCCTGGAATGGACTCCATAATGACAGTCATTTAAGGAGAACAAAGGTGAGATCCTCTTCAGTCTTAATTCTCACAAGAAACCCTCAGGAAGAAAAGGTCCTCTCATGAGATGACTGCTTCATGTCTATTACTCCTTTTTTGTATTGTTCACTTTAGAAAAGGTAAGATAATTTTAATGATAATTCTTCCTGTTCAGAGAATTGCTTCAAGTGCCTTTTAAGCAGCCCTGTCAGATCCCATTCATAAACAGTAAATGATCGGCTATAATCTATTTGCCAATTTGTTACAACTATTAAGATCACTACAAAAGAAAGTGTTATAATATTATTACATTTAAAGTTTTTTTTTTTCTCCTGCCAACTTTACCTTTTGCATCATGGTTTTTCCCTGGATTATGTGAATTTTCCGTTTTAAGGGACCAATTATTTGTTTAAATGTCACATTTTCCCTCCAACTTCAAAACAGACCAACATTTCAGTGCTTAGCCTGTGCTAGCCAGGACCTTAGAATATCTATAAACAGTCGCCTACATCTAAAAATAGAGTAGACCAGAATGGTCTATAAATAACATGTTCATCTGTTAGCAAATAGATTTATTTTCAAATCATACTAAAGCACTTGGCTGTTTAATTACAAATATGGATAATGAGTTTGGAAACGGTTCCTTAATCAAATAGCATGATTTCTTTGATAAGAACATTTTAAGACATTAAATCCTTTCCAGAAGCTGAAAACTGTCTAACGGAGGGAATGAGATCCCTGATGGAAATGTACACATAAAAATTAATGTTTACTACTTTAGTTACTGTCAATATTGATTCTTTCAAGTTCTAAAAGGTAATGAGTTACATTTCTGAGTACTGGAATTAAAAAGTTCTATTTTTTTTCTTTCTTTCTTTCTTTTGAGATGGAGTCTCACTCTGTTGCCCAGACCAGGTGTGGCGTGGTGGCTCATGCTTATAATTTCAGCACTTTGGGAGACTGAGGCAGCTGGATCACCTGAGGTCAGGAGTTCGAGACCAGCCTGGCCAACATGGCGAAAACCCATCTCTACTAAAAATACAAAAATTAGCTGGGCATGGTGCTGGGTACCTGTAATCCCAGCTACCTGAGAAAAAGTCCTATTTTTAAGGAAAAAATAACTGTGGTAAATGTTTATTTTGATTCAGCAGACTGAATGTAGATATCTACAGAAGGTGATTCTGTCTTATATATCTACATTAACACAAACCAAAAAGCCACATGCTTTGCCAGTGTGAAGTGTGATAGTAATCCAGCGTCTCATTATCACAGGGCTCTGAGGGGCTAGTCTCCTTATAGCTGGTTCCGTCCCATATGTCAGCAGCTAAGTAAGAATCTTCTCAAGATGTGAAAGTCTTATATAAGTACAGGTGGCCTAAGAACTCTGGCCTGAGTCATACTGTGAGGTTACTGAAGAAACCTGCTCAAGAAGCTCAAGACAAACTAAAAATGTACCATTTCATAGCTTATTGGAATAAACTAGGGTGAGAGGGGAAAGGCATCTGAACTATGCATGTAAAAAGTTATAACAGCCAGGAAGAGCAATCCTGTCTTTAATACTGAGACCTCTATGGATGTTTATATCGGCAATTAAAAGTCAGCACACTACTGAGAACTCTATATTTATATCAGGAATTAAACGTCAGTACACTGGCCACATAAGGCCTATCAATGCTGCGATTGTCCTTGCATGGAAATTAAAATATGAATTTGGAAACCTTTGGATGGTCCATGTTCTCTGAAGTTTGCTGCAGTCCCCACTGCTCCCTGTTGTCGCGTCACTCATTTATATGTTACATGCTTGGCTCCTGCAAGCATCTGAGTTTGGGATCCCTGATTCAGATGAGGTTCTATCAGAGCATTTACCAAAACTTTAGTTCTCAGAATACTTTACATTTTCATGTGCCAGTTGCTTCTTGAAACTTTCTCACATCCCCAGACAGAATTAATTAATATAGCATAATTCAAGTGGTGACAAAAGCATTTAAGCAAAGTACAAGGATGAAGAATCCAATATATCATCTTAGAATATTAAAAAATGCTTTTTTTTTTTTGAGACAGAGCCTCACTCTGTTGCCAAGGCTAGGGTATAGTGGTGCGACCTCGGCTCACTGCAATCTCCACTTCCCAGGTTCAAGCGATTCTCCTGCTTCAGTCCCTCGAGTAGCTGGGATTACAGGCATGCATCACCATGCCCAGCTAATTTTTATATTTTTAGTAGAGACGGGGAGGGGGGGGTTCCCCATGTTGCCCAGGCTGGTCTTGAACTCCTGACCTCAGGTGATCCACCTGTCTCAGCCTCCCAAAGTGCTGGGATTACAGGCGTAAGCCACCACTCCCAGCCATAATTTTGAATAATGTTATTGAAAATTTATTTTGCTGAGTAATAATTTACAATCAATGATATATCTTCATATATTATAGCATTTCATTATAGAAGGTAACTTGATTTCATTAGTCATTTGGCCATACTGATATTATTATTTTTGACATTTTCTTTTTTTAAAATTTCGATAGTTTTGGGGGAATATTTTGTCATTTTCAAATGATACTTATTTCTAAACATTGTAGATCACTTAAAGATAATTTTTAAAATATTTAAAAATCTGAAAGACATTTTCTTTATTTTTGTACTTTGGATATTATGTTTTCTAAATAATTTTGTATGATTTTACAGTCATGCTTCCAATCCAGATTTAAATGTGCTATCAAAAACTGAGTTAAAAATGAAATCTGTTTTAATTATAATAACTGTATGGTATTGCAAACTTTTTTCTTACAGTAAATTTTAAAAATCACTGATATGTAAATACTTTAAAGGTGATTGCATACACCACCACTATTATTTATGCTTTGTCTACATGTCTAAATTTCAAATACAAATCTATGTAAAGTTCTTTTATAAACTAAAAATTTACTGTTCCATAGCTTATTGGGGGAAAAAAAATCTCTGTAGGTAAATGAAAAATTATTGTTACATACAATGAAAATTAATAGAAATTTCTTTTTCAATCATGAAATTCAAGTTCAAACATGACACTAATAAAGAAAAAGGTCAAATCACTATTCCTATAATATGCTGTTGAAAGAAAGAGATTCATCACTACAGATCTTTAAAAAATAAACTATTAAGAAAACTTAAACTCTAATAGCAATAAAGGAAGGACCAGGATCAGTGAATGATTTCAAGCAGAAGCAACATATCTTTGCTCTTGACTTTCCCCACTGTCTTCAGGGTGTAGCTGCAATGAGCTGACAAATGTAAACTTTTAAAATCCTAGTCTCCAACTTTCCTGCTGTGTTCAACATATTCTTACTCTATTAACTCAGTGTGAAAGACTGAACCTGTCTAAATTATCTGGTTAAAGAAATGGAAGATTTTGAGATAGATTTTTGAGCAGTCCCAACTTTTGGCATGAAACAGAAACAATTTCGCATAAATACATTCACTTTTAAAACAGCCTCTAGTGATTTCCCCCTAAATATCTCATTTAAAGCAAGTTTTCTCAAGTACAAACTCTTGTGGTTTTGGACTAGCCACTGCTTAAACAAGGAAATTCATGGCTTGTTTTATACATAGAATACATGAGGGTGTGAATCTTACCCAAACATACACGGCCAGTCCCATCCAACGTAAGGCCTTCAGGGCACTCGCAATGAAAAGATCCCTTACTGTTGACACAGCGTCCATTTGGACAAACGCCAGGGAACACCTCACACTCATTAACATCTGCAGGGAAATGCAGCAAGCAGAGGAGCAAAGATGTTACAAATAGAAAAAGCAGGTGTGGTCCTACTTCCTGTATAGCATTTTCAATCCACATTCAATACAATGTGGATTATTACTTGAGTTAAACAGAAATATTCCACAACCGAGCCACCCGCTTTCCTAGGTACCAGCTGTGAAAATTACCACAGCCTTGCCTGTCCATAAAACATGGCCCAGACATGTGCCTTTCCCAGCTGTTCTGGGCCTTAAAGGCTAGCGATGTCTTCATGAAATTTACACAACTCCATAAAGAGGAGAAACGGGAAACTCTAAGCTCTTTCCTAAGAGAATTATGCTAAAGCATTTGTTGATTACATCGAGTATTTTTATTGAAATGTCAAGGTTTTTGAAAATGATAAATATCTCCAAAGTTTGAGAGTGAATGTTAATTTTACTTACTGCTCAAAAGATGTATAGTATCTTCCAAGGAAGGATACACTCACCTTCACACGTAACACCTTTAATCCTGGCAAGCCCTCTTGGGCAAGCTGTATCTGTAACAACAACAGGACAAATTTTACTTCATTATAGAATAAAATACAACCATGGTATGCTCAAGAAGAAGTATAATGAAATCTAAATGGAACTAAATAAAAAATGCAAGGCAGGGTCTTAGGGTCCAAGGACATCATTGTCCCCTCTTCATTCAGTAGGGCACATGACTTTCTGTGGTAACTCCATTGGTATTGACCTGTATTGAGATTCTCATAATTTTTCCTACAATTTCTTTTTGCTGTCACATTGACAACTGAGTTAAAAGTAAACAGGTCAGGCGCGGTGGCTCACGCCTGTAATCCCAGCACTTTGGGAGGGTGGATTACTTGAAGTCAGGAGTTGGAGACCCATCTGACCAACATGGTGAAACCCCGTCTCTACTAAAAATACAAAAATTAGCTGGGCATGGTGGCGGGCACCTCTAGTCCCAGCTACTCGGGAAGCTGAGGCAGGAGAATCGCTTGAACCCGGGAGGTGGAGGTTGCAATGAGCTGAGGTCACGCCACTGCACTCCAGCCTGGTGACAGAGCGAGACTCCGTCTCAAAAAAATAAAAGTAAACAAAAGATTTGAGGAAAACAGCCACCACGCAAACAAGGATACCAGAGGATACAGTCATCTAGCAGATAGATTCTAGCTGATTCCCTTCCATGTTAAAATATTTAGAAGGCCTGCTTATGTACCAGGATAAAACAAATACACATTTTAAGAGGTAAAAAACATTAGCCAGGAAAGATAACATTTTAGCAAAAGTAAATGATCTCTGACCTTCTTCACTAAGGAACTGCGTAGTGAAAGAGGTGTCCTAGTGGCAGGAGAAGTTTCCAAGGAGAAGCCCAGAAGCTCCCAATAAGGCTCCTACCTAGTTCACACCGCTCACAGGGGCTCCCCCAGGCGGCTCCGAGGGTGGCACAGCATTCAGATTTCAGAGTGGCTCCATTAATATTCACCTCACAGCGGCTGTCCTGGATGTTGAGCCAACAGGTCCCCTTCAGGCTGTCTGAAAAGGAACAGGAAAGGTTGGGGAGCTCTTACCTCTGAAGAAAATAGAATTCAGCTGTGTACACAAAAGGCATTTGTTACAGTATTCTAAAAAAGAAAGATTACTGGCTCACGCCTGTAATCCCAGCACTTTGGGAGGCTGAGGAGGAAGGATCATTTGAGCCCAGGAGTTCGATACCAGCCTGGGAAAATAGCAAAACCCCATCTCCACCAGAGGAAAAAAAAAAAAAAGAATACTTTAAAAGTTTTAATAGTGGGGCTGGGTGCAGTGGCTCACGCCTGTAATCCCAGCACTTTGGGAGGCCGAGGCAGGTGGATCACCTGAGGTCAGAAGTTCAAGACCAGCCTGGTCAACATGGTGAAACCCCGTCTCTACTAAATATACAAAAATTAGCCAGGCTTGGTGGCAGGTGTCTGTAATCCCAGCTACTCGGGAGGCTGAGGCAGGAGAATCGCTTGAACGCAGGAGGCAGAGGTTGCAGTGAGCCAAGATTGTGCCATTGCACTCCAGCCTAGGCAACAAGAGTGAAACTTCGTCTCAAAAAAAAAAAAGAAAAAATTTTAATAGCATATACTTTGAAAATACTTTCATGTACCTGCATTCAAATATGGTATATTACATATATGTAAATAAAATATTATACTATGTATCTCTCTCACATAATATGGTAATTAATATAATTATATCTATTGATATTCTAAGAGGAGTTGTCCAAGATTTTATGCTGGTACTCAGAAACACAGTGCATTGCCATGTTGCCCAGGTTGGTCTGGTTTGGAACTCCAGGCCTCAAGCAATCCTTCCACTTCAGCCTCCCAAAGTGTTAGGATTACAGGCATGAGCCAGTGCGCCCCGCCCTTCTTTTTTTTTTTCTTTTAACATACTATAACAACATGATAAGACCATCACTTGTGTGAAAAGTATTCATAAGATATATCCTTAATGACAAATGCTTTGATATTTAAGATTTTATCGTATAAAATCCTTTTCCTTCTACCTTAAGTCCCTACTAAATAAATCACACACAATGTATGTTCTGTTATGCAAAGGCCAATATTTCTCCAGCTGAAGATAATTATTTGATGAATAATTTAAAAGAAAAAGCCCTATAAAACGAAGAAGGAATAAACATCACTTATAAAACCCTCACTAATGCATTCCCAGGGCTAATATCTGATGTATTTTCTTTCAGGCACTTAAAAAATGTGTGTATGTGTGTGTGTAGATTTATCTCTAGTTCAAAAAGTAAATCATACTTATGGTAAACAATTTGAAGAAATAGAGAAGTATGAGGAAGATGTAAAAATCACCTGTAACCCTCTAGAGATAACCATTCCTAACGTTTTAGACTGACTCCACATCAAATTTGTTCTTCCTTTTGAATGGTAGAGTACCCAGTGAAATATTATGCACTTTAAAATTTTTATTTTATGTGGATTAAAGGGAATAACGAATGGTTAGTATATTTTTGGTGGCATAATGAAAAGTTTTTCAAATGAACAAATAATAAATGACTGTTAACTGATTTTGAAGCAGTGATAAGGAATCCAGTCAAAGCTGATATAGCAAATACTAATTGGCTAAAACAAATCATATGTCATGTTTTCCTTGTAGAGCAGTGGCTCTCAGTTAAGTGTGCATAATATTACCAAGACACTTGTTAAAATGCCGATTCATAAGTTTCCCGGTATGCAGCCCAGGAATCTGAATTTTGACAAACTCCTCAGGTGATTCTGATGTGAGTGATGTGGAAAACACTTTACCAAAACCTCAACAGCATATTGTGGCATTAAGACTTGGAAGAAAACAAAGAATAAGTGTATTCCTATAGTATTTATTTGAAAATTCATTTTAATAATATGTACAGATAAAATTTACTTCTGGCCAGACACAGTGGCTCATGACTATAATCCCAGCACTTTGGGAGGCTGAGGCAGTCGGATCGCTGGAGCCCAGGAGTTCAAGACCAGCCTGGACAACATGGTGAAACCCCGTCTCTACAAAAAACACAAAAATTAGCTGGGAGTGATGGCACATGCCTGTAGTCCCAGCTACTCAGGAAGCTGAGGTGGGAGGATTGCCTGAGCCCCGTAGGCAGAGGCTGCAGTGAGATCGTGTCACTGTATTCTAGCCTGGGTGACACAGTGAGACCCTGTCTTCCAAAAAAAAAAAAAAGTTTTTACTTCTAAATTCAACAACAAAAATACCCCCCTGCCCCCAAACACAGAAAGGGAATTACAATTAAACCATGGGCCTATGATGGCAGAAATAGTAATTTCTGATTCCCTAGGAAACACAAGAAGTTACCAACAACCCAAACACCAAGACAGAGGTTGAAACAAAACAATTCTCTCCTGTACTGAATAAAAAGTTACAGGGCAAAGGTGTGAAAAAGAGCTGGACAGTCACTTTGCTTTTTCACTCTGGCTGGAATGTTCAGTTTGGATAAAACTGTAGAGAAGCATTTGTGTCAGGTCTCAAACTGCAGGCTTGTTATAGATTTACATCTGTAAATTCCATAGCACAGAGGAAACAGAGATGTTTGTGTAAAGCTACTGTGTATTTAAATGATCTTTTAATGACCTGGACTAGTTCTGATTTATCACCTTGTCATCATTTTAAGTAAGATAAACAACAGTTATTGCTAAGATTTATCAAGATAGTGACAGGAACTGGAAGGCTTTCTATGTATTAATTTATTTACTCATTAAAACAACCCTGTGAATTATGTACAATTTGCAGATGAGAAAATTTAGGCACACAGAGGTCAACCAATTTACCCAAGGTCACCCAGCTAGTACAGTGTCAGCATCAAGATTCAAGCCCATGCAGTCTGACTCCAAAGCCCTCACTCTGTAGCACTGTGATTCTTTAGGCTGGTGCTGTATCAACACTTGAAAAGCTACAAATCCATTGATAGCACCCCGCACCCCCCTACAGGCTCATCCTTCTCTCTCTCCGATTCCTTTCCTCCATCCTCCCTCCCTGTCTCCCCACTGACCCACTGTTGTGTGTGTATGCCCATCCCGGCCCCCAGACACACACACAACTGAGATACAGATGTAGATAGTCAGGAATTAGTTAAGAACTCTCAAAAAATAAAGCAGGGTAATTAGCTTGAGGGGAGAAACAGGAGAAAGACTGTTATTTTATGTAGGATGGTCAGAGAAATCGTGACTTACAATGTGGCACCTGAATACAGACATAAAGAGAACCCTGCAAACCCGAGAGAAAAACATTCCTGCCAGATAGATCAGTGGACTTCAGGTGGGCATGTGTCTGACGCAGGAGCAGGAAGTAGGCCAGTCTGGCTCAGGCTGAGGGGGTGGGAGGCACAGGGAAACAAGGTCACAGCAGGAGCAAGATCATGAGGGGAGCACAGGCTTCGGTTAGGACTTGAGCTTTTACTGAATGAAATGAGAAGCCTAGGATTTCCTAGACACAGTTCCTGGACAAAGAATGATATGCTCTGATTTATGTTTTAAAAGGGCTGCCTAGTGGCTATGTGGAGAACTGAGTGTAGTATGAGGAAAAGAAGGTAAGGTAGAGGCTACAGTAGTAATTACGAAGAGAAATGATGGTGACTTGGATTGGGGGTTGGTGTGGTGATCGTGAGAAGGGGTTGAAATATGGATAAACTTCAAGTGCAATCAATAGGTTTGCTGATGACTTTCATATACAGCTTGAGAAAAAGACATCAAGGATGCTGCCAAGGTTTTAAGGGGTGGCAGCTAGAAGAATGAATTTGCCATTTGCTGAGATGGAAATGTTCCTGGGAGACTCAGGTTCAAGCCAGTACACAGGAATTTGGTTTTAGACATGGGAATTTGAGATATCGATGAGCCATCCAAGTGGAGACACTGTACAGACAGTTGGAAACACAAATCTGGAATTGGTGGCAAGGTTGAGGCCTAGAATTTCATTATCAACTAGAGTGACAAATGTGAGAGTCAACACAGAGGCTCTCGAGGATGAGTGTAGAAAGAGAAACAGAGGTCCAAAGACGGACTGGTGGAACACTTCAGGTTAAAGGTTAGGAGGATAGGGAGGACTCAGTAAAGGAAAGAGAAAATGTGCCATAAAAGTGAAAGAAGAAGAAGATAGTTGTGCCTGGAAAGCCAAAAATGCAAAATTTCTTGAGAAAGAATGATTAATGAACTGTGACAAATACTGCTAATAATCTAAGGTGAGGAATGAGAATAGACCATTGGATTTGACAGCAGAGTGGTCACAGCCATATATCCATGCAAGTTGAAGACAGAGCGCAGACCCAAGCCAAAGATGAGGGAAACTGGTCTGGATTATATAGAACCATCAAACCACAGCAGTATAATGCAGGAAATATTAATCAAATGCATTGTTCTATTACATTTAACCATATTCAACCAGAACACCATAGTCTTTTTAAGCAGTTTGCAGAATAGTTGAAGATTAATTTATATTTAGAAAGCTTGAAAAATAGATTCTAAATCTTTAAATATTCATAGTATCCAACTAATTCATATATAATCTAATGTAATTTTAAATTAGTAATCACATCATGAAATTTCAAAATGTAATGACCTGGACCTGTGGAAGAGAAAGTTGCAGGCTAACCACTGATGAGAGCCACTGACAGTCCTATTATACATTCATGACTTGTCCTGTGTATATTTTACTATTTGTTATTTTCTTTTTCAACTAGATTCTCTTTTTAATAAAAAAGTACATGAAATAATGTCTAAACTTTAAAAATATTAGGGAAATCTCATTTTGAGCTGCTCTACACTGGGATATTCAAATTTAATCACAATAAATGAAAGCACACAATACACTGGCTGAGAAAAATATGGTGGTGGTTAGTTGTTGGCAATTGGAAGAATGACATAAAGACTTGGGGGTAAAAAAGTCTTTGTTCTTGTTTAGTTAATAAATATAAGGGCAAAAGGCCAAAATAATGGAAGTCTACATGATGAGGCAAAAACTATCTTTGATGCTCAAGTGGCATGCAGATTTAGTTTTCTGAGACATTAATTGATTAATGCTGAATTCATTTCCTTTGCATAATAAAATGACTCCATCTCAATTGGAAATTGTGGCTTAGCAAAAATATTTCTGCTTTAGTGGCTCCAACCCACACACCCCACCGCCCCCCCAACCCAGCCCGGAATTCTATAAGAAAAAAAGTAATGCCCCAGGCAGATGGCAGTCTATTTCCTAATATGAAGAGCTGAACAAGGCTCAGATTTCACCAGCTGTACCTCACTGGGAAACGAGGAGTTGGTGTTTCCAAAGAGAAGGTTTTCATTGATAATTTTGGACTTGGTCATTTGTCTTTATGTAACAAACAGGTACTCTAGCATCCAGCTAAATATGGTTAATGTCAGACATAATACTGAAAAAGCTATTGTCTTCGACAAATATGAAACTAAAGATTCATTTTGGCTAGATAATAAAAACTGCCAGTTAATTTGGCACTATGTAAAACTGAAATATCTTCCTATTTGGAATATATATTTAGTTCACTTTAAAGGTGGATACTAGCTAATGATGTGAACTGTGTAGGCCTAGTGAATGGAACCACAGAGGCTAGAAGTAGGGAAAAATTACTGGGACAGTTTTGTTCCCTTTTACGTGCTGGATTTTTCCTTGCAGTAACAGATCAATCTCCCTTAATATACATCCCATGTCATTATCAAGAACTGACTTTAAATGTTTTGAGACATATTGAAAGATGTTAGTTTAGATGTTTTAGAATAATTTCCCCTAGAGATTTCCAAAAGCAAGAGAACAGTTATCTTCTCTTCCTTAGAGCCCCAAAATTTATGATTGATGGAAAAAAGAAAAAATAATAAATTCCCTCTATGTGTTTAAAAGCTTCAAATTCTTGTCCTGTTAACTGAATCCAAATTTCATCACATTTTTTGTTTGCCATTGAAGTTTGTTTATAAAAAAGTATGGAGTAGAGATTTGATTATATTGCTGCCCAAGGCATTTTTAGGGTAACGGATATACATATGTGTGTGGTATGGAAATGATTATAAGTTATAGCATAATATATCTACTTATATAAAAGGAAGATTTCTAGAATCTAACAAAAATTGAATAGGCTGCCTAATTAATGCTATTATGTTTTACCTCTATATTGATATTGAGTAAAAACAACTAACATAATGTGTAATTCTTTGCTTTTTGGAATCATATTCTGTTTTTATCCGTAGTAAGGCCTGAGATCTGTGCTTATCTTGGCAGTGAAATTGAAGCATCAGTATTGTGTATGAATCTTACCAATACAGATCAATCCTGTGGAGCTGAGTTTGCTGCCGGGCGAACATTCACAATTGAAAGATCCAAGGTTGTTTCTGCAGGCCCCATTGACACATGGGTTGCTTTCACATTCATTTATATCTACAATCCAGAAGGAAAAGATTCTGTTAGAACTGCCATGTGTTTCTGGAAAATATTATTCCAACAAGCCATGCAATGCCAGAATGTCTGGTAAACTTGGCTCTGGTAATTTTAATATGGATCTATGAAGCATAAAGTGAATGGGGAATGGAGACATGCATTTTACATCGTGGATACACATCTATAGGACTGGGAACTCAGTAGGACCACAGTGATCAGCCTATTGGGAAAGAGTTCAGTTACATGCTCCTTCAATACATCATCACAACTTTACATAAATTGGATTTTTTTTTCCCACATAATAAGATGCAATTCCAGGTGCAACATCCTGTGCACAAACAAAGGTTGATTGCTTTGATGATTTCATGAGGCTCTGAAAAACTTAAAAAGTCTATCTTAGATGCAAAATATCACAATGCTGCTTTAATTCCAAGCTCTTGGGTATGAATCAGGAAATAAGGACTGAAACATTCATGGTGGGTACATAACTCTCCTCTAGTCCCTATCCACCTTCTCTGTCTTTAGCTGTTCACATTTACATGTTTAGTTTGCTTAGTTTTTTTTTAATACAACTAATTTTGGTAAAATAAAAATTAGAAATACTTGATCAAGTAGAAATAATTGCTTTAAATGGGACTCTACCATTTATTTGATTTGAGTCCTAAATGAAATCATATACCATAATCTAAACAATTCCTGTTGATGGTCAGAAGTAAGCAGAACTGCACTATGCCTATGTTCTCAAATGGTGATTACAGAAAATGTCAAGCCTGTAATGTGAAATAGTTTAACACATGAGTTAATGAAAAAGAAATACAAGCTTCAGGTAAAGTACTATAAAAAAAATCAAAGACATTTTCAGTATAAATTCAACCACTTTTAAAGTGGTACACTTTAAAGAAGTGGCACACAGTTTTCCTTCTCTACTAAATTATCTGAAAGAGGTCAATAGTCCTCAAGGCATTTTATATTGAACACTGGGGTTTCTAGGTTCACAAGAATACTTTTTCTTTCTCTAAATATTTCTTTGAATTTATTATAAAGCACTTTACTATACTGAGGAAAGCACATAAACAAATAACTAGAGGACTTTAAACTAAACTAATCCTGAAAGAGCAAGGCTCGCAGCGGAATATCCAGGTGCTAATTTAATTCTTGAAATAGAAATTGTTTGAAGAAATATGAATGTATTTTGCTTTTCAGATTGTTTATACTGAGAAAACCTCTTAAAAATACAAGAAGAGATTTTGTAAATATAGCACAGATTTCTAATGAAAACATCAATCCGAGTAGAGAAACTTTTTCATAAAAACACAATGTAAAAAAGAAACTAGCTAACCATAAAAGAAGCAGATAACAAATCTAAGGACAGACCACATATAATTCTCCTATTAATTTCATTTGTAAGAAGCCTGAAAAAAGAAGAATTTCAATATTGTGTGTTTTTAAAATTTCTATTTTAAATTAAGCAATTATGAATTCAGAAACTATAAACATATGCGCTGACAACTACAAATATCAACTATTTAGTTTTCCTTTAAATAATATGTTGTTATGTTATAAATGTCATGGAACCAGGAATTGAAACAGTTCACTGTACATTCCTGGAAATAAACTTCAAAGCACATCTGGTTTACATTTAACTAGTTATGTCACTGGAAACACAATCTAAACCACAGTGCTTGCTGTAAAAATTTTAACTTTCACAGACTCTCAGAGCTCAAACAAAAAAAGTAAAATAAAGTTTCTGTAACTTCAATCTGAAATATAGAAGAACTTTACTCTCTTTATTATTAGTGCTATTTGTTATATATTTAAAATACTCTGAAAACATGATTGACAAACAAAATTAGTGCACAAGACAAATATACAAGAAAAAGCTAAGATTTGCAATGAATCTGCTAATAATTCCCTGTCTAGTCTTTGGAAATTAATTCAGAAAGAAGAGAATGAAGAGAACTGCTTCAGACAGAAACACTTACTGTTTGAATGCAACAGAGGAAATAAGAAAGCGACCCAAGGGAAAAAGAGATTAGTAGCCTTCAAGTCTATTCTTTGCAAAACTCTTAATAAAATGCAAATAACAGTGGGAAGAAAGTGTAGAAATAACAGTTATTTGGTTAGGTTTCCCATGATAAATCATTTTTATTTCCTCCAATGTCATAAGGCTGGAGCCAAAAGAGTTGTCTATCATTTCTTCTTTATTTACATAACATGAACTTCTTTCCTATGAATGACAGACATAAAATTGTTTTTACATTAAATAAATCTCTCAGATTAAGTATGCTTGTAATAAGTGAAGATCACTGTTTCTAACCCTCACTGTTGCCTGATTTGGTATGAAAGTGCCTTAATATTTACATAATCACCAAATGTTACACTATTAAACACCACCAGCTCCTACTCTTAACTGTTCATGTAAGCAGGTGAGTCTCTGATTTTACCTTCTTTGGTATTTCAACTCTCAGAACCTTTGTACTCTGTTACTTGTCTATAAATAATCATTGATAATTCAGTGTACATAGCAAATAGAACCAGACACTATCCATTTAGTTCCGCATTACGTGTCTCTCACAATAGCACCAGAAAGTATTTTCCTAGACAGAGAAACCAGTTCTAAAAATCATCAGTTTCCTAGTTAAATCAAGATGACGTCCTACCCTGCTCTTGCTTTCTAAGTTTCCTGAGATTTAACGGAAGCTTATCCTCCAACAGACAACAGACAAAACTGAAAAAAGACTACGGGAAGGAAGTGTAGAAAATCAGGAAAAACAAAAACCTTTGAAATCCCTTCTTCCATCTGTCCAAGGAAATCATGGAGGAAATATGGCTAGGATACTTTTTCATAAAGTACATTTCTCAGAGCATTTCTGAAGAATTGGTGTTAGAGATGGGAGCAGGATCTAGAAAATAGAGACTCTGTAGTTGAATACATTTGAGAAGCCAGAGCTGGCTTAAAAAGAGGACTCTCATAACCTATTGAAAGATATTTCAAACTCTTAAGTGTGTCCCCTTCTCACCTACTGAAAAGATAAATCTTCAAGTACTTTCAGTGGGAATGGAATGAGCACTCCTCTTTGAGGAGTTCCTGAAAAGATGTTGGACAATAGGGGAAACTGTCACCAGAAGTAAGTTTAGAAAAAGGGGATTTTATGCTGAAGTTTTCTTTTTTTTTTCTTTAGGCTAATTACTGTTTTTTAGTGGCCCCTCTGATTCAATTCAAAGTTAGCACTGCACTTTGTAATTGCATTTCATTGACTTCAGCAGAGTCATTCATGTTTTGGCATCTTGTTCTATAGTCCTAACTGGTTTCTGTTCACAAGAATGCTTTGAAGTTAAACAGTAAGATGAAGAGAGAATGTTACATCTTTTTGCATACTATTACTACTGCAGTTTTCTTGGCTGTGGCATCACAAAAAAAAAAACCAAATACTTTAACAGATAAAAAAAAAGGGCTATTCCACAGTCATCAAAGATGAAATCTTTTCTTAAAAGTTTCTATTACAAAGTAGTAATTGGATTTGAGAATGTTATGGGACCCTTCTGTAGGCCCACACAGTGAGATTTAAACAGGAACAATGACTAGTATTCATACCACAGATTATTCTGAAATATACAGTACTTTGATCAAGATACAAAAACATAATTCAGTGTACTCACTGCTCAGCCAGTATCTCACTGAAAATGAGGACTTCTCTAACCATTTAACTCATTTAAGTAACTTCCACTGCAAAAATATGTGATTAGAAGAAAACAAAGAAGCTTTTAAACACTAGTTATGGTCTATAAACTCAAATGACAACTTTTAAATTATCAAATGGAAAGGACAATTCTCTTGGACTAAAAACCTATTAAAGTTATCATTTTTACTTAGTTCTCAAATATTTTGTGGGCTGACTTCTTGGGTATATCAATCATTTCATAAATAAAATGCCTAAGAGTTAACTTTTCCATTACGATTCAGGTTCCTACATTAATGGATCATAGTGGTTCTGAAAAGAGGAAAACACAGTAAACAAATATTTGACATTGTATTTCAGCAAGTAAAACAATATGGCTCCTTCCAGTTGGTTTCTTTTTTATCCGCTTTAAAATGTTTGTTCCAAATGTGTGTTGATATTTTGTCTGAGTGGAACAAAATTGATGGTGTTTGTAAACTGTATTAGGTCCTTACTATTTCAAAAACTGGCAGATTAGCTAAATGAGATTATAAAATAAAATATTCAAACAATATTCTTTTCACTACATTGCTTCATCACTGTAATTGATGTTTATACAACTCCAGGTACTCACTATGCACAAATAAGGCGATGAAGACAGCTCTTACCTTCACAGGTCTCTGTCTCAGTCCTGAACACATACCCTGGTGGGCACGTACAGCTGTAACTTCCTGGCGTGTTTCGGCACAATCCGTTATCACAAAGCAGTCTGTTTACTAAACATTCATCAATGTCTGAAAGCAACGATTGAAAGATAGGAGATACACATATTTAAGCATCTATTACAGTGGGCAGCAATGTTTAATTTTGTTATTTGTTTTATTTCCCTCTTTCTTCTCTGTGACATAGTCTCTGTATCACAGCGCACTCTTCATCCTAAGCAAAATATATTTAGTTTTATTCAAATGGGATATTCTTATGCTAGTGGCTAATTTTAAGATGCTTTTAAATCCCTGGAAAGTATGCACTAGCTTGGAAAGGCACATCTCTACTTCACTTGCTTTTAGTCCTGTAATGATATTATGTTAGATATATTTTTAAAGCATTCATAAAAGATATCAAAAGGTTAAATTCATTTGCCTGTATACTTGCTTATGTATAATAAAAGTAACAGAAGGCATTTTTTATGATTAAAATTTTTAAAAAGAATGCCTTATGTCTTCATGTCCCAGATGGTTAAAAAATGCATTAAACAGCAGTTAAAAGACATTCATTAATCTTTTCCCACTATGTTTTTATCTCAGAAACAGTTATTAATGAAAATGATGTATTTTGCATACTCTTTTAGCAGTCCAGAACAGCCTAGAGAATATCATCTAAAACTCCAGTTTAAAAAGCCCACAATGAGTTTTTTGTTTGTTTTTGAGACAGGATCTCACTCTGTTGCCCTGGTTATAGTGCACTGGTGCGATCACAGCTCACTGAAGCTTTGAACTTCTTGGCTCAAGCAATCCTCCTGCCACAGCCTTCCAAAAGTAGCTAAGAATACAGGCATGTGCCACCACGCCTGGCCAACTTAAAACAATTTTTTTTAGAGATGGGATCTCACTATGTTGCCCAGGCTGTTCTGGAACTTCTGGCCTCAGGTGATTCTCGCAGCTTGGTCTCCCAAAGTGCTGGGATTATAGGCATAAGCTACCGCACCTGGCCTCACATTTTAATCTTCATATTCTTCCATTTTTGCAAGTGTAGTTAGTGACAAAAAGAAATAAACCCTGTAGTTTAGAGTGAAGAGCTCTTTCACTTAAAGTTACATTTCTAGTATTGCAAATAACAATTTTCCCTTATTAAATAATATACTGATACTGTGGAGATTTTGAAAACAGATCAGAAAAACATCTGCAATTCCATCATCACTGATAATATTCTTTTGTGTATTATCTGACCCTTTCCTTTCTTGATCTTGTTTTTGCTCCAACTCTTAATCTTGATACTTTAAAAATTAACATTATATTTTAAGGACTAGACTACCATAGCTTTTCCCATAATAGTGTAATATGTGTACAAATTGTGACTGCATCACAATTTTCTTTCTCTCTTTCTTTCTCCACTCCCCTTCCCTCCCTTCCCTTCCTTTTCTCTTTTCTTTTTTCTGAGATGGAGTCTCGGTCTGTCACCACGGCTGGAGTGCAGTGGCGAGGTCTCCGCTCACTGCAGCCTCCGCATCCCGGGTTCCAGCGATTCTCCTGCTTCAGCCTCCTGGGTGCTGGGATTACAGGCACGTGCCACCATGCCCAGCTAATTTTTGTATTTTTTAGTAGAGGGGGGTTTCACCATGTTGGCCAGGCTGGTCTCAAACTCCTAACCTCAGGTGATCCACCCACCTCAGCCTCCCAAAGTACTAGGATTACAGGAGTGAGCCACTGCATCCAGCTTGCATCACAATTTTTTAACCCATTTTTCTAAGCTATGGATTGAATTGTGTCCCTTAAAAAAGATATGTTGAAATCTTAAAACCCAGTATCTCAGAATGTGACTTTATTTGGAAATAGGATTTTTATAGAAGTAATCAAGTTATAATGAGGTTGTTAGGGTAGGTTGTGAGTCAACATGACCGGTGTCCATGTGAAAAGGGGAAATCTGGATTTCACTTCTGGAGAATAAAAACTAGCATGGTTTGCATGTTGTTAGAAATGTTCAATAATCTTTGCCTGGTACTCTTCCCTGTAGTTATCAAAATCTATTATAGCACGTAATATAAATATAGCTTTTACATCCATCTGTATGTATGTCTTCAACTCCAAATCAAACGAATATGTTCAATAGTAAAAGCCACTACCAGAAACACAGAAAAATCTGTTCCTTTTCTAATCATAATCATTAACACTTGGTTGTAAAAGCCATAAGTGATTAGTTGTAAAACTATCATGCACAATGATGGATTGAATAACATTTATTTTATAAAAGTCCACTCAAGTGCTTTATGGGAAAATCTTGCACTAATAGGAAATAAGACTGTCAAACCTTTTCATCCTCCTCCTCTTGCATTTGTTAAACATAAATTACATACTTCAGTTTTTTCAATCATTCTCTTATAATTAAAAAAGGAAATACCTTTGTCTTAGTTGTCATGTTTAGGTATATTGTGGCAACTGGTTGTTTCTTTATGAAGTTAAAATTCTCTCAACCTGTAACACTTTATTTTCTTGACTTACTTTTATCCATACTGACCTGTTAATTTTTGAAATCAAATTCTTCGTAAAAAATTACAGGATTAAGGTATATGCAGGAAAACAATAGGCAAATAATTGAGGATGTTAATTCCGGAAAATAATATTTTAAAAACGAATTGGTACCACCAAGAAGTCTGTTACTGTGTAACAAAATTTGTTTGATTCTGATATTTTCCTGTCAATGTGTAATATGAAGAAAACAAGAAAAACTGTACAATTTTTAGTTTTAGTCATTTGTGTTTTTAATTCTAATATAATCCATGGGATTAAACTATATGAAATGTTCTTGCATAAATATAACAAATAACTTACCAATACAGTTTCTTCCAGAGGCATCTGGTTCATAGCCACTGTTGCAATTACAACGGTAACTACCACGTAAGTTTTCACAAATCCCATTGGCACATATATCAGGATCCAAAGCACATTCATTGATATCTGCATTAAATATTGAAAGTTTAGTGCTATCAACAAACATGTTATTGTTTGTTGATAAATGCAGGTCTAGTAAAGACCATTCAACATATGAAGTGTTTAACTCTGCAAACTCACAATTTGCCTGCCTTTCAGAAAGGAAAAAGAACTGAAAACAAGGAGTAAGAAAATAAAACTGAAAGATATAGGACACTTCACTGGTAAATCAAAAGAAAAATGAAAGACGCTGGCAGAAATTCAAAGAGTTAAATCACGAAATATGCCAGCATTTATGATGACATTAATAAAGACAATTTATAGGCTGTTGGCTCCAAATCCAAAGGAAAACTCGAGTTGATAGATATTGTAATCATCTAACTAAAAGACAGATTTATTAGGGTGGCCCATATAATTTTATGGTCCCCAAAGGTACAGGATATTTCTATTTTATTACATTTTTGAGGTCCAGTTACTAATATTTAATAAGTGTTTCTCATTGCTGATACTTGAAATTACTGGAGAGGACACTTTAAACATGGATGCTTCAGAACATGACGTTTTATAACGAGCCGTGAACATGACTACTACTACTATATCACCGAGGGGCAGTGGAACTTGTGCACTGATGTGCTTGTATGAATGATCAAGTAGTTTCCAATAGAGGCTGGCTCTGCTGGAAAGGCTGTACTGACAGGGAATATAATGAAAGAGTAAGCCCAAAGTCAAATTTTGGTCACTATGCTCAAATTTTGATGCTATTGTTTTCAATAATTTGGGAGACCTTAAATATTTTGGAAATGTCTTTCATTTTATACTTGGGAAAAACATCCTTTTAAAAGTTTACTTTTCACTCTGGTTTGGATATTTATTATAAAGATTCAACATTACTGCCTACCATCTATAATTTGACTAAAGCTTTCTCAAACACAAGGGTAGAAGAATATACATAAATATATATATATAACCGTATATATATTTATATATACTCTTCATATATACATATTCATATATATAGTGAAGATTAATAACACCCAAGTTTTATTTATGTATAAATGAATCTATATGTATATTAAAATATAAAAGAATCTGAAAATTACAAACACATATGTACTTAAATGTTCAAGATTCTATATTGGAATTTTGTTAACCATAATACAAAATTGAAAGCAAGAAAAATTTTAGTGAATCTTACTTCTTTACTTGGAGAGAAATGTTTTATTATTCTTAGGTGTAAATAGTCTTAACAAATTATTTCAGCCAGTATATCCCAAACTTGATCCATATCAAATATCTCTTTAATACTGTTTATTTTTCTAACCCTATCTGCACCATTACTTAATGTTTTATCATAAAATTGACTTATTCTTCTTTTTTTAACTTAAATGTCACATTATTCTTTTCTTAAGCAATGACTGACTGAAATCAGGAGAGTAGTTTGTTAGTGACATTTTTAACAATGCATATTTAACAGATAAATATTTATCCAAGATGAAAATGTGTATCTACATATCACTTAATATCATCTAGCTTATAACCACTGCTCTAGGAGATAATTAATCTTATTATTTTATAATACTACATTTTCATATTAAATATACTCATATTAATATTAGAATTATAAAGCTATACGATTATGTCACGTGATTATTATAAAGTTGAGATTAACTAGAGTTACCTCTTCCATCCACAGTGATACCTACTCCACTACTACAAAGGCCGTGGAATTCAGCTGTATGACAAAAAGAAATAGAAGAATTAAAAACTTAACTATACCTATTCCATATACAAGTCATTTCATAACTCCAAAACTACCATTAGGAAGAATTATTTGTGCATTAGTTTTTAAAGTGAAAAAAATTACCATTTTCTAGCAAACAATTATTATAAAATTCTGAACTTATAAATAAGCATAAAAGAGTAAAAATCACTTGTAATCATCATCCTGAATATTATTAATACATATAAATGTTACTAATATTTTCTACATAAGGAAACTTTAAGAAAAATATAAATGGTCTTAAAGAGCTTGATATTTAACTTTTTTTCCTCACTAATAAAATAATAACAGCCAAAATATAGGTTATAGTACTTACCAAGTGCCTGGTATTGTTCTACATTTTTCATCTATCAATTTAGTTAATCTTCCCAATACCACAAACTAAATACTATTGTATTTTCCTTTTTACAACTGAGGAAAAGGGGGAAACAGAGAAGTGCAGTAACTTGACCAAAGTCACAGAGGTTGTAAGTGGAGAAGCCGACTTGGCTCCTGGGTACTCTATCACAGGCATGTCATGTCAATGTCCCATTTAATAGGCCATTTAATATTGTTTTCTCAGTTACATAGAGGTATCACATTTATTCAGTCAATCTCTTACTGGTGAAATTAGGTTTGTCCAACTTTTAGCAACTATCATAAATAATATGAAGTTTAATTATATCACTAGGATAGTCTCTTACAAGTAAAACTCTCAAAGTTTATGCCCCTTTTAAGGTTTTAGATAGTTCTTCCCCTCCTAAAACGCCCCCAAATTACCCCTCCATCAGCGGTATAAGACAGTATTCATTTTTTTAATACCCTCATTATCACCGGGAAGAATCAATCGTTTATACCAATCTGCTAAACAAAAATGGCACCTTATTTTTAATTATACGGAGAGTGGGCATCTTTTTACATGGTATTCTTCCATTTGCATTTCTACTTTCTGAAATCCTGTTTATGTACACTGCTGTTTTTTCTATAGAGGATTTCAACTCTCCTTATTGATTAATGTAAATTCCATAAAGATTAAGAAATGATAAATAAAAATATTTTTCCAGATTACTTGTGTATTTTACTATTTAGGCCTGCTTTGAAAGTCTTTTACCATTACAAAATAAAAAAGAATTTATATTCTATATGAAAATTATGTTTTAATGTTTAGTGTAGGGACCTAACTTCATATTTTTTTCTGAAAGTTATCAACAATAATTATTATTTAATCTTTTTCCTTGCTGCTCCAAAATGCTTTGTTATATCCTAATTCCTATTCATATTCAGGTTTCTAGATTCATTTTATTAGTTCACTTAGGTTTTTGTCTAGTCTTATGCCAATTTTTGAACTTATTTGATAATATGCATAATTCAGTTTGGTACATTTTAGAACTACGTTCTCCTCATTATTTTTCTTTTTTTTTTAAAAAAAGTCACACTCAGTAATTCTTCTGGATGCTTCAAATCATTATTTCCACGTTTGAAGACTCCATTCAGGATTTTTAAGGGAATAACAAGACATTTCCTTTACAGGAATGCTTTCCTGTATCCTCCATATGGAAAGTTCTTACTCATTTTTTTCAAGACCAAACTAAACGTGCCCCTTCTTTGAGGTCCTTCCCAGCTTCCCTGGGCTACAAATTGCTCCTTCCTCTGTGCTCTCTCCATACTTGAACCTTTTAAGGCACTAATCACACTAAATTGTAATTTATACATTTGCCTGCCTGTATTCTCAACTACTGTTAACTTTAAGGAAAAACACAGATTGTGTTTATGTTAGAATCCCTACTGTACTTACGTATATTCAATATATATTCAATACAGGTTTAGTTAAACTATGAACAGACAAGAGTCAATGTTATTGACCTAAGAGTTTGGAACTATTGCCTGAGACTGTGACTTGAGACCACTTGGTGTCAAGATATATATATAGAGAGAGATCTTCATATATATGTGTGTGTGTGTGTATATATATATATACACATATATACATATATATACACATATATATACATATATATACATATATATACACATATATATACATATATATATAATCAAATTGAGTTCTTGTTGTGTTTATAACCTTGAAAGTGGTAAGTAAATTTTATGCTATTTGTCTTCACCATGACAGCACAGATCAAGGAAACTGAGGCTATCATGTTCATGTAAAAAAACCCTCTTATAATAATCATAACTGTATAAGAAAATAGATTTTTGATTGTTTTTTAAAGAGTCAGCATCTCGCTCTGTTACTCAGGCTGGAGTGGAGTGGCACAGTGATGGCTCACTGCAGCCTCGAACCCTTGGGCTCAAGTGATCCCTTGCACCTCAGCCCCCCTAGTAGCTGGGACTACAGGTGTGTGCCACCACACCCAGCTAATTAAGATTTTTTTTTTTTTTTTACCAAGACAGGGTCTCACCCTGGCTTCAAGTGATCCTCCTGCCTGAGCCTCCCAAAGTGCTGGGATTACAGGTGTGAGCCACCACAATCAGCCAGCAAATAGATTTTTTTATTCACTGTGTGTTCTGTTGGCCTAGAAATCGTATATAAACACAAGCCAAATCTCCTTATTATATGCCTCACATATCAATACAGGATTGGATTTCTCTTCTTCAGTTAAAATTAATGATGAAACACTTAAGAGCTGATGTTCTCTTTGGCCAAACATCTAAGGTTGTATTTCTTGATTCTTTATCAACTGTGAAAATGGCACATGTGACTACCTGAATTTTTTGCAGGGCATGGCTGGCAGGGTTCTCCAAAACCATAGTCTGGATTGGCACAGCAGCATTCGGACTTGGTCACTGCACCGGGGAAAGGACGCACACACACTCCTTTCTTGATTCCTCCATAGCAGGTACTGCGCATGTGAGTATCTAAAGGAGATACAAAAACAATGACTTGAGGCAGTGATAGAGACAAAGAGATTTCGAAACAGAAGGCTTCTTTTAACCTAAGTGGCCACTAGACTGGAAGCTTTTCAAGGGCATCTGAGACTTTTATTTTGCATCTTTAGCATCTAATAGTGTTAGGAAATCAACAAATGTTTTCTGAGTGAGGAAAAGAATGGATGCATATCACCGACTCTGTTTTCTTTAATAAGTTTTATGAGCTACACAGTATCCATTGTCCGATGTATTCTTACAAACCTTTTGTGAAACCTAGGATATTTCCACAGTTATAAAGAATACTTGGAGCTCTAATCACTGGCTATGCTATATTCAAAATGACACTTCTTATTTCAATTTTGGAAGTTCTCATGAACAATGAAGTGCAATCAAGTTAAACTACCTTGAGGTGATACTGGCTTGGGCGTGAGATTTCTTACTCCCACTTTCCGAGTTAGGAGGCCTTTCTTTTCAACCCCCAGGATACTGCTTGTGACTGTTTTAACCTCAGAAACTCAGTAAATCCAGTTATAAAAATAGTTAACTACCATATGTGCTCTTGGCATTGTGCTCGTTGCTTTACAGACATTATCTCATTGAACAGTCAGGTCAACAGCTCTATAGGAGTGGTCATTACGTGCATTTTATAGATGAGGAAGATGAGGTTCACAGCTACCTATGTAGTTTGAAGTCCTTGAATATCCAGTGCCTGAGTTGGGGTTCAGACAAGGTTTATGTGACTTCTAAAACTCTTCCTCTTTCTAGTAAGTAATGCTATACCCCAAAGAAGCATATTCTGCTTAGTTCTCTCACTCTTAATTCTCATAAAATACCCTACAACTTTATAAGACAGTAAATGGTGAACTATAAAAAACTCAGATCATAAAGGGCAGAGAACCCATGCAATTTTTAAGCAGTATACTGACCTGGTATACTCCAGTATACCTCCAGAGATAACCTCTATTATAAATATCTGTAACTATTCACAACTTGTTGGAAAAAATTTCATCTGCTTGTTATGCAAAATGGCCATCCAATAATTTCTTATGACCTGGGGGCATTTCTGATTAAAACAGTGATTTATGGCTGCATTAAAAATGAGATACGTGTGTGCTTAAATGGAAGGAGGCCATGGAATTCACCAACCCCATCCCTGAGGAGTCAACTCAGAGAAACTTGTGCTGCCTCTGCTGTGGCTGAGTTTGGCAGTGTATCTTCTGAGTTACACAAACACAGATTTGACTTGAAGGCAAATTTGCACAAATATAACATGGTTCATCATTTCCAATATGATTTTTGTGAGTTCTTTGGACATTACTGATGATCTTGGAAGGCATCTATGAACAGCCAAAGTTATTTCTGCTTTTGGGTTTAGAGCATATGCCATGCAGAATTTTTAAAAGCAAGCAGATAAAAGGCCTATGGAGCTCACTGGAAGAGTGAGACATGTTATATGGTAGTTTGCATTACAGGTGAACCAATCTCTTTAGAGTACCCAACACCAGAAGTTTCATGAAAAAGAAAGTAGCATAACTTATGTGTAGGTTTTACGGACATAAACTTCCCAAAGTTCAGATCCCCACAAGATGATCTTACATAAATTACTTAACATCTTCCTTATTCATTAAATAAGGATACAGTTTGTATAGTAAATGAAAGTATATTTGTTAAGCACTAAGCACACTGCCTAGGACACACCTGAAATACTAAAAAAAATGGTGACCACCTTATTTCCCTCTTCTATTTTTTTTTCTAAGACTAGTAAAGTGCAGCAGTGAGAAGGGAGGAAAAGTAGAACAAGGAGTTCTATCTGTAACTGATACTGTGAACTATCAGTTGAGATAACTCACTATTTCCCTACTGACCTTTTCCTGTTCAAAGACCCCAAATTGGCAACCTAGCTCATATTATACTATTCAAATATAACAGAACCACTGTATACAGGATAGGATAAAAGGAACAATACCGGTAGCACCATGAGAATATGCTCACATGAATGATCTGGTGACAGACTGGACCTAAATGCATCTTTTCCATATGTTAGCAGACTTCTGCATGCCTTTTCTCTCCTTCTTTCTCTCTCTTTTTCTTTCTTTTCTTTCTCTTTTTCTCCTTCCTTCCTTCCTTCCTTTCCTTCCTTTCTTCCCTCCCTCCCTCCCTCCATCCTTCCTTCCTTCCTTCCTTCCTTCTGTTTTTTTTTGAGATGGAGTCTCGCTCTGTCGCCCAGGCTGGAGTGCAATGGCGTGGCATGATCTTGACTCACTACAACCTCCAGCTCCTGGGTTCAAGTGATTCTCCTGCCTCAGCCTCCTGAGTAGCTGGGATTACAGGTGCACACCACTACAACCGGCTAATTTTGTATTTTTAGTAGAGATGGGGTTTAACCATGTTGACCAGGCTGGTCTCAAACTGCTGACTTCAGGTGATCCACCTGCCTTGGCCTCCCAAAGTGTTGGGATTACAGGTGTGAGCCACCATGCCTGTCCCCTTTTCTTTCTTAAAAAATGAAAAGATTTAAAAATTTCTTCAGGTAATTAGCAGATTCTACATACCATGAGTAAAATATGTATGTATGCAAAATGCTAACTTTATTTTATTCTTCTTTCTTTAAAATCAACTTTTATTTATAACTTAAAGCAGCAACTCTTAAGACTATGACCTAGATATGATACCACTATTCTAATTTAATAACAATAATATCAGTAGTAGTTAACTTATTGCGCATTTGCTATGTGCTAGACACCATTCAAAGCTTTATTTAATTCTCAAAACAACAAAAGAGGAAAGGAGGAACAGAGAGGTCCTGTATCTTGCTGTCATCTTATAATTTTTTGTCACTTAAGAATATTCAGTAGTTATCATGTTGCCTGACTTTTCTTCCTTACTTACTAAACTGCATCACTGAATAAACTTAAAAATAAATTTTGAATGAATGGGAAAGATAAAGATATGATTGCCTTTTGTTTACAACCTTGCTTGTGAGTTGTATTTCAATATACTACTTAAAATCATAGCTTAATTACCTGAGACTAAAACAAAAAACAAAAACACATCTTAATATCTACAGAAGAAAAATGAACAAACAAAAAATAGATCTAAAATTAAAATGCTTATCCTAATAGTTTTTCATAACAGTGATTCATTTATTTTTTCTATTTTTTTTGAGACAGGGTCTCACTCTGTCACCTAGGCTGGAGTGCAGTGGTGCAATCATAGCTCACTGTAACCTCCACCTCCAGGGCTCAGGCAATCCTCCTGCCTCAGCCTCCCAAGTAGCTGGAATTATAGGCACATGCCACCATGCCTGGCTAATTTTTGTATTTTTTGCAGACACAGGATTTCACCATGGAGCCCAGACTGGTTTTGAACTCCTGAGCTCAAGCAATCTGCCCTACTCGGAATCCCAAAGTGCTGGGATTATAGGCATGCACCACTACACTTGGCTAATTTTTGTACTTTTTGCAGAGATAGGGTTTTACCATGATGGCCAGACTGGTCTTGAACTCCTGGGCTCCAGTGATCCGCCCAACATGGAATCCCAAAGTGTTGGGATTACAGGCATGAGCCACTGCGCCAGGCCTCATCTCAAACTTAAAGAATCAATGGGTCTAAAAAGTGACATCAAGTCAAAAGACATGAAGAAAACATCTAGCATGTTATAGAAACAGTAATATATAATTTTATACACATGAGAAATAATGTTTTTATTTTAAAAAGTTTAAATGACCACAATGATGAAAAACTGAAGGAGGCTTTCTGAAAATTTCCAATGTGTTTCCTGGATTGTGAACAAGATAATGAAATTTTATGTTTTACTGAATTCCTAGCAACAACTCGCATGTTGGTTACTTAAGAGAAAAATAATTTCTCCCTCCAAAACTGGCTTTGTGCTCATGGTAGATTTCAACAGAATCATTTAGGTAAAGGAAAAAAGCAAGTAAATATATTAAAGCAACTGAAAATATTTTAGCTCTGTAAGCAGGAAGAAGTTATATTCTTCTAGCTGCTGTATTTGAAATATCCCTGAACAAAGTGCTGACAACTTTGTAGGGTGAAATAAATCTTTGACTGGATAGAGTGGATAAATTTGAGTGAACAGATTATTTCCATCTGCAAATTCTCTACTTCTTCTCCTCCACCTTTGGGATCCATATGTTTTGATTCTCATAGGTAGGAGTAAAGTATTAACTATGTCTAAGAATATGGTATCTCTCAAATATACTTTGAAATCCTATTTCTGTGTTTTACTGTACAACATGAAAAATAGAGGGTATACAATGGCTAATTCACCCTAGAAGCCTCATGAAAACATTTTTGGAGAGAAAACTGCATTAAATGTATTTTTACCACTCATTCTGCTATCCTTATCACTGGAATATATTGCTGGGGTTCCCAAACGCCAGTGACGCTTCTGTTTTGCCTGCCTCTTCAAAGCTGGGCCTGGTACTTCTGATTGATTTTCATGGGATCAATTTGACAAAAATAACCTAGAGGAATCTGAATGGCTTAGAATAAAATATATATTCTTGCTCATACTTCTTTATACTCTTGCTTCTGCAGCTAGTTGCATGGTGATGAGGAGTAACATTTTGAGCTTTTGATGCAAGTCCAATATTTATATTTTAAGTTTTGTTAGGGTGAAACCAAGTTTACTTACCTATAACTATAATCCCCATTACATATCTTATTTGTTATTAATTATAAAACTGAAATGCACTGTGTTTAGGATTCAGTTATCTAATATTATCAAGTATGCTAGTTTAAAAATATATTTTTTCTTCTCCAGCATGTCATCAGAGCCTTCTGTAGGTTCTGAAGGGGGCTATCTGGGGGTTCCTGTCCATTAAAAAATAGCTTTGTTAATATACAATTTACATACCATAGAATCCATCACTTTAAAGTGTACAATTTTATAGTTTTTAGCATATTTACAGATGTGTTCATCCATCACTACAGATGATTTTAGAACATTTTAATCACCTCAAAAATATCTTTTAGCTCCCACCCCATTCTCCCACCACCCCCATCCTCTCTGTCCTAACACGAATCTACTTTGTCACAACGGACTTGCCGATTCTGGAGATTTCATATGGATGGAATCATACACTGTATGGTGTTTTGTGACTGGCTTCTTTCACTTAGCATAATCTTTCCAAGGTTTATCCATGTTTTAGCATGTACTCTTCTTATGGTGAATATTACTCCACTGTATAGAAATATCTCTGTCAGTTTTTCAAAGATCATTTTGCACAGTGGGGCCATTATAAAATGTTTCACTTACCAACACACACACGTCCATCCATGCCCACAGCCAGGCCTGGGGGACAGTCACAGCGGAAGGACCCTTCACTGTTGATGCAGTGCCCATTCATGCAGATTCCTGGGGTCTGGCATTCATCAACATCTGTGCAGTGGGTGACAGAAGCCAAGCAGTTACTGGGTAAATTTAACGTTATTACAGGGTTTACTTGCAGCCACTGCTCTATACTACTAACCTTTTGTTTATAACTTTATAATTTGTGAAGAACAAATAAGTGTGGTAACAGGTATCATATACAAATGCAATCCTTTCAACACATTTCAGAATGCTTTACTTTACCTACTGAGGAAAAAAAAGCCTCACAATCTTCTTTTTCATTATTTATTTGACAATCCCATTTAACGCTAAATAATTCAAATTAGTTAAGTAAAACAAATTCTTTAAAAATTAAGGTAAATTTCTGTAATTTTTTTCACACAAAGACACTTTAACTAGAAGTAGATGCTATGCTGATATTCATTTGGTCATTTGATAATAACAAAATAACTTGAGGTATGTCTTCTAATTTTCAATCCACTTGAATTTATCAAACGTAACCCAGCATTAAATGACTTCCCCAAAAGATGAAAGAGACTTCAAACACAGAGCTGCCGACTCAGGAATACTTAAAATCTTCACAACATTTGTAATTAAATAATTAATAAGAACTAATTTCCAGAAAGCAGAAACTGGTGAGGTCGAAGTCATCTTTAGATGTATATTGAAGTTTCTTTAAAAAGGCTGAAATAAAGTCACATACTGTAACATAATTCTACACACTGAAGCATAATGACAATTTCCTATCCTGTGTTAAATCTAAATCAGCTAACCCTGAGATGACATCCCAGTCATGAGTTCAACCAGCAAAACTACAGTACTCCTCCTTCTTGGAGAGTCAAAAATTTGTTTCTTACTCAGAAACATAAGAATTCAGTCTCAATTTTTTAACCTCTACTGTCCCTAGAATTTCATTGTAATTCATTGAAATTATAAGAATTGAGCATGATCCTTATCTGGTACTTAGATTAAGTTTGTGCAATTGAAGGCAGAACATCATTGATGGAGTTAATTTTGTCTTAAGGAAGGAAACAAAGAAAAACAAAAATTTGGCCAGGTGCGATGGCTCATGCCTGTAATCCCAGAACTTTGGGAGGCTGAGGCAGGAGGATTGCTTGAGCCCATGAGTTTGAGACCAGCCTGAGCAACATAGTGAGACCTCATTTCCACAAAAAATAAAACAAAATTAGCTGGGCATGGGGGCACATGCATGTACTCCCAGCTACTTGGGAGGCTGATGTGGGAGGATGCTTGAGCCCAGGAGTCAAGGGTGCAGTGAGCTGAGATTGTGCCACTACACTCCAGCCTAGGTGACAGAGCAAAAACCTATCTCAAAAATAAATAAATTTAAAAAAGAAAAGGAAAAATGTGCTTCTAAGTAGAAGCTGCAAAATGTATTATTCCACTTTATTAAATTCCAATTGTGAGTACAAACATAATAAGGTCTCATTTATTTCCAAGAGGTATAACTTTAGCTTATTAAGGTTATCATTAGAGCTTGGTCTTCAAAATGGCTTTGTAAACAAAATAATTAATTGAAATATTAAAATTATGTCTTCACTAAATCAATGTAAGGTTTTTAGATAATGACACAGTTACAAATGGTCTGTATATTAGCTTTATGGAAAAGATGTAATGCTAAACCCATAATGAATGACAGTGGAAAATCTAGTTCTGAGAATGCATAAAAAACAAAAACCTTTCAAGATTTTTTCTTCTTCTTTTTTATTCAGCCAAGCAGTTGAGAGAAATTATTTCTACGTTGTTTTCCACAAGACTTGCTAAAACCAATCTGTCAGTTCCTTAATTTTTCCTATACCATTATTATTTTTGTTAAGATATGACTGTTCCCTAGACCACAATGTGTGTTTTTCTAGAAAGCTTTAGACACCTGCCTTAGTGAATTAGCAAGAAATGTGAATAATATGAAAGCCACATGGGGAAGCTGAAGTAATTCTTCCATGGTTCATTCAAATAAAAAAGGTGGTTTCAATCATGGTCACTTTCCTATCTGAAAGCCACACATACCAGTACAGTAACGCCCATTTGGAGCCAAGACAAATCCTGGTTTGCAGATGCACTTGAAGCTGCCATCTTCATTGATGCACATTCCATTCAAACACATGTTGGTAGTTGTACATTCATCATGATCTGCAGAAGAGGATTGAGTGACTTTGAACACTGGCCTTGAGGGAACCAATTCCTTCTTCTTCCATAAACAACCCCCAGTCAAATTCCACTACCTAAATGAGCCATGTGCTCATGGCTTTTAGTTTTTTTTAAAAAAAGAACGCCAACTGAATGAGAAAAAATAGTGCGGAGAGTGGAAAGGACCTTCAGTATATGGATATAAAGGAAAATAATCAAATTTTGTGCTTAGCTCCTGTTAAAACCACATAAACCATGAGTAGTGTTACTTTGTGTACCAAAAAGATAATATAATTTCAATGAGTGTTTATTTTATAAGAAAATAAGGCAATGGCAGACCTCACTGCAAATGAAATGATCTGGACTTTCATTAGTAGATGAATATGATGTGTTACCTTGTAAACAATATTTCTGTGGTGTGTTGGTATCCATTGCACTGCTAGATATCACAAGCCACAGTTTTAGAGATTTGTGTACTGCATATGTCAAACATTTTTATATTCCTCCAGTTTGTGGAGGAAGGGAAGACCTTTTCTATTTTGTCAGTGTTGTAACCCCAACACCTGAAATACAGTAGCGGTCAGTAATTGTTTAAACTTATGAAGAATAACTGCGACTTACAATTTAACTTGTAACACACAGGAAATTTTTAGAAGCAGTAAATTATTCACTGTTATAACATCTCCTCCCCTCCACCACCAAAAAAAAAAAACCAAAAAACAAACAAAAAACCTGTCCTTTTGCTTTAACAGTCTTATATTAAATGCATTTGCATTTTACCTAAGTTACCTGAAGATCTCACATACGTGGTGTGTGAGCTTTCATGGAAATAGTACATGGTTCTAAATAAAAATGTATATCCTTTTAAAATCTTTTGCAAGGGAGCAGGCAATTTCCATACCAACACAGTTTTTTCCATCTGTAGTTAATTCAAAGCCGGCATTGCAAATGCACTGGAAACTTCCATCTGTGTTCACGCATCGACCGTTTTTACAAAGAACCCCATTCTGGATGCACTCATCAATATCTAGGAAGATTGAGAATGGCCAAACATCATTCTTTTACAATACTTATAGATAAACACAGTAAGATAAGAAATGGAATTTTAAATATTCAAAATCATGTTACTTCTTTAGCAAAATTTCTGTCTCTCAGCAGTTTTTTTTTTTTTTTTTGGATAGGTAGGTGCAAGCAATTTTACAGCTCTTATAGTAGCTGAAGTGGGAAAGGAAAAAAAAAAAGAGGGTATCCAGTAAACCTAAGAAAGGGTGGGCAAGACAGCTGGAATTACTGGTTGCAGCTGTTTTTCACATAGTGGATGAAGGCCTTAAAAGTCAGAACAAGATGTTGGATAAGTGTAAAGTAACTACAGAATTTCTAGATTAAGAGTAACACAATGAAAACTGCTGGAAAGTTGATTCAAGCAACTACCTGTGGATGAATAGGAAATGAAAAAGAAGACAGGCAGTCATCTGCTAAAAGAATTCTGAGATGAATCAGCAATGAGGTAGCGCGTTTGGACCAGGGTGGTGGGTGTAGCACTGAAGCTGTGAATAAAGACCAGGCATGACTTGGTGTTGGACTATGTGTGGGATTCAAAGAAAACAGTAGTTTAAAATGACTATAAATCTTAAACTCAGTTAATCAGAGAAGGTTACTGATGTTATCTGGAGAAAGGAAGCTCTGATCTAAGGAAGGAAGATAAACTGAATTTTTGTGAAAACAGATACCATGTTGCCTGGGTTATATATGCAAACATTGTTTATGTTTAAAGGAGAATCTCTGAGGGTATTACAAATAAATCTGTAATAATGTAACACTTATTTTATTCCATGTTTTAATAAATTTACTTTTAACCTCAACAGCCTTGGTCACTATATTTCATGGAACATTTTCATATGTGAAAGCAAACTGCCTTACCAATGCATGCTTGCTTGGTAGGAGTCCTCTGGAATCCAGCATGACATTTACAATAATAGGAACCAGGTGTGTTAACACAATCTCCATTAGTGCAGGGATTTGATGTGCATTCATCAACATCTGTGAGCAGCAAAAGAAACCATTATAGACTTCACTCCATTTGTAGAAATGTTTGTTTAAAGTACATTTAGTCCTCTAAAGTTTGAGAGAAGGCCAGTCAGTGGTAATAGTCTAAATAGCGAAGTATTTATAAATGAATGAAAATTCCTCTCTTCAAATACACTCAGAGGCCAGTTTGAGGATTTACAAAAATATCACCTTTTAGAGAGTACCATGGGAATTTGCTTTAATCAAGAATTAAAGATTTTTCAGTTGGAATAATGGCCAATGATTAAAAGCATGTGCCCTGAAAAGAGAAATAGGCTATAATGCTTATTGCTTACACCAATGTGGGCAAGTTAATAACCTCTCTAAGGCTTAGTAAAGTGCCAGAAGAACAATGAAAGGATTCTGAAGATATATATTTATGTTACATGTTGTCACTGCTATTAGTTTTAAAGAAAGAGATTGATGGATTATGGAATGTCTTTGGTATAACTTTTTTTTGGTGAACTCATCTATGTATACAACTATATATACACTAAAGCTTGGATAATATTTTGAAGTAAAAAAACATGAGGGAGTAGAAAATGAAAACATTTAAACAAAGCCTATTTTTTTCAGCAGTTTCAAGTTTCTTTAGGATCTTAAAATTGGCACAGTGATTTGTTGCATAAAATGAAGTTTTATGCAAATACTAGTCGTGACCAAAAAGTGAGAAAGTCATGCTTTCCATTCAAGGTCTCCTAAAGCCTAATTAAATGCAAACCCATTGCAGGATTCAGGGGCTGAAAAACCAAATGACAGACTGAACAGTCTGGACTAGTTAAATCCCAGAGAAATCACGTGTGCCAGTATAAGAAGTTTAATTCATCTTCTCTCAGCAATGCCCACTAAATATTATTTTCAATCCTTGCAAATTAAAAACCTGGCTAGTTGGTAGAGGGCATAATGATTTGCCATTTCATATATGTGTAGAAGCCATTAACATATACCATTTCAGCTAAATTGGAGAACATAACAATAAAATCAGTTCACAGGTTTACCATTTTAATAAGCAGATTCCTACTTTCACAGATGTTCTTAAAAGAGGAACTGTACTGTATCAAACCCACCAACTTCATTTATGTAAACACTCAGACTGAATGCAATTAAGCCCCTTCTGGTAAAGGAAATAAACTTCATAGCAAATAAAATAAAAACAACAAAGAATAACAGGACTAAATCCTTTTCCATCCATCCAAGGACCCCTTCAGCCCATAAAGACTCACTTACATTTAAAGTTTTAGTTGATACCATCAATTCTACTGAGCCAAAGGAACGAAGCAAAATGAGAAAAGAGAGAGAGCATTAGCAAGCATATAAAGTATAATAAATAGACTTTCCAATATGAAATACCACCTTCAGTTCGCAGTGTTGAAGATCACTTCAATTTTGTGTTACATAATTGAAATGCAACAATTAAAAATGTGTTGTAGCTGTTATCTTTACAGCAGCCTCAACATAAAGCTCTGTTTGAAGAACATGAGAAACCACGCATCCACTCCCCTCTCTTTAGGTAAAGTTTCAGGAAAGCCACTTCTGCAGGACTGTTTTCTCCCCTGGAGAGTCTGCTCCTAAGGCTCCTTGTTACTATGGCAGCTCTGTCAGCTATTTTGCCACTACAACCACAATTCACTTCTGTCTCCTGAGCCCCTCAGGGACTCATCAAGGGTCTAGTACACAGAGAAGATGTAATCGTTCACTTAATTTTGGTCAAAACAATCACCAAAAAAGCAATTAGTGACTTTACAATTCCATATGACTTTAAAACCCATTTGTTGTTTTTCGTTTGTTTTCTGGGATTTTCAGTTTTAGACTAGTCACAAACGACCACTGCCAACTTCTACATGAACACTTCTGTCTCCTCTTTATTCTGAGTCTCACAGTCCTGGACCTCCAAGAGACCATGTTCGTTTTGTCTTGTTTACAGGAACAGAAAGTACTTAAATACTACGTTCTGTACATTTTGACTTCTTAGTATGTTTTCATTGGGGGGATGGGTATTTTTAAGCAAAATTCATGGGATTTAACCTCCTAAAATAAATTTTAAAATTATGGAGAATGTTGATTATCAAAATTGTTAATTTCTCAAATACTACTATATAGCTAAGAAATATTTTCCCTTGAAAAATACTTTATATGCCAACTTAGAAAAGGCTTTGTTTTTTGTTTGCAAGGGCTCGAGGATTACCTGTAGCCCAATAGAAATTTAAATTATTTTTTACTACTCCAAAATAGAGTGACTTGAATTAAAAACATTGCTAACAGCAGTTTGACTTATACAGACACTAGGAGAGTTACAAATTTTAATTTTAGAGTAGAATTCTCAAGAAAAAGAGAAAAATATAATGGGTAAATATAACTGTTTTCAGGCATCAGGAGCAATTCTCATAATAGCAAAATAGACCCAATTCTATTTTCTTTGTCACTGATCCTTTAATAAATCTATTGCCTTTCAAGTTATACTGCTTCATTAGGTATCTCATAAAAGTTCCCAAACAGCAATGGCAGTTTGTTATTCCTCAAAACATTAGCGCAGCTGACATAGTTACTAGTGTTATCTTGGGCTCTTATAATTTAAAGCACTAGTTAATTAATATCCTCTTCACTTTTTCTGATGTGTTGTTTATAAATTCAATTTGTTGTTTATAAATTCAAAGTGATCAAAAATTGAATTAGAGTATAGGATTAAAAATATTAAAACTCATTTTCTGAAAATGTGCTCCATTACTAAGCTAAGTCTCTATGAATTACAGTAGTCAGAAAGACAAGCCTGCTGCTGGGGCTTTAACTTTGCAGGGCTAAATGATGAGGTATATCTATCACTTAAAGAAGCACCAGGTGGTATCAGCTAAGCTAGGTAGGCTGCATATGGTTATATAGTGTACAACCCTAGGGCATACCACTTATATAGACTCTTTGAATGATACCCTTTAGGTTTGTACAGACAAAATTTGAGCTAAGCCTAATTTAATAACTCTGATCTTGTAGCCCTGTACCTAGTTTAGAATGATTGTTTTTTCCAAAACATCATATTTGGCCCACATTTTCTTTTATAATCATAGTGGACCTAAGACATTTTTGGCAAAATTATGATGCTAACTCTCTCTATACCTGGCCTCTCATCTATACTGTTTAATGGAAGACCTGAACTCAAATCTGTTATTTAGGGTTAAGCTAGTTAATGAAACACATGTGTGTTAATATTATGAATAAATAAAATAACCTCAAAATGACTCAATTACCATCCTAAAACCACTCTTCAAAGTTAATAAAACCCCCCAATTACCAAATCCAACAGATGTTTTTCCTCACTGCCTTTGATTTTTCTACTGCATTTAACACCTAACACTACTTTTCTCTTGAAAGTGTGCCCTTCCCTAACTTCAGGAACATAATTCTCCATATTATTTTGCTATCTCTCTAACACTATGAGCTAGAACGAGGTGCGTCTGAGTTGAGCTAGACTAAGGGCCTTCGATGTGTCTGTTCCATAAGATTCCAGCTGTAGTATTCCTGTTATCTTTTCACTTGTCCTGTTGTTCAGCTTGGGACACAGTATTCATCCTCATGGTTCTAAGAGCCACCTGTGTGTTGTTGACTCCTAAATCTGTAACTCTACCCCGGACATTCCTCTTAGCATTAGAGCTCTATAATTAAATACCCTAGACACCTAAAACTCAGCATGTCCAAGAAAGACTCAACAACTATTTCCTCCCAATCTGCACCTTCTTATACATGTTAACACCACCACTATATGTCCAGTTTTGCTCAGCCAGAAACTTGTGTATCATTGTAGTTTTCTACTCTTTGACTCCCCACAACTAATCTGTCATCAGATTCTATCGATTAACCTCCCAAGCACTTGTTGAATCATTAAGTTTTTCTGCAGTCCTACATCACTATTGTCATAATTTCTTGCCTAGACTTATATAAAAATTTACTAGCTGGCGTTTTTGTTCCCATTTTTTTCATTCCACAATCTTTGCACTAAGAAAATAGGGGACACTTCTGTTCCCAGCCAAGACAGATTTACCCTCCTTCCTCAAAACACAAACAAATGGACAAAGTATAAGAAATCATGGTTTTCAAGAAACTTGACATCAGGCAACAAAGAATATAGATCCCTAAGAGAAGGAAAACAAACACAGTGAATATCATAACTATTTCAGCTTATTGCTTTAAGAGGGTTTTCAGACCACGATGCAGACAGGGGGAACACTGGCAGGATGCAGCAAGCCCCTAAGTAGGTGAGTCAGAGCTGAGAGTCCAGAAACAGACCCAATATATACGAGCAAATGATTTTCAACAAGGTGCAAAGGCAATTCAATAGAGAGAAGACACTCTTTTCAACAAAGGGTGATGGTTATTAATATACTACAAAAAATAAACTTCATACAATATTAAAAAAAATGAATTCAAAATGGATCATAGGCCTAAAGCTAGATAACTTCTAGAAGCAAAAACTGAAGAAAACCCTTGTGACCTTACATTTGGCAAAGATTTCCTAGACACAACATCAAAAGCGTGATCCATAAAACAACAAATTTAATAAATAAAGCTTCGTCGGAATTAAAAATTACAGCACTTCAAAAGATATGTTACAAGAAGAAAAGGCAAGCCACAGGCTAGGAGAAAACATGTGTAAATCATATATTTGATAAGGACTTATATCCAGAGTAAACAAAGAACCCTCAAAACTCAATAAGAAAATAATTTTAAAATGGACCAAGATTTGAACTGACCCTTTACCAAAGAAGTGTCAGATCAAATAAACTCATGAAAAGATGGTCAACATCTTTTTATGTGAATCATTAGAGAAATGTAAATTAAAACCACAATGAGAAATCCCTGCCTACCTATTACAATGGCTAAAGTGTAAAAACCTGACTATACGAAGTGCTGGCTTGGTTATGGAGTAACTGATACTCTCATACACTGCTGCTAGAAATGTAAAATAGCACATTTTGGCAGTTTCTTAAATAATTAAATATATTCTTCTCACACAATCCAGCCACTCCACGCCTAGGTATATACTCAAAACTAAAATGCTTATACAAACACTTGTCCATGAATGTTCATAAGAGCTTTATTTGTGATACACAGAAACTGGAAACAAAATAAGTGCCCATCAACTTGGGAATATATAAATAAACTGTGCTATATCCATACAATAAAATATTATTCCACAACAAAAAGAAATAAATGATTTTTCCCACCACAACACAGAAGAATCACAGAATAATTATGCTGAGTAAAAGAAATCAGACAAAAGTCATATATGTAACAGTATGATTTCATTTATATAAAATTCTACACGATGCAAAGTAATGTACAGTGACTAATCAGGGATTGCCTGGGGACAGGATGGGGGCTGGGGATGGATGAAAGGAGGAGCAAGATGGAGAGATTACAAGGGACAAAAGTAAGCCTTATGAGGGTGATGGATATGTTCATTATCTGATTGTCGTCATGAGTTTATTGGTATACACATATCAAAACTTATCAAGCTATATACTTCAAATATATACAACTTATTGTATGTCAATTAAACCACAATAAAGCTAGTTTAAAAATCTGCACAATACTTCCATCATGATTAACTAAGAAAAAGATATGGTCTTGTCTTCTTGGGCTTACAGACTTTTAGGAGTCATGAACACCTATGATATAAGGTGTTGTGAACTCTGTGGCTGTTTTACAGCATATCTTTAAGAGCTTCATTTTCCTCCTTGTCTTTTAGAAATAAGTGCTTAGAATGCCTCTATTCTTCAACACAGGGTACATGGGCTGGGAAAACTGGAGAAAATATTCAAGTGGCACCTGGGGACCAAAAATCTACTTGGGAAAACCAAGGCTCTAGATGAAATTATAGTTGGATTTTTTCAGACATGGGCCCAAAGCTGGGAGTATTAATCCCAGCTTTGACTAGTATGTGCAAACATGGAGTACATCTTAGGATCATGACCAACTTCTTTAAGACTTTGAACTAAGCAAGCACAAATAGGGAGCCTAGACAGTACAAACAACTTTAATTCTCAAAATTTTTAGAACTCCATATGAAATGGGTTCTTTGGCTATCCCTCAATTGGCTCAGAACTCAGACATGGAGAAAGATATGTTTTACATATACACATATATTTTTCTTTCCAACTTTTATTTTACATTCAGGGAGTACAAGTGCAGGTTTATTACATGGGAAAATTGCATGTCACAGGGGTTTGTTGTAAAGATTATTTCATCACCCATGTAATAAGCCTAGTGCCTGATAGGTAGCTTTTCGATCCTCACCCTCCTCCCACCTTCCACTCTCAAGTAGGCCCTAGTGTCTCTTGTTCCCTTGTGTTCACATGTACTGAATGTTTAGCTACCACTTACAAATGAGAACATATGGTATTTGGTTTTCTGTGTCTGTGTTAATTCATTTAGGACAATGGCCTCCAGCTCCATCCATGTTGTTGCAAAGCACATGGTCTCATTCTTTTTCTTATGGCTACATAGTATTCCATGGTGTCTATGTACCACATTTTCTTTACTCAGTCCACCACTGATGGGCATTTAGGCTGTTTCCACATCTTTATATTGTGAACAGTGCTGTGATGAAAATATGTGTACATGTGTCTTTACGGTAGAACATTTTATATTCCTTTGGGTGTATACCCAGTATTGCTGGGTCGAATGGTAGCTCTGTTTTAAATTATTTGAGAAATCTCCAAACTGCTTTCCACAGTGGCTGAGCTAATTTACACCCCCACCAGCAGTGGATAAGCATTCCTTTCTTCACAACCTTACCAGCATCTACTTTTTAATAACAGCCATTTTGACTGGTATAATATGGTATCTCATTGTGGTTTTCATTTACATTTCTCTAATGAGAGGTGGTGCTGAGCATTTTTTCATATGCTTTTTGTCTGCATGTATGTCTTCTTTAGAGAAGTGTCTGCTCATGTCCTTTACCCATTATTTAATGAGATTTTTTTTTTGCTTGTTAAGTTACTTATAGATTCTGGATATTAGACCACTGTCAGAGGTGTAGTTTGCAAATATTTTCTCCTACTCTGTAGGTTGTTTACTCTGATACTTTCTTTTGATGTGCAGAAGCTCTTTAGTTTAATTGGGTCTCATTTGTCAATTTTTGTTTTTGTTGCAATTGCTTTTGGAATCATTGTCATAAAATCTTTGCCAGAGCCTATGTCCAAAATGGCATTTCCTAGGTTTTCGTCTAGAGTTTTTATAGTTTTAGGTTTTATATTTAAGTCTTTAATCAATCTTGAGTTAATTTTTGTATATGATGAAAAGAAGGGATTCAGTTTGAATCTTCTGCATATGACTAGCCAGCTATTGCAGCATCATTTATCGAATAGGGAGCCCTTTCTTTGTTGCTTGTTTTTGTTGACTTTGTCAGAGATCAAATGGTTGTAGGTGTGTGGCTTTATTTCTAGGTTCTCTAACCTGTTCCATTGGTCTATATCCCTGTTTTTGTACCAGTACTGTACTGTTTTGGTAGCTGTTGCCTTGTAGTATAGTTTAAAGTCAGGTAGTGTGATGCCTCTAGCTTCGTTCTTTTTGCTTAGGATTGCTTTGGCTATTCAGGCCATTTTTTTGGTTCCACATGAATTTTAAAATAGGTTTTTTTCTAATTCTGTAAATAATGTTGATACTTTGATAGGAATAGCTAGAATCTGTAAATTGCTTTGAGCACTATGGTCATTTTAATAATGTCGATTCTTCCTATCTATGAGCATGGAATGTTTTTCCATTTGTTTGTGTTGTCTCTGATTTCTTTGTCTCTGAAAGAAATCAGAGATAAAATCTCTAATAAAATACATTTATTGATTTGCATATGCTGAACTCACCTTGCATCCTAGGGATAAAGCTTACTTGATTGCGATGAATTAGCTTTTTGATGTGCTGCTGGATTCAGTTTTCTAGCATTTTGTTGAGGACTTTTACATCTATGTTCGTCAAGGATATTGGCCTAAAGTTTTCTCCTTTTTTATTGTATCTCTGCCAGGTGTTGGTATAAGAATAATTCAGGCTTCATAGAATGAGTTAGGAAGGAGTTCCTCCTCTTCAAATTTTTGGAATAGTTTCAATAGGAATGAAACCAGCTCTTCTTTATACATCTGGCGGAATTTGTCTGTGAATCCTTCTGGTCCCATGCTTTTTCTGGTTGGTAGGCTTTTCATTACAGATTCAATTTCAGAACTCATTTTTGGTCTGTTCAGGGATTCAATTTCTTCCTGGCTCAATCTTGGGAGATGTTATGTTTCCAGGAATTTATGATTTCTTCTAAGTTTTCTAGTTTGTGTGCACAGAGGTATTTTTAAGGTTTTCTAGTTTGTGTGCATAGAGGTGTCTCAGGATTTCTGTATTTCTTTGGGGTTGTTGGTAATGTCTCCTTTATCATTTCAGTTTGTGTTTATTTCCGTCTTCTCTCTTTTATTCTTTATTAGTCTAGATAGCAGGCTATCAATCTTATGTATTCTCTCAAAGACCCAACTTTAGGTTTCGTTGATGTTTTGAATGTTTTTTCACATCTCAACTTCATTCGGTTCAGCTCTGAATTTGGTTATTTCTTTTCTTCTGTTAGCTTTGGGGTTGGTTTGCTCTTATTTTTTTAGTTCCTCCAGGTGTGATGTTGTTAATTTGAGACCTTTCTAACTTTTTGATGTGGGATTTTAGTGCTATAAACTTTACTCTTAACACTGCTTTAGCTGTGTCCTACAGATTCTGTTATGTTGTATCTTTGCTTTTATTAGTTATTAAAATTTTATTATGCTGTGGTCTGAGAGTGTGGTTGGTATAATTTCATTTTTCTTGAATATACTAAGAATTGTTTATTGCCAAGTGTGTGGTTAATCTAGAGTATGTGCTATGTTACAGATGAGAAGAATGTATATTTTGTTGTTGTTGGGTGGACTGTTCTGTAGATATCTGTTGAGTCCATTTGGCCAAGTGTTGAATTTAAGTCTTGAATATCTTTGTTAGTTTCCTGCCTTGATGATCTGTCTAATACTGTCAGTGGGGTGTTAAAGCCTCTCACTATTATTGTGTTGTTATCTACAACTCTTTGTAGGTCTCTAAAAACTTGTTTTATGAATCTGGATGCTCCAGTGTTGGGTGCATGTATGTTTAGGATAGGGAAATCTTTTGTTGCACTGAACCTTTATTATTATGTAATGGCCTTCTTTGTCTTTTTTGATCATTGTTGGTTTAAAGTCTGTTTTGTCTTAAATTAGAATAGCAACTCCCACTGTTTTTGTTTTCCATTTGCTTGGTAGCTTTTTATCTATCCATTTACTTTGAGTCTATGGATGTCACTGCATGTGAGATGGGTCTCTTGAAGACAGCATATAGTTGAATCTTATTTCTTTATCTATCTTGCCACCCTGTGCCTTTTCAGTGGGGCATTTAGCCCGTTCATTTTCAAGGATAATATTGGTATGTGCTGATTTGATCCTGCCATTGCATTTAGGAGGTTGTTATACAGATTTAATTGTGTAGTTGCTTTACAGTGTCAATGGTCTATGTACTTAAGTTTGTTTTTGTGGTGGCTGGTAACAGTCTTTCATTTCTATGTTTAACACTCCCTCAAGGACCTCTTGGTAAGGCAGGTCTGGTGGCAAATTCCTTCAGCATTTGCTTGTCTGAAAAATATTTTATTTCCCCTTCACGTATGAAGCTTGTTTGGCTGAATATAAAATTCTTGGTTGGGATTTCTTTTCTTTAAGAATGCTGAATATAGGCACCCAAACTCTTCTGGCTTGTAGGGTTCCTGCTGAAAGGTCCACTGTTATCCTGATGGGGTTCCTTTTGTAGGTGACCTGCTCCTTCTCTTTAGTTGCCTTTAAAATTTTTTTATTTCTTGTTAACCTTGGAGAATCTGATGATTGTATGTCTTGAAGTTTGTCATCTTGTACAGTATTTCACAGGGGTACTCCAGACTTCCTGAATTTGAATATTGCCTTCTCTAGCAAGGTTGGATAATTTTTCGTGGGCAATATCTTCAAATATGTTTTCCAAGTTGCTTGCTCTTTCTACCTCTGTTTCAGGGATGCCAATGAGTTGTAAGTTTGGTTTCTTCACATAATCTCATATTTCTCAGGGGTTTTGTTCAATCTTTCTAATTATTTTTTATTTTCATCTGACTGAGTTGATTTAAAGAACAGTCTTTGAGCTCTGAGATTCTTTCCTCACCTTGAACTATTTTGCTGTTAATATTTCTGATTGTATTATGAAATTCTTGTAGTGAGTTTTTCAGCTCTATCAGATCAGTTTGCTTCTTAAGAACATGCCAGTGGTGATGGGGTGATGAGGCCTATGTGCATGTGTGCCAGCAGAGCAATGGGGGAAGGCTGTGGGCAAGTGCATGCCAGCAAAGTTGTGGGGAGAGGCTGCAGGTGGGAGAATGCTGGCAGAGGCCCATCTGCTGAAGTTCTCCAATGGTTAGGCAGGGTTTGCTGGCAAAGGAGCTATGGTGGTGACACCTGGGAAGAGCCCCAGATGGGCATCTGAGGCTGTGCTCCAAGTGGACACAGCCATGCAGGGACACTGGCAGAGGCCGGCAGATGGGGGACACTCAGATCAGACTGGCCTTGTCCCATGGGCAAGACTGCTCTGCTCTGTCCAGGTCCAACAGTCAACCAAGGCCAAAGCCCCCTAAAGGAGGATGTCAAGCCCTGGGGTATGGGCATCGTAGCCACTCTGGTGCCAAACCCTCTGGGCTCTGCACAGGCTGGAGTCCTGTCCCTGCCCCCTATCCAAGCAGCTCTCCCATGTCTCAAATGTCCATGGAGGTTGTAAGATCTTCTGCAGGTAGGATTCCAGAGACCCCTGCAAAGAGTGGGCCACTCCTCAACTATTTAATTCACTTCTCAGGGTCAGGAACAAGTCCTGGCACTTGGCAGCCCCATGAAGGCTTCCCAGCTTCCTCCTACTTCAGTCCAGGGTCTGTGTGCTCCTTCCATACATTCTTAATGCCTTCCTTCTGAAGATCCTCTCAGAGTGTGCCAGTCTTCTTGATGGTCTGATCTTTCAGTAGGAAATGCTCTTCCTGGCTGTGTCTACTGAGCCATCTTGGCCTTTCTCTATGGAGTTTTTTTTTTAACTCCATGCGGAAATCCCTTATCCTTCACAGACACTAATGTAACCCCTAACTACTGCAGATCCTGCTGCTAGATTGGATATTCCTGATGGTCTCTTCTTTCACCACGTTGCTAGCATACAGATCACAGTTACTGAGCACAAATCAATTTAAATGGCATTTAAGGAATGAAAACTTTCAAGTCTACCACTACTAACTCTCTCACTGTTAAACTTTTTGTATATGACCTACAAGAAAGTTGGGGACTCTTTATAGCAGCTGTTCTCAAGGTGTGGCCTCTGGGAGACCATTGAGATCCTTTCAGAGTGAGTTTGATTCAAAACTATTTTCACAATCATATTAAGATGCTATTTACTTTTTTTTTTTAATCATGTTAACATTTTCTCTGATGGCACAAGAGCAATGATAGTTGCTTAGCACAGGTTAAGGCAATGGCACCAAACTGTCCTACCAGTCAATACAATGAACTCACAGGGTATTTGAAAAAGACATTTTCACTTAAGAATATAATTGGTGAAGCCACAAAATTAATAATAATCTTGGCCCTTGAATATACATTTTTAAAATACTTCTGTGACAAAATGTACATTACACATTGTTGCTGACTGAAGCACCACGAGTGCCTGTCTCAAGGAAAAGTTTCTGCGTAGTTGTTTTGAGTTGTGCACTCCATTAGCAGCTTTTTCTGCAGAATACTATTTTTACTTGAAGAATGACTGACAAATTATAGTTATTCAGAGTTATTAATCTGGCAGACATTTTCTTGAAAATAATGCAGTGAGCCTGTCACTTTAAGAAAAGGAACAGACTGTATATTTGATGCTAATGTTAACATTCAAGCTTAAAAATGACAGAATTCAGAAAGATTATTTAACACTGTATGCTTGATTGTTTCTCAGCAATTTGAAGGCATTTTTATGAGTTTGATGGTGATATTCTCAAATATGATTTTTTGATAGTACATAGTAAAATATTTCAACTTTGGAAAGATGTGCATAATACAGTGCATCAATATATTTCAAATGACCAATGCATGTTACAAAATCCACTCAAAGCATTAGACAAACCAATGGACTTTATGTAACAGAGTACAAAAAGTGTACTAATATGGTTTCAGATTCTACATGGTTAACTAAACTTTAAGAATTACTCCTTGTAAGTTTTGGTGGAATATCAAAGAATAACCTCAATTATCTGAAAGTCTATGCAATATTCCTCTTCTTTTCCATCTATGTATCTGCTTGAGGATAGATTTTCATTCCTCAACAAAACAGAACAAAACAAAACAAAACATCACCAAACCTTAAATAGAGAAGCAGCTATGAGAATCCAGCTGGCTTCTATTAAGGCAGACATTAAAAAGGTTTGCAAAAATGTAAAACAACGACACTTGTTTCCACACATTGTTTTCAAAAATGTAGTTTTTCATAAAAATGTTACTTATGTCAACATGCAATGGATTCATTGTTGTTATTTTTGAATAAATCAATAAATGTCTTAATATTTTCATCTTTAATTTCTAATTAGGTAATTATCAAAGTAGAGATAACCAATGATTTTAAGAGTTGAAATGAGTCTGAGACCGACATATTTGAAAACTACTGCCCTGACATATCAGATTTTAGTCCATTGGTGTCTTGTCATCTTTTAAAGATGGATTCATGCTTGACGAATTGTTTTTAAAATATATTCATTGTTACATAGATTCCTTTTTATTTTTAGTTTATATTAAGAGTAAGCATTTCTAAGGAGAATGGAAAGGGAGAGTCAGAGACAGAAATCACAATATTTAGGACTTGAAAGGGTAGGAAATTCTTAAAGTGATCTAGCTCAGCATAGGTTAAGGGGGCACACTGAATAGCATACACACAGAAGAGACAGTTTGGAAATTAGCTGTATTTCAAAAGACTTAAAAAAATCATATTCATTCCAATTTGATCCTGTAATCTAATAGCTACTAAAAAAACTAAGAAGGATTATTAAAGAATCACAAACTTACCTATACAATCTCCATTTGCATCCTGCTTATAACCCATGTTGCATTCACATCGGTAGCTTGAGACAGTTGGTATACAGCGTCCATTTAAACAAAGGTTAGCATGATGCTTACAGATATCTATTGTCTGGTTCAGAATTGCTACGGAAAATTAAAGCACAATTATATTTAATCATTACAACATGCATTACTTTTCTGAATTGATTTTTAAAGGACATTTAATAGTAAATTAATTAGATGTATATCAGAAGCTCATATTTTATATTTTATTAAAACTTTAATGTGGAGAATCTAAAAAATATTACTGAGACACATGGTTGCAACTTGTATCTGTTAAGTTACAGATCTGAAAATGCTGCCCTTAATCATGTCTTTTTAAAATTACAGGAATGTTCTACCATACGTTTGAGTGCTTTCCGTTTCTCCTTTGTAACTCTGCTGAATATTCAGATATAGTAAATCGGCAATATGCCAAAAAGAATAAACATAACACTGTAGGACATCTTTAAATATTATTAGCAAGAGAGGGCTTTTAAAAAGAATGAAGTTAAATGTCAAGCACACAAATGCCAACTCTGGTCTGAAGCCCACGGTTTTCAATTTCTTAAGCAATTTAACAAAAAAGGGTGAGGAAAGGAAAGATATGTACGTTACAATATTTGGATCTGCACAGAGCAAGATATTCAGTTTATCTCAGTGGAGAAATGGTTCTGGAAAATAATTCAAGGGGTGCATGAACAGGGCAGCTTTAAACAGCCAAATGAAATACATTGAAACCAAAAACATGCTTTTTGGTGGTGTCAACTGGATTGGAGTATTACTGGGCTCTCATATGTATTTGCGAAGACCTGGGTCACACATTCTTTTCTCTAATTTAACAGAAAGTTTACAGAACATAAAAGTAATATTTTCCTATTACATTTTCCCAAATTTAGTATTACTATGTATCAGACCTTGAAACACTTTTCCCTCTGTCTCTCTCTCTCTCGCACCCACAAACACACACACACATGTGCAAGTGTGTTCATACAACCCTTTTGAAAAATTAAAATTATGTTAGATATTATAATGTCACTTGAGGCAGGAAACTAAAGAGTCCACAGGAAAACTGACCACTTACTTAGTCCAGTGATGATAGGTCCCTGTCCCCCGGCCCCCACACCGGCTCCCCCAACGCCAGGAGAAAAGCCATTGCCTCCAGGGATGGGGATGAAGCCTGTCCCTCCTGGGCCATAGCCATTGCCATTGCCACTTGGGGCAAAGCCATTTCCCCCAGTGCCTCCAGGTCTGGAACCAGCACTCCCTGGAATTCCTCCCATTGGAAGTCCATCCATGCAAAGTCTGCGATATTCCTCTAGAAGAAAAGAAAGTTGGCATTAAGCACAGGTGAATGTCTTTCTGCATAACAAAAGCCATTGGTACACTGTACTAAGTCACTTTGGGTTACCTATACTACACAATATGATTAAGTAGGTTACTATCTCAATACATGTTTTTAATGCTGGCAGTAGCAAGAAAAAGATATAGAAGTTTTAGAAAAAATTTAAAACCTATATTGTCACATTATTTTAACTGAGTTGCATAAACAATCATTTACATGTGTATTTTTATTTTATGCACCTAAGTGCAACTCATAAAATTCCAGACATAATTATAAATACAGAAAATTTACTTGTACAGATAAAAGTTAAAGCTTTATGCTAATTCATTCTATCTGTATGGTTTTACTTACATTCTCTTCAGCATTATACCTATACATTTTTCCTGTCCATTTTTTTTCAGGAGATTAGGTATTAATATTGCTCCAGAATGATATTTTTTTCTAACTTGGATTTTAACGGTAGACAATATCAAGTAAGCTTTAAAATCTGCTCCTTTTTGTCCAGGTGACAAAGTTGAGTAAAGAGAAGCAAGAAGATAGCAATTGCCTTATTGCCTTAACTGTTTGCAGACTTAAGGCACTGTATCAGAAGGAAAAAAAATTATTAATTATATACTACTAGTGGAACTGGGAGAATCCAAAATTATTTACTAGGCATTAATTCTGCCCCTTTTTGTCTTACTAATAGATTTTGGTATTTTATGACTTAGAGATTTTGTAAGAATGATTAATGTGTCATGATATCTTTTCTGTTAACAGTACATATTGGCATAAATATTTGTAAGTATATTTGAAAACTTTAATTATTTTACACGCTTTTAATTCAATGAGAAAATGATAATAGAATTGAATATATTAATATATCTTTATGTGAGAAACATTAATTTGTACTTTACTACTCATATTACACGTAACAAGAGGAACTACTTCTCATTAACCCTAATTTCCCAATATAGCATCATTTATATGGCAGTTACCACAGCGTAGTTAATGAGAGCCATCATCATACTCTTGTATGATTAATTTTCAAGATCATGAGAAGAGAGGAAATATCTTCAAGGACTGAGACATTATAAGCTGAAGGTATTCCTGAAATAAAGTATAAATGAAGACAGAGTTTTCTTCCTCATAGATATTTGAGCTCTGGATGAAAGATCAGGAGGTTTAAAAACTGAATTGAAATACTAACATTCAAAATAATTTAAAAAACAACACTTGCACAAAAACAAGTCAAACAGCTTTCAGGTATTTGTCTGATGTTACTAAATTAGATATTATCAAAACTGATCCTAAATAACAATGCTATCACACTCCCCACAAAAACACTCAAGTCATACTGAAAACACACAAAGGAAAACAAATATGACTTGACTTCAAGGACAGGAGCAAAATATATACATATATTTTTGAGACAGGGTCTCGCTCTGTCACTCAGGCTGGAGTGCAGTGGCATGATCATGGATGGCTGTAGCCTCGACAGCCCAAGCTCATGTGATTCTCCCACCTCAGTCCCACAAGTATCTGGGATTACAGGCATGCACCACCATGCCCGGCTAATTTTTGTATTTTTTGTAGAGACAGGATTTCGCCATGTTGCCCAGGCTGGTTTTGAACTTCTGGACTCAAGCAATCCACCTGCCTTGGTCTCCCAGAGAGCAAAATACAGTACTGCTACTAATTTTCCTAACAGTGTCTGTGCTGAGGAGACTAACAGCCAGCCACGTACCAGAACCTCTGACAGGACAGGCTTCAGGAATGGTTCCGATGCCCCAGCAGCGGCCAGGCTCACAGCAGCACTGCATTTTCGTCATTCTCCCCGGGAGCTCTTGTGCACAGCGGCCATTCACCAGGCCCGAGAAACACATGCCTGTTCTCTGATCTGTGCATGTATAAATAAGACAGAAGATATGGCAGAATTACCTCAGGTTCTTACAACAATCACTGTACATGAGATGAATGTAGGTGAAGTGACTCATACCACTTAATCTCTGTTATCTATTCCTTTCTTCACTCTCTTAATATCTCAGACATTCATTGAGCCAGGGACAGAACAATGAAAGACGTGGAGCAGATAGGAGGACAGACTGCAGTAAGAAGCTAAAGTCAGGCAATTCTGAAGCTTGAAGGAAAGCAACAACCCAGTCCCAATCCTCAGCCTGGAGATGCGCACTGTTGTATGTCACTGTGATTTTGTGGTTGTCTGTAATGCAGCAACATCTGACTGATGATTTTATAAAAGTTGATCAGATGCAACCTGAAACAGTGACATTTGAGAAGGCAGCTGACTAAAATGAGGGCATGAGCCATGGAAGTATCTGAGGAAAGAGCAGCTTCTGAGGAAGAAGAGAATGTGCTTCATGTGTGTGAAGAAAGATGGGCCACTATGACTAGAGAACAGCATGTGGAAGGGAAAGTGCAGGAGCATGAGCTCAGAGAGACAGCAGAGGCTATCATGGATGGTCCTATAGGCCATTAGGAAAGGACCTTGGGATTTCACTTGGATTTCGAGTGGAGGGTTTGGAGATTTCCTGGATGGTTACAATGAGAGAAGACAATGGTTTACATTTTTAAGAAGATCTCTTTGGCTGCGATGAGAACTGACTGTAGCCAGAGCACAGAGACCAGTGAGGAGGACACTGAAGACATTCAGGTGAGAGATGATGGTGGCTTTGATGAGGGTGGCAGCAGTGGAGATGATGAGGCTGAGCAGAGGGCAGACATGTTTTGAAGGTACAGCCAATGGGAACTTGCTTGGGTGTGGGGTATGGAAGAAAGAGAGTCTTAGACATTTCCTAAGTTTTTGACTTACACAGCTGAGATGGGGATGGCGAGGGAAGAAACGGGATTAGAGAACACAAGACAAGGCTCCTCTTTAAAACATGTTATATTTGGAATGTTGAATAAATGAGCCTGGAATGCAGAAGCATAGTCAGGCTGAACATATATATCTGTGAATTGTCAGTGTATATATGTCATTCTAAGCCAGAGCCAGATGAGACAGTTTCAAGAACTAGGGAAAACTGACTGTGCCAAACTAGATATTGAGAGGCAAAATAAGGTGACCACTCAGAGGTAAGCACAGTTTGGCAGGAGTGCTATGGTAAAGAGTCTGTGCATTATCCAGTAGGATTTGATGTAAGGAAGTGACATGATCAAATATGACTGTAATAGAGGTCAATCTGATAGCAGAATACACAATGGATCAAAATGATCAGATAAAGGCTAGAAGACAGGTTATGATGATTGCAAAAGACTGCATAAAATGCAAAGTTGCATAGGGATAAATTATCAATATCATCTGTAAACTTTATGGGTTATAACTGAAACTGCCTTTATAGTAACCAATGGAAAAAACTGTGAGCTTCATTAACAACATATTATTCAACCCTATCAAGATGCTTTCAAAGTTGTTTTGTCTATGATCACAAGAAGAAAGATGTACCACAGCAATCAGGATCTGCATATCAATAATGAAGATGAAACTGTTAATTGCTTATAATTCCATTAACAGGTAAAGTTAAAATTTTTAGCACTGGATACAGAGTTTAAAGTAAGCACATTATGTCCTCTAATGGCCCATATATAGCATGCCTCAGATTGCTTTTAAGCTATCATAAAATAAATGAATTACCTTTAAGATACTCTGTATAAGAATCGAACAACTCCTTCTATTTCTCCCCAAAATCCCAGTAAGACCCAAAACCGAGCACTAAATGTGATGTATGCACACATAATTAAAGGCACTGCAGAAATTTCAAAAACTTGAGTTGGATTTGGACAGGCTGTCATTAGGAATAATTTCACAACTAAGTTTCTATTCCTAAGAATAATCACAGGAAACAATTTTTGGAATATTCATTTTATGAACCCGAAGTATCATATACTACCTCCTCAAGGCCAGGATGTAAATTAAAATAAGAAAGTTCCAAACTCTTAACAATAATCACTAACGTTATAAAACACAATCAGTGCTACAAGTTAGGATGAATATATTTATCTCTTCAAGGCTTCTACAAGAAGGAGGTTGTAATATAGAATTTGAAAACGAAACAACAAAAAACAAAACCATAGCCTTGAGTCAAGAGACCTAGTTTTACATTCAAATATTATTAATTGTTCGATTTTCAACCGTATTTAACTCTTCTTCTGTACAGAACATGGTTGGTGGGAGAATGAAATAAAACAACATATGCTCTATTTCTTGCAGCTTTCATGGTGAATTAGCTACCCTGAATGTTCCTCTCAATTAAAATATCCTGGATAAAATGTGAAAAAATATTTAAAAACACATCATCCAGCTCGCATGAAATGAAGGATAAAACAGAGTCCCTAAATGAGGTGAAATGAGAATCTTAGGAGGTATTTGAACAACTAATTTCACCTTTAGGCTACTATTAAACTCCGGAGACTGTGAATTTCAACTCTGATAGTTTCACAGTGCCCGGGGCATAAGACATAAAAAGCCCAGATTCCACTCTCCCCCAATACATAACAGAAAACTCCCTCGTAAGGTAGGGTTCCAAAGAGCCATATGCTTAGTTTATGGATATAGTATATGGATAAGGTAATGGAGGCAACTAAGAAACTTGCCTGTCTCTACCTTGATGCTCTGTGGAGGAAAAAAAAAAGATCTCTCTTAAGAATCTGTAACCACAAGGTCTTCCTCACATCAATAGCTTTGATGCCTCAATTCATAGTAGGTTTTTGGTCTGAAGAACTTCAAAGGAAGAATATAACGTAAAGAGGTTCTCAGGTTAGAGACACTCCAAGCAACTCACAAGAGCCAACACAATTAGAGGACCTAATATTAATGAAAGTCTCAAAAAATTCTCATAAAGTTCCTAGAAAAAAGAGCTGCTAACAGGAAAATACATTAATAACACACTAAGGAACAAAAACTAGTTAAGTAACCAGTATATTTTTGATATTGAAATGGTCAGATCAATTCTGACAATTATTATTTTAAATTATTAATAATTAAATATTAATTAATAACTAAATTATATTTAATATATTTAAAGCAATTCAAGTCTGAAGACATGAACAAGGGGAAAAGGCCCATAAACAATGAATAGGAACAGACTTAAAAGAGATCAAACTTCTATAAATGAAATGAAATAAAGTATCTGACAAATACATTACACAAGTGTATTGCACATGGATAAAGAAAATTACTGAGTTGGCAGATATATATGAATATATTATCTTCAATTAGCACATAGAGACAAAGACACTGAAACGTTAAAAAGAGGTTAAGAAATATGAAGGTGAGAATGAAAAGCTAATTAGATGTACACCTGTGTACATCTGATATGGTTTGGCTGTGTCCCCACCCAAATCTCATCGTGAATTCCCACATGTTGTGGGAGGGACCTGGTGGGAGGTAACTGAATCACGGGGGCAGGACTTTCCTGTGCTGTTCTTGTGATAGTGAATAAGTCTCAAGAGATCTGATAGTTTTAAAAACAGGAGTTTCCCTGCACAAGCTCTTCTCTGGTCTGCCACCACGTGAGTCGTGCCTTTCACCTTGCACCATGAATGTGAGGCCTCCCCAGCCATATGGAACTGTAAGTCCAATAAATCTCTGTCTTCTGTAAATTGCCCAGTCTCGGGTATGTCTTTATCAGCAGCATGAAAACAGACTAATACAACATGTAATAAGAGTACTAGGAAGAGTAATAAGCAGAATGGGAAAGAAGCAGTATTTAATGGATACTAACTTAGAACTTTCTAGCAATGTTGTAAGACCTCAGATATAAGAAGTCCAATACATTCAAAGTAGGAAAAATAAACAGAGATACACAATTAGCCATACCACTGTGAAACTGCAGAACTACAAAGGTAAAGATCTTAAAAATAGGTGGAAAAACAAGACAGATCACCTGCTGAGAAACGGTATTTTAAAAAAATAAATTGCTGACTTTTTGGCAGCACCAATGGATGCCAGAACACAATGAAATAATATCTTAGTATACTCTGATAAAATAACTGTCAACTTAAAATTCTGTACTGTGATAAATCATGTTTGCAGAGGGCAAATTAAGGTAATTTTCAAGAAAACAAAACCAGAGTTTTCTACCAAGAGTTTTTTTGATAAACAAAATGTTGAAAGAGGCACTTCAGGCAAAAGAAAAAGATCCCAATGGAAGGTTTGAGATGCAGGAAGAAATGATGAGCAAAAAATATTAAATAAGTGGGTAAATCTAAATAAGTACTAACATATTAAACAATAATGATTAAGTTGTCACACATAGGAATGGCAATATACTAGATTTTAAAAAGTTGTGAGGGGAAGATCAAAGTTTAACCACTTAAATATTCTTTTATTATTTATATATAGGCAAACATACAGGTAATTTTAAATATGCATCTTAAAACAGCTAGGATAGCCACTGAAGCAACAGAAATAAAGTACATAACTTCTTAACAAATAGGAGAAAGAGAATCGAGTTCACGGCAGCAGGTCGGGGGGATCCTGAACAAATCTAAAAGAAACCAAGAAAGGAGAAAAAAATACAAAAAAAGTAAGATAAGTAGGAAGCACAAGGACTATGGTAAAAATAAAAACAAATATATCAGTAATATAATAAATACACATGGATTTAAATCTCAACTGAAGAGACAAAGATTTACAGACTGTAAAAATAAAACAAAAAATAGATATAGGCTGTTTAAAAGAAATGCATTTAAAACATAAGGAAGAGGAAAGATTGAGAGGGAAAATACATAGTAGGTATATACTTAAAGCTTCTGCTACCAGAAGCTTTATTTTTTGGTTTATTTTGTGATACAAAACAAACCAGAGTATACTAAGATATTTTGTGATACAAAATAAACCAAAAGAAAATATTTAGAAATAGACCACAAATAAAGAAAAAAAAATAGAGTCAATACATAATTTTAAAACGGTTCAATTCACCAGGAAAATATGGCAGATACTTTTAAACATTTATCACTTATAGCATAAGATCAAACTATATAAAATAAAAAATTACTAGACTACATGGAGAAACTGAGAAATCTACCTCCACAGTGGAATATTTACATGACTTTTTCAGTAATAGATATAGTAGACAAAATTCTGTAGGTACAAAGAAAATTTGAATAGTACAGTTGTTTGATCTAATGGATATATCTACAATCTGGCACCCATCAATTGGAGAACACCCATCTTTTTCAAGTCCATAGGGAAGATTTATAAAAATAAATCATTTGTTAAACCATGAAGCAAATACTGTACCAGAATATTTCCAAGAATTGGTATCAACTGGTAATATTCTTGGACCACAATGTATGAAATGAAGTTGGAAATCAATAACAAAATAAACAAGAAAACATCCTATACTTCTAAACAATTCATGGACCAAATACAGTAACACATTTTATACATAAGGTAATATGTATAAAAATGCTGATATGGTTTGGTTGTGTCCCCACCCAAATCTCAACTTGAATTGTATCTCCCAGAATTCCCACATGTGGTGGGAGGGACCCAGAGGGAGGTAACTGAATAATGGGGGCCGGTCTTTCCCATGCTATTCTCATGGTAGTGACTAAGTCTCACAAGATCTGATGGGTTTATCGGTGGTTTCTGCTTTTGCTTCTTCCTCATTTTCTCCTGCTGCTGCCATGTAAGAAGTGCCTTTCACCTCCTGCCCTGATTCTGAGGCCTTCCCAGCCATGTGGAACTGTAAGTCCAATTAAACCTCTTTTTCTTCCAAGTCTCTGGTATGTCTTTCTCAGCAGTGAGAAAACAGACTAATATAAATGTCAATCAAAATGTTGCAAGTACTTATCAGGAATCCATTCTATACCAATCCCCAGACTTTGGGAGTATGCAATGATATTGAGAGGGGTTCACAAATGCATATTTTCATTGAACACTGCAATGTAACACTTAACAGTTTATTGGCACTACCATGATTCACATTTATGAATATGCCACTATAGCTAATAAAATCCAAATTCATTTATCATTATTACTAAATATCCAAGAACATTTTCATTATGTATGCTCTCACGAATATTAAATTATCATAATGTGAGGATCTGAAGTACATTTTTTATGTTAAAGAGAGGTCTTTAAATTAAAAAAATTAATAGCTGGCTGGGCACAGTGGCTCACACCTGTAATCCCAGCACTTTGGGAGGCCGAGGTGGGTGGATCACAAGGTCAGGAGATAGAGACCATCCTGGCCAACATGGTGAAACCCCATCTCTACTAAAATACAAAAAATTAGCCCAGCGTGGTGGCACGTTGCTGTAGTCCCAGCTACTTGGAAGGCTGAGGCAGGGTAATCACTTGAACCCGGGAGGTGGAGCTTGCAGTGAGCCGATATCACGCCACTGCACTCCAGCCTGGTGACAAAGCAAGATTCCGTCTCAAAGAAAAAATAATACTAATAATAACCATTGTTCTACACAGTTTGGAAACCTCTGGTCAGTCCTGTAATACATGTACTGAAGGAAACTAAGTCATAGGTGAGAGGGTAGAGAGGCAGCAACAGAGGACTGCAAAGTAAATTGTAACTTTTTTCATAAATTCTACAATTAGCTTTTTCTAGTAACAAAAAGGAGGCAGGCAACCTACTTCTCATTTCTTGAGCCAAAACCTACCAGGATGAGACATACACTGGTGTAGCATCTCACAGTTAAGGTCTCCAAAAAGGCATATTTCAAAGCAAATCAGAGGCTGGGAATTACCTCTCTTTCCTTTGTATGAAATTTCATGGCCCTTAGAAAGCACTGTATTAAAAAATGTATCATGTGGAAAAATATTTGAAATAAAAAAGAGGCACCTGTTAGAAACAAGAGTTGTCCAGGCACACTATTCCTTGAAACAGGGAATCATTAGGGGCAAAGCCAGATGAAAGCCTGTAAAAACAAAATCCCTCTAATGCTTGCTATATGTTTAACTGTAGAACCAATGTGTCCTAAGTAATGAAAACAAGTCTATTCCTCTAATCATTTTCTATCGCCCTTACTACATTTCCTGAACAAGGCTTACAAGGAGTCATATTTACAGTCACACCGAGAAACAGGAAGTAATTCATCTCCTCTGATTAAAATATAAATCTATTTTGAAACGTAATAAAGGTACACTTATCAGAGTTTGTTTCATAGCTTGACATTTTGTGTAAACTTGATTTAAGAGAACTAATGGTTAATTATACAATGTGATGAAAACTTGGCAAAAATTGGGGATTGTATGTTGAAATAAATGTCTCCTGTGGAATTAGGTTTGCTCATTAAGAAATGAAGGGTTCAGCCAGAAAACACCAATGAGATTAGCCCAGGTCAGAACAATAGTGATAGACAGTAGGTGTTCGGTAAATAGCAGCCATTGTCTCATGCTTGTCTCCTGAGACTGGATGCCTGCACTCACCTCTTTGATGGTCTGGTTCCAGCCTGGGCTCCCCTTGATTGATTTTGCGGATTCTTACTATTCCTAAAATACTTTCATGTTTACATTGTTTAAGAGTAACTATAGAACTAGGAGCAATGAAAAGGAACCACTGTGGATCCCAGGTTTATTTCTTCCTTTAAAATAGTGAATGACGGGCTTCTTCCTCACTGTAAGGAAAACTTCTCCTTCTAACACACTTCTTCCTTTCTTAATTAAAACTGATATCCTCATACTCTTTCATTTCTGGTTCCCTCTTTAGTTAAATAATTTTGGGTTCTCCAAGTGTTTTGTTTCAAATGCACACATGCATGTGGAATCAACAGCCAGCGTTACATAGAGTGCTGTGTAATACATAAATAATTCTGTACCTTGCCCTTTTCTTGAAAAAGGAAAAAAAAAACCCATATACTGGTCATCACTTCTGCCTCAAACTTTCTTTTATATTGGTATTATATTTTTTCACATTATGTTTTCAGGTTTTGTTTTTTCAAGAATACTCCACAGCAGTATTGTGCACTAACACGTTTGGAAAGCTTGAGGAAATGCCTTAGCATGCTGTGGCACCATCATATTACTGGAAGAATTTCTAAATGCTTAATCCCATTTTCTGAACTTAACTGGCCCTTTTGGGTCCCTGTGCTTAGGGTCCTTTCTCACCCTGTGTACACAATAGCAGCAGACACATTATCCTGCACACAGAAGTTGCTCACTGCTCTTTGCCAACGCGTTATTTATTGCTGGCTGCCAGCCATTCTTCTGTGCCTATATAACAATGTGCAAATTAGGTATTAATCATTCCTTGGACATGACCATGACAGTTACTTCCAAAATGACTTAAGGCTTATTAAGTAGTGCTATTTAAAACGCTTTTTAGAGAAATATTATTAGGTACGTTTTAACTCCTTTTTTTTTTGGAACTGGCACATGTTAGTGCTCTATGCTAAAAAACAGTTCTTTCCTGGATATATAAAAAGATGATTAAACACACTAGATAGATAAACAAATCAGAAATTTGACTTTTATATTTAGTATACAATGAAAGCGGAAAATTATCGTGTCTTATAATTAAATTGCCTGGTTAAACTCTCCTACCATGTGAAACTGTTTTCCAGCACACAAAAGAAATAGGATCAAGTTTACTGATGCTTTGTCATGTGGTATACACTCAGAATATCTGTGTTAACTAGAATAAGAAATTAAGACAAAATTCAGCAAATGTCACTTTCAGCACATGTGAGCTCTCAGAATAAAGCTGCAGATAACACGCAGTTTAGTATTAAAAAGAGCTTTAAGTTCATCCAACTCTTTATTAGCATACATGTGGTTAGAAAATAAATAGCGTGCAAATATCTCCAACATATATAATTCAACCAAATAAATTCAATCTGAGAAAATACAGACTCAGAATTTTAGAAATCAAAGATCTCGTACACATTAATATGTTAGATTAATTTTTTCTCATGTATGGAAAACACATACTTATTCCAAATGTAACATAGTTATTCAAAACATTTTTAAGCTGCTTACTTAATTATAACACTGGTTTTGTAATTCTGGAGAGCCATTCTCCCTTCCCTAGAGACCTTCCTTTGTTCCTAGTGTTCAGGATGTTGATAGTGAAATGAATGGGACTCCTGGTTAGTGCAGGACTTAGCTTTCCGAACCTCAAGTTAGCTCTTGCTTTATGAGCATCCAGGACCGTAATTCAGTGGCACGACATCATGTCCAAAGAGATGCCAAAGGCTGCAAGGCCGCTATAATCAACATGAAGTTCTTACATTCAATATCATCTCATTCATTCATTTGCTGGTTTTCCTGTTCATTCAGAAAAGATTTACTCAGCACAAACTTCTATGCAAGATGCCTATTACATAAAGCCCAGGGTCCATGAAGCTGCATAAGACAGGGCCTAACAAAGCCCACAGTCTAGCCAGTGAGTAACGCAGAAGTACCTGTGACAATGCAGTAAACCCTAAAATGAAGCAAATGAAAACATATTTCATTTCATTTCAAAATGGTGGGGCTGATTAATTTTGCCCAAGAAGAAAATGTAGTTTAGGTGAAACGGCTACAAAGAAAAGCGATACTGGCCAGAGGTCATGGCTCATGCCTTTAATTCCAGCACTTTGGGAGGTCAAGGCGGGTGGATTACCTGAGGTCAGGAGTTCGAGACCAGCCTGGCCCACACAGGAAAACCCTGTCTCTACTAAAAATACAAACATTAGCCAGCGTAGTGGTGGGTGCCTGTAATCCCAGTTACTCAGGAGGCTGAGGTGGGACAATTGCTTGAACCAAGGAGGCAGAGGTTGCAGCAAGCTGAGATGGTGCCACTGCATTCCAACCTGGGTGACACTGCATTCCAGCCTGGGTGACACAGCTAGACTCCATCTTTAAAAAACAAAAAAGGAAAAGTGATACCTATTTTGGGACTTAAAGGGTGAGCTGGATTTTAATGAGCATAGAAGGGGAAAAACAAGATGCTTCGGGCAGAGGGGGTACTGCTGGCAAAGGCATGGCAGTGTGGTCTTGTACAACAATGAGGGAAATACAAGTGTGAGGTGGCAAGTGGTTAGAGATGACTCAGGAATACAGGTTAGGTAAGGCTTTGAATGTTCAGGTAGAGACTTAGGACTTTATAACATAAGGAGGCAAGAGATAAAAAGAGTTTATCATAATTTTTTGGTAAATCAAAACTCTCCTCTAAGAAAACCCACCTTAGTAAATCATTAGGTACGTTGGTCTTATCTGAATAAAATGAGGATTCATGCTTCTTTTCCAATGCAGAACAAAAATATGAATGCAAGTTTTGTTTGACTAGAGAAAGATTTTGAAATGTAAGTGAGTAAATAAAAAGAAGTAATTTAGAAATGGGGAATAAAACGCTGAAACTTGTTTTGGCAATTCTACCTCATAACTAGTTTCATTTCTCTCTATTCTCAAGCCCCCAACCCTGCATTACAATTTGTTCTCAAAAGCCTTCAATTACTCCACATTGATTACCAAATAAAATACATGTGCTGTATTTGGTATTTCCAGAACTTCACAATAATAACCTCACTTCCTTCTCCAGGCATATTTCTTCTAGCAATATTCTAGGAGACAAGTTTCCGGAAGCCAGGTTCTACAGCACCCAGACAACAGTGTTCAATGACGACTCCCACGGCGACGTTTCTCCTAAAGAGTTGAATCTATACCTATTCCAAGCTGATTATTTTGTGTTCGCATATGCACGTGTGCATAAACATATTATTTTCCTATAGAGTTCAAGAAAATCAAGCCAGATGTAGGTAGTTGCACTAATTTTCAACTCTCATAGAAAGCTGACAGCCAAATTATAAAGTAGTTCTCCCTTATCTGCGGGGGATACGTTTTAAGATCTCCAGTGGATGCCTGAAACCTTGAATGGAGCTGAATCCAACTGCTTTCAATTTGAACACGTTTCTGTTCATATCTTCCACCCACAAATTTAATTCCTTTTCCATCTTAACTACACTTATCACACATTGTGGCTGTAACTTTTGCAGTGTGAGGTGCAATAACAAAACTAACATGAAATTCTTTTTCTTCATTCACAATTTCATGGATAGACTTGTTCTTACCATAGATCTTAGCAACCTCAGCATACGATTTCTTTCCTTTCCTTGCTAAGTAGAGAACTTCCACCTGTTCACTTAAAAGAAGTACTTTATGGCTTCTCATTTTATATATATCTGAATTGCTAGCATCAATACTCTTGGGTTCAGGGGCCATGATGAAGTATAATAAGGTCACTTGCACATAAGCACTGCGATACTGTCAGTTGGTCTGATAACTGAGATGGCTACTAAGTGACTAGTGGGTGCGGAGCCTATACAGCATGGATATGCTGGGAAAAAGAGGAGTCATACCCTGGACGGGCTGGTGTGAAAGTTCACTGTGCTACTCAGAATGATGTACAATTTAAAATTTATGAATTGTTTATTTCTGGAATGTTCCATCTAATATTTTTGAATCACAGTGGGAACTGCAGAAAACAAAACCATGGAAAGTGAAACCGTGGATAAGGGGGAATTAGAGTATTAAATGAATCAAACTTACTACACAGTGAGCCAACTGGCAACAGTAACCCTAAAATAGTTTATCTGCTCAGTTATACAGACTTAATATTTCACGAAAAATGATTTACCTAATGCAAGATAGAAACTCTGATTCATCTGTAAAACACAAACAATTCTCATTCAAAGACACGACATGAGGCTCCCAACAGACATCTTACTTCTCAAAGCAGGCTGTTAGCATGACAGTGAAGAAATCAGTCATGCTGGAGGCCCTGACATCTAGCCACAGGATCTCCACAGCCTTAAAGTGGGTAAATGGTAGTTCAGTGTCACAGTAGCACAAGAGGCTGGAGTCAGAGAGGTCAGGATTTGAATCCTGGCTCCATTCATTGGCTGCAAAACACTGGGCAAGTCACTTAACCTCTCTAAACCATATTTCTTTTATTTGTAAATTTGGAATAACTATACTTATCACACAGGGCTATTAGAAGGACCATATGACATATTTATATAGGTCCAGAGCAGGCATATCCTCCTCCTCCTCTTAATAAGAATAATAATGAAGAATATTTTATTGGACACTTATTAGAAGAAACTGAAGTGTAGAGAAGATGGTAGCTTGCCTGACTCCTCACAGCTATGAGATAATGAGGTAGTGGAGAAGCCCAGTGCCTTACACACGGTATGTGTAATATCTTAAATGACAGCTATTATTTTTACTACTACTACTGTTTCTTCTATTACTGCTATTAGTAGGCTTCTACTGTTATTTATGATGACAATATGGCATTCTGAAGGCAGGATTTGTATCTCTTATGTTCACTGCTGGATGACCTGATATATCAGTACATTTAATCAAATGAATTCAGGCCACAGTCCTTTTATTGGTGGCCTACGACTTCTAGCTTACATCCTTGACTCTGTATTTCCATCTCATCAACTCAGTTCTCTTGGGCACATGAGAATCATCAGGGAATCATCAAGACCTACAGAGATCCTGGCAGTTGGTTGCTGACATACTAACTGCCTGGTTTGGGGAGAGAGAGACACTGCCCAAACGGCCACCCTCTAGTGGACCAAACAACACCATTCTTTAAGTATTGGATTAATTTTCCTAATTCCTGCACTACATGAATCTTTAGTGCCAGTAAAGATAACAGTGCCTCTTTTTTCCTCTCTTTTTACCTATTGTCAGCTTAAAATTGGAATAGACTAGGTTAAAAGCTCAGGAAGGGAAATGTGAGGGTAGCTCACTGTGCTGTGATTATGCATCAAAAGACACTTCATAATCTCTATGCTCGCAATAAGACAGATGTCTAAGCCTTGCTCAATAACAGATTACCTTCACCATGACTGTAGCACTATTGCATCTTTCTAAATAAACAAGGGAGAGCATACAATGGTTTTAATTTGAATATATTTAAACACAAAATTAAAGGTGTCTTTTTTGTATAGTAACTATTTTCAATAGAATAAACAAGTTCTAAGTAAATAAGATGTTAATAACATTCATGATTCATAGCACAAAAGAAGCTTTAATTACTACATTCTGTCTCCCAAAGCAGATTTTAAAAAATTTTTCTCGTGCCTTTGTGTCTTTCTTTATTCCCAAAATGACTTTGACAACATAAAACAAACCCAGTTGGATTCTGAAACTGAAGTCTTTGCAAAGAGTACCTGGTCTATCAATCCCTCAATACTGGTACCGTTTACATTAAACAACTCATTCAGCCATTTCTTCAATATTTTATAATCGTTGCCATCTTCATACCTGTTTGGGCTGTTTTGTCATTATAAAGACCCAGTGTATTGAGCCTTCAAAATGCGAGGCTTACCGATGCATCGAGAGCCATCTGTTGAGGTTACATATCCACGTGGACAAACACAAAAATAGCTTCCCACGGTGTTGGAACATTCACCAGTTTCACATATCCCAGGAATGATGCTGCACTCATCAATGTCTAATCAAGGGAAGAAGGAGAAGATGATTGAGAAAGGCCTTCATTAAATAGCTTTTAAAAGAGATTTTTTTTTTAAGAGTATGAGAGCATTCATGGTTGATTAGGTCAGATCATATAACCCTGAAGATACTCTTGTTTCAGGCCCCAAAGAATTTCTCACACATATCTATGGGAACTGAGATGAAAGTAAACTCCCATGGCAGTTAAAACAAGGCCAACTAAAGCAGAACTCTATACCCTTTTTTAAAAATGCAATTTAAATTGGAAATAAGTAAAGATGTCAATGTTTTAGTTTCCATTCTACATCAACTAGGGAATTATCCTACTAGAGCCTTTAAAAAAACACATACATGGATTACATTTTAAAATATAGAATAACTGTATTTGAAAATGTATAACTAATTTTCACACTATTTGAAGCAATGAAGAGTGGCAAATAACTTTTTTTTAAACTTGGCTTCAGGATATGTTTTTGTACTTACATTTGAATATGGGAGTATTTGACATTCTGGGAACAACTTCAATCTAAAATAATACAGAAACATGGTAAAGGGCAAAAACTTGGGAGGCTTTGGGAAGTGTCCAGTTTTCCTATTGTACCTCCCTACATTTATCCATTCAGCATACTCAATGCTGGAAATAGTCTATTTCCTTTCCCATTAATGAAAAGTCTGCTTTCTTTAAAATTTTCCTTAAAGCAGAAAACCCAGTCATTTATATAAACTTTTAATGTACTTCTCTTCTAGTTCAGTAAGCAGAGAGAGGTGGGAAGTCTAACAAAGCTGCAATTAGGGATAACTGGGAGCTAATTGCTAATACATTTAAAAAGGAAATGAGTCATTGTGAGAAAAATCCACCCAAATTCCTGGGAGGTGGCTGTCTTTTTTAATGAACAGAGGTAGCAAAAGCCAGTAACTAGAAGAAACAACAATAAAAGCCATACATACAGATAATTACTGAAAAGTCAAAATAAGCTGACTTTTAGTTTTTCTCTTTTCAGTTGCATTTATTCTTTTAAAATGTCCAATAAAAAAGGAAAAATAATTATATTCCTATTATAAACACACAAAATATGTTTAACCCCACGCTTAAAAAGAAAAAGGTTGCCAATGCCTTTCTTACATCCTTTTATTGGTCTATTCATTATTTTTTTCCATTTATTCTGGCAAGTCACTCTTGCCTACAAGCTTTATCATGAAATAACTATACGCTGTGTGTCTTCTTGGCATGTTCTTATAAAAAAAGTTACCAGATTCAGACATTCTATGAAATAATATCTTCATTTGAGGCTTAACACTTAGCCACTGAAGGCACAGAGGTACAAATCAAAAATCTACCAATTTCCCAAGAGAGATCAGAATTCTAACATGAATTGACTACATGAGGAGTAAATACAAAATGTGGTCAAAGAGCTGCCATCAGACTTAATCCAACAAAATAAAACCACGTGTGCAAAATTAGGTCCTGTTGCATCCTGTGTTGCTATCTTAGTGCAGTGCATCTTAATACAACTGAGCATGGATTCAAAAGAGAGATGAAACTAAACAGCTGTACTTTAATTACCACAGAAACTTATCACCTCTGGATAAGGAAGAGAAAAAGAAAAGAAAGAAAAGAAGGATACAAGGTAAAGCAAGCATTAAAAAAGTGAAGAACTAAAACTTGCCTTCTCACTCTCTTAACATCTAAAATTATATGAATTATCAAGGTGCTTATGAAGCCCAGGATTTATGCAAAATATTAAACATTAAGAGACTCAACTTTTTCATTTAAACATTGGCTTTTATTTCTAGGCATTTCGTTTCATAATAAACAACTTCCCTATGCCCTAGTCTTAAAACTCTTCCTGACAATAAAAAGAACAGAAAATTAAAAGATGTTTGACATTTTCTTTTTTTGGATAAAATAAATCTGGGACATAGAAGGACATGTGGAGTGACATTAAATTTGTGGTTTTTCTGTTAACAATTTTATTGTGCAAAAAAAACCTATGTGTTTCACAATTCTCCTTACAGTTGAGTAGGAACCCTAAAAGGTTAGCTTCAAAATAATTATACATAAAAGGCTCTCAGGTTTTGTATAAAAAATAGAAATGCTTTTAATTCATTTTTGGGCTAGACATCTACCATATTTTAAAAATTTAAAAATAAGGTGCTTTTTTAAAACAACAACAACAAAACCCCAAAATACTGACCAAAACCCCTGCATTTTAATACAGTGTTGCCCAATTGAGATGGGAGAGTTCCCTCGAGCCCCTCACAGGACTTGAGACAGGGGTGGCTTGTTTACTTGGCTGCCATGCTCAAACCCTTTGCTGGAGGGGAGCACACAGGTGAGCAGGTGCAGGAGCCAGGATGAGTGTTTCCGGATGCCGGCAGGAACAAACCCTGTACCAGCCCACGGCAGTGTCTAGGTGTTGCCGGTGACCTGTGGAGCCCCAGAAGGTGTGTGTTACAAACAATGCTTTTTTAGCTTTGCCATTTGCAGATGGCTTAAATGTTAAAAAGCTCATGCCCAGTGTTTTCAAATTCTTGTCTGGTGTCCAGGGAGAATCAGGTCACGTGAATGAATTGAAGGATGGTGTATGCAGAGGATTTTATTGAGCGATGGAAGTGGCTTTCAGTGGGATGGGGAGGTGGAAAGCGGACGGAGTGGGAAGATTATCTTCCCCTGGAGTTTGGTCATCCCTAGCGGAACTCCTCTCTGACCGTCCCCAGCTGAACTCCTCTCCAACCGTAGTCTCTGATGTCCAGCTGCCTCTTCTCCTCTCGACATTCAGATGCTTCTTCTCTCCTTCCTTGCCATGGTGCTCTGCTCCTTTGCCAGTGGAGCTTGGGGTTTTTATAGGTACAGGGTAGGGGATATGGTGGGCCAGGGTGGTTTTGGAAAAGGCAACATTCGGGCAGGAAAGCAGGAATTCATGATCTCATTTAGGGTCGCAGGTCCAGGCTTGAGGGTGGAGCCCTCGCCAGGGACCCCCACCCCGTCTTCGACCTAGTATTTCCCTGCCTCCTGTCTGTATCACAATGTTTATCCATCAATTTAAATTTAGCATTAGCATTTATGTTCAGAAGGATACATGCATTTAGCTCTTTTGAATATTAGTTCTTCAATACTGTATGTCATAATCAGATTTGGAAGTATTATATCCACAAATATAAAGCATATATTATCTATGTATAAACAAGTGTGCCTAAAGGTGACAAGTCTGCTCATGGGAAAAAGCAGAGTCTTAACAATGGGAATTGGTTTCATCCATGTTCTGCACACTGAATATACTGCCACCCATCTCTCCTTGATCTTTTTTGAAACTATATCAGTTTGCAGCTTTGGTCTGCAAATATCAGAAAAACTGATTTAAACTGATATAAATCAAAAATTTAATAGCTGTCATATCTGAAGTCTAGAAGTGGTTTCAACCAATGTGTCTTGTTCAGTTTCTGTGAGATATGTTCAACTAGGCCTTCCTCTGTATTTTGACTTGAGCTGCCTTCCCTGATGGGAGCAAAATGGATACAGCAGCTTTAGGCTATTCCTTTGACTGGGACACCTAGTGGAAGAGAGTGTCTTTTCCAGTGCTCTCTCCTGAGAGGAAGAAAACTTTTTCCAGAAGCCCCCAGCAAATCATCCCTTTTGTCCTAATTTCTAGAATTGGGTCACATGCTAATTTCTGAATGATGCCTCTGGCCAGGAAAATGTTCTGATTGGCATAGGCCTGGAGTCCTGAATGAATTTTTGTGGCCAGTCGAGTGAAGTTAGCTTCCAACTAATAAACAACAACAACAACAACAACAAAAAACAGCATGGGCAACTGGGTCTGAAAATACACCACAGTTGAAGAATGCACAGTGTACTAGAACAGCTGGGAAACTGATGGACAATAAGCTTAGCTAGTTAGGCATATGCTAAATCCTGAAAAGCCAAGCCAAGGACTGTGGCTTTTATTCTGAAGGTGATGAATAGTGTCTATGAAGGAGTTTAAACAAAAGAATTACATAAGCCTATCAATATTTTAGAAAGATAGTCCTTGTGTTTAATGTGGACAGATGATATAATAGTCCAGGGATAAATGTTGAGAACTTGAAGTAAGGCTTTATGATGAGGAAGGGAACATATATTCAGGATATAATTTGAAGGAAAAATCAACAGGAAGGACTTTGTCACCAGAAAGATATCTTACACTACTATTTTGATTGACAAGGATGATGACATAGTGCTATTAACAAAGAATGGAACACGAATGGAAGAACATGTTTTACAGTTAAGTTGAGCTTTGGACATTTTGATCCTGGGATGTTTGAGAGAAACCAGTAAAAATTCTAATCTACAGAGCTAAAAATTTGGGTATGAAACTTAGCAAAGAGGTAAATTATAAAGATGGACATTTGTGGTTTATCACCAAGTATAAGGATTGCCTTTGAAGTTATGGCAACATATGAGATTTCCAAAGAAGACAAATGAAAAGACTGGAATTGAAGGAGGAAACCATGAGAACTATCAACATCTAAGAAAAAGTCAGAGGAAGAAAAGCAGAATAGGAGTCTGGGAAGGAAGGATCATGGAGGAAGGAGGAAGAATGTGAAAAACGGAGGCTAAGGAAGAACACTGTGAAAACAGGGGGATTGTCAAGTGTGACTTCAAAGGGCAAAAAAAGAGAAAGACTGGGAAGTCTTCAGTAATGTGAAGACTCTGAACACAGGTTTTTTAAAAAAGGAAATCCAATCTAAACAAAACCATCTGACAGATTTCTGACTGCCAAACCACATAACCTCATATTTGTCAACCAACATTTCCTGTAAATCTTACACTAAACGGAATATAATGAATAATTTGATAAGTAGTGATAACATGATCTCAGATATCAATGAATTCTAAGAACACCCTAGAGAGACTGTCCATTCTTATAGGTACATGTCACAGAAAAAAAGCCATCCATGTAACAATTATGTTACAGAAGCTTAGTACAAATAAAACAAGAAATTTTGTTTTAAAAACATGTTCTTAGAACATTTTGTTTCCACTGATGCCAAGAACTATACATATTTGGAATATTCTGTATAATATCTTTTTGATATAGAAAAAAGTAAGCATATTTTTGCATACACTGAACTTCCACTTATTCGTATACTGTTTGACACTAGGAAAATTCATGATTGAAGTGTTAAGTGCAATAATTTGCTGCCTATTTCCAGCTTTTCTAAAGACAACAGGCAATATCAATATTACAAATTGCAATGGAAAATTGATGTCTGCTTTCCTCTTTTCAGATTTCAAAAGCATGGTGTGTATCAACTGTACTCAGAATTTCAATTTATAAACAGCTTTACTGAGACATGATTCACATGTCATACAATTCACACATTTAAAGTGTAAAACTCAAATGATTTTAGTGTAGTCACAAGGTTGTGCAGCCATAACTACAACCTGATTTCAGAACATTTTCATCCCCCCCCAAGGAAATTCCAGCCTATTAGCAATCATTCCTCCTATTCCTCTCCAAGCCCTACGCAACCACTGATCTCATTTCTGTCTCTATATATTTGTTTATTCTGGACATTTCATATAAATAGAATCATAAAATATGTGGTCCTTTGTGTCTGGCTTCTTTCACTTAGTTTATGTTTTCAAGGTTCATTCATGTTGGGGCATGTATCAGCACTTCATTCCTTTTAATTGCTAAATAATATTCTATTGTATGGATATACCACAGTTTATTCATTTATCAGTCAATGAATACTTGGGTTATTTCCATTTTTTATTTTTTGGCTATTATAAATAAAGTTGCCATGAACATTCAGGTATTCATTTTGTGTAGACATATGTTTTCATTTATCTTAGATATACACCTAGAAGTGGAATTGCTGAGTCATACAGTAATTCTATGTTTAACTTGTTGAGGAACTGACAAACTGTTTTCCAAAGCAGCTGTAATAATTTACATCCCCACTAGCAATATATGAGGGAGTCCTTCATACACACCACATCCTCACCTTCACTCATTATCTACTTTTTTTTTTGCTTGTAGGTGTGAAGTGGTATCACATTATAACTTGGTTTGCATTTGCCTGATGATTAATAATGATGAGCATATTTTCATGTCCTTATTTGCCGTTTGCGTATTGTCTTTGGAGAAATATCTGTTCAATTCCTTTGCCCAGTTTTTAATTAAGTTACTTATGTTTTTAACGAATGAGTTATAAAAATTCTTTACATATGTCCCACATGTTATATGATTTGCCTATGAATTTCCATGTAAACTTTTTAAAAAAGTTTTTCATTAAAATATAACATTTATACATTTTTATGGGACACATGGCATTTAGTTACACGCACAGAATGTGTAATGATCAAGTCAGGGCATTTAGGGTATCCCTCACATCTTGACTATCATTTCTATGTGGTAAAAATATTTCAAGTCCTCTCTTCTAGTTATTTTGAAATATAAAATACCTTGTTGTTAACTATAGTCACCCTACTCTTGTTATGAAACACTGGAACTTATTCCTTCTGTCTAACTGTATGTTTGTACACATTAAGTAACTTCTCTTCATCCTCCACTATGGCCAAACATCCTTCCCAGCCTTTGGTAACTCTTATTCTACTCTCTCACTCCATGAGATCAATTTTTATACACATATGAGTGAGACCATGAAATATTTGCCTTTATCTTCTGAACTCATTTCACTTAACATAAATACCCTCCAGTTCCACCCACGTTGCTGCAATTGACAGTATTTTATTCTTTTTTATAACCAAGTAGTATTTCATTGTGTATATATATCACATTTTTTTAATCCAGTCATCCAGTGACGAATGCTTAGGTTGATTCCATATCTTTGCTACAGTGAAAAGTGCTGCTATAAACATGAGGGTGCAGGTGTCCCTCTGATATAATAATTTCCTTTGAATAAATGCTATGTAGTGGAACTGCCAGATCACATGGCAGTTTTATTTGTAATTTTTTGAGAAATATCCATACTGTTTTCCATATTGGTTGTACTAATTTACATTACCACCAACAGTGTATAAGAGTTCCCTTTTCTCCACATCCTTACCAGCATCTGCTATTTTCTGTCTTTTTAATAATAGTGATTTTAACTGGAATAAGATGACATCTCATTGTAATTTTGATTTGCATGTCTCTCATGATTAGTAATACTGAGCATTTTTTCAAGTATCTCTTGACCATTTTTATGACTTCTTCTGAGAAATGTCCATAGTTTGCACTTTTTTTTTTTTTTTTTTAGACAGAGTTTTGCTCTTGCTGCCCAGGCTGGAGTGCAATGGGGCGATCTCGGCTCACCGCAACCTCTACCTCCCAGTTCAAGCAATTCTCCTGCTTCGGCCTCCCAAGTAGCTAGGATTACAGGCATGTACCATCACACCCAGCTAATTTTGTATTTTTAGTAGAGATGGGGTTTCTCCATGTTGAACAGGCTGGTCTCAAACTCCTGACCTCAGGTGATCTGCCCGCCTCAGCCTCCCAAAGTGTTGGGATTACAGGCGTGAGCCACTGAGCCCGAACCCATAGTTTGCAAACATTTTATCCAATTTAACAGGACTGACTCTTCACTCTGTGGATTATTTCCTTCGCTGTTCAGAAGCTTTTAGTTTAATAGAGTCCCATTTGTCAATTTTTGTTTTTGTTGCCTGTGCTTTTGAGTCGTAGTCATAAAATTCTTGCCCAGACAATGTCCTGGAGTGTTTCCCATATGCCTTCTTCTAGTAGTTTTATGGTTTCGGGTCTTATGTTTAGGTCTTTAATCCATCTTGAGCTAATTTTTGTATATGGTGAGAGACAGGGGTCTAGTTCCATTCTTCTGCATATAGATATCCAGTTTTCCCAGCACCATTTACTGAAAAGGATGTCCATTCCTCAATGTTGTTTTGGCACCTTTGGTGAAAATCTGTAAATAGGAGGATTTATTTCTGGGTTCTCCTGTTCCACTGGTCTAGTATCTGTTTTTATGCAAGTATCATGCTGTTTTGGTTACTAGAGCCTTGTAATATATTTTTGAAGTCAGGTTAGTGTGATGCCTCCATTGATTCTATATGAATTTTAGGATTGTTTTTTCTAATTCTGTGAAAAATGACATTCATATTTTGATAGGGATTGCACTGAATCTGTAGATTGTTTTGGGTAATATAATCATTTTAATGATATTAATTCTTCTGATCTATAAGCATGGAATGTCTTTCCATTTGTTTGTGTCCCCTTCAATTTCTTTCGTAAGTGTTTTGCAGTTTTCCTTATGGAAGAATTCACTTCCTTAGTTAAATTTATTCTTAAGTATTTTATTATTGTTTTTGCAGCGATGGTAAATAGAATTGCCTTTTGAGTTCTTTTTTTAGCTACTTCATTATTGGTATATAGAAATGCTACTGATTTTGTGCACTGATTTTTTTATCCTGAAAATTTACTGAATTTATTTATCAGATCTAAGAGGTTTTGGTGCAATTTTTAGGATTTCTAAATATAAGATCATGTCATCTACAAAGAGAGACAATTTGATTTCCTCTTTTCTAATTTGTATGCCTTTTATTTCTTTCTCTCTTGTCTGATTGCTCTGGCTAGGACTTCTGTAGTCTGTTCAATATAAGTGGTGAATGTAGGCATCGTCTTATTCCAGTTCTTCGAGGAAAGGCTTTCAGCTTTTCCCCATTCAGTATGGTGTCAGCTGTGAGTGTGTCATACATGGCATTTTTAATGTCGAGGTATGTTCCTTCTATGCATAGTTTGTGGAGGGATTTTTCATGAAGGGATGATGGATTTTATCAAATGCTTTTCCTGCATCTATTGAGATGATCATATGGTTTTCATCCTTCATTCTGCTGATGTGATGTATAATGCTTCTGGATTTGCATATGTTGAACTATCCTTGTATCTCTGGGATAAATCTCATTTGATTGTGGTGTGTTATCTTTCTGATGTGCTGTTGGATTCAGTTTGCTACTATTTTGTTGGGGATTTTTACGTCTATATTCATCAGGAATATTGGCCTGTAGTTCTTTTTTGTTGTTTTGTCCTTGTCTGGTTTTGTAGAATGCATTAAGGACAGTACTTTCCTTTTCAATTTTTGGGAATAGTTTGAGGAGAATTGGAGTTAGTTCTTCTTTATAATTTTGGTAGAATTTGGCAGTGAATACATCCAATCCTGGGCTTTTCTTTGTTGGGAGATGTTTTATTACTGATTAAGTCTTATTGCTTATATTGGCTTGTTCTGGTTTTCAATTTCTTCCTGATTCAATCTTGGTAGGCTGTATGTGTCCACAGATTTATCTATTTCTTCTAGACTTTCCAGTTTTTTAGTTATACCTGATTATAATAGTCTTTAATAATCTTTTGCATTCTGTGGTATCAGTTGTTATGTCTCCCTTTTCATTTCTAATTTTGATTAGTTAGTCATCTCAACTAATTTTGTTAGTCATCTCTCCTTCTTATTGATTACTCTAACTAGTGGTTTATCAATCATGTTTATCTTTTCAGAAAAACCAACTTTTCATTTTGTTGATCCTTTGTATTGTTTTTTCAGTCTCTATTTTGCTTAGTTTTGCTCTGATCTTTATTTCTTTCCTTCCACTAATTTTGGGTTTGGTTTGTTCTTGCTTTTCTAGTTCCTTGAGGTGCATCATTAATTGTTTTACTTAAAATCTTTGTACTTTTTCTGACCCAGGTATTTATTGCTACAAACTTTCCTCTTAGCATTACTTTTGTTGTATAACATAGGTTTTGGTATGTTGCGTTTCCATTGTCATTTGTTTCAAGACATTTTTAAAATGTCCTTATTCCTTTCTTCATTGACCCATTGATTTCATTCTTCAATGGTCATTTAGGAGCATGTTGTTGAATTTCCATTTATTTGTACATTTTTCAATGTTTCTCTTCTTATTGATTTCTTGTTTTATTCTATTGTGATCTGAGAAGATATGTGGTATGATTTTGATTTTTAAAAAATTTGTTGAGACTTGTTCTGTGACCTAACATATGGTCTCTATCCTGGAGAATATTCTATGTGCTGCTACGAAAAATGTGTATTTTGCATCCATATGAACTTTAAGATTAGTTCTTCAATTTCTGCAAAAAAGCAAGCTTCATTTTTGACAGGGATTGTGTTGCATTTACAGATCGACTTGGAGAGTACTGCCATCTTAACAATATTAAGTTTTTCAATCTGTAAGCATGGTGTATATTTGTTTATTTAGATCATTCTTAATTTAACAAGGCTTTACAGTTTTCAGTGTACAAATCTATCACCTACTCTGCTAAATTTATTCCTAAGCCATTTATTCTTTGTATAAAAATAAAATTCATTTTTGTACATTGATCTTGTACAATTGCAACTTTGCTTAAATCATTCATTGGTTCTAATAGTTTTTAGAGTACACCATAGCCACTTTAGTGTATTCCTTATTCACTTCAGTTGTTACCTTGTCCACTAAACACGTGTCATCTACAAATAGAGATAGTTTTACTTCTTTTTTTCCAGTCCGGGTAACTTTTATTTACCTAATTGCATAATTGCCTTGGCTAGAACCTGTAGTACAATGTTGAAGAGAAATGGTGAGAGTAGACATCAGTCTTGTGCCCAATCTTAGGGAAAGCATTAATTCTTTCACCATTAAGTATGATGTTAGTTGTAGTTTTTCATAGATGCCCTCTATAAAGTTGAGTACGTTCCTTTCTATTCTTATTTTTTTCTTTCTATTCTTAATTTTCTGATTATTTTTAGAATACAAGGGTATTGGCTTTTTTTCAAATGCTTTTGGTTTTTTGCATATATTGAGGTGATCACGGCTTTTGTCTTTTATTTAAATAATATATTACATCAATTAATTTTCAGATGATGAACCAATCTGGCATTCCTGAGATAAATCTCAACTGATACTGATGTATAATTTTTTTTGTTTTGAGACAAGAGTTTTGCTCTTGTTGCCCGGGCTGGAGTGCAATGGCATGATCTCGGCTCACCAAAACCTCCGCTTCCCAGGTTCAAGTGATTCTCCTGCTTCAGCCTCCCAAGTACTAGCTTGGATTACAGGCATGCGCCACCATGCCTGGCTAATTTTGTATTTTTAGTAGAGATGAGGTTTCTCCATGTTGGTCAGGCTGGTCTCAAACTCCCAACCTCAGGTGATCTGCCCACCTTGGCCTCCCAAAGTGCTGGGATTACAGGCGTGAGCCACCGCACCCGGCTGATGTATACTTCTTTTTATATGGGGTTAATTTGATAATTGACAATGATGTATAGTCTTTTCTATATGGGGCTGGATTTTTTTCTTCAATTTTCAGAGACTTTATATTGTTGGTATTTTTTAAAAAATGTATTTCATGAGTTAAATTCTTATTTTACTTGGGAGAGAGTCTACCAAGGTGCTTATATCACCATTCTGAAAGCCTTGTCCTCCCATTCCATGTTCTTTTTAACTGAATTCAGGTTTTCTAATTTAATATGAACCATTAGCCATTGGAAGAGATCTTACTTATTACATTCTTATTATAAACAAGAAATCTGGCATACTAACTTTTCCAGACCAGCCACTTAACATAAAAACTTTTTCCTCTAATAGATAATTTGTTTTTGGGAAGGGGGGCAAATGTAATCCCCAGGATCTTCTTTTGATTTTTTTCCCATACAGCATAAAAGTATACATCAAAGCTGGCAAGGATAGTTATGAAATTTCTGAATTATCATTGTTTTACCTTCAGCTTCAAAAAACAAATGTTAGCTTTAGCTATAGTATATACATTGATCAAAGGTATTTTTTATAGAAAAGGGTTGAATCAGACTGAAATTTAAACACATTGAAAATTTAGCTTACCGATGACAACTAAATGGCCATAAATGGGTATATCTCTTAAATAAATATTTTGTTTGAAATAAAAAGAAACAATAGTTAATGAAAATTATGCTATTCATTCTTTAAAACTCTCAACTTCTCTTAAGAAATCAAATAAACAGATACTGATTGGGCATATACTATTCATTCATGAACTCATTAAGTAATTGCTAATTAAAAAGGCCTTTGATTTGCCACATACCAAATACCTAAATGTGAAACAAGGCACAATATAATTTATTCCATCAAAGAAGATTAACAACATGTTACCTCAATTCAACCATGAGAATCGGCAAAAGTTCTTGGCAGATATAGTTATTGATTGATAAAGGCCCCTAAAGAATGGGGTGGAACTTTGGCATGCAAGGAAGACAGGAGGGAGGAGTTCTTCCAGACAATGAAAATACTCTAGCTAAAGTATGGAGGTAGCCAATTATAAGGCATGGATGAGAAATGGGCAGCTTTCCATGACCTGAGGGCATTTACTTAGAAAACAATAAAACTAGAAAGTTAAGTGACAGGCCTAGAATGCCATTTTCAGTAATCTGTCCTTGCACTGTAGGCAATGAGGAGTGACCAAATCATTAAGCAGGCAAGGAGAGTGATCAGAACTTCACTTTAGGCAAAGATTTCTACCTATGTCGATAAAGATGATCAGGGCTGACGTAGAAATGGGTCAGGGACAGCAGAGATGATGGCACAGTCTCAGTTCCAGCTAATGAAGGTGGGACTGGGAGAGAAAAGAATACATGAAAAAATATCCTGAAAGTAAAAGCAAGAATAAGGGGAAATGGCAATAAGTTTCATTATTGAGCTAATATTAATAAAATCAGTAAAGTAAAAAATATATTCTGGGAAAATTAATGGCTTCATGATTAACAATTTGAGTTACTAATATCTAAAAATTGTTGACTGTCTAGAGTAAGTCTTTGCAAGGTGATTGGAATCTATGGGTATAGACAGTTGAAACCATCAATGTGGATAAAATCAGTTGAGATGAATAATATAAAATGAAGAGATCACACGAGAAGAAAAACGTTAAAGGTAAGTCCTAAGGGGATATATTCATTTGAAAGAAGGGAAGCAAGTGAAGATAAAGAAAAGGTAAACAGAGTCACCAGTATTACTGAAAAGCTATTACGTTTTAAGAAAGTCAATAGCAGGAGGCAGAATAATAGCCACCCAATGATATCATATTTAGAACCTATCAGTATGTGAGCTTGCACGACAAAGAGAATTATGGTTGTTAATCAGCTGATCTTGAGATGCAGAGATAATCCTAGATTATCTGGTCCTCTGTCCAATGTAATTACAAGAATCCTTATCAGTAGAACAAGGAAATAGAGTGTCAGATTGAGAGACAGATTTGAAGATGCTACACTACTGGCTTTAAAGATGGAAGAGGCCACAAGCCAAGGAACGAGGGTAGCCTCTCGAAACTTGAAAAGGCAAAAAAATGGACTGTACCCTAGACACTTCAAAAGGAATGTAATCCTGCCAACACCTTGATTTGGGCTTGGTTAGACCATTCTGACTTCTGATCTCTAGAACTGTAAGACAATAAATCTGTTGTTTTAAGCCACAAAGTTTGTGGCAACATGTTATGACAGCAAAAAGAAACTAGTATGTTGAGGAAAAACAATTAAGAAGAAACAGAATAAGCAAGAACACCAAATGCAATGAGGGATTCTAGGGAACACAAGCAATTTTACAAAAGGATAAGAAATAAGTAGAAACTTGAGATAACTGGTATACACTAAGCTTTTGGGAAAATTTACAGTGAAGAAAGGCAGCAAGAAATAGTATAGTGAGAAGTGACTAAAGAGTTGAAAGAGTGGTTTTATGGTTAATGTGTTTTAGGATGGCTTTGCAGGTAAAGAGGAAGAGTCAGGAAAGAGAAGAGATCCCAACTAGAAAATGAACTAATTAATGGCAAGAGTTAAAAGGAGTACAGAAAGGTGATGGAATTAATGTGCAGAGCTGGAACATTTTGCTCTGGAAAAATGTGAAGACACTTCATCAAAGACAGGGGAAATGGAGAATGAATATGTAGTAATAGAACTGAAGTTGAGTAAGTTCATGTCAGATATCTTTTACTCTTCTCAAGAGAGTAAAACAGAGTACAGATGTTACAAAACTTTACTGTGTGTAAGAATCACATGGACAGCTTATTAAACATGCAGATTTTGACTTCCAGTCAAAAAGCTTTGGTACTATCCTTTTTTTCCAAACACATAGCACTGACAGATGACATATAAAAAGAGAAAAACAAAAAAAGATGCAGCTGGTTTCAAAATAAAAGATAAATATTTCTTTAGACCACAAATAGTATTGAAAAACAGTGAGCTAAGCTGAAACTAGTTGGACTCCTTCTCCAGAAGCCGTCAGTGGTGGCCAAGAGACTGAGATTATACCTGATGACAATATGGTGAGATAAATTCTACAGCAGAAATAGTGAAAGGTAGTGAGAGAATGCAGAAGAGAAAGGGGCCAGGAAAGACTTCCCTGGGAAAGTGACAGTTAAATTGAAACAGATAAACAGGCCATGAAAATCAAATGGAATATTCTTCTCCAGGTAGAAGGAAGAGCATTCACAAAGGCCAGGTGTATTAGTCCGTTCTCACACTGCTAATAAAGACATACCTGAGACTGGGTAATTTATAAAGAAAAGAGGTTTAGTGAACTCACAGTTCCACATGGCTGGGGAGGCCTCCCAATTACGGCAGAAGACAAAGGAGGAGCAAAGTCACATCTTACATGGTAGCAGGCAAGAGAACATGTGTAAGGGAACTCCCCTTTATCAAACCATCAGATCTCATAAGACTTGACTATCAGAAGAACAGCTTGAGAAAACCCACCACCATGATTCAATTACCTCCCACCAGGTCCCTCCCACAATAAATGGGGATTATTGCAACTCAGGGTGAGATTTGGGTGGGGACACAGCCAAACCATATCACAAAGCAAGAGAGAGCATAATTTATTGAAGGAACTAAATAAATCTACCTGTGTCTGAATCAGAATGTGTGAAAAGAAGTTAGGCTGGAGAGGTAAACAGAATGATCAGGCAGGAACTTTATCCTGAGAATGGGAGATCCACATAGGAAAGTGACATGACCAAACTTGTGATCTAGAAAGGTAGTTGTGCTGCAGTGTGGAGAAAGGATTGCAGTGGAACATGTAGGAGATAGGAGTCCTGAAGGAAAGCTGTTTCAGAAATCTAGAAGAGAGACGTTAGTGACAAAGGCAGGAAAGTGGATGAATTCAAAATATATTTAGGAAATATATTTAGACTCCACCTAAATGTCTTGATGATAAAATGGGTGATTTGTACCCAGGTTTATAACTTGGGAAAGAGAATGAATAATTGTGCCAATCACTGTCATGATGAACGTGAGAAATGATGATAAGGTATACGTGGGGTGGGTGTAGTGGAGCTGAAGACTCGGTCTGTGTATGTTGAGTTTGAGATAATTGTGGGATGTTTAAAGTATACGTGCCTGGCAGGCAGCTCCAGACAAAGGTAGGGAACTCAGAAGAGAGAGCTGTATTGTAGTTTTGGGAGCCAACTGCTTATAGATGATTGTTCCGCAGGGATGTTTCAGTAAGATAAAAAATGCAAAAGGTCCATCTGGTGACATCGATGAAATTAGTTTCACTTGACTGGTGAGAATAATCCCTAGATTAGAAGGTGTTCGGGAGTTAATCAGAAGAAAGAAAACAGAGAATGATTAGGGATAATTCCAAAGTTTGATGTGAACAAGAAGGAAAAGCGAGGGCAGTTACCCAAGGAGAAGATAGAAAGGGAAGGATATTTTTTAGAATGATGGAAAACAACAAGGGTTATGCAGAGGATGAAAGCCTGTGGTCTGTCACATTATATCATTATTTTTGCATTATTTCAGGATTTTACTATAGTACAATATATATTCTTTCTTGTCCCTCTTTTCTATTGTTATTAGTCTAAGGAAATACATTGAAAATAGTCTTTGTTATCATTAATAGGAACTAAGGGAACTTTTTAATTAAGAGCTTTTTGTTCACTTAGGCTGAATAATTGCATTTTTGAAAGGCTACTACTGCAGCAAAGTAATGAAAGGTTCCCTTTTGGCCTGAAATCAATACTGCATCTTTCTAAACACTAATTTGCAGTAACTCAGGCATGAAGTAATAATGGTGGCAAGAGGCAGCTCCATCACAGTGCTTTTTAACATTATAACAGTCTGAAAGCTATCTCTGTTTCAAAATACATAAAAGTTACTGATAACATAGTCAAACAATATGAGTTTGAATATTTGGTCTGCATTCCAAAGCAAATATTTCTTGGAAGGCATAGCTGTTTGCCAGCAGTAGTTTTTCTTTCTCTCTTTTCCTTTTCCTTTTTTTTTTTTTCTCTCTCTGTCCCTCTGTCTTTTTCGGGGGGAGGTAATTTACTCAAGTGGAAGTATTTTGTCACCTTTTGTTAGTCCAAATTTAAGACACATTAGGACAAACTTAAAACTTAAAACATAGACCTTTAAGACAAGTGAGATCAAGTTATTTATGTTTTAAAATACTGAAGACTTAACATAATGACACTAAGCTTTACAGGGGAATATTTTTTAACAATTAAGTGACAAGCTGTGAAAACCATGTCCTCCAGAAAATTTCTTTCATCCAATTTCCTCACTTTTCACAATTGCCCTAAACATTTTAAATAAAGGGAATTTAAATTGAAAGACTCCCTTAATGTTGGGCAAAATCTAAAATTTCAGCAATGCAAAAGTCAGGAAATTCCAAAGTTAAATTTACTATACTTATTTGAACTTGGCAAAGCTGCAAGAATTTAGAATTTGGAATGTAGTATTTAATAGGGAAAATTTAATATTTTCCCATTAAGCATCAGTACATGAAGGTGTGATCATAAAATCCTGAGGATTTTAAAACAAATTTTTGCATAATGCAGTAAGAACATTAATTTAAGAAGTATTGATCTTTTATCAGTACTCTGAGGATGCATCTAAAAATCATTTATTTTGTATCTTCTAAATAAATGGCACCAAATGAAAAAGAAATCCACCCTACATTCCACTATAGAATTATCATATAAATGAGCATTAGCCTCTGTGTTTTTCACACTTAATATCATAAAAAGAAAGAAACTCAATGAAAATGGTACCCTCATTCACTGAGACACATACATGTGCAATTTTTATGAAGAATGTTAATCTTCAAATTCATAGAGTTGAATTTTCTCATTATTGGTTGATTTTCTTATTCTCTTGACAGTTTACATTCATATGTACCCTATTTAAATTTAAAAAGTAGCTGCATATACATTGAACTACATAGACCTAGCTGTGTATATGCATAAAGTAGGTCCTGTACGTGTGAAGGTGTGAGTAGGGAGAAGTCACTCCTAATGCTTTGCCTGTAAACCACACACTTTGATGTTCTCAGTGGGGTGATGGAATTGCATAAACCCAACAAGCCATTCACTGGCATTCTCTATGCAAAACGACAAATTCAAAATAGCTGAATGGGGAGACTACCAATTCTGTGGCTGAACCTCATTAGGACCACACTCTAACTATGCTAATACAGCACAGACACATTCACATTACACATCTGGACAATTCTCAAGTGCGCCCACACACTTCAGAGATCTTGACCGAGACTTCGAAAACCTTCATATTTGAAATTCCCTTTTCCTTAAGTTACTCAGAGCACCTGCTGTTTGATGATTTATGCAAAAGTTAAACTTTTGCCTGTAGACTTAGGACGATAAGTCATGAAGCTGAAAGTGTTTTGAATAGTTTCATGTCAACTGAGAGAATATATGGTAAATGGGTATTTGAAACTGCTAGAGTGCAAGCAGAAAGCAACTATTTCTCCCACTGCTGTTTTGCATATTCTCTCTTGACCAGTTCTTTCTTGACCCTAGGAAATCTCATGCAGTTCACACAGGTTTTCCAATCCCCTTCAGATAAATAAAATGTAACAAATCTAACAGTCTAATCTTTCATTCAGTTAAAGCTTCCCTTCTTCCTAGGGTGAGCATCCCCCAGGCTCAGAAGCCCTCAGTAATGAAGGGGCATGGTGTCTTCTTTCTTCTATCTTTCCAGTCCTTTCTTTCTAGCTGGCAACTACTATGAGCACTTTCAAGGTTGCAGTAAGGACGTGAGAGGACAGGTACTAGGAACGAAGATCTTTCTTGATTATGGAGCTATAATCTCCCTGACTTTTCCTTCCCAGTCTCCTTTGTTGGTGCTTTCTCATCTCCTGCACCTCTAAATGTTGAAATGTTCTAGGGCTCAGCACTTGGACTTCTCTAGCAAAATGCCTCCCCTGACTGACTTTATCCAGTCTCATGGCTTTAAAGACCAACTCTAAGTTGAAGACTTCCAAATTTATATTGCCAACCTTGACCTTGCCCTTGAACTTGACTCATATATGCAATTAGAAATATCTATCTAGCTGTCTAACAGATGTCTCAAATTAACCCTCTAAAACTAAGCTCCTGAGATGGAGGTGGGATCCCTCGTAGGGGCCTGAGCTTCTGCCCACCCCCCTGCCACTGCCCCACCAAGCATGGAAATAAAAGATAATCTTGAGTTCCTTCGAGAGAAAGTCCAGGCACATAGCTAGTCCTGAGAAGTAAATGAGCAACTTAATAAGCAAGAAGGTAATAGTAGCTTAAAACAATAACCAAGGAAGTTAGAATAATGAGATTTTTGTTCTCTATAGAAACTAAATATAGCACCTTACCATTATATCCCTGAGTTGTTTTTCAGAAACCCTGACCCCCACCAAAAGGATCTGCTGGCACATAGACCTCAGACCAAGGGGAACTGAGGACTGAACTCTGACCGCCATTCTTTCTTCTAAAGTTCTTCTTGAGGCACCTGGAGAAAGCCATGCCCACGTGCCAGAGCTAACATTCTTTTCTGCTGATTTCAATTTTAAATAAAGCTGCTCTTTATTAATCAATTGCAAATTGGAAAATATTTGGCTCTACCTATGGTCTGTAAGCCCCTGGTTCAAGATACCCAGCCTCTTTCAGTCAAACCAATGTATAAGCTCCATGTATTGACTTAGGACTTTGCCTGTAACTTCTGCTTTCCTGCCTTTAGAAATCCTTACCTATAAGCCATTGGAGAGTCCGGGTCTGAAGCACGAGCTGCCTGATTTTCCCTGCTGGGCACCCTGCAATAAATGCCTCATTTTCTTTTGCTGCAATCTCGATGCCAGTGTTTGGCTTACCTGCATTGGGCAGGTGAACCCAAGTTCGGTTCGGTAAACATTCCTGATAACTTTTCTCCTCGCTATGTTCTCCCCACAGATGTTCTCCATCTCAGTTAATGGCAATTTCAACCTTCAGTTCTACAAACTTTGAAATTACTCAATTCTTTTCCTTTCCTACCCCACAACTGATCTGTCAACAAATTCTTCTGGCTCAGCCTTCATAATACATCTGGAATTCAACCACTTCTCATCACTTTTACCACAAAAACCCCTGGTCCAAGCTACCATCAAGTCTCACTTAGATTATTGCAGGAGCCTCCCAAGTGGTCTCCATGCTTCCCCACTTGTTCCCTTATTATCTTGTTACTACCCAGCAGCTGGAGTAAACCTTCCAAAATGAAGGTCAGAATATTATACTTCTTAACTGAAAAGCTCTAACAGCTCCCATCCTTGAGAATTCAAACTAAAGTCCAAAGTATGCACCGTGGCTGGCAAGGCCCCTCCCCATTTGGCCCTGGACTACATCTCTAAACCCATCTCTTACTAATTAATCTCCTCCTTAGTGCTCAGCTCCAGTCACACTGGACTCCTAATGTCGTCCCCTAGATACCTCAGGGGTGCCTCTACCTCAGGGGCACTGCACTTGCTGGCCCCCATCAGGAATTCAGCCCTGGCTTATCACTTTACTTCCTTCAGATCTTTGCTGAAATAAGGCCATGTCAGTGACTTTCCCTGGTTGCCTGTTTAAAATTCCACACCACATTAGCATTTTATAGGCTCTCATCCTGTTTTATTTTCTTTCTGACATAGCACAGACTTTAGTTGTTTACTGTCTCTTGCCTCTATAATGTAGACTTTATGAAAGCAAAGATTTTGATCTGTTTTGTTCATTACTCTATTCCCAGGGTCTAGAACAGTGACGGAACTCCGTAAATATATTTTTGTATGAGTGATTCTGGTATCAGTGTCATCTGGGTGTGGCAGGTCCAAAGCCTAGTGTGTTTTGAGAATCCTCCTAATCCTAAGGTCTCTCACCTCTCACGGATGATTCTAGGGATAATAACTCCTCTACCTGGCCACTCTCATTGGCCCCAGGTTCCTGACAGCTTATCCTCATGCTGGGATCAGCCACCCTCCAGGTAGTTGCATGGACAGAGCCCCTCTCAGGACAATTCAACTCATCTGTTTTCTGTGAGGCCCTCACCTGGCAGATGGGAAACTCACATGTCCTCTGCCTTTCAAACTCTGGAAACGCAGAACAGCCTTTCCAGGTGTGAGTCAGGCTGTACTCCTTACCTTCTCCCTCTCCCACACTCTAGTTCATGGATGACACTTTTCAAAAAAGATCCCCAATACCGTTCTCTTCAATCTCCTTAAGGATTCTCTTTTTACACAGCTTGGGGGTGAGCGATGGGCCACTAAAGGCAAAACAGTCTTCCCCTTCCTTTCGTCACTTCTGTTCTCCCTCCTCCCACTCCTACTGCCCACCCACTATACAAATACTGAAGACAATGGTTTACAGTATAGCAGTATTCCTAAAAAAATCGGAAATGAAATTTTAATTATCTTCTTAAAGAGGAACAGATTTGAGAATATATTTTATTCATGAAATCCACACCATTTTTAAATTCCAGGTAGAAATATTAATATGTAATTAACTAGCCATTGCAAATAGTGTTTATATATACTGGCATAAAGGATCTATACACAACGTAACATTATACTTTGTGGAAAAAAACATCAAAATAACAATCTTCCACCTTCAAACAAGGAAAATGAAGACATAGAAGAAATATTTTAAAATGTATAATCAAATTTTACATTAATGCCAGGATACTATACTTCCTGTTTTGCTTTACTTGTTAATTATGAGAAATATTTCTTCTATCATAGTAAATTAAGAAAAACATTCCATGTGGGAGAAAAATTATGATAATTTAATTTGTGAAAGATGATATGCTACGAGTTTATTAAGTTGAATTAATTTCTAAGCCTACAATTAAATTTTTACAGTATGGTTTCACTAAAGCTAAATGAGAACTTTTTTCTTTTGCAAATTTCAAGTTTTCTGTTACAAAACATCTTCAAGCACTACAAATCTGTTGTACTTAGAATTCAACAAAACAAGAAAGCAACCTCTGAGACTTTTTTCACATATCATTTAAAGCACTTTTTTTATTCTTGCATTTCCTTTCCTGTGAGTTACCTTCTAATATTTTAGTTATTTTTCTGTTAGGTGTTAGCCATTTTCTTTACCTATTTCTAGGGCTTTGCCTTTAATTTAGTCATTTGCCTTAAATATTACTTGCAAATATTTTTTCTTTGGCATTTTTCTTTTGACATTCTTTTTGATGTCTTTGCCAGTAGTTTTTTCATTTTTCATTTTTTTTAAACTTTTATGTAGTTGAATATGTCATTTATTTTCTTTTATAATTTCTGGATTTTGAACATAAAAGAATTCTCTTATGTTGTATTATTGTACATTTATTGTTCTATTTAAAATTTAAGTCTTTACTTTTTTGTTATATTTGGCTTACTTCCTTATGTTTTACATTCATATTTCAAACATAGCATTATGTTTAAAGCACTTTCTTTCTTGTTCACATTCGTGTCTAAAACAGAACCTATTTATGTCTAAGCCTATAGCAGTAGTTGCTTATATGTTTTCTCTTGCAAAATCATATTGAAAAAATAAAATACAGGCCAGTGAGGTGGCTTACGCTTGTAATCTCAGTACTTTGGGAGGCTGAGGCGAGTGGATCATTTGAGGTCAGGAGTTCAAGACCAGCCTGACCAACATGGTGAAACCCTGTCTCTACTAAAAATACAAAAATCAGCCAGGTGTGGTGGCACAGGCCTATAATCCCAGCTACTCGGGAGGCTGAGGCAGGAGAATCCCTTGAGCCTGGGAGGCGGAGGCTGCAGTGAGCCGAGATCACACCAGCACCACTGCACTCCAGTCTGGGCGACAGAGTGAAACCCTGTCTCAAAAATAAATAAATAAATAAATAAATAAATAAATAAATAAATAAATAACACAAAATACTGATTGCAATAGCATGAACTTCTTTTCAAGTGCCACACTGACTCATATCCCATGTAGTGTACAGGTAGACAAACTCATAAACATAGAACAACTGAAATGATTTGGATAATGTTGAGAGAATTTCATGTCTTCTAATTTCAGGAATGCCCAGGTTTTAATAGCAGTCTAGACAATAGTAGAGAAGATTAGAAAGAGAAGTAATATAACGAAGAGTAGAAAAAATAGGAGGTGATAGTTGGGAATAAGTAAGGTAGATCTACAAAGAAAAACAGTAGAGCCAAATTTATTGTTATCTTAGTGGGCCATTCCTTTCCCTTTGGAACTTTCTGGCAAAAATAATAAGATCCTGAGTTCCTGTTTGACAACACTTACTTTAAGAATTAAAATCGCTTTCTAATACAGCAGTCTCTCCTTCTCTGGGAAATATGTTCCATGACCCTCAATGGATGCCTGAAACCATGCATGGTACTGAACCTGATTGCTGTCAATCAGGAACACGTTTTTGTTCACGTCTTCTACCCACAAATTTCGTGCTTTTTCCATTTTTAACTAAGTGCTTAACATGTACTGTCGCCATAACTTTTGCAGTTTGAGGTACAACAGCAAAACCAGCACAAATTTCTTCTTCCCTCTTCGCAATTACACAGATAAAAAAATCTATTCTTACTGTAGAGCTTAGTAACTTTAGCATATGACTTTTTTGCCTTATTAAGTCAAGAGCTTTCATCTTTTCATTTAAAAGGGGGCACTTTACAGTCTCTCTTTGGTATATCTGAATCATTACCATCACTACTCTAGCACTTTGGGGCATTATTAAGTAAAATAAGGGTCACTTGAATACATGCGCTAAGATACTGTGACAGTGAATCTGATAACTGAGGCAGCTACTGAGTGACTCCTAGGCAAGGAGTGTCTGCAGCATGGATATGCTGGACAGATGGATGAGGCACATCTCCAGCACAAGATGTTATTACCTTACTGAGAATGGCACGCATTAAAACATATGGATTATTTCTGGAATTCACCATTAAGATTTTTGGACTGTAGTGGACAGCAGGTACCTGAAACTGTAGAAAGTGAAACTGCAGATAAGGGGACTACTGTAATAATAATGATGATAATGATAAATCTTACAATAACATGTCCCAAACTCCAATCATTTAAAACTTCACCTCCATACCTATTGAAATACCCTGAATCATTTAAATTACATCTCTCTATTTCTACATGTATACTTATTTTAAAAATTTAATATGAACTTTGGGATAATCAATAATATTTTCAGGAATAACATTCATAAACACATAGTTTTGATGCACTGGTTGTATTTTTTCTTAAATTTTTTTCTTATAGCTTATTAATATTAAAATAAAACCTATTTGTCCGTGGGCCACTTAAAATCAACTAGCCAGTCACTAAGAAAATAGTGGTAAAATTAAGTAAAATTGACACCATTTGAAATACAGAGTAAGAATAGTGAAATCAAGAACAGGAGTTGGCAAACTACAGCCCACAGCCTGTTTTTGTAAGTAAAGTTTTACTGGAACACAGCCTCACTCATTCGTTTTTACTGTCTATGGCGGATTTTGCACTACACTGGCAGAGCTGTCTATTTGTGACAAAGACAGTATGACCTGCAAAGCCTACAATATTTACTATCTGGCTCTTCACAGAAAAGTTTGCCAAGCCCTGATCTAGAAGAACTGCATTTAGTGTTCGGATCTAGAAAGACTGCATTTAGTGACTGGCTCGATGACTTTAGGTGGTCTGTGGACAAATAAATTTTATTTTAATAGTCATAAGTGATAAAAAAAAGTTTTAATAAAACTAGTATTTTATTTTGACCTGCATTTAGGGTGTTGTATTAGTCTGTTTTCACACTGCTATAAAGAGCTCCCTGAGACTGGGTAACTGATAAAGAAAAGAGGTTTAATTTACTTGTAGTTCTGTATGGCTACCGAGACCTCAGGAAACTTACAATCATGGCAGAAGAAGAGGCACATTTTACACGGCAGCAGGAGAGTAAGCCTGAGACTGAGCAAGAGCAGGGAAAACTGCCTTATAAAATCACCAGATCTCATGAGAACTCACTCACTATCATGAGAACAGCAGTGGGGAAACCACCCCCTGATCCAATCACCTCCCACCAAGTCCTTCCTTCAACATGTGGAGATTATGGGGATTAAAATTCATGATGAGATTTGGGTGGAGACACAGCCAAACCATATCAGATGCCTTAAAAAAAAGATGTTAGGGGTTTGCTCCAATTTAAAGAAATGAAACTGGAAATCAGAGCATTTGGGTGAGGTTTACACAACAATGGCAGGTCAGGAACTTATTTGGGAAACCACTTTCTAAAAGAAGGCCTACTTCCTCTATCAGAGGATTGGAAAATATTGGTCAACATACAAGTTTGAAGTTAGACTGCAGTACTAAAAGATAAATAATTTTTACGATCCTCTCTTTTACAAACTTGTTATAACATTCAAATACTTAATATTGATTTTGCAACATAAGAGGTTTTTACTATAATCCTTAAAACAGGTAAGAACAATACAAAAAGCAATTTTCTTCTATGTAATAAAACATAATAGATTATTATAATGCACTATTACTAATGGGAAAAGCAAAGCTTTGATTTATAGTCACATAGTCCTGGTAGCATTTCTGAGAATTTGGAAGATGAAACCTATAGCTGAAGAATATGTTTACGCTTCAGATTAGCATCAGCTATATGGCTAGTTAAATCAAGCTATGCAAAATTTAATTTGATAGCATACAGCTGTTGGTTAATAATGCCCAAATTTTCCTCTGCCGTTCACCAAAAGGCACAAACCTGCAACCCAACCCTTCATTTGTCCTATGTTAGCTGCTGCTAGACTGGGACAAAAATATACCTCAGATAGTTTTATAATTAAACTAGAAAATACACAGTAATATGTGAAATATGAAACCACAGCCCTCTAGGAAAATCAAAGCTTACATAAAAACATAGCAACTCACTCAGTATCTGTATGACATTAAAAGAAACCTTCTCATACTATAACTAAATTTGTTTATTTATATTGATTTTGTGTCTTCTAAAATAAGGGCTCTTTAAATAGCTGTCTTCTGGAAGCAGGTAAAACAACTACTGGCACATGGAGAAACAATTTACCTAACCTTGCGACCAATACAGCAGGTGACTAGAACTAAAATTCTCAGAATCCTTCATATTATCCTTAAAATATAATTATTTGTACTAAAATCCAGTAAAGGCAAAGTATGGATGAGAAACACTATATTAAAATAAGAAAAGTTTGCATTAAGATAAGGGGATTTAGTCTGGGATTAAGAAAGAAAGACAATTCAAGCATTATCACAGCTTTGTTTATTTACATCCTGCCATAATATACTCCCAAGGATGCATCTAAAAGAAATGGCAGCCCATAACATTTGTCTCCAGACCTGCATACATTTTTCAATGCCTGGCAGTGAATAAAGTGTGTATATATATATATATATATATATATATATATGGGCAGTAAGTGACAGCACTGGCGAGAACTGCAGTCTTGGATCTAGGTATTACATTTCAAGTTTTGTTACATTTTTATTTGACTACAGCAGGATTTCTTTAGAGTAGACTAATTTCTTTCAGGCACTGAGCCAAGGTAATTTGTGAGATGGAGAAAGGTTCCCTCTCTCTCTCTCTCTTCCTCCTACCCTTCTTCCCTGTCCCTCTCCTTCTTTCTTCCTCATTTTGTCAAGAGAATATAAAGATACATATGAATATTATAGAACTTGCATTTTATTTTGGCCTGAATTATTGTTTTTTCATTCTACTATGAAATGGCTATTATATGTTAAGCAAAATAAAAATTTATCGAGCAATTTTTTAGTAACTGAAAGGGAGGCAATATTTCAGATACCTTTTTCCTCTAATGGCAAAGTTCAACAAAATGTTCACCTGATCCTTTCATTCAGGGTAGAATAGGTTTTCCTATCATTAACACACATCTAATTTTATGTCTCTGAGAAAGATGTCTTGGAGGCTCTCAATTTTTCCAGTCATCTTTAGCAGACACTGAATTGCAAGAATCATGTGAATTACTTTACCATGCTTTTTTTTCATAATTTTAAAAAAAGAATTTAAACATACAATGGCACTAGGGAAACAACATTGGTTCTCAGCATTTGGGAAATTTTTCCTGAATCCATCAAAGTGCAATTTCCTGACCACTGTCTTATGTTAAATAAATCAAGCCCTCTGGGTCTTAACTCTCCATTGCTGTAATTTAGGTGGAACTGGAGCAGGGGAATAAAAACAGGCTGAGACCAGTCAGGAATTAATGGATACCCTAGTTCCACATTTTCTCATCTCATGATAGACTTGGGGTCATTTCATTGCCTGTTAATACTTTCATCAGACTAGGCAAATATATGCTCTAGTAAGTCAACTGTGTTATTTTCAAGATTTTTGTTAGCTTTTTAAAAGAATTTATTTATTAGAAACTGTACTAAAAGTCATCACTGAAATTACACATCAGAACTCTTCCACAATTAATTTCTTTGCTATCCTTGTCTTTAACAAGGACCCAAAGTGTCAAATGCTTTATATGTTATGCATAAAAACCTTAAGCAGAAAAGACCATTATTATTCCTATTGTAAAGATGCAGGCATTAATTTTCTTGAGATGACACAATTCATATGGGGTGCAGCAGGAGCACAGATGGACATTTGGGTCCCAAATGTTCTCTTCCCTCCCCAAATTTATTTCCTTAATTTTACTGAAAACTTAAATTGTCATTTTTCTCTATAATTTTCCTCTTGTTACTGGGATAAATATGTTTGAAAATAAAATAGATTTTTAAAAAGTTAAAATGTCATCTGGATATTTCAAACTTTGCTCCAGATCACAATCCAGATCAAAGCCTGTCTTCACATGCCAAAGATTACCTTTTGCTGAATAATTTTCTTTTGGAATATGTATTTTTTCACAGATTTCATGTTTATGACAATGATGTTACCCACTGTGCCTCAAATAAAGAACTCTTTCTGGTCTAGACTTTTATAGAAACCTATGCATGCAACTTTCCATGTAAACAGTTTTGTTTAGGTTGAAATTAAAGGAGTGACGTCACTTCAGTAATTCCCCATGAAATATGGCTGTTAGTTAACTAACACCGTCAAGGTGCTGTCCAAGTTGCTTAACACATGTGTTTTACTAGTGCACGCCATTTGTGGGAAGAAACTCAAATAGTTTAGATTGGCAACTTCTGATAAATATGCTAGGAGGTGCTAAGTGCTCATTTTGCCTCGTATGTCAGCTCTGAGCTGCTGTTTGGCTGCCCCTCTGGAGTTCCTATCACTCTTCCCCGCTGGTCTCACTTTCTTGGATGTGACGTTTCCATTTATGAAACACAGCATGGGCTTCTAAAAATCAGACTAAAAATATCACTGCTAGTATGCCCTTCCCAAATAGTTTATAAAAGCATATATACTTCAAATTTCCATTTCACATTTTAACTGTTGATATATATTCTCCAAATGACTCTGCACTAAATTTCCAAACTACTCTATGCTCTGCCTCCCAACATAAATGTATCATAAAAAGCAGATTCCTTAGTGCAAAGAACTTTCATTGGATTACAAGTAATTGTCTATTTTATATGGAGAAAGATAGGAAAACGGTAACCCTAAGTGATGTCATTTTTGCTTAGCACAAATAAGAAAAAGTCAAAAAAGGCTTTGATTCTTAAACCCAGTGGCTCCACTTAAAAAAAAAAAAAAAGAAAAAAAAGTATGGAAATATTTGCGGTATCTTCGTTTCTCCTGTATGATTTCCTAATCTGAACGATGTGTCCAGCGCCTCATGGAAGAGACATAAAAAGTAACCCAGAAGACAAAGTCCTTTAAGCCAGGGCAGAATCCCTTGGCAGTTATTCCCTCACCAATCTGGACAGAGGGCTGGGAGACACACAGTCCTGGGCTGAGGTGGAGATGTAGATCACTCACCCTAACTGCGGGGAATATCAAGCTCTTTGTTCTTCAATCAGGCACCCAGCAACAGTAAGCCAAAACAAGGCTCCAGCATGCTAACATTGCTATGACCTAAGCTGCTCACACAGAGATCTCTCGTGATAGAAATGTGAATGAGTCACCTTTTGGTAATGAAGAGATCAAAAGACAGGACAGACATATTCCTTGGGAAAATCCAAATGACTCGCTCCAGGGTGGAGTTCATAGTCTACTTTGAAGAAGATACCTGGTACAACACTGCACAGAGTCTTTGTACCTGAAAGTATGTTGAATACTATTCACAATGAAAAGAAATGGGGAAACAAATGCCCATCAATGGGAAAGCTGACAAACACGCTATGGTATAGCTACATAATGGAATATTGTATCCCACTCTAAAGAATGAATTAGAGCAGCATGCAATTACATAGATCAATCATATCATTATAATATGAAGTGAAAAAGTTAAATTCCACACAGCATTAAAACTCTTTTGTAACGTTTAACAACTGCAATAATGATTATGATGATGAATGGAGTATCTCTAGATTTAATAAAATTATCTAAAAATTAACAAGAAAATGTGAGATTCCTATACAAAGTGATGGTTATATGGGGGCCTCATAACCACCATGGGTAGATGCAGGTTATTGTCATGGTCCTAGCTTTTGGTTTTGGTGGCTTCATGGGTGCTTATTACATTGTAATAGCAAAGCAAAAGTAGGTCATGGATCAATAATAATAAGAATCATGAATCAAATACTATGATTAATACAATATTATGCACCTGAAAGAGAAAAGGGGAGCACCACATATAGAGAGAGTAGTCTAGATAGATAAATAGATAGATAAATAGTATGTATGTATAGATAGATAGATAGATAGATAGATAGATAGATAGATAGATAGATAGACAGACAGACAGACAGAAAGACAGGAGAAATGCTGAAATAAATAAATGAAAGCATCATAAAAAAGAAAAAGAAATTGATCTGTTTTTCTGTTTTGAAAGTCTTAATTTCAGTAGGCCATGTAGTTTGTTTGCAGTTGGTGACCAGGATTTTACTAGCTTTTTGTTTCAAAATGACTTAACAACATCTCTTTTCTTCATAACATGACTACTACAGGCTGGAGTGCAGTGGCATGATCCCAGGTAACTGCAACCTCCGCCTCCTGGGCTTAGGTGATCCTAATGCCTCAAGCCTCCGGAGTAGCTGGGACCACATGCACATACTACCACGTCTGGCTAATTTTTGTATTTTTAGTAGAGACAGGGTTTCACCATGTTGGCCAGGCTGGTCTCAAACTTCCGGGCCTCAAGTGATCTGCCTGCCTTAGCCTCCCAAAGTGCTGGGATTACATGTGTGTGCCGCCGTGCCCGGCTACATTCACCCATTTAAGTCTTGTATTTTTTCCAAAAGCATATTATAATCAGCTTCATTGTAATAACCATCTTTGATCTGTCCCTTAATGTCTGTTTTACTTTTACTTCAAGTCACTAAATATATTTTAATGAGATTTTTCTCTGACAGCAATTAATGGGAGGATCATTAAAATCAAACACATTTCATTTGACACTCTTAAACTTTTATTGATTTATAAAAGTAATAGTTTTATGGTAAGTGGAAAGGTCCCATATTTTCATCCCACATTCAGTAAGCTTTAGATGTGCATATATTGTCTACTTGGCAGCACATAATGTGCCATAGATGTACCTACTGTTCTGGGGGATAAAGGTTGCAATGCCCTGTGACAGAGGCTCTAACAGCTTTGTATACATTGTTCCGGGGAGACAAGAGTTCTGGACGGAAATTCACTGAGGGCTCAAGAAAAAAACTGCCAAATAAATGGGTCTTCCCACCCCCAACCTTACTCTCTGTTTTAAATTTTTTGAATAAGTAATACATTTACATGGTTCAAAGTCAAAAACTTAGGTTAGGGCACTCAATGTGAAATCTCCTCTCCATTCCTTTTTCCAAGCCAGACAATTTCACCCCCAACAATATCCAATGCCACAGACTTTCTAGTCCTTCCATGGACATTCTATGCATTAACACACACACATACACACACACACTTTTTAATATTTTTTATGAAAATGTTTACAAATTGCCTTTGTCATGTAACAATATACCTTCAACATACGTTTATATCAATATATAAAGTGTCTGCTATCTTTTCGTAAGGATGAACAGTTTCCCACTGTGTGCATGTTTTTAATTGAATCAGTCCACTATCCTATATAGGTCTATGATATTTTGCTATTACAAAAAAAAGACAGAAGGAATAACCTTATTAAAATCCATCATTTCTTGATTATGAGTATAGACAAAACAACTTTTTAGAATTAAAACTAAGTGATTAAATATTATAGTATGGATATTTGTAATTTTGATAGATATTTCTAAATTGCCCTCTATATAGGGCACTTTTATACTCTTATCAGGAATTTGTGAGAGTGTCTATTTCTTAACACCCTCACCAATACAGTTTGCCATTAGAATTTTTATTTTATCAACATTTAGAAGTAAAAAATAGTGTCTCACAGTTTTATATTACACTCTCTTATTCTAAATACACTCTGCTTATATAAATAAGGATAAATATGTTTTTGCGAGTCACTGGTATTTCCCTTGCCATCAATAGTCAATTCATATCCTTGAACATTTTATTGGATATTTTCTTACTGATTTGTGGAATCTCTTTGTACTAGAAAAATTTGTCTTTCTGTGTGTTATGAGTTACAAATGCTTTTCCCAGTTTAGCATTTGTCTTTTTTTCTGGTTAGTAATTTTTTTTTCTTTTATTGCCATGTAATTTATTTTATTTTATGTAACTGAATTTATTAATCTATTTCTCTATAACTTTTAAGTGGCCAACACACTGAAATATGCTTTCTCAGGTCTAAGACTATATAAAAATGCTCATGATTATTTTTAGTATCACTTTCTTTTGTATACATAATATTTTATACAAAATTGTATAGATAATATTTGTATCTTTGATTCATTTAAAATTTATCCTGGTATAAGATGTGACACATAGATCCAAATTTATCTGTTTCAAATAATACCCTGTCATCTCAACATGATTCACTGCATATTTGATCTTTTCCCTTATTGATTTAAATGGCACAATTTCAACTTTTACTGAAATTTCTATTGTGTTTCATTGGGCTATTTACATGCTAGTACCATAGTAATTTAAATATTTTCGCTTTATAACATGTTTTAGTATCTAAAATGTCCTGTTCTCCAGTCTTTCAAATATTTTGCTGTCTTATCTTTCCATAGGAATAGTAAAGTACACTCTTGGCTATTTTAAAACTATTTCTTTAGACTATTGCTACTGACTCCTGTATTAATCCATTTTCACATTGTTATAAAGAGCTACCTGAGACTGGGTAATATATAAAGAAAAAAAGTTTTATTTTATTGGCTCATGGTTCTGCAGGCAGTACAGGAAGCATGGCTAGGGAAGCTTCAGGAAACATACAATCATGGTGGAAGGTGAACAGGAAGCAGGCACCTGGCCAGAGCAGGAGAAAGAGAGACAGAAGGGGGAAGAGCTACACACTTCTAAACAACCAGATCTCATGAGAACTCACTCACTATCACGAGAACAGCAAGGAAGAAATCTGCCCCCATGATCTAATCACCTCCCACAAGGCCCCTCTTCCAGCATTGGGGATTACAATTTGACATGAGATTTGGGTGGGGACGTAGGGCCAAGCCATATCAACTACCTTCTGTGAACAAAGATAAAATTAGTTCAGTTCCACTTTCTTACACCTACTTTTGTTTTCCAAGACCTGCAATTACAATTCTAAAGTCATAATGAATGAATTATTTAGGCACAGAATACATTTTAATTTAATTAACAGAAAATATAACAAAAATCCCTTAACTGAATATCTAACATATCAGCCAGAGAGGCGGCATAGAATACTTCGGAGAGAAACGTTTACTTTTTCAGGAATTAGCCCTCATGGGCTAACTTCTTAAAAGGCTCCATGGAAACCAGCTATTATGAGTGCAGTGCTTAAATTGGTCAATCTGGGGAGGGGGCCTGAAGCAGTAGATTTGGGTTGGAGCCAGTGAACTGCCAGGTCATACATCTGCAATCCCTGACGATACAAATAAAAAGTTCTCCCAACCAGGAAGGCTCAAGTGAAGAAACAGAAATGAAGGTCAAGGCTCTGTATTTTTTTGCCTTCATTTTTTCAGGGCAGACAGATGATGCTTTTTCCAATCACGCAGCTTATAATCTCTACAGCCAGTGCCAGGATCTTTAAACTGGATCTACTTCCAGCCTTGGTAGATTCTGGCCAGGGTACTACCACAAAATGCAATGGGCAAAGGGAGAATCACACTCTTACTGCAACTGCTGTCTCCATGAGTTTCCCCGTCAGTGCAGTCCCAGGCTGGGATGTGTGCCGCCTGGTCATCCAACACCTTTGTTTGCTCAATAGCACTGGCTAGGAGCAAAAGCTTTGGAGTCAATCTAGCACACTGGCATTCTGGCTCTTCTGTTTCTCATCCATATAATCCTAAGAAAGTTACTTGGCCTCTTTGTGCCTCAGTTTTTTCATCTCTAAGGTGAGTTAATAATAGTAACTAACCTCACAGCTCTGTGGTGATGATTTAATAAGATAACCCATGTAAAGTAGTTTAAATATTGTCTGGACTATAGAAAATGTTCAATTAATACAGCTTTTATTAATTTTATTTTGGTACATATATCCTGCTGGCAGAGTCAGGCAAGAAAAATAGTTCAGATACAATATGGTAAGTGAGGAATAAATTATTTGTGATGGGGGCAGAAAGCAGGTTTGAGTGTAGCACCCCTGACTTTCTTATTCGAGAGAGAGGGAATACATATGTTTTAACTACAGTGTTATAAATTAAGCTAAGATGATTTTCATGGTTTTTAAATTTATGACCCAAAAAGTCTTATCTGTTTCCAATGTTAGCAATCCCCTTGCTTCACTCTCCATTTTAATGAGTTTTCCCCTTGAGAATGTTAATGGATTTATTTTTATTTATTTTAAAATTAATATACTTTATGTAATATGAATAAGAGCAAGTACTTTTCAGTTTAGTACAGAAAGTTTATTTTCCATGGTTTATCTAAGCAGAGTTGGAACAGCAGCAGAGGAGACTGTGCCAACAACTTTTATGAGTTTCATGAGCCTAAATAAATATATTTGTTGTCACAAGTCTCAAACAACAAAATGCTGTGTTAATGGAACAAAGCTGAAAACTCTTCAAACTAAATTGCAAACAACTATCTGCCACATAAAGAGCCATTTAAGGGAAACTTTCCAATACAATGATGTTCTTTTTCTGCCTCCCATGTAAGCCAGGAAAGAATAACTAGCTCAAGGAATGTTAACGAAGGTATAGTCTGGAAGGGAGGATCACGCAAGGACATCTGGCTCCTGCTTGTGCTTTATCCACATGGACTGAAATTCAAACGAAAATACTTTATTGTACAAAAGAAAAACGCTGAGCTGTCTTTTAGTGTACCATTTCATATTATATTGATGTGTTCTCCTTCCCTTCTTCATTTAAATTAAATGGATATTTAAATTAATGGATGTTTGAACAGAGGAAGTTAACTGAAACAACCTTCTCTTTGCATGTGAAGAAATGGTTTATTCCACCAAAGAATAATTTTATCCGCTGTATTACAGAATTAGGAAATTAGATTTGGGAACCAAACTGGCACAGCAGAAATAAACATGGCTGCAGTGAGCATCATGAGAGGTTTTTTTGAGATCCAGGACCCTAATTGAGCAAAGGGGGATAATAACTGGTTCTCCTTAAAACAGACACACACACACAAACACACCACATACATACATACACACACAGAGAGAGAGGAAAAGGGAGAAATATGTATTTCTTTCTGCTTTGGGTTCAGATTTACAGCTTACCTAGTTGTCTATATCTGAATATGAGGGAAAAAAAGAGTCGCAGGAGAATCAAACAACATAAGCCTCCATGATAGATAGTGACAGACATGTTTCAAACATTAAGTTAGGAGATGAATGCTGCCCCCAGCATTAAAACATTTTTAATAAAAACTATATATGCTCAAACTTGATTTTTTGGCAGAATAAGCCTTTCAGAATAAGATTTCTGTTAAGAAGACATCACAGTGAATGAGCAGAAGACATTTCTTTCTTTTAGCTAAAAAGCAAAGGTCCTTGACATCAGAAGCATTACCTGCAGGTGACCAAAGAGGAACCATGACACAGAAGATCTAAACATTTGAAACTGCATTTAATGTTTACATGCTCTTGATCTCTCAATGGCAACCAAAGGAAAATCAAATTATTAACAAAACAAAAAATGCTAAGATGAAGCAAAAATTCCTTTGAGGAAGACCAGTAGCTTCTTTCCAAATTCAGTTTTAACTCTGGACCCACATTTTACCTTCCATTTGGACCTTCAGCCCAAGTCAAATAAACTAACTTATTATATATCCTACTCTCAATTAATCAACATATATTTGTTTGGAGCCTACTAAACTTTTCTAGGCTCTGGGATACAGCACTAAAGACAGAGGCTCTGTCCTGAAGGATCTCATTCAAGGGTTGGAGTGAGATAGTTAACAAAAAAATACACACAGAAAATATCAATAACATAATGTTTAACGATTAATAAGCTAATTGCAGTTTCTTGTTAAGGATACCACCATTTTCCTAATTACTCAGACCCAAAATACTGAACTTACTTTTCTTATTTCTGAACAGACCTAGTAACTTAAAGACCAAAAAAGGTTTTTAAAGAGAATTTAATTGCTGTGTGAGCAGAAACATGAAATGTGCTACTGTAAAAACAGGAAGAACATCATCTTAAATCTGCCAATAGTACTATGTTTTATATTTGCACTGTAATTCACATAATAAATTAAAATATTTTACCTTTGATAGTTGATCAAAAGTAATTGCTATAGTTATATTTTTATTTAGAGCAAACATTACATTTATGGCAAGATTTTTACAGACACTACATTATCCATAAAACTGACTACAATTCAAAACCTGTCACTAAGTGTAGCAACTGTTTATAGTTTTTCCAGATATATTATACTACTGATTACATTAAATAGTTTTATATAAGCAAATATCACTTGTTCTTTTTTTTTTTTTTTTTTTTTTTTTTTTTGAGACGGAGTCTCGCTCTGTCGCCCAGGCCGGACTGCGGACTGCAGTGGCGCGATCTCGGCTCACTGCAAGCTCCGCCTCCTGGGTTCACGCCATTCTCCTGCCTCAGCCTCCCGAGTAGCTGGGACTACAGGCGCCCGCCACCGCGCCCGGCTAATTTTTTGTATTTTTAGTAGAGACAGGGTTTCACCTTGTTAGCCAGGATGGTCTCGATCTCCTGACCTCAAGATCCACCCGCCTCGGCCTCCCAAAGTGCTGGGATTACAGGCGTGAGCCACCGCGCCCGGCCCACTTGTTCTTTTATATAAAGAAACAATATTACCCAAATAAAATTGAAAATAGCTGCTTTTAAGAAATATTTAAATAAATATGCCTTATACACAAGTAAGGCCTTCATAAAACCTTTATATTTCAAATTCTAATCACTACTTCTTCCAATTCTGCTATTCCCCACCAATCCCAAATATTAAATCACATAATTATTTCTGGGCAATGGTTAAATGGATTTGGCTGCCTGGGCAGGAAGCAAAGAAAGGCACGACTGGATTCAGGGCTTTGGGTGGTGCCTACGTGCTATCAATGTCCCTCTTTCCTAAAGAACATAGGCAAGTGGTGAATAAAGACTTGTACTGTCTTTCTCCCATGTCTGGCTTGGCTCTGTATGCTGCTTTGATGAAATGTAACATAGAAAAGCCTCATTCCATTTTTAACTAAGAAGAAATACATTGTTCGATGTGCATTAGAAATGTCACAACTACTATAATCAGTCAGTGGCTGTGCCTTCTCATCTATAATCAAACTTTGTTCCCAAGTACATCTAGTTTAGATATTAGTCCAGAAGTAAAAAGTGAAAGGGAGTGAGAAAAGTTTGAGCAACACAATCAACTTACAAAAAGCCAGGAGAAAAAATACAAAAAGCGGCCAGGAAAAAGCAGCACAACCCAGAATTTCTGCAGATCCCTGAGTTTTTGGTCTAATGTGGGTGCTTCTTCAGGTAATTCAGATATTTTTTCATGTCTTCCAAGTGTTACTTTCACCTTTCCACTACAGGCTGACTTTGACTATCGACAGTGTATTTAAGTAGTATAAGACACTTGGGCATTCTTGTAAACAATTTCACAGAGAATTTATTTGGTCCTTAAAATAATCAACTATGTTTTTTTAAACTTTCTTCCTAGAGGGAGCATGAAATTAATTTGTAATTACATAAAATGTATATAACTATAACAATTAATTTGGAGCTAAGTATACATGAACCAGGGCAAATGAAAAAAAACAGGATAATACATGTCTCAAGGATTTATAAGATTATGGTTTCTGGCATTGAAACAATGGCATATGTACCCACATTCTATCTCTTATGAAATAATATAGTTCATACTGCTGTTTATCTTCTATAATTAAACTTTAGATTTTGCCTCTTCCCATTTTCTTTTTTACAAAGAGGAATGCAGCTGTTTACAACCAATCAACAAAAAATAAACTACTTTTGGAAAGAGAAAGAGCAAAAGACTTAATTTGACTTGATGATAATGCTTATGTCACAAAAAATGAGAACAGTTATACTCTATTGCCTTTAGAAAACTGCCTTAGATGAAATAAATTTATTTAAGTAACATAACTGAAAAGATAAACATTGTATCAAAACTACTAGAATCATCAAAACTATTCTAAATATCCATGATCATTGAAGCCACATGCACTTAGAAACTTCTTGAATTTTATAAAAATGATACAGGTTTTGATCACAGATATATATAACAAATAAATTTATTCTATTAAGAACTGCTAATGGAATTTACATTTCAATATTATAATCCATATTTAATATTGCAGAAAAGTATTAGGTTTTTTGATATCTTTATTTGAGCAAGCTATTCTTTATTGAGATATTTGTAGTGGTAATTTCCAAACCCTTCCTGAATCAATAATCCATTTAAAAAAATTTGATGGCCAAACAATATTCAGTATACCAATTAGAGTATTTTATTTTATAATATATGACACGGTGCCAACTACTAACACATCATTTACACATGATACTGTATTTCACTTGGACTTCTTATTTCTATCTCAATTTTCGTTTTTGATATAACTTTATAAGTGAAATGGAAACCTACTTTATTAAGAAGAAACATAAATGGCTGGATTACTCCCATTCTCAATGCAACACAACTGAGATAACAAACTAGATGCAAATGCTCATTGACTCTTTTCAAATCAAACCCACTAAGGCTACAATACACAAACACAGAACTACTCTAGGCTTAAACCTATGCTTTCATAGTAGATAAAGAGTTTTAATTGTGACCAGTAGTCTTCAAAATTTCAAATGAAGTCCTGTTTTTCTTGCATTAAAGTCACAATTAGGCATGCTTCCCAAAGTAGAGAGACTCACCTTCACATTTCTGAGTAGTTTCACTCTGTTTGTGACCAGCAGGGCATCTGCATTCAAAAGAGCCCACTGTATTGATACAGTTTCCTCCTTGGCATATCCCTGGGATAGCCTGGCATTCATCAACATCTGCAAGAAGAAAACATTTTGAACACAGATGACACTGGTTTTCAGAATATCTATACTTTTTTTTACTATAAAAACTTTATATAAACATTCTTCTAAGAAACTCAGTTTTTCTCAAGAGAGTGGGGTTAGAGAAGTAAAACACCTTTGTATGCATATGTTTTAATTTATGTAAATGGTATCATGTTATATATCTTAGTTTGTTTCTTAATTTTCCTTTTAGAATTTTGTTTTTAAGATCCATCCTGTTGTGGGAAGTCAGGGACCCCGAACGGAGGGACCGGCTGAAGCCATGGCAGAAGCATGGAAATTGTGAAGATTTCATGGACATTTATTAATTCCCCAAATTAACACTTTTATCATTTCTTACGCCTGTCTTTACTGCAATCTCTGAACATAAATTGTGAAGATTTCATGGACATTTATCACTTCCCCAATCAATATTCTTGTGATTTCCTATGTCTGTCTTTACTTTAATCTCTTAATCCTGTCATCTTCGTAAGCTGAGGATGTAGGTCGCCTCAGGACCCTGTGATGATTGCGTTAACGGCACAAATTGTTTAAACGATATGAAATCTAGGCACCTTGAAAAAAGAACAGGATAACAGCGATGTTCAGGGAATAAGGGAGATAACCATTAGGTCTGGCTGCCTGAGAGCTGGGTGGAACAGAGCCATATTTCTCTTCTTTCAAAAGCAAATAGGAGAAATATCGCTGAATTCGTTTTCTCAGCAAGAAACAGCCCTGAGAAAGAGAATGCGTTCCTAGGGGGAGGTCTCTGAAATGGCTGCTCTGGGACTGTCTCTCTTTTACAGTTGTAGATAAGGGATGAAATAAGCCCCGGTCTCCCTTAGTGCTCCCAGGCGTACTATGTACCAGGATGAGGAAATTCCCGCCTAATAAATTTTGGTCAGACTGGTTGTCTGCTCTCAAATCCTGTCTCCTGATAAGATGTTATCAATGACAATGCATGCCCGAAACTTCATTAGCAATTTTAATTTCGGCCCGGTCCTGCGATCTTGCCCTGCCTCCATTTGTCTTGTAATATTTTATTACCTTGTGAAGCATGTGATCTCTGTGACCCACAGCCTATTCGTACACTCTCTCCCCTTTGAAAATCACTAATAAAAACTTGCTGGTTTTGCGGCTTGTGGGGCATCACGGCACCTGCCGACATGTGATGTCTCCCCCGGATACCCAGCTTTAAAATTTCTCTCTTTTGTACTCTTTCCCTTTATTTCTCAGACTGGCCAACACTTAGGGAAATAGAAAAGAACCTACGTGAAATAACATTGAATTATTGGGGGCGGGTTCCCCCATACATCCATACTGTTATGTGGACAATCTGTTGCTTCAGTTGGCTGCAGAACACTTAATGTGTTTCCTCTCCTGATCATGGGCACTTGGTTTATCTTTAGCTTCTCAAAACCTCAGTGAATGGTACAGTGAATGTCTCCACTACGTTTCTTTGTGGAATGACTATGGACATTGAGGACTCAGATTCTTTATCACTTTGCTGTAGACCCAGAGCAGAATTACTAGATCATAGGGTATAATGAATAAATAGTGTCCAGTGGTCCTTCAGAATGCCTGCAGGAGTCTTCATACCACTAGCAGTCTACACACCTCTACTGTTCATGAAGACTCCTGCATTTCTTCTTTCCTGCCAATACATGATATTACTATCCAATATCCTAATTTTCTTTCTTTTTTTTTTTTAGACCAAGTTTTGCTCTTGTTGCCCAGGCTGGAGTGTGCAGTGGCGTGATCTTGACTCACTGAAACCTCCACCTCCCAGGTTCAAGCGATTCTCCTGCCTCAGCCTTCCTGAGTAGCTGGGATTACAGGCATGCACCACCACGCCCGGCTAATTTTGTATTTTTAGTAGAGATGGGGTTTCTCCATGTTGGTCAGGCTGGTCTTGATCTCCTGACCTCAGATGATCTGCCCGCCTCGGCCTCCCAAATTGCTGGGATTACAGGCATGAGCCATGAGCCACCGTGCCTGGCCTCCAATATCCTAATTGTCTTGTATTGTAAAGGAATATTGTAATATTGTAAATATTGTAATATTTGTAATATTATAAATACCCTAATATTGTAAAGGAATACTAATTATTACTTTAGTTTTCATTTCTCTAATTACTAGCTCCTACACTTACTAGCTTTTTTATTTCCTCATGTGAAAGTTGTCTATATTCCTTGAACACTCTTATATTGGAATTGTTGGAATTGTCGTCCTCTTACTCTAAATTTAAAATTTCAGTTTTAGACATTGAAATTATCATCCTATCCTTTAAATTGTCTATTAATTTCATCCACATAGGAACAGAAATCCTTAGTATTGACATAATAAAATTCACGAAGCATTAATAAAGAATTTTTGGACTTTAAATGTAAAAGGAAGCTCTTCAGGTAAAATAAAAGTGAGATTAAAATTCTAACCTACACACAGAAAATGAAAAGCAGTAGGAATGGTAATATGTTAATAGAGATAAAATATATTTTCTTATTTTTTAATTAACCTTAACAGAATTGATTTTTCCAAGCAACAACAACAATAACGTATTTTGGATGTTATAACACATAGAAGTAAAAAGCATAACAACAATAACATGAAAAATTGAAGAGGTAAATGGTACCATTGTAAAGTTATTACATTATAAGTGAAGTGGCATTATACTATTATACTATATAATAGTATAATTATACAGTATACTATATAGTATACGTATAATTACATAGTATACTATATAGTATACTGTATAATTTATAGTATACTATATAATAGTATACTGTATAATTATATAGTATACTATATAATAGTATACTGTATAATTATATAGTATACTATATAATAGTATACTATTAAACTATGGCATAATAATATTATACTATTTGAAAATAGAATGTAGTAAGTTAAATACGTATAAACACTAAAAAATAAGCAGAGATATAGCTAATAATCCAACTGTGGAGATAAACTGCAATACAAGAATATACACTATTAATCTAAGAGTCAGGCAAAGAGAAAAAGAGTAACAAAGAATAGGTGAGACAGACACGAGATAGTAAAATGACAGATTTAAACACAATAAAATTGATAATCATATGAGATGTCAGTGGTACGAAAAATTCCATTAAAAAGTCTGATTGTCAGATTTTTAAAAAGCAAGACTCAATTTTAGGCTGTCTACAAGAAAACTCCTTTGACATCTTAAAAAGTAAAGAGATGAAAAAGATATATTAAGAATTCAATTAAAAAAATCTGGAATGGCTATGTTAATACTATAAGTAGTACTCATCACGACAAGTAATAAAGTGTGTGGATAAAAATGGACATTGCATAATGACAAAGGGGTCAATTCATCAAGAAGACATGATAATGCTAACTGTGCATGCATGATTATAAAGCATTAAACTCCTGGAGCAAGGGTAATTTCAGCAGATAAAGCTGAAAACAGAAATAGATAACCTGCAAGTATGTGGAAATTTCCACATTCTTCTCTTAACTAAAAGAATAAGTAGACTGAAAATCATCAGGGATATATTAGACTTGAACCATATTTTCAACCAACTTGTCCTAGTTGACATTTATAGAATACTCCACCTCACTTAAGCAGAGCACACATTCTTATCAAGTGCCCACAGAATATTTACCAAGAAAGACTATATTCTGAGGCCATGTAAAAGGTTCATTAAATGTAAAAGAAAGTTAAAATAATCCAAAATATGTTCTCCAAACACAACAGAGTTAAACTAGAAAGTAATAAAGGAAAAAATCTGGAACAACCTCAAATATCTGAAATTTAAACAATATACTTTGAAACAATGCACAGGTCAAAGAAAAAAAATCACATGGAGAAATAGAACATATTTTGAATTAACTTAAAATGAAGATACACCATATCAAAATTTGCAGGATGCAGCTAAAGTGGTGCTTAGAGGTAAATGTATAGCATTAAAATGCTTATAGTACAAAAAGAGAAGCTTCTTAAATCAATGATCTCAGTTTCCATATTAAGACATTTTAAAAAGAAGAGCAAATTAAACCCAAAGTAAATGGAATCAATAAAATAATGATGATAAAATACAAAAAAATAGAGATAATCAATTACTATAAAACCTGGCTTTTGGAAATACAAGTAAAAAAATCAGTTGATTTTTATAATAAACACTGTATATAAAAATAAATGTGAATTTACACAAATTTGTTACACTCTCTTCAAACTTACAAGCTTACATAATAGATTTATTAATGCTATATACTTAATTACAAAATAACATATCTCATTGCAACAAATGTTAAAGATACAGAAAATAGAAAATTAAAGAAATAACCATCAATATAAATTTGCTTCTGTCTTTTTAGACTTTTATTCACACACATATTCAGGATGATGGTCTGTTTATTTAACGAGAATAAAACCATAGTATATGTGTTTTTCTGCATCTTGTTTTTCTTCATTATAAAATATTTCATGAACACATCTCTGTGTCAGTACATATCAATTTGCCCTATTATTTTTTGGTAAGCTCAAAAGTTCTGTATATCTCAGTGTGTAAATTAGTGAATTCAAGCCTACAGATTATTTCTTCCTCCTATTAGCTATATCTATTGAACTAATTACAAAAGTCCAAAGTATTTTTGTACTGAATTAAAGTAGATTTCAGTGTCTTATTAAAGGATACATGATGTAAACAAAAATCAACTATGAATACAATATATGGCAAGAAGTCTATATACTAAACATTCTAATTCAGCACATTTTAAACCTCATTATTATTATTGTTATTATTATTTTTTGAGAAATTATTATTATACTTGCTCCTGTTGCCCAGGTTGGAGTGCAATGGTGCGATCTCGGCTCCCTGCAACCTCCACCTCCTGGGTTCAAGCGATTGTCCTGCCTCAGGCCTCCTGAGTAGCTGGGATTACAGGCATGAGACACCTCATCCGGCTAATTTTGTACTTTGAGTAGAGACAGGGTTTCACCATGTTGGTCAGGCTGGTCTCGAACTCCTGACCTCAGGTGATCCACCCGCCTTGGCCTCCCAAAGTGCTGAGATTACAGGCATGAGCCACTGCGCACAGCCTTAAACCTCATTTTTAAATGTACTACACTCCCACTCTCATTACAGTGTGGTATAAAAGAGCTCTAGAAACTTGTTTTCCTGGCAGATAAATCAGAGAAAAAATATGGTAAAAGCTGAAAAATGAGACCAAGTCTATAAAACCTTAACATTATTCATAAAATTGTATGCTGCATACGGATTATAGTAGATTCAGTGATTTTTCAAAAAGAAAAACAATTCAGCATCATAGGATTTATTCTGTAACTGCCTAAAAAGTATTTTTTTAGAAGAACGAAACCCTTATTTTTGAAGTCTCCTAGGCTCTGCAGTTATGTAGAATTAATTTCTTTTAGTTAGATCAAGTTAGCAGTTAAAATAAAAAAGAAAATTTAAAAGAAATTATATAGAAATAACCAAAAAATAACCACTTTGGACCAAGATGTGCTCTTTATAAATATAAAAAAGCATGCCTCAAGCCTTCAAACTATGCAAGAATTTCTACATCTGCAAAGTCCTATCACAAGCAACTACTAATGATTGATTAATTCTCCAATGACCAGACTGTACAGATGTTATCTTTGCTCATTCCTTCAATTCAGGCAAAAACTTACTATTTCTTTAAATTTTGAATTATTCCAAATCACATGTAACAATTTTATAGAACACAATTATATATTTTGAAATTTATACCTTATGCAATAACGTCAGTCCATGTCTATTAAGGTTAAAAATAATGTAACAAAGCAACAATAATTCTAGTTTATAACCTCATTTATTCTCCAAATTCTCCGTGTAAACTTGTTCTAAAAAATTAAACTTATTTTATTACATAAATTATTATTAGATGATATATTATTTTTAGTTCATGTCCAAATATGGAAAATATGTGCAGTATTATAGGCATATAAAAATGGTTCATTTAATTTATATGTGTAGCAACCAGGGGACATAGAAATTACTACTATATTTCATAGCGTGTTTTTTAACTTTTCTTGTTACCAAATTAGATCCATTTCTAATTTTAATTTTTTTACATTGAACTTGCTTTTTCTTTTCAATTTTTATGGTTTCGGGGATACAGGTGCGGGTTTGTTATGTGAATATATTGCATAATGGTAAGGTTTGGGCTTCTAGTTAACCCATTATCCAAATAGTGAAAACTCAGTAGGTACTCAATAGGTAATTTTTCAGTCCTCATCCCTCCTCTCAGCCTCCCTACTTTTGGAGTCCCCAGTGCTTATTATTTCCATTAGTAAACAGAAATTCTTATTTCTATACTCTGTAGATATTCACACATAATATTTTATTCCTATGAAAACAAATGTCTAACTTTAAGGGCAGCAACTAAATAATAGGTCTATTTCTATTTGGAATCTGAAACATATGGGGTGTCCTAGCAATCATTTAATATGGTTTGATCCAGAATGAATATCTACTCATGTATGATACACAAAATTCAAATGTTAAAATGATCATCAAAACAAGTATATATTGGTAACTTGATATCTGCAGGACCCTGAAATTGTAATAACAAGAACAGAGCATGGTTCTATCTCGATCTTATCTTCACAAATGTCACCATCGTGTTCCAGCTGTTAAAGTCAGAAGCCTAAGAGAGAAACTTGGCATGTTCCTCTCACTTATGTCACATCACTTCATCAGCAACAACTGCTTACTTTCCAAGAATATCTCAAATCTTTCCTCTGCTACTACCCGGTCTCAGCCTCCATCATATAGCACCTGGACTACTGCAGAAACTTTATAACTGGCTTCTTGGCATCCACTCTGGCCTTCCTATAACTGATGCTCCACAAAGCATCATTGCTTTAAATTTCCATTAAAAATGTTGTTTTTAATTTCCTTGAGATAAGAGAGAAGTATATAAACTTTGCATTTATTTGGGTAGTAATTCTTTGAAGCATGTTCATACCCGCCTTTTACTTATGTTTTCTTTTTTTGTTGTTGGTTTTCTTTTTTTTCAGTTTTTATATGCAGGCCTTTCTCTTTATTATTCATCTCTCAATGCAGCCATTTCCTGCTGAAATGCAGAGTGGGGAAGGCTCAAAGGAAACGTGTTGGTTTGAAACTTCCACAAGGCATAGTCCTGAAACAGTTTGTCACCAAACTCCTCCCCCAACTTTTTTTTCCCTTGAGCATCAATTTTCAACTGTCAGTTGGTGGTGTGACTCTTATATTTACAGATTACTTGCTAGTGGTCCATACTTCCTCTTTGTCCTTCCACCCTCCTGTACCTCACTCAAGGAGTGTCTCTGGGATGGAAGACTGGGAGTAGAATACTCAGAAATGGCTTGCCCCCCCCCCAAGTTTCTCCTTCCATTACCCTCTGTTACTGTGAGGTTCTGAAGTAGATCTGTCTCTTATGGGAACATCTCCTCCTCTCCAATAGAACATCCACAATCCTAGCTCTCTGCTCTTAGTAGGTTCAAACACCTTTCAGGATTATGACACTCAGAGTAAATGCTTAGAAAACTCTCCCTGTCCCAGTGACTTCCCAACAGCTACATGTGCTCATCACTGGTTTTGTTCCAGGATTTTGTTTTAGAATGATGTGTTGTTCTCTATTATTCATTTTCATGTTAGTTTTTTGTGGGGTTAGAAGAAGAGGAATATTCTGTTATCTTTAAATAGGAGTTTCTATAATTGAGTTTGCTTTAAAGTTTTTTAATTGTTTAGGAATAACTTGTGTTAATACAGCATGAATTAAAGTTAGACTTTATAATGATCTCGTTAACTTGGTTAATGTAGGCAGCCAAGATGAATTTGTTTTGGCTGTAACTATCTTTAATAATTTATTCTAATCAAATAAATCAGATAATAGCCAAGTTTACTTTTTACTTGGCTATGTGGAAGGCTTGGAAATAACTTTCTACTCAGGGCGTCTTCTGCTCATTCAACAATTGAGGAGCTAGCAACATCTGCCTGATTTCAGCTGAGATTAAAGTCCTCTACTCTCTCACATGCAGTCAGACTAAAGAAATTATGTTTCTGGTGCACTAACGCCATATGAAAAGAACACACACCAGCATTTGTTTTGCAGAAACCAATTTAGGGTCTGTATTGCTATTTCTTTATTCATGACCTTATCCTGTGTCCTAGCTAGGGCCTGTGTCAAATATGTGAATTCCTGTGCATTTCACATTACCTGGAAAGGAGCAGAGGCTTGGCATCAATGTTATTATCATCAATGATGAAGCAAGAGATGAAATTTCACAAACAATTTTCTTCTGCTATACCTTCAGTTTTGAAGCATTTGAAGTAGTTTAAAAGCCTAATCCCTAAATATCACATGGTACAAAAATTAATAATTATGCCAGTTTAATTTTAATATATTTAAAAAAATTTTAGGAGCACCCTGTTCATTTGAAAACCTAAAAGATCCAAAGCCAAGTACTAATCTTAAACAAAATGTCACTCCTAATTAGAGTAGGTTCATGAGACTAAAGACAAAAAAAGAAGAAACTTTGTAAGAAAATTATACATCATATGCACATGGCAATTTGTTATATATTTAAAGTTCACAAATATTATTGGAAAAGGGCTTAATGACACTATTAACATTTTTAATTCACTTGTTTTATGATAGCTTAAATTTTAAGTCCTATATGAGTTAACTTTGGTCCTTTAATGTATAATAAAATGGAAGAAAGTAGATTAAATGTGGATTAAGCACAACGGCTAAAACTCAAATGGCTCTCAATATTAAAGCCATCAAGAATTGATATGACTGATTTCATACCACGCTAGGAGGGCACACCTTTCTGACACTACTTAAGTCCAGAATGTTAGCATGGCAACAGTTTAAAGTAAAATGTGGGGCCAAGATGGCCGACTAGAAGCAGCGTCTCTCAGAGGCTCCCATCAAAAAAAAACAAAGAGTGTGAATCCTTCACTGGCAACCAATGTATCCAGGTTCTTTCATCAAAGTTGACTAGAAGGCTGGCGTGATCCACAGAGAGAAGGATGAGTAGTGTGGTGCCACGGCCCACTTGAGAGCCACACGGGGATGGGAAACCCCCTCCCCGCAGCTAAGGGAGGTCATGAGTGAGTGTGATACCCAGCCTAGTAAACTGTTTTTTCCAGGGAACTGTGCAACCCACGAATCGGAGGATCCCACTCTCAAACCCAAGCCACAGGGGACTACCATCTCAACCCTGGAACGTACAGATTATTACAGCCTCTGAGCAGGAATCTGCTTAAGCCTATGGAGCCCCCCGGGGGTTGTGGCGACCAGCTCCAGCTGCTGCTGTCTGCTCTCTAAGCCTTTTGAGCTCCTTGGGGGAGGGTTAGCAACAAAAAAAAAAAAAAAAAAAAAAAAAAAAAAAAAGCAACTGCTGAACACACTAAGCTCTCTGGGCACGGGGAAGGGCTGCATCCATTTCTATAGCTCCCGGCTGTGCTTTTCCCCTGCTGGAGCCAGGGAGGTTGGATGGCTTGGTCCCAAGACTTGTCCTCACAGCCCAACACACTGGCTGTGGCAGTCTGAGGCCAGAGTGCCTCTTCAGGTCTAACCCTGACCCATCCTTCCTCAGTGGGTGGGGCCTTCCTGCAGGATCTCCGATAACTCCAGCCAGAGGCTCAGAGACAGAATTTGGATCTCCCTGGGCCTGAGCCCCTAGGGGGAGGGGTGGCTGCAGTCTCGGGATCAGCAGACTTAGCCTCTCCTCCTGGTAGTTCTGAGGAATCTGGGCAGCCCGGCCGAGTGGGTTTCCCCCCAGCAAAACACACTCTCTCCACCAAAGGACAAACTGCTTCATTAAACGGATCCTGCTCCCAGTGCCACCCAACTGGGTGAGACCCTCCAAAAGCGGTTGTCAGACTCCTTATAGAGGAGAGATCCTACTGGCATTAGATTGGTGCCCCTAGAGGTGAGAGGTCCCAGAAGGAGCAGGCACCCATCTCTGCGGCTCTCTAGTCTCCTTGAGTGACATCTCTAGTCATGGGGGCGAATCAGATGAATAAGGCCTGAAGTGAACCCCCAGCAAACTGCAGCAGCCCTACAGAAGAAGGTCCTGACTACTAAAAGAAAGACAAACAAGCAGAAAGTGACAACAACAGCATCAACAGCAATAAAAAGGCCCCCATAAAAACCCCATCCAAGGGTCAGCAGCTGCAAAGACAGAAACTAGACAAACACACAAAGATGAGAAAGAATCAATGAAAAAATCCTAAAAACACAAAAGGCCAGAGTGCCTCTTCTCCAAATGACTGCAACATCTCTCCATCAAGGGTGCAGAGCTAAACGAAGGATCAGATGGATGAATTGACAGAAGTAGGCTTCACAAAATGGGTAACAAAAAACTATGATGAGCTAAGGGAGCATGTTCTAAGCCAATGCAAAGAAGCTAAGAACTTTGATAAATGGTGAGAGGAATTGCTAACTAGAATAACCAGTTTAGAGGGGAACATAAACGACCTAAGGGAGCTGAAAAACACAGCATGAGAACTTCATGAAGCATACACAAGTATCAACAGCCAAATCGACCAAGTGGAAGAAAGGATATCAGAGTCTTAAGACCACCTTACTGAAATAAGATATGCAGACAAGAATAGAGAAAAAAGAATGAAAAGGAATGAACAAAGCTTCCAGGAAACATGAGACTTCATAAAATGACCTAACCTACGATTGACTGGAGTACCAGGAGGAGACAGGGAGAATGGAAACAAGCTGGAAAACATATTTCTGGATATTATCCAGAAGAACTTCCCCAACCTAGCAAGACAGGCCAACAGGCAAATTCAGGAAATACAGAGAACACGATTAAGATACTCCATGAGAAGATCAACCCCAAGACACATAATCATCAGATTCTTCAAGGTTGAAATGAAGGAAAAACTGTTAAGGGCAGCCAGATAGAAAGGTCAGGTCACCTTCAAAGGGAAGCACATCAGACTAACAGTGGACCTCTCAGCAGAAACTCTACAAGCCAGAAAAGACTGGGGTCCAATATTCAACATTCTTCAAGAAAAGAATTCTCAACACAGAATTTCACATCCAGCCAAGCTAAGCTTCATAAGCAAAGGGGAAATAAAATATTTTCCAGAAAAGCAAATGCTGAGGGATTTCATTACCACCAGGCCTGTTCCTCAAGAGCTCATGAAAGAAGCACTAAATATGGAAAGGAAAAACCAGTACCAGACACTGCAAAAAAAAAAAACAAAAAACAAAATATAAAGACCAATAACACTATGAAGAAACTGCATGAACTAGTGTGCAAAATAACCAAATAGCATTATGATAACCGGATCAAATTCACATGTGACAATACTAACCTTAAATGTAAATGGGCTAAATGCCCCAATTAAAAGACACTTATTGGCAAACTGGATAAGCTGTCAAGACCCATCGGTGTGCGTGTGCTGTACTAAGGAAACCCGTCTTACATGCAAAGACACACACAGGCTCAAAATAAAGGGATGGAGGAATATTTACCAAGCAAAAGGAAAGCAAAAAAATGCAGGGGTTGCAATCCTAGTCTCTGACAAAACAGATTTTAAACCAGCAAAGATCAAAAAAGACAAACAAGGGCATTACGTAATGGTAAAGGGAACAATTCAACAAGAAGAGCTAACTCTTCTGTTGAATTCATAAAAGCACCCAGATTCATAAAACAAGTTATTAGAGGCCTATAAAGAGACTTAGACTTCCACACAATAATAGTGGGAGACTTTAACACCCCACTGTCAGTACTAGACGGATAAATGAGACAGGAAATTAACAAAAATATTCAGTACTTGAACTCAGCTCTGGATCAAGTGGACCTACTAGATGCCTACAGAACTCTCTGCCCCAAATCAACAGAATATACATTCTTCTCAGTGCCACTTATTCTAAAATTGACCACATAACTGGAAGTAAAACACTCCTCAGCAAATGCAAAAGAACTGAAATCATAACAGTCTCTCAGACCACAATGCAATCAAATTAGAACTCAGGATTAAGAAACTCAGTCAAAACCAGACAATTTTGTGGAAACTGAACAACCTGCTCCTGAATGACTCCTGGGTAAATACTGAAAGTAAGGCGGAAATCAAGAAGTTCTTTGAAACTAATAAGATCAAAGAGACAACGTACCAGAATCTCTGGGACACAGCTAAAGCAGTGTTAAGAAGGAAATTTATAGCACTAAATGCCCACATCAGAAAGCTATAAAGATCTCAAATCGACACCCTAACATCACAATTAAAAGAGTTAGAGAGGCAAGAGCAAACTAATCCAAAAGCTAGCAGAAGACAAGAAATACCTAAGATCAGAGAAGAATTGAAGGAGTTAGAGACAAGAAAAACTCTCCAAAAAAAAATAAATGAATCCAAGAGCTGGTGTTTTGAAAAAAATTAATGAAACTGATAGACTGCTAGCTAGACTAATAAAGAAGAATGAAGAGAAGAATCAAATAGACACAATAAAAAATGATAAAGGGGACATCACCACTGACCCCACAGAAATACAAACTACCATCAGAGAATACTATAAACACCCCACATAAATAAACTAGAAATCTAGTAGAAATGGATAAATTCCTGGACACATACACCCTACCAAGACTAAACCAGGAACAAGTTGAACCCCTAAATAGACCACTAACAAGCTCTGAAATTGAGGCAGTAATTAATAGCCTACCAACCAAAAAAACCTCAGGACCAGACGGATTCACAGCTGAATTCTACAAGAAACACAAAGAGGAGCTGGTTCCATTCCTTCTGGAAACTATTTCAAACAATTGAAAAGAAGGGACTCCTCCCTAACTCATTTTATGAAGCCAGAATCATCCTGATATCAAAACCTGGCAGAGACACAACAACAACAACAACAAAAAACTTGCTAAAACAACAACAACAACAAATTGTGAAAATCTTCAATAAAATACTGGCAAACTGAATCCAGAAGCACATCAAAAAACTTATCCACCACCATCAAGTCAGCTTCGTCCCCAGGATGCAAGGCTGGTTCAATTGTTCAACATACACAAATCAATAAACGTAATCCATCACATAAACAGAACCAAAGACAAAAACCACATGATTATCTCAATAGATGCAGAAAATACTTTCTATAAAAGTCAACATCCGTTCATGTTAAAAATTCTCAGTAAACCAGGTATTGATGGAACATATCTCAAAATAATAAGAGCTATTTATGGCAAACCCACAGGCAATATCATAGTGAATGGGCAAAAGCTGGAAGCATTCCCTTTGAAAACCGGCACAAGACAAGGATCCCCTCTCTCACCACTCCTATTCAACATAGTATTGGAAGTTCTGACCAGGGCAATCAGGCAAGAGAAAGAAATAAAGGGTATTTAAATAGGAAGAGATGAAGTCAAATTGTATCTGTTTGCAGATGACATGATTGTATATTTAGAAAACCGCATCATCTCAGCCCAAAATCTCCTGAAGCTGATAAGCAATTTCAGCAGTCTCAGGATACAAAATCGGTGTGCAAAAATCATAAGCATTCCTATGCACCAATAATAGACAAACAGAGAGTCAAATCATGAGTGAACTCCCATCAATAATAGACAAACAGAGAGTCAAATCGTGAGAGAACTCCCATTCACAATTGCTACAAAGAGAATAAAATACCTAGGAATACAACTTACGAGGGATGTGAAAGGCCTCTTAAAGAAGAACTACAAAACACTGCTCAAGGAAATAAGAGAGGACACAAACAATGGAAAAACATTCAGTCCTCATGCATAGGAAGAATCAATATCATGAAAATGGCCATACTATCCAAAGTAATTTATAGATTCAATGCTATTCCCATTGAACTGCCATTGACATTCTTCACAGAATTAGAAAAAAAAACATTTTAAATTTCATATGGAATCAAAGAAGGCCCTGTATAACCAAGACAATCCTAAGCAAAAAGAACAAAGCTGGATGCATCACGCTACCTGACTTCAAACTATACTACAAGGCTACGGTAACCAAAACAGCATGGTACTGGAACCAAAACAAACATACAGACCAATGGAGCAGAACAGAGACCTCAGAAATAACACCACACATCTAGAACCATCTGATCTTCAACAAACCTGACAAAAACAAGCAATGGGGAAAGGATCTCCTAATTAGTAAATGGTGCTGGGAAAACTGGCTAGCCATATGCAGAAAATTGAAACTGGACCCCTTCCTTACACCTTATACAAAAATCAAGATGGATTAAAGACTTAAATGTAAAATCCAAAACCAAAATAACCCTAGAAGAAAACCTAAGTAATACCATTCAGGACATAGGCATGGGGGGAGACTTCATGACAAAAATGCCAAAAGCAATTGCAACAAAAGCCAAAATTGACAAATGTGATTGAATTAAACTAAAGAGCTTCTGCACAGCAAAAGTAACTATCATTAGAGTGAACAGGAAACCTACAGAATGGGAGAAAATTTTTGCAATCTACCCATCTAACAAAGGTCTAATATCCAGAATTTATAAGGAACTTAAACATATTTATAAGAAAAAGACAAACAACCCCATCAAAAAGTGGGCAAAGGATATGAACAGACACTTCTCAAAAGAAGGCATTTATGTGGCCAACAAACATATAAAAAAAGCTCATCATCACTGATCATCAGATAAATGCAAATCAAAACCACAATGAGATACCATCTCACACCATTCAGAATGGTGATTATTAAAAAGTCAGGAAACGAGATGCTGGCGAGGCTGTGGAGAAATAAGAATGCTTTTACACTGTTGGTGGAAATATAAATTAGTTCAACCATTGTGGAAGACAGTATGGCGATTCCTCAAGGGTCTAGAACCAGAAATACCATTTGACCCAGCAATCCCATTAGTGGGTGTATACCCAATGAATTATAAATCACTGTACTATAAGACACATGCACACATATGTTTATTGCAGCAGTATTTACAATAGCAAAGACATGGAACCAACCCAAATGGCCATCAATGATAAGACTGGATAAAGAAAATGTGGTACATATACACCATGGAATACTATGCAACCATAAAAGGGAATGAGATCATGTCCTTTGCTGGGACATGTATGAAGCTGGAAGCCATCATCCTCTGCAAACTAACACAGGAACAGAAAACCAAACACCACATGTTCTCACTCATAAGTGAGAGTTGAACATTGAAAACACGTGGACACAGATAGGGGAATAACACACACCAGGGCCTGTTGGGGGGTCGGGGGAGGGAACTTAGAGGACAGGTCAATAGGTGCGGCAAACCACCATGGTACACATATACTCCTGTAACAAACCTACATATTCTGCACATGTATTCGTTTTTTTAATAAGAAATAAAGCAAAATAAATAAATAAAATAAAGTTACTGATTTTCTCACAGCTTAATTCTTTAAGTATTATCTTAATTTCCTGTTGTCCCTCATTTTCCACAGCTACTCTGTTTACTACAAGGGCATGTTTCATTCACAACTAATTTCATCAGCTACAGGATATCATTATCTTCCAAACTTCAAAAGAACCATGATTTAGAGCTAGTGTTAAGCTATTTACAGTTATCATCCACATAGTTGAAATTTATTTTTAACTCTGTAACACTTCTCAATCATCGTATAAAAAAGATCACTGTTTTTTTAATGACATATATGCACCATGTTTTAATGTATTATTTTTTCATGCCCCATCTCTTCCAAACTAATTTGGCATAAGTATTCAGGAAACAGTCTAGGAATTTAAAGGAAAAAAATGAAATCACAGTAAGATGTCTTAAAATAGCCTGAACTACGGATTAGTATTTAATTGAGAACTTTCTGACTATGCCATGATTTTGAAATAAAGCAGAACTTTTCAACGTGCTTTTCCAGACATTTTAATCATGTGGCAAATTTCATTTTGTTCCTGTTACTGTGTTAATCCCTCAGATTTTTAGGCAAATGGAGCCTGAAACTTATCTTTGATGCATAAACCAAATCAAATAAGTAATCCTTCAGACATTACTAAACCCTAAAGGACATTCAGAAAGTTTGAGATCAGATGACACATTTTTTATAATTGTGTTTGGGAAAAAAACTAGGCCTCTGACAAAGTATGAAAGTAAAAAAGCATAAGTATAAATACAGAACATGAGAAAAGTCAATAATTTGGAATGTTTTGGTTGAAGTTAAAGGCTTTTCTTAACCTGAACTGTTTCTTTCTCTGAAATAGTGGGTTTTGGAAGTATTTCAATCTTAATGTCATTTATTAATTCAAAAGGTATTTGCTGAGCTTCTACTGTATATTAGGCACTGTTCTAGATGTCTGAGACATCAGTGAATAAGTGAAAAAGATTTCTGCAGTCATAGAGCTTACATTCTAGTCAAAAGAGAATTAAAAACAACAAAGAAATGAAGTTAGTATGTTAGAAGGTAATAAAGGGTACCGAATAAACAAAAAGTAGTACTATAGTAAATCCAGTCATTATTAAACTAGTAAATCAATATAGTAGAGTATTTTATTTTTAATAATAATCTATATCCACTATATAAATTACATGGTAATCTGTATACTAAGATGTAGTAAAGACCATATGGAGCACAGTAAAGACAGATACAATATAATATAGAATATCTTCCTATAGAAGAAACTGTTGCACTACCAGGAACTCTATATATTCAGACTAATATTCATACCAAAACATACAGAATTTTACTATCCATAGTAAACAATAGATTAAAAATGGCATTTGACTCAGTCTTCATCATTAAGGCCTGAGCTGTGTTCATCACTAAAAAGAACTATTCTAAGTCCACAGCTCACATATGTGAGCTTTCATATGTGATTAAATATAAAGTCGGTAAATGTTTTAGTTATATAGTCATCCCCTTGGTATCTCCGTAGTTCGGATTCAAAATGATTTTAGAAATAGACCATTTTAAAAATATACCTTTTATAAAACTACAACACTAACAAAAATCTGTGGATGCTGCTGTCAGGGACACATTTACAAAATTATGCAGAACACTCACATTTTATTATTCAATGAACTAAAGTTACGTATGTGCTCCCCAAACTGTAATTCTCATTTGAGATTTAGGACACTGACCAGGCTTGCTACAATGTAAGATTTACACAGGCCCAATAGATAACATCTTCACTTGTGACACAGCTTACTAACATCAATTTGAAAGACTTTGGATCTAACTTTGTGCATGTTTTAATTATAGAAAATAACCCTAACTCTCAAAGTCTCAAATATGAATAATATTATTTATGTGAATAATACAAAAATCATTTCTGTTTTCCTGTGATCTTACTGCTATGCAATATGAAGGCAACTGCCATTTAAGAAGTCATTAGAGAGACCATTTCCGAGCTCTAAAAATGGATTTAAGACATTTGATATCAGAGAAGTTGCTAGAAAAAGGTAAGAATTGCGGCAGCTGAAAATTAATTAAAATAATTAATCAGTAAATAGGTAACAATTTTTGGCTACTTGGATTGCAGTCTACTAAGGTAGCATCCTCAGGGCCCTGATCTGGCCCTAATATAGAAATCAGTGTCATGAATGCAGTTAGGGAGTGTCAAAACCCAGAGATCATGACCAACCCAGGTTACAAAGTCTGTAATAACTGCAATCATAGACAGAGTTCACATTTTGTCTTTGAAGACACTATTAATAATGATAGAGGGCCAATATTAGGTGGCTTTCTTCTCCTTGTTACTTGGGTTCAGATTCTCATAACTTGAATGAGATAAAGAGAAAAAATAGGTTTTTCCTGGGTATTTGCATGAGTATAGTTAAGGGAGGAGTCATGCCATCTAGATAAAAATAGAGTGGTTCATCCTTTGATTGTATTAAATATTTTACACTGTATTTTTACATTTCCCCCAATTCTTCATCTCTTTCTCTTCTCCATTAATGTCAACAGTTGAAACAATTATTCATTAGGTGGCTAAAAGATAAACCTTCTCTGGTCAGGGTTGTTAACGAGGCCACTCTTGGAAATCAGTATTCTGTTAAAAGCTACCATCCAGTGCCAGATTCTCCAACTCCAACAAAAAGAGAAGTGGCAGGTCTGCGATGGTGTGCACAGGCAGACAGCTGACTCACCTTGGCAAGCTCCAGTGCGGATGTTGGGGATGAAACCCCGTCGGCAGGGCTGAGGCTGGGCTGGACACATCTCACAGGGATGGCCCCACGCCCGTCCAATGGTGGCACAGCACAGAGTCTTCGTGCAGACAATGCCTGTCAGCTGCCCTTGGCACATCTGGTTGTTGACCTGAGTGAAACACGGGCCTGTCCTGTAATCTGGAATGTGGGAGAAGAAAGAAAGACAGGTTTTATGATCATATACTAATCTTATACCAGTGCCTCCAAATGCATAAAACAGAGACTATTTCTTCTGACCAAAGTGTCCAAAGACAGAAGGCTAGAGAGTTTCATGTTAAAAATTCATAATTTTCCATTCATGAGAAGTACCTTAAGAGACTTCAATGTATTCCACACTAGACACTGTAAATGGGTGGCTCAGGGCTGTGTCTGGGATACAGATGTGCCTTCTTGGCCTGAATAATGCTTTTACAGAATTTAAATTAGTAGCCAACATTGTAAACTTGGGAAATTCCACATGAAATTTGTATTTCTGGCTTCTCTTGAAAAATTGGAAGTTCTGGTCATGCTAGACCTGCCATGTCACACAGCACTGGTGGGATGAAGTGTGTTTTCTCCAGGACACCACTAAATCCGAGCTCAGTACATTCACTGATGTTTCCTTCCTGGGCCCTGAAGGCATCAGCATTAATGACTCCTCTTTACTTAGCAGAGATTTTCTTTTCTGACTAGGTGAACAAGAGTTTAGAAAATTAAAACAAATCAATAAAGATATGCTCCTTCCATATCACACATATATTTGGGCAATCTAAACTGCCTGTAAATATTCAGTTCTAAGAATCTGATTTCTGTTTCTGTGTCAGTCAGTTTAGTTCTATGGGTAGCCTAGTTAGGAAGATCTCATTAATAAGGCACATAGTCATGAATTCCTTACACGTAAGTTAGTATTATATGATCGCTCCTCTCTAGCAAGTGACTGTACATTGTCCAGCTCTGTTATGGTGATAACAAAAGCCTTAGTAAATGTATGGCATGTGTGATACATAGGCAAATTCTTCTATGAATATTAAGTACAGTCCATTTAGATCCCCGCCTCTCAAGGTTTCTATGGACCAGCAGCAACAGCATCACTTTGGGGCCGGGTAGAAATGCAGACTCAAGCCCTACCCTGACCCACTAACCCAGGTTCTGCATTTTTTAACAAGACCGGGCATTAATATGCACCTTGGAGTTTCAGAAGGGCTGATATAGACTGCAGGCAGTTGGAAAGTTAGCCCTGGGTATTTCTGCTCTATCCTGCTTTCTTCTGTGATTTACTTTCAGTGAAACTTTTCGATGATCGGTGAAACAGAACTGAATCATGAACTAAATAAATTTTAATTTCAGCTTTGTTGTTGTTGCTGTTTTGAGAGATACAAGAAATCAGAGAAAGGTCAGTTTTCTGAGGATTCACCAATTCAATTATTCTCATTTGCTATAAAATACAACAGAAATACATGAAAAAGTTGTGTGTTTTTCCTTACACACAGGGATTATGTCAATACAGTTTATTAATTCTTGGGAATACAAAATACCACTCAGGTTTCTTGATAAGGTCTAACATAAATGATATTATTCTACTCCAAGGGGAAAGCTACACAGATTTAATTCATAGTTTTATGAGAACAAAACTACCTAACATTTAAAGGAGGAAGAGTCAATAATGTTGGTATAATTTTTATGAAAAACTGTTTCTAGGAAAATCAAACTTGGATATAATTTAACATTCAAAATGCTAAGCTAGGAAGCCTTAGATATCATATACGTGCTGCAGTACAACAACAAAAACCTTAAAACCACATAAAACTTCGATTTGCTTTAAAGAAGAATGAGGCTGTCTCCGACAGAAGCAAAGAACAGTTTAGAAGTTCAATATTAAGAAACAAAATCGAGAATAGGTAATTTCTTGGCAAGCCATTTTAACATTGTTACTCTGCAGCTGAACTTCAACAAAAATAGCTCATTTTAATCCCTTGCATAAGAACAACAGATGTGCTGGCTGCAAGTCTCGTTTTTGAAAAAGATCTTTGGAGTATACGTGAAGATATGGCAACCTTATAAACAAACACACTTCCTATACTGCAAATTGTCAGGTTGCAAACTTTTAAAATCTATCCTATTGTCCTTCAGATATAAATATTTTGTCATTTTAAATAAACATTAAATTCCTAATTATAAGTTATATCAAGTTCTGAATACGTGGGGAAAAGTCTGTTTTTTTGCAAAAAAAATATAAAAACACATATTGTTTTTAGGTCAATGTGTGAATACCCATGTTCACATTCTATGCACTTTTAGGATTCCCAGAATGAAATCTGCACAGTCTCCCTCATAACCAAATTCATAAATAAACCAACTTGACAGTAGATTCATTCCTTCTTCTAACTACACCTTAAACTTATGTCCTCTTAGTACCGTCTCTGTGGAGAAGGGGAATATCTGGACAAGGACAGCTGTTTGTCCTCTGCAAATGACCTTTCTTGTTGAAGTCACTAATTAAGGCAACCTTCCACTTGGCAGGAATAGAGTTGACCATTTCTTATTTGTTTTGCTTACATTTTACTCCTTACAAAATATGCTGAACCTATGTTTGTATATGATGACAATTTGCTTTCTGGTTGGTAACTAAATACTTTAAAATTTAAACTTACAATCTTATCTACTAATTCAAGAATTACTACCATGTAAAATAAGAACAAATACTAGATATTGTAAAAGAATTTAAATTTCCTGATAGGGTTAAAACATCCTGTCCCAGACTCTACCTGCAGTTTAATTATGGACAAAAGAGTCCTTAAAATACCTTAATTAATTGTGATTGGCCATGCATTCTCTTCCTAAAAGTTGCACTGTGGGAAAAATACTGATGTATACCATGCTAACCATTCATAGTCACAAGGATACTTGCAGTGTGTTAACTAAGTGTAAAAGGGGAAAATTGCTTATCACTTAGTATGTTGGAACTAATGACCTATAAACAGTTATGTTACACGTTATGACATGACCAAGAAAATTTTGTTAAAAATTAGGCTGTGAAACACAAATATTGCTAGTTTGATTTTCTAATATCTAAGTGCAACATGGCGTGTTAATTTGCTTATGCAATTTCCATTTTTATTCACATTAAAAAATTAGTGCAGTTAGCAAGCTCATCAAAAACTTTGGCTGCTAATTGTTTTGTTGTTTCAAATAACTATAGGAAGGTGTAATTTACGTACCATAATTCGCCTGTTTTAAGTGTAAAATTCAATGGTTTTTAGTAAATTTATTGAATTATGCAACCATCACCACAATCCAGTTTTAGAACATTTTCATCACCCAAAAAGAACTTGTGTCCATTCCCTGTCCCAGCCTCAGTCAACCACTAATCTAGTTTCTGTGACTATAAATTTGATTTCTCTGGACAATTAATATAAGTGAAATCATATAACACGTGGTCTTTTTTTGTCTTGCTTCTTTCACCTAGCATAATGTTCATCAAGACCATACAGTAGCATGGATCAATACTTCATTTCTTCTAATTGCTGAATAAATTTCCATTGTATGGCTGTACTACATCTGTTAACCAGTCTGTGGCCATCTGGGTTGTTTTTACTTTTGGGATATTATAAATAATGCTGCAATGAACATCTGCATGAAAGTCTTTGTGTGGATATATGTTTTCATTTCTCTTGGTAGTTATTTAAGAGTGGAACTACTTATTTGACAAATATACATTTAACTTTCTAAGAAACTGTTATTTGACAAATATACATTTAACTTTCTACGAAACTGCCAAATTATTTTCCAGAATAGGTTCACCATTTTATATTCTCCTCAGCAATGTATGAGGGTTCTAGTTCTTCCACATCTTTGTTAATATTTGCTGTTTTCTACAATTTTTATTATAACCTGGGTTCACATTTTACATTAAATAAACACATTTGCTTGGGAATTTTGCTGTAATTTCACAAGTCCTTTTTACACAATTAGAGATGATAAATCATGCTAGAAAACCAAAGTTGAGCATTATTGTTTATAGAAAATACAAGTTGAGAAAATTAAACATTCTTAAAATAAAATATAATACACTTGCTAAAATCCAAACCATACGGAAAAAATAAAATGCCCTTTTCATAACATGTTGAGATTTGTGATACTTTTTTCTAAATAAAAACACAATTAATCATCTCTTACACTTACCTTTTTGAATTATTTATATACAGTGTTCTGAACCTGGAGTGTTCTCTTAATTGTATAACTTGGAAATTAAGTCTACAACTGAGTTTACTGAGTGACTAGTATATACTAGATATTGTTCTGGGCTCTGGAGATGTAACAGTGAGGGGAAAAAAGTGAATAAGAAAGAGAGGAGGAAGGAGACATACAGAAGAAAGTGAGAGAAGAGAGCACCAATGTCTTTGACCTTTTAGAGTTAATTTACAGTTTGTTGGGGGAAACAGAAAAGGCCAACGGGGCATAAAGTCCAAAGGCCCTATGAAGGGGTGGAAGCAAGGTGCACCTAGGGTAGTGTGTGGCTCATGTAAGAGAGGAGATTGGTGAAGGATGAGGCTGGAGAGGAGATCAAGACCATCCTGGCTAACAGGTGAAACCCTGTCTCTATTAAAAATACAAAAAAATTAGCTGGGTGTGGTGGTGGGTGCCTGTTGTCCCAGCTACTTGGGAGGCTGAGGCAGGAGAATGGTGTGAACCCAGGAGGCGGAGCTTGCAGTGAGCCAAGATCGCACCACTGCGCTCCAGCCTGGGCAAGACAGCAAGACTCCGTCTCAAAAAAAAAAAAAAAAAGTCAGTGGAGAGACTTCTTTCTGGCATGGAATGACAAGCTTATATTTGTATTCTAAAGTGTTAAGAGTAGATGCTAGGAAATCTTTTAGAAATCTCATGATCAAGACACAAGATACAGTGGAACCAGAAATTGTACAGGTGAACAGAGCTTGGAATAAAAGTTCCTGAATTCAAAAAATGAACGGGTGAATGTGTTAATGTGGAAGATGAGTAAGCAAGAGATACCAAAAGTAGGATCAGGATTTTAGTTCACTTATGAGGATGGCTGATGGTGTCATTTCCTGATATACTGGTAATAGAAGACAATCAGGATTTTAGGTTCATTTTTCAACATGTTACACTGAGGTGCCTTTAGATACCCAACAGGAGACGTCCAGTGTGTTACAGAATTTAGAATATATGGATTGAAGATGCACACTAATGAGTCATGTGAGTTGGGTAGTTTTCAAAGCAATGGGTGTGGATAAAATTCCTTGGAGTGAGAGAATATAGTTAAAAGAGAAACGAGTCTAGGATACAGTCCTGAGGAATTTCAGCACTTGATAGTGGGCTGGAAGGGAATGAGTCTGCTGAGGAAACAGGAAATGGATAGCCAGAGAGATGGGAGAGCAACAGGAGATTGTACTCCCACAGGACATAGGAAGCACATGCTGTAGAAAGGAGGCTCAACAGTACTGAATGCTGCTGAGCAGCCAAATTGCAGGAGGCTGGTTCCATGCATCTGCAGGTGATTGGTGATCTTAGCAAGAGATCTTCTGGTGAAGTGATGGAAGTTGCAGCCACGTTGGAGAGAGTTAAGGAACTGGCTGGAGATGAGAAAATAAGACAATGAGTACAACCAGACAACCTTTGGAGAAGTTTCCTCAAGGTAAAGACAAAAGAGTCTGGTAGGGGGTTTGGGGTTAAGAAAGAAGGTTTTTATTGTGACTTTTTCCAGCAACTCTAGGCAGCTGAGCTCATTCAGAGATTAGGGTTCATCCAGGGTTTTGCTTTTGTCTGTCAGATGTGGGGGAAAAAAACAGAATGGCAAGGAAGCTCAGGGTAGAATGTTAGCATATTTTGAAATTACAGACCATGGAATCTATGCTGGACAAGACGGGAAGTAAGAAAAGGACTGCTAGATTAAGAAATGAAAGAAAGCAGTGAGATCAATGGACTAGATGTCCCCATGAGGCCCTACTTGAGAAGGGAAACAGCCAGAGGGACAACAATACATCAGCTGCCCATGTGGCTATAATATCATTTATGTGACTGTCAGTGGAATGCAGTTACAGTGTACAACTGCATAGATTGTGCCCTGCATAACTTAGAAGCTTCCCACATACTTTAATGTAAATGTCATTCCCTGGAGTTGTGCAATGGAATGACAATGTTAGAGACCTTCTATGCTGTAACTGCAAGTCAGATAACGCCATAAGGTATCATTATCACTTTGGTACAGAAAAGAATTACCTGATCTTGGAAAGTACATTTAAAAATGTAGGATTTCCTATCAACTTGCATGGTCTTTCAACTTAGGCAAGAAGGTATTTATGTTCTCAGTAACTAATAAAGTGATCATCTTGTATGGGAGTTACAGACATAAACATGTAAAATAAAGAATTCTGCAATATGTGTAACTTAATCTAAGGATCCTGGCTAGGTGACTAATTCCTTCGAGTAATGGAGTTTTTGACCAACAATTCTGTCCTTATTATAAATGAGGTTCCATGTATTTCAATGATGAGGTTATAATTGAGAATCTAAAATCTCTAATCACAGATATAAACACAGCAAGCAAAGAAGGCAGTACCCAAAATTATATGGGATAATAAAAACATTTCCTTCATTTCAGTAAGATTTGCCTTGGATGTCTGCAGCTCCAGACTTCATGCTGGGTCTAAATCTTTAGATCAAATAAACTCAAATAACTGATATAATTGCCTTCCTTGAGGTTAAGCATCTTTCAATCTCAGAAATTTTAGAATTAAGTACAAAAATGTTTAAGAGAATCAAAGCCATTAAATTAATATTTTTATTTTAAGAGATCTGTGCAAATATTATGTACCTGTAATGCCTGAAAACATTTGGCCTATTCCATGAAACTGGCCTTAAAAACAAAAACAAAAACAAAAAAAACTCTTTTTAATGCATGAGAGACTGCCTTTTAACCACAATTTTAAATAAATTATTGAGTAACTTATTTAGAGTTATGATGATTGTCATTAGGCTTATATATAGAATTGGATCATTTAAGCTTCAGGTCTTATAAAATTATAAGTTTGAGTATTTATACATGTAGTTTTTAATTTATTAGCTTTTAGGAGTTGAGTACTTTTTAAGGTGCACGACTGAAGTACCTAAGAAAGCACTTTAAAAAGATATCTGATGTATTTAATAAACAAAACAGTTCAAAAGGCATGGAGTTATTTCATAAACTAGGTATGAAAATAGAAACAAATATTATTTAAAATCTCTTAAAGCGACTACTAAAATCTGTTAAGACTATAGGCACTTGAAGAGATATTTATCTACCCATGTTCACAGCAGCACTATTTGCAATAACAAAAGATGGAATCAACTTAAGCGTCCACTGACAGATGAATAGATAACAAAATACGGTATATACATACCAAAAACTATTATTCAGCCTTAGAAAGGAAGAAAATTCTGACACATGTTGCAACATGGATGAACTTTGTGCATATTGTGCTGAGTGAAATAAGCCAGTCACAAAAGGGGAAATACTGCATGATTTCACTTACACAAGGTATCCAGAGTAGTCAAATTCATAAAGACAGAAAGTAGAATGGTGGTTGGCAGGGGTTTGGGGTGGGAGGAAAATGAAGGCTTACTGTTTGTTTGAGGGGTAAGGAGATTTCTGTTTTACAAGATAAAAAGACTTCTGTGGATGGATGAGGGCAATGGGTGCACAAGAATGTGAATGTACTTCAAGCCCCTGAACTTAAAAATGATTACGACAGGCTGGGCACAGTGGCTCACACTTGTAATCTCAGCACTTTGGGAGGTCGAGGCAGGCAGATCACCTGAGGTTGGGAGTTTGAGACCAGCCTGACCAACATGGAGAAACCCCATCTCTACTAAAAATACGAAATTAGCTAGGCATGGTGGCACATGCCCATAATCCCAGCTACTCGGGAGGCTGAGGCAGGAGAATCGCTAGAACCCGGGAGGGGGAGGTTGCAGTGAGCTGAGATCGCGCCATTGCACTCCAGCCTGGGCAACAAGAGCAAAACTCCGTCTCAGAAAAAAAAAAAAAATGATTAACACAGCAAATTTTATGCAATGTGTGTTTTACGACAATCTTAAAAATAAATATTTAAAAAGCTCCGGGAGTAAGTAGACTTTTGAAATCATATTTAAATAAAGCAAGCCTGAATATTTAACACAAAAATAAACTGAGTATTTTTTGGATGCAGAGTCACCATGGAGGGCATGGAAATATTCACGTGCGACATTGACCACGCCCCTCGTGATGGATATTTATATTGTTTTCAACTGATTTCAAGTGCACACAGTGCTACATAGGCACTCTTCAACATACTTACTGACTATACTTTGGCAAGTTTTTCTGTAATCTAATTCCTGGCACTGGAACTGCTGGGTCAAGTGTCCAGCTTGAAAAATACTGCAGAACTGCTCTCTAAATAGGTGGCACCAATTTACACTGTCATCAGTAGTGCCCAAGGAAGTCTGTACCCTCACACTCTCTCCAATGCAGAGTAGAGGCAAAGAGTTTATTTTTTATTCATTTAATGGGTAAAAACAATATCTTCTTGTTGAATTTTGACAGCAACTCATTGTCCCCATTCTTGAAAACTAGAAAAATTAACAATGTGGTACATATTACTTTGTAGTGGCCCTTTTAATATATCTTTTTATCTTAAGTACTAAAAATATTTTTGCCATTTTTACAAATAAATTAAAAGTCACAGATTAAGTAATACATGGTGAATCACAGAGCTAAAGACAAGTGAAAGTGAGATTCACCTTTGAGATCCATTTCACTCCAAGTGCTTGTGTGCTTTTACCCCTACACTATGTTCCTTCACCCCAACACATGGGTTTTCTACATTCTCAGCTTTTGGTAACTTTGCCTTCACCGTGCTAATGAGTACTGTCACAACCCCACAGATGCCTCCTCCTGCCTCCTATGTATAATTTCCTAACTCCCAATTACCATGCCCAGGTTTGCTTTTCTTCTGGTTTCTCCCAAAGATGAGTCTCCATCTAGCCGTGTTACACCAGGGAGAAATTATCTCTGTGCATTGAGAGAAACATTAAAGACTTTCGTTTCTGCAAATAAATGAGTAATTACTTTAATTACCACAGTTGCCTTGCATTTTATTTCAACCTAATACCATCATGTAATATTTCAGTGGAATGTGGGCTTGGCCAAAGGACTGCTTTCACCTTTCTCTGCAGTCTTTCAAAGCACAAGGCTACTGCTGACATCAAAGGGCATTTTAAGAATGAAGAGGCCGTAACGATAATTAGGTGCTGGCCAGTGATGCAAACAAAATTGCTATCTTTGATGTCACGTTTCATACGGGTGAAGGCCATCAAAGATGTGGTCCTCAAATTCACAGCCTATAACCCTAAAAGTGCACTCTCCCAAGAGCAAAACCAATTAACTTACTTTAAGGACAACAAAAATTGCTGAAGATTAAAAACTAGTAAGATTAGTTAAGCAGAAGGATATCGTCACTTTTGAAGAAGAAAGTTAAAGAGATGAAAATATTTTGACATGAGTTAATAAGGGGGCCAGAGATATAAATGATTAACACAAAAGATGGATCATAAGCAAGTCAAATTTAAAAGTACCACATTTTATAGTATCTTAGGAAAATCTGTACTATCGTTAAGTAGGCCTGAATATATTTCAGGGAAAAGTGACACGTACTCAGAAAACATTTATCCATTATCAATAAAGTCAGAAATAGAACCAATAGAAACAAGGTGCTTGAACAGATCTAATGCATCTTTGGTCCAAAAATAATATGGTCACAAGACTGGATTATGGTGGCTGCCATGAAAATGTTACACACACTTTGCTGACAGAGCCCATGGATTCCATGTAGTATTTTCCTACTAAAATTTCTGCCCAAATCAATGCCTCCTGAGTGATGTAAGCAGCCAAATACATGCTACTGAGTCAATCAAACTTAGTAAATAACACCTTTCCGAGGAAACTAATGTGTAATGGGAAAACAAAAACCTCTCTCTATGATTCTGTCCTGGCATGTAACTTCCAATACAACATCTAAGCAACTGTGCTGAGATTCTCCAAGCCAGCAAATGCCATGTGATTCATTACTGGGGTTGTCGTTACTTGAGAATTCTAGGGAAATGCTGAAAAGTTAGAAAACCATTAGACCGTAGGACATTCTAAGAGGACACAGGTAGCATCTATCAATAAATCCATTTGAAATGCACAGGGGAAGCTCTTTCCCAGTTATTTGCTGCATGAAGAACAGTGATAATCAAGTGACCCTGCTGGCACTGATGGCCCAGTGGTGGTGGTGGTAGTGGTCTGTAAGGAGGTGAACCATTCCTGGCTCCTGGAATTAGAACCTTATACCATGCCTGTCTTTTATACATTAGCACCAGGAGAGGCGCAAGAGCAAAGACATCCCCCGGTCTCATCTCAACAGAAGGGTCCTAGTACTGTGTTACCTGCTTTGCAAAATAAAAATGACCTTATTTTATACAGCCTGAAAATGTGTTATTGTCAGGGAAACCCATATAACTTACTAGTATTGGTAGTGAGAAAATTCATGTCACAGACAAAAATTAAAAGACTAAAGTCTCTCTTTAGTTCAGGAGAGTGAATCCTTTCAATATTTAGACTCAACAGAAGTGCAAAAAAAGGGATGGTCACTGCTTCAAGCTAAATTAGTTGTCTGGAAGTCAGTGAGAATAAACAGGTCACAACATAGAGCCTAGAAACTGGAATGTAAGTAATATGAATTCCAAACTAAGATTTAAAAAACAAGTACAGAAGTAATAAAGATGTAATTGGAAAAAATATCCTAAGTTTAAATGAAAAATAACTTCACACTTTCAGGTTAGAATGGCTCATGGCATCCTAGACAGAAATAATGATAATAAAAAAGATATACTCAACGAAAAAGCTTCATGAGATCTCTGAATTTCTGAACTCTGAAAATAAAAGAAAAAGAGAAAAATCCTTCCATTTCCAGAAAGAACAGTCTACCTACAAAGGAGATTAAATAGGCTAGCATTCGTTTTCTCCTGTGTTTCCTGAGAGTTAAAGTACAGTGAAATAGCATTCACAGGCTACACTTCTGAGAAAGGATTCTTGAAACAAAAGAGCCATGTGATAAGATAAAACTTAATAATAGCCTGAAATGATAACAACAGGAACTGAGAGATAGCAAAAGTATCTGCCATATGAAGACTCGCTAGTAAATTATTCCTACAATCTCAATTTGGGACCAGGATGAGTGAATAAGTAAAATGTCTTGGGGTGACATTTTGTACAATTTAGACATTACGCAAAAGTTGTGACAGAGGTACAGGTGTTTCAAAATAATGGTGAAAGATAAAAAGGTGACCATTAGTTCAATGAAGGACACAGAATTTCTTAATTAAAGAAAGGTGGTGAAAATAGATAACTGAAGTATAATTGATTAAACCAAAATGATAATAAAAATGACAAAAGGAAAACCACAAAATATAATGCTTTATATACTTAAAATGATGGGAATAAAATATACTGAAATCACAATAAATATGAATAAGCTTAGATTTTAATCAAACAATGAAGTCATCAATAGATCTGACTAAAATAACAAAACTCAGCCCTATCCTGTCTATATTAAAACCATCAAAATAAAATGAGTAGAAAATAAACAGAACGGCAAAGAAAAACCAAAGAAAATACAAAAGAAAGTAGAAGTAGTAATAATCAATATCAGAATGGAATTCCAAAAGGTAATTCCAAAAGTATTAAACTGAGTCAAAAAAAGAGTATTATAAGGATTAAAACTAAAATCCATTAAGAGGATATAAGATTTATCTAACTAAAAAATATAGTGAAATAAAAAGAGCAAAAACTTTTAGAAATACAAGTCAAATTTGACAGAGCAAGTAGACAAAAAAAAAATAAATAAGAACATAATCAAAAAGCGTGTCTTAATAGACAGGTTTACAGCTTTGTACCATATAAACAGAGAATGTATATTCTACTTCTGTTTTCATGGAACCTTCAGCTTCGCAGGGGATCAAGTCCTTAGTCACAGCACACCATTATTACAATGAGATTCAATAGCTCCGTGAGGTTTCTACAGAAGATTTTGTCTTCCACAGTGTGAAAGTGGGAAACTTTCCACAGTCTATGCATAGAAAGCTTTTAACTAATGTGATTGATGACTTACCACCAGAAAAGAACACCCTGTGGTCTCTTTTCAAAAAGCATCAATAACAGCTTTTTAACTGCAGAATCTGTGGCATGAAATTGACAATTTTAGCAGTTTTAAAATCTTACACCAATGTGGGTTTTTTTAAATCATGTATAGCTGTGTGATCCAAAACAGTAGCCACTAGCCACATGTGGTTTTCTAAATTTAAACTTAAAATTTAAATTCCATAAAGTAAACATTCAGTTTCCCAGTCACACTAGCCACATGTCAAGTGCTCAAGGGCCACATGTGCTTAGTGGCTACTGTCCTGGACGGCACAAAGAGCATTTCCATCATCCCAGAAAGTTCTTTCAATGCATATTGGAGTAGTTGTCTCCCAGTACCACAGAGAAATGGGGAATATCACAGCATTTGGTGTAGAGGTAATGATTCTTTAAGGAGTTATGTTTGAAACTGGGTAGATTCTGATATAAACTGCAATAAAATTCAAAGGCATCCTGGAATTACGAGTTGGCTAGCACCATAAAACACTTAAAGATAAAAGTTTTAGAGACAAGAATCTGCTATAATGACTTCTTTTATTATTATTATGTTATATATATATAAAACACAACTACACAACCATGAAGTTTGCGTAGTACTTTATAGCCATCATTTTACTTAATCTGTACAATAACCGTATTTGGTCAGCATGAATAGCTTTCCTCCACAAATGATGACAGTAGGCTTAGACAGGTTAAATAAAATTGTTCAAAGTCACACTGATGATGCACAACAGACCCCGAGTCTGAAGTACAAGTGTATCTGACACCAAAATCCATGCTCTTAACCATCTCACTCTGCCATCTCTCAGTGGCACTGATCATCATGGTGCGAGGGGGCTGGGGGGAGTTTATCCATGTTTGATCAATAGTGCTTGCACTGAATGAAATGCCTTTTTCTGTACTAATTTATCCCTTCCCTTGTTTTAAGACTGTAACCGTTTTATTCAGTTGATAAATTAGCCTGGTTTATTCAATGCTTCACTGGCCACTTTGATATAACCTCTAAATAGAACCACGACATCTGAGATTGCTGAATGTTTTCCTCGATTCAGACTTTTCACTTCTTGTGTGCAAGTACTTCTCAGCTATGGAAATTCTCTTTCAGTAGGTACTCCACGGCATTACAGCCCAAGCCACTTCAAATCTTATCGGCATTTAGCTTCTCTTCTCTGAGTGGATGAACTATGAGTAAGTATTTTTGCAACGCTGAGGGAGGTTGCAGTGGTGCTGTTGGACTTCAGACAATACTGGCCAAGTGTCTAAGAAGCCAGACACACACTACCTATGGAAGGTAAACTCTAATTGTTCAAAAAAGTTCCAATATAATCTGCAGTGCTGGGTAGGCATTGGGCTTTGCTGTCAGCTTTTTAAAAGTCATCCAGCTCACCCTAGATGAGGCATGTATAAAAGCATTTTCAGAAATGTATTGTTATTTTTTTCTTTTGGTAACCTTTAAACATGAACCATCTTAGAAACTGTTTGATCTGATTATGTGATTAACAGATGAGGAAATAAAATCCAGAAAGTTTCAGCAACTGGCCCCAAGTCAAAACGAGTTGACATAACTGCTTAGGGCTCTTGACTAATTCTCCTGTAGCACACAACATAAAATGGTAATTAAATGCCTACAACTGATGAATCTGATATGTCAAGGTCTTTTCAGGACAAAATGCACCTGCTGAGTTTAGATCCAGAAATATGGTCTAACTCAGTATTTCCCAAAATGTGGTCAATGGACTATCAGTTCTACAGAACACTAGGAGAACTATGCCAAAACAGGATTCTGTGGTCAAATATATTACAAGTTGAAAAAAGACAGAATTGGGTGAAACTACATGACTTTCAGGGGCCCTTAATGTACTCTTGTGCATTCTTAACTGCCAAGAGGAGGCTATAGTAGGCAGCCTTCAAAATTTATTTGCTCATAAAATAGTTTTATTCGATAGCATTCCTGAAGACAAGTGTGGGATGCAACACACTTTGGCAAACACTTATCTAACTTTATCAGTATATGGGATCCCTTGTCATTATCCTCAAACATGGCTGCCTGAAATAGATTTAATAAAACAATATATTTTGTGTAACTGGCTTTCCTCCAGATGACATCACTACTACCATAAGTACCTTGGAGAACTTTAGAATCTTGTGACATGACCGTAACACTCAAACTTTCTTAGCAGTTGCCAAACTATTGCTTAAATGGATAATAGTATTGAAACTATTTGTACGCAATTACAGTCCCAAAGTTCCTTTGTTTTTTTGCATTGTTCTTCTTTATACCAAAGGTCACATAGAACCTAAAATCTCACGTCTTATAAGTGGTGATAAAAAGCACGTGGTCTTATATTCCTGTGTAGGCCTTTATCAGCAATGCAGGGTAGAGGAAATAGTGACACGTGTGTATGCATATACATATGTATATACACACATATATGTACGTATATAGTAATATTATATCACTACTCTAAATACATTACATATTTTTACTTTTTTAATCATCATGACACTATGAAATAAGTACTATCCTTATGCCCACTTTAGAGATGAGGAAACTCAAGCACAGTGAGATAAGGTAACTTGCCTAAGACTACAAATCTAATAAATGGCTGAACCAGGTGAAAAGACATGATAAAGATTCACATAAATTTCTTCTTAAAAGCTACTAATGGTCTAGACCTGGTGGCTCATGTCTGAAATCCCAGTGCTTTGGGATGCTGCAACAGGAGGATAGCCTCAGGCAAGGAGTTCAAAGTCAACCTGGGCAACACGGCAAGACTCCATCTGTACAAAATATTAAAAAATTAACTGGGCATGGTAGAATGTGCCTGTCATGCCAATTACTTAGGAAGCTGAAGTGAGAGGATTGCTTGAGGCGAGAAGTTCAAGGCTGCAGTGAGCTATGTTCATGCCACTGCATTCTAGCCTGGGCAACAGAACAAGACCTTGTCTCCTTGTCTCTCTCTCTCTCTCTCTCTCTCTCTCTCTCTCTCTCTCTCTCTCTATATATATATATATATATATATATATATATATATATATATATATATGTATATACACACACACACACACATATTCTATGTATATATAATATATATATTCTCTATATATAATATATATATTCTCTCCATATATATAATATATATATCCTCTCTATATACATATATATTATACATAGTATTCACAGAGAGAATATATATATTATATATTTTATATATATAATAATGAGGTGAAGCATCTATGTTTACTCCACATGGTATTAAAACTTTCAAGCAGTTTATCTTCTATCTAGGAATCTCAACAGGTAAGGTGTCATATTTTGTGTCTCTGCCATTATAGACATATGCACTTAGCATACTGACTAAAAGCACAGGGCTGCAGTCAGACAGCTCTGGATTCACAGCCAGAATTCTAGCTTCACCAGCTACACGCCTATGGTCTTGAATAGGCTAAGTCAGTTTCCTCATTTGTAGTATGGATATAACAGGGGAGCTTTACTTATAGTGTATGATGTAGATGTGTGAATATCATGAGATAAAACTCTCAAGTAATGAGCACAATGACTGGCTTTTACAAAAATACAAAAATTAGCTGGGCATGAGGGCGGGTGTGTGTAATTCCAGCTACTCGGGAGGCTGAGGTGGGAGAATGGCTTGAACCCGGGAGGCAGAGGTTGCAGTGAGCCAAGATTGCGCCATTGCAGTGAGCCAAGATTGTCGCCAGCCTGGGCGACAGAGCGAGACTCCTTCTCAAATAAATAAATAAAGAAATAAATCCTCAGCACCGGTTAGCTGTGATTATTGTGGCCATTAATAAACTAACATTTTGAAGAACTCTCTGGTTTTCCAAAACACTTTCCTATGCGTTATTTCATTATGTCATGACAGTGATATCGCAAGACTAAAGATGAGAGAGGCAGAAAAGTCTACATAAACCTCACTGTGGCTTTGATCCTCCTAATTACATATGGATAAAACTTTCTTGGATATGAAAGCTGCAAGAAACCACTTAAATGGATAGCAGGATCCTTCCAAGAAGTAATATACTTCCTCACGGAGTTATTTTCTCTATTATTCAAGCTCCCTATTTCCCAAAGATCTGTTTGGAATCAAAGCCAGGTTTCACAGCCTGAAAATTAATACTGTGCAGCCAGAAATAAATTATTCAGCAAAGAGAAATACCAGACCCACATAATTTTTACTCAGGGAAAAAAAAAAATCCCTTTTTACCTCACCAGGAAGTACAATGGACAAATACAAAAGCATAGCATTTATCCAGTTCTGTGGTCTGTAAAAGACCCCTTTTGATTCATGACTGTTAGCCTTTATTCCAGCAGTACTGTTCCGACCTGGCAACAAAAGTGCTGTCATCAATTTCTGATCAGCCGTGATATTATCTGTTTTTCAGATTATCTACCTGCAGCCTCTAACTTTTTGCCAGGAGACTATGCGTCATGCCACTGAGAGGAGGCCCAGGTAGGAAGGGATTATGGCACAGAGTACAAGTTTGTCAGTATGTGAACTTATGGGAGAGGCTCTGAATGCCTAATGATAAACATCCAAAGAAACCCCAGTTGAGTGTCCACATGTTTCCAAACTCCGCTAACATTCCAGATACAGAAAAACATTCTGATGCTCAACTAAAATTTTAAATTTCCAACCAGATGTTTGCTAGGTTGAGTATGTGTCTCTGTTTAAACAGCCTCCAAAAATTAGAGAAATATGATTCTTATTATTTGTATTATCTATTTATATCTTCTGTCCCTAATTATTTACAAAAAAATACTAGAAAATTTTTAGTGGAAAAAAAACACTTTACTTGAGTTTCTATAAATCTCACACATTTCACATTTATCATTTTTGATATAGAATAGTTGTACCTATCGTGTTTCTGCTCGGTAAGCAGATTCTTCCCATTCTTAGGTAATTACAGAATGCACGCCTTCATATAGAGACAGAAAATAGCAAATCTTATACTGTGGGTTCCATATGTAATTATACATTTTGGGGGCAAACTAAACTGTTACTTACTAGAAAGGCTCTACTTCAATTTCTGGGAAGTCTAAATAGCTGAGATCCATAGGATTGTTCTAACATTGTTTTCAATATTGCTTCCTTTTCTAAAGCTGAACTCTCAACAAAAATGGATATATAGAGCTCATAAAAACCATAGTCAAAATATATGATGAGCTATGGAGAGAAAATGTGGATATTACCGGTTCTGTTCTGCATTCAAGCCTTCTTCCTATTGGGAGGATGTTTACTTTGTCTGAGTCTTGGTGGGAGAAACTGATGCAAAGACACACATTTGGAAATTTCCCCCGCCCAGCAAGAGGACGATGAAGGCAGTAAAGGGCCAAGCAGGGACTAGCTAGCTGTTGTTTACTGCTGGCAACTTCCCCTCACTCTCACCTATTCTCTAAGCTTGTTTCTCCAGACTGCCTGAAGATTCAATGATCTACCCAATGCATTCTTTTATTATTTTTAGTTCAATGAGGCAGATTTGGGTTTTGTCTTTTTTGCAACCAAGACCCTTAACTGATACAGGTGACACATTATTCGCAATACGAATTTAATTCTTTCAGTTTGTTCACTTGTGGGTAGGAGGTGGAGTTTATGGGGAGCTATCATTTTTTGCATGTGTGTCTGCATTTAGATTAGAGTTTTAAAATTGATATATTAATATCAATTTAGAATTGCTATATTAATATTCTCCACTAGAGTCCCATTTTTTAATCTTTTCCATGTCACCTGCAAATATTAAGTTAATATGTTTAAATGAGGCTTAACCCTTACAAAGGTATAACTACTTATTCTAGTAAAGATTTTTTTATCATCATTATAATGTGAAAAATTGTTCTGGTCTCATTCATACTAACTTACCAAGATGTGAGACCAGCCACAAGGTTTTTAAAATATACGAACAAGGTCATGACAGTGCTACTCACAATAACAGACATGGAATCAACCTAGGTGGCCATCAATGCTGAATTGGATAAAGAAAATATGGTACATATACATCATGAAATACTACACAGCCATAAAAAGGAAGCTGGAGGCCATTATCCTAAGTGAATTAATGAAGAAACAGAAAGCCAAATACCACATGTTCTCATTTACAAGTGGGAGCTAAACATTGGCTACACATGGATATAAAGATGGGAACAATAGACACCAGGGACTAATAGATGAGGGAGGAAGGGAAGAAGGGTTGAAAAACTAACTATTGGGTACCACGCTCAGTACCTGGATGACAGGATCAATCATATCCCAAACCTCAGCATCTTGCAATATACCCTGGTAACAAACCTGCACATGTACCCCCTGAATCTAAAATAAAAGTTGAAATTATAAAAATAAATAACAGCTCAATAAAATATATGAACAAGGAATTAGATGGGCCACACTGATTTAGGGTTGATATGAATAAAAAGCACTTTATGAGAAGTGACATCCAACAAGTTACGGAGAGAAACCATACCAGCTGAAAATCACAGACAGCCTTTTGGAAAACTACCTGAGGTTGGCTGAGTTTTTTTTTTTTAAATCTTGCAAGAGGCTGACAGTCCCAAAGCAAACTGTTAGATTTGGGGCAGCAGACTCAGGAAAGCTTAAAGTCTGCCCATTTTCAAGTTCTGAATTTTCACTAATTCTATGTTAAAGCCTTAATGAAATATTCAGGACACGTAAAATGTAATGACTTTGAACCCATAAAAGTATTTCAAGTATTGAAAATGAGTTGTCTGGTTGGCAATCAGGGGTGGGGGGTGGCATGTCAAGGAATTTTCATATTTCATATAAATCAATGGTTCTTAAAACATTTTAAGCGATAATAGCTGGAAAAAATGTTAAAGTATATAGCAATTCTCTTCAAAAGCATAATCCTCTTTATAGAGTAGACAAATCTGGTTGCCAGTAGAGACTACTTAACCGCATATCAATCCCACTCTGGTGTCTGACTTCAGTGCTGTGTTGTAACATTTTCCACCACATATGTGATGGAAGTCTATGATGGATTGGGCTGCCTAATATACTTCCAGAAAGCGAATTACATATGGAATGGGCAAGAGACAGAAATGAGAGAAAAACCAATTATTTAATGCAGAATTCCCTTCCATTTTCTAACAGATTTTCATAGAATTATAGCTATTTTTCACAAATTATCCATACTTGAGTACATTTATTCTCATTCATATCTCTCTCAGTAATATTGATAACCAAGTCCTTCTAAGTTATTACTTATGCATTAGATGAAGGATATTATTTTCACGTACTTAGAAATTAAATATTTGCTTCTGAGCAAAAGTCATAATAGAAGAGATTAGTAAAAAGGGAATTAGTTAAAGCTAAAATGTTTTGTATAAGAAAATCACCTTAACTAAAACTGCAAAGGCCAGCAACAGTCTAAGAGCAGATAGCTGAATCATAGAAAGAAATATATATATTTGCCATAAATAATTAATGCCAATCATACACAAGGAAGCATGCAAATCAACAAGAAAGACAAACACCTTTAGAAAAACAGAAAAATATATTTACAGACACAGAAGAGAATACAAATGGTTGGTAAGTATGTGAAAAGATGTGCAAACTCATCTTCAGAGAAACAAAATTAAAACAACAATGAGGTTTCATTGGATACCTACCTGACAGGCCAAAAAATGTGGCAAGCACTAGTCTAGGCTCTTTATATATTTTATGTCATGTAGTTCTCAAGAAAACCTTATAAGACATGACTATTTTTACCCTCTGTTCACAGTGGAGGAAAGTGAGACACAGAGAGAGGTATGAAAGGTATGGTAAAGCCCAAGGTCAATGCACTATTCGGTGGCAACAGGGCTGAGACTCAGAGTCCAGGCTCTTGTGCACTCCGTAGCCCAACTACTCAACCCAACAACACTGAGTTTCAGTGACAATACGATCACACCCACGGGCATGTGACTGGGAGAGCAATCAGACAATACCTAGTAAGTTGAAGATACATACGCATATAACCTGGCACATTCAATTCTAGATGTTTAGTTAAAAGAAACTCTTGCATAAATGCACAAGGAAACTTTTTTTTTTTTGAGACAGGGTTTGGCTCTGTTGCCTAGGCCTGAGTGCAATGCAACGAACAGGGATCACTGCAGCCTCAACTTCCTGGGCTCAAGTGATCCTCCTACCTCAGCCTCCCAAGTAGCTGGGACTACAGGTGCAAGACACCATGCACAGCTAATTTTTTATTTTTTGTAGAGACAGGGTCTTGCCATGTTGCCCAGGTTGGTCTCCAACTCCTGGGCTCAAGCAATCCTCCTATTTTGGCCTACTAAAGTGCTGAGATTACAGGCATGAGCCACCATGCCTGGCCTGCAGAAGGAAACATTTAAAAAGATATTCATAGTAGTATTTTTTTATTGTGAAAAATGAAAAATAATCTAAATGTCTATTAGTGAAAGAATGAATATGCAAATTGCTGTACATTTATGCAATAGAATCAATTATGCAATAGAATTTTGACAGTAGTTAAAAATGAATAAATTAGTCCTAATATGTTTGAACAAGGGAAGATCTCAAACTCAATGTTGAATGAAAACAGCAAGTTGCATAATACATGGAGACTGATAGCATTTATGTTCCTTAAAAATATAAAACAATGATATATAATATTTATGGAAATACCGGATACAGTAAATGTATAAGCATGTACTAAATACATTATGAGTTCATGAGGGCGGTTACACTCTGGAAAAGGAGGAATTGAAAAGAATATAGGGATTTCTGTTTTATCTCTAAAGCTTTACTCTTTTTAAAAGAGGAAGGGAGGAAGGGCAAGAAGTGATCTGAAGCAATAGTTTTCAAAGTTTTTATTCAATTTGAGTGGTAGGCACATAAAGGACTTCTTGAAGTGGCCTTTATTATATTCCAGACTTTTAAAGCTATCCAAAATATTACACTTTAAAAGATCCCTTTCTTAATTAAGAACACAGTGCTTCTAAACAACTGAGTGATCACAGGGAATTCTGTCCTATTTTCCAGGACTAAATCAAACTTATCATTTAAGTACAGGATTTATTTGGAGGCATTTCTCAGAGTTTAACTGCAAAAAAATCAGACATATCTCATTAATGCCCATATATAAAAGTATGTTCAGAATGTTGTTATCTGCCCTATAGTTTTTTACCCTGCAATTTTTACTCCTTAGACCTCTTTTTCTTCTTAGTACTATCATAAACCCGTCAAATCTTAGAAGAAACAAAACACAGTTCTTCTTATAAATGCAGACGCCTTAACATTAAATGAGAGCCCTTTAAAGAATAAGTATATAATGACATCCCATGCCACTGTACCCCCATATCATAAATGGAACACAATATGACAAACTTCCACAATCTATAAAGATAACCCCATTGACAACTAATCAAAATATTTCCAGCATATTAGTCACCATTACCATATTAATATTTAAATGGAAGACAGAAAAATATTCAAAATAATGTCTCACCTAATCAATATTTAGCTGTATACAAAATTATTGTTCACAACACTCTAGTTCCACTGTTGTTCTTGTATGTCTTCAAAACACACTCACTTCTTTCCTACCTCAGAACCTTTTCCTATGCAGGGCCCCTTACCGAGTAGACTTCTTACAAGAACTCTATTCCTGCAACTCTTTTTTTTTAAATTATACTTTCAGTTCTAGGGTACATGTGCACAGTGTGCAGGTTTGTTACATATGTATACATGTGCCATGTTGGTTTGCTGCACCCATTAACTCGCCGTTTACATTAGGTATTTCTACTAATGCCATCCCTCCCCCATCCCCCCACCTCATGACAGGTGTGTGATGTTCCCCTTCCTGTGTCCAAGTGTTCTCATTGTTTAATTCCCACCTATGAGAGAGAACTGCAGTGTTTGGTTTTCTGTCCTTGTGATAGTTTGCTCAGAATGATGGTTTCCAACTTCATCCATGTCCCTACAAAGGACATGAACTCATGCAACTCTTAGAATGGCTAGTTTCTTCTCATTCCTCAGGCCTGTACAAGTCATTAGTGCTGTTCCCAATATCCAATTTTCCTCTCTTTTCAGGCACATAGAAAAATGTACGTATCTGCCCCCTTTAAAATTAGGTATGGCCACAACATGTGACTTTTTATGGCCAATGATATGAAAACACAGAAGTGTCACTTCCAGGCCAAAGTGTTTAAGGACCAATGTGCAAGTCACCATCCGGCTCTTTGCTTTGGTAGCCATGGAGGCATGTGTTGAGATAGAGCCTCCTTCATTCCAAGTCCCTTAGTAACTATGATGACCAAAGTTCCCCTGCCAACTTACACTGGACACTTAGTTATGTAAGATGAACTGAAATTAACCTTTGTTTATTAAGTAAAACAAGCCACAGAGATTTTTACGGTTGGTTGTTATGATAGCATAACCTAGGCCATACTGACTAATACAAGGTCTCAGATTAAAGGGTCTCTCTTTAGAGTGAAATTTCTTACACAATCACTGGAAATACCTTTAAATCAGTATCTCAAAAACCTCTCTGTTTTCTTTGGGCACTTATCACAATACACATTTTTAAAATATATTTGTTTTAAATTTTCCCAAAAAGACCGTAAGTACATATAGAAAGGATTTTAAATGTGGTTATGGTGGTTTCTCTATTACCTAGCACAGTGACTAGCAGATGAGAGCTTCTTAGTAAATTTGAAGAATCAATGAATGTTTCACTTTATTTAATTTAAAATAATACATTAAGTACTTTATAAATTTTAATACACAAACATGCCTATGCAAAGAAAACCCAATGATAAGAAAAAATTATCCAGCACAATAACTTCTTATAACAAATGTAAAATTTCCAAATTTGAGCATCCATATGACATATAAACTATATATTTCACATTACATCATAACCCCTTATGTCCCTAAATTTAGAGATCATTAAAGGAGATTTCTTGATTTATCACAAAAACCAATTTCAGATAAACTCAGATACACAGTTCATGTAAACAGAATGTAGACTTAAATTTAGCCAACACATAAAAAGTCATAGGAGTTATAAAAATGATATTTTATTGAAGTCATAAAGAACACATATACTAAGCTAGGGTCCTTACTTTCCTACTGGCAATTTAATAAATGTTTCAGTCATATTTATGACTATTTCATTTTCCACGTATCTTTTGTTGCCAGGATAAAACCTTGGGAGTTCACGCTTCAATGAACCCAGACTCAAGAATCTATTACAAAAATGAATTTTAAGCTGGCATTCACTGAAACACTAAATCTTCTGGTCCAACTGCCAGGGTGTAAGGGACTAAGGCTTGCTGTGCTAGCAGTTTTTGTCAGCTGCCACCCTTTTGCCAGTGACTATATATCAACCATGAATTGTCCGTAAGTTTCAATCTATCGTGTATCTTATGGTAGAGTTTAGCATGACTGGAGGTCTCAGCTTAATAAAATTTCAAGTTCTACCTTTTAGATAAGGCAAAATGCCAGTTCTTTTTTTTCTGTGCTTCTTTGATTTTATTTCTTTTTTTTAATTTTTTTATTATTATTGTACTTTAAGTTTTAGGGTACATGTGCACAATGTGCAGCTTAGTTACATATGCATACATGTGCCATGCTGGTGTGCTGTGCCCATTAACTCGTCATTTAGCATTAGGTATATCTCCTAATGCTATCCCTCCCCCTTCCCCCCACCCCACAACAGTCCCCAGAGTGTGATGTTCCCCTTCCTGTGTCAGTGTGTTCTCATTGTTAATTCCCATCTATGAGTGAGAACATGTGGTGTTTGATTTTTTGTCCTTGCGATAGTTTACTGAGAATGATGATTTCCAATTTCATCCATGTCCCTACAAAGGACATGAACTCATCATTTTTTATGGCTGCATGGTATTCCATGGTGTATATGTGCCACATTTTCTTAATCCAATCTATCATTGTTGGACATTTGGGTTGGTTCCAAGTCTTTGCTATTGTGAATAGTGCCACAATAAACAAACGTGCACGTGTGTCTTTATAGCAGCATGATTTATAGTCCTTTGGGTATATACCCAGTAATGGGATGGCTGGGTCAAATGGTATTTCTAGTTCTAGATCCCTGAGGAATCGCCGCACTGACTTCCACAATGGTTGAACTAGTTTACAGTCCCACCAACAGTGTAAAAGTGTTCCTATTCTCCACATCCTCTCCAGCACCTGTTGTTTCCTGACTTTTTAATGATTGCCATTCTAACTGGCCAGTTCTAAGAAGCAAATTAAGACAAGTTTGTTAGAAATGAATATTTCTATGCAGTCATGCTAGATCGAAGTCAATAATGGCAATTAAACTTGTTACAAATTTAGTTTGGATTCCTAACCATTAAGAAGTATCTGACAGCCCACAAAATACTTTTGATCAAATTTTATTTGGAATTTTTGTCTTTATAGAAATTATTTAGCTGTTTCTTCTTATTTGAATTTGTTTTTCTCTTTTACATGCTTTTAGGCTGTTTTTCTCATATCTTTTCACTTAAACATTTTTCCTTCTAGTCTACTTAAGAATTTTTAATGTATTCAGGCTTTCTGGTAAATGTGTTTGTAAGTATGTCACGAATTCATGAATGAGAAATGATAAAATGATTTTTTAAATGAAAGGAATTATGATTATTTGTAATAATAAAAACATTAGGAAACAATTAAAAGATACATGCATCAGGCCCTGTTCTAACCACTCTGTGAAAAATGATTCATTAACTCTGTACAGTGAAGTAGGTGTAATTATTATACTCAATTGACCCCTAAGGAAATAGAAGACCTCAGAGGTTAGATGCTATATCCAAAGCAACACAGCAACATAAAGAAAAAGGATGTGTGTTTGTGATTATTCACTTGTTATAATTTATAACCAGGAAGCCAATATTGTATAGACTACAGATGAAGACTACAGATGTAGGAGCATACATCTACGGATGTACTATAGACTACAGTACAAAGACCACATATGTAGGAATGAGGCAGACCTGGGTTTAAATCTCAGTGCAATCATTTACTAGCTGCTTGACACTAATTCAGTGAAATCATTTCATGGAAAGAGCCTTAACATAGTAGGTGCTCATTAAAGGAAAGCTATCATATTACTTAGATATGAATTCAACAATTTCCCACTAATGATCAGCACTTTCCACACATTATACAACAAGCATGTATTATTCTTATAATCAGAAAAAACATAAATCATATAAAATGTAGTTTTATTGTTTTAACAATTTGAGATCAGAGCCATACCCAGATCAAGTATTAAAAAGAAAAACTATCCAATTTCATATCAACTCTGTTTTAACAGATGTTAGCCATACTGATGGTGAGAGATGTCATGAGAACTTCCCCTGGTGTTTCTGCTGAAGACAAAACCAAGACTGTTGGCATAAATCATGGAAGCCACAGCAAGTGCAAAGCGAACAAAGATAATTGAATCATAAAAATAGCCAACCTGTTCCTCAAAATTCCACAGCTTATTCTCTTAAATGAAAACTGTAAAACAAGAGTTTACACCTCTATAATCGAAAAAGTTTTATGTACTGGGAAGTGAAAACATCAACTCTAATGCTCACATTGTAATATCAAGTATATATAGTAATGCATAAGTGATTACACAGGTTTATGTCCCCAAGGGACACATATTTTATTTCGAATTCTATCCATTTACCTCCAGTTAATACGATTTTTTAAAATTTAATTTTAGAACAAGGAAAACACTGAGCATCTAGCAAAGTGTTTGGCACATGGCACATGTTCAATAAATTCTTAATGATAAATGCTGAAATCTAAAAAATAAATTCATCTCTTTTTTGTTCCTAATATTAGCAGTAACAAATACATGAACAATAAATAGTAAAATTTCTACTTTACTGATCAGTGGCTTGTATGAGAAACAAAGAGGTTACTCATCAATTTCTTAACCAGTAATGCAGAATTTTTGGAATGCATTTTTTCCTTCCAAGTACAGAGTGCTCTTGAGTTTGCTCTGATCTATTTCCATAATTGTTATTTGACCCAATACTCAGAAAAGCCTTCATCATATGTAATTTTTCCAAATGTTTAACTTGTGAGGATAGCATCTTAAGTTCAGAGAAACATAATATGATGTGAACAGAGAAAACCTAATGTTACAGATTTTCAGGTAAGGAGACGAGAAAATTAATTTTCTAAAAAAGGAAAGGACTTCTTTTTCAAGTTACAATTAAGAAAGAACACACACAGTCTGTACTAGCTTTAAAACTGGCTTTTAAAAGCTTGAAAAACTTTTGAAAAGGACAGCAAGCCATTTACTTTCAAAAGTATAATTAGGATTTTCTTCATCAGACAACTTTTCTGTAACGCAATAAGAGCTTTTTAGAACATTGTAAACTTTTCTCCAGGCAGTGATAGACCTTGTGATTCTGTAACTGATGGAGAACAAAGGCAGGTTACTGACAAAAACAGTGCTGGCATCCTTCCTTGCAGGGTCAGATGGTAACTGAGCTTAGGAAGTAATCACGTTTTGTCTACACAGGAAGTGGAGCAACAGAAGACTGCCAGGGCTAGCTTGTCATTCACACTACCACAACCCACTGTAAGCTTACGGCTTTGACACAATGCTGCCACTTAGTTGATAGAAAAGCTTCTCCTTACTCTTTAATAGAATTAACTTTATTTCTTCCATAGCTGCTCCAAAATCTGAAGAGGGTAATTTTCTCATGTTAAGCATAAAGAGGAAAAATGCAACAACAAAAACAAGTCAACAAAAAGTCTACCTTGATGAATAAAGGAAATATATCACCATATTAAAATTGAATGGCCAATCTTTGGATCATGGGCATTTTTCTTCAACCAGAACCACAATTATTCAAATATTTATATTCGTTTGGGGCAATTAATGAAAGACCTTTAAAAGAGGTACTTTTTTGAGCTATTCTCTCTTTTTCAAACTCCTTCTAATAAACAGCTTGACCATTTTGTGATTTTGATCTATGATCTATAAATTCTCTTTAATTATTATGCTATAATTTGAATATAGTTTCTCCTTTTGTAAAATCAGTTAAAGATATTGAGATTCATACCTAAATGAGGGTTAAGTTTTCCCTCCCTCTCACTTTGTCAAAGTTAGAAAGGCATTCCAGTGCCTTTCTGAGGGTGCTTGTGTGTCTTCATAATTTGCAGATTATTCTGCAATTATTCAGTGAAAATAGTATTAATATATGTTCAATCTATTTTCTTCTCTCAGAACTCTTCTTGCTCTTCCTTGAATATAGTTTTATTACTCACTATAACCCAAGATAATCCTCATTAAAAGAGGGTAAACACCCAGTCCCAAGAATCATTTTCTTTTTCACTGTCCAATAGCCTACTATTTCTAAAAGTCAGAAGGAAATGAGCCATGTAGGTAATAAATATGATTAAGGAGACCTCTGAATTAGAGCACACCTATTCTGCACAAAGAGGCAGCTACATAACTATCATGGAACTATTTCCATGACATCAGAGACCTTTTACAACATTTAATAAACAGGGTCAAACTTTTGTTAAAATATAGAAATACTGGCTGGGCGCGGTAGCTCATGCCTGTAATCCCAGCACTTTGGGAGGCTGAGGCGGGTGGATCACCCAAGGTCAGGAGTTCAAGACCAGCCTTGCCAACATGGCTAGACCCTGTCTCTACTAAAAATACAAAAATTAGCTGGGTGTGGTGGCAGGCACCTGTAATCCCAGCTACTCGGGAGGCTGAGGCAGGAGATTCACTTGAACCTGGGAGGCAGAGGCTGTGGTGAGTCAAGATCGTGCCACTGCACTCCAGCCTGAGCAACAAGAGCGAAACTCCATCTCAAAAAAAAAAAAAAAAAAAAAAAAAAGGGAAGAAAGAAATACCTATTGGCATATGGGGGAAACTGGCAGATTAGATAAAACTTTATTTTGAATTAAAATTAAAGTGTAAAGCGTAAAAAAAAAATCAATGCTCAGTGCAAAACCATATAATGAAAAAGAATACAAAGACTAGCAATAAAAATAAATGTACATTAAACAAAAATTTCCTGGGCAAGTGCTACGAGGCTTTATCCATCTTAATTAGTAGAGATCTAGGGATACAAAGGCAAATAAAACATGACCACTGGCCTTAATGAACTCACAGTCTGTTAAGGCAAGAACAGTGACAAATACAGAAATACTGAATGCTAGATGTACACAGTAAGTGTAATGAGGGATTCTGAGAGGGGGACTCACTCTCAATCCTCAGTTACAACCATGATGCACTCCAGTGGGAAATCCAGGCAGCGATGGCACCAAGTACAAAGCTATGGGGTGAAAAGCGAAGGTGTATTTGGGAAAAAACAAAAAATCAGTTTACTGTGGCTGGAGTTGTGTATGTGTTAGGGATGGGGAGGCTGAAGACATTTTCAGTTATGAGAGAGAAAAGATAATAATAATGATGATAACAGCTAACAGTTATCGAGCACTCAGTGTTTCAGACACTGGGTAAGCACTTGACATATATCATGCCATCAAAACCTCACAACTCCCATAATGCATATTATCCTCACTTACAATCTAGGGTTCAGAAATATTAATGGGGTATAATCCTTCATAAAGGGCCTTCTATATCAAGTTAAGAAATGTGGGCTTTATTATATACTAACAGGAAATCCATGAAAATATTTTATGTTAGCACTTTCAAAAATTCTTTAACTGAGAAGAATGTAGGAAAAAATAAACTCTGAAGGCTGTGTGATACTGGAAGGATGACTGCTACATGGTCTAAGAAAGAAAAAAAGACCTCAACTAGGGCTAAATTAGCATCATACTGAAGAGGAGGGTATGCATTAGTGTGACATTTCAGAGGTCGAATAACAAGATTTGGTGACAGATCTGTTATGGTGGAGGAGTGAGAAGTGTCAGGAATTACTGTGAGGTTTTTAGCTTGGATAACTGGGTAAATGCTAATGACCCTATCTGACATAAGGAATACAGAGAGAAAACCAGGGGATGACAGCAGGTTCAATGTAAGACATGTCATATGCAAGGTTTCTGCGAGACAGAGAGCTTTGTTTACGCAAGCAATAGCAAATATGGGTCTGTGACTCAGTTTAAGCTGGAGACACAGATATTTCAGAGGAGAGGCAAGCCAAGAAGACTAGAGGTGATCAGCCCTACCCTGCATCCTATTTATAAAGCAGCAGTGTCACTCCAAGATAGACCATTGTCTCCGCCTTCAGTCCAGAGGAGTGGCTCAGAGATTTTACCCAAAGAGAAAGGCAGGCCCATAAGAAGAAAGACCTCTGAAACTCTTTCCAAAGGAACTGACTTTATTTAAAATAGATAAAGTAGGGAAGTTCAAATCTGAAAGTGCTTTGGAAATGGAGATTTTGATGGTAGGCAATTAAAAGGAGGCTGGTAGCTTTATGAGGGCATTCAGCTAAGCCATGGCCAGTTAGTTTAGAGAAAGAGACAGCTAAGAAGTCTTTTTGGAGTCAGAGGCTCAAAGGCTGGCCCCAAAAATTTATCCTGCAAAGGGTCCTGGATTTAACTGGATCAGACTATGGAGCAATTTATACCCCAGGGCATTGTAAAAAAACAATTAAGAAATCAGTCAGAAATTAGTGAGGCCTAACAGATGGGTGTGATACTAACAGAAGCCAACAGCTTAACAGATCAGGGACAAGAACAGTAAAAGAGAGCACTGTTAAAACCACTGTCATCCCAGGTTAACTGGGCACATGTTCAAGACTGTGCCTCTGGGGGGCAGCATGAAAGGCTTTCCACTGCAGAAGAAACAGACTTCACTAAGATCGTCCAGCCAAGGCACTAAACAAAATAATTAAACAATAGTATCAAGACCCTGGGGTGTGGGCAGTATCAAAAGGTGCTGCAGTATCTTATTTTAATGTAGAGTTTTCAACAAAAAAACTATGATATGTGAAGAAACAGAAAGTGTGTCCATAGTACACAGGAAAAAAAGCAAGCAACAGAAATGTCCTTAGAGAGAACTCAGGACCAGCCTTAACAGACAAATACCTCAAAGCAGTCATTATGAGTATGTCCCAAAACCTAAAGGAAGCCATGCTGAAAAAACAAGGTTTACTGACAATGTCTCGTCAAAGTGAGAATATCATCAATGAGAAGACAAACTATAAAAAGAACCAAGTAGAAATTCTGGAGATAGAAAGTACAATAATTGAAATAAAAAATTCCCTGGAGATAATCAAGAGTAGATTGGAACTCGCAAAAGAAAGGATCAGTGAATTTCTGGTGATAGATCTATAGAGAGTATACAATTTGAAAAGCAGAGGAAAAAAATAAAAAAGAATGAAGAAATGTGAACAAAGCTTCAGGGAAATGTGGGACACCATTAAGCACACCAAAAATACGCAATAAAGGAAATACCAGAGGAAGAGGAGGAAAAGAACAGTAAAAGATATTCAGAGAAACAGCAGAAAACTTCCAAACTTGATGAAACACTATTAATTTATACCTCCAAGAAGTTTAACAAAGTTTAAGTAGTAAAAATGCAAAGATATCCAAATGTAGACATATCACAGTAAAAACATTAAAGACAAAAAGACAACTGTCAACAGCTGACTTTTTATCATAACAATTAAGGATAAAAAGCCTTAAGACTCTGGAAAAAGTGCTAACTTGACCTAATGCAATCAGAAAGAAGCAAATAATAATGATCAGAGAAGGTACTAATAAAATAGAAAATAGAAAAGTAAGAGAAAAATCAACAAAATCAAAAGGTGGTTCTCTGGCAGATAAAGTTGGCAAACCTTTAGCTAGACTGACCCCACCTCTATAAAAAAGAGAAGACTCAAATTATTTATACTAACATCAACAATGAAAGAGGGAGCATTATTACTGACTTTACAGAAATAAAGAGGATAATGAAGTAATACTCTGAACATGAAGTGAACAAGTTTACCAACAAATCAGACATATGAAATGGACAAGTTTCTAGAAAGATAGAAATTACCAACAGTGACTCTAGAGTAATTAGAAAATTGGATTTTCCAATTAATGAGTAATTATTTTCTAATTACTAATTTATAGTAGGTAAAGGGATTCACTTAGGGATAGAGAAACTATCCACAAAGAAAGGCCCAGGCCCAGATGGCTTTACTGGTAAATTCTACCAAACATTTAAATAACAATACCAATTTTTCACAAACTTTTCCAAAATAATAAGAGGAAAGAACACTTCTCCAGTCACTCTATGAGGTCACAATTACACTGATACCAAAATCATACAAAGATATCAAAAGAAAAGAAAACTACAGACAATATTCTATGTAAATATAAAAGCAAAAATCTTCAACAAAATACTAGCAAACCAAATCCAACAATATATAAAAAAGATTATATACCACGACCCAGTGGGATTAATCCAAGGAATTTGAGGATATGTAAATCAATCATTGTAATACACCATATCAACAGAATAAAGGACAAAAACCATATGAGCATCTCAATATACACAGAAAAGAACAAGTTTCATAATAAAAACACTAAAAAACTAGGAGTAGAAGGGAACTTCCTCAGCATAATAAAGGGCCTCTACAAAAAACTCATAGATAATATCATATTTAATGGTGAAATACTTGTTACGTTCCGCGTAAGATCAGACTAGGACAAGGAAATCTGATCTTGCCACTTCTATTCAACATTTGTACCAGAGGTTCCAGCCAGAATCAGACAAGAAAAGAAAAGAAAAAGCATCCATGTTGGAATGAGAGAAGTAAAACCATCTCTATTTGTAGATGGCAACACTCACGCATTTCATGTATATTATAAAATATACATTATGAAAAAATATATTTAATATATAATACATGTAAAATCCTAAATTATCCATTGAAGACTATTAGAATTAACAAGTTCTGCAAGATTGCAAGATACAACATCAATACACAAAACTCAACTGCATTACTGTACACTGGAAATAAATGTTTCAAAAATAAAACTGAAACAACTCTATTACAATAGCACTAAAAAGAATAAAATAGAAATAAATTTGACAAAAGAAGTACGAAACTATACTCTGAAATGTATAAAACATTGTTGAAATAAATGTTTAAAAATATAAATGAAAAGATATTCCATGAAAGAAAGAAATAGAAAAAGAACAAATTGAACAATGATTTAAGACTGAAGGATATCCTTTCCTAAGTGTCTTCAACAGATGGGAGTGAGGTACAGAAATAGGTTCCTTGTTTTGAGTTATAATGAAGGGCAGCCTGATGACATGTCAACACCTGGAATACCAAACACCAGACTTAGGAAAACTTAACAATGACACATGTGGATGTACCATGGATGAGTACACACCAGAAATCCTAGATCCTCAGAGATTTGTGGATTACACTTTCTTGGGCCACTTTGAACTATGAGCTGAATTTCTAGGATCTGGTTTGATAATCATCACAAATCTAATCCCAAATGGATGAGGAACAAAATAGTGGGGGCAACAAGTCCACTTCAAACTTGTACAAAGTGGTTAAGTAATTTTAGGGATTTGCTTTGTTGTCATCGTAACACTCAAGAAAGTGGCCTGAACCATCCAGAACCAGCACGTAAAAGGAAAGGCATACTGCAGTCTCCAGGCACAGGTAATTCAAAGTATAGTCGATCTAGACTTCTATGTTTTATCATGACAAATTTCTGGCAATAAAGTGTTTTTAAAAGGGGGTGTTTTTTCTAGTTCACAGTGATGTCTCTGAGCTAGTGGAAGAGGTGGAGCCATATTTCAATATTCCTGGTAACGTGATAGTTAAAATAATTAACACAAAATCTCCAAACAGTTTTAACTGAATGATTAGGAGAGTTTGTTTCATAATTCTAGTTAAGTAACAGAAAAAAATTATTAGCCATTTGTATCATGCAATGTACCAAATTCTTTATATATGCCAGAACATACTTAGTGAAATAACTCCCAATTTAGAACCCCTCATGCCTCAACCAATTTATCCCTTTCTGACACCCACCTGAAACTAGGAAAAGGAAAAGCAAAAGCAAAAGGAAGCCCAACCCCTCTGTCCTGAGGAGGACTGTGAGACATCAGAGGGAGGCAGGAGAGAGGCATGGCAGAGCCCAGAGTTGGACCAGTGTGTCAGACACATTACTGGGAATGCAGAGGGCAGAGCACATTTGCTTCCTTTGGGGACTCCAGAAAGAGATGACCATTCAAACCCAAACCATTCTGAAGGTTGACACCATCAAAGTGATTCTTGCATGGCCCCACAGGGACCTGGAAGTTACTGAAGAGTCTGGCTAGGGCTTATGCAAAATCTCATATATTTTCTTGTTCATACATAACAGCCAATGGAAGCAAAAATCTCCAACATCTCACCAGTCACGGGATAATTAATGAATATAGCACTTTCCACTGGGATTTCCCAAAGTACCTTCCTCACTCCTCCAACTCCTTCTCCATTATCTGCTCAGCTGTTCTTTGATCTTGTCTAGTTCAGCTCTAGGTTTTTATCCTCAAGTGCTCTGTGCCTGAAAAAATGGACCTTGGTATTCCCTAGCACCAACCAAGCCCTCAAACTGTCTTTTTATCAAACGACTCTTCAGACACCACCTCCTTCACAAATTATTTATATTTTTACAAGAGAGAGCTCAAGTTCCTCTGGCTTCACTCAAATGCAGGGAAATAAACTATACTTATTTATAGCTTTGTAGAGTCATAAACAATAGAAAATACATAACTGTGAAATAAGAAATGAATACTTATGAATGTCAGTAATTATTCTAAAAAGAGAAGTATTATATAAGTAGTACTTAAAAAGTGTGCAGGGTTACATTCCTTTATATATTTCACTATGATCTCTACAATCTTACTATAATCTACAAATCTATAATGTAATAACTGATTAAGATACAGATTTAGTTTTAGCAAGATTTGTCATTAATTTCCTTCAAACGAGTAGGATTTTCCTTTTTAAAAAACTAGATAAAGCTTCCCATTCATTTACAAGTCATTCTACATATTATTTTTAAAGTTTATTTGGGTTATTTCTTAGTTTACCACATAGTAACCAAGCCAAGATTCGAAGCTATTATAAACATTCTTGGCTCAATTTTGCCCCCTGCAGGGAGTATGTACTTCTTACATTGGGATTTAAAAGTATGAGAGATGGAGAAAACCTTAACATAAAGTTGACTATTCCAAATCCAGCGTTGCCTCATCAGAGAGAGGCAAAATCTATTCTGGTAACAGAATTTTAAGACATTATAAATCTTTCAAAATAATCTAGTAGTAAATTATACCCAGAGTGGCTTCATTTTAGGCACTATTCAATGTGAAAATTGAATTATTGGATAAAATATTAGAGATATTTTAATAAATGATTTCTTAAGCCTAGCTAATTATAAAAATGCCCTGGGGTACTTTGTAAGGGCCTCATGCTATACCAATGTTTCACAAACTTCACCTTATAGCACAATTACTTCGCGGGCTTTAAAAAATGCTAATGTTTGGCCATGGGTCCTATGGCTCCAGAGATTCTTATGTAATTGATAGGGGATGAAGCCTGAGTGCCGAGATTTTTAAAAACTCCCTGGTGATGATAATAAGCAACAATGGTTGCAAATCACTGTATTCAGAGTACTGAATTTGAATCTCCAAGGAACAGATGTGGGAATCAATACTGTTGACAAAAATACTCTGGTGATTCTTATGACCAAGCAAGATGAGTAAACACTGATCTAGCCCAATGTCCTCATTTTTCAAACAAGAAATTACTTGTAAATTGACACGCTCAAGAACACAGTAATCTGTTAAATTCTAACTAAACTCTCTACTGTGACATTCAGAACTTAATTCTTTTTTTTTTTAAGATGAAAACCATCTTGTTCAAGATTTGGAATGTACTTTGTGTGCTATTTCTAAATCAGATGAAGACATTCACAAACATAAGGCTTTGCCCATATGCAAAAAGTTTGCATGCATTAAACCACGACATTAAGTATGGTCATGGGAAACACAGTCTTTAATTCGCAGAAGATGAGGCACCCACAGAATTAACGTTTCTTGATTGAGTAATATGCACTTAATAAAGTGCAACAATATTAGTCTTAAATGTCAGCTGCAGTATCACAAACTATATCATCTTCGATTGGAAGCCCCTCCTCCTGGCTTTCTGTGTGACTTTAGATAGATTTCAGGTCAAAAACTTTTTAAATGTGATAAAAAAAATTCCTGGAAAATACAGTAGAGTAAAACCATATCACAGAGTCTCCCTTTCCCACAGCTAATATCAACAACAACAACAACAACAACAACAACAACAAAGGTCAAATGAAACTAACAACACTTTTACTGTCAGCAGCTAAAGAAGAAATATGCCCAAATTCCTGACATGTTTGAAAAACAACAGACAAGGAATGAAACGGAAGAGTGTCATAACCCCTCTTCCCTCAAATGATATAGGGAATGAAAATGATGAGACTCTGACAATTCTTTTTTTTTTTTTTTTTTTTTTTTTTTTTTCAGACAGGGTCTCGCTCTTCCACCCAGGCCGGACTGCTGTGGCGCGATCTCGGCCCACTGCAAGCTCCGCCTCCCGGGTTCACGCCATTCTCCCGCCTCAGCCTCTCTCGAGTAGCTGGGACTACAGGCGCCTGCCACCGCACCCGGCTAATTTTTTGTATTTTTAGTAAAGACGGAGTTTCACCATGTTAGCCAGGATGGTCTCGATCTCCTGACCTCGTGATCCGCCTGCCTCGGCCTCCTAAAGTGCTGGGATTACAGGCGTGAGCCATCGCGCCCGGCCGAAATCTGACTATTCCTTCTGAAGAGCTGAGTTCGTCTTTAGCTTATGGATAAATTAGTTAAAAATTATAGGACTAAAATCCCTACCTACCCACATAACATCGCATTCGAAGAAAAAACAAAAACAAAAACAAAAATAAAAAAACAGAAAGGCCCAGTCATTGTGATCTCTACCAGATGGGAGAAAACTGGACAGTGAAGACAGAATTATATCATCACACAGGGTTAGTTATCCTCAGCATTAAGCACAAAGAACATAAGAACAAAGGATTCTCAGGGAGCAGCAGGCTGGGGTGAAGCCCCTTACAATCACAATAAGGAAGACAGACTAATGCTGAGGAATGATGAGACAAATACAGAAAACTAACACCAAGCAAGATTTTCTGATAGCAATGGTGCATCAGGTCCTGTAGCTGAAATGGGAGCAATCATTCAAATTTCAGGGATATCCTCTTTGAAAAAGAATACTTCCATGACAAGAGGGAGTGATCCTGACACAAAATATGTGAAGAATAACCTGAGAAAGTACAGAGCTCAGATCCTTTCATCACTGCTGCCCAAATCCCAGCTGTGCTCTTCCTTTCCTCATAGGGGCTCAGAACATAATGCACTTGAAATACCTGGCTCTCAAACAGGAGCTAGGGAAGGAAAACAATCCCTAGGTAATTCTGAAAGGGAGAAAAGAAAAATTCATCTATACCAAATTAATGCAAAAGCCCATTTCAAGGAAGCAGAAGACAGAAAGAAATGGGTCGGGAACTATGTACCATACTATAATTTTTTCCTAATACACAAAGCAGATTAAGAAAAGAATACTGCATTGTAGGAAAAAATAATGAGAAAACAAAAGAAAATTATGCATGATTTCTTTGTATTACAAAGCTATTTGTTAATAAATATATAAGGAAATGAATTCAGTAACAAAAGGGCTAAATAAAGTCTAAATGATCAAACAAAACAGTGAAATAAAAGAGAAACTTCTAAATAAACTAAAAACAAAGTAAGATATCTTATATGATTATAAAACCATTACACTAATTGGCAAAAACAACAGAACAGACACTGCTAAAAAGAATTACTGATAAAGATCAAAAGAAGTAAAGAGTGGATAAAAGATCAAAAGTCTAAAAAAAGAAATCAATATACTTGAAGTAGAGAACCTAAAAATGGAGAAAAATGACTCGAAGACACAACAGAACATTTCTCCAAAATTAAGGAAGAAGACTATCATTCCAAATCAAATGATCACATGCTTTTCACTAAAACTAGTACAGAAAAAAATATATACATGATTATAAAGTAAAAACCCTTTGGGTATCCAGGAAAAAACAGCAAGTGACTTAGGAGAAGAAAGATCAGGCTAGAGTCAGACTTCTTCATAGCACACACAATGCCAGAAAACAATTGGATCCTATCTACAGAAATATGGAAGGAAAAAGGTACAAACAGCTCAAAGAAACAATAGAACGTTTCTCCAAAATTAAGGAAGAAGTCTATCATTCCAATCAAATGATCACATGCTTTTCACTAAAACTTATACAGAACAAAAAAAAAAAAATAATTATAAAGTAAAAACTCTTTGAGCATCCAGGAAAAAACAGCAAGTGACTTAGGAGAAGAAAAATCAGGCTAGAGTCAGACTTCTCCACAACACATTCAATGTCAGAAGATAATTGGATCATATATACAGAAATATGAAGGGAAAAAGGTACAAACACCCAAGTTAAACTTATCCAAGTTGGAATTTAAGTATAAAGCAACAAATCAACATTATACACAATAAGAAGGCACTCAAGCAGAGCCTAGAAAAATCACTTGACAAAAATTGAATCAATCTATAGGTGAGGTGAAAAAAAGCAACAATAAAAGATATCATACTTACTCCCCTTATGGTGGAGAGATAAAAGAGATTGTATAATGTTGGTAAATCAAGAAATTGTGGCCTAAGTATTTTAATCAGATTTTAAAATTTTACAAAACAAATGAGATTAGGAAGTGGTTTATATAATGTTGAAAGTAAATCTAAAATAATAATTTTTAAAAAATTTTGCACTAATTTTTGTAAGAAGAAAAGCTTTCAAGGAACAAAAATAAGCAGGCAGAAAATTCCTCTTCTTTATGTGCTATGACACTTTCTTTGTTCAACATAAATTTAGCTTTTAACTCTTTGAGAAGAAGTGATAGGACAATAAATTATAAAAACATACCCTGACTATTTTTCTAGTTACATTTCCTGACTTCCCAGCTGATGTGGTTTGGCCATTCCCCACCCAAATCTCACCTTGAATTGTAATAACAAGGGTGGGGCCAGGTGGAGATAACTGAATCACAGGGACAGTTTCCCCCATACTGTTCTCATGGTAGTGAATAAATCTCAGGAGATCTGATGGTTTTACAAAGGGGAGTTCTCCTGCACAAGCTCTCTTGCCTGCTGTCTGTAAGACATGACTTTGATCCTCATTCACCTTCTGCCATGATTATGAGGCCTCCCAGACATGTGGAAATGTGAGTCAACTAAACCTTTTTCCTTTATAAATCACCCAGTCTCAGGTATGTCTTTATTAGTGGCATGAGAACAGACTACTAATACAGTAAATTGTTATCAGATAGTGGGGTGGTGCTGTAAAGACACCTGAAAATGTGGAAGAGACTATGGAACTGGGTAACAGGCAGAGGCTGGAACAGTTTGGAGGGCTCAGAAGACAGGAAGATGTGGGAAAGTTTGGAACTTCCTGGAGACTTGTTGAATGGATTTGATCAAAAAGTCCAGGCTGAGGTGGTCTCAGATGGAGATGAGGAACTTGTTGGGAACTGGAGTAAATGCCACTCTTGATATGCACAGATACTGGCAGCATTTTGCCCCTGTCCTAGAGGTCTGTGGAACTTCGAGCTTGAGAGAGATGATTTAGGATATCTGGTGGAAGAACTTTCTAAGTGGCAAAGCATTCAAGAGGAAGCAGGTCATAAAAGTTTGAAAAAAATTGCAGCCTGACAATGTGATAGAAAAGAAAACACCATTTTCTGGGGAGAAATTCAAGCCAGCTGTAGAAATTTGCCCAAGTAATGAGGAACCAAATGTTAATCCCCAAGACAATGGGAAAAATGTCTCCAGGGCATGTCAGAGACCTTCATGGCAGCCCCTTCCATCACAGGCCTGGAGGTCTGGGAGGAAAAAATGGTTTCCTGGGCCTGGTCCCCAGGCCCCCCACACTCAAACCCCGCTCTATGCAGCCTTGGGACATAGTGCCCTGCATCTCAGCTGCTCCAGCTCCAGCTGTGGCTAAAAGGGGCCAATGTACAGCTCAGGCTGTTGCTTCAGAGGTTGTAAGCCCTAAACCTTGGTGGCTTCCACATGGTGTTGGGCCTGTGAGTGCACAGAAGTCAAGAATTGAGGTTTGGGAACTCCACCTAGATTTTAGAGGATGTATGCAAATGCCTGGATGTCCAGGCAGAGGTGTGCTGCACGGGTGGAGCCCTAATGGAGAACCTCTGCTAGGGCAGTGTGGAAGGGAAATGTGGGGTCGCAGCCCCCACACAGAGTCCCCACTGGGACACTGTCTAGTGGAGCTGTGAGAAGAGGGCCACCATCCTCCAGACCCCAGAATGGTAGATTCACCAACAACAACTTGTACTGTGTGCCTAGAAAAGCCACAGGCACTCAACACCAGCCCATGAAAGCAGCGTGAGAGGGGCTGTAACCTGCAAAGCTACAGGGGCGGAGCTGCCCAAGACCATGGGGACCCACCTCTTGCTTCAGCATGACCTGGATGTGAGACATGGAGTCAAAAGGGATCATTATGGAGCTTTAAGATTTGACTGCCCCACTGGATTTCAGACTTGCATGAGGCTTGTAGCCCCTTTGTTTTGACCAATTTGTCCCATTTGGAACAGGTGTATTTACCCAATGCCTGCACAACCATTGTATCTAGGAAGTAACTAACTTGCTTTCAATTTTACAGGCTCCTAGGCAGAAGGGACTTGCCTTGTCTCAGATTAGACTTTGGAATTGGACTTTTAGGTTAATGCTAGAATGAGCTAAGACTTTGGAGAGTTGTTGGGAAGGCATGATTGTGTTTTGAAATGTGAGGACATGAGATTTGGGAGGAGCCCGGGGCAGAATGATATGGTTTGGCTGTGTCCCCACCCAAATCTCACTTAGAATTGTAATAATCCCCATGAGTCAACAGCAGGGCTAGGTGAAGATAGCTGAATTATGGGAGCAGTTTTCCCCATACTGTTCTCATGGTAGTGAATAAGTCTCACAAGATCTGATGGTTTTACAAAGGGGTTTTCTCCTACACAAGCTCTCTTTCCTGCCGCCATTTAAGATGTGATTCTGCTCCTCATTTGCCTTCTGCCGTGATTGTGAGGCCTCCCAGCCATGTGGAACTGTGTGTCAATTAAACCTCTTTCCTTTATAAATTACCCATTCTTGGTTATGTCTTTATTAGCAGTGGCAGAACAGACTACTACAATGGCCATCTGCTCCTTGAAAAACTCATACTGATTATGCAGACAATAATTAGTAACATTACTTTCTCAATATCCCCAAATAGAAGTCCCAAAAAAGATGTGCACAATGATTCTGGAAGCATCCCTCACTGTGTTTCCCTAACCACAAGTAGAAAAAAAGTGTATGTGGCCAGAAGCATTAATCCCAAAACCTAAACCAACTTATACAAAAGGAGAAACAATTACTTTCATTGTTCAATTTTTTAACAGCTTTCCCGAGGTATAATAAACATACAATCAGCATCATATATTTAAAGTGTACATGTATGGTTTTATACATGTATAACCCCATCATCATTACAACCTATATAACAACATATCCTTCACTCTTACAAGTTACCACCTGTTCCTGTGTCATTGTTCTATCCTGCCTATCCATACCTTTGCATCCCTAGGCAACCACTACTCTGCAAGTCGTCATAGTAGTTTTAATTATCTAGAATTATATAAAAATAAAATCATAATGTATTTACTCTTTTTCAACTGTCTTCTTTTGCTCAGCCTAAATAATTTAAGGTTCATCAATAATGTACATATAAATAATTCATTACTTTTTTAACAAACAATAAATATTCCGTTGTATGCACTGTATGAATATACAACTTGTTTCTTGATTTATCTGCTGATGGGCATTTGGGTTGTTTGCAGTTTGGCACTATTACAAATAAGGCTGCTACAAAGCCTTTGAGTACAAGTTTTTGTATGAATATAAGCTTTCATTTAGCTGGGGCAAATAAAGCGTGAAATAGCCTAATCATATGATATGCATATACTTAACTTTTTAAGAAACTTGACAGTTTTCAAAAATGGTTGTACCATGTACTTTCTTACAAGCAATGCATACAGTAGAATGACATCTCATTGTGATTTTAGTTTGCATTTCCCTAATGATGAATGACATTGAAAATCACAATGAGATACTGCTCTACTGGACTTCATACATTCCTGGTAAGACTTTTGCTGTGATTTTGATCAGTCCTATGCTGAATTCATACAACAATTTTGGGAGAAGAGATACCCCACAATATTGAGTCTTCCAACTAATGAACATATGTATTTCTTCATTTATTAGGTCTTCATTAATTTTGTTCAGCAATGTTTTGCAGTTTTCAGCACATGGGCTTCTGCATCTTTTGCAGAATTATCCATGAGTATTACATAATAAATAAGATGATGTAAATGGTATTGTTTTCAACTTAGATTTTCAACTGATCATTGTTAGATATGGAAATGCAACTGCCATTAGTTTGTATCCTGCAGCCTTGCTGAACTTACTTATGAGCTCCAGTAGATTTTTGTAAAGTCCATCGGATTTTCTACATAGACAATAACATCATCTACAAGTAAAACAATTTTACTTCCTCCTTTCCAAATACATGACTTTCATTTCTTTGTATTGCCTATTGCCATTGCTAGGACCAAACAGTGCAATGTTCAACAGAAGTGACGAGAGTGACTATCCTTGCTTTGTCACCATATTACAGTTTTTTTGGAAATGCCCTTCTTTCATGTTGAGGAAATTCTCTTCTATTCTTTATCTTGCTGACTGTTTTGGGAACAGATTTTGGCATCAGAATTTGTCAAATGCTTTGTCAGCTATATTTAGATGAACACTCTGATTTTTTAGAATTTGTTCATATAGTGAAACACGATGTTTTTTAATATCATAGGATAAATCTCAATTGGCTATGATCTATTATCCTTTTACCATATTATTGATACATTTGCTAAAATTTTGTTGAGAAATTGTATATCATAATTGATATTTATATGTTGTTTTCTTCTTGATATGTCTTTTTCTGGTTTTGGTATCAAGGTAATTTGGCCTCACAGAAGCAGTTGGGAAGTTTTAACTCCTGTTCAACTTTCTAGAGAAATCTACATAGAATTGGTATTTTTGCTTTCTTAAATGTTTGGTAGAATTCACCAGTAAAGCTTTTTGGGCCAGTAGTTTTCTTCATGAGAAGGTTTTAAGTTACACATTCAATTTATTTAATTGATACAGGGATATTCATGTTATTTACAGCAGTCCCTTAGTATCTGCAGGGAACTGGTTCCAGGATGCCCAGAGATACCGAAATCCATAGAGGCTCAAGTCCCTGATAAAAAAATTATGTAGTATTTGCATATAACATACACACATTCACCCATACACTTTAAATAAGCTCTAGATTACCAATAGTACATAATACAAGGTAAATGCTATATAAATGGTTGTCTTACTGCTAAACTTTTTAAGTTCATATTATTTTTTGTTGTACTGTTATTTTTATTGTTATTTTCAAATATTTTTGATCCATGGCTGAATCCACATGCATGGAACTCATGGATTCAAAAGGCCACCTGTATTCTTAATTGAGCTTTGGCGATATATGTCTTTCAAGAAATTATTTACCTTATTTTTGCTTTTGAGTTGTTCATTATCTACTTAATATCCATTTAATATGATCTTTCTTGCTACATGTTCCATGTGCAATAAAAAGGAATGTATATTATCTGCTGCTGTGTGGCAAAGTGTTCTATAAATATTAAATAGGTCAAGTAGATTGACAGCAGTGCTAAAGTTTTCTATGCCCGTATTGACTTCTTACCTACTCTCAATTATTGAGAGGGGGTACTGAAATCTCCATTAATTATGGATTTGTCTACACCTCCTTGCAGTTCTGTTTTTATTTCATGTATTTTGAAGCTATGCTATTAAGTGAGAGAACACTTAGAACCATCACATCTTCTTGATTAACTGACCGCTTTATTATTATGAAATGGCCTTCTTTATGCCTGATACTATTACTTGCTCTGAAATCTTCTTTGTCTGATATTAACTTAGCTACTCCAGCTTTAATTTGATTACTATTAGCCAATTATTTCTTTTTACATCTTTTAGGTCTTAATCCATTAGTGTCTTCTATTTAAAATAGATTTCTTATAGGCAGCATATAATTGGATTTTTAAAATCCTACATAACAATCTTTATCTTTCAATTGGAGTGTTGAGACCATTTACATTTATTGTGATGATTGACATGGCTAGGTTTCAATCTACCACTTTCTATTTGTTTTCTAACTATCCATTAATCATTTGTTCTTCTTACCTTCTTTTGTTGCTTTCTTCTTTATTATTCCATTTTATCACCTTTTGTTGGCTTTTTAATCATTACTCTGTATTTTTAGTGCTTACTCTAAGGTTTACACCACACATCTTTAACTTATCAATGTCTATCTTCAAGTAACATAATTCTTGACATATAGTATAGGCACATCCCAGCCTCTGTGTATTGTTTTATTATTTTACCACCACATCTACTCTACACCCCATAGGACATTGTAATTAATTTTTGTTCAGTCAATTGTTTCCTAAAAAGATTTAAAATACTAAGGAAAAGTATTATATATTTACCCACATAGTTACGTTTTTTGATACTTTTCATTCCTTTCAATATTTTTCAAAGAATATTCAAAAATATTTGGCAATATTTTTCTTCAGCCTAAAGAACTGCCTTAATATTTCTTACTGTGCAGGTGACTGGAAAATGAATTCTTCCCTTTTATATATTGGGAAAAAGCTTTATTTATTTTACTTCTGATTTTGAAAGACATTTTATTAAATATAAAAGCCTAGACAGAGAATTGTCTTTTTCAACTTTAGTGCTCTAAATGTGCTGTTCCACTTTCCTTTTTACTTGTACTGTTTTGGACAAATAATTTGTTGTTATTTTTATCTTCTTTTCCTCTATACAAAATGTATCTCTTTTCTCTGGCTACTTTAAGATTTCCCTGTATCCCTGGTTTTGAGAAATTGATTATGATGTATCTTAATATAATTTTCTTCAAGTTTCTTTTGCTTGGGGATTCATTGATCTTGGGTCTGTCAGTTTATAGCATTTATCAAATTTGGAAAAATTTTGACCATTATTTCTTCAAATATATTTTTTCTGCCATCTATTATTTTGCTAACTCTAAATATATGTATTTAGTTTGCTGAAAGTTGTCACAGAGCTCACTTATGCTCTCCTACATTCTTAAGCCTTTTTTTCTTTGTGCTTTATTTCAAATAATTTCTGTTGCTATGTTTTCAGGCTCACTCGTCTTTTCGCCTATAATGTCTCATCTCCCATTAATCCCATCCAGAAAAATGTTCACCTCAGACATTGTAGTTTTCATCTGTAGAAGTTCAATTTGGATTCCACATCTCTACTTAACATTTTTAATCTTTCCTCCAACTTTAGGGACATAAGGAATACCTTATAATAACTACTTTCATCTTCCAGTCTGTTAATTCTAACATCTTTGTCAGTTTGGGGTGAATTTTAGTTGATTTTTTTTCCATTTTGATCATGCTCTCCTGCTTCTTTACACAAAATTTTTGATTGCAGATATTTGATTAGATACCATGTATTGGGATTTTTTTTACTTTATTTAGTGCTTAATATTTTTGTATTCTTATAAATATTCTTAAACTTTCTAGATAGATGTTTGATCCTTTTAGCTGTTACTTTTAAAATTTATTCTCCACAGCCAGAGCAGCATTTAGTCTATAGTTAATTGTTCTCCACTATTGAGGCAACACTATTCTGAGTACTCTAACCAATACCCCACCAATTATGTGACCCTCTAATCTGGTTAGAGAGGAAGGCAGTATTTCCAGGCTTATGTGCAACTCTGAGTATTGTTCCTTTCACTCCTTTCAAGCAGTTCCTTCTCCAGTCTCAGAAAGATTCCTCACATGAATGTGATTGTCAGTATTCTGCTGAAAACTTGAGAGACAGCCTCTGTAGATGTCACAAGTTCTCTCTATATATCTGTTTCCTCACCAGGATTCTGCCCTGAGAACTCTAGCCATCTTGATCTCCCCAGAACTTAGGGAGTCTGCTAGGCCGTGCCTGGATTTTCTCACCCCGTAGCACAGGAGTGTTCAATCTTTTGATTTCCCTGGGCCACACTGGAAGAAGAATTGTCTTGGGCCACACATAAAATACACTGACGATAGCTGATGACCAAAAAAAGAAAAAAGAAAAAAAACCCTGATAATGGTTTAAGAAAGTTTACGAATTTGTGTTGGGCTGCATTCAAAGCTCTCCTGGGCTGCATGAAGCCTGTGAGCCACAGGTGGGGCAAACTTCCATGTTGTAGCACAACCTGGAAAAACCCTTTCAGGCAGCAAGCTGCGGAAGTCAAAAGGTTCACACTGTTGTTTCCCTTCTCTCACGGGTCACTGTTTTTTGTTGCTTAGTGTCCAATATCATGAAAACCACATTTTCATATATTCTGTTCTGTGTTTTATTCTTTTCAGGCAGGAAGGCTAATTTATTCCTGTTAGTCTATCTTGGCTAAACACAGAAGTCTGAATTTTGTTTTAAGCTCTATGAGTTTTGAATATTTTAGATTATATACATAAAGAAATTCTGAGCCTATGAATTCAGAGTCATAATCTGAAATACATATATATGTGTGTGTATTCCCTAGGCTAGATAAGAAAATAATCCCCAAACGACAAGCCATCCCTTTAATTCAATGGTATCATGTGCCTTGTTATCAGTACTCATATTGAACTGACACAATATAGTTCTAAAGAGTGGAAATACATTATTTTTGCAATGTCGTGTTTCACTAGAATCAAAGTTGAGGCTAAGTATATGGGTTCTGAGGTTATACCACCAGTGTTCCAATCCTACTTTCTTATTAGCTGAGTTAACATGAGAAAATTGCTTCACTTCTTTATACCTCCATTTTTTTATTCATGGTGTTATGTTAAAAAATATTTTGGGTTGTTAAAAATATTAATTCCTCTAAAGTATTTATCATAGTAAAAGTTCAGTAAATGTTATCTTCCCTCCAAATTATATAATTTCCAATTTATATTAAAAATCTAAGTTTTGTACACATAAATCATAATCCTAGTGAAATATTATACAACTTTAATCTAGCAGACATGCAGTGAGTTCTAAGAGATTCCACCCTTCATTCTATTTTGTTTGCCACTCCAGAATGACGTTTGTGGAGAACTGCTTTCAAGCATACAAGTCATTCATAGCTCCTCTACTCAGTGCCTACTTGAGGGTATAGAGGGCAGCCTCTTGACTCCAGCATTTCAGACTTTGTAAATTAAGGTCTGTGTCTATTTTTCCAGCCTCATCATCTACTCTTTCCTTTCACTAACTGTGTATTACAACCACACGAAATGATTAATCTCTGTGAACATTCAAGGACCTTTATTATCTCTATACTTATTTTCATCCTATTTCTTCTACTTGGAATCCCCCATGTTTATGCAGTCACATGTATGATGCGTCTTCCATTATGCTGCACTGTGTGGAGTATAAGAAACACAAAGGCAATTTTAGAAAAGTATCTCTGCTCTTAAGAGGCCTACAGCCAAGCAAATACACAGTCACAACACAATGAAAAGAGCTATTCTAGAGGAATGGATATATGGCAGGTAAAAGGACAGGACAGACTGCCTTAGTTTTGCCCAATAAATAAGATGGGGGTAGGAAGGTAGGGTGGTCAAAGAAAGTATCACAGATGGACTCCTCTCTGTACTGTTTGAAAAACTCTCTGACCTACTTCTTCATTCAGATTTAGCAATATGCAAATCTATAGATTACAAGTACTTGGCTTAAGTAAACTCTACCTATATATGAGTTATACTATAAACTGTTTAGAATAATAACTTGTGTATAGGAAAAGGGCAAACTAAGACATTTTCAAAAGACCAGTTAAGTAATGAGTACTAATAGGAACACTGACATTTACAATAAAAACATGTCAAAACAAGATAAGTAGGGTCTAATTCAACTGCATAAAAACAAGGTCATAATAATGATATACAATATTTTCCAGTCAATCTGTACCGTTACCAAAAATCCCACAAAAGGTAAAATAGTGAAACTTACGCTGTTCACAACTGATGTCCCAGAGATCCTGAAACAGTCTCTCTCTCACCCATTAGGACAATTTTATCTAAGACAGCATATCAGGCCAGGCGCAGTGGCTTAAGCCTGTAATCCCAGCACTTTCGGAGGCCGAGGCGGGTGGATCACCTGAGGTCAGGAGTTTGAGACCAGCCTGGCCAACGTGGCAAAACCCCATCTCTATTAAAAGTACAAAAATATTAGCAGGGGTGGTGGCGCATGCCTGTAATCCCAGCTACTCAGGAGGCTGAGGCAGGAGAATAGCTTGAACCGGGGAGGCGGAGATTGCAGTGAGCCAAGATCACGCCACTGCACTCCACCCTGGGCAACAGAGCAGGAACCCGTCTCAAAAAAAAAAAAAAAAAAAAAAGCATATCAGATCTTGGCTTAATTTTTAAATTATAGCTGATCATTTATTGAGCAGTTAACTCTGTGCTAGACACAGGCCACGGCACTTCATTTCTTGTTTAAATCTCATCTCAGGATTGTGAACTTCTCTTAAAGTATCCACTTTATTCTAAGTCTTTCCACTGTCAATAAAAACATCATCAAGCCTTATTTGTATGACTTAAATAGGTCGCAACATTCTTTTTTCTCCCATTTGAGAGTCCATTTTCGAATATTCTATTTCTAATAACCAGCCACCACATCTATCATTTTGATAACTGGGGAGTCCTCTTAAAACGATATTAGCATTAATGACCATTATTTATTTCATTTATTGGATGCCAGGCATTATATCATTCAATCTTCACAAAAATGATTCAAAGTTAACATAATAGATATATATTATATATGTACAAACAGGCATCAGATAGGGCAATCACATTTCTAAAGTTACATAGGTTTTAATATTAAGCTTTGATTTTGACTACAGCCTGTGTTCTAAAAATACAACAAGTAACACTTAGTGGAAGCTTACCATGTGTCAGGCACACTGCCTATTGTGTGTCAGGTGCTTAACACATTATTGCTTTTAATCTTTCCAACGAATCTGTGAGGTGATTATGGGTCCACAACTGTTTATCTGAAACCCCTGGAGACAGGTGTTATTTAAGAATTTGTAACTTTTGAAATATACGGTATTTGTTACATAACTTCCCCCATATACATGCACATCTGATTTAATTACTTTTGAGTAAATTCTATATAATAACAACTGATTACATTTAATTTGTGTGTGTCTGGTAGTTTTTCCCAGTTTCTACACCAATTAACCTCTAATGTCTTTTAATCCGATGTTGAAACAGGAAAACAAGAAAAAATATTTATGGAGTTAAAAATATAAAATATTCTAGCCTTTGTATTTTATATTGCAGGTTTCCCTGCCTGTAGGTAGATAAACCAAAATCAAAGAAAGAGCTGGAATAAATGAGATACACACTGCTTTTGTTCAAAAGAGAATAAAATATCAGGATCTACTGGGCTGCCAAAAGTTCAGTCTTATTTTACAGATCTAAACAGCAGACTCTTAAATTAAGGATTAAGAAGTGAAAGCCTGGCCTCTCCCAGGTAGATCAATCAGTGAATTGATTTTTCTCCCTGATTTAAGTCCTTCCTTTATACAACACCAAGCGTCTCCACTTCTCTTCTAGCATTACATCTCTCTTTTCTTATCAGTCTTCATTTTCTCCTTCCCCTCTTTTTCTTCCACTTCCCACTGTCTGCTTTTCCTTCTCTAATTTTCTTTCCCTCTGTTCTTAATGGCATTCAAGATAAGGGTATCAACTGAGCTAGTGCCAAAAAGTTAAGTTCCCACAGATCTTTTGGTATTTCTCTGATGCCCATTTAAGGCTAAGTTTAGCTTAGAGAGTGCAAGGTTATAAAATGCTCTTCTTAACGGCCTCACAAGTGCAGAAATGTGTGTGTGTGTGTGTGTGTGCCTGAGGGTACATGTGAGTCTGACATCTGCAGTTGGTAACATTCTCTCTCTGCTTATTGTAATTTTCATTCTACTAAATCTTCAGAGTGCAAGAAAAAGGGAGACATTTTATTTCTGCAAAATAAATATCAGCTTAGTAATTAGGGTAATTGGTCATGAATTATGGAGTTTAAATAACATTAGTATAAGATTTAATCATGATATATCTCAGGAATTAGTCTGATACTGTTTTTCCCACTGTAGTAAGCTATGTTTTTTCATTCTACATTCATTTGACTGAAAGAAAGACTTTTGTAATTTGTCCTGCATTAGTGAGCATTTCTGAGCTCTCTTACTTTTTGTTCCTACTCCTATTACGGTATTTACTGTGTCTTATTGCATCCTCATGTGTAAAGTAGATGACTAGTTTTTCAATAATTTGCTTCTCATTAATAAGAAGTATATATTGGTTTTTCTTATAACTCAAGTTCCAAGTACTTAGCCTAATACTGTAAGAGTACTCAACAAATATTGGATGAATAAATATTAAATATTTAAATTTAAAAATTAGTTTAGTTACACTCTTGTATATTCTAATTTGTAGTTAAAAAGGTAAATTGAAGTAAACACCCCAAAGCACGTATAACTTACTCTTACATCTTGCTTGTCCTTTTGTGTTATTACAACGTGCAGTGTACGTTATAGTCTCCAAGACATTAACGGTAATTAATCCTAAGTGTAGGAATTATGAGTAATTAGATTCTCGTCTTTCATCTTGTTTTATTTCTAAATTACTTTATAATAAACATGCATGACATTTTAAAACAGAAAATTACAATGGAACTTATTTTCTTAAAAACATTGTTTATACATTTCTTGAAAGTATCAAATTCACTGGGTATAGAATTCTATGTAATACCAGCTTGTTCTCGTCACCATATTCCCTATATTCCTGGTCATACTACTAATTTGCTATGTTACTTGAATGTTCATAAGCTGTACAGTCACCCTGAATACTTTATAATACATTCCAAGTCCATTGGATTAACAAGTATATCAGTTATTTCTAAACGAACTTGAGTCTGGGTCTACATTATTCTCAGAATTCAGGAAAATCCAAATTTGTCCATCTTTACACCTGCTCTTGGAGGATTTGGGTAAGGTCTAAGTAGATTTAATGGCTACTACAGTTACTTTACTTCCTGAAGTATGGGTGAATAAATAAAAATGTATACAATAATTAAAGAGTTTATAATTAGAAGCCAAGTTGCCAGCATGCACACCTGAGTGGCAGGTTGTGGTTGACTCCTTTCAGAGAAGTTGTCATCATCATCTTCCCACTGAATTAGACTATATGGGATCTTACACATCTGCTAAATGTCCTGGTTGGACAGCAGCAGAATAATGCAGAGTTCCAGCAAGCAGGACTCTGATGATGAGCAGGACTGTTTCATGATGGGGTGAGTGAGTGAGAGCCCCTGACTAGAGATATCCAGGCAGAGATGGAGTGACTCCTTCTCAGCACGCTTTTAGACCTGGGTTCACGCATTAGGTCTATAACTGGATGATTTCATAAAAGGTAACCTAAATGGAAATCAATCTATTTTCATTTTACATAAAGGCTTGAAAGTTTAGATTTTTTGAACTCTAACATTTGCAACTTGATCTCACCTTTAATTCCACTGAAGATGCAGATTAACAAAAGTCATTTTTCTTTAAAATGTCAATAATTAACAAATAATTTTCTAGTCCCTTTTTCCTTTAAGTTGTACTAAAAAAATGTACATTTTAAAGGAAATGTTACTAAGCACCAGATTATTTGAAATTTTACACAATTTGCATACTATTTTAAGGAAGTCATGTTTACATGATAAAAACCATTTGTAGTAGTAATTTATGTATTACTTAAAAGGGTCTGGGATATATTTCTAACAGATGAGCCTTATATAAACTTCAAAGAAAATTCCATTACAAAAGATTTCAACAATCCTTTAAGTCAAAAAAGTTGAAAGAAGGACTCTAGACAGGCCACATTTGCGATCAAGTAATCACCTATTTGGTTCAGAAATTCCTCAGGTAAATCTATGTCTTGTCTACCCACCCTCTCCAAGTTTCTACTGATAAAACATAAGGTACATTTTAAGTGTTAGGGAAAAAACCCATCAGGTCTTACCATTGAATGCTGACTCCATTTCTGTTTAATCTCAAGTGTATATTAAGTGAGATATTTATTTTTTCTCAAATTACATTTGTTTGGAAAGAGATACATAAACAATTGAGTACCTTCATATGCTATGGCCACAAATGAGCTGTCTGCATTTTACAATTAGCCTGTAACCACAAGAACTCTTTTTTTTTTTTTTGATGCTAAGTATAAAAGGTCATTGTACATATCAGCAAGTGTGAAAAGAGAACTCCAAAGAAGTTCAGGTTACCCACACTCAGACTCAAGTTAAATACCATAATCATGCCAGCCATTGGTTACTACTCAGTCTCTGGGTCTGGAAACCAGTCTGCCAAAAGCCCAGACAGCTAGAAAAGCAGCCATGTTTTATCATATGACTGATCCCAAAAGGCCAATTTAAAGAGAAATTATGTGTTCTACATTAGGAGGAACAAATATCTCTGATTTTACAAAGGTCTTTTTATTAAGATAACAAAGAACATATATTTTGAAATTCAGTAATTTAAAAATATATATATAAACATTAAACGCTAACAGGGCACATGAGCTTACTCACCAACCTCAACATAAGTGAGTTACTCTTTTTGCATCCACACAGACACAATGTTTCTTGAAAAAAATTATGAACTTCATTTTTAGTAGAATGGGTTATTATACATGTATAAATTCAATTTAAAACATCTCTTTAAAATATTAAAGTTCATGGTTGCTATGTAAGAGTGCAACTTGTTAACTCCTTCTTTGAAAGAAATGAAGCTTTAGAACTTCCATCTGAAGAGTAGTAAGTAATAAGACTTTTAAGAAACAAACCAACATTTAAAAAATATCCCAAGGGTAATCCATTAACTAATTAATCTTACAATTTTTTTTGGAAAACATGCTACTGTACATGTAAAATATATGTAAATCTTTATTGAATTCTCAGAAATTTAGTAAGGACTAACAAATCTAATGAATGAATAACTGTTGAAGAATAATGACGTAATTCCTGGAAGCCTCTGAGTTGAAACTACTCACCCAATTTCTTTGCCAATTACAAATTGACTTTGAAATCTGCTTCAGGATGAAAGAGCTACAAAGTTTACCTGACTCCCAGAAAAATGAAGATCATCTCTACCAATTATGATTATGTTTGAAATTTTAAATTTATTCTACATTCTATGATGTTCAAATAAACTTAGCGTTATCTAAGAAATGTGTGTTATTCCATTCTGAATAATTTATCTTTTTATGCTAACGTTTCATAATTAATTTTTCTTTCCCAAATAAAAGCATCTGGTAAAGACATTTAAATTCATCCTAAGTGTAACATTAAACTCTTATCATTTGTGGAATGTACTTCAGTCCCAAGAAATCTCAATTACATTAAAAATAATAAAAATATCTTGATGTATATATACATCCAAATGTATGTGAAAAAGATTTTACTTTTCAAACTTCACCATATAATTGTAATTTCTCAGTTTCTTCTCCAGGTTAAACTTGAAAAGCAAGATGAAGTTTTGTCAGGGTAATGAGTATAATTTTTAAAATATAAGGCTTTTTCACGACTCAAAGCCTCTATATGTATATAAACCTTGACCCCTACTTATCTGTAATATTTCATTGACATAATTTCATATATTCTAGTTTCACAATAAAGAAAGTGCTGTATAACTTGATGCCACAACAAGCTCTGGAAAAATGCACTGAGGATGTAAATAACAATGAATGATTATGTAATATTAATTTTAGCTCAAGTTTGTTTTTACTGTTATGGCTCGATGCTAGTTATTTATCACATTTTACGAAGTTTAACTTCTTGATATGTCATGAAACTGTTTACCATCAGGACATTATTTTAGATAGCTTACACACAGCACACACACTCTTTTGCTCCTTTGTACTTGTGACCTGGGAGACCAGGAGTCAGGCTTCCGCTGGCCTAGAGGGAGCCAGCAAACTTGAGCCACTCCCCTCTCCCCACTGCACTGCCCTGCACCGCAACTCAGCTCAACCTAAAAGATCACACTCTCTAGAATCCTTGAAACATAAATATTCCCATGATCCATAATGAGGGATCAATGCCAGAGATTTTTCAGCAGTCTATATAGGTCATGAGTTTAACTGCTATTCAAATCATAGTAAATTGGTTTCACATTGGCTTGACTAACCATTTATATGAATAAGTTGGACAATGCGGGATGCCTACCCAGCATCCATCCCTCCACCCCTTTTCTCTTACCAAAAGGAAGCTCTACTGGCTTCAGATACCCAATCATCCCTTCCATGTGACTCTGGGGAAGCTTAAATCATCTCCTGCTGCAACGACAGGTCCTGGTAAGTCTACATCAAACATATTACCACCACCACCCCCCACTTTGCCATGAACTATTTTAAAAACTCAAGCTTAAACCAGGCAGCGTACAAAGTGTCTCTGGAGGCTATTGCTGGCCCACAGTTGGAGGAGATGTTTTCTGTCTCAAGAGGTGAAGAAGAAACATGTTTCCTTAGTGACTGCTGACAGCCATTTTACAAACACAAAGAAGTTCAGGCTAGGACAAAAAGTGAAACATAAAGGAGGGCAGGGTCAAGAGAAACAGAGTAACAGGGTAAAAGCCTTGATCACATCCTACCTGAGGCCCACTAGCTCGAGACTTTTTGTTGTGAAATGTTATACATTTCCTTATTGCTTAGGACAATTTATGTCAGATTTTGTGGGGTTTGCAGCCAAAGATAACTTGACACTATTTCATTTTTAACAGAAGCAGTACTTTCAACAATGCCTCCTAATTTGAATTAAGCACATTATTAGAATTTGCCATCAGTCACTCACTCAAAATTACCCTAGAGCCATAGCCCCAGAGTTGGCCGCCCAAACTGAGTTCACTGGTGGAAAAAGTTGAGACACTTCTGCCACTATTAGCTATGTCTCAAAATCTTACCATTCAACTTAGAGACATAATCAAAGAAGAGTAAAAATATAATTTCATTAGCAGAATCTTCATTGAATAGCAAAAAATTATACATTTTTACAATAAAATAGACTTCTTCAGAAAGTAAAGTCTCATTTCTCTTCTTACCTCTTTCACACTGTGGACCAGTGAACCCATAAACACAAGCACAGCGGTTGGGTCCGATGCAACGTCCACCATTCTGACATCCATTTTCACAGACAGCTGCATACAAAAATAGCAAGAAGCTCATTATATAGCCAGTCTCCAAGCACAATATAGTAGTGCAGTGATGCTGCCAATAAAGGATCTTATGTTAAATTATAGTACATTATGTTAATTAAACTGCAACTTGTATAAATTACACAGGTTAAAGTTCACATCTTAAATTTAAGTAAATATATTTAAGTATATTCAGACAAAAACTTACATACTTCATGTAAATCACACTGTTAAGCAAGTGTTTGGTAAAAGGTTTTTTGTTTTTTTTTTAATCAGAATCATATTCGCTGGCTCTCATGCTCATTTAGAATGTAACTACTCAACCCTCAATTTCTGTACTACTAACCCTATAATCTATATTTTCACTGGTAAGGAATGAATAAAATATGGGAAATGAAGGAAAAAAGAGGCCGATCCCGGTAGCACAGGGAAGGAGTAGGAGGAGAAAAATGTAATAAGAAAAAATGAAAATGATATGGCAATAAAGGGAAAAAGGAAAAATCAGAGAAGAAAAGGAAGCCAAGGGGGGAAAAGGTAAAGCTGGAAGGGCAAAACAAAGAAAAGGGGGGAAAATACCATCAACGTTAGCTATAAAATGCCAAAAGAAGTAACCAATGTGTAGAGACTATTTGCAGGTCATAGAAGAAAAAAAGGGAAAAAAAGCTGTGTAAGCATAATATGTTTTTTCATATAAAATTAACTCACAATCCAAATGTTTCCAAAGTCATGCTGACAAACACACAGCACACACTCTCTTTTGCTCCTTTAGCCTTGTGACCTGGGAGACCAGGAGTTAGGGTTCCATGAGCCCAAGAGGGAGCCAGTAAACTTGAACCACTCCCCTCTCCCCACTGAACTGCCGTGCACTGCAACTCGGTTCAGCCTAAAAGATCACACTCTCTAGAATCCTTGGAACCTAAGTATTCCCATGATCCATAATGAAGACAGCTGAATTCAAGAATCATATCTTCTCCAGGAGAAAATACTGATACTGAAAGTGTGTCTCCCTATCTACCCACCCTGTTGAAACATTTGTCCTCACAAATGAATTAGAGGATTATATTCTATGACCTGTGTCCACAAATGGAGTTGAAGGACACTAATTACTCAAATTAAAGGGAAGTGGGGGGCCAAACACTTCAAGTGAGGTACATATCATAAAATGGGAAACTCAATAAGTATACTGATATCTAGTAGCACAGTAATGCTGCTATTTCCTTATCAGGTATGTTGAACCGGATAGATTGCCTATCATCTCCAGAATGCACAGAGTGATTTCTGTTCTGCTGATGATGGTCAGAAGACTAAAACGCACTTGGAAATAAAAGATGATCTTGACCTTAAAGCGTCACTGTGCCAATGGCCTCAGAGGCATTTGTTGATAAGTTACACTTCAATTAAAGGCATGATTCTGTGTGTCTCTGCACAAGTACAGCTCCCTAGGAACCATACCCTTCTGCTTCTTTACCTATCTCCAGCTGAGTCCTACATAGCACTTCCCACTCATCATTGCCTTGAAATATGGGCAGACTTGAAATATAAGTAAATACGAAGCAGAAAGGAAAAGGAAAAAAGGCCACGGGGAACATGAAAAAAATAAAGATGGATGGGAAGGTGGGAAAAAACAAAACCTATGAGAGCATTCTGTGCAGTAATTCCATAGAAACAACTGCCAGGATTTGAAGATTCCTACATGTATGCGTATGTTCATTGCAGCACTATTCACAATAGCAAAGACATGGAATCAACCCAAATGCCCATCAATGATAGACTGGATAAAGAAAATGTGGCACATACACACCATGGAATACTATCCAGCCATAAAAAGGAACAACATAATGTCCTTTGCAGCGACATGGATGAAGGTGGAAGCCATTATCCTCAGCAAACTAACACAGGAACAGAAAGCGAAACACCACATGTTCTCACTTATAAGTGGGAACTGAACGATGAGAACACATGGACACTGGGAGAGGAACAACACACACTGGGGCCTGTCTGGGGAGGGCAGGGGGAGGGAGAGCTTCAGGATAAATAGCTAATGCATGCGGGGCTTAATACCTAGGTGATAGGTTGATAGGTGCAACAAACCACCATGGCACACATTTACCTATGTAACAAACCTGCATGTCCTGTGCATGTATCCCAGAAATTAAAATACAATTAAATTTTTAAAAAAGAAAGATTTAAAAAATCAATTGTTAAAAAGATGCACTGCAAAATACTAAGTCCAAAGTAATGTGATCAATTAAAATGTGTGGAATTTTCTTTAAATGCTATTGAGCTGTAGGAAATTTAAATTACAGTCACTTTCCCATGTGTTCTCTTATCACAATGCCAGCCTTTGGGGAAAAGCTGTCCACACTGACTGTAACACTCAGAACACAACCTCCGGTAAATGGAGGAAGGGCTTCTCCCACGGTTTTCCAAAACAAAGTTTCCAATTCGCAGGTAGAACAAGGCTGGATGAACCTTGAGTTTCTCCTAGAAAGAGCTGGCCCATTACAAATTAAACCTAATCTAATCTGTCTAGGTTAGACTATCAATGCCTCCCTTCTCACTAAAGATTTTTGGAGGTTTGCAAATTATAGTTATTGTTTATAAAAAATATTTATCTTAGCTTATAATATGGGTTTCTTGTTATTTTTAATGAATCAATAAATATTTTAAATTTCTCAATTTTAATTTCTAATACTATAAATATTGAAGGAACTCATATAAACAAAAGACATTTGAGGACCTCAATAATTTTTTAAAATGTAAAGGGATCCTATGAACAAAAAGATCAAGGGCCACTGATACAACCATTTGCTTGTATTTCTGTCTCTCATGTGAGAGTGGGTTCCCCCAGGACAAGGGCCAGATCTGTTTGCCTTTGAATCCCTGTCACCTACTGTGGTATCTGACAGACTGCAAGAACTCAACAAACTCCCGCACATCAAAATTTCACGGCATTTTTTCAAGTACTTCGCAAGGCAGAATGGTGCAGTGAACAAATAATGAGCTCTGCTGTCCCCAGCACCCACTCACCACACCACCTCTCTGATTCTTAGCTTCCTGGCCTGCAAAAAGAGACTTAACAGTTCCTCCCCTACAGACGTTTGAGGACTAAATAAAATAGCATATAAGACAAAGTGCACAGTGGCTGCACGCTGAAGGTATTCTACATTCTTAATTTCCTTCCTCTTTTAACTATAGAACATTTGTACGAAAATGTTCTGTAAGACAAGACGTCTGCAGCAGCCGAAGTTTACATTAAAGAGCAATAGCAAAAGAAGAGAAGCAGGAAATACAGATAAAAGTAGAAGCAAAAACCAAAAATGGTGAATTTCCTTTTCTCAAATGAATTATGATGAAAGGTATTTTACAAAAGAACATATTTTTTTGTAACAAAAAAGAATGGAAACAGCAACTTATATTTCAACTGGAGTCAGAAAAAAATTGGAAAATGCCTAAATTTCCACCACAGAAGGAACGCTGACCACTCAGGAAGAAAACTGTGCTTACACCTAGCATGACAGTGGCATGAAAGGCAAGAGAGCAAAAGATGTACTACAGATAGAAGTATGAGCTGGTTTCTTAGCTGCCCACCAAAATCCTAGAAGGAGAAAACACACTGTTTTTCCTGTGTGGGTTGGTTGCATACTGTAAAAGCTCAGATATTTAGAGGACATTTTTATTCAACAGATATTTACTGAGCACTTACTTTGTGCCAGGTAACAGGTCAGGTATATATTTTTATTAGACAGACTCCCTTACAACTCAGCAGAGGCGCAGACACTTGGGCATAAGTCAAGTCTGAAATCATGATTGTAATTTCTACACAAATGTGTTAGAAAAATAGCATTCTAAACCAAGTTAAAATGTTAACAAGAGGAAAGAAACAAAAGCCTACTGTCTGACATAGGAAGGTATAAATCTTTGCTATTGGTGCTGCCTTCTTCCTTCGTTTTCTAGGATACCACACTCTCTCAGTTTTCATTCCATCCTCATGTCCATTCTTTCTCACTCTTCTTTGCAGGCTTCTTTTCCTCTTCCCCATCTCACAATGTTGGGCTGAATTGGGTCTCTGTTTTCAACTCTCTTCTTTAGCTACAACAACTTCCTAATGATCTTTATCTAAGCCTATGATTAAAATATTATCTATATAATAATTCGGTCTATACGGTCCCAAATTTATATCTCTATGTCCAACCTCTCTCCTAAGATCAGAGTTCATAGATCTTTGCACTTATAAGTCTGACAGATTTCTCAATCTAATGAATCCAAAACAAAACTCTTATCCTCAGCCCCACCACTCCTTACCCAACCCACTCCCTATACAGTATTTCCCGTATCTGGAAATGACATCGCTATTAATCCAGCAGCTCCACCAAAACCCTCTCCTTGTCACTTTTGATTTTTACTTTTTCTATTTTTTTTTATCCACCACGCCTGGTCCATCAGAGTATACCTCCAAAATACAAGCTCAATACAACCACTTACCACATCTTCAGCGACTACAGCTGCAGCATTGTTCACTAGCACCACTGTGGTAGCCTCCTACATGGCCCTTTCCTTTTCTCTGTTATAATCCAGGCTCAACACAGCAGACAGGTGATTTTTTTTTAATGTTAACCAGGTCACAGAACACCACTGCTCAAAATGCTCCAGTGACTTCTCATAATATTTAGGCTGTAGTCCAAATTTTGTTCCTTGGCCTACTACAAGGCCCTATACCTCCCTCTCCAAACTCAATTCTTACCATTTTCCCTTTCCCCACTTTACTCCAGGGACATGGATCTTACGGTTTCCAAAATACATGGAGTCTGTTCCCACTACAGGTCCTTTAAATTTGCTTTTCACTTGTCCAGAACAATTTTTCCATAGATTTAAAGGCACAGACTCGGATCTGTGTTTCAATGTCACCTTCTCAGAGACCCCTGATGTAAAATAGCAGACAACTGCTAATCCTGACCCAGACTCTCTCCCTCTTACCCTGCTTTATTCTTCTCCTAAAACTTCTCGCTACCTAAATGTGTATTAGGTATTTACCTTTTTAGTATTAACTGTCATTTCTACCAGAATATGTGGCCAGGGTATTATCTTACCTATTCACAGTAGTTACTCAATCAACATTGCTGAATGAAATGGATGAAATAGAAGAATGCTTTCTAAGAAGTGCTGTCTGTTTCCAGGAAAGCAGCTAAGCAGTCTAAATGTTTTATAATGTTCATTTTAGCAAGCATCCTATTTCCAAGACTTTTCTGGATTCATAAATTGAAAAATGTTCCATCTGCTTCTTTGCTCTCAGTATTGTAACACTCTTTCTATATAAGACGACTTGGAAAACATCTTCCTTACACCATTCCTTGAGCTGGTAATCTATTAGTTATCATACCTTTACCTTCTTACTTGCTGACAAATAAATTGTGTTTGCTACACATTTTGCTTCCCCTATATGTTCTATTATCCCTGAGGTAAACATTAAGGAAGATGTCATCCCATGAGAAACCTAGAGAACAAATGTTCAGTATATGCTGATTTTCTGACCCAGTGATGTTGCCTTTCCTCTGACTGGAAAATGTGGTAACATCAATATGGTTTGACACAGGGGCGGAAGAACATCAAAGCATTTTAGAAGCGGAAAGTCCTTTCCATCCCCTGCCTTCTCATTCCTGTGTGAAGAACAAGAGACACACCCACTAGAGCGTGTTCTGTACAACCCTCATACATACATACACACGTATGCCCAAGGCATGAAGAGCAGCTTAATTCAGACTGAAGACAGCTAATTTCAGGACAGATTTGAGCAAATACTCTGAAAGATCAGTTGAGGCAAGGCAAGGCGCTTTCTTCAGTGATTCTAATTTTCATTTTTCCCTCTACAGAGCAAAAGGATGTGTTTCAACAAGGATAGATGTGTCTCTTCATTGGTTATGAAACTTTGCAAAACAGAGTTGGCAATCAGATATCCTAACACTTTTCTAAGGCCTAAAAATATATATCAATCTATCTTTTTATGAATACTGTGTTCGTGATAGACTTCTGTCTTTCTTTTCTGGTTATAAACAGAAGTCTGTTGTAGAAAATGTGGGAAATACCTGAATGTACAAAGAAAATATAGAAAAAGTATCATCCATGGAATGAGAAACTCTGCTGCATTTATCTGTTCCACTGTTATCCAGTTCTTTCTTAGCCTCCCCTGGCCAACCCTAGCCTAGAGAATTTAACACATTGGCCCCTCCTATTCTTGCTAGAAAACTGGCCTCAACGTATTGTATTCTCTTAAAAACCTTCACCCTCCATTTCTCAAACTTCAGTCAGTCTCCTCTTGTCATACCTGAGAACCACCCACACCCACACAAGGAATCTGCAAACTATGGCCCAAAGGCCAGATCTAGGCCACTGCTTATTTTTGTACTTCCCATGAGCTAAGAGGAATTTTGACACTTTTAAGTAGTTGAAAAATCAAAGAAATAATACTCAGTCACAAGTGAAAATTGTGTGAAATTCAAATTCCAGTGTCTATAAAGTATACAATTTTGCTGAAACACATCCTAGCTCTTTCATTCACATATTATCTATGGTCACTTCTGCACTACAATGGCAGAGTTGAGTATTTGCAATGGAGAAAGCAAGGTCTAAAATATATACTCTCTGGCCTTTACAAAAAAAGTTGACCTACCCCTGACCTTAACAGAATATCTTTCTTTAAATGGATACTCCTATTTTACATAAAATTATTCTAAAGAAAACTTTATAGCACTTATAAATAGAAAGTTATAATTACCATAATCACCTTAACTACAAGACAAACTTGGAAATTACTGTAACAACCACAATAAGTACAACTTCACATTCATTAGCATGATTATTATTATTTAAGAAAAAAAAACAGAAAATAACAAGGTTTGGCAAGTATATAGAGTGGAGCCCTTGTGCACTGCTAGTAGGAATGGAAGACAGTGCAGCTTCTGTGGAAAACAGTATGGCAGCATTTCAAAAAATTAATAATACAATTATCATGTAATCCAACAATTCCACTTCTGGGTATACACCCAAAAGAACTTAAAGCAAGGGCCCAAACAGCTATTTCAGCATTATGCACAAGAGCCAAAAGGTGAAAGCAACTCAAATGTCCATCAACAGATGACTGGATAAACAAAATGTGGTATATTCATATAATGAAATATTATTTTGCCTTTAAAATGAAGAAAATTCTGACACATGCTAAAACACGGATGAACCTTGAGGGCACTATGCTAAGTATAACAAACCAGTCACCCAAGGACAAATACTTCATGCTTACACTTCCATGAAATACCTAAAGTAGTCAAATTCATAGAGACAGAAGTAAATGATGGTTGCCCGGGGCAGGGGAGAGGGAAATGGGGGTTACTGTTCAATGGGTACAGAGTTTCAGTTTTCCAAGATGAAAAGAATTCTGGAGATGGATGGTGGTGATGGTTACACAACAGTGTGAATGGACTTAATGCCACTGAACTATACACTTAAAAGTGGCTAAAATGGTAAATTTTGTTATGTATATTTTACAACAATTTAAAAAAATTTTTCATTGCAAGAAAAATAAAATAATGTTAACTGAAAACAAGCTAGATATTCTTTTACACCTAAGACTTGGTTTTTCTATGTTTAAAAAAGAGACCAGCAATCCTTAAGGAAGCCTTGAAGATTAGCAGGAACGTATAGTCTACATCAGGTAAAAATGCAAATAAAGTAAAAAGGGACTTATATTTGTGATTCAATTTCAGAAATAACACTTCTTTAATGTCATATAAGGTGACATTACTTCAAAATATGTGAATTCCCAAAAATGTCCCACAATTTAGAGAAGATTACCCAAATGTTCCACAGTGATGTGTCACAATCCAGAAACTACAATCCTTACACTCTTGCTAAAAGGTTATTTCTTGATTCATACAGGGTATTCTCCAGTGAAGGTACCAGTTTTGCTGGGTTACAGCTCCCTGTTTCACAATAACATCTGCTTTTTAAAAATCATTTCATCACCCTGTATCTTAGTATTAAATATATTTAAGCAAAGGATAATTTATCAGATTGGCTCTCCTGGGGTTAATTTTGAGAAGTTCTAAAAAATCATAGATACAAAGAGGGAACTGGAGAGGGAAGGAAGAAGTAAAAAAGAAAGAAAGATCACAGAAAACTTGCTCTTTTTTTTTCAGGAAAGTATACATGTTTTATGGAGCCAGATAAAGGAAAAATAAATCACAGAAAATCTGTGAGATGTGTCACATTTGCTAAAGCACTAGTTACCAGTTGTTGACTAGTTACTATTCAAGAACATCACTGCTCTAAAGCACAAAATTCTAAAAGAATTAGAAAAATTCTTACAGGATAAAAATTAGAAATTCAGTTTTAAGGTATGGTTTACTACATAAAATTGTTTTTTCAAAAGATCACAGGATTTATGAGACCTTAAATTATAACTTAATATGAAATATCCACCAAATCAAATGATTTCTAATAAATCAATGTCCCTTACGTTGTCCACAATAAGTTCCAATATATCCTTTCTGGCACTGGCAGTGGTCATCTGCACAGGTCCCACCATTCATGCATCTCACACTGCACTGCTGAACTGCAAAGAGCAATAACAAAAAGTATAAAAACATCAGTCATCAAAATTATAGTATATGTGAGAGGTTATAAAACTATAAACTCAATTATCCAATTCAATGACAATTATATCTTACAGAAGGAAATACTATGACCCAAACATATTTTTATTCATCATTTCTTTATAAGTGCACACATGGGCATATCTGTGATAACATGTTTTTCAGGATGCATTGAAAACACTTCCAATGTTAAAAAAAAATAAACAGAAGGTGACTAGCAGCATAGTTTCTGGAAAGCAGGAGGCACTTTTGTCTCCATTCAGAATGCAGGAGGTGAGTGCCCACCATTCCAGCTCAGTGCAGTACTGTCATAATGGACTTGAAAGCTATCCTCACAGAGCTTGAATTCCGATGGGGAGCTACGGAAAACACAGGTAAACAAATACCACTAAGTAATTATAGACTGTGATAAACTGTTTGAAGTAAACTGTTGTGAAGGAGACTAGTCTGGAGCCAAGAAGGAGCTTAGATACTGGCACTAGACAAGACCACTCTGAGGTGACATTTACACTGAATAAGCCAGATATTAAAAGTACCACGGAGAAACTTCAGAGAGAGAAGAACCAGCAAATCAAAAGACCTTAGGATGGTAAAAGGTTTCTTCTGAAGAATGGAGAGATTCCTGTGGTTAAAAAGAGGCAGACAGGGAAGAGACCTTGGAAACCCAGGCAGAGACCAGCCAGCTAACACAGGGCCTCCTCGGCCACCGAAGGGTTTTCATTATATCCCAAATGCAACAGGGAGTCATTGAAAGGATTTAAATGAGAAAGTGAAGTGATGTAATCTATATTTTAAAAAGATTACTCTAGCTGCTCTGCAGAGAACGGATTTGAAGAGGGCGAGAGTCTGGGAGAAGGATGAGGATAGCTTACACCACATGGTAGCAGTGGAGATGGAAAGGAAAAGATAAATCTGAGATAATTATTTTCCAGTAAAGCCTACAGGACTTGTTTAAAGAGCCGACATAGAGAAAGAGAAGCAGCAGTTACTTAAGCACTGGGTGGATGGCAGAGCCATTTGCCAAGGCAGGAGGAACTGTGTGGTTCAAGTAGCCTGTGGTCAGCAATAAATTCAGTTTCCTTTTAGACATGCTACTAAGTTTCAATTGCTTGCTATTTCTTGAGTGGAGATGTCAAATGGGAAAGGGAATATATGAGTGTGGAGGTCAGTGGTGGGATCTCCAGTGTAGATAAATATTATGAGTTATCAACAGATTGGTAGTCATTGAAAACATGAGTTCACCCAGGGAGGGCAGAACTCAGGAATACCAAACCTTGAATGAAAGACTGATGAAGACATAGAAAAGAGACTAAAAAGGAATGATCAAGAAAAGGAGCACTGAAGGCCACTGGCATTTTAAAAGTCAAGGGTGTTTCAAAGAAAATGAAAAACAACATTTCAAGAAGATAATGATTAATAGTGCCAAAAGCTTTAGCAAGGTCAAACAGGATGATGATTGGGAGGGTTAGAAAAGTTCCTGATGAAATGGAAGGATTGCCCAAGGCCAAATGAATGCACAGATTCCCTGCTAAATTATATACCACAAGCAAAGAGTGGACCAGAGAATGTCCCAGCTCCCAGGTAGAGGAATTAAGAAACTGAATCTTAAAATTCCTCCAGCATTGTGTTTTTTGCCAAAGGCAAATATGAGAAAACTAGGAACAGGATAATGAACATACTGGCAACAGTATCTTGTAGGTAATCAGGCAAGAAAGAGAGGTTCAGGTTAAGTTGGGGATGAAATGTTCTGGTTAAAGTGGTCAAGAAATCTTGATGAATTTGAATGGTAGGTTTTAAAAGCTGAGGAAATGGCAGATTCAAAGGAAGTGAAATTAAGAGAGTTTTCATCAGGAGTTTCATCAGAAGACAATGGCATTTGATGTATGAATCCTGAATCTTATTCCTGAGTCAGACATACTATATTACCTTCTTTTAGGGAAAATTTGAAGAAAGATGTATTAAAAATATAATGACTTCACACTAGTTTGAGGCAAGACTTAAGAAAGCATTTATTTAATTATTGAGCAATTAAATAAACAATCTTGCTTCTGCCTTGTTATAATGTTATCTTAAATACTAGCCTCAAAGATTAATCTTCGACCTTAAGGACCCAACAATTTCTAATTGGGTCATGAATCACACAATCATAGTCCACAGTTATAATTATCTTATGAAGTTGTTGGCAGTTAATACATGTGAAGCAAAATAGGTCCATTATGTGTAAAGTATGTGGTCAGTACTCAATAAACACATGCTGCCTTTGGAGTTCTCCTCTCCTTCCCCCTTAGATAACCCACAAAACACATGTTAAGCAAAGGCAACAAATACAGTCTAGTGTTTGAGACTATACACTTAGGCATCAGAATACCTGGATTCAAGTCTGTGTTTCCTTGGGCCAGTTAATTAAATTATGTGTGCTTTACTTTGCTATTCTGTAAAATGGGGTATTAACAGTATCTCATAATGTTGATGTAAGGATTAACTAAAGTAATAACAGTTAAAACTCCCTGGCACATAGAAGGACCTTTAGCATTTGCTCCAAAGCTTAAGAAAAATGCAGTGAAAAGGCCACAAGTAAGAAACATACTTGATTTTGATCCACAGGTTGATGATATTTGCCCACTGGAACAAGTACACATGTTAGGACGGGAACAAAATCCATCTCCACAACTATTTCTACAAATCGCTGTAGAAAGCACAATAGGAAAATGAATGAATAACTATATAATAAACCATAGTTTACAAAACAAGAAAGCTGTATTTAAAAATAAAAAGCCTGAAAAACTAAGATAAAATATATGATATAAATGTCTAACTTCAGATATGCAATAAAATTACCCATTGCAGACTTGGGAATAAGTCTCACAGGTATCCTTATGAAAACGTGTAAACAAATGAAGCTGTTTCAAATTGCATAATCCTTTAAGGAATCTCCACACTGTTTTCCATAGTGGCTGTAAAAGTAGAACTACCATTTGATCCAGCAATACCACTACTGGGTATCTACCCAGAGGAAAGGAAGTCATTATTCGAAAAAGATACTTGTACATGCATGTTAATAGCAGCACAATTCACAACTGAAAAATCGTGGAACCAACCCAAATGCCCTTCAATCAACAAGTGGATAAAGAAACTGTTATATATATATGGTGATATATATATATAACTGTGATACATATAATATATATATCACCATATATATAATGGAATACTATGCGGCCATAAAAATGAATGAATTAACAGCATTTGTAGTGACCTGGATGTGACTGGAGACTTATTATTCTAAGTGATGTAATTCAGGAATGGAAAAGCAAACACTGTATGTTCTCACTGATATGTGGGAGCTAAGCTATGAGGACACAAAGGCATAAGAATGATATAATGGACTTTGGGGACTTGGAGGAAAGAGTGGGAGGAGGTGAGGGATAAAGGACTACAAATATGGTGCAGTGGACACTGCTCAGGTGATGGATGCACCAAAATCTCACAAATCACCACTAAAGGACATATTCGTGCAACTAAATACTACCTGTACCCCAATAACTTATGGAAAAATAGAAACAAAAATAAAGTCATATGTAAGTAAACGTTACAGAATGAAAACATGGTAGAATAAAATAAAGCACAGGCTTTTTAAGTTTAAAATACATATATATGTGTGCGTGTGTGTGTATATATATGTATGTATATATAAGTGTATATATATGTATGTGTGTATATATATATATATATATACACACACATATTTACTGGCTTTAAAAGGTCTAAAAGAACTTTCACCAAACAGTACAATGGATCTCACTGCATGATGGGCTTATGTATGGATTATTACTTTTTTAATAAACAGTTAAAGCTTTGCAATAAGGAAAAAAAAATTGCATAATCCTAAATCTTTAATTGTCTTATCAATACAGGTTGTCTCTTTCATTAAAGACTGAGAGTTTAAAATGCAGAATTCACCCAGAGAAGACAGCCTTGATTCTAAGTAGTTGGGAGGGTTGCAGGAATAGAGAAAATACAGCCCACTATGCAAAAGCCTTCACAGGAGACAGACAACATGAAATTGGCTGAACCAGAGGCTCCAGTTCTAATGACTTGGCCAAGCCTCAAGGGTTCCACACACATTCCTTCCAGGCTGGTATCTGACCTACCCTGTGATCAATCTTTGGTCCCCTCAATAATTCCCTCTCCTTCCTACAGCCTTTCTCCTTCCATATTATCTCCACAACCTAGCGTATTCCTACTGCTCAGAAAAGCTACTGTGGCATTTTGATGGTGGGGAGAGTCAAAGCCTCCTGCAGCTGTGACCTCCAATGAACAGAAAGGTATGAGGGTCATCACAGCAAAGAATGTTAGGCTCACTGACACAATACATTCCACAGATACTCCACACTTGTAGCCAAGTACCTTCGAATGGGAAGTCTCTCCCATGTTTAGAGACAGTTCATTTAGGAGCTGAGAGATTTCTCTCTATAACCATAATTGAGTTCTCTCTTTCGGCACAAGGGCTGTGTACTTTAATGCTCATGCCATGACTGGATATATAAAGACAAGAAGAAAGTCTGGAAATGCTCTGAAACTGGCTGTAGTTAGGGAAAGGTCCCACAACTTTCAAAGAGATTTGGGACCCTCAACAATGAAAAAAGCATTTCCTGCAGAAGTAAACTAACTCACTAATTGTTTTTCTTCTCCAAGATGCCTTCTGATATCCATATATTACTACTAGCATTAGTACTTCTTATAAATGAAAACAGTGGGCTGGGTATGGTGGCTCATGTCTGTAATCCCAGCACCTTGGGAGCCTTAGGCAAATGGATCACTTGAGCCTAGAAGTTGGAGATCAGCCTGGGCAGACCCCAACGCTACGAAAATTTTTTTAAAAATTAGCCTTGCACATTGGCATGTGCCCATAGTCCCAGCTACTCAGGAGGCTGAGGTCAGAATGCAGCTTGAGCCCGAGAGGTCAAGGCTGCAGTGAGCTGTGATCATGCCACTGCATTCCAGTCTGGATGACAGCCAGATCCTGTCTCAAATTAATAAAAAAAGAAAAAGTGAATAGTGTCAAATACTGTGATGTTAAGATAAAAATATTTTAGGCAAGAATATGTTTCCTGCCATGGAGTTGACTCTTACTTCTTAAAATGTACTACAGTTTCTGATCACCAGTAACTCTCCAATGACAAATGTGCATTAAAACATTGTTTTATTTCAAAGTTTCCTCCTCCCCAGAAGGCCAATATTTAGTCTAGGCTTAAGAGAGGAGACCCAAAGTACCTCCACCCGGGTTCCAAACCAAATGAAGGTTTGATGGGCTGGAGACTGAGCATTCTCAGGCATTTACCTGTCGTGGATACAGGTATATACTCTGTATCTGTGAGCCAATGAGAAGCAAGAATGCTGAGGCCCTTTTGCCCCACAACAGCCTCAGACTATGGTACACTTACTGAATACGTCCCTCCCACAATTACTAAAACTATGAGACCTAGAAATACCAGAGGGAGAGGGAGACAGGACCTAGGGGCTGAGACTTCAGTGATGCTGTGAGAAGTCACATGGCCAGGTAAAGAATACATAGTACCCAAAAGGTCTGAAGTTTAGTTGTCACTCTGCCATTGATCTGCTATGAGCTCCAGAAAAACCCACAGCCTTTCTGGGTTCAGTGTTTTCATTTGGTAGCATAACATAAAGGAATTATACCGGAATGCTCTGATGTTTCCTCAGGTCTCAAATGTTATTTAGTCCAGCCAACCTCATCCCACTCTTATTATATTGATCAAAATACTGTTCATAGCATAATTTCACAATAAATAAATTAATAAGCAAATTGTTTCATTGCTTCATGTTCTAAGAAGATTAAAAAAAAAAAGGTGAGAAAGTCAATTCCGTACTTTTGGAAATGAATATTTGGAAGTTTGGAAGTACTTCAGTAATTTTTCTAGGCTACAACTAAGCACAATACCAACAAAACATAGAGACTCAAATCAAAATGCATTAGGTTTCCAGAACTTGGAGAATTACAGTTTCTTTTTAATATCTTCTCCTTATAAAGCCTGTCAAACACTAAAATTCTGTTGACCATTTTTTATTTTTCTATATTAAAAGAATGCTGAGGTACAAATGTATGAGAAAATTAATATTTGGTTTTTATTTATTTGTATTTTATTTATTTTCTTTTTTGTAAATGGTCTCAGATACTTTCTTTTGCTAAATGGTGTGATACAGATAAATCCAATAAATATAATAATTTACTTAATTCATTATCATCAGGAAGGCCTGGAATTAAAATTCTTGATTTTGAGTTTATAACGGTTTCATTTCACTTATTACCTCTACATATGATCATTTTAAATGTCAGACTAATTGAACTACTGAATTGAATGCAGGCTATTAGCATTAAATGAGACTCATGCAATAGAATATAAAGGTATTACACTGTCCCTATTTTGTGCACTGTTTAATAATCTTAGGTACTTAGAATTTTTAGATGTGTTTCTAATAAATATTTTTGTAGATACGTCTTGACACAAGTGTTATAAATGTTTCTTACAGATATAAAGATCATTTCAAAGTTTACTCTCATAGATTTCTGATACGTGTAAATTCCAATGTAGCTCATAACCATCCAAATATTTCAAGTCTCAGAAATGCAGATTACAATAGTCACTGTTACCCTGAGATTTTCAAAGCTGATTTTCTACCAGTGATCAGTGGGGCCATACATATATTTCTACTGCAAATATTCTGGAAGGCTCTGCTCTCTGGAATTCCCATTCCACACTGATCCAATAAAATCTGACTTTACAGATTTTCAACACGTACCATGAACCAATCCCTCCTCCTCGGCTGCTCTCCAACTCAATAATGGCAGTCACATTCATTACATTTAGTGAGTCAGACTTTCCGCCGTGCCTAAGTCACTCCCAGCTAGTATGGCAGGTGTGTGATGAGTGACGTTAGCTGTTTCAGGAGTCTAAAAAACCGTGTAAGTTTAAAGCAGCCATGGTAATGCCCTACTGGCCTGAAAGAGTAAACCCACCCTCCATTAATGCCTCACATATGACTTCTGTGTTGGAGAGAAAAGAATGCAGAACATGTTCTTTTAAAAAATAAAGCAAAGGCTTATTATAATCAGAGGATTTGTTCAAAATATTTATAAGTCACTTTAAATAACACAGTTGTTTCCTATTTTTGCCATTGGAAATAGTGGGATGTTAAGGTAGAAAAAATAAGAAGAAATTAGTCTTTATGACACTGGAGATTTCATCTCTTTTTTAAAAACTGCCCAGAAATAACATTAAGCATCTATCTCAAAACCACAAAACCAATAAATACAGAGTTAGAAATGCCACTACATCCTTATTATCCCTTGGTTAGTGTGCCTTGCCCTTTTTCTCTGTTCACAGTTGCATAATTATTTTCTCCCTGGAGAACATGGAGGTCAATCTAAAGTCAAGACTGGCTCTAAATGAATGTGCTGTCTATGATACCTGGCTCTCCTTCCAACAAGACAAATGTGGTTGTGCTACATAAACACACAGGAGAAGGCCAGTCACACTGCAAGTCACAAATTTACAGGCATATGAAATAAGACATCCCAGAGTCCGTGACTGTGAGGCTGATAACTAATGAGCTCTCCAATTAGAACTTGGAGAACTGGTTATACACTTTGGAAACAGAATAAAATAATCAAAACTTTTAAGGTCAGAGATACAGAATTTTTCAAGGTCTAAGATTCATACTTTGGAAATCTACTGCACACTATTGAGGTTCAGGGTCTGGAAACCCTAAATTTAAACGTCTTCCAAAAAGCAAAAAAAAAAAAAAACTCAAGCCCCTTTGTAAGAGTTCTGTCTTTTAAAAGTTTGTTAACTTAGGTCAACACTAAATCCGCGAGAATGCTCCTTTCGTATCTAGGTTATGTGGTTGTTGATATAAAACCAGAAATAAGAAAGTGGTTTTATATAAATGCCTAAGAAATCTTGATCTTCATAAGGCCCAAACCTCAAGCAGAGTTAAAAGCCTGATAATTTGCATAATAACATGTGGTCTCATCTGGATTTTTTACAGAAAAAGTGGTTTTGAGTTATCTAGATAATTGCTCTACTCCTCCCCTCTTCCAATTTGTATTAATAGACATAGAAAGATAAAACTTTCAATTATCTTTGAAATCTTTATCATTATTGCCCTTCAACAGAGTCTAGAAGTGAAGTCTGAACTGACTCAAACCGGTTGAGTCTTCCCCACTATTCAAATGGGGCCGCGTCCCGATTATCAGTGCAATGTGATCACTTGATTTTAAACGCAACTATGCGTCCAAATGGCTGAGTGCAAGAGGTCGGCCGGAGATAGGGCCGAGTGCGCTGCCCCAAGCTGCGATCCCTGCCAAGCACTCACGGACAATGCACTGGTTTCCTCCAGGGAGCGTCTTCCATCCAGGGCAGCAGTAGGAGTGGAATCTGGAGCCGCACACGTTGGGCCTGTGATGGACAAGCGCGGTCACGTAACAGATAGGTAGAGGGATGCAGCAACATATAAACGGTCTTCGTAAGCAATGCCCCGAGCGAGTAGATTTCAGGACAACAAACAAATCAAAATTACACTTCAAATTATTGGAGATCGGGAGGCAGACGTGGAAGCAAAAGAGCTAGATGCTGGAATGCAGGAGGGTCAGAAATGTCTAAACACTGCCTTTCATCTGTCGTCCCTTGCCTGCCTTTTTAAAGGGCGAAAAGAGGCATGGAAACATATAATTTGCTACTATTCTAGCTTCCAGATGCAGAGAACAAAGGGACCATTCCGTTCCAAAGAATCCTTGCCCTCCTTCCCAAATCCATTCCTCCTTGGTCAACTGTTACTTTGGCCCCGACGTGTCAAGGAAAGCGCGTCGCAAGGTGGAGCGCTCGGGTTGACGATGAGAAGGTGAGCTGTGAACCCTGCACACGTCCTCAAACAAAAGGCTCACGAGCGGCGGCCCCGACGTGGGGAGCAAGCAGGCTTCTCTGGCCCCTGCAGCAGGCGGACCCAGGCCCGCCTGCCGCCGGACATTCAGAACCTGTTCCCGCAGCGCGAGCTCTGCACACGCTCTGCGATCGGCACCCCTGGACCCCCTAACCACCCGCCGCCCAACCCCCGGAGAGAGGGCTTTCCGCCCGCTGAGCTGCGGGGTTGGGAAGGAAAAGGGGGACGCGCTCCTGGGGGTCTTTGGATATTCTGGCAAAGGGGGCTGCAGCTCTAGGCTCCAGCTAAAGGGTCTGGGACGGAGTGGGCCAGAAAGCCGCCAAACTGAGGATTCCCCCCTCCCCCAAGCCGGAGCCCTAGGTGCGGAGCCGCTTGCCCACTTACCCTCGGAGCACGTCCTGCTGTCCTCGCCGGCGGACGCGGCTGGCCACTGCGGCACCCTCCTCGCGATACTCGGGCGCTAGAAACCCGCCTTCAGAGCCTGCTGTAGCGGACCGAACCTGTTGCGGCGGCGGCTGGGGCCGGGGCGGCTTGGGCGGAGGAGGCTGAGGCTGGCCGGCCGTGCCCTGCGCCCAGAGCACCACACAGCCCAGCCACAGGAAGTAGAGCTGGAGACACAGCCTCCGTCTTCTCCCCATCGCCGGCGCCGAAAGCGCGCGGCCGTAGACCCGCGGAGAGGGAGTGATCAAAGACAAAATCTGCGCGCCTCAGAAAAGAGTCAGGGTCTAATAAGCCCTTCGTCGGCTCCGGGGACTCCCTCGGGCTCGGGCTCCCTGCTCTAGCTGGAGACCTCGACAGAGCGCCGGCCCCCTGACTGCCCGCGAAGCGAGACGCGGGGCGCCGGGTCTAGCGCAGTGAGCGGCGAGGCGCGGCGGAGGTGCAGCCGGCAGCCCCGAGCGGTACACGTTGCATAACCGGCCTAAAGCCCCGAGCGACTCCAGGACCGTCAGCGGGCGGGGGAGGAAATTACAAAAGCCCTGGCGTAAAATTTCAAAAAATGTGAACCTCAAAAGAAAAAAGGGCCTGCACGCAGAGCTCGGCGGATTCCCGTGCGCTCCGAAGACGGATATTGGAAAGCTGCAAAAGTCACCAGAAAGAAACAGGCAAGCAAACAAAAGTCGCCCCCAGAAGAAGAGGAGGGTTCCCTCCGGGCTCGCTCGGAGTCCCACAGGGCAACGAAGCGCGGGTAGCGGCTGCGGAGCCGGGCGGAGGTGCGCGGGGCCGGGGCGTGCGGCCAGCAAGAGAGAGGGCGGGAGGCTGGGCGCTGGAGAAGATGCGGCGGTGGAGGGCGCGGCGCGGGGGTTTTAGAGGCCCGGCGGGGCGCGGGGCGGGCCGGCGGGCGGCGGCTGTCAGTGGGGGCGCGGCCGTCCACACGTGGGGCTCAACCCGGACTGAGAGGCCGGCGCAGAGTGGGCGGGGACAGAGTAAGGGAGAGATCGGGACTGAGGAACGAGGGGAACCAGGGTTGGGTGAGGGGAAGAGGAAGGAAGGGGGGGAGGGCGAAGGGAGGGAAGAGGACGGAGATTGGGGAGAAGGGGGGCGAACCCGAGAGGAAGGCCGGGCTGGAAGAGGGACTTGGAAAGAGGGATTGGCGAGCCCGGGTGCGAGAGGAAATGAGCGGGGGATGGGGGCGAAGTTAGGGCAAAGAGAGAAGTGGGAAAGGAGAGGGAGGGCCAAGGTCCGGGCGCCGAGAGGAGGGGCCCGGGGGGCCGGCTGGAGGGGGCGAGGCGCTAGGCGGCTTTGCTTCCCGTCCCCGTCAATTGGCCGCTAGCTCTGTTTTGACTGCCTGTACAAAGCGAGTAGACGGCGGGGGATGGGGCGATTAGGGACCGGATTTGGGAAAGGAGGCAGCAGCCCCTTCCCCTCCCCCTCCGTCCTCGCCCGGCCGCGGACCAGGGACTAGGGTGCCTAAGCGCGCCAGGCTTGGCCGGACCCGCAGCTGAACTGACCCGCAGCTGAACTTCCCCGCCGGACAGAGGCCGCAAGGTTGAGGATGAGAACGGGTCTTTCTGTAGGGTCCCGGCCCCTGACCTGGGATGGGGGGATTCGCAGTCAGCCAGGAATAGAGGCTCACGGGGCTGTTGGTTGCAGCCTCAATCCAAGAAGGAGGAGACCTCCCCTTTGCCCTCCTACCCCCACCGCCCCACCGGGAGCGGCGTCAGTCTGCGGGACCAAATTAGGGGCTGGGAGTTTCCAGATTGAAATGCGCCCTCCACCACCAAGAGGGAGCTCACGCGGCCGCGGGGGGCCGAGGCAGCCAGCCGGCGCCGCGGTCCTGGGGAGTCCGTGCAGGGGTGTGCTCTGGTGTGAAACCTGGCAGGACTCTGCCTGGGCTTGCATGCAGGGAGGGGTTAGAGACTCTGAAATGTACTAGCGGGCAGGGTGGTGACAAGGCGGGTAAATGAGGCTCGGGGCATGCCCTTGCTTCCTGGCTTGGACCCCTTCTGATTGATTAAATCCTAGCAATTGGTGCAACCCTCTGTACCTCTTAGAGTGCCTCTCACCGGCCTGCTCTGGGTTCTTCCTTTGTGGCCCTCCTTTCATGAAATCTCTGTGAAGTCCTGGTCATTTCTCATTTAGTGGAATATCACAATTTAAAAATCAAACACTCCTGAAAACAAGGAGAGACCATCCAAGCACAGTTTGCGAAACAGTACAAAAGAGCAGTGTCTGGTTTATTCAAGCCTAGAAAACCTTAGTTTAAAGGGGAAAATGTTGAATATGTATAGGAGGGTGTGTGTGTGTGTGTGTGTGTATATATATACACGTACATATATACATATATACACATAACATATATATGATATATATCATATATCATATATATCATATATCATATATATGATATCATATATATGATAGATCATATATGATATATCATATATATGATAGATCATATATATCATATATATGATATATGATATATGATATATATGATAGATCATATATGATCTATCATATATATCATATATCATATATATCATATATATCATATATATCATATATATCATATATATCATATATCATATATATCATATATATCGTATATATCATATATCGTATATATCATATATATCATATATCATATATATCGTATATATCATATATCATATATATCATATATCATATATATATCATATATCATATATATGTATTTCTGGCCCAAATTGCCCAGATGTGCTATTTGACAGCCAAAATTCTCCAGTAATTGGCACAACTCCCTCCTTTATTTCTCCATGTAGTCAAAGGGTCTGAAGGTAGTACCCCTTGTTACAGTATTCTCATAAAGCAGAAGAAAAGATAAGAGTTACATAATTTCATGTGAGACACCGATTTGTTAAAATCCAGAGAAAGAGCAATACAGTTATTTTCACGTACTTCGCTTCAAATAATAAAATTATTTAAACTAAAAGAGCTAACTAATGTAACTATCTCCTGGTTTAAAGCAGTGTTTTAGTCATACCATTTAAAACATCCTGTATCTGCTTTTTTTGTTGTTGTTGCTGTTGTTTAATACTTACGTGGCTTCATGGTTCATTCCTGTCCATCACATTAAATCTAAATGCTCTAGAATTGCCTATGCCTTTACCCTTTGATCCAGCAATTCCACTTTTAGGAACCTATATAAAAGATACATAGACAAAAAAAAATGAAATGGTGCATACATTTGACTGTTCTTTGCAGCACTGTTTATAATAGTGAAAGACTAGAAACACAAACTTCCCATGAACAAGCAACTGTTGTGTATGACTTCATCTATTCAGTGAAGTATTATGCAGCTGTCAAATATGAATGAAGAGAAACTCTGTATGCTCTTAGAGAGTGATCTCTAGCATATACAGTCTACTAAAATAAAAAAAAAGCAAGGTACAGATAGACTAGGCAGTTCATTGAGACAAAGTAGAATAAAGGTTACCAGGAGCTCCAGGAAAATGGGAAGGATGAGTTATTGTTTAGTGAGTACAAAGTGGTCTGCCTAGGATGATGAAAAAGTTAGAAATGGATAATGGTGACGGTGGTCCAACATTGTGCATGTACTTAATGCTACTGAATTGCACGCTTAAAAATGATTAAAATGGTAAATTTTATGTTATGTCTATTTTTTACAATATTTTTTAAATGAAAGCTGTATAATATTGTATGCTACTTTTTAGGGGTATGAGTGTGTTATAGATTTAACAACAAACAAGAAGTATAAACTAAATCTAATAAAAAATGGTTATCTGTAGAGAAAGGGGAGACTATGAGGAAAGAAACAATGGTGGAAGCTAAACCTTTCTAAATAAACTTAGTTTTATAGTTCTGGCTTTGGAACTATGTTCCAAAGACCTAGAAATAGTGACAACCCAAAAACCATAAGGTCATTGTGACCAGATTGTGGTTCCTAAATACCATTTCTAAATTAAAGGAATCAGGGTTCCTTGGGTGAGTGGCAGATTCTAAGTCTGGGAAAGGAAATGCATAAAGTGAATCTGGACTATCTGTCTTGTCATGCCTGAAAGCAAGAAATTATCTGACTATTAAGGTCATGTCAAAAGGAAACCTGAGCTAAGTTGAAAGAGATCTTGCTGGTTAAGGATGGGGAAACTTGAGCATCAAAAAGAAAAAAGAAATGACAGCAAAAGATTGAAATACATGAAGTGTGTCAGTATTCAAGATTTCCGAATGATACTCCAAACAAAAATTAGTTGGCCACTTTTGGAGGTTGTTAGGGCACAGCTCACTATTCTAAACGCATCGATAAATAAAATTATTAACCAGTTATTCTTCCTTTGCTAGAAAGACCCAGAGAAAGTATTTCTTTTGAAAAAAAAAAAAAACCACAGTTGTAAATGCAGGAATGATGGAATTAGAAAAATCACTACTTGTAAACCCTAATAAAATAATGGACCTAGGCAACGGTTTTTAACAACTGCTAAAACCATTAGGTAAGAAGTGTTCAACTTGTGGCCATTTTTCCTCAGGGTATATTTGGCAGTAATTGGAGACATTTTTTATTGTCACAACAAGACAGTGTGTGGGAGTGGTGATGAGAGTATCAGAGATGCTGCTAAACATTCTACGATGTACAGGCCAGTCTCCCATAGCAAAGCATTATCTGGTCCAAAATACAAATTTACTTGGGAAGCCGTGCATCAAAAAGTCAATTGGGAACTTTTTAGTGAATGTGTCAAGCTGTTACCACCAGAACCTACTGATTAATTATTAACTTATGAAAAGTAAGACAACCAGACATTATGTTTTTATTTTTATGGTGCAATAGGAGGTACACAGACCACCTATGAAATATCTTTGTCAAAAAAACTGAGCCTGAATGTAACCATATCTCTACATTTAACTCCCAGTTTCCAAGAACAATAGAGGACCATGAAACATATTAAATGATACCTTGAGAATATAGGTAACCAGATCTAGAATGGGATATACCACAAGACCAAGTTCTTCAAATAAATGACATCAGTAGAGAAGAGGGAGGGGAACTGTTATGGCACAACCACCAAAAGCAATGCTTGCCCCTTATCTGGGATTTTGATATGAATGTTAGTGAAAAATAACATTTTTGATGCTATCATCCAGTCTAGTAAGTCTTATTTATATGGTTGCAGCTACAGTCAATATATAACTGCAACTGCGTGAGACACCCCAAGTAAGAACTACCCAGGCAAACTCTTCTGAGTTCCTGACCCATAAAAGGCTAAGGCAAAATAAATTTTTTAAACCTATAACTTTAGGGGTAATTTGTTATGTAGTGATAGAACACTGAACTGAACACTGGTTACTAGATATTAAATATTTATTTTTAATTTTGGGAGATGTGACAATGGAATCATTGTTATATTTTTAATATACTGGCTAATGTTATACTTACTAAAGTCTTTATAGATGAAATGATAGGATGCCTGGGTTTGATTCAAAATACTGCAAGAAGAACAAAGGCAGAGTGGATTAGATGTACTTTATTCCTCTTGGCAAGTATACTTAACTAAACATAAATAAATATATGTGGAGAGAGAGAGCATGCACACATAAGAAGACTGTAAATGGTAGGGAGAAGAAGGCAGACTAGTTACCCTGCTAGTGACCTTGGAACCTGAGGAATGACATGATGGTGGTTTTCCTGAATTGTCTTTTGCTTTTTGTATCCCAGAATGAGTGCTAGGAAATCTGGCAATTTGGAAATGCCATTGGCAACAGACCAAAGAAAGCCTCGAAAGAAAGCCTGCCCTCTCTAGCCAAAAGACAAGAAAGGGATAGCCTAGAAAGACAAAACACTTTTAGACAATAACTGCCCTAACCAAACCACAGAAAAAAACTGTAGTCACCTTTACCAACAATGGCCAAGTAAGGAGCCTAGACTTTCATCCTTACCAGGGTGTAGCAAGGTATCCCTCCCCTTCTCCTGGATAGTGTCAGAGAAAGCCAAGTGGAAAGCTCAGACTTTCATCCCCCTGCACAGTCGTGAGCCACCTTCTCCCCATGGTGTCAGTGGAGAAGCTGGACTTCCACCTCCACCTAACAGTAATGAGATGCCCCTGTCTGCTGGGATGGTGTCAGAAGATACCTAGTAGATGCTCAGGAATCTTCTCACTGCCCAGCAGTAATGAGGCCATCCCACCACCACCAAGGTGTCATGGAATATCATGGGAAACTACATTGGGAGCAGTAATGAAACACCACTGTCCTAGCCAGAGTGGTACAGAAGAGCTTGAGTGGTGACCCTGTACTGTCACCCCTGCCCAGTAATAAATAACAAGTTACTCCTCCCCTCAAGAGTGTCAACAGAGGCTGCATGTAGATCTTGGACTTCCACCGTCATCTAGCAGTAATGAGGCATCCCTTGCCCTGTCTGCCCACCATTGCAGTATCAGAGGAGGCTGCTAAAACAAAGAATTTAAATATAACCCAAAGTCTCACAAAATAAAGTAAAAAATGTCCAAGATTCATATACACCTACTATTTACCAGCAATTTTTTTTAATTCCAAGATTCAACTGAAAATCATTTATCATTGAAAGAACCAGGAAGATCTTAACTTAAATGAGAAAAGAAAATCAATACACATCAACACTGAGATGACACAGATGTTAGAATTGTCTGACAATATTCTTAAAGCAACTACAATAAAAATGCATCAGTGGGCCATTGTAAAACTCTTGAAACAGATGATAAAAGAAAGAAAGTAGAAAGCATCAGCACAGAAATAGAAGACATAAAGAAGAACCAAATGAAAATTTTAGAATTTAAAAATAAAACAAAATTTTAAAACTTAATAGATGGGTTTCACAGCAAAATTCAGAGAGCAGAGGAAAGAATCAGTGAACTTGAAGATAGAAAAATAGAAATCACTCAAACTGAACAATGAAGAGTATATACACTGAAAAATCAAACAGCCTTAGGGAGCTATGAGACTATAATAAAATATGTAACATTTGATTATCTGAATTTCAAAGGAAGAGAAAGAGGATAAAGCTGCTGAAAAATTACTTGGAGAATAAATAATGGTGAAACATTTTCAAATTTTGGGCTTTGCATAAATATACAGATTCAATAAGCCTAATAAGTCCTAAACAGAATAAACCCAAAGGCATTCACATCAAGACTCATCATAGTCCAAGTTTTGAAAATTAAAGGCAAAGAAAAAAATCATGAAAGCAGCGAAAGAAAGGACACTTTACTTGTCCTTTCTGGAAAAAAACAATTCAAATGATAGCAGATTTTACATCAAAAAGTGTGGAAGCCAGAAGGGAGTGACACCCATTTCTTCAGTGCTGAAAGAAAGTAAAGAACTGTCAACCAAGAATTCTATACCCAGTGGAAATATCCTTCAGAAATAAAGGACACATGAAGACCCTTTTAAATGAAGGAAAACAAGAATGTGTCTCCATCAGACCCACCCTAAAATAATGGCTAAAGGAAATTATTTAATCAGAAATGAAATATTAACCAAAGGATTCTTGAAACAAGAAGGAAGAAAGAACAAAAAGAGGGAATATATGGAAAAGTATGAGTAATTACAATAAATTTTATCTCTTGATTTTTCTAAATATGGTTCATACAAAAATTATAACATTGTCTCAGGTATATATAAGAAATATTTAAGAAAATTATTTTGTAAACAGAGGAAGGGAAAGACACATAAAAGGTGGTAAGGTTTCTATACTGGTAAAATGATAATACTAGTAGACTGTGATAAGTTAAAGGGGTAGCACAGGGAGACCTTTGTGATGAGGAAATAGTTCTCTAACCACTTGGTGGTGCTTACCCAAATCTGTGCATGTGAAAAATGGAATAGAATTATACATACACATTGTGCCAGTGTCAATTTTGTGGTTTTTATATTGTACATAAGAAATAACCATTGGGAGAAACTAGGTAAAGGGTAAACAGGATCTCTCTGTGCTATCTGTGCAATTCTCTGTGAATCTATGCTTTTTAAAACATTTAAAATATTAAGGATAAAACCTTTTTAAAGAAACTTGACACATTCTTACCCATCTTCTGTCAATGTAGAGATATTTCATCCCATGCGATTGAAAAAAGGAGGTTAATAGATGAAATGGCAAAATGTTGATAATTATTAAAACTGTATATACAACCCTCTATCAGTAATTTAAAGATGCAGCAGATGGAAAACCAATGAGAGCATAGTTGAACTGAGCACCACCACCGATCAGCTGGATCTAGTTGACATTCATAGTATATTTCATTTAATAACTACAGAATACACATTCTTCTCAAGCTCTCATGGAATATTCACCCAGATAGACCACAACTTTGCCCATAAAACACACCTTAACAAACATCTAAGAGAATAGAAATCATACAAAGTATGCTCTCAGATCACAATAGAATTAAATTAGGAACAAAAGACAGAATAGAGCTGGAAAAATCCCTAACTATCTGGAGACTAAATAATAAACTTCTAAATAACAAACATGCCAAAAAAGAAGTCTCAAGAGAAATTAAAGAATATTTTAAACTAAATAAAAATGAAAATAGAGCTTATTAAAATTTTCAGGGCCAGGTGCGGTGGCTCATGCCTGTAATCCCAACAGTTTGGGAGGCTGAGGTGGGCAGACCAAGAGATCTGTGATCAAGAGATCGAGACCATCCTGGACAACATGGTGAAACCCCATCTCTACTAAAAAATACATAAATTAGCTGGATGTGGACGTGGTGGCATGTGCCTGTAGTCCCAGCTATTCAGGAGGCTGAGGCAGGAGTATCACTTGAACCCAGGAGGCAGAGGTTGCAGTGGGCCAAGATTGTGCCACTGCACTCCAGCCCGGTGTCAGAGTGAAACTCATCTCAAAATAAATAAATAAAATAAAATAAAATAAAATAAAATTTTCAGGATGCAGAGAAAGCAGTGCTTTGAGGAGCATTTATAACACTGAATGCATATATTAGCAAAGAAGGAATATCTAACATCGATGATCTAAGCTTCCACATTAGGAAACAAAAAAAGAAAAGCAAATTAATACAAGATAGATTGAAGAAAAGAAATAAAAATTACAGCAGACATTAAGAAATTGAAAACAGGAAAGCAATAGAGAATATCAACAGACAAAATATTGGTTATTTGTTTTTGTTTTTAAGTGAAAGCAAATATATTAGAGAAATAAAGAAACAAAAGAATAGCTGCTCCATAGAAAGAGCAGCACAGGATGGGCTGCTTAACTAGTATAGTTATGGTTGTTTCTTGATTATTTGCTAAACAAGGGGTGGATTGTTCATGTGTTGTTCGAGAAAGGGATGGGGAGTTCCCAGAACTGAGGGTTCTTCCCCTTTTCAGACCATATAAGGTAACTTCAAATGCCATGGCATTTGTAAACCATCATTGTGCTGGTGGGAGTATCCTTTAGCATGCAAATGCATTATAATTGGCATATAATGAGTAGTGAGGACAATCAGAGTTCGCTTTTCTCCTCCTTTTGGTTTTGATGGGTTTTGGCTGGCTTCTTTACCGCATCCTGTTTTACCAGCTGGGTCTTTGTGACTTGTATCTTGTGAAACCAGTTCCACCAACCTCTTATCTCGTCCTGTGACAAAGAATGCCTAACCTCCTGGGGATGCAACCCAGCAAGTCTCAGCCTCATTTTATCCAGTCCCTATTCAGAATGGAGTTGCTCTGATTCAAACACCTCTGACATATTTCCCCTCTCCCTTCTAAAAGGGACCCTTAATCCTAAAAGGTTCATCTTCTGTAACTTCTTCAGGCTGAATGGGTGATGATATTCCTGTCTAAGTATTAGGGTCTCTTGTATTCAGGATAGAGAAGCATTCAGTGAGAAAGCATCGGTATGGTGAGGGCCATTTATAACTCAGAATCCCAACAAAAGGTGATATAAGGCCAGGTGCAGTGGCTCACACCTGTAATTTCAGCACTTTGGGAGGCTGAGGCAGGCAGATTGCTTGAACTCAGGAGTTCAAGACCAATCTGGGCAACATAGCAAAACTCTGTCTGTATAAAAAATACAAAAATTAGCTGTGCATGGTGGTGTGGAAGGATCATTTGAGCCCAGAAGGCAGTGAGCTGTTATTGCACCACTGCACTCCTGCCTGGGTGACAGCCAGACCCTGTCCCCGCAACCACCCCAAAAAGATATAAATAATTTCTAAATTCTGGAGAAATAAAGTAGAAAGAAATATGCTCCAGATTTTGTTTACAGGAGTATATTTTACTCAATTCCTAAAAGCTGTAAATAGCTCAAAAGAAAAGTTTTCTTGACTACAAATTCAGCCAATTGGTGCTGCAGTCTATTTCCTTTGAGTTGGGGGTCTCTTCAGTATGGTCCCTTCATGGTTTGCCATGGAAGATGTTGCCAGAAAGAGGTCCAGATCTAGACCCCAAGAGAGCATTCTTGGATCTCGCAGAAGAAAAAATTCATGTGGAGTCCATGGAGTAAAGTGAAACAAGTTTGATAGAGAATTAAAGAAAAAAATGAATGGCTACTCCATAGACAGAGCAGCCTGGTTAGTTGAAAAGATTAATAAAATTGATAAACCTCTAGCCAAGCTAACCAAAGGAAAAAAAGAGAACACACAAATTACTAATATTATAAATAAAATAGAACCATCATACTTATCTTGTGGGCATTGAAAATATAATAAAGGAATAGTATGAACAATTCTATGCTACAAATGTGATAACTAAAATGAAATGGACTAGTGACTTGAAAGACACCGACTATCAGAACTCACACTAGGATGAATAATTTGAACAGGCCTATATCCATTAAAAATAGAGTTAATAATTTCCAAAAAAGAAAGTACCAGGCTCAGATGGTTTCAGTGGCATTTTCTACTAATTCACTGGGGTTTTACAAAACATTTAAGGAACCAATGGTATCAATTTCTGCAACATCTTCCAGAATATCTAAGCAGAGCAAACACTTCCTAATTCATTCTATGAGGCCAGCATTCCCCTAATATCAAAACCAGAGATATTACAAGAAGAGAAAATTATGGGCCAATATCTCTCATGAACATAGATGCAAAAACCCTCAAAACAGTAGCAAATTAAACAATGTATGAAAGGAAACATACTCTGTGACCTATGAGCATGTATGCCACGTATGAAAGATTAGTTAAGCATTTAAAAATTGATAAATGTAATCCATCATATCAATAGGCTACAGAAAACAATTATGATTACATCAGTCCAATACTCATTGATAATAAAAAACATTTGACAACATCCAATACCCATTCATAATAAAAACTATGAGCAAACTAGGAATAGAGAAGAACTTCCTCAACATGATAAAGAATATCTACAAAAAACAACTAGAGCTAACATCATACTTAATGGTGAGAAACTGAACGCTTTCTCACCATTTATTTGGGAGTAAGACAAGGATGTACCCTCTCACCACTCCTATTCTACATTTTACTAAAATAAGACAAGAATAAGAAATATATTTATACAGATTGATAAGGAAGAAACAGAACTATCTATGTTTGCAAATGACATGATCGTCTATGTAGAAAATCCTAAAGACCAGCAAGAAACTCCTGGAACTAATAAGCAATTATAGTAAGTTTGCAGGATACAATATAGAATGTCAATGTGGAAAAGTCAATTGCCTTCCTATCTATTACCAACGAAAAATTAATTAGCAAAAAACATACTTAGATGCAAACCAAACAAAATATGTACAACATCTATATGAAGAAAACTACAAAACTTTGAAGAGAGAGATGAAAGAATATTCAAGTAAGTGGAGAAATATTTCCTGCCCATTGATAGGGACACTAAATATGGTTAAGACGTCAGTTACTTTCTACTTAGCTGTAGATTCACCCCAGTGACAATTAAAATCTTAGCAAGTTATTTTGTAGATATTGACATACTGATTCTAAGGTTTCTGGGTTTCTGTGAAGAGGGAAATGACTCAGAATAGCCAACAGAACACTGAAGAAGAGTAGAGACAGAGGACTGACACTACTCAACTTCAAGACTTAGTAGAAAAGGTACAGTAATCAAGACAATGTGATATCGGATACGTGGGTGTTTATTATGTTTCTTATTCTAATTTTGTGTGTATTTGAAGGCTTTCATAATGAATTTTTTTTTCTTAATGAAAAGTTTTTGAGACTCTTCTTCAACTGTGTTTTTCTCCATGTTTTCTCCCTTCTCCTAATAACCACAAACTTTATGCATGCTCAAGGATTATCAATTTCACTGATTCTCTGCTTCCCAAATCAGTAATTTCTGCTTAAGTCATCATTACTTTATTCCTTCTGTTTTCTTTGAAAACACATGGTTTAATTTTCTAGCACTTCTAACTTTTTGAGTCTACTACTTAATTTACTTGTTTAGCTTCCTTTTTAATTCCTTAAGAGTATAAAACTATGAATTGTTCTTTGAGCACAACTTTAGATAAGCCCTTAATTGTTTGGTAAGTGATGTGTTTATTATCTTTATTTTATAATTTTTTTAATTTTCATTTTGAATTCAAAGTATTTAAGAAAAAGATATAGAATTTTCCTATGATTATATATTTTTCTTTTTAGAGTATTAATTTCTACTTCTATTGAAATATATCCAGAGATCATGATCTGTTCTTCATGTATTTGTGTATATATTGGAAATTATCTGTTTATTTATATGGCATTATGTATGTTTGGGGTCTTGAAAAGAGGTTATATACTCTTTCGTGTTAAAGAGTTTGAGACATATCTGTTAGCTGAAGTATAATAATTATATCATTTACATCTTCTGTGTGCTTATTTTATTGTGTAGCTGATCTGTCATGAACCTAGAGGCAAGTTAAATTCCACTGCAATACCATATTTCGGTCTATTTCTTCTTGTTTTGTTTGCAGCATATGTGTTCTATCTTTTACTATTTATGTACATATTTATGGCAACTACAATCTCATAGTAAATTGTATATCTTATACTCACAAAATGGACTATCTTGTAAAATATTTGCTTTGGATTTAGTCTTTGTGATATTGATATTTCTACCTCAAGTTTTTTTTTGTTACTATTTCCTTGTTATGTCTTTTTTTCTTCTATACAATCTGAGTCTTTTAGCTCTGTATGGTTCTTGTATATACAACATATTTTCATCTATAAAATATTATTTTTTTACCCAATCTGGTCATCTTTCTGTGAATATACCCTATTTACATTAGGTGTCAAAAAATATAATTGGTTTTAGTTTTTTCATCCAATGTTATGGGTTTTTTTGTTTTAAATACTTCGTTTTTTATTTTTGTATTTTATTCATGAAATTTCTTACCATTACTTTGGTTCAGTGTATGCAGTGTGTGCTTTCCTTCTTATAATTTGGAAGGCTTATATCTTCTTTTTACACGTTGCTATGGAAACATTTGTCAGTTGATATATTTTATCTAATCACTACTTCTTGCTATAGCAGCTTTAGTTTTTGTTTATGTCTCCTACGAAAGATTAGATAATTAGCTCACTACACTTTCTTCTACCTCTTTTCTCCTTCTCACCTTCTGAATTTCTTAGCTGCAGTTTTATTTTTAGTTCTGGTGATTTCCCTTATGACATACAAACAATATACAACTTAGACTACTATTTGTTGATTTATTCATCTTGAAATGGTTATTGATTTTTCATTAAGAAAGGTAAGAAAATGGGGCTGCATGGCCAAGATGGCTGACTAGAAGCAGCTATGGTGTGTGGCTTTCATGGAGAGGAACAAAAAGTACAAGTAAATACAGCATCTTCAACTGCAACATCTAGGTACTCACACTAGGACTAATCAAGGAAATAACTTGACCCATGGAGAATGGAGAAAAGCAAGGCAAAACAGCAGTCTGCCTGGAAGCAACACAGAGCCAATGAAACCTCCTCTGTCCAGGGAAGCAGTGAGTGTAGGTGCAACCTCAGGAAACTACACTTCTCCCACAGATCTTTGCAACTCTTGGGTCAGAAGATCCCCTTGTGAACCAACTCCACCAGGTCCTTCATTCAGACACACAGAGCTACATGCAGTTTTGGCAGAGCAGCTGCTTTACATACTCTGGCTCCAGGCTTCCCAGCAAAAGTAACTGCAACTCCAGCAAAGTGGGAAGTTACAATTCTGTACATACCCCTAGGAAAGCAGCTGATTCCAGGGGGCCAAGCAGCAATGGTCTGTGGGCCCCACTTCCATGACACCTCACAGGATAGGACTCACTGGCTTGGAATTCCTGCCGGCCACCAGCAACAGTGTTGTGCCTACATGGAATGCAGTTTCTGGGGGTAGAGTGGACTGCCATCTTTGCTGTTTGAGTGAGTTAAACATTCCAGCCTGTGGTCTTGGGAGAGTCCAAACCATCTGAGCTGAAGTGGTACACCAGCAGAGCACAGCTGCTCCACTAAAGTGTGACCAGACTGCTTCTTTAAGTGGGTCTTTGATCTTGTTCCTCCTCACTAGGTGGAACCTCCCAAACGAAGCCTCCAACCACCTCCCACTGGTGTTCTCTGGCCAGCAGAGGTTTCAGTTCTCCATGGGATCGAGTTCCCGGTGGGGAGGGATAGGCCACCATCTTTGCTGTTTGGGCAGCTCAGCCATTCTAGCCCACGGTGTTTGGAGAGCCCAAGCCACCTGAGCAGAAGTGGTATCCGAGCACAGCACAGCTTCTCTACAAAAGCATGGCCAGACTGCTTCTTTAAGCGTGTCCACAATCCCGTTACTCATGACTAGGGTGAGACCTCCCAACCAGCATCTCCACCCACTTCCTATTGGTGCGTTCAGGCTGGCAACATGTCTGTACCTCCCTGGGATAGAGCTCTCAGAGGAAGCAGCAGGCTGCCATCTTTGCTCTTTTGCAGCCTTCACTGGTGATACCTCCAGGTACTGGAAAATCTGAGCTGACTAGGTACTGGAGCAGACCCTCAGCAAACTGTAGCAGCCCCACTGAAAAGTGGCCAGACTGTTAAAAGAAAAAAATAAAATAAAGCCATGCAAAGGTCCACAACCTAAAGGTTGAAGGTAGATAAGCCCACAAAGATGAGAAAGAGTCAGCACAAAAGAGCTGAAAACTCAAGAAACCAGAGTGCCTTTTTTTCCTCCAAATGACTGCATCTATCTCTCCAGCAAGGGTTCAGAACTGGGCTGAGGTTGAGAGGGCTGAGATAACAGAATTAGATTCAAATAAAAATAACCTTCACTGAGCTAAAGAAGCATGTCATAACCCAGTGTAAAGAAGCTAAAAATCATGATATAACATTGCAGGAGCTGAGAGACAATATAGCCAGTATAGAAAAGAATGTAACCAGCTTGATAGAGCTGAAGAACACCATACAAGAATTTCATAATGCAATCTCAAGTATTAATAGCCTAATAGACCAAGCGGAGGAAAGAATTTCAGAGCTTGAAGACTGTCTTTCTGAAATAAGACAGGTAGACAAGAATAGAGAAAAAATAGTAAAAAGGAATGAGCAAAACCTCTGAGAAATATGGGACTGTGTAAAGAGACCAGATCTATGACTAACTGGTGTACCTAAAAGAGATGGGGAGAATGGAATCAATTTGGAAAACATATTTCAGGATATCATCCATGAGAACTTCTCCAACTTGGATAGAAAGACCAACATTCAAAATCAGAAAATGTAGAGAACCCCAGTAAGATACTCCACAGGAAGATCATTCCCAAGACACATAATCGTCAGATTCTCCAAGGTCAAAATCAAAGAAAATATGTTAAAATCAAAGAAAATATGTTAAAAGGCAGCCAGAGAGAAAGGCCCAGTTACCTAGGAAGGGAAGTTCATCAGACTAATAGTCAACCTCTCAGCAGAAACCCTAAAAGTCAGAAGAGATTGGGAACCAATATTCAACATTCTTAAAAAATTCCAACCCAGAATTTCATATCTGGACAAACTAAGCTTCATAAGCAAAGGAGAAATAAGAGAAGTAAATGCTGAGGGAGTTAATTACCACCAGATCTGCCTTACAAGAGCTGCTGAAGGAAGTACTAAATATGGAAAGGAAAGACTGTTACCAGCCACTACAAAAACACACTAAAGGCTGGGCGTGGTGGCTCATGCCTATAATCCCAGCATTTTGGGAGGCCAAGGTGGGTAGATCATTGAGGTTAGGAGTTCTAGGCCAGCCTGACCAACATGGTGAAACCCCATCTCTACTAAAAATACAAAAAATTAGCCAGGTATGGTGGCCCGTACCTGTAATCCCAGCTACTTGGGAGGCTGAGGCAGGAGAATCACTTGAACCTGGGAAGCAGAGGTTGCAGTGAGCCCAGATCATGCCACTGCACTCCAGCCTGGGTGACAGAGCAAGACTCCATCTCAAAAAACAAAGAAAAAGAAAAAGAAAAAAATCATTGAAGTACACAGACCATTGACACTATAAAGCAACCACATAAACAAGCCTGCAAAATAAGCAGCTAACATCATGATTACAGGATCAAATCCACACATATCAATACTAACCTCAAATGTAAATGGGCTAAATGCCCCCATTAAAAGACTCAAGAGTGGCAAGCTGGATAAAGAACCAAGACCCATTGCTATGCTGTCTTCAAGAGACCCATCTCACAGGCAGTGACACACATAAACTCAAAATAAAGGGATGGAGAAAAATTTACCAAGCAAATAGAAAACAGAACAAAGCAGGATGGCAATCCTAATTTCAAACAAGCAGTCTTTAAACCAACAAAGATCAAAGAAAACAAAGAAGGGTATTACATAATAGTAAAGGGTTCAATTCAATAAGAAGACCTAACTTTCTAAAATATGTATGCACCCAACACAGGAGCACTCAGTTTCATAAAGCAAGTTTTTAGAGACCTTCAAAGAGACTTAGATTGCCACACAATAATAGTGGGACCCTTCAACACCTCACTGGCAGTATTAGACAGATCACTGAGGCAGAAAATTAACAAAGATATTTAGGACCTGAACTCAGCACTGGACCAAATGGACCTGATAGATATCTACAGAACTCTCCACCCCAAAACAATGAAATATACATTCTTCTCCTCACCACATGGCACTTACTCTGAAGTCAATCACGTAATTGGAAGTAAAACACTCCTCAGCAAATGCAAAAGAATTGAAATGTTAACAAACAGTCTCTCAGACCATAGAACTATCAAATTAGAATTCCAGACTAAGAAATTCAACAGCCCTTCATGCTAAAAACTCTCAATAAATTAAGTATTGATGGGACTTATCTCAAAATAATAAGAGCTATTTATGACAAACCCACAGCCAATATCATACTGAATGGGCAAAAACTGGAAGCATTCCCTTTGAAAACTGGCACAAGACAGGGATGCCCTCTCTCACCACTCCTATTCAACATAGTGTTGGAAGTTCTGGTCAGGGCAATCAGGCAGAAGAAAGAAATAAAGGGTATTCAATTAGGAAAGGAGGAAGTCAAATTGTCCCTGTTTGCAGATGACATGACTGTATATTTAGAAAACCCCATCGTCTCAGCCCAAAATCTCCTTAAGCTGATAAGCAACTTCAGCAAAGTCTCAGGATACAAAATCAATGTACAAAAATCACAAGCATTCCTATACACCAATAACAGACAAACAGAGAGCCAAATCATGAGTGAACTCCCATTCGCAATGGCTTCAAAGAGAATAAAATACCTAGGAATCCAACTTACAAGGGGTGTGAAGGACCTCTTCAAGGAGAACTACAAACCACTGCTCAACAAAATAAAAGAGGACACAAACAAATGGAAGAACATTCCATGCTCATGGGTAGGAAGAATCAATATTGTGAAAATGGCCATACTGCCCAAGGTAATTTATAGATTCAATGCCATCCCCATCAAGCTACCAATGACTTTCTTCACAGAATGGGAAAAAAACTACTTTAAAGTTCATATGGAACCAAAAAAGAGCCCTCATTGCCAATTCAATCCTAAGCCAAAAGAACAAAGCTGGAGGCATCATGCTATCTGACTTCAAACTATACTACAAGGCTACAGTAACCAAAACAGCATGGTACTGAGATATAGACCAATGGAACAGAACAGAGCCCTCAGAAATAATACCACACATCTACAACTATCTGATCTTTGACAAACCTGAGAAAAACAAGCAATGGAGAAAGGATTCCCTATTTAATAAATGGTGCTGGGAAAACTGGCTAGCCATAGGTAGAAAGCTGAAACTGGATCCTTTCCTTACACCTTTTACAAAAATTAATTCAAGATGGATTAAAGAGTTAAATGTTAGACCTAAAACCATAAAAATCCTAGAAGAAAACTTAGGCAATACCATTCAGGACATAAGCATGGGCAAGGACTTCAGGACTAAAACACCAAAAGCAATGGCAACAAAAGCCAAAATTGACAAATGGGATCTAATTAAACTAAAGAGCTTCTGCACAGCAAAAGAAACTACCATCAGAGTGAACAGGCAGCCTACAGAATGGGAGAAAATTTTTGCAGTCTACTCATCTGACAAAGGGCTAATATCCAGAATCTACAAAGAACTCTAACAAATTTACAAGAAAAAAACAACCCCATCAAAAAGTGGGCGAAGGATATGAACAGACACTTCTCAAAAGAAGACATTTATGCAGCCAACAGACACATGAAAAAATGCTCATCATCACTGGCCATCAGAGAAATGCACATCAAAACCACAATGAGACACCATCTCACACCAGTTAGAATGGCAATCATTAAAAAGTCAGGAAACAACAGGTGCTGGAGAGGATGTGGAGAAATAGGAACACTTTTACACTGTTGGTGGGACTGTAAAATAGTTCAACCATTGTGGAAGACAGTGTGGCGATTCCTCAAGGATCTAGAACTAGAAATACCATTTGACCCAGCCATCCCATTACTGGGTATATACCCAAAGGATTTTAAATCATGCTGCTATAAAGACACATGCACACATATGTTTATTGTGGCACTATTCACGATAGCAAAGACTTGGAACCAACCCAAATGTCCATCAATGATAGACTGGATTAAGAAAATGTGGCACATATACACCATGGAATACTATGCAGCCATAAAAAAGGATGAGTTCATGTCCTTTTTATGGACATGGATGAAGCTGGAAACCATCATTCTCAGAAAACTATTGCAAGGACAAAAAACCAAACACTGCATGTTCTCACTCATAGGTGGGAATAGAACAATGAGAACAGCTGGACCCAGGAAGGGGGACATCACACACCGGGGCCTGTTGTGGGGTGGGGGGAAGGGGGAGGGATAGCATTAGGAGATATACCTAATGTAAATGACAAGTAAATGGGTGCAGCACACCAACATGGCACATGTATACATATGTAACAAACCTCTACGTTGTGCACATGTACCCTAGAACTCAACGTATATATATAAAAAAAACCATAGAATTAAATGGAAATCAAATAACCTGCTTCTGAATGACTTTTGGGTAAGTTATGACATTAAGGCAGAAATCAAGAAGTTCTTTGAGAATATTGAGAACAAAGATACAATGTACCAGAATCTTTGGGAAATAGCTAAGGCAGTGTTAAGAAGGAAATTCGTAGCACTAAATGCCCACATCAAAAGGTTAGAAAGATCTCAAGTTAACAACCTAACATCAAAACTAAAAGAATTAGAGAACCAATAGCAAACAAATCCCAAAGCTAGCAGAAGACAAGAAATAACCTAAATCAGAGCTGAACTGAAGGATATAGAGACATGAAAAACCATTCAAAAGATCAGTGAATCCAGGAGCTAGTTTTTCAAAAAAGCTAATAAAATAGACCACTAGCTAGACTAATAAAGAGGAAAAGAGAGAAGATTTACATAAACACAATAAACACAATCAGAAATGATAAGGGGGCTATTACCACTGATGACACAGAAATACAAACAGCCATCAGAGAATATTATTCACACCTCTATGCAAGTAAACTAGAAAATCTAGAAGATATGGATAAATTCCTGGACACATATACCCTCTCAAGACTGAACCAGAAAGAAATCGAATCTCTGAACAGACCAATAATGAGTTCTGAAATTGGGGCATAATAAATAGCCTACCAACCAAAAAAGCCCAGGAGCAGATAGATTCACAGCTGATTTTTATCAGATGTACAAAGAGCTATTTTGATTCTTACTGAAAGCATTAACAAAAATTGAAAAGGAGGGACTCCTCCCTAACTCATTCTATGGGGCCAGCATCATCCTGATATTAAAACCTGGCAGAAATACAACAAAAAAAACTTCAGGCCAATATTCTTGATGAACATCAATGCACAAATCCTCAATAAAATACTGGCAAACTGAATTCAGCAGCACATGAAAAAACTTATCTACCACAATCAAGTAAGCTTCTTCCCTGGGATGCAAGGCTGGTTCAACGTATGCAAATCAACAAATGTGATTCATCACATAAACAGAACTAAAGACAGAAACTACATGGTTATCTTTATAGCTGCAGAAAAGGCTTTCAATAAAATTCAACATCTCTTCATCTTAAAAACTTTTAGTATATAAGGTATTGAAGGAACATACCTCAAAATAATAAGAGCCATCTATGACAAACACAGCCAACATCATACTGAATGGGCAAAAGCTGAAAGCATTCCCCTTGAAAAACTGGCACAAGACAAGGATGCCCTCTCTCATCACTCCTATTCAACATAGTATTGGAAGTTCTGGCCAGGGCAGTCAGGCAAGAGAAAGAAATAAAGGGCATTCAAATAGGAAGAGAGGAAGTCTAGCTATCCCTGTTTGCAGATGACATGAAACTATATCTAGAACACCCCATCATCTTAGCCCAAAAGCTTCTTAAGCTGATAAGCAGCTTCAGCAAAGTCTCAGGATACAAAATTGATGTGTAAAAAGTGCTACCATTCCTGTACACCAACAATCAAGCCAAGATCCAAATCATGAACAAACTCCCATTCACGATTGCCACAAAAGGAATAAAATACCTAGGAATACAGCTAACTAGGGAGGTGAAAGGTCTTTACAAGGAGAACCAGAAATCACTGTTCAAAGAAATCAGGGATGATACAAATGGAAAAACATCCCATATTCTTGGATAGGAAGAATCAATATTGCTAAAATGGCCCTACTGCCCAAAGTAATTTGTAGATTTATAGATTCAATGGTATTCCCATTAAACTATCACTGACATTCTTCAAAGAACTAGAAAAACTATTTTAAAATTATGTGGAACCAAAAAAAAGAAGCCTAAATAGTCAAGGCACTCCTAAGCAAAAAGAACAAAGCTGGAGGCATCATGCTTCCCAAATTCAAACTATGCTACAGGACTACAGTAACCAAAACAGCATGATACTGGTACAAGAACGGACACATAAACTAATGGAACAGAATAAATAACCCAGAAATAAGGCAGCACACCTACGACTATCTGATCTTCAACAAACCTGAAAAAACAAGCAATAAGGAAAGTATTCCCTATGCAATAAATGATGCTGAGATAACTGGCTAACCATATATAGAGGACTGACACTGGACCCCTTCCTTACATCATATACAGAAACTAATTCAAAATAGATCAAAGACTTAAATGTGAAATCCAAAACTATAAAAACCCTTGAAGGCAACCTAGGCAATACTATTCAGGACATAGGCAGGAGGAAAGATTTCATGATGAGGACACCAAAAGCAATTGCAACAAAAGCAAAAATTGACAAATGGGATCTAATTTAACTTACGAGCTTCTGCACAGCAAAAGAAACTAACAACAGAGTAAACAGGCAACCTACAGAATGGGAGAAAGTTCTTGCAAGCTATGCATCTGACAAAGGTCTCATATCCAGCATCTATAAGGAACTTAAACAAATTTACAAGAAAAAGATAACCCCATGAAAAAGTGAGCAAAGGACACGAACAGACAGTTTTCAAAAGAAGACATACATGTGGCCAACAATCATATGAAAAAGAGCTCAAAATCAATCATTGGAGAAATGGAAATCAAAACCACAATGAGATACTATCTCACACCAGTCAGTATGGCTACTATTAAAAAGTCAAAAAATAACAAATGCTGCCGAGGTTGTGGAGAAAAGGTTGGTCGCTAACTCCTGGGCTCAAGGGATCAGCCTGTCTCCGCCTCCCAAAGTGCTAGGAATACAGTCCTGAGCACTGTGCCCCGCCCTTCAACTTATTTCTTAGATCTACGATTTTCCTTTTCATTTCACGCTGCAGTTTTATCGTCTCTTTTTTAAGGTTCTCTGCTTTTATTAGGTTCATGTTTTCATTATGTTCTTCCACAATATGAAAACTTCCTATGGACATTTCTTCTGTTTCTTTCGCTATCTTTTCTCTAGATAGAATTTGCCATCTATGGCATACATTACTAGTAGCCTACTCAGTGTCCATTCCTCCCTATTTACTTATTTCCTTAACACTCAGTTTTATTCAGTACAGTAATGTACCCAGCTTCAGGGCAACATTTCTCAGATTCTTATAGCTAGTGGTGACTAATGCCTTTCTTTTAGTTTCCTGCCGGCGTAGGGACATTTAAATTAAACTTTCCCATATTCCACATTTTTTCTAGTGCAGATGCAACTTTTGTGTGTTGGTTCACCTTTCTTTGTTTGGAAGTCTTAGAATAACTTTTTAAAAACTTTTCTCTCACGTCTATTGCATTGTGTGTGTGTGTATGTGTGTGTGTACGTGTGTGTGTGTCTGTGTGTGTGTTGGGGAGTTTGGACTATGGATTATGTTTACTGCAAGGGATCAAGACAAGGGTATTCAAGGAAACCTCTCTCTCAGGTTGCACATTTTGAATTGTATCACATGAATCTCTTCCTTTTCTTTTGGTTGAATCCTAGGTATTTTGACTGGTTTGGTCCTATTTGTTATTCTATCATTACGGTTGGAGAAAAGGAAAGTCTCAGATGTTTTTATTCTACCATTTTAACTTGGAAGTCTGTACAAGTACTTTAAATTTTAATCAAAGTAATACAAGCAAATGGTTACAAATTAAATCTTGCAAAAATATTGTGATAAGAAGCAACTGAGCTCAGCTCCAGTGTGGCTTAACCTAAACCTTACTCCCTGGAAGCTTTTTTTTTCTTTTTCTTTGTAAATGGAGGAGACATTTACATACTGTGAAATCCACACATCTTAAATGTAAAGTTTGATGAGTTGTGACAATTGCAAATATTCCTATAACCCTGTCTATTAAAATATAGAACATTTTTATCACCACAGAAAGATCCCTTATGTAATAACTCAGTTAATTCCATTGCACCTCATCCCCATCCCATAGGCAATCACTGTATGGTTTTCTTTCACCTGAGATTAGTTTGTCTATTGTGGAAATTCATATCAATTGAATCATACAATATGTACTCTTATATCTAGCTCCTTTCACTAAGCATAAAAGTCTGGCAGTTCGTTCATTTTGTAGAATGTATCAGTGGTTTGTTCTTTTTTGTTGCTGAAGAGTATTCCATTGTCTGTTTATATTACAATCGTTTTTATCCATTCTCCTCATTTGTTTAGGTTGTTTTAATTTTTGAGCCATTATGAATAAAATGAAACTACTATGAACATTCTTTACATTTTCTATGTTCTTATGTTTTCATTTTTCTTGGTAAATACCTGAAAGTGGAATTTTTAGTCATAGAGTAGATATATTTTTTGCGGGGAAGAGGAGGGTAGTGGGACACAGTCTCACTCTGTTGCTCAAGCTGGAGTGCAGTGGCTCAAGCTCAGCTCACTGCAACTTCCACCTCCTGGATTCAAGCAATTCTCGTGCCTCAGCCTCAGGAGTAGCTGGAATTACAGGCGCACACCACCATGGCTGGCTAATTTTTATATTTTTAGTAGAGACGGGGTTTCACCATGTTGGCCAGGCTGGCCTCAAACTCCTGACCTCAGGTGATCTGCCCACCTCGGCCCCCAAAGTGCTGAGATTACAGGTGTGAGCCACCACACCCAGCAAAATAGATGTGCTTTTAACTTTATGAGAAACTATTAGAACAATTTCGACACTGGCTATACCATTCTACAGTACCTGCAGCAATGTATGAGACTTTTGATTGTTTCACATCCTCAGCAGTATCTGGTGTTGTCAGGCTTTTTCACCTTTGCCATTTTAATGACTATGTGATATATGCCATTGTGATTCTAATTTGTATTTCCCTAATGACTGATATTAATCACTTTCTCTTGTGCTTATTAACTATTTCTGTGCCTTTTTACATAAAAAGGCTGTTCAAGGTTTTTTGGCTGATTTTTTTATTGGGTTGTTTTTCTTTCTATTATTGAGTTGTAGAAATTGTTTATATATCCTGGATACAAGTCTTTATCAGATATAGACATTACAAATATTTTCTTCCAGCCTGCAGTTTCCATATGTTTTCTTAATGGTGTCTTTGGATGAGCAGAGACTTACATTTTCATGAATTGTAAGTCTACCTTTTCTATTTTATGGATAATGATTCCTAGTTAAGAAATTTTTACTTAACCCATGTTTTCTTCCTGAAGATTTTTGCTTTTATAATTTGGTCTATGACATATTTCAAGTTAATTTTGTGTAGAATGTAAGGAATGGGTCTAGGTTCATATTCTTATATGTATATGTGTGTGTGTATACAAGTATATGTATACATATATCTATGTATATCTATAAATGGCTATACATATCTAGATCGCTGTAGACATATATAGATATATCTGACCATATATACCAGTTTCAGCACTGTTTGTTGAAGGGACTTTCCTTTTCCTATTGAACGGCTTTGACAGCTTTGTCAAAGATCAGTACCACAGTGTCTTGATTACTGAAGCCTTATAGTAAGTTTGAAAGCATTAGAGTTTGCTTTGTTCTCTTTCAAAACTTTTGGCTACTTTAGGTCTGTTACATTTCATGTAAATTTTAGAACCAGTTTATCAAATTCTAGAGAAAGATCTGCTGGGATTTTGATTGGGCTTGCACTGAATTTGTTGATCAAGTTTAGAAGAGTAGACATTTTATCAGTATTGAGTCTTTGAGTCTGACAACACATGGACATGGGGAGATTTCTTTCTTTATATCTTCATTAACTTTTCCTAGTAATGTCATTTTCAGTGTAGAGGTCTTGAATATATTTTGTTAAATTTAACCTAGGTATTTTATGATTTTTGATGCTATTGAAAATTGTATTGTTCATTTTATTTTCCAATTATTTGTTGTTTAATGTGATGGGCAATTTTGGGTGTCAGTTTGGCTCTTAGTCAATCACTAATCTATGTGTTACTATAAAGGTATTTTGTAGACTTGATTAACATCTATAATCAGTTTACCTTCAGTGAAAAGAGATTATCCTTGCTAATCTGGGTGGACCTGATCTAATCTGTTGAAAGGCTTTAAGAGTAGAACTGAGATTTCCTTGAGGAAGAAGAAATTCCTCCTGTGGACCAAAACTTCAGTTCCTGCCACAGCGTTTCAGCCTGCCATGCTGATCCTGTCCTGTGAATTTCCAACTTACCTAGCCAACCTCAACAATCATGTAAGCCAATTTCTTGCAATAAATTTCTTTATGTATATCCTACTGGTTCTGTTTCTCTGAGACAACCCTAACTCTGAGATCCTTAAGATATAAAAATAAAAGTGATTTTTTAATATTGATCCTTCACCCTCTTATTTAATAGTTCTGGCAGTTTTTGGTAAATACATGATTTTTTACCTATATAATCATATCATCTGTAGTAAAAGACAATTTCATTTCTTCCTTTCCAATCTTATGGCTTTTAAAACTTTTCTCTTTTACTATAATCAAATTAAGTATCCACTTTTATGTCTGGTAGTAATTCTTGCCTTGAAATCTACTTGGTCTAATTAATAAAACCACTCTAGATTTCTTAAAATTAATTTTTATGTCATATATCTTTTTCCATTCTTTACGCTATGTACCAAGGGATTTCTGGCATCTGAACTTTATTTAGCAAGGACCACCATTGTGGTTTGTTTATAAGCATAGCAAGCAATTAGAATCACATATATTCTCTCCAAACTGAAGACGGAATTCCATTTCTGTGATACACGAACCTTTATTAAGACATGACTAGGTGATGAATTTAATTGACATTGTATATCAGCTATTTTCATGGTTAAATCTCAAATCTGTTCATTGGCTTTTATAGCTCTGTGGCTTTAAGAGATGAGAGATTATTTTAGCAAAGTGATAGGCATTCCTTAAGTTGCATTTTTACCTTTCACTGAGAACTTAGGAACCTGATTAAGGTATTCCTTTCTTTTAACATACCTGAGACTTTCAGAAGTAGCTGGTAGTTCTTGAATTTCCCACCCCCTTCATACTGTTTAAAGCCTTGCCCTCTGAGGGCAGTGGATCACAGGTGAACAATATGATTAGCTGTTTGCCTTCATCTCCAGCTAGGCCAAATTTTCTTACTGATTCCTGGAAGTTTGTTTCCTGGAATCTGATTTAATTATAGAATAAGCTAAGATACTTAGATGCAAACAGAAGAAACTGAGTATCTATCCTAAACAGGAAAGGAATCTATTGAAAGGAACTTGGATAGCTCACAAATGTGATAAAAATTATAGAACAAAGTTCAAGAAGCAGGGAGACTCAAGCAGGAAATATGACCACTGTCTTTTAGCAGGAATAGGCCTTTTGTCACCACTAGATATTATTCTAGCTACCATTAGTAAGTTATTTCTGCCCCTTCATTCTTATAACATTGACTTTGGATTCAAAATCCTGGATAACAGCATTCAGTGGCAAAATTTAGATCCCAGCCCATATTGCCTCTAGAGGAGGATTTATCAATTTGTCTTCCATATTTGAAGGTGTTGAACCAAGTCCAACCAATACTGCATACACAAGGAATATTCCCTAAAAATGGAAGAAGGCTGGATGATGAACAGCCAAAGCAAAACACTAACAAATCTAAATGAGCCAACAACTTTCTGCTATGCTCTGAAATTCTGAAAATGCATTTATTCTGATATGCAATTGTTTGGTAACTTTTCTGGGCAAGATGTCTAGTTTGTTTGCTGCCCCCCTAGCCTCAACCTTTTAATTGCTTTTTTGTTTGCTATCAGTGCACTGATGAGGTTAATGCCAGTCTGATTCTCATGCCTTTGCCAGTGAGCTGGCTCTTTGTTTTTCCTTTCTTTCTTAAAAATGAGATGATCTTTATTTATTCCTTGGGGTTCTGAAATTTTCTAAGGAAGAGTCTTTTTTCATTCATCATACCAAGCATTTCATGGACTCCTTCCATCTCGAGAATAGTGGTGTTCTTCAGCTCTTTGATTATTACATTTTCCTTTATCTTTTCGTTTCCACATCTCTGAAACTCCTAGTAATCAAATATTGTTCCTTCTGGAGGTTCCCTGTTTGAATTTGTTGAATCTTCGCTTCAATGGGTCAACCATTTCTTCCTGTTCTTTTCACTGTTGTGAGTTTATTCCTTTCTGGGTGTTTTTTTCTGTTGTTTGAAAAATTTTTCCTTGTTTGATTCATCTTTTATTTTTAAATTGTTTTCTTTCTTACTTAGAATTTTTTTAAATCTGTCAATTTTTTGCTAATTTTTCTGCCAGATTTTCTCATAACATAGAAAGTGTTTTCCTAACTAGAAATTTGTTATTTGATTTTTCTTCTATTTTTTGACATCCTGTATTTAATAATCATTCTGATATTTAGTAACTTGAGTGCCCAGCACTAGTTATTAGATACACTACCCTTTCTTAATGATTTGTGTTGTTTTAGAATTATATATATTATATATATATTATTATATATTATGGAGTACACTACTCTACTTTTTTTTTTTTTTTTGAGATGGAGTCTCACTCTGTCATCCAGGCTGGAGTGCAGTGGCGTGATCTCGGCTCACCACAATCTCTGCCTCCCGGGTTCAAGCAATTCTCCTGCCTCAGCCTCTCGAGTAGCTGGGGTTACAGGCGCGTGCCACTGTGCCCAGCTAATTTTTTGTATTTTTAGCAGAGACAGGGTTTTGCCATGTTGGCCAGCCTGGTCTTGAACTCCTGACCTCAGGTGATCCACCTGCCTTGGTCTCCCAAAGTGCTGGGATTACGGGCATGAGCCACCACACCACGGCATACTCTGTCTACTTTTATAACAATTATACACTGTGAGGCTTTTTTTTCTTTAGATTTTAAATAATCACTGGGGACTTTCTCTGACACAAGTTCCTTTGCAGTCCTCTTCAGTAGAGGCCGCTTGTTCATTTTTTCCATACCTCATGAACCTTCGGGGCATTATGTGTGTAAATGCCCTCCTTGTGCCTCCTTGATACTATCAAAACATCTCCACAGTCTTCAAAGCCCACGGCTCCTTTGATGCTCATACACCATTTGACTGTATCTTTCAATGTTCCTTCTTAGTGTGATTTTCTAATTCCTCGTCACTCCCTGTCATTTATTGAAGTCTTGAGAACACCTAAATCAATCTCTTCCTCTCCAGTTCTACTGCTGCCATAATTCTCCTGGAACAACATCCATGTTAATAGTATATTTGACACTCTGGCCTCCAGCTTCCTGGCCTTCCTTGTTTCCAATCATAATTACATCCATCCTACCTAAGCTGCTCACCTCGTGGCCACACATTGCTCTGGAATAGTGCAGCCCAACAGGACTTCCTGCAATGATGAAAATGTTATATAGCTGTGTAAGTTCACTGTCAACACAAATATTTAATGTTTTCTCCGTTCTCTTCACATTTCTGCCTCTATCAGCTGATGATCTCACTTATACTTCATTGAAATGATAAAAGAAATAAGAGAAGAGCACCTTCATTTTCAAAATCACTACCCAATCTAGTAATCTGTCTCCACTTGAACTTCTTTGCTTCACCTCTTGCTAGTGGGAAGAAATGTCGACTTTCAACCCAGAGGCCAAATCCTCCACTTTATCCTTTGGATCACATCACCTCCAGCTTAACAAATGAAATCACTCTTCAAACCCTTCCCTCTTTTCTTTATCAGTACACCAGCATTCTTAAGTTATCTATTATCTTAAATAAACAATTCTCTTTAGCCTTTGTGTCTCATTCCAGTTTTTGTGATAATTCTTTGGGACCTTTTGCTGCTGTTACTGTCTCATCCTCTATTTATGTATTTAGCTACTGATACCAATTTATTAAGCTAGTTGACTTAAGTACCTGCAATGACGACCTCAACCTCTACTCCTGGCTCAATACTGATGAAGTAATCTGCTTAGTTTCCAGGGAACTGTTAAAGTTAATGAGTGCTTGGGGATTCTCATCTGGAAACCATTCCAATGGTTAGAACATTCGCCGTAAGAAATTTTTCTTGTAGTGATTCTTTGATTCTTTGATCTGTCCCTTCACTTTAAGTTTTTCCTATGTACCTCTAATCAAGTCAACACAAACCATCTCCAGGGATTTTACCTTGCCACTGGTTAGATAATTCTAGTTTGGTGAGTTGCCACCCTTAGTTCCACAAGTGTCTCTTCTGTCTTCAAAAGCCATGGCTACAGTGTCACTTCCTGACTGACTTGTTCCTCAGGGAGAAATACTGGCGGTGAACCCACAGGAACCTGTGGGTCCATAGCTCTGCTGAAGCTGCAACCAAGTCAAAGTCCACCTATTTCTTCTTAAGCCTATGCCAACTAAAGTTTCTCCTGACCAGTAGGCAAAAAGTACTCACTTTCTGGGTCAAAAAATGAATGCTAAGTTGCCAAATCCAGTGGATGTGATTTGGCATTCATTTTACTCATAGCCATTTAATCATTTCATTCAACTCAATCCCAACCTTTGAAATAATTAATTACTCCCTCCTTGTAAAATGCTTCTGACTGTGCTCTTATTACACTCCATTCTTACTTTCTTCCCACCTCCTTGTTTACCAGTTTCGGTCTCTTGCTTGCTCTTGAATGGACCTGGCAACTGATTTCCTCTGCTGATATTCCCTCTCTAGGTGATATTTCAGATAGTTATAATATGTTTAATACCTGCTGGCACGAGTTCTAGTTTTTCTTAATCTTTTTTTTCCAAGTTGTCTTTGCTACCTTGGAATCAATTAGACTGTAAGTAATAGAACTTGCAGCCAATAGTGGGTTAAAAAATACGAGAACACAGAAGTAGGGCTGTGTATTGGTAATGGTTCTAAGCAGTAGGCAACAGAATTCACTGTGCTTGTTTCCTCAATAAGATGTTTATGGAAGGATAGGAGAAAGCATACAAAATCACTGGAAGGACTGGGGGAACAAAGGCTGAGGCTCAGGAAAAATCTCCCGGATTCATTCTCTAAAGCTACTGATTTTCTTCACCACTGCCACCTTCAGATCAGGCTACCTCCGTTTAACTACTCTACTTAACTCTATTGCTACCCTCTGAAGAGATACCCCACCCTTTCCTGTTTCCTTATGTAGTTCTATTCCAACTCAGTCATCTTATGGCTGTGTATGTTGCAGAAATGAAGTCATGTTTCTTTATGCTTGGGGCAAAGAAACGTAGGAAAGGTAGTTTTGTTTCTATATTGGCAAGGCAAGATTCGTAACATAGGGGACTATTAAAATCTAAAGAAGGAGTTCAAAATATGCTGGGCAGGCAGAAACGACAAACGTCCACTATAGAGGGGTTGGAAGGCATTGTTTGCACAGGCTTTTCATTTCTCTATGATTTCTCTTGATGTGTGCCATATTTCCTTTTGGATGGCTTCACTGGAAGAGCAACAGTGTTCTAATCAGTTGAGACAACACCTTTGTGAAAGTCTACTTGGTGTCAGGCACTGTTCTAGCAGATGAGCTCTGCTGAACAGAGAGTCAAGAGAGAATGTCCCAGCTAACATCTAAAGAAGAGTAAGGGCTTTTTCTTTTTTTTCTTTCCTCTGAAGCACCTAGCAAAATGTGCATTCTTCTGAACTAAATCACAGAACTTTTCCTGAAACAGTCACTCTGGAAAGCAAGTGGAGGTAGCTGATTGGTTTAAGCCAGTTGTGGACTACTGCTGGCCTGGGTGAAGTGAGCTTCCCTTGGAGTACATAAGTTATTTGTGGAAGGAGCAAAACAGTAAAACAACAGGGAAGAAGTGAATGCTGGGTGAACCCAAAGAGTAAATGTCCACTGCACTAATTCTTTTTATCATTCTGGATGAACTTGAGAATTGCATTGACTTCTATAGAAATTGCATTTTTCCAGCAAATAATCTTGGATGAATTCTCGTCTTTATAAAATTTATTCTTCTCATTCCAGAATGACAAGTATGTCTTCACTGAAGTTATTATGTTATTGTTCATGAAAGTTTTATGGTATCTTTCAAATATGTTTTTGAGCAAGAGTTTTCATCAAATAGTTTTAGTATTGTTATGGTGAAAACAATTTTCTAAGAATATTTCCTTTGTGATATGTCTGAATATTTTCAATCTACGTTTTTTAAATAAAAAAATTCTTATTTAATTATAAATAATTTCATAAATCTTGTTTATTTATCAAAGATCTTGCCATTGAAAAATACATTTTACATTTAATTTTTAGATATTGCCAATAATTCATTGTTTTTCGTTTCTTTTTTTTTTTTTTTTTTTTTGAGACAAATTTTCTCTCTTGTTGCCCAGGCTGGAGTGCAATGGCATGGTCTCAGCTCGTGGTCTCACTGCAACCTCTGCCTCCCAGGTTCAAACGATTCTTCTATCTCAGCCTCCCAAGTAGCTGAGATTACAGGTGCCTGCCATCATGCCCGGCTAATTTTTTGTATTTTTAGTAGAGACAGGATTTCATCATGTTGGCCAGGCTGGTCTTGAACTCTTGACCTCAGGTGATCCGCCCACCTTGGCCTCCCAAAGTGCTGGGATTACAGACATGAGCCACTGTGCCCGTCCTTGTGTTTTATTTCTAAAAGATAATTTTTAAGTTTTCATTCATATGTTATTAAAATGCCACTAAATACTAGAGCAATATATAGCAGGTATGATAGTTTTGCTATTTATTTTATTATGCCAATGGAAAATTAAAAATTTAATAAGTTTACTTATGTTATTTCAGTACCAAATAAAAAATGTAAATTGACTGATTTTGTAACTATAGTTAAGGATGCATTTCCACTTTTTAAAATGAGTACTTTAAAAATAAACAGTGATCATTGAATGAAAAAACATAATATTTTAAATTTTGTATATTTGATAAGTACTGTCTGAAAAGACTTCCTAATGTGGAAAAATCCTTCCATCCAGAATTTAAATAATTACATTAAATATGAATATAGTCATTGTTATCACTCTCTAAATATTGAACTGCTGAATTTTACTTTTAAAGGAAACGCATGAAATTTCTATTTTAGCCTCTTTCTATAACTGTTAGAAGCAAGGGTAAGATTTTTAAGGATATATTAGTCTTCTTCAACATTGGCATGTACTATAACTTTAACTGTGGTATTACTAAAACATTCATCAAGAAAATGCATATTTTCCACTTTCTAAGTCATCTAATTTACTTAAAGAAGCCAAACCTTTTGTCATATGAAAAAACTTTAAAATACTACACTTCTATATTCTTTTATCTTTGCATGCCTTTTCCAAACCAGTTTTTGGTTATTAAACTAGGACAATATGCAGGAAATCAATTTAATTTTTTCTGAACCATGTAAATATAATAAAACCCTCATTATATATTGAAAAAGAACAAATAAATAATAAGCAACTTTTGCTTTTTTTCCCCATCTACCAAAGGAATTTCTCAGTTGATTCAATAAATTGTATTTCCTTAGGAAAAACTAAAATACATGTGAGTGGTAAAGAGACTTATATCTTTAATTTTTCCTCAAATTTTTTTATTATGGATTTGTTTGAATTTCTTTTTCACAGCTCTCCTTTTCTTTTTATTTCTGTCTCCCTTTCCTTCATCCCTCTGAAATAGTGAAAATCTCAGGAAAGTAAAGTCATATGGTTTCAAATTTCCCATCTTTAAACTATATTAAGCAATTTATGGGGTAGATATTTTGAAGCCAATTGCCATAGTACATTTAAGATTCTTGGATGAAGACGCCTTTTATAAATAAGAAGATTTTCCCTTTCAAATGTAGAATGGCTCCTTTTTCACTATGAAGAGAAATGTAAGCAATTCTTTTAAAGGACGTTCATTATAAAGGAACTTGTTTCTTGAATGTCTGTCCTTCCCGAATATATAAAGCAGGTAAAATTCTTTTCTGTAAATTTTTGTTATACTTGCACCTATACCTTTTTAGTGATTTTTTTATGGTTAAGTTGATATCTTTTAAGTTTTATTGAATAATTTTAAAAATTTAATTCTTTTAGTGTTTCAAAAGAACAACATAGAGGTGGCTGCAACCTTTAGTGTTCACTAGATTTGTTTATTTTTTTCATTGAAAAAATGATCTTGAAACATTGCGACCTTCTTTCATGCAATGATTTTTTATGATGACATTAGAACTGATACAAAAACAGATCACCATTGATTTCCCTAGAGTGATAACCATAGTGCTTCTCTACTTTTTCTCTCTCCTGCCTAAACATTGCTTTACAGAATTTTCAGTATCTTAACTCTCCATTTTTTTAGCCTTATTTCAAATTCACTTTTCTCCAAACTGGATACTCTACCTAGCCTCCTCAGCAACCCTCATTTCATAGTAAGTCCCATGTTTATATAGATACATTTTTATAGAGAACCAGATTAAAGAAGTTATATTCCTCACTCTCAGCTCAGAGATGAGCTTTATAGCTTCTAAAATAAAACCCTAACTTTTTTGGATTGCATTAAAAGACTACCATACGTCATATTTGGGAATTCCTTTGTCTTAGATATTCTGCTCTGTCAAACGAATCAGATTTTTCTGTAGTCCTGAATATTACTGTTCAATTATAGCCATTATCATCATCATTAATCACTAACGTGAATCTCTGCAGTCACGCTATTACTGTCCCATCTCCAAACTTCTGTATGTGTTGCATTACCTAGAGTATAACTTTTCTTCTTTCTCTAGAAAAATGCATCTAAAAATATATATACTCTATATTATCTATGTCGGCTAATTTCTTTACTATTTTCTCACTAGCATAAACACTTAGACAAAAAACCAAAACCAAAAACAAAAACAAAACCCTTTCCACCAACCTCTGCCCACCATGGGTTGGAACTGGAACTAAATTGTTATGTTCCCCTCACTCCACAGAAGAAGACCGCTAGCTACAGGGGTCCCTGTGCTGGCCAAGCTAGTGAGCCTGTTGGGAGGCTGGTCCGAGGAGAAAGTGGGCCAGCTCCCATGACCTCGCCTCACTCCCTCAACATGGGACACTTTGTATAGATGTGTAATGTATATGTATTTCTTTTTAAGTGACCTCCTCTCCTTCTGCAGACCCCACATGACCATAAGCCTCAGGACTTTCCACCACCTTGCTCCACAGATCCTGCTAGGCCCAACCTGGGCCTCATCCCATGCTGCTTGGTCTCTGGCTGATCCTGGGGCTTTGTCTTCCTCTCGTCAGTTCTTTTGGTTGTGTTTTTTGTTGTTTTTTTTAAAAAGCTCAAAAAATAAATAAAAGACTTGGAGGAAGGGTAAAAAAACAAAAATCCCTTTCCTAAGACCGTAATTAGTTTGCACTTGCTTATAGATTACTTCTTATATGTGTATTTATATAATCGTGTTTTTTAATGATGGAAGCGAGATCATCTGTTACTTTGGATGAAAATTAAAAAACAATCCAGTACTCCCTTTCTCATGAATTCTGATACCATGCACTATCTTCTGTGCCTCTTTCCTAAATTATGTTAGTCTTTTCTGTGGCTTATCTAGACAAATGTAAAACTGCTGTAATACATTGGAACTTTAATTTGTTAAAAAGTGAGAAAATGGAGTAAACAAGCGCTTGAGTGTAAAAAAATGTTAACACTATGAGGGATTTCCCAGTGGAGTCACACAAGGACTTATGGTTCAAGGTTTAAAATCTAATAGCATGAGTAATGAAGCAAAAGTGATCTATGTTAAACATATTTACACTTTTATGAAATGTAAGCTTGGATAACGTAGAGTTCATAAACTAAATAGCAAAAGATAATTCCAAGATGAAATCATTTTATTACATAGGAACGCTTAATTTGTCAACTTTGAAATCCCAGAATGCTGTCTTTTTATTTTTCAGAATCTGTTTGCTTGTTTTGGTGTTTAGCCCAATGAAAGATATCTCAGGAGATCGTATTTTATAAGTGAATGCAAACATATGAAGCAACTTGATGGTTTGGAGTTTATATTTAAACAAATTTGTGTTATCCTGGTTTAATTATGTTACCCATAATGTAGACAAGTCTTATTTTTATTAAAGAAAGAAGAAAAAAAGCTGGTCTCAGAAGCACAGAAACTAGAACTGGTGAGTCACATGAATCTATAGAATCAGCTCTGCTAATTCCATACAGATGTCCTAGTGCATTCCTGTAAATTTTCAGACTGAAAAGGAAATGTTAGTTACACCCTTCCCTTTTACAGCCCAGGGTAAAATATTTCACATATTGTACATATGTTTTGCTAGCAGAAAAAAAATTACAAAAATTAAGAAGTAGTTATTTTGGGCTTAGTATTTTACCATTAATATTAAAAAACAAGTGTATTTAAAATCATGATTTTAAATGAAAGCACACAATCTCTTTGCAGACATCAATCCCTATATTTCAAGTATAAAAGTATAGTTTGTATCCATTTCTAACATGCCAAATAATATAGTTGTCATGTGGTTATGTTTACTGTAACCACAAGAAGATAGATATGATTGCTCTTCATAGATACTGACAAGGGTAAAAACATCTGTGGAAGGAATTACGCAGTGACTAGGATAGTGCTGCCTGATCTCTTGGCTGGTATTTCTGTATTCTCCAGACCAATAAATGCAAAATGGCTTATTAGCTAATAGGCCCATCTGCAGATGGACCAGTGGGCTCGTGGCTCTGGGTCAGGTGTTGAAGAAATATTTGGTACCCTCATATTTTTGCTTTGATGGGGGATTTAGAAATCATCTAGTCCAGGGGAGGCAAATACATAGTATGGCTGTTGACCCTTCCCCTCCAATAGTCTTCTCCACCAAGCCTGAACTTGACTCTCAAATCTTTCTCAATATATTATTATGGCTAACCATTACTACTCAAATAGAAATGCCACATGTCATGAAGATTGTTTATCTTCCCTGATTTAGTTCAGCTCTCTAATTTTTTTTTTTTTTTTTTGAGACAGGGTCTCACTCTGTCAACCAGGCTGGAGTGCAGTGCAGTGGTGAGATCACAGCTCACTGCAACCTCCGCTTCCCGGGCTCAAGCGTTCCTCTCACCTCAGCCTCCTGAGTAGCTGCGATTACAGGCAGGCCACCATGCCTGATTACTTTGTATTGTATTTTTGGTAGAGACAAGGTTTCGCCATGGCCCAGGCTGCCTCAAATTACTGAGCTCAAGCTATCTGCCTGCCTCGGCCTTCCAAAGTGCTGGGATTACAGTCCTGAGCCATCACTGCGCCTGGCTGCTCTTTCATTTTTGGATGAGTAAACTGAGGCTCAGATAAGCTAAGAGATTGGTCGGAAAGAGACCGACCACTTGGCTATTAAGTGGCATGAATGGAATCTGAGTCTCTGAATTTAGTCCTGAAGACTTACACATTAACAGTGCTCCTGTGGGTAAGACATGGGATTTCCCTAATAATCATTAATGAGTCAACTAATATTCAAAGGCAACTGAGACCCGGAATCCTCTGCTAAAATGCTCAGCTTTGGGTAAACCATCAAGGTAGCTTTGGACCCATGAATAGAACCATGAATCTGGAACCTGGTATCAGAAACTAAACTCCTATGGTTTTCAAGAGGTGTAGTGGTAGGCAGGGCAGATGGCTCTGAGTCATGGTTAAAACATTCAGAGACATGTAGATGGTAAGTCTTGGAAGCAGAGAAATGAAGGGGAGTTTACAGGTTCTGTTTTAAGGACTTGCAAAAGGGACTGTGTTTATAGCACAATGTTTAGAGATAATGCAGCAGGAGCTGAAAGAGATGCTTGTTCCAGTTATCCAGTTTGTTTGAGAAGCTTGTCAACAGGAAACAGTGATTTGCTCTGCACATATGTTTAGATTGGAGAAACATTAGCAGTAAGACTTGCAAGAAGGTGCTGGGCAGCACAGTTTCAAAAATTGAAATAAGCTAAAGCAGGTTAGTATAGGGGTGATGTGTGGCTAAACAATCCTTCCAAACCTTAGCAGATGTCACCGGCCAACAGAATTCTCAGTTATCAGTAGCCACCTGGCTGACTCAGGAAAGGCCCTGGATATATGGCTCAGCGTGTCTTGCATCTGAACCTCTTGTGGAGTAGGATGCTGGAGGAGACTTGGAATTGGCTTGCTCTTCACCGCCAGTCCAAGGCCTTTGCCAGAGATCATATCCCTGACCTGAAGTTATTGAGCCCTTGGCGATCATCAAAAACATACATCTAGAAGAGCCAGTATAGATAGAACAACTTCACAATCATATTAAGCCTGCTTTGGACTTCGGGAGTTTGAAATATCCTATCATTTTTCTTGGTTATCACAAGAAGTTAGGGTGAGGATGCAATGCATTTTATGACAATGTGCACTGGTCTCTTTACATTACCATCTTTCTACATTTACAGGAGTTAGAAATCTGGAGGAAAGGTATTCCCTTCAATGCTGCACACAGGTGTTAGCTGGGAACACTGGGGAGGCACTAAAGTGTCAGATGAAAAAAAGCATGACAAGGAGCCTGGCTCCAAATCCTGATCCCCTCCTCCCTCTTGAATCCAGGTGCTGCCCACCCTACCTGCATGGCAGGTATACCTTCCCCAGTTTACACTTCTGAAGGTTTTGCTGAACCTAATCAGGCAAGGCTAGACAGTAGAATAAACAGACATTCAGAAATAGTCACACACTCCACCCTGTAAGAGAGTGGGAGATTTGGAGGGTGAGCAGACTATGAGTAGGGGAGACCCTAGGTGCCACAAGAAAATATTACAGTCTCCTTAACCAGAAGAAACTACAGTCAAATACATTGAGTCTTCCCAGAACAAGATTGGAGGAAGAGGCTATGGTTGTACCTTAAGCTAATAGTCAGATTTTATTTTGTTGAACCTTCTGGATGGACTTTTGGTTTTGCAGATTAAGGTCAGTGTATGGAGCACGCTCTGAGAAAAGCTCTATGGGGATGGATTGAGAGGGGCTGAGAGATACATAGAAATGTGACAAATCCTTTAGACAGTCAAGCTTTAGGGGAAATAGTGATATTGTATCAGTCAATACTTTCTGGCAAAGAACAGATGGCATATCCAAATTAGGGTAATTTGAAGAGAATATAATAAAAGGACTGTGAAGGCAGCATGTAGGAAAACTATAAGAGATACTGTAGAATCCCTGCACTAATAAGAAAAAGACATCATTGTCATTCCTAGATCTGAAGAGCAGGACTTGTTCAAAAGCTAGAGTCAGCAGGGCCTGTGATGAGAAGGCTGCCTACAAGGGATGAAACCTCTGTGGTGGAATGAAGACGACCCAGGACAACCCTGCAGGATATAGACCAGGGGATCTCAACCCTGCTCTTGCTCCTGCTACAATTTGCCATTGACCACAGACAGGAAGCCCAATGATGTGGTCAATGCAGGTCAACCTCCTAAGGCACAGACAGGGTGGAGAAGGGTAGAGAGAGATAGGATCTGAAGGGGAAATGGAAGATATTCAGCACCAATTTTTGAAGAGGATGTTTAGAAGATTTTGCTATATCATGTGGGATGTAAACCAATATTATTCCATCACTCCATGAAAATGTCAGTAAAAATCAGCCTTATTCATCAGTGCCTCTTGGAAGTAAATGTGTGTGAGTGTATGTATGGATGCTTGATGAAGGGCTTTATGAGGTTAACTTTAAGGCAGGTTCCACGTGAGGTTTAGCCAACAAATCTCAGTTGAATTGGGTTACCTATATTTGAGAGATATTTAGTTAATAGTGTTCCTTTTTAAGAAATAAGAGGGAATTATTTTCCCTTTTAACTTACTCTTTTTTAATTTTTAGTTTTTTTGGATTACATAATAGTTGTATATATTTATGGGGTACATGTGTTTTTTTTGTTTGTTTGTTTGTTTTTTTGAGACAGAGTCTCTCTCTGTCACCCAGGCTGGAGTGAAATGACACAATCTTGGCTCACTACAACCTCCGCCTCCTGGGTTCAAGTGATTCTCCTGCCTCAGCCTCCTGAGTACCTGGGATTACAGGCACCTGCCACCACGCCAGGCTAATTTTTGTAGTTTTAGTAGAGATGGGGTTTTGTCATGTTGGCCAGGCTGGTCTCGAACTCCTGACTTCAGGTGATCCTCCCACCTCAGCCTCCCAAAGTGCTGGGATTATAGGCATGAGCCACCATGCCAAGCCACGTGTGATATTTTGATACAAGTATACAATATGTAATGATCAAGTCAGGGTAATGGGATATCTATCAACTCAAGCATTTATCATTTCTTTGTGTTAGGAATATTCCAATTTTACTATTTTAGGTTTTTTGAAATGTGAATAAATTATTGTTAACTATAGTCACCTTATTGTGCTACGAAACACTAAATCTTATTCCTTCTATGTAACTGTATATTTGTGCCCATTAACCATTTCCTCTTACCCCACCTCCCCCATACACATCCTTGCCTTTGGTAACCATCATTCTACTCTGTATCTCCATGGGTTCAATTTTTTTAGCTTCCACATATGAGTGTGAACATGCGATATTTGTCTTTCTATGCCTGCCTAATTCCATTTAACATCATGTCCTTTAGTTCCATTCATGTTGTTGCAAATGACAGGATTTCATTCTTTTTAATGGGTGTATAATATTCCATTGTGTATATGGATCACATTTTCTTTATTCATTCATCTATTGATGGACACTTAGGTTGACTTTATATTTTGGCTGTCATGAATAGTGCTACTATAAACATGGGAGTGTAGATACCTCCTCAATATACTAATTTCCTTTTTTTTTTTTTTGATATATACCCAGTGGTGGGATTGCTGAATTATATGTTAGTTCTAATTTTAGTTTTTTGAGGAAACTCCATACTGTTCTCCATAGTGGCTGTACTAAATTACATTCCCACCAACAGTGTAGAAGCGTTTCCCTTTCTCCACATCTTTGCCATCATCTATTATTGCCTTTTTGATAAAAGCCATTTTCACTGGGTTGAGGTGATAAATAATTGTAGTTTTGATTTGCATTTCTCCAAAGGTTAGTGATGTTGAGCATTTTTTCACATACCTGTTGGCCATATGTATGTCTTCTTTTAAGAAATATTTGTTTAGATCTTTTGCCCATTTAAAATATCAGATTGTTGACTGGGTGCAGTGGCCAATGCCTGTAATCCCAGCACCTCGAGAGGCTGAGGTGGGCAGATCAGTTGAGGCCAGGAGTTCAAGACCAGCTTGGCCAACATGGCAAAAACCCATCTCTACAAAACTACAAAAATTAGGCAGTGTGGTGGCACACACCTATAATCTCAGCTACTCAGAAGGCTGAGGCATGAGAATTGCTTCAACCTGGGAGGCGGAGGTTGGAGTGAGCCAAGATGGTGCCACTGCACTCCAGCCTGGACAACAGAGCAAGACTCTGTTTCAAAAAAAAACAAAATAAAATAAAATAAGATTATTATTATTCTTTCATACACAAGGTCTTTCTATGTTACCCAGGCTGGAGTTCATAGGCCATTCACAGGTGTAATCATGGCACACTGCAACCTCAAACTCCTGGCATCAAGTGATCCTCCTGTCTCAGCCTCCTGAGTAGCTGGGATGATAGGTGCACACACCATGGCTATCACTATTGAGTTACTTTTGACTTATTCTTAAAGAAACTCATATTAATTAAAAATCCTATAACTCTCTTCCTGTCATTGGTAAAATTAAGACAAAGCATTACTCTGTGGCTTATGGGCTGCAGGTATTCTTGGATTCATGACTGGAGTACTTTCACAGTTGGGCCCTGCACCTAAGATGGTGCATTTCACAGAATAGGTACTCATTTTGTTGGGCTGAAATAAACAAATGTGTGAATGAATAAATGGATTGAAATGTTCTTGATCCAAGCTGGTGCTTGCTTCTGACAAGATAAGGCAGGGGAGTAACATGCCCCTCTTCAGGGGCAGAATGCCTTCTTTCTTTTGTTTCCCCTCCTTGTGTTTCCTGTTCCACCTCCTGGAGATAGGGGAGTTGAACAAGCATGGTGGCCAATAGAGCCTAGCCATTTTGACTCCAGCCAGAAGCAGACAGGAGAGTTTCCCCCTTCCAGACTTGCAGACCTGTAGAAGTCTGAGGAAACATTTCTCTCTACGAGGAAAGCTACCTGGCTTCCCTTTCCCAGACACACAAATAACCCACCAGCTACCATCCATTCCCCTGTAGAAGAATAGCACCCCTGCAAGCTCACTGTCTGTGTTTACAAGAGAGAGGCCTTTCCTTGTACACAGGAGTGGATGGCAAAGGACGAGGCTTCATGAAGACTTCGTTGTGGGGTCCGATTTTCTTGCCTATGTCATTATACTTCACTCTGATAATTCTGCAGCATAAAGGCTGTATCTGAATAAAGTGACAGTTTTCCTTGTTTAGAACTATGTCTAATGTTACGTTTTCTTAACTGCCAGTGCTGGTCTGTGAAACACAGTGAGTCTTTCAATGTACTTTGGCAACAGCTTTTCCACTATTCCTGTATTTCTTCCGCCATTGCTTTCTCATCATCGATACAGATGTCTCTATATTTTTGCCAATTTATTTGATGGTGTGTTAACAACTGTTCTAAACAATTATGAATCTATTCTCTTTTAGTTTTCACGTCAAATACTTTATTAAGCAATAAATCAACCCCGGGAAATAGATTATGTAATAATCTGCAAACATCTTTACTCATTTTTCCACGAACCATAAAAATTTCATATATCTCTGCCTAATGACTAATTTTTCAAGTATGTTCAGAGGACATTGTTCCTGGTATTGACTTACTAGATGATGCTAGTAATTGCATTTTTTGTGAACCTACTCATTCTTTATAGTTACTGCCTTATTAACTGTTGGTGTTCAATGAGCTTATCTCTAGAATCATGCTGTGGTCTTTCATGTGCAGTGTTGTAACTTAGTTTCAGAGATCTTTTAAAAGGATTATTAATGTTAGAGCAACTGATAAGTCAAAATTTTATGTGTGTAAATACTTTTCAACTTTATTATGCTATTTCACTTGTGTCTCCCTCTGTGACATACATGCTTAGATCTACCAATGGGGCTCTCATCTCCAAAACATTAACCTGTATTTTCATCTTTACAAATTTTTCCTAGCCACACAGCCTAAAAAGCAACAACTCCACCAGTGCCCCCTGACTGAGGGATTCAGAGCCTCAAGTTTCCTCCAACATTTGTATACCGTCACTGTATCCCCAGAAAAAGTAAAATAATCCTCCTGATCTGATGGAATCACAAGTGAGTTAGCCTTTAAGTAGTTGACTTGACTTTAAAAAGCACACCGAGTCACAGCATTGGCATTGCAGCTGGGACATATAAAAAGCTTGGAAGCTGTCACTCCCATCCGCAGAAGAATAGTGCTGAACAACCTGAAAACCAATGATTTTCCTTAGACTCATCAGAGAATTGGGGTCACAGGGCAAATTGTCGCTGTGAAATCTAGAGAGACAAGTGAATACAGAAAATTGCAGTCAAGATCAGCTTATCTGGAGTAAAAGCTGCTGGAGCCATAAACTGATAGGAACACTGATAATCTATAGTCTATACAGTTGGAGGGCACACAAAATCCAACTTTAAAACTTGCTATAAAACCACAGTAATCAAGGGAGTGTATTATTGGAAAAACAATTGATACATATATCAATGGAATAGGATAGAGAGCCCAGAGATAGACCCATGCAAACATATTCAATGGATCAAAGCAAAGATGATCAGAGCAAAGATGATTCAATGGAGAAAGATGGTCTTTTAACAAGTGGTGCTGGAATACTTGGACATCTATATGCAAAGAAGTAATCATACTTTACACATGTCACAAACACAAACTCAGAGTGGATCATATATTTAAATGTAAACTGCAAAACTGGAAGATAACATGGGAGAAAATCTAGGTGACCTTGTGTTTGGTAACTAGTTTTTAGAAACATCACGAAAAACACAATCCAGGGAAGGAAAAATGGATATATTGAACTTAATTAAAAGGAAAAAAATGTACTTTGGGAAAGACTAAAAGAATCACCATTAACAGAATGAAAAGAAAAACTACAGCCTGGGAAAACATATATGCAAAAGACATATTTGATGAACAACTTGTATCCAAAATATACAAAGAATTCTTAAACTCAATAATAAAACAATTCAATGAAAAAAGGGAAAAGATCTAAATAGATACCCCACCAAAGAAGATATAAAGTTGGCAAATAAGGATATAAAAATGTTCAGCATGATTTGTCATTAAAGAATCACAAGTTAAAACAACAAAATACAACTGCACACCTCTTAGATGCCTGCAATTAAAAAAAAATACTGACAATACCAAATGTTGGTGAAGATGTTAAGCAGCAGAAATTCTCATTAATTGTTGGTGGGAATGCATGGTACAGCATTTTTAAAGACAGTTTGGCTGTTTCTTACAAAGCTAAACACAATCTTACCATAAGGTTCAGCAATCATGCTCCTACCTACTTACCCAATTGGTTGAAGACTTATATCTATGCAAAAAACCTGCGCATGAATATTTTTGGAAACTTTGCTAATAATCACGCAAAACTGAAGCCACCAAGATGTTTTTCAGTAGTTAAAAGAATAAACAAATGGTGGTATATCCATGCAAAGGAATATTACTCTGGGATTTTTTTAAAAAAGGGCTTTTAGGCCACAAAAAGTATGGAAGGAACTTAAATGCATATTGAAAAAAAAAGCAGTTTGAAAAGGCTGCATACTGTATAATTCCAATTTTGTAACAGTTTGAAAAAGGCAAAACTGTAAAGGCAGTAGAAATATCAGTGATGGCCAGAATTCAGGGTAAGACTGTGATGAGTGGAGATGAATAGATGTAGCACACGGGATTCTTAGGATGTTGAAGCTATTCTGTATAATACTGCAATGGTGGATATATGACATTAATCATTTGCCAAATCCCTTAGAAATTTACAACCCAGAGTGAACCTTAATATGTGTGAATTTTTAAAATAGTTTAGGAATTCAGGGATCCCAGGAATGAATACAGATAATGATAAGATAATTACACTGTATAACAAATATCTAAAACAATCTCATTGAAGTTGGTAAGGTAAAAGTTGCTGACCTAAGTACCTATGGACATAAATAGAGTCTGTTAGACTAAAGACAGAGAGAACTACTCAAAAGGACTGTACTCTAGTTGATAAAATACAGAGATAGAACTTTATCAGAGATATAAGTTAGAAATTATGATACTTCTGTTCATGTTTTCTAGAATAATAGATGGATGGCAGATGGTGGCAGCTAGTTTTCTCACTGTTGGAGTGGGAATTTAGATAAGCAAGGGGAGGAAGCCAGAACACTTCCCATGGTAAAAATTCAGCGATGGAGACATCAGTAATAATTCATGTTTAAAATGATAAAGATGGTTATATACAGAAACATTGATTGATGTGTATATATACATGAATTAGATACATACATATATTTCTCTGCTCTGTTACCTGGAAGGTCCTAAAAGAAACGATACCGTAGTAACAACAATCACACCTAGTTCCTAGTGCCCAGATCTTGTTTTCTAGTGTCTTTATCCATTAAAAAGGAACCAGTACTCTTTAGAGAAGTGGCTGTTTCTAGTACTGGGGCAGGAAATATACAAGATGAGACTGAAACATCTTGTAATGCCAAAAAGTAATAAAGTGCTCAAGATAAACAAATTAACAAGCTTTTTTTTTAACCTAGACACACACACACACACACACACACACACACACACACACACATTGTGGAATATAATGAAAAGCATAGGTACCAACTGAAAGAGCTTCCAATGGTCGAAGCAGGAAAATTTGAGTAACAAAATAAATAAATGGTGTTGAATTGTAACCCAAAATATAAAGCAACCATCCATAGAATTCATACTAATATAAATAAATTATTGACTGATACGGTTTGGCTGTGTCCCCACCCAAATCTCATCTTGAATTGCAGTTCCCTTAATCCCCACATGTCAATGGGAAGGACCAGGTGGAGATAACTGAATCTTGGGGACAGTTTTCCCCATCCAGTTCTTGTGATAGTGAGTTAGTTGTCACGAGATCTGATGGCTTTATAAGGGGCTTCCCCATTCACTAGGCACTCATTTCTCTCTCCTGCCACCATGTGAAGAAGGACATGTTTGCTTCCCTTTCCACCATGATTGTAAGTTTCCTGAGGCCTCCTCAGCCCTGAAGAACTGTGAGTCAATTAAATCTCTTTCCTTTATAAATTACCCATCCTCAGGCAGTTCTTTATCACGGAGTGAGAATGGATTAATACATTGACTAAGTTAATATATTGGGGAGAAGACACAATTATTTCATGCAGAAAAATTCCAAAAATTATGTAGTTACTCCAACCTAAAGACGGAAGAGAATAACTTCCTACTCTTTAAGTGTAGGCTACACATAGTAACTTCACTCCAAAGATTGCAGAACAAAAAGTGGGAGAAAAATCATAACTTTACAGTGGAGAAACCTGAAAGACACTATTTCAGCCATATGATCAAAGTCAGTATTCATAAATCATAAATCATGTTGCTACTATGCAATCTTGATATGACGTGACAAAAAAATTACTTTACGTTTGCCTTCCTGCTTCCCCAAACCCATAACCAGCCCCAGCTTAATGAGAAAAACATCAAATCCAGTAGAGGGGATTCCTACAACATGCCTGACCAATGTTCCTCAAAACTGTCAAGATCATCAAAAATGAGGAAAGTCAGAGAAATTGTCACAGCCAGGAGGTGCCTAAGGAGACAATGACAACTAGATGTAATTTGGTACGCTGGATGGGATCTTGGAACCGAAAGAAGACATTAAGTAAAAATTAAGAACAATCTTAATAAACTGTGGAATTTAGTTAAAATAATGCATCAATATTGATTAATCTGTTGGAACAATAGTCCCAAACTAATGTAAGATGTTAACAATTGGAGGAACTGGGTGAGGGTTGGGGGACATATGAAAACTCTCTTTACTATCTGGTTGATTTTTCTTAAATCTGAAAATTTTCTTTTGTTTTTTTGTTTTATTTTGTTTTGTTTTTGAGATGGAGTCTCACTCTGTAGCCAGGCTGGAGTGCAGTGGCACGATCTTGGGTCACTGAAACCTCTGTCTCCTGGGTTCAAGCAATTCTCCTGCCTCAGCCTCCTGAGTAGCTGGGACTACAGGCACATGCCACCACACCCAGCTAAGTTTTGTATTTTTAGTAGAGATGGGGTTTCATCATGTTGGCCAGGATGGTGTCGATCTCTTGACCTCATGATCCGCCCACCTCAGCTGCCCAAAGTGTTGGGATTACAGGCGTGAGCCACTGAGCCCAGCTGAAAATTTTCTTTAAAATAAAGTCTATTAAGAAAATGAGTATACAGAATCCCCATTGTATACAATGTAGCTTCGAATTCTGCATTTTTATCTGTCATAAACAAACATTTCACAATATCATCAAAAATCGACTAATGTATATTAAGCACATGTTAAGCTTAAGTGTAAGTTTCAGTGCTCATTGATAATGCTTTTAGGTCACAACATTCCCTCCCTCCTTATTACATCTTCCAGCTGGCTAGAGCCTTGCATTTGTGAGGACTCCCTTGGTTGCAAGTTACAGAAATGCACTTAATCTAGCTATGGCAAAACTAGCTAACTTTTCTGGGATTTTGAAGGCTGGTGGCTTCAGCCTTGCCTGAACCTAGGAATTTTCACCATTATTATCAGAAATTATTAGACTCTATCTCTCATCTCTGTTATCTTCTGTCCTGGTTTAATTCCCAGGCAGGGTATCACCATGTAATGGCTAAAATGGTCAAGCCAGGCCAAAGTTGACACCGTATCTAGACTGTCAAGCTGTAATGAAAGGGCACTTCTTTCCTAATAGTTCCCAAGAAGAGCTTTTATTTGTTCAGTTTGGATCACTTGTTCATCTATATGCCAGTTGCTGAATTTGATCCAGTGTTCCCTTAACCAAGCACAGATGATGTGTCCCACCTCTAGATAGGTCCACTTGAACCACTAGACTGAGACAGACAAGGGAAATTTTCCAAAGGGCAAAAGAGGATCCTATTAATACAAGAAGGAAAAAAGGATGCAATGTGATTTATGGTAAGTGCTTTTTTGTGTGTACTTGAGGTTTGGGACCAAGTTGTATAAATTTGGCCTTTGGAGGGCTGGAGACTGAGTAGCAAAAGTCAGTCATGCAAATGTTGTATGCTTGCATGATGGATCCTTAAATTAAAACCCTGACACTAGGGTTCAAGAGTGACTCTCTGGTTGACAGCACTTTGCATGTGTTGCCACACATTATTGCTGGGAGAATTATGTCATCTCCATGTGATTCTACAGAAAGAAGAAAACTGGAAGTTTTTTTCCCCTTGGTTTCTCCTGGACTCTGCCCTGTGTGCCTTTTCCCTTCACTGATTTTAGTCTGATCATTTCGCTGTAACAAATTATAGCCATGAATATAACAGCTTTTTTTTTCAGTCCTGTGATCCTATCTAAGAATCATCGAGTTTGAGGATGGTCTTCTGACCTCTGATACACCAATATTTAAAAACTAGGATATTTTACATAGAAATCTGCAAAGCTGGCTTTTCTTGAGAAATCAGAATACTTCAGTAATCACTGCAAGTTCTAGTCACAGCAACAGCCTGATAATCTTTTTGGGAAGTTTTCTTTCTCCCATTGCAATATAGGCTTTGGAGGCTCTTCATCAATGTAGTTCACCTTTGAAATATCCATGTCAATAAATTCTAGTGTTACATCATTTTAGGCCATTTTTAATTTTCTTCACTTTTGTTATTTTTGCCTTTTGAAGGAATATTACACTTCTAAGTTATTAAAAGTAAATTTAAAATTTAGAAATTGTTAGAAGTTAATATGTAACTTCAGTTAAAATGTTTTGTTTATTAGAATATAAATAATAGAAGCCATATTCTTAGAGAATGTCACTATATGAAGATACACTTTCTACAGATACAAGGGAAGCAGAATGAAATAATGATTGTCCCTATATGTAATTCCTTCCTTTCTTTGTGTTTTTATTTTTTTGAATAGTCTTCTTTTTTTTTTTGAGACAGAGTCTCTCTCTGTTGCCTAGGCTGGAGTGCAGTAGCACAGTCTCAGCTCACTGCAACCTCTGCCTCCCGGGTTCAGGCGATTTCCTGCCTCAGCCTCCCGAGTAGCTGGGATTACAGATGTGAGCCACCATGCCTGGCTAATTTTTGTATTTTTGTAGAGATGGGTTTCGCCATGTTGGCCAGGCTGGTCTCGAACTCCTGACCTCAGGTGATCTGCCCCCCTTTGGCCTCCCAAAGTGCTGGGATTACAGGTGTAAGCCACTGCACCCAGCCAAATATTCTAAAAAACATAAAAAAATACTGAAACACTGAAACTCCTTTGTCCTACATCATAATCTTATTATCTTGCTTGTTCCTTCATAGGTAACTTTTTTATTATAAGTTAGTCTGTGGTCTTTCCATTTGATTTTTAAACTTTTACCACATATGCATATATGAATGCATATGTATGATACAACTATTTTGTTTTTGAACTTCACATAAATAATATGCTGTAAATATTATTCAAGTATTTGCTTTATTTTTAAACATTATTTTTCTAAGACTTGTCCATATGGATACAAGCAAATGTAGCAAGTACACTTTAATTGGTGGTGAATTCCATTATATGATTCTTTACCAATTCTCTTGGTGGTGGAATGTTTCATTGGCTGGACTCTTTTCCTTATTAGAACCATTGCTACTGCAATAATTATTATGGCTCAAATTTGAGTCCTAATTATTTGCCAGCCGTTAGTCTGAATTATACAAGTGCTCAACACATTTTATCCTCATAACAACTCCTAAGAGGTGGATATTGTTATTTCCATTTTTGACATAAGGAAACAGAGGCATGGACAGGTTAAGCAATTGTCTAAATTCATATAACTAAAAGTAGCAGAGCCAAAACTTGAGCCTAGAAGTCTTGATCTAGAGTACATGAAATTAATTGCCTTAGGAAAATCTCTGTGCATACGTGCAAGATTTTCTTGCTGCTTATGATCACTAATATCATGCATGATATAAACTGGTTATCTATGTTTGCCAATAGCCTGAAGCCCAGGAGTCCTGTGCCTTCAGTCTACTTACCACATCAGGTTTTGCTTTATTTTTGCTCTATTATCTTTTTTGAACATGACTATTTTTTAAATTTTTTTCTTTTATAATCTTAAACATTACATATTTGAGTAGAGAACATTCTCAAAACATGAATTTTAACACCACCTATACCTTCAATTTTATTCATCTTCCACTATTGACCACCAAATATTTCTTAAAACTCTTTTCTCTTGTTCTGTTTACCCAGAATTCAACATGTCTTTCTCATCCCAAGACACTGTACAAGAAACAGGGCATAAAACAACAAATAAGGCAGAATTCCTCTCTCTGAGGGATTTACGAGGAAATTGGCCACATAAACAGCTAACTGGAATGAAATGTGATAAGTACTGACATAGAAGTATAATCATATGCTACAAGAATATACATGACAACTTATTTATTTTTATTTTAGGTGGAGCTTAGGAATGGTGACATATATGCTAGGAATTGAAAAATGAGTACAATTTTCTTAAACTTGGAGGAGAATGTGAACATATTTGGTGAAAGGGAGAAACATAAATAATTGCCTGAAAGCCTGAAAGTTCACAGCATATTCAAGAATTAGCAAGTAGGACAGTTTAGATGTGGTACAGTGGATAACAGAAATTAGAAGGAAGAAAGAGGATGTAAAGCTCAGAAGATGAGTTGGCCAAAACTTTGAAGTGGCGACTGGGTGGAGGGAACACAAAGGAGGCATAGCTCACTACCACCTCCCCAGTGGTTTTTATTGGTTTTGTGTGTAGTCTCACCTTACATATCACTTTTTCTCTTAATGACTTTTTACCACAATAGTCCTGGCAAACTTACATCACTTATAAGGCAATGATTATTTTTTCCAGTAGAATGACATTTTTTGTCTTCACATCTACTAAATAAGCATACTATCCAAAGTTATATTTCAACATTACTGTTTCAAGAAAAGGCGCACTCACAAATTTACATGCAATAGTTTCTAGTCAAAGAATATTATTATGTGGAACAAATTTAAAGTGCATGCTGTATTTGTATGGACGCGAATGTTTTGCTTTGCCTATGAATGCCAACCAAGAGAGATAAAGAAATATCCTCTTTTATTTTTCATTCTTGTACATGTGTACTATTTCTTCATGTTTTGAAGCACATATTTTTCTACCCAAAGAATCTACTAATCTTTTATCTTTATGTCAAAGCCTTCCATATCAGGTAGTTGTTTTAGAGCTAAAGTCTCAAGGGAAAGAGAATTGTAAAGCTCATATGGTTCTGATACTAAATACCTGTCCAATATTAAAACACCTGACTTTCCACCACCTTCCAAAGAATGATCTCACAACCCTCCTCCTCCAGCCACTGTCTGTTATCAAGCTTTCTCCTCTTTCTTTGGAAATATAATAAAATTTCATTACATTGCTTTATATGTACAAATCTGTACATTGATTAATTTTTATAAGAAGGTTTTTGTTATTCAGTTGATATATGTATAGAAAACTGTTGCATATCTTAGATTAGCATGACACATTCCATATTTTTTATTTTATAACAACACATTCTATATGTTTTATTTAATAACTTTTCACTTAGTGACATTGTTTTCAGGGATAAGTTAAGGTCATTACAGAAGGAATAGATGCATTTGGATCCCATATAAAACCTCATTTGTAAGAGCACCACTAATAAAAAAAATTGCTGTCTGTTCTATAGATTGACATCATTATGCTTATTGTTCTCTGAGTCCAAGAAAATAATTCAGTTCTGACTGATTAAGCAAAATCCTATATTTTAGTGGAAGAAAATACAGTATTGGGTATTTTATCAAAGGAAGTGCCAAGCAATCAGTCTGCAAGGATAAGAATGAGGGCCACTGGGAATCTCAGCAGCCAGAGACCCAAGACCATCTTGTTATCTGTACTGACATTCTTGTTTGCCTCACTCTTTTCTCCCCCTGCATCAGATTCAAATTCCAAGAAGAAATATCACATAGGCATATACTGGATTCTTCCTATACTTCAGTGATGACTTTGAATGGGAGACAGTTTTCAAAGGAAAAGTAGGATTTTTATTAACTGTAAAAATAAGGAAGATGTTCCATATAGGAAAAACAACACATGCCCACCAGATTCTATCAATGGCTTACCAGGACAAACACATGCGCACACACCCGCACATGCATTTTTCATTTTCCTCCATATATAAAACTTTAAAACTACCCTCAGTTGTCATAACACATCTATCACAAACAGAAAAATGATCTCAGCACCATAAAGTAGATTAACTTGATGCTAATTTAATGCATTCAGTTTCAAGTCTGGAATCTCTAGATGATATATTTTCCTTGTTTCTGCAGCTGGTCATAAAACCTTACCAGCTATTTATGCCTTCCCTTCACAACTCTTTATATATGATGTTGTTCATGTCATTGTTTTTCTAAACACCTCTTAAGCAGTGCTAGTCTTCTGGTAAACATTCACATGGAACATAAATATTACTAGCCTTTATCTATTCTGAGAGTCCCATTTGAACAAACCATTAGCTAGTGCATAAGCATCAGTTTAGAAACTCTTCTCAGGTTATTTTGCTTTAATAAGATAGCAGGTAACTCAAATATCTGCCCATTGGAAGTATTATCTTTTTCTACTATCTTCCAGGGCCATAACTGAGTAGGACTGTAATTCAATAGCAGTGTATACTATCTGAAAAACCATCCGAAAACCCAACCAGTTTTTCATCCTCAATTATCTATTAATATGGGATTAAAAAGAAGTGCATTTTTAAAGTGTTCAACATAACATAAATCTCTCAAGTTCTCCCATGTGTCAGGCTGTCAGCTATTAGCCAAAATCATTATTCTTTTGTTCTTTCTGAAATTATCTCTAGGCCATACTATCAGCTTCTTTTGTAGTTAGATGTGATCATATGACTATGTTCTGGCAAATGGAATGGAAATAAAAATGATGGTTGCCATTTTAAGGCCAGGACATTTCAGAAGCATTTCTGCTTCTTTTGGAGTCTCTTTTCCCCACATACCACCATGTGAATGTAGAGAATTCTAATGCCCTAAGGAATGGCAGAGATTCAAGAGGGAAAGATCCTGTATCTCTAACCAATGGTGTGGATGAATGCCATTATGCAGAAACACTCCTATTGGACTCCATACATAAAAATTCACTTCTATTGGGTTAAATGCCTGAGACCTTGGGATGTGTGTATTGTGCAGTTGATATTAGGCCTTGGATTGAGGAACACTAATGTCTTGCACGTGGCCCTTTCTACTATGGTGGCTTTGACATCATGGATCAGTGAGCCAGTGGAAAGATTCTACCAGTGGCCAAAGATATCCATCCAAGAATATACCAATAAGCTGTGAAAATAACAATTGGATGGGTTTGTTGTCCCATTGGCCTTGGGCAAGTTCTCTATTTTCCCACATGATCCCATAAGCCTCACACTGACTGTCAGATCATAGTCATTTTATGGGTTGCTGGAATTAAGGTTAGCTAGGGCTCAGTGTCAAATACAACCTAAAACGTTTTGGTAATTATTTTTCTTATTTTTCACAATGTAAACTACCTAGTGCTCCTTTGGGGGAAAGGTTGAGAAGAAAGACCAGAGAACATGTGTGTAGAATTACAGTCGATTTGTCATCAAGATGTGTGATTTTGTTTTCATCCAAGGCCCCTAAGTATAGAGAACTGGCTCAGATGCCATGACTGTGTTACAGATGACTCAATTTAGGTGTCTATGCTGACTCCTCCATTTGATATGAAAACCATGGATGATATTCTGCCAGTAGACATTGGTAATTTGTAGTGGCCATTATCCATTTTCATTTGCTGGTGCCTGTGCCTTACTGATCATTTATTATTTTGAATTTATCCCTTCATGAAAATGATATATATTGTACTTTTGCCACCATCTGGACTTGGCCATCCCAGAGTTCCTACCATGTGTACTCATATTAGAAACCCAATTATGACTGTGGATGTGATGTGATTATATGTTTATTGCAGCAGATATTTATTATGGAAAAATAAAGTTAGATTTTTTACTAACATGGCTTTGAATTCTGAGAAATTGATATCTACTATAATAACAAAATTTATTATGTATTTTAAATCAGATTACTCAGTTAAATACTATTAATAAAACTTTGTATGCTCCAGGCTTCCAGAAAGAAATATAAGGTTGGCTGCCATGGAAAAGCCTCACTTTGCTGATATTACTTGCATAGGTTTGTGACTCTTAAAAGGTCACCAATTTAAGTCTTATCTTCTCTAAATATTTGAGTAAAAATGAATATTCCAAGATGCTGTGAACCCAACACTCTGCCACTTACCTCCATGTACATGTATACTCTATTATGGAATGCATGGAGGAAAGTTATAGACCCACTTGGAGGTTGGATAAAAAGGGTTTGAGGTCATTCCTAGTGCTTCTATTTTTGTAAGTTAAGTAAGGACATTGTCGTATGTCGAGAGTCAAAGGGTTGAGGAAGAATGTTGAATTTGAAAACAGTGATAAATGATTGAAACAGTTGCTCTAGGTATTGGAAATAGATTAGATGGGTTAAATGACTGCAAATAACTCTTCTTTCCCACACAAATAAGAAATTATGAACTTGACTAGAATTGAAGTCAAATCTCATAAGGTCTATCTGTGCTCTGTCTGCTGTACCACACTGCCTGCCATAAGTACATTTTGCATATCTTTACATCTCTCCAGAGCTATTTAGTAGATAAAATGATGTTTGCTCTAGGTGTTAAGATGGATCTGTAATGATGGAATTTGAATAAACACTGTTTTTTCTGGAGTAATCAGAGAAAATAGTGAGGTGGAGGGAGGAAGTAGTTGCAGTACTGAAAGTAAAATGTAAACGCCTTACATAGATCTTAGAGTAAATAGCATTTACCAATGCAGCATGCAAAATCATAGTTTCTGTATGTTTTTCTCTAATGCTACATAAGAGTGGGAGAAATGCCATCAATGTATCAGATATTCAAAGACAAGGTTAAAGGATTCATTTTCCTGACAGTGAAAATATTCTACTACATGTGTATTAGGTTGGTGCAAAAATAATTGCGGTTTGGCCATTACCTTTAATGCCCAAACCGCAATTACTTTTGCACCAACCTATAAAACACCAGTTTTACACTGTTGTAAAACAAACACTATAAAGACTTTGTATCTTATCTTTGGCCTGATAATTTTGTCACTCTGTGTGGGCATTGAAAACTGTCATATGATATTATTTCAGAGTACTTCACACAAGATTAACAACTGTCATTTATTTGTTGAGACAATACCTGAAACTGAGAATTAACTATTATTTGTTTTCCAGTTAAGATAGCCAGAACAATTAAATCTGAATGATTGTCATTGTTTTTAACAGTGTTTTGTTCAATAGGCCAAATGTGGCAGTATTCTTTGAAAACTAGTTTTATACTAAACTCCAGGGATCTCAGATCTTTTATAAAAACTTCAGCACTCACTGAGTCCCCTAAGAGTGATCAACCTAAGATGTGTAATATGAAACTTCTGTGTGAATTTTTAACTTCCCCCAGATGGGGCAAACCACAGTGTCTTTTAATGCACTGATGGTATCAAAATGCATAAACATCAGATGCAACTGCACTCTCACATTCGATACCAATCTGGTATTATAATAAAGGAATTACAATGTAGGGCACAAAGGAAATCATAGCATATCTTCACTTCCTGCTTACTACGTCTTGACGATTTCATAACAGTCTTTTTCAATCAAAACCCCTTACCAGGATTGAATAATAAGATCATAACAGAGAGATAAGGCAAAAATTAGAATTCGGGAACCCCAATATTAACAACTAATGGATTTCTCATTTACCATTGAACACTTTGACCATTGCTCATTGGCTCATGGGGAATATCACTTTCCTTTTAGTCTCAAATGAAATATAAATAATAAAAATACTTTAGGAAACTTCTTTTCAGGATCTGCTCTTACTTCATATTAACACTCAGGGAAAGATGAATGGAGTTTTAAAACACCTTTTTTCAAAATGTAAAGTTCTAACTGTAAGACTTGACCATAAAAAAGGCCTTCGCAATATTGTGATTGAAATGTTTTTATTTATAATTTCCTAACTTTCATCAATATTTTTTTGTTAAAATGCAAAAAAAAATTGTATGATTTTCCTAAGAACACATCTTGTTTAAAATTTTATAAAAGTAAAATGTAAGACTTAGTAGAGGCATATGGATATACAATATTCCAGACACTTGAAGTTTTCACTTCCTTCCTTATAGTTTCCAAAATGTGGAAAAGAGAAAACTATGTTGTTATACAAATATATACATTAGTAGAATTCCTGTTGCTATAGTATTTCTATAACAATTCCAAGAAAGAACTCCAAACACTTCTTATGACATCTCTTTAATAAATGAGTCCAGAATTCCAAATCTTATTGTGTCTTTTAACTTCCATCACATATATGTTAAGTGTAAATTTATTTAGCATGAATATTATTCTTTCCCTTCCACGTCAGTCAAGCTAAAGCATACAGAATAGTTGACACTTCTAAAATATAGTTTCTCATTTGATATATAGATGAATATACTTGATTCTAAGAAATGTTATCAGAGTGTCAGTAAAAGTAACCATCTTATAAAATGGAATTTGTTGATGCATTCACAAATGTTTGATGTTCTTCAGTTGCACAATAATTTTCCTAACCAGACCTCAGAGAAAACACATAACAGTCACCACAATTTTTTATTTCTACCTAAGATGCAGAAGAATTATCAGAGAAAACAGGTTTGGAGGTCTTTGTATTTTTAGTTCAAATGTGTGTGTCTCTTTAAGGTAGTATATGACTATAGCCCTCCGCTGGAAAAAATATATATATATATGTATATAGGATTAAAATGCAAGGTTGAAGTGTCCAGTCTGTTAGGGGCTTACAAATGTGACTTTTATGATTTCTATAAAAGCAAGAGAAAATAAGGTATTTTCCTGCAGAAAAGTTAAATGTTTGTGTATAAAGCCTACTACACATAACCTCTGGGCTTGGCAGGATGTCATAACTCTCATGATCTGAGCAAGGTTCATTCTTTTCAAAAGTGGTTGATTATTGTTTCTTCTTTTTTTTTTCTTTTTTCTTTTTTTGAGACAGAGTTTTGCTCTTGTTGCCCAGGCTGGAAGTGCAACAGTACCATCTTGGCTCACTGTAACCTCCGCCTCCCGGATTCAAGCGATTCTTCTGCCTCAGCCTCCTGAGTAGCTGGGACAAGCCCAGCTAATTTTTTTTTTTTTTTTTTTTTTTTTTGAGACAGAGTTTCACTCTTGTTGCCCAGGCTGGAGTGCAGTGGTGCGATCTGAGCTCACCGCAACCACCGCTTCCCAGGTTCGAGCAATTCTCCTGCCTCAGCCCCCTGAGTAGCTAGGATTACAGGCAGGCACCACCATGCCCAGCTAATTTTGTATTTTTAGTAGAGATGGAGTTTCTCTATTGGTCAGGCTCGTCCCAAACTCCTGACCTTAGGAGATCCCCCTGCCTTGGCCTCCCAAAGTGCTGGGATTACAGGCGTGAGCCACCGTGCCCGGCCTAATTTTTTGGTAGAGATGGGGTTTCACCATGTTGACCAGGCTGGTCTCGAACTCCTGACCTTAGGAGATCCACCTGCCTCAGCCTCCCAAAGTGCTAGGATTATAGGTATGAGCCACTGCGCCCGGCCAGATTATTGTTTCTCTAGTATCAGATGATAAAGTGCAATTTCAAAATGTAATAGTCCTATTTTCTATATTCAACAATAATTTTTCCTTTTCACTTTGCTTGGCTAATTCTGGCCTATATAAAAGCAAATTTAAGACATTGCTTTAGTACATACATGAAACTTGAAAGCCAAGAGACCAGGAATGAGACTCATTAAAAAACAAACCAAGGAAGTTCTTATTGCCTACAGAGTATGTCTACTTACTGAGAGGGAAAAATCATAATAAAAAAGCATCCAAGTTTATAAATCATTCATTCATTCAGCAGCTATTTATTGCTTACTGAGCACTAACTAACCTGACACTGAAGAGCACACAGTCAACTGCATTGAGGACACCTACAAAAAAGAAAATACAACATAGAGCTTTTATGGAGCTGCATACACAGTGCTAATGTTGGGCAGTCAGAAAGGTTCTGGTGGAGGCAACATCTGAGATAATGTTGGAAGGAGGTGCAGATTTAATCTGGATAATAAGCAGATGGAGAGAAAGACCTTTAAACAAAGTCTCTCCTCTCCCTATGACAAAGCCTCAGGCACAAGAAAATGTGAACATTTTGGGGAAATACAAGTGGAACCTCCAGGCAAGAATCGCCAAAAATTAGATTGTATTAGCAGGACAGGATGGAATTCTGCATGGCGTTGCAGGTGTGTTAAGGTATATGGACTTCTTCCTAAGGCAGCGGGTAGCAACTGAATAATTTTAAGCAGAAGAATGATTTGTTTTTAAAAAGTCGTTTTGGTATACAGTGCAGAATCTGTCAGGTCTAAGAGGGGAGAGGGGCTCAAGCTTCAAGAGGGTTTGAGAGGCTACTGCTCCAATCCTTCCGATGGCGATTTGCCCAAGGGAATGGAGAGTAATGCACAACTTTTGAGAGGATTGGCAAGGAGCAGGAAGGTAGGAATCCAGGTCAATTCTGTATATCTGGCTTGGAGAAATTGGCTGATCGTACTTCCTCTTACTGAGAGAGAACATATAGGAGAAGGCAGGGCTCAGGAGGAACCTCTGAGACAGAGATTACATTTGGGTGCACGCTGCTGTGCTTTAAGCACTGCACCTTCAAAGGAATTCAGTTGAACCTGGCTCAGAGGGGATAGCTGGCCATGAGCAAAGCTTATTTCTGGTGCTGGGTTTAGATTAACAGGAAACTTGAATTATCAACCTCTATAGAAGCCTTTGACTCCATAGGAGAAATTCTCCTTTCATGCTTGGCACTAGTCCATTTGGAACATGGAAAGTTGGAAGAGGAAAAGACAAAACTTCATATGGGTATTGTAAAAGGAAAGGGAATATTTTTTAAGTGACTAAATAAAGAGGAGTTAGTACACCCTGTATCAAAACCCACTTTTATGGATAGTTAGTGAGTTCTAAAGAAAAGATATTTATGTGTAAGTTTGTAAAGTTTTGAGTTTGAGTCTTGACTCACAACAGTGTACACTGATGATTTTTTTTCTCCATTGTCTTGCTAAATGTAATGCTCATTTCTGTGCTATTTTCAAAAATTAATCAACAGTTTAATCAGTCATGCTTAATTTGGGGATTCCATTGGTGGCCACCTCCCTGCACCATCTACTGAATGAATCTATTTGTTTTAGGACATCGATGGCAGAAAAGATTATTTGGGATCCATGAACCTATTTTGTTTACAAAGCTTGTGCTTAGGTAGTTGACGCTATTATCAAACAGAGTGTGCGCTAGAGATGGTGCTTGGCAGGCTTGGGGTCAGGCTTTTCCGGGTCTCAGTTGTAAATCCTGCAATGTTTTTTTCCCCTCCCTTTAGTTCACTTATGGTAGCTTGGGCAGAGTCTGACATATTTCATTCCTGGCTGCAGGCCAAAACAGGCTTTTTAACAAAGCCACGTATTCTTTTCCTACTTTCAGATGGGCTAGCCCCACCAAAGTGGTTGACTTTCTTCTAAAGTAGTGAAAATAGATTTGTCTCACTTGGCTCTTTGCTGTAAGCAAAGGAAAACAATTTTGCCTAATTAGCAAGGGAAAACAATTTTGCTTAATTTAAAGAGAAGGATATAAGTAAGAAACAAGAGGAAGTCAGGAAGTGGGAACACAGGCAAAATCTTGCCTCAAATGCTCTGGTTCAGACACTGCTGCTGGCCCTACCTCCTCAGGTGACAGTGCCAGGATGGTAAAGCCACAACCGCCCACTATCTCTACCCACCCCTGATGCTGAGCACAGTAGCATAAACTGTCCCTTTATCCTTGCATCACTTGATGAAGGTACAAAAGCTGAGAAAAAGAACCAGATGGCGGGGGCGAGGCACCTGTTCATGGGATATGGAGAGGACACACTTGTCTTCCTTTGGCCTTTGTGTGCAAAGGTGGGCTGTGTCTCTCTCCAGGGCTCACACAGTGGGAGATTTCTCCCCAAAAGGAAGAGGTTTGTGCAGCCAACAAATAAGGAATATTCACTACAGTTTACCCTTTTGGCTGACTATATTTGTCCTTCTACACATATTTACATTAAAAAAGTCCTTATCTAACATAATATAATGATCCTTCGTATAACTTACAATACACTCTTTCCCTCCCCCAAGTAAGAAAATCTGAAGTGAGCCAGACTCCAAATCCAGAATCTCTGGGGGATGTCCACTTCTTTGGTTCCGCATAATCCCACTTCAGAATTTGGCTACTGAAAGCACGCATTATATGGTTGATTACTACCACCTACCTCCTCAAGAAAAGGGAATTTAATTAAAATGCGCAAATATAACCATGATTCAACAAGAAAGAAAAATTGGGTAGAGGCTTTAGTCTTTGTTTCTGCAAGTGACCATGAGACTGTCACTGGTATTTATGACTTTATTCCTCCACCAAGCATTTCTGTTTGCTTTGCCCTCTGCTAGCACCTCAGCTGGCTGGGATTCTTTACCCAGTGGGATCACTCAAACCTTCTTCCGGAGGGATCTAAGCTTTTGGTGGTTCTGCCTGAATAGATTGCCAGAGTCTTTGATTAACTTTTAACACTGGGCATGGTAATATGAGAAGGTGTTCTGTTTATTCTCCTCCCTGCCCCCATTGTATAACAGCAATCCAGTTTTTCCTTGAGAATTAGAATCAATCAAACTACGCTAAAACACCATTTTCCCCCTGTCTTCAACATGAAGAGTGTAAAATAGTCCAATAGAAGTCTAAGCTCCATCAAATGCTGAAAACATTCCTCTTTTCTATGATCCCCATGCCAGCAGAGCCTGGAGCTGATGGGATGGAATGCAAAATTTTGCAAGATGTAATTAGCAATTAGGTAATAGCACCATGTTTAATATAGCACCATAGATAATTAAGTGAATAGCACCATATTTCTAGTCCTTTGTTCCTCAACTAATATAATTTGGTTTTGGGAAAAACAGAATTGTTTACTGTTTGCTGGTTAAAGAACAATTACTACATCTACAGAACCAGGCCCTGAATTTTCAAAGTATCTATTGTACATTAGGACTTAAATCCATCTTCAGTAGTGCATTTTACCCTTTTTTCTTTCTTTCTTTCTTTTTTTTTTTTTTTTTTTGAGACCGTGTCTCACTCTGTCGCCTAGGCTGGAGTGCAGTGGCATGATCTCAGCTCACTGCAACCTCCGCCTCCTGGGTTCAAGTGATTCTCCTGTCTCAGCCTTCCGAATAGCTGGGACTACTGGTGTGTGCCACCATGCCCAGCTAATTTTTTGTATTTTTAGTAGAGATGGGGTTTCACCGTGTTAGCCAGGATGGTCTCGATCTCCTGACCTCGTGATCTGCCAGCCTCGGCCTCCCAAAGTGCTGGGATTACAGGCATGAGCCGCCGCGCCCAGCACATTTTACGCTTTTATAAGATGATTGACTCTAGATGAGGGTCCTATGATAAGACTGGCTATTTCTAAAGTAAAGTGAATTCTTTGGCTGGGAGAAATGTTGTGTAGTGTGCCAATACTTGGTTTCCCTTGAAGTGGACAAAATGCCCACTAGAGTTCATTCTGGGGATAATGCTGGAGAGCACTCGAATCCTGCGTTCTTAGGAATTAGTGTTGCCTCACAGATTGTGTCTTATCTTTTCTCTAAATGTTTGATATTTTTCTTTCTTTATAACACAATTAACTTAGTAAATGCCAAAAGTCACACAGCTAGTAAATGTTACAGCCAGACTTTGAATCCAGTATTCTGACTGCAAAATAAAAGCTCTTGTCTCTATGCAATGCATCTCTTCTCTACACCAGTGATTTTATTGTCCTTTGTGGTCATTAGGCTTTTCTTCATTGAAGGAGCCTCTTGGATCTTTAAAATGACTTTGTGCAACATGTTTATCTGCTACATACGAGTGAGACATGCAATATTTGTTTTTCTGTGCCTGGCTTATTTCACTTAACATAATGACCTCCAGTTCTATCCACATTGCTGCAGATGACAGGATCTCTTTCTTTTTATGGCTGAATACTATTTCACTGTGTATATATACCACCTTTTCTTCATCTATTTGTCCACTGATGAACACTTAGATTGATTTTATACCTTGGCTATTGTGAATAGTGCTGCAATAAACATGGGAGTGCAGATATATCTTTGATATGCTGATTTCCTTTCTTTTGGGTATCTACTTAGCAGTGGGATTGCTGGATCATATGGTAATTCTATTTTTAATTTTTTGAGAAACCTCCACACTGTTCTCTATAATGGCTATATTAATTTACATTTCCACCAACAGTGTATGAGTTCCCTTTTCTCTGTATCATAGCTAGCATTTGTTTTTTTTTGTTTTTTTTTTTGTTTTTTTTTTTGTCTTTTGTAAATAGCCATTTAACTGGGGTGAAACAATCTCATTGTAGTTTTTGATTTACATTTCCCTGATTGGTTATGTTGAGCCTTTTGAAATATACCCGTAAACCATTTGTGTGTCCTCTTTTGAGATAGAGACTAGAATGATAATTACTAGAAGCTAGGAAAGGTCAGGAGTGGAAGAGAATGAAAAGAGGCTGGTTAATGAGTACAAACACAGAAGGGCTAAGTACTATTGTTTGATAGAACAGTAGGGTGACAATAGTTAACTATAACGTGTGGAATATTTCATAATAGCTAGAAGAGAAGATTTCAAGTGTTATCAATACAAAGAAAAAGTAAATGTTTGAGGTGATTGATATTCTAGATACCCTGATTTGATCATTATACATTATATGCATATATCAAAATATCACATGTACCCCATACATACAGACAATTATTACATATCAGTAAAACTTTTTAAAATGACTTTGTTCTAGGACTTGGGTAAGAGGTCAAGAATTTTATATGTATTTTGGTGGTATTTACCAGATCCAAAGTTTTTTCAAATATACAAGATTTTATTTCAACATCTTAGACTGCATGGTTGATTAAACATTGTCAAAAATATCTAGGTTAGAACATTCTGATCACTATGATAACTATGCCTCCTCTCCCTCTGTTGATTAAATGCCATATGATGGACATCTGATTGAATCATCCCCATGACCCATTGGGGAGTTCCTATCATTAGCATTCCTAATGCTAAGATACCTTTCTAAGTTGCTGGTGTTATTCTCACTAATGTGTATCACAAACTTCAGTGAAGGAAGTGAATTCTGGACTCCCCCTAGGGAATGTAGAGAGTGGGTTAGACAGTTTGCATATGGTAAATCCATTGTGGTCTTCCATTTTCTAGTCTCCGCATTCCTTCCTTTTTGACACACCAAGGAATGTCTGACATTTCAATGAATGCGGTATGGAGAAATAAATCCTGAGTATACCTATAGTTGCACCAGATAGAAAAAATTAAATTAAATTATAATTTTAATCAGAGTGAATGCATGTATACACTTTTAGAAGCAAAGTAAGACAACAAGGCATATGACAACAAACTGCAGCCCCCTTCATACATATCTACCCTTAATTTTTGCTCTCAGAGATGATGACTTTCAATTCTTAACTCTTTCTTATGCTGTATTTCTGAAAACTTGCTTTTTCTGCTTTCTTGGTTTTTAAATTTTAGACATTATCCATTGATTTCCAGTTACTGAAGATAAGTAGTTAGTTTTTTTTTTTTTTTAACAGCAATCGCCACCAGTGCCTACAATTTCCATCTCTCATCACTTTCAGTATAGTTATCATGTAATTTTTGGTTAAATTAATATTGAGTGTCCACATTCTTTTGAGTATGTTAATATTGTCAACAGCAGAGTTTGTAATATAGTGACCTTCTACATCTTATGAAGCTTTTTGTTTTTTTTGGAGTTTATAATGAATTCTTTTTACATGTTTGCTTATCTTATAAATACAGGTACTTATTGCTAACAATCACCAAATTCTTCTACTGATCTATGAAACTCTTTAAAATAAAGTCATAAATCAAGCACAGCAGATAATAATCTATCAGTCTCTTTTTTTTTCGTCATCTTTTTTTAAGCTCCAAGTCCTCCTGCAATATTTATTATCTCAACCTACTACATAACTATCATCCTAAGGTTTCTGGTCACATTGAAACTGGGAATTTTCCTTGCCTTGCTGCTATATTGAATCTCTTTTTCCTGGATGCCATATCCTTCTATTTCTTAGTTTAGATTTTTTGTTTTTGTGGAGCACATCCTACTGAGAAAAGATTACCTATAATAGGCAAGACCCTTAATGTCTGAAAATGCCTTTACTTTATTTTTACATCATGCTTTAGCTTCTAGTCTGATGCCATTAACTTTTTTGAAAAAAAAATTTGTTTTTTATGGGTGTAGAGTAGGTGTACATATTTATGGGGTGCATGAGATATTTTGATAAAGGCATACAATGTGTCATAATCAATTCAGGGTAAATAGTGTATCCATCAACACAAATATTTTAATTTTTTGTGTTATGAATATTCCAGTTATATTCTTTTAGTTATTTAAAAATATACAATAAATTTTTGTTGACTGTAATCCCCCTGTTGTGCTACCAAATAGTAGGCCTTATTTTTTGTACCCGTTAACCACCCCACTTCCCCCCAGCCCCACTCAACCACCCCACTTCCCCCCAGCCCCACTCACTATGATTTCCAGCCACAGGTAACCACGATTCTACTCTCTAACTCCATAAGTTCAATTGTTTTAATTTTCTTCACCCACAAATGAGTGAGAACATACAAAATTTTTCTTTCTGTGCCTGGATATTTCACTTAAGAAAATGTGTTCCAGTTCTATCCATGTTGGTGCAGATGACAGGACCTCATTCTTTTTATGGCTGAATAGTACTCCATTTTGTATATGTACCACGTTTTCTTTATTCATTTGTCTGTTGATGACACTTAGGTTGCTTCCAAATCTTGGCTATTGTGAATAGCGCTGCAATAAACATAGGAGTGCAGATATCTCTTCAATATACTGATTTTCTTTCTTTTAGGTATATACCTAGCAGTGGGATTGCTGGATCATATGGTAGTTCTATTTTTAGTTTTTTGAGGAACCATACTGTTCTCCATAGTGGTTGTACTAATTGACATTCCCACCAACAACGTAAGAGGGTTCCCTTTTCTCTACATCCTCTCCAGCATTTGTTATTGCCCATCTTTTGGATACAAGCCATTTTAACTGGGGTAAAATGATATCTCATTTTAGTTTTGATTTATATTTCTCTAATATCAGTGATGTTGAGCATCTTTTCATATAATTCTTTGCCATTTGTGTGTCTTCTTTTGTGGAATGTCTATTCAGATCTTTTGGCCATTTTTAAATCGAATTATTAGATTTTTTTTCTGTAGCATTGTTTGAGCTCCTTATATATTCTGGTTATTAATCCCTTGTCGGATGGATACTTTGCAAGTATTTTCTCCCGTTCTGTGGGTTGTGTCTTCACTTTGTTGATTGTTTTCTTTGGTGTGTGGGAGCTTTTTAACTTGATGTGATCCTATTTGTCCATTTTTGCTTTGGTTGCTTGTGCTTTTATGGTATTACTCAAGAAATGATCACATGGTTTTTGTACTAGAGTCCATTGATATGATGTATCACACTGGCTAATTTGCATATGTTGAATCCTTCTTGCATCCCTGGGATAAATCTCAATTGGTCATGTTGTATGACCTTTATAATGTATTGTTAAATTCAGTTTGCTAGTATTTTGTTGAGGATTTTTGCACCAGTTTTAATCAGTGATATTGGCCTGTAGTTTTCCTTTTTTGATGTGTCTTTGTCTGGTTTTTGTATCAGGGTAATACTAGCCTTGTAGAATGAGCCCGGAAGTATTACCTCCTCTACTTTTTAGGCTAGTTTGAGTATAATTGGTATTAAGTCTTCTTTAAATGTTTGGTAAAATTCAGCAGTGAAACCATCAGGTCCTGGCATTTTCTTTACTGGAAGACTTTTTATTATGGCTTCAATCTTGTTACTTGTTATTAGCCTGTTCAGGCTTTGGATTTCTTGCTGGTTCAATCTTGGTAGGTTGTATGTATCTAGGAATTTGTTAGTTTCTTCTAGATTTTTCAACTTATTGGTATATAGTTGCTCACAGTAGTCTCTAATGAGCTTTTGAATTTCTGTGGTATCAGCTGTAATGACTCATTTTTCATCTCTGATTTCATTTATTTGGGTCTTCTTTTTCTTGTTTGTCAATTTTGTTTGTCTTTCAAAAAACAAACTGTTTGTTTCATTTATCTTTGTATTTTTTTTTCATTTCAGTTTTATTTACGTCTGCCTGGTCTTTACTATTATTGTCTTCTAAGTTAAGGTTTGGTTTACTCCTGCTTTTCTAGTTCTTTAAAATGTATCATTAGATTGTCTATTTAAAGTTTTTCTACTTTTTTGATGATGGCACTTATTGCTATAAACTTTCCTCTTGGTACTGCTTTCCTTGTATCCCACAGGTTTTGGTATGCTGTATTTCCATTTTCATTTGTTTCAAGGAATTTTAAAATTTCCTTCTAAATCTCTTTATTGACCCACTGGCCATTCAGGAGCATACTGTTTAATTTCCATGTGTTTGTATAGTTTCTAAAATTCCTCATTGATTTCTAGGTTTATTCCATTGTAGTCAGAGAAGATACTTGACATAATTTCACTTTTTTGAATTTTTAAGAGTTATTTGTGGCCTAGTATATGGTTTATCCTTGAGAGTAATCCATGTAGTGAGGAGAAGGTATATGAAATGTTGTGTAAGTATGTATTAGTTCCATTTGGTCTATAGTGCAGGTTAAGTCCTCCGTTTCTTTTTTAACTTTCTGTCTGGAAGATCTGTCCAATGCTGAAAGCGGGGTGTTGAAGTCTGTAGCTATCACGTTGGGGCTTATCCCTCTCTTTAGCTCCAATAATATTTGTTTTATGTATCTGGGTGCTCCGGTTTTGGGTGCATATATATTTACAATATATATATTGTTATCCTCTTGCCGAATTGACCCCTTTGTAATTATATAGTGACCTTCTCTGTCTCTTCTTATAGTTTTTGTCTTGAAATCTATTTTGTCTGATACAAGTATAGCTACTCCTTTTCTTTTTTGGTTTCTGTTGGCATGAATATCTTTTTCCATCCCTTTATTTTCAATCTATATGTGTCTTTAAAGGTGAAGTGTGTTTTTTGTAGGCCACGAATCATTTACTCTTTTGTTTTAATCCATTCAGCCATTCTATGTCTTTTGATTGGAGAGTTTAGTCTATTTACATTCAATGTTAGTATTGATAAGTAAGGGCTTATTGCTGTCATTTTGTCATTTGTTTTCTAGATGTTTTGTAGTCTGCTCATACTTCTTTCCTTCCTCCATGTCTTTCTTTTAGGAGGGTGATTTTTCCCAGGTGGTATGTTTTAATTTTTTACTTTTTGTGAGTTCATTGTATGTTTTTTAAATTTGAGATTACCATAAAGCTTGCAAATAATACCTTATAAGCCATTATTTTAAGCTGATGAGAACTTAACACTTATTTCATAAACAAACTAGCTAAGTAATAAGCAAAGTCAAAACTAATAAAAAGTACTTTTTTCCTTCCAATTTTGTTTCTATTTCTGTCTTATTGTGCTATGTCTACAAAAAGTTATTGTAGTTACTATTTTTGATCAGTTCATCTTTTAGTTTTTCTACTGAACATATGAGTAGTTTAGACACCACAATTACAGTGTTATAATATTGTGTTTTTCTGTGTATTTACTTTATCAGTGAGTTTTGTACCTTCAGATGATTTCTTGTTGCTCATTAATATCCTTTTCTTTCAGATTGAAGCAGTCTATTTAGCATTTGCTATAGGGCAGTTCTGGTGTTTATGAAATCCCTCAGCATTTGTTTGTCTGGGACCGTCTTTATTTCTTCTTCCTGTATGAAGAATATTTTTGTCAGATATACTATTCTAGGTAATATAGAATATGTCATGTCATATTCAGCACTTTAAATATGTCATGTCCACTTCAACACTTTATTTTTTTTTATTATACTTTAAGTTTTAGGGTACATGTGCACATTGTGCAGGTTAGTTACATATGTATACATGTGCCATGCTGGTGCGCTGCACCCACTAACTCGTCATCTAGCATTAGGTATATCTCCCAATGCTATCCCTCCCCCCCTCCCCCTCCCCCCTCCCCCCAACCCACCACAGTCCCCAGAGTGTGATATTCCCCTTCCTGTGTCCATGTGATCTCATTGTTCAATTCCCACCTATGAGTGAGAATATGCGGTGTTTGGTTTTTTGTTCTTGCGATAGTTTACTGAGAATGATGATTTCCAATTTCATCCATGTCCCTACAAAGGACATGAACTCATGATTTGTTATGGCTGCATAGTATTCCATGGTGTATATGTACCACATTTTCTTAATCCAGTCTATCATTGTTGGACATTTGGGTTGGTTCCAAGTCTTTGCTATTGTGAATAATGCCGCAATAAACATACGTGTGCATGTGTCTTTATAGCAGCATGATTTATAATCCTTTGGGTATATACCCAGTAATGGGATGGCTGGGTCAAATGGTATTTCTAGTTCTAGATCCTTGAGGAATCGCCACACTGACTTCCACAATGGTTGAACTAGTTTACAGTCCCACCAACAGTGTAAAAGTGTTCCTATTTCTCCACATCCTCTCCAGCACCTGTTGTTTCCTGACTTTTTAATGATTGCCATTCTAACTGGTGTGAGATGGTATCTCATTGTGGTTTTGATTTGCATTTCTCTGATGGCCAGTGATGATGAGCATTTTTTCATGTGTTTTTTGGCTGCATAAATGTCTTCTTTTGAGAAGTGTCTGTTCATGTCCTTCACCCACTTTTTGATGGGGTTGTTTGTTTTTTTCTTGTAAATTTGTTTGAGTTCATTGTAGATTCTGGATATTAGCCCTTTGTCAGATGAGTAGGTTGCGAAAATTTTCTCCCATTTTGTAGGCTGCCTGTTCACTCTGATGGTAGTTTCTTTTGCTGTGCAGAAGCTCTTTAGTTTAATTAGATCCCATTTGTCAATTTTGTCTTTTGTTCCCATTGCTTTTGGTGTTTTGGACATGAAGTCCTTGCCCATGCCTATGTCCTGAATGGTAATGCCTAGGTTTTCTTCTAGGGTTTTTTATGGTTTTAGGTCTAACGTTTAAGTCTTTAATCAATCTTGAATTGATTTTTGTATAAGGTGTAGGGAAGGGATCCAGTTTCAGCTTTCTACATATGGCTAGCCAGTTTTCCCAGCACCATTTATTAAATAGGGAATCCTTTCCCCATTGCTTGCTTTTCTCAGGTTTGTCAAAGATCAGATAGTTGTAGATATGCGGCGTTGTTTCTGAGGGCTCTGTTCTGTTCCATTGATCTATATCTCTGTTTTGGTACCAGTACCATGCTGTTTTGGTTACTGTAGCTTTGTAGTATAGTTTGAAGTCAGGTAGTGTGATGCCTCCAGCTTTGTTCTTTTGGCTCAGGATTGCCTTGGTGATGCGGGCTCTTTTTTGGTTCCATATGAACTTTAAAGTAGTTTTTTCCAATTCTGTGAAGAAAGGCATTGGTAGCTTCATGGGGATGGCATTGAATCTGTAAATTACCTTGGGCAGTATGGCCATTTTCACAATATTGATTCTTCCTACTCATGAGCATGGAATGTTTTTCCATTTGTTTGTATCCTCTTTTATTTCATTGAACAGTGGTTTGTAGTTCTCCTTGAAGAGGTCATTCACATCCCTTGTAGGTTGGATTCCTAGGTATTTTATTCTCTTTGAAGCAATTGTGAATGGGAGTTTACTCATGATTTGGCTCTCTGTTTGTCTGTTATTGGTGTATAAGAATGCTTGTGATTTTTGTACATTGATTTTGTATCCTGAGACTTTGCTGAAGTTGCTTATCAGCTTAAGTACATTTTGGGCTGAGACAATGGGGTTTTCTAGATATACAATCATGTCGTCTGCAAACAGGGACAATTTGACTTCCTCTTTTCCTAATTGAATGCCCTTTATTTCCTTCTCCTGCCTGATTGCCCTGGCCAGAACTTCCAACACTATGTTGAATAGGAGTGGTGAGAGAGGGCATCCCTGTCTTGTGCCAGTTTTCAAAGGGAATGCTTCCAGTTTTTGCCCATTCAGTATGATATTGGCTGTGGGTTTGTCATAGATAGCTCTTATTATTTTGAGATAAGTCCCATCAATACCTAATTTATTGAGAGTTTTTAGCATGAAGGGTTGTTGAATTTTGTCAAAGGCTTTTTCTGCATCTATTGAGATAATCATGTGGTTTTTGTCTTTGGCTCTGTTTATATGCTGGATTACATTTATTGATTTGCGTATATTGAACCAGCCTTGCATCCCAGGGATGAAGCCTACTTGATCATGGTGGATAAGCTTTTTGATGTGCTGCTGGATTCGGTTTGCCAGTATTTTATTGAGGATTTTTGCGTCAATGTTCATCAAGGATATTGGTCTAAAATTCTCTTTTTTGGTTGTGTCTCTGCCTGGCTTTGGTATCAGAATGATGCTGGCCTCATAAAATGAGTTAGGGAGGATTCCCTCTTTTTCTATTGATTGGAATAGTTTCAGAAGGAATGGTACCAGTTCCTCCTTGTACCTCTGGTAGAATTCGGCTGTGAATCCATCTAGTCCTGGACTCTTTTTGGTTGGTAAGCTATTGATTATTGCCACAATTTCAGCTCCTGTTATTGGTCTATTCAGAGATTCAACTTCTTCCTGGTTTAGTCTTGGGAGAGTGTATGCACTTCAACACTTTAAATATGTCATGTCCACTCTCTCCTGGCACATAGGTTTCCCCTGAAACGTCTGCTGCCAGATGTATTGGATCTCCATTGTATGTTATTTATTTCTTTACTCTTGATACTTCCAGGATCCTTTCTTTATCCTTGACCTTTGGGAGCCTGATTATTAAGTGTCTTGAAGTAGTCCCCTATTCGAGTTAAATATGCTTGGTGTTTTATAACTTTCTTGTACTTAAATATTGATATATTTCTTTAGGTACAGGGAGTTCTCTGTTATTATCCCTTTGAATAAACTTTCTACCCCCATCTCTCTCTCTACCTCCTCCTTAAGGCCAATAATTCCTAGATTTCCGCTTTTGAGGCTATTTTCTAGATCCTGTAGGTATACTTTTTAAATTATTATTATTTTCTCTCCTATGACGGTATATTTTCAAATAGCCTGTCTTAAGATTACTGCTTCTTTCTTTCACCTGATAAATTCTGCTGGTTAGAGACTCTAATGCATTCTTCAGTATGTCCATTGTATTTTTCATCTCCAGAATTTCTGCTTAATTCTTTTTAATTATTTCAATCTCTTTGTTAAATTTATCTGATAAGATTCTGAATTCCTCTCTGTGTTATCTTGGATTTCACTGAGCTTCCTCAAATCAGCTATTTTGAATTCTCTGTCTGAAAGGTCACATATCTCTGTCACTCTGGGATTGGTTTCTGGTGCCTTATTTAGTTTGTTTGTGAAGTCATGTTTTCCTGGATGTTCTTGATGCTTATGGATGTTTGTCAATGTCTGGGCATTGAAAAGTTAAGTATTTGTTGCAGTCTTTGCAGTCTGGGCTTGTTTGTATCCATCCTTCTTGGAAAGGCTTTCCAACTATTCAAAGGGTATTGAGTGTTGTGATCTCAGTTTTGGTCAGTGTAGCTGTATCTGCATTAAGGATCACCTCAGGCCCAGTAATGCTATGACTACTGCAGACTTATAGAGGTATGTCTATAAGAGTAAAGCCCTCTTTACTCTTCCCTCTCATTTTCTCAGGCAGAGGGAAGGAATCTCTCCCAGAGCTGTAAGCTGTGCTGCCTGGGGTTGGGGGAAGGGTGACACAAGTACTTTCTTCGCTCTCCCAGCTGGTATATCACTAGGTTGCATGCAGCTCAAGTCCACTGGTTCCAAGCTCATCACAGCATCAGGACTTGCCCAGGAATTGCAATGCTTGTGGCCTAGACCACCTTTCAAGTTTATTTAGGACCCTAGAGTACTTTAGCCTTTAGTGGGGCTAACCAGAACTCAGTTTCTGACTTCTAGGATGGATGATTCCCATCTGGCTAGGGCTGGTCTTAGTGCGTCCTCTGTGGGTGCCAGCCAGATTCCACCTTGTGTTGCTTTCCACTGAGACAGGTGGCACTGAGTTCCAATACAGTGTCCCACAGTCACTGTGCTGTTCTTCCCTCCAAGCACACAGATTCTCTCTCTCTGCCATGCAGCTGCTGCGGGGGACAGGGGTAGCATGGTGTTGGCCTTTTAAGACTGTCTTTCCTAACCTCTTCAGTGCCTCTTTCCTTGCTATGATGTTAAAATCAGGTATTGCGGTTGCTCATCTGGTATTTGGTTCATATGAAAGTCCTTTCTTTGGGGGATAGTTGTTCAATTTGGTTTTCCTGCAGAGGTGACAATAGCTGGAGGGTTCTATTCAGTTATCCTGCTCTACCTCTTCACCATTAAATTTCTTTGTCTTTTTTTGCATCTGAGTGCTTGAGATGCATTTGATTTTCTTATCTGCAGTGTTCTGGGATTTGTTAAGAAACTTTTTAGCCATACAGAAAATTTCAAATAATGTTACAGTAAACACCCATGTATTCTCCCTTAGAGTCTATCTGAACATTTTACTATACTTTTACTATGACAGATCTGTCCATCTAGTCATCCTTGCATTTTTGATGAATCTAAAAGTAAGTTTCAGAAATCAGTATACTTTTCTCCAGACATTTCAGCATGTATATAACTAGAGTTCAGTATTAATTTACAGTTCTTGTTTTAGGGCAAAGTTTTCACGTGACAAAATATGCAAATTTTAAGCCTAACATTAGATGAGTTTTGTGCAATCCAAACCTCTATCAAGATATAGAATATTATCATAACCATAGAATGTTCTATCATGTTTCTTCCCAGTCAATGCTTATTCCTAACCTCTTGAGACAACCATTCTTCAGATTTTTTCTCAACATAGATTAGTTTGACCTGCTAGAAATTCACATATATGGAATCATATTGTTAGCTGTAGCAAATCTGCCTGGGTCTGCAGCAACCTTAATTCTTGCTGCCTCAGAAGAAAGAATTTGACTGAGGGGGCATATGGCAGAGTGAGAGACTGAGGCAAGTTTTAGAGCAGGAGAGAAAGTTTATTAAAATGTTTTAGAGCAGGAATGAAAGGAAGTAAAGTAAACTTGGAAGAAGACCAAGTGAGCGACTTGAGAGATTCAAGTGTGTGGTTTGAACTTTGACTGGGATTTTATATGTTAGCATGGTTTCGGGGTGTTGTATCCCTTCTCCTCTGATTCTTCCCTTGGGGTGGGCTGTCCACATGCACAGGGGCCCACTAACACTTGGGAGGGGATGCATGCACAGTGTGTTTACTGAAGTTGTACACATGGTCACTTGAGGTGTTCTTCCCTTACCAGTCGAGTGTTTTGGAGGAAGGTCATAGGCCAGTTAAACTCCACCATTTTGCCTCTTAATGCTCATGCTTGAGCCCACTCGCCCAACTCCTGAGATCTTTTTAGGAAACTGCTGATCACCAGTTTCAGCTGTTTTCTGTCTGTTGGAGACAGCCTTTCCCTGGCACCAGCTGCAACCAATTACTATTTTAGAGCGACAGTTTAACAACCTCCTGACCATCACCTGATGGTTGCCTGACATTCCTGGTTTGGTGGGGTTGGGGGGCCCTCTCCTGCCCTGCTCATGTCTGCCTAACTACCTACTGTAACAATATCACATTTATTTCTTTGAGTCTCTATTTTTTCAATCTGCATAATGATTTTTTTATTCATTCATCGTGTTCCTCATTTCTTTTTTATCACTGAATAATTTTCTTAGCCTGGGTAACTTGAGAAGAAGATAAAAGGACAGGATTAGATGTGTAAGAAATTGTTGAGGGAAATGCCCATGAAGGATAAAGGGAAGGGAGTTGGAGTAGGTAGGGAGAGCCTTCAGACTGCTGTGTTGGTCTGACACCTGTGAAAGAGAAGGGGACAGCGGAGGACTGTGTAGGAAGAGCCACGGACTCCAGAGCAGCTCAGAGAAAGTCCTAGGCAGGCCAATGCAGAGTTCTCCACCCAGAGTTGCCTGTTAAAGGAGTCCCAAAGTCTTCATTATTACGTTGCCAGCTTAGTCATCCATAAGGAGGAGCCATAATATTTGTAAGGGTGGAGCTAAAGGGCAATAGTTGGGGCTCTGGTGGGCTTTGCTCCCCTCAGCAGGAAGTCTGAATGGAGCCTATTCATGACCTCCACAGCACTGTTCCACCTTATGAATATTACACCCTGTGCTTATTCTCCTAGTGACAGAAACTTAGGCTGTTTCCAGTTTCTGCCTATTATGAATTTTATATGGTCTTCTAAAAGTTTTCTTTCTTATTTTTTTGGTCTTGATCTAATGTTTTGAATAATGTTTTTAAAAGGGTGAAAAAATCAAATTTTTTTGGATAAAGTTTCTATCACTATTCTTGTACAATTTCTTTTGTAAACATACATTTTTATTACTCTACTGTAAATACCCAAGCGTGGAATTGTTGGATCATAGGTTTAGGTGTGTTTCTATAAGAAATTTCCAAATCTTTTCCCAAAGTGGTTGTATGATTTTTCACTCCCACAAATAATGTGTGAATTCCAGTTGCATAATATATTGATCAACATTTAGTGTTTTTAACTTTACCTGTTTCGGTGGACGTCTTGTTGTAGCTCATTGTCATTTTAATTTGCGTCTCGCATATACTTAATGAACATTTTTTTGGTCACAAATGCACTTTCTTTTCTGTGGAAGACCATTCAATTTATATTGCACTGAATAAGATTTGCCCATGGGCCATACAGTCTGAACATGCATTCCCCTAATTCTCCTTCAAAGTTAAGTGTGAATAAAGAAGTTTGGGTCTATTAAACTCAAATTTTTAATGATGTGAGCACTAAATCTTTCTGTAAAAGACAATGTAATTTTAATCTTTAATTTCTCAAAAATAGCTGACTTTTTTTTTTTTGTAGTTGCGAAATGTGTCAAACACCTGTTTGGGTCTCGGTTCCCATCTGTTTAATATAGCAGGTATGAATTAAGTGTTGCCACCCAGAGCATACTGCTTATTTAGAGGGCATGTCAGAGCCTATCTGGAGTGATTTTTCTACAGAGCTCTGAGATGGGATCCAGGAGGGGTCTCTGACCCCAGGGATAAGATAAAGACATTTGTATATCCTCCTGCTTCCTATAAAATGGAGCTATATGGTCTTTCCTATTGAGAAAAATATGTGACTCTTCATTTTTCTTTATTTAAATATGAACAGTGGCAACTTGAGGCAAGACCATGAATTTCAAGTTACAGAGGTCTTGTTTCAAATCCTGATTTACATATAATTTACCTACTTTGTGACTCTGGGGAAATTACATAAATTCTCTGAGCCTCATTTATTTTGTTAAAGGTATCTATTGCTGTGAAACAAACCATCCTAAAAGTTAGTGGCTTAACACAATAACAATGTATTTCTTCTCATATTTCTGTGGTATGACTGGGAGGTTCTTCTTCTTTTCATAGGATCAGCTGGAGCATGGGGAAAATTAGAAGGTCCAAAATAGTCTCGTTCACATGACTGGCAATTGCTTCTGGCCCTGGCTCCCAGCTGGGACCTTAGCTAGGGTTGTTGGCCAGTGGTCTCTCTACCCGAGCCTCACTGTGTGGCTTCTTGGGCATCCCTAGAATTGGGTTCCAAGAGGGAACATTTCAAAAAGGCAAGTTGCAATGTGCAAGCACTTCTCATGCAGCAGCTTACTTTATGGGTGCTGTGTACCATTGGCCAAAGCTAGTCACATGGTCAGCCCCAGTATCATACAGTGCAATGAATACTTGAAGGTGTGTTTTATTGAGGGCCATAGAAGTCTATCACAATTTGCCTTAAATATTCCCTGCTCTCATTTGCTCCTGAAGTAGCTGTTTCTTTCTTTCTTTCTCGATAACTGTGATTCCTTCTACAATGCTAATTTCACAGTCTTCTAAAAGTTTCCTTTCTTATTTTTTGGTTCTAATCTAATGTTTTGAAGAAAGATTACAAAAGGGTGACAAAATTCAATATTTTTAAGCAAATATAAATTTAAAAGCATGGAAATGATGTGAACATAAGAGAGAAGGAAAAGGTCTTATTTTTTTCTCCCATTTTACTGATTATCAAGTTTAAAAGTTAAATATATTTTTGAGAAAACACAGCATGTTGGTTTTTAAAAAATGCTTTAATTTTTACACTTTCGAAACAACCAAGATGCTTGGAAGGTATCATTTATTTGAGGGTGGTAGTTGATTTCTCCTTCTCTTTATTTAAATTAATTTCTCCTAAATTTAAAATTATAGGGTCGCCTTAGTCAGTTTTGGCCACTGTAACAAAGTACCATATATTGAGTGGCTTATGAAAACCAAAAATGTATTTCTCACAGTCCTGGAGGTGTGAGAACTGAGATAAGGATGCCAGCATGGTCGGGTTCTGGTGAGGGCATTTCTCCAGGCTGCAGGTGACTCACTTCTCACTGTGTCCTCACTTAAGGGAAGCAAAGCTAGAGAACCCTCTGATCCCATTCATGAGGGCTCCACCCTCATGACCCAGTTACCTCCCAAAGGCCCCACCACCTAATACTATCATAATGGAAATTAGAATTTTAACATACAAACTTTGGGAGAAGCAAATATTCAGTCCATTACGACGGTAGTAGGAATCAAACTTTCCCTGAAAGCTTTTTACACTAATAAAAAGCCACTCATTCATGCTATACAGTTGGGAAGGACTTTAATAATAGTGAGTGTCATTATTTAAACACAATATATTCTGCGGTAATGAAGATAGTGAATAGTAATACATCTACTTTAACAATAGAATGTGAATGATTAATAGTTGAAATGCGCAATACACATATTTTTAAAATACAACTTATTCGATAGTCCTAACACCTTACTCCCGCCAAAAAACACCATTGATTCAAACATGGATCATTACAGTACTTAAACTAAATAGATAGTATTGAAGTTAAATTAACAGTAAATTACAATTAAAAACCAAGGTTAGAAGCAATTGGTTACTCTGACCAACTCAAGTCAATATCAAGGATGCACTGCTAATAAGTCATCCTTCTTAAAAATGTATGAGAGTTCTAATTAGTGCCTCACTGCTAAGCTATGTACAGAAGTCAGCTGATTCAACATTTTTCTTAGGAATGTAACATAAAAGAGCCTTGCTTTTCTATTCTTCTAGAAAAAAAAATTAGAATATGGAAAATTCCAGCACTTACTCTTATGATTTTTACTGTGTGACTTCTGGAAAAACTATTTGTGTCCCCAAAATGTATTAGGAATATCCTAACTTCTGGGGTGGTCTATTTTTCTTTTCTGCAAAGTACACACACATACACACACACTCAAACTGTCTAACTTTCGGTGTCAGAAGGGATAATCAACTTTGGAAAACTGGTTATAAAACCCAAAATGTGCTGGAGTTGAATAGCTGTGAAATAAATTTTAATCTCACTAGTCAAATTGTGGCTTATCATTGATGTCACTGGAAGTGATATAAAGTGTACTATGTCCACAATACAAATGTTCATTGTTTCTGAATTCCACTAATTTTTTGTATGGTGAAAAAAATGTTTTTCTCTAAAACAGTGATTGAGGTGAGACAGGACACACTGAAGTGGTTTTGAGTCCATTTGAATGGGGACCTGACGGATGTGACTTTCATTCTCCCAGTTCTCAGTGAGTGGGTGGTCATTTCCTCCTCTTTTTTTCCAGGAACTGAACAGTATTTTTAGATTTTTTTCTTAAAGATTTTATTTAAGTTAAAATAGATCCTAGTGTCTGCAATCACCATTCATTGAAATCACGTCTTATACACACCATAGGGATGTATACTGACTTGAAACTGTGAAGTGTTTATAGAATTCTTAAAGGAGAGAAAAAATTAACCTTGGGAGTAGTTTATAAAACACACCAAATGAACCCTTTTAAATGAAAGATCAACTTAAAAAAATTCGCAAATCTATATTCATTGTAAAAAACTTGAAAAATGTAGATAAAAGCAAGAAAAAAGTAATTTAAAAATCTCATCCTTGATACACATGATTAACATTTTGGGATATACTATCAGGACTATTTTTAAGTGTATATATATATATATATATATATATATATGCTAGGATAATTTATTGAAATATTGTTTTTTGTTCTCTTGCTGTAGGTAATTTTCCCTTCTACATTCCAAGACTAGTGGCCAAGTCTTTTTTCCTTACTGAAGGAAATTAATAACGACTTTTCTGTGGCAGGGCCAGGAGTAAAAGTTGCCAGACAAAGAAAGAACCATACCCATGGAGAGTTTTTGTTAAAGGTAGAATCATGCAGCAATAGAATCAGATTGTCTAAGCAGAGAAGGACATCCTGGAACTTGTGAAACTGGGGAGGAGGAAGGTTTTGAGAGCTTTTCCCAGGGCCAGATACGGGGATAGGGCAGATATGAGAGTTTCTGCACCTTGCTGTCTCCCAGGACCCCAGGGACTGTCAGGACCTCTGGGAGACTGGATGAGTTATGGCCCTCTGAGGCTGAGTGCCAATCACCATCCTGACATGAACCCCTGGGCTCACGCTTGACATTGAAACTCCAGAGCCTCTAACCTTCAGGGTCCAGGCAAGATTAATAATGAACATATCCCCAGTGACCCTTTTGGACTAGAGACCAAGGGGAATTAGAGAACAAGGGGGCTTTTCCCAAATGTCCTGGTCTACATAGTTCCTCTGAGATACTTGCATAAGCCTGGAGAAGATGACCCTACAGACATGATCAAAATACAATTTTCCAACCTGTTAGTAGGAGGCCCTTGGGGGAGATACTATTTTTCAGAGGTTCATACTAATGTGATATTTTGGAGTAAAATTCAGAGCCACTGCACATAAGCACCCACCCAGGAGTGCAGCCAAGTTGGTTCACAACCTGTTTAACTGCAAATATTTGATTTGGTGCCTCAATAATGACTGAAATGGAATTTCCTTCCATCTGAAGACTCAGAGAGCAATTTAAATTTATTTAAAGAAAGTAAAGAAAGTGTGGTATTTTTAAAACTTAGCATAGTAGTTCAGAGAGAAAACTCTAAATTATTGCACAGGTTCAATCACATCTCCTCCAATTACAATCTATTGTGACCTTGGACAAGGGACTGAGTTTTTCTGTTACTGCATTATTTATAAGACAAGATCAGTAACAGTGCTCATGTTACAGGGTTGTTATAAGGAATAAACTAATCAGAACAATTAGAACAATATCTGGCACTTTAAAGTTTTGGTATATAATTTTTGATATATAGTCCTTAATTCAGGTTAAGGAATTCCTCTCTTATTTTAAGTAGGTCAAAGGTTTTATTTTTGAATAGGTGCTGTATTTTATCAAATGCTATTTCTATATTTACTGAGATGATCATATAATTTTTCTCCTTTATTATATTAGTGAATTATACTTATAGCTTTTATGATATTAAATCAGGCTTGCATAACAGAAATGGATGTTATTTAGTCAGGGTATATTGCATGGTGTACTCTGAATCGATTTGCTAATTTTTATTAGGGCTTTTTATGTCTTATTCCTAATTAAGATTGGTCTGTACTTTTCAGTTCTTGTACTGTCCTTGTCTGGTTTGATATGAGATGTTATCTTCATCTCATAAAAAGATTTGGGGAGTTTTCCTGTTTTTCTTGTTTGTTTTTTGAGACAGGGTCTCACTTGGTCGCTCAGGCTGGAGTGCAGTGGTGCCATCTTGGCTCACTGCAGCCTTGACTTACTGGGCTCAAGTGATCCTCTCACCTCAGCCCCCCAAGTAGCTGGGACTACAGGCATGCACCACCATGCCTGGCTAATTTTTTTGTATTTTTAGTAGAGATGGGGTTTTGCTATGTTGCCCAGGCTGGTCTCAAACTCCTTGGCCTCCCAAAGTGCTAGGATCACAGGCATGAGCCGGGCCTCCTGTGTTTTAATTCTCTGAAGCTGTAAGTGTGGAAGGATTACATTTTTCTTGAATATAAGCTTGAATGTGCCTGTCTACCTGGCCTGGTAGGGATTCCTTCATTTATGTTTGAAAGATTTTAAACCCCCAGTTCCATCTCTTTTCAGGTTTTCTCAAATAGTTGTTTCAATTTTCTTATGTTATAATTTTGGAGGAAAATAGATCATTTCATTCAAGTTTTAAAATTTTTGCTTCAATGATTCATGGTCTCCTCTTGTTTATTTGCTAATGTCTCTTTTCTGTGCATTGTTACTTCCCTATGTATTGTTTTGCTTTCTCTCTATTTCACGGATCCCTCTTGTCAGAGGTTTACTTACTTTATAAGTTATTATTAAGGACTGCTTTTAGATTGATTGTTCTCTATTGCTTATTTTATTTTATTAATTTTTTCTCTCTACTAAACATACTTCAGAACTTTCTTGTACTAGGAGTCTTTAGGTGACAAACTCTCACAGTGTTGATTTGTCTGAAAGTATCTTTAGTACACTTTCATTTTAAAAAGATATTTAGTTTTATGATTCCAGATTGACATTATTAACATTATATTAATAACTATATTAATAATAACATAAATTGTTCACCTGGATATAATATGGTTTTTGTTTTTTATTCTTTTTAACTCTGGCTGTTCTTAAGAGTTTTTCTTTGGTGTTTGAAGTTTCATTATGATAAAGTCTATGTATAAGTTTCTTGACATTTGTTAGGTATTTTGTCAGAAGGTTTATGTCTTTTATCAGTTCTGGAATAATCTCATATATTATTATCATTAAATAATTATCTCTGACTTGTTCTCTCTTTTCCACGTGGAACTATATCTCGATATGCTAGACTTCTCACTCACTTCCGAATGTCTCTTATTTTCTTTCATAGTTTCTCTTTGCCTCTTTGTGATGCATTCTGGAGAACTCAGATCTGTCTTCCAAGTAACATATTATCTTTTCATAAAATGTCTAAACTGCTATTAAATCCACACATTTATAATTTCAATCATTACAATTTTTATTTCTAGAAGTTTATTTTATTCTTAAAATCTGCTTGGCCATTTCCCATAGTTTCTTGCTATCTGCGTATATTTTCACTTATGTTTTTTATTTCTTTAAACACAGTGAGTATAACGTTGTCATAATCAGTGTCCTAATATTTTTAGTGTCTGAAATTCCTGTGTTTCTTTCTCTTCTGTTTGTTGTTTTTGCTTATTCTTCCTCAGGGGGCTTTATTTCTTTGTATGTGTAATTATTTTCACCTGTGATATGCTTATTTTTCTTGTCAGTTTATTTCTAGAAATTCTCTGAGGCCTAAAATGATTCCAGTAGGAATCACTAGACTGGATTGTGTTTGCTTCAGCTAAGTATGTGGGAGGATTATACTCTCATAATCACTCTGAATTACATTTACAAATTGGGTTATTTTGGTCTGCCTAGGTGGTATAGGTTCAGGATGAAGTAGGCTAGTTTCTAACTTTCAACAATGACTTTTTTTCTCCTTTTCTCAGTGTCTAAGTGGTGAAGAGTTGATGTTTGAGGGAAGAATGTTTCTGCTTCCCCTGAAAGAGCTCATGACCTGACAGTCCAAGTTTCATAAGCGGAGGAGCCCCACTCCTCTTAGATTTCCCTCTTTTGAATGGACTTTGAGGCTTGTGTCTGTAATTTACTGATATTTTACATAGTGTAATATTAAAATTAGAAGTGGATTTAAAATGGATTATTTTTGTTTTTTTTTGAGACAGAGTCTTGCTCTGTTGCCCAGGCTGGAGTGCAGTGGCACATTCCCGGCTTACTGCAACCTCTGCCTCCCGGGTTCAAGCATTCTTCTGCCTCAGCCTCCCGAGTAGCTGGGATTATGGGCACACACCATCATGCCCAACTACGTTTTGTATTTTTAGTAGAGATGGGGTTTCACCATATTGGCTAGGCTGGTCTCGAACTCCTGAGCTCAGATGATCCACCCTCCTCAGCCTCCCAAAGTGCTATGATTATATGTTTGAGCCACTGTGCCTGGCCTAAAGTTGATTTTAAAAATGATATGCAGATAAAGCATAAATCATGAAGATAGTAAGCTGCATGACTGCTGTATTGACAAATATCAAGAGTAGGTTTGGCTTGATGGTGAGAGCAGACTCAGAAACTCAGGGGCATATTAGACATAGTTTACACAATCAAAGGCTGGAGAATGAAACTAGAGCAGCTACGATCCACAATAGCAAGATCAGCAACATTTTTTAGGACGGGCAGATATACACGCTTCTAGATCTCAAAATCTTCACTGGGGTCATGCAATTTCAGGTAATAACATGAGTCACTGAAGTTCACATTAGAGCTTCTAGAAGCTCAGCTATTCCCTCCAGTTTCAATTTCAATACATAAGTCTCGAGCCATTTGTAGGTAGGCTAGTTTGGCTGCATGCTGGAGACCCCTCATCCTGGCCTGGTGCACTTCATTCGTCTCTGTATTATACAAAATACAAAATACACAGAGCCCATTTTGGTACAGAACACAGGCCAGGAACACAGCCCTAATTTATTACCTTTTCCCATCCCAGTCTGGCCAGATCTGGTTCAAGGCCATTTCTGAACTCAGTGCTGTGGGATGAAAACCAAGATCAATTGCTCAGACTTCTCTGGCTACAGGGTTCATATGTAAATAAGTGAAGTTTTGGTCTAGTAAAAACAGGTCTATTAGAAATACAGTCCATCAGGAATTACAGATCAGGGAGGGCTTTAAAGGGAACAGATATCACACTCAGAATAACTAAGGAGAGTTTATTTATACAAGGGACTAATTACAAAGAGGTGTGGGGTTTGGTGGTGGTGAAACACAAGGGATAGTGGAGAAACCTGAAGCTAGCAGAAACAAGCTTGTACCAACCTTAGAACTGAGTGGACAGTGGGAAGAAGACATTACCAGACCCCAGAAGGAGAGAATGTCTTATACAGCAGCCATCTAGAGTGAAAAAATAACCTTCTGTCAAGGAACACAGGCTGCCCAAATGTGCTCAATTTCCTTCCCCTCAGCTTTCTGCTGGTCAAACCAACTGGAAGCAAGAGGCCATGCAATTCTATTGATGTAACCCAGGCAAGTCAGCTTTCCTAGTTAGTGAACAAGATGGAAGGGTGGAGAGTGGAGAGTGGATTTGGAGGGATTAAGTGAGGGATTTCTGGCATATCAGAAGAACTGACATATAATCCAAGATAAGTCAATAAGTGCATCAATTTGTAAGTCAACTGAAATCTCTAATACTTCACATGTGTAATCATCTATAAAATTTCTACCCTCTTATTTTAACAAGAATTTATTCAGTATGTCAACCATACTGCTTTTCTTCACAATTTTAGGTCAGTCTCCCTAATTTCACCTACTTTATTCTCTTTGGAAGTTATTCTGATTATAGGTCTTCCAAAACTTTTCCAAAATATTTTAGTTTTCCAGGATCTCTGCCATTGGTCTATTTTTTCTCTTCAAAATTTTTGAACTGCCTTGGATAAAATCCATGTGGGTAGAGTATTTATTGATATTGGGTCCTGTTAACTCATCTATCACTTCTGTCTTACTGATTCTGAGCTCTGTGCAGTGGAGTATCTGCCAATTCAGAAAAATGTTCGCTAGGGTTTTGTCCTTTTCAAAAATCACATGGATAATGATTGTCTAATGATTTTTATTGATGTCTGTAGTACACTTGGTTGTATAGATGAATGATGTATAACTTTGATGTCCTTTGGAACGTTCATTCGGTAGTGAAATTCTCAAAACTTAGAATAGACTATGTTGGGTTTCTTACAAGGAAGTTGTAAAGTCAGTGTCACCAATGTGATGCTGTGTTGTGTAGAAGTTCACAAAAAGAGCAACACAAGGGAGCTATTATTTATTTATTTATTTATTTTGAGACAGAGTCTTGCTCTGTCGCTAGGCTGGAGTGCAGTGCCACAATCTCGGCTCACTGCAACCTCTGCCTCCCAGGTTCAAGCAATTCTCCTGCCTCAGTCTCCTGAGTAGCTAGGACAGGTGCACACCACCATGCCCAGCTAATTTTTGTATTTTTAATAGAGATGGGGTTTCACCGTGTTGGCCAAGATGGTTTCTACCTCTTGACCTCGTGATCTGCCCGCCTTGGCCCCCCAAAGTGCTGGGATTACAGGCGTGAGCCACCGCGCCCAGCTGGGAGTTGATTTTTTTGATCATTTATAATAGGCCAGTTGATGTGATAGATATTTTGTGCATGGAATTTAATCGAGTTACATTAACATTACAAGTTAGATAATCTCTAGTGAAAGAAACATATTTTAAGCTCCCAGAAGAATATGATGGGATAGCATTTTTAAGGTCTTTCTAACCAAAGTAAAGTAAAGTAAATATTTGAGGTAGGAGTCTCTCCACCCAATGGAAGCCAAAAAGTCCAGTTAATATTTGATAGAAAGGTCTATATGTCATGGCAAGCTCGAAGTTTATGAGCCCTTCGGGGGACTGTAGTGCTGCCTAGTTGCTCTCCCTGGTTTCTCGATGATCCTTCCAGTCCATCTCCACACTACCAACCAGGTGTTCTTTCTAAAAATTCATTCTATCCCCACTGTTTCTTTACTTAAAACTGCCAATACTTGTAATGGCACTTAGCTAAAATCCAGCATGTTTGACATGCCCGTACAAGGTCTTTGCTACCTCTCTGGCCTCAGTTCACATCATCTCCCCTACTTATGCTCCCACTGCCTGGATCACTCTTGTTTATGTCTATTCCTGAAAAGCTCCTCTCCTTCTTTCAGGTTTCACATTAAATGTCATGTCTTTAACGAAGCCATCATTTATCCTTCTACCTGAATAAGATCCCCTGGTATTCTCTCTAATTACACCCTTCATGTTTCCTTCAGATTCCTTATAGTGCTTTGTAATTATAGATTTGTTTCTGTGATTGTTTTTCTGATGTCTGTCTTTTTTGTCAGACTGCATGTTCCATGAGGTCTATTTTGTTCAGTGTGGTCGTTTCTAACTTCGTGGCACAAGGCCAAGTACTAGGAGTGCTGTGTTCTGAATGTTTATGTCCCCCTACTCAAATTCATATGTTGAAACCTAATACCCAATGTGAAGGTATTTGGAGGTGGGACATTTGGGAGCTGATTAGTTTATGAGGGCAGTCCTCTCATGAATGAGGTTAGTACCCTTAGAAAAGAGGAACCAGAGATCTGCCCTCCCAACTTCCGCCACATCAGGACACAGCAAAAGCACCATCAGTGAATTGTAAAACAGGCCTCCCCAGTCACGGAATCTTCTAGTGTCTTGGTCTTAGACTTCCAGACTCCAGAACTGGGAGAAATCAATTTCTATTATTTATAAGCTACCCAGTGTATGTTATTTTGTTAGCCTGAACAGACTAAGACAAGGATGCTTCAATAACATGTGCCAAATAAATGAATGAATGACAGTAACACAGTTCCTGTCCTCCAGGAGTTTAGTGTCAGAGATGACAATGGACAGAGATAAGATCACTGAACTGTGGTAAGTATTGGAAGAGTGGAATAGACAGAAGCACACAGTGCAAATTGGGAGAACCCTACAGGCAGGTTCAAGCCATTGGTCCCTTGAAGAAAAGAATTAAATCTTTCTTATCATTGAGAACATAATAATTCAACTAGTAACAAGGGACTAAATGTTAGAGAATAAGTCTTGCAATTATTAAATAACTTGCTCTGTGGTTTAATGGGAGGCTCTGGAATTGAGAGTTGAAGCCTGTGTTCTGAGACTGACTAGCCATATCACTTTATACAAGTCCATTGCACTCTGCAGGCACAGATTATGTCCTTCCAGTATTACACTTATAAGACAATTAGAGGGCAGTATATGAAGATGGAAGGGCATGTTAATGAAAGAAAGGGGACCTTTTAAGCTCGTGAAATTTCTTTCTACCTTACTTTGGAGTTCATGTTCTCTCTGTCTGTCTCTCTGTCTCTGTCTCTGTCTATATAAATATAGTCTGTGTGTGTGTGTGTGTGTGTGTGTATCTGTTGGGGTGGGTGGGAGGAGAAGGTCTTATATATGGTTGAACTATCCACATTATCTTCTGTTCAATGGGGACCTAAAGATTTCCTGCACTTGTTAACTAAAAAATATTTTCTGGAAGCTATAGCTCAGTCCATCATTCTGTAAACTTGTAAAGAATCTTTGTCATGCATAAGCCCAGATGGAATAAATCTGCTAAGTGAATGCTTACACAAAACAGAACATTTTGAAAAACACATTTATAAATAGTCTGTGCAATTTTAGTAAATAAATGAATTGATGTGTCTACATTCTATGCATACATTTCAATCCAGGGAAGCATTTCCATAGTTAAGTCTCCAATAATGAAAACTACATATTAAGTGCAGGCCATGGATGTACATTCGTGGACTCACACTGAACAGAAAATTAAGCTATTAATATTACCTTGAAGATAATGAGACATTTAATGTCCTCATAATTGTAGCCACGTTAAAAACTAAAATAGAGAACTTCTCCTGCGACTCCCTGGAAACTTGATTTGATGCAGACTAAAATGAGGATATATCTGGGCAATTCCTTACTCATGAATAAACAAATGTGTGTTGTCCCTTCTATCTGCAGACACCTTCATCAATACCTTTTTAACACCGTGCCTTCTTAATTGCTTACCTACAGAGCTAAGCTTTCACCTAGGCCAAGTCTTCTCTGGAATAGAAGGGTTAAAATTTGTGTTATAAGGTTTGGGTGATTTAATCATTAATAGTCATTCTATTAGTTACCAAAATTATTAATCATTAAAGGTGAGGAATTGATGATAGAAAAGTTGATTGGGGTGTTGGGCCATTAAGTGTATAACCAAGGTTTCACATAGCCTTGGGACAAATATATTAGAAAAATGTCAGTTCTCAAATTTGTTAACTTGAAGCTACCACTTTTTACGACACAGAACCTCAGTTCTCTTCTGTCCAAAATCATATCTCTCTAGGTATTTTAAGAGTCTCCCACATCCTCACATGCAGACATAAACAGCCTTCTCATGATCTTATTGATTTGTCACCTTAGAATGAATTCTTACAGAGAATCCCAGAACTAGATCCCAGTACGTCTCATAATTTGTATATAAAAAATAATGGTTCAATGTTATTATGCTTTGCAAGAAATGGGCTGAGCACCAAAGAGGGTTTATGAAAGAGTTGGACAAGGAGGGGCACAGGCAGCAGAGATGTGCACTCCCCAGAACAGCTCCCTTAGAATGAAAACTCCGTGCTAGGGTGTCATTTCCAGGAGGATAGTGATTTGTGTGTGTTTGGTTTACTCCTCTTTTTCCATGTAAGAAGAATGCTTGGCACATGATAGGCCCTCAATAAATATTTGTTGAACAAATGAATAATAATGTTCATTTTGGTTAAAATGAACGAAAATTCTGAGCATGCAACCTTGCCCAAGCTCCTGGGTCATCCCAATTTGTGGTTGAAATGGAAAGACAATAGCAAAGATTTTCTTTATTTAATGTATTTTGTCAGGGGAAATCTTAGACACTCAGAAATATATCCTTGTTTAGGCATAGGAGAATTTGTACTACCCTTTGCTTGTGAATCATCTTGTTAACATTTCTAAGTAGTTACCAGAATTCTTAAAAGAACTACCATAGTAAAGATAATATGTTTCATTAGGGGAATTGCTGAAAGTGCAAAAGGTGTCATAATTTGTTGATAATAGCTATTCTTGGTATGGTTTGTGAGATGAGTATAGAATTTACCTGTGTGCTTTATGGTTTCAATCAGCATTAACTCTGAAAATATAAAAAATTATTCCCGAATTTAGAATAAATGCTGCACTTTTTAAAGGAGGACCTTGTTTGAGTGAGTGAATCTGACCTAATATGTGGAAAAATAAAATTGTACCCATTATACATTTTCAAAGCCTTCTATAATGGTGTGTTTTAAATTATGTAGGGTAAAAGACCAGTCTTTTAAAAAAATCTCTAATCTATTACAGAATAATACCTTATAATGGAAATAAATTTTTAGGAAAAAAATTATGTGCTTTTATGTCATATTAATGTCAAATCATCATAAAAGTTTTCTAAACTTCACCCTCAATTTCTGTACTTATGAGCTGACTTATTCTGTACCTATTATGGGGACTGTCCTCCCGTCCCAGGTGTAAATCCTGAATTCCCAGCATGACTTTGGAAGGATAAACAGGCTCAGCTGACTTTCAGATGTACACTCTACCCGCCCAGTGGATTTCCAGGAGTTTGTTCCTCTCTACCCTTCTGCTCAAATATGGACAGAAGCTTTTTCTCTTATTTCCATTAACCCAGCTTAGGCAGGCTGGAGCTTCAAAACAACCAGTGAAGAAATGACAAATATGCAGAATGTGTAAGCAATATAGACAGTTTGACATGCATAGTACATGATTCTGAGTCTACTAGTACAGAGGGCTGTGCTTTGCATCCTTTCTGGAGATGCAAGCACCCACAGTTCTTAGGAGACCTCCTCACATCCTGGCCTGGCTCCCTGTGGTTGCCGCTATCCTAATGCCTGCCTCTTGGACATAGTCTTATAAACATATTGGTGTAAACATTGCCTTGTAAGCATATTGATCTTAATGAAAAGAAACTTCATTGTTATCTTATTATAAAAGCAGCATTTGCTTATTGTGTTACACTTAAAATAGATTGGGCCAGGCACGGTGACTCATGCCTATAATCTCAGCATTTGGGGAGGTTGAGGTGGGTGGTTTACTTGAGCTCAGGAGTTTGAGATCAACCTGGGCAACATGGCAAAACCCCATCTCTACAAAACATCAAAAATTAGCTGGGCGTGGTGGCTCGCACCTGTACTCCCAGCTACTCAAGAGGCTGGAGTGGGAGGATGGCTTGAGCTGTGGAGGTTGAGGCTGTAGTGAGCTGTGATTGCAACATTGAACTTCAACCTGGCAACAGAATGAGACTATGTCAAAAAAAAGAAAGAAAGAAAGAAAGAAAGATTAAATTATGAGGAAAAAAGTTAAATTCCCATAATCTCACCATTCGTTTACTTTACACATGAACATGTTTTTAGAAACATTGAATATTACTGTTTGGTGATCAGGTCTACTCCCTAAATTGCCAATTAGATAGCTTGACTTTTCCTCCATCAACAAGACCGAGAAAGACAAAGTAACCTCGACCTTTCTTGAGATCTCAATTCTTGTATCCCAAAGTGAAGAGCCCAAGACATCACTTTGTCCTGTGAAGCCTCCTGTCTTTTACCACAGAGGTATTGTCTTGTTATCACAGGCTTTAAAGCAGAGGATGCAAACACATTTAATGTAGCCCACATAAAGTTTAAGACAGTTGAATTTCAATTCTTTAGGTGGGTGTATGTACTGCCAGATTCACACCATTATTTTACCTAATTCCTGTAGGCATTTGAGATTAAGACCAACATCTTATAGAGTTAATGTAGTCTAAAATAACACAACAATCAGAGTCTTCTTATAATGGGAGTTACACAAATCTCTAATAGATTATTCTCTTCATATAAACCCATTATCTCATAACATATTAAGGAGGAAATAAAACTAATGGCTCACTATTGAAGGAGAAGGCTACATATATATTACAGATATGGTTCAGATTTGAAAGCCAGGGAGTGGCCTGCCTGAATTCTTTATCAGTTGCCAAGAGAGAAATTAAAGCTTTTCATGTCCCATAGTTCTGTGTGAAAATACTAATGATATGTAGGAGTAATATATCAAGGCACTGATGTGTTCTCACATATTACTAAAGATTAATTGATTATTCAATGCATGTCATCCAGATTAATGAGGAGGGCTAGAGGAAATGGAATCCAAGAGGAAAGAAAGAAGAGAAATAAAGGTTCAGATTGCAGTGCACTGCCTGAAGTTACATACCAGCTGGGCTCCACAGTGAGGAACTTAAGGAGGGAGAATTAATGAAAATGAAGTGATCAAGAATGCTGAACATAAATCTCATCTACTACACTGTTTTATTTGCACTCAGTTCGGCTTCCCAGGCTTCTCCAATTTGTTCCTCAGACACTCTGGTCAAATAAATCATTATTCCACCAGTAATGATAACTGTTCCAAAAAGCAAACTATCAGACACCACCCATTCAATCCTCTAGCTCTGAAATATGCCAGAATATTCTTGGCCTGTGCTTGGATGAATAAATGGATGGGGAGAATTAAGCACTGCTGACTAGAAAATGATTTTTTAAATGTGGCCAAGGAGGCATCATTTTCTTTTTTTTCAGGAGGTCATTCAAAGAAGACAGAAAGACAAGCAGATTATCTTTCTCCTAAAGGGACTGCAGAAGTGGCGTTTTATAAGAAGAGAGTCCGTTAATGCTATATAATATACAATGTATTTATTCTGGATATTAATTTAAAACATTAGGTATACACAACTGAGATATTTTCTGTCATAGTTTAAAGTTTATCTGGATTATAGTTTAAGAATGCTATGCAACATCTAAAGAATTTTTGGGTGAAACATGTTAAATTAATCATTTTGAATATTTCTTCTAAGTTAAATATGGTTATTTCATTTCCAAATTATAAATTAACAAGAATGTTTTTAGAGCTCTAATTTATGTAATTCTAGCTTGGTTTTCTTTGGAGTAAGCTTTCATGAAATATATTCTCCACATATTAAATTATTATTCTATTATTCTCATATCACATTTGGTTTTTATACAGACTTCTAGAGTCTAAAGTGAACACAAATCAAGTTTCTGTAACCTGTAATTATCTTTGTGCAATTAAAACATTTTTAACATTAGTTTAAAAAACTCAAGTCAATCAAGCAACTACATTGTTTCAATTGAAAATAGGCAATAACAATCAAATTTGCTTTAAAAATCATCTCTACTCAGGGCTTATTTCCCTAATAGTTCATATTTTCTGAGTGTTTCCTTTTATTTTTATAGAAGTAATACCTACATTACAAAACTACCTGTGTAACACTATGGAAGGCAATTTACAATGCACATTATAATGATGAAGCAGCTTGTTCACTGGTAGCAGTAATTCATAATACATTATAGCTCATTACAGGAGAGGTTTAGCTTAATTCTTGATTCTTTATGTTAGGGAGGGCAATACAATTTGAAAAGAAGAAAGTTTTCCTCTGCATTCCTCATGTTTACTTCTAAATATCATTTTAAGACACAGAATAAGTTTATCATTATGTATTGGAAATATTATATGTAGTGGAGGACTTATGAGAAAGAGGCTGCTATGTGCTCATTCAAACTTCCTCCAGAAAACACAGTTAGACTACATATCCCATTTATTTGACTGCATTTATTTGACTGCATTTATTTGACTCAGCAGTTTCTTTGCAGTTTGATGTTGCCGAGTAACTGAATACTATCTAATGCAATATGCACAAAATTGATGTGTTTCTCTTTCAGGCCTGGTCCACTGAAAATGTTTGCACCATTTCCAATTCTTATTCTCTACATTAGTTTGCTGGGCTTATGTAGAGAATCCAGGAGAGGATTCCCAGGCTTTAAGGAATACTGGAACCACATGATGGGAAAAGTTATGGTTCCAAAATGATGCTAACCAGAAACTCAGAACCAAACTTGGTATGAGAGATGGACTCATATTGTGTACATCACCGAGACTTAAGGGCTTATTTGTATGGAAGCTAGTTTACTTACACTAACTGAGAACAAAGGGTTAGAATCGATGCACACTTTTCATATCTGGAGTTTTTTTTTTTAGTAAATTCACATCAAACATAAGAAACCAGGTTTTTATACAAGGATGGACAATTCGGTCTTTCACTTTCCAAATGAGATTGTGTAAGCTGACAAACTTAGACAAGCACAAAAATTATTTGTTAATAGTCAATGAAAATTTAAAAATATAGAAAGCATATACTAAATCTAAATATCAAGAATTATTCAAGAAAAGGAGAAACTCAGAAAAATAAGTTAAATCAACAGCAGTCAAAAAAAAAGTTATCCTATTTTATAGGAGGGTGTGTGCAAATGAATATTAGCCTAAATCTACCCTCTACATGAGGTTTATAGAAGGAGATGGAACAGCACTTTATAGAATGCCATTTGATTCTCAAAGGCTATCAGAGCAAAGCAAGAAAGACAAAGGTTATCTTTAGTATCCCCTAAAGATATCAAGACTTTTTCCCCTTAGAATATAAGTTCCAGATTTGATTTCTTTAAGAAGTGACAAGAACTTAGAGTTGTGAAGGAATCTGAATGCAGAATTTTTCTACATTTTTGTTTTAATCTTTGACAATTTTATCACATTTGCCCAAATTGACAGTATCTTTTATAGTGACTTTAAAGTCTTTATTGAAAGCTTACTGAGGTATTTTTCAGAGAAACAATTTTCACATACATTTTTATTGGTTTACATATTTAACACAAATTTGTTTTTGCAGTAATAGATATGATATATTTTGTAGGAGAATGACTGATTCTTGATAATCACTCATGTGGTCACAGCCAAATTGTGTGGCCATGGCAGAGATTGGCTTCCTACTGATGCATGTTTGTCATGCCACAGGCATTATTCAAATTGTTTTACAGGGGGAAAGTTGGAAGTTAGTGAATCTAGAGAGCTGGATAAACGGTGCTGGGTTAAGAGAGTGCAGACGCACATTTTGACGGTTCTCACTCCACCTGCAGAATCTCAGCTTCCTGAAACTTTTCTAATAGTCAAGTGTGCCTGGGAGATTGTTACTCATGCTCTCCTGTGATGAACACATGGATCTCCTGTTTGATTTCTCTTTTCCTGACCCTTTCTCCCTGATTCTAGCAAGCCAGGCACAGTGGAGTCAATGGGCATTGACATGGCTTCTGTTAAGTTCTGCCACTCCTGACTGGTATAACCCCTCTGTATTAGTTCATTCTCACACTGCTATAATGATACTACCTAAGACTGGGTAATTTATAAATGAAAGAGATTTAATTGAGTCACAGTTTCACATGGCTTACATGTAGAAAACTTACAATCATGGCAGAAGGGGAAGGGGAAGCAAGGCAAGTCTTACATGGCAAAAGGTGAGAAACAGAGCACAAGGAGGGAACTACCAAACACTTTTAAAACCATTAGATCTTGTGAGAACTCACTGACTATCACAAGAACAGCACGGTGGAAACTGTCCCCATGATCCAATCAACTTCCACCAGGTCCCTCCCTTGATAAGTGGGGATTACAGTTCGAGATGAGATTTGGGTGGGGACACAGAGCCAAACCATGTCATACTCGCTCTTTAAAGATTGCCATGACCTGTTGGGCACTATTCCTCTAATGTGCTGAGGTTTGGGGGAACCAAAGCTATGTTTTGTCAAAAAGGGGTACTTACAAGATGCTTGTGATTGATAGCTTATGAAAATTTGACTGAGATAACTCCTTCAGGCTTTAATTATAGTGTTCTTCCTCCCCACAGCTCACTCCCAGCACATGGTGATCTCATTTCTACATAAGGCACTAATTCATGTGAGGCTGAGTAGAAAGGCAGAGAGCAAGCAGTTTTACAAAAGCCTATGCATCCTCATGAGTAAAGTGGGTCAGGATTATCTGCAAAACTAGTTTTTCTTCAGAATCTTTCACTTTCCAGGAATCGCCTCAGTTTTTCATGCAAATGCACTTGGACAAATTCAGACCTGTCTGCTGTCAGAAAGGAACACACAAGGAACACACCTTAATCTCATCATGAGGCTTGGAAACCTAAAATAACCTAAAAATAAGTTTAATTATAGCATAACTATATCCTAAACAAAGCCTGGTTTAAATAAAGATAGATAGTGTTCAGTTATCTCTTCTTGTGTAAAGAACTACCCCAAAACTTAGTGACTTACTGCATAAATATTTTAAATATATTATGATTTTGTATGTCAGAAATACAAGCAGGACTCAGCTGGGTGATCCTTTTGCTCCACATAGTTATTGACTGGGTAGAAGTTGGTGGTATTCAGCTGATGACTGGTGTATATTACTCAGGGTTCTCTAGAGGGACAGAACTGATAGGATATATGTATATACGAAGGGAAGTTTATTAGGGAGAATTGACTCCTTGATCACAAAGCGAAGTCCTACGATAGGCAGGCTGGGGAAGAGAAGCTGGTAGTGGCTCAATCTGGGTCTGAAAGCCTCAAAACCAGAGAATCCAACAGTGTAGCCTTCAGTCTATGGTTGAAGGCCCAAGAACTCCTGGCAAACCACTAGTGCAAGTCCAAGAGTCCAAAAGCTGAAGAACCTGAAGTCTGATGTCCAAGGGCAGGAGGAGCAGGAGGAAGCATCCAGCCCAGGAAAAAGCAGGAAGCCAGAAGAATCAACAAGAAAAGTTATCTTACCTTCTTCCACCTGCTTTTGTTCTAGCTGGACTGGCAGCTGATTGGATGGTGTCCACACACATTGAGGTTGGGTCTTCCTCTCCCAGTCCAGCAACTTAAAATGTAAATCTCCTCTGGCAACACCCTCACAGACAAATACTTAACCAGCCATCTAGGTATCTTTTTTTTTTTTTTTGAGACGGAGTCTCACTCTGTTGCCTTGGCTAAAGTGCAGTGGCGTGATCTCAACTCACTGCAACCTCTGCCACCTGGGTTCAAATGGTTCTCCTGCCTCAGCCTCCCAAGTAGCTGGGATTACAAGCACCTGCCACCACACCCAGCTAATTTTTGTAGTTTTAGTACAGATGGGGGTTCACCATCTTGGCCAGGCTGGTGTTGAACTCCTGACCTCGTGATCCATCTGCCTCGGCCTCCCAAACTGCTGGGATTACAGGTGTGAGCCACCTCGCCCAGCCTAGGTATATTTTAATCCAATCAATCAAGTTGACACCTAACCTTAACTATCACAAGTCCACCCCTTGTCAACTTGGCACCCATATACGTCACCTGAAATCATACTTAATCCCTAAATAAAGACAATAATAAGGTCATAATTGGACCTAACATAATACAACTATGCTTCATACAACTGGAAGTGCACTAATCCTTAACCTAACAACACTTAAATGCTGATAGGAAATCAATAAAACTTATGTTACATGATAAAGGAAAAAGGAAATAAAATGAAGATACTTTCCTAGTACAGGTTATACATGCACAAACATGTTCTTAACAAAGTAAGGAGGAAATACTCATGATAATTACAGTCCTTGTTTCTGCAACTGGTCACATGGTCATAGCTGGTATTGATGACTAGCTTCTTCTACCCCTTCTGTATTCTTTTTGCCTTAAGCAAGTACCCTGGCCTGTTGTTGGTTTTCGCCTGGTGAAGGAACCCAAACCTTCATTCCTGAAGGGTCTGGGCCATTTTTCATCCTGTCTGGATTGGGTAACTAGTTTCCCATTGACCTTAATCATGGGCATTGTAATAATGAGAGACACCCTAAGGGATCTCCTGTATTCCTGACATACTCTTCCTTACTTCCATTGTAGAGTAGTCTGATTTCATCCTGATTGTCTGGTCAATCACCTCCACCAACACTGTAACTCCCTTCTTAGCCTCTTGACTTAGAGGAAGGAGGAGCCCAAAGTGGCCAAGTGGCAATCTTAAATTCCAGTTTAATGGAATCGTTGTGTGTCCTGGTAGCAGCTTTCCTCCCTCAGGAACTAAGACCTCTTAGGCCAGCAGAACGTAATGCCATGGGAACAGGAAGCAAACGTTTTGTTGGTGAGTCACTAGGGGTGATGGTGAGTGATACCACTTCCACTTCCACCTTTTGATTGACAGGCCCCGCAGCCCGGACTCCTAGAAATTTCACTGAGGTAGACAGTTGCTGAATTTTAGTCGGATTTATTGCCCATACCCTGGCATGCAAATTCTCAGTGTGGTTGCTACTTCTCACTCACTGGGTCCAGTCAGTGTAATTTCATCAATGTAATGGTCCAGTGTGATATCTTGTGAAAGGGAAAAGTAATCAAGATCTCTGTGAACAAGATTATGACACAGAGCGGGAGAGTTGATATACCCATAAGGTAGGACATTATGGACGGGAATGGAGAAAAAGGCATTTGTCAAATTAATAGCTGCATACCAGGTACCAGGAGGTTTCTTAATTTGCTCAAGCAATGAGACCACATCTGGTACAGCAGCTGCAGTTGGAGTCACCACTTGGTTAAGTTTGTGCTAATCCACTGTCATTTTCCAAAATCCATCTGTCTTTTGCACAGAACAAATAGGAGAGTTCAACAGAGATGTGGTGGGAATCACCACCCCTGCGTCTTTCAAGTTCTTGATGGTGGCAGTAATCTCTGAAATCCTTCCAGGGATGCAATATTGTTTTTTCTAGGTAGAGGCAGCTCTAATCGCCTCCATTTGGCCTTTTCCACCATAATAGCCCTCACCCCACAGGTCAGAGAACCAATGTGGGGATTCTGCCAGCTGCTGCATATGTCTATGCTAATTATGCATTCTGACATTGGGAAGTGACTACAGGATGAGTCCGGGGACCCACTGGACTCACTGTAAGTTGGACCAAACTAACACCCTATTAATTACCTGACCTCCATAAGTCCCTACACTAACTGGAGGATCACGATGTTTTGACATTTTTGGAATCAATGTCAGCTCAGAGCCAGTGTCCAGTAGTCCCCAGAAGATCTCATCATTTCCCTTTCCCTAATGCACAGTTACCTTGGTAAAAGGCCAGAAGTCTCCTTGGGGAAGGATGGGAGAAAGATTAACAGTAAAAATTGTTGGTAGTGTAGTGGGGGGTCCTTCCTTAAGGGAAGAGGCCTCCCCTCCATTTAAGGGGTTCTAGGTCTGTAAACTGGCTCAAATCTGAAAATTGATTGAAAAGCCATCATGCTCTGTTTTCATAATTCAAATTAGTCTTTTGTTTACTTGACCTGGAAGTTTTCTGCTTATACAAATTAAGTAAGAATGCAGTAAGTTTCCTGTCAATTTTACTTCCAGGAACACTGTGATTAATTAGCCAATGCCAGAGCTCTACACGTGTCAGACTATTCTGCTTGCTGCTTTGCCTCTGTTGTCCATTACAGTAACTATGCCCAACTTGCCTTTGATGGTTGAGTGCTGCCACTTGTCCCATGCCACCTTGGGATCCAATTATTCCTATTGCATTTAAGTTTTCCCATTGAGGGAAAATTAATTTCCATTGTAAGATCTGGCATACCGAGAAGAGCAATCACAGAGCTCTTCAAGGACGCAGGTGCTCCCCTCACAAATCTATTTTACAAGGTATTGGTGAAGGATGTGTCTTCTGGACCTTCTCAGTTGGGATGAGAAAGTCTAAAATGACTAATCCACTCTAGCATTCCAATCTCCCTAAGCCTTTGAATCCCTTCCCCTACATTAAACCAAGGGAGATCAGGCATTTCCAGCTCGCTCATAGTGGACCATCTTTTGATCCATGATTCAGCTAACCAAGGAAATAAACTATTAGAACCTTTTTAAATTCCCCCTGCTGCAACCTTAAATGCAAAATCTCTGCTTAGTGGGCCCATATGAATAAATTCTGCCTGATACAACTTTATGTTCCTTCTACCGTTATCCCACACCCTTAATATCCATTCCCATACCTGTTCTCTGGATCTCCACTTATATAATTTAGAAAGCTCAAGTAGTTCTCTTGGAGTATGGCGCACCTCCTTATGGGTCACACTCTGAACCTCACCTTTAGGGGCCTACTGGGACTTGAGTCTAGTTACAGGGTAGAAGCAAAGAGGGGTGGTGGGGGTTGGTCCTGAGGAGAATCAGCATTTCCTTGCCTGGCAACTGCATCAGGGGAGACCATCACTGTTGCCTCAGGCAGTGCAATCTCAGACAAAGGTGGAAAGGCTGATGGCAGCCTGGGTGGGGAGGGGATGTTACCACCACTAGGGGTGGGGAGGCCATTTCCTCTGACACAAAAGGCTCATCAGAATTTAGGAGCTCAGTGTCTCCAGCTTCATCAAGGTCCTCCAACACATCCCCATCCCAAGTTACAGGGTCCCATTCTTTCCCAATGAATGCCCTCATTTTAACAGTCGACATCTGGTGAGACTGAGCCTGTATCTTTTGTTGCAGGTCAGCTATTCACATGAAGAACTCGTGTCTGATTTTTAGCAATTTCAGCCCTTTGTCTACAAGACATAAGACTCTCACCCAGGGCAATCTTAGAAGATTTGAGGCTAAGTATGTGCTTCTGGAGCCAGGAGATGGGAGATGGAATCCCTGAGCTCATTCTTTTCTTTCATCACTTTCTCCAGCAAACTTAGGAGCAACCAAACAACTTCATTATATTCCTTGGTTCTCTACAAATGTTCAAAGGTATCATGTATAGAGTCACTAAACTCCTTGCCTTTCAAGAGTGGTGAATCAGGAATATCAAATGCGTTTATTTTGCACAACTCTCTAAACAATTCACGCCAAGGACTATCAGTGCTCTCCACACTATTAGAAATAGAGTCGTTAAGTAGTTAATCTGGTTAGGTCTAACCAGATTAAAGAGCCAGGAACCCCAAAACCGACTAGAGAAATCCATCCTTAAAATTCATTCCTCTAGAACCACCCCAGTACCAAAATCTGTATTAATCAGAACTCTCCAGAGGGACAGGACTAATAGGATATATGTATATATGAAAGAAAGTTTATTAGGGAGAACTGGCTTACACGATCACAAGTTGAAGTCCCACAATAAGCCATCTGCAAGCTAGGTAAGAGAAAAGCCAGTAGTGGCTCAGTCTGAGTCTGAAAGCCTCAAAACCAGGGAAGCTGACAGTGCAGCCTTCAGTCTGTGGCCGAAGGTCTGAGAGCTCCCAGTAAACCGCTGGTACAAGTCCAAGAGTCCAAAGGCCAAAGAACCTGGAGTCTGATGCCCAAGGGCAGGAGGAGCGAGAGGAAGCATCCAGCACAGGAGAAAGAAGAAAGCCAGAAGACCAAGGAAGCAAGGTTATCCCACCATCTTCCGCCTGCTTTCTTCTAGCCGCACTGGCAGCTGATTGAATGGTACCCACCCATACTGAGGGTGGATCTTCCTCTCCCAGTCTAACAACTCAAATGTCAATCTCCTCTGGCCACACCCCCATAGACACACCCAGAAACAATACTTTACCAGCCATTTACGTATCTTTCGATCTAATCGAGTTGACACCTAACATTAACCATTACAACTGGGATGAACTGGAGGACCCCAGTATGGCTTCACTCACATGTTTTGTGCTTTGATAGGGAAATTTGGAAGGCTGGTCTCAGCCTGTCCCCTGTCCATCTCCACATAGTCTCGGGGCCTCTGTATTTGATCTCTGCACCATATAATTGGACTTCCTACCTGGAGTTGGCTACCCTATGTGATGATTAATTATATGTGTCATCTTGGCTACAGTGCCCAGATGTTTGGTCAAATGACTGTCTAGATGTTGCTGAGAAGGTGTGTTTTAGATGTGATTAATATTTAAATCAGTAGACTTTGGGTAAAACAGAGTATCCTCCATAATGTGAGTGGGCTTCATCCAATAAGTTGAATGCCTGAAGAGGAAAAGTCTGAGGCCCAGGGAAGAAGGAATTCTGCCTCCAAGTTGCCTTTGACTTGAAACCGCAGCATCAGCCCTTCTCTGGGTCTCCAACCTACCAGCCTGCTCTGAAGATTTTACACTTGCCAGTCCCCACAAGCGTGTGAGCCAATTACTTTAAAAAAAAAAAAAGCCTTATATATACACCTATCTATCCTATGGGTTATACTTCCCTGAAGATCCCTAATATACACCAGAAAGAACATTTCAGGAGACAGGAAGTGAAAGCTGCCAGTTTCTTGGAGGCCTGGGCCTGGAAACTGGAACATCATTCCTGACATCAGAGTGTATTGTACAAGCAGTCACAAAGCCACACTCATTCTAGGGAAGGGGATACAAATTGTGCCTTTTAAACAAAGAATTTGTGATGATCTTTACCACAAATAATAACACTTGTAAAAAGCATTGTCCCATTCTATTCTTAGCCTATGGGATATGTATTATTATTACTATTTTACTGATGGTCAGAAAAATTAAATGGGAAAGACAGTACAGCTGGCCCTTGTGTCCATGGAGTTTGCATCCGTGATTTTAACCAATCACCGATTGAAAATGAATGGTTATATCTGTACTGAACATGTATAGACTTTTTTTCTTGTCATTATTCCTTAAACAATACAGTTTAATGACTATTTACATAGCATTTATAATCTAGTAGGTATTATAAGTTATCTAGAGATGATTTAAAGTATGTGGGGGAATTGCATAGGTTATATAAATTTTATATAGGCGGCTTGAGCATCCATGGATTTTGGTATCCAGGGGGGTTCTGGAACCAATTCCCCAAGGATACCAAAGGATGACTGTGCTCGAACTAAAATAGTATCAGACCAGAATCCTTGCTGTTAGTCATTCTGATATGCTGTCTCTAGTGGTATGCTGGTGATCTAGCTTTCTGGAAAAACAACAAGAAACCAAAAAGAGTAAGCTGTGATTTGTAGTGCTTGCCAAATTCTGTTGTGTAAATTATCCCATTGTGGACAATTTCAAGCTATTAAAAACTTTTACTGACCTCAGAGTTCGGAAGGATGTGCACAGTTAGCTGTAGTGAGCCAGTATGAGCCATCTTCAGAACGCCACTGAGTATTTTCTCCCAAATGGAGAAACAATGTTACTGGTCTTAAGAGAATAAGACAGAAAGAGAAAGAGGGAGGGGAATATTAGTGGGGAAGAAAGAAAGGAAGAAAAAGAAAGAAAGAAAGATAGGTAAAAAAGCCCAAGGAAGAAGGAAAGCACATGAACAACAAAAAAAATTTTTTTCTAATGGAAATCCTGACTATGCTCTACTATCCAAAAGATAGAGAATAACTGTAGATGGAAACAATGGGAATTTATTTTAAGAACTGAGCTTTCACAAGATTGTTTTTCTGATTATTACAGTTGCATTTCTGATTATTTAAGCATCGCTGATCTACTTCTTGGTTTAGGCTGACTTCTGACTTGGTAGCCAGGATGCAATTTGCTTTTCCCAGCCTTCCTTTGGTATCTTAGGAAAGCCTGGCATATTTTATTATTTCATGGAAATGTAAATAAAGGAAGTATAATTGATCACCACCCCTTTTGCCCTATCATTGGGCCATTCCAAAACTACGTATGTAATTTTCAGAATATTTGAACCTCTTTTGAACATAAATCTTGTTTGCTTCCCCCATGACTTATATACAATCTTTATTTGTCTTCTTGAAGCCAGCTATTTCAATGTTGCATTAAATGATGACTTAGCATGGCATTATTAATCAGGCAATGACAGAAATACCTCAGACTCATTCTTTTACAACTAAAAGATACCTAAGTGAGGATAGCAAGCACCATTCGTTGCCTGCTCCAAAGCCTTTTCAATAAAAGCCTAGTTCTTAAAGCAGTTAACAAACTTCCCAACATGACTCCAGTAAATCTTATTTTACCCAGTTGTGGAAACTTTATGACTGCTTTTGGAAAGGGACATGTGATTTCATCCTAGCCAATGAGTCCTGAAGAAAGACTGCTGGAGTGAACCAGGGAAAGGTTTTCTTGTTCATAGAAATCACCCCTTCTTCAATTATATCTTATCATGGTGTAAGTGATATGTGGCTCAGTAACCCCTATCTTGTGATCATGAGTGAAGCCAGCTGGTCTGAAGCCTGCACATGGACAAGCATGGGGCCAAGAGCATCACAGAGGAGCAGTGCAGTGATCCTGAACTACTGTGCATGGAGCCCGTTCAACTTATGGAAGTCTTACTCTTGAGATATGATGTCTCATGATTGTTTAAAATAGTTGAGACGGGGCTTTCTGCTCATTGCAGCACAAAGCAATCAAGCACTAACCTCTTCACTGACACATGTGAAAATCGAGGTCCACAAATAGTAAATCTTTCAATTGCTGGACACAGCCAGTGTCAGATTAGGACTAGGACCTCATTTCACTGACCTAATCCTTGGAGGCCTACAAAAGATATAAAGAAATCCCTTCTTCTCCACTTGCCTTCATCTGATAAATGTGGAATAGGCATTTTTGTGAGTTGGAGACTTACTTAACAGGTCTTGGCAAAGATTTGCTCCTGGGTCTGACACTTAAACTTATCCATCTCTGTTTCTTAATAGAAGTGAATACTTGATATCAAATTTTAATATATAAAAATAAATATTTCAGGGATAATTACCTTAGAATTATGAGTAAAATATTTTCACCATTACATGTATTTTTGAAACTTAATTCTATAATTGTAGCAAAACATTTCAAAGCATGTAGTGAAGGAAATCAAATACCTGTCAGTGTGTAGAACTTATATCTATATGTATATACCACATTATGTGCATATATGGTATATCTTAGGTGTGCTGTGTTTGGTTGCAAGAAGTTTTCATGTGATCTCTCTAATCAGTAAAATCTCTAGTATCCACCAAATGTATTGATTAGTGACTTAGAGTTGCTGCATGAATGAGCTCGTTAAATCCTCACAAGAGCCCTACAAGGCAAATATTATTATTGTTCTAATTTTAAAGAGGAGGAAAGTGAAGCCCAGAGAACTAAAGTGACCTTTCTAAGGCCACATAGACAGTGTCGAGGAGACCAAGTATCTCCTATGGCTAGTCCTGTGCACTATTGCTGAAGTATTTTTCTTAGGGGGCTTGGGAGGAGACAGTGGTAGAACCAATGAGGTAGAAGTGGAGGATGGTAGGTGACAGAGTCTCCATCCAGTGGGGTTGGAGTTAACTCATCTAAGAGGCCTAGTGGCCAGGCCAGAAGGCAGAAAGGACCCAAATCTTGGTAAATGCTGGTGAAAACCCCATCCCACTCCTCCTACTCAACCACAGCCACCTTTAGGCATTCCCAGCTAGAGCATAGACCATAATTAAGGATATATATGAAAGATGAAACATATGGCCAACATCTGGACCAACTCTTCAACAGTGCCCATTGTGAAGAGACTGATGATCTGGATATACTTACTATTAATAGTTTAGGCACACTGTCTATCACACTCATGCTGCCTGGGCCAGACACATGAACCAGCATAGATGCCATAATGGCTTGACCAACAATGGACCTAGTTTGAGTTGCTGGTCTTGCTAATTTGTACCGTAATCCCAGATTGTCATGGACAGACTGATGACCTGAACATGCTGGGCATTTAGATATAAAACTGAGGCACCCCCGCTCACTTCATCTTGGCCAGATGCAAAGGGCCTAGATGGAGATTGTTCAGTGGACCGTTTTGCATCTTCTACTTGCAAGTATTTATTAAGCACTGGGGCATGTTTCCCTAAAGTTCTGTTGGACCTAGTTTTGACGCCAGAATGGCTCTGCAATTATCCAGAGCCACATGAAAATCAAGGCTTTCTATTTATAAACATTAAATGACTCAGGTGACAGATAATTCGATTTTTAAAAACTATATACATTTCTTGAAGTATTTTCACCATCATTACTTAGGTTTTTGCCATTTAATCCTGGTGTGTGGAATTACTGGTAGCTGGTACTACCAAAAAAGAGTTGGTAGTTTAAACTGAGGTGCTGAGAACAATTAATATGACATTCCAAAGTGAAGTGGCAGTATAAATGTTAATACTTACAGGGGAGAGCAGAAAACTAGATACAGTGCTCTTCAATTCTTCATTAACATCTGCAAAATAAAAGGATCAGTATGTGTCAGGTTCAGAGAGGATCTGGGGACAATTTCTTTAGAAAGACCTGTTAGAGGTCTGATGCAAAAATCTCCTTGCTTAAAGACCCTTTTCCTGGGAAAAGGGTCTTTAATGAGACAATGCAAGGAAAATTTCTTAAGAGAGAGCACTGAGTGCTGTAAATAGCCATGTCTCCCCTCAAAGGGATAAGGTTGCATTACCTGTTAGTCTGACATGTAGAAAGGAGGCTTTAATGAGACCACTCCAAGAGTGGGATCTTGCTGTCATGTGTGAAATCTCTAGGATGAGAAATAGCAAACTGCATGTTTGCAATTAGCAAGAGGAGAGTGGCCTCACTGGGCGTCCTGCACTTTGAGGTTTTATTGGTATTAGGGAATGTATACAAGTAACCTGTGAATTAGGTTCTGGAGATGAACGTTAACATGGGGAAGGTCCTGTCTAAGAGGGTAGCCTAGACTGAAGGATGAAGGGACCTTGACCAAGGGAAGTGAGGGCATTATCATGTTTCTATGAGCTGAGGAAGGAGTACATGCTCTATACTGTGAGAGATACCCTAATTTTAAATAAACTCAGAGTTTTAACTATTACATAGTTCTAGACATTTTACTATCCATATTGAAACTGTTATTTCCAAGGATAAGGAAAGTCTAGCCTCTCCTAATAAAATTAACAGGCAGTGGGGGAAAAAATGTTGTTTTAAGATTGCATCCCAAGAATGAGTTGTGTTTGTCCAGTACTATTCTGTACACTATAACATTAAATGGTAGTATTGAATAATCAAATACACTGAAATGTTTAGCAAAGAGATATATATTCTGAAGTCTTTCCTAGGAACAGGCTTACAGTATCTATAGTTTCAATATTTAACTGTCATGGTACTTTCTCAAAAGTTTGAATATTGAACATACTACATGTTATAGAAAAAAATAACATGCCTGTAATCCCAGCACTTTGGGAGGCTGAGGCGGGCAGATCACGAGGTCAGGAGATCAAGACCATCCTGGGTAACACAGTGAAACCCCCGTCTCTACTAAAAATACAAAATATTAGCTGGGTGTGGTGGTGGGCACCTGTAGTCTCAGCTACTTGGGAGGCTGCAGCTGGGAGAATGGTGTGAACCTGGGAGGCGGAGCTTGCAGTGAGCCGAGATCTGAGGTAGCACCACTGCACTCCAGCCTGAGTGACAGAGTGAGACTCTGTCTCAAAAATAATAATAATAATAATAGTGTGACTAGTCTAAATAGACTAAATTAATAAATTAATAAAATAAAAGAACAATGTGAATGAAATGTATCAACCACTGATGTCTGAGAGAACTGGTTTATTTTCTATTTCTAATCCAACTTTCTTCCATATCTTCAAAAACCCATCCTCTTCATCTCCATTAGCATCATACTTAAGTTTGCATTCTATCTTTAGGATGATTATGGTGTAATTATATCTGCTGAACATGTGTGATGTCTGATATTTCAATTAGACATTGAAGTAGAACCCAGCTATTATAAGTATCTCATAATGATTACCTCTTGTCTTGGGATAATCTGTCATTGTGTACACTTATTATATTTAAATACAGCCATAGCAACATTAAGGCGATGTTTTCTTTCTCTGAAACATCTGCATCTCCTCACTCACAGTTACTTCCTGGCTTCTTATTTATTTATCATTTTTAATTTTTCCAGAGAATATTCATGGAAGCTTCTCTATATTCTTCTAGTCATAAGTCCCAATACTTCAGCAATCTCATATTTGAGCACACTAATTATATCTTTGATTAATAGAGTTTTTAATCATAACATGATTTTGATGTTTGTTCAGATGATATTTTTCTTAATTTATGAAATCAGGGAACAAATTACTGCTGCTGTTTTTGCTTATATAATTTCCTATTATTTTATAACTGACATGGAAGAACATTTCTGTTACTAGGGAACTAATCTACAGTACATCATATCTCTTAATAGATTGGAATCATAGGATTTGAACAGAGAAGGTGAAGTATACAAATCCCCAAAATAAAAAGAACGTAAAAGATAGTTGCCCAAGAGATCATTAAAATAGGAGATTTCATGAACCTAAAATAGATTCCACTAGGGAAGGAAGAGATGCCAAAGTGCAGGGAAAGCATAGAAAGGAAATCATGGCTCACTCTATGTGGGGAGGGTTTTAAGAGAAGAAGATGACAGAAAAAGAGGGATGGGAAAATTTTAAACAATTCAGATAAACAGATTATTGGCTTTGAAATTTATTTAAGGAAAATTTAAACTTGTGAGTAGTCAATTTTGGAATTATCACTGTCATCAATTTTAACGTTATAAGTGGAAGATTTATCATTTCAAAAGGAGATAGAGCTTTTATGAAGCAGAAGATGCGACGATAGGTGAGTTGTAGTTGCTTAGGTAGACAGGAAAGCAGAATTTGCAGCTGGAAAGACATAATTCACAGCCAATTTCAAGGGGCACCATTGTATTATACAATGGAAAGGGTGTGGAGTAGAGTTCCTGTGACTGATCTACCACAAATAATCCAACACATAAGCTGGGTAAATTACTTTACCTTTCTGGGCCTCCTCTGCCGCTGGTAAAAAAAGACAGACTTGGTCTAAATAAACTTTAAGGTCTTTCTGCATTTAAAATTCAAGAAAAAGATGCTTTTTGAAATCTTTTAAGAAAAGCTTATAAGATTTTTATTGAAGATGCCACGCATTTACAAGATGTTCTGTTAGAACCCTTAGACTAGAAGGAATCTATTTAAAGAATATGTGCACAATGGCACTTTATTCAGACCATGTATATTTGCATCTTATTGCTCATATCAGATATGAATGTTGGTCAAACCTGCAACTCTGGCATAATCTATCACTTGCAGGCATGAAAACAGAGCATCTTACAATGCTCTCACCTTGTGTAGTGTGGTGTGATTCAAGCTTAGCACAAATTCGTCTACTGAAAAAATTTCATGTTCAGTCCAAAAAGTGATGATTTGATACTTCAGCTTTGACTTTAAATTCGTGTGTGTGTGCGTGGGGCTGGGGGAGGGGTTCGTTATAGAGGGTAAAAAAGTAATTTCTACTACATATCTCTTACAATGGCTAAAATTAAAAACAGTGACAATACCAAATGCTGATGAGAGTGTGGAGCAACAGGAACTCTCATTCATTGCTGGTGAAATGCAAAATGGTACAGCCACTTTAGAAAACAGTCTTGCTCAGTTTCTTACAAAATTAAATAGACTCTTAACATATGATCCTGAAATCATGCTCTTTGGTATTTACCCAAATGGGTTGAAAACTATGTCCATACCAAAAACCTGCACATGGATGTTTATAGCAGTTTTATTCATGATTGCCAAAAATTGAAAGTAACCGAGATGCCCTTCAGTAGGTGAATGCACAAACTGTGATACATTCATACAATGAAATGTTTTGCAGTGCTAAAACTTAATAAGTTTGTAGGATACAACATCAGTACACAAAATCAATTGTTTTTCTATGTACTAGCAGTGAACAAGTGTAAAATAAAATTAAGAAAATAATCCCATTTATAGTAGCATCAAAATAGATCATATGATATTTTGGTTCAAAAACCTCCAGTGATTTTTCTCCTACTCAGAGGAAAATTCCAATGATGCCATCATTCCTTATGAGGTTCAACAATGACCTTACTCTGAGCTACTTATCTGACCTCATCTCCTTCTGTCTTCCCTCTTGTTCACTCTGCTTTTGTCTCATTGGTATCTTTTCTGTCTTCAAATATGGCAGATATGCTGCTTGAAAGTCTTGTCTCCCAGATAGCTGCATAGTCTGTTCCCTCACTTCTTTCTGCAACTACATCTTTGTTCAAATGCAAATATATTTTTAAAAAGGATCTCTCTCATCACCAACATAAAATAATTATCTCCATCTCCACCCTCATTGCTTTTTTTCTCTTATATTGCTACACACACACACACACACACACACACACACACAGCTTTTGTTTATTATTCTACAACTTTTTACTTGCAACATGTTCAAGCTTAGAGAGAAGCAGCAAGAATATTTAATGAACACCTTATTCCATTCACCTGGATTTATCTACTTCCATGAGTATTTCCCAAGAACAAGGTCATTCTTTTAAATAATCACAATACAATGATCGCATCAGGAAAAATTGTATGGATTCAATTATACTGTTTAATATTCAGTCAATATTTAAATTATTTAATTGTTCCAATAATGTTATTTATAGCTGTTTTTTTCCAATTCAGTATTCTAACAAAGATCACATATTGCATTGTATTATATATCTTTAGTCACCTTTAATCTGGAATAGTTCTCAGCTTTTTTTTTTTTTTTGTCTTTCATCTTATTAACAACTTTGGAGAATGTCTTTTTAAATTTCATTGTTTTAGTTAATCCCTCATGATTAGATTACAGTTAATCATTTTTGGCAGGAATATCACATGAGTAATGTCTTACGTTAGGGATATGTGATGTTGCCTAGCTTTACATTTTACTCATTTTCTTGCTTGTTTATCTTTTCTCCTGTGAGAATGTAAGCTCCGTGAACATAGATCTAACTGTGTCTCCGTGGTTCACTGTTTCATCCTCATAGCTTGGGAAATATTTGTTGAATGAGTGGATGAATCCACAGCACACCAGCTTTATCGTGAATAATATGGAACAGCTGATCCCCACAGCTTGCTATCAGGTACTGCCAGGCAGCAGACCCATTGACCCTACACCCCATTCTGAGAAGGATGAGAAGTCCCAGAAAGTGAAACTGTTTTAGAATTTGTGGTATCTACTGCTGATCACATGTCTGCACAGAAGTATACCTATTTATACATTACATAACATATTACATTTATTAGGTACATTTTAAATGTATACATAAAAAGTTTTTAAGGACATAATTAAAAAGTGGATATAGATAGAATTTATAATATTGTCTTTCCAGACCAAAATGGCTTGTTTTTCCAATTCCTGTGGGTTCCTAAACTTCCATTTTGGAGATCATTGTTTTTATCCATCCTTCAGCAGAGCTGTGGTAGTGTGGTGAGTGCACATAGGAGTCTCTTCACTGGTCAGAATTTGGGGATGATCCCAGAGTTCCTAGCTCAGTTTTAGACAATATGTTTTCTTATTCTGGTAAATCTGAGCCTGCTCTTTTGAGGCCTTTCTAAGAGGCTCCTAAATGTCACTCAAAGTTGATAGTTATTTAAGATAAAGATGCTCCAGGTCTCAGTTTTTGACTTCTAGATGTTCAGCCAGGAAATTTCTTCAGTTCTTGGAAAATGATAAATTCTCAGAGGATAGCCCTTCCAGACCAGTCTTTAAATGATGCAGCTCAGAATGTTGCTAGGAATCTGAATCATCTAGCATGCCTTTGAAAATCAGTCCCATAATTATCTGAAGGGCTCCTTTAATTAAATCCATGTTTCAGGATGCTTAATCCAAACTGAAACATTCCAGAAGTGTACTTACCGAAAATAATATATTGTGACCATTTAAACCCCTGGTGCTTTAAATCAGCTACACTATAGTGGGTACTCCAGTGTCAAGGTCTTTGTCCCCAATTCAAAGTCTCATTTAAAAAGAATAGCTTCCCTAAAGTGTAGAATCAATTCAAGTCATTGTTTCTTTATGAAGACATTTTTTGTACTGTATATCCATATGAAGCCCCCCTTCTTATGAAATTACATGTGTCTTCAAATCTTCAGGAATTTACATTTTCAATATTTTAAGCAATTTTTTATTTTTAAACTTATGCTTTGTCATAATCCTGTGATTTTTAGGTTAAGGTTGAATAAAAGAATCATCTTTGAAGGTGCAATACCTGAGGCTTCCAGAAAGGTTATGTGCCTTTCTTTATAAAACGCAGATTTTCTGGGAAAGTACAATTTTTCTGCATCTCCTGAATCATGCATTCTTAGTATTCCCAGTGTTATTTATGGTGGTTGAGTGTTTGGGGAATGTACCATGCCATTTGTTTAAATTAAGAAGATAGATTCTTAATGTTTTCTATGTAACTCAGAATTTCTAAAAGGCAGCTTAACATTCTGAGACTTCAAAAACCATCAACGATATACTATTTATTTTAAATGAGTGTAGAACTCCTAAGGGGAAGAAAAGTTCAGTCAGTATTGAAAATTATATTTGTCAAGTGTTATTGGAGAACATTTAAGATATTTTAGAAATAAATCCTGCTCAATCTTTTATTTGGGACATGTCATTTTCCTTGTGAGTATGTGAGTGATTAAAGATCTTTTTGGCCCATCTCATTAGACAAGAAATGTTGACCCTATAAATAAGACATTTTAAAAGACAGATGTGCAGAGATTCATAAGCAAAGAAAAAAGAAGCCATGAATTTAAACACACACATACACACACACACACACACAAACACGCTTTTCATGCAGCATGTAGAAGCAGCAGCTGTAGTGTTTGACATTTGCACTGGATATGCAGCATTAAACTTTACAGTTTTCTAAGCATCTCAGGTACCATTTTACATATTCAGTTGTATCCAGCTTTCCATTATTGTTGGCAGGACATCCTTTGGAATGTCTGCTCTACTCAGGAGGTGATCTGGTGCCAGCCTCTTGCAGAGAAGGAGACAAAAAAGAATCTGTAATTTAAATAAAAAATAATGGTATAATAAAATTGGCAAGGAGGCAAAATGCCCTTAAAATCTCAATATCCTGAACAAAATTCAATTTCAGAAGGGCAGAGCTTTCCCAAAACTCTTTAAAACTCTCACTCTATGATAAGGCTCTTCAGAGAGAGATACCTTCCCTTCGTCTCAGTCAGAAGTTACTTGGATTACTATGTCAGGAAAACATCTCAGAGGCATCTAAGCATGTACTTTTTAAATTAAAAATTGGCTTTGCTCAAAGTAAAATGAGACAGAAATTGTCTTGGATATATTTTCCATAGAAGCACCTGCTTTGGGTGCAACCACACATAGAAGGATTTTGGCACAATAAATTGTCCGGCCCAATCAAGAGATGATATTTTGGATATTGTTCATGGCACCTTTTAAAGGCATTTTCTAGTGTTCTGTCTAGACTCATGTTCCGAGGTCAGCACACAGCCTTAGGATACTGTTCGTTGGCTGAAATAAGAGAACAGATGAGGAAATTGAAATTAAGGTCCTACCCTCGTTAGTGAAGCTGTGTCTGAAGCTACAGGACTGAGAGCACTGTTTTAAGAAGCCAAAAATGTCAATCTTAGCCAAATGAACTGCCATCACAACTAGTATGATCCTTGAAATCTTATAACACATTTTAAAATCTGGAATTTTATTATATATTATTATATAACAAGAATATTACTTTTGATAATTGAAACATATGAGGGTGACTTAGGGCATTTGATAAAATTATCACAATTATCTTTCTTGTTTGTGGAATATGTGTATTTTCTTTTCTGCCAAAGTTAAGCACCTTTTCATTCTGTTATTTAACTGACTAATATTGAGAACAACCTTGTAAAACATGTCACTCTATGGGATATTTCAAATACTAAAGAGAATTAGTTGTGCCCACTGATCCATGGCATCCTGTCACTTGGTGACCGAATGACCCCTAGAAGGTCACCCCAACCAAAGATGCGCACTACCTGAGCGGTGTGTATACAGCACAGCAATACTTCTATCAGACTCAGCAATCAGAAAGCTGGATTTTGAGATTAACTTTCTGTGAGATTCTTAATCCAAATCTGATAGATTTAAACATAAACAACAAAATCTAAATGAAAAATTCCCATGCCTTTGAGAACCATTCAATTGAAGCTGTTTCCCTGGAATTTAAAACAAACATCGACTATCTGCATATTATATGCATTTGTCACGTACTTTGCTTTTTATCTAATTGAATCCTTTCTCCAACCTCACTTTACATAGGTATATACTTAAGCTAAGAGTTGTTAAGTAACATGGCTGAGAATACCCAACTGCTAAGTGCTGGGTCAAGACTTGAATCCAAATCTGACTCCAAAACTCTTGCTTTTAAACCATGTTGCTGCTGGGCCTGGTGGCTCAGGCCTGTAATCCCAGCACTTTGGGAGGCCAAGGCGAGAGAATTGCATAAGCCCAGGAGTCCAAGACCATTCTGGGCAACATGATGAAACCCTGTCTCTACAAAAAAAAAAATACAAAAAAATTAGCTGGGCATAGTGGCATATGCCTATAGTCCCAGCTACTTGGGAGGCTGAGGTGGAAGGATTACTTGAACCTGGGAGGTCGAGGCTGCAGTGAGCCATGATTGAGCCACTGCACTCCAGCCTGGGTGACAGAGTGAAACCTTGTCTCAAAATAATTAGCTAACTAACTAAACAAACAAACAAACAAACAAACAAACCATGTTGCTATGCCTTCAATGTTATGCTCTTTATTTTTCCTTTGACATTAACCCCAATATCCCAAAATTATATTCCTTTAAATCAGGCTTTTTAATCTCCAAAAAGGTATGCAAATTTATATGTGCATATACGTCCAGGTTTATGTATTTCTTCTAGAAACATGGGGCATGATTTTCATCAGGTTCTCAAGCTTATCTGTGATTCAAAAATGATTAGAAACCCTGATAGAGCAGTAATTAGTAACCAGTGAAGAGTGCCTCTGCCACTCTAAGTAATCAGATACATCACATCATTAAGACCTTTTAAAAATATGTAACGTATATGAAAACCACACATTGACATGTGAATAAGAAAAATGTATGGTTATTAGTATTTACACAAATAGCATTTTATATATCATTGCAATTATGGTGTTCTTCAAATTTTATATTTAGTTTGTGTCCTGTTAGAAACCAGAAAGAAACTGTTGTGCTCTAAATTAGAAGTGATGGAAAATATGTACTTTATGTTCAGAATGTTACTTGGAAAACATATTTTCTTCATCTTGTATACACTAACATAATGGGGAAACATGACATTCTTGTATGATGAGGCATAACACTGCACAAAGAGGAAACTGATGAAACCAAAGGAAAACAATTGGTAAATCATGAGTTCTTCTGTGATAAGCCAGATGTGTCAAAAGTAGTTAGTATTTCTCCTGCAAAGAAAATTAGGAGGGAAATAAAGTTAAATAGTGCCCTAAAATATGTAGAAATGATCATAGCTGAAGTTTATAGAGAGTAATAAAATGTTGTTTTTATGAATTATGGCAATTAATAATTGGCAGTATACTATGGTTCTTGTTCCAATCAGCTTATAACTACGAGATTTATTTCCTTCTCACTAAGATCATAATCACCCCTCTCTTCTGTATCTTCAAAATTCTCCTTTCATGTCAGTACATAAACATGATCAAATCTTTCCCATCTCATAGCCCTTCTCTCAATATATTTTCAACATACTGACCTCTCTTTCCTTCCTTTCATATCCAATCTAAGTCCAACTCATTATTGCAATGCTCTTGCTAAGGTTTATTGATAAACTTCTCAAAATCACCTTCTATTATCAATATTTAGACATCTTAAAAGTGACTCTGCAACATTTGACACTTTTAAACATGCTTATATTAGTCCGTTCTTGTGCTGCCATAAAGAAATACCTAAGACAGGGTAATTTCTTTTATTATTATTATTATACTATAAGTTCTAGGATACATGTGCAGAACGTGCAGGTTTGTTACATAGGTGTAAATGTGGCATGGTGGTTTGCTGCACCCATCAACCCACCATCTACATTAGGTATTTCTTCTAATGCTATCCTTCCCCTAGCCCCCACAAGCCCGGGTGTGTGATGTTCGCTTCCCTGTGTCCGTGTGTTCTCATAGTTCAACTACTACTTATGAATGAGAACATGTGGTATTTGGTTTTCTGTTCCTGTATTAGTTTGCTGAGAATGATGGTTTCCAGCTTCATCCATGTCTCTGCAAAGGACATGAACTCATCCTTTTTTATTGCTGCATAGTATTCCATGGTGTATGTGTGCCACATTTTCTTTATCCAGTCAATCATTGATGGCCATTTGGGTTGGTGCCAAGTCTTTGCTATTGTGAATAGTGCTGAAATAAACATACATGTGCGTGTGTCTTCATAGTAGAATGACTTATAATCCTTTAGGTATATCCCTGGTAATGGGATTGCTGGGTCAAATGGTATTTCTGGTTCTAGATTCTTGAGGAATCACCACACTGTCTTCCACAATGGTTGAAGTAATTTACACTCCCAACAGTGTAAAAGCGTTCATATTTCTCCACATCCTCACCAGCATCTGTTGTTTCCTAACTTTTTAATGATTGCCATTCTAACTGGCGTGAGATGGTATCTCATTGTGGTTTTGATTTGCATTTCTCTGATGACCAGTGATGATGAGCTTTTTTTCATATGTTTGTTGGAGCATAAATGTTTTCTTTTGAGAAGTGTGTGTTCATATCCTTTGCCCACTTTTTGATGGTTGTTTGTTTTTTTCTTGTAAATTTGTTTAACTTCATTGTAGATTCTGGATATTAGCCCTTTGTCAGATGGATAGATTGCAAACATTTTCTCCCATTCTGTAGGTTGCCTTTTCACTCTGATGATAGTTTCTTTTGCTGTGCAGAAGCTCTTTAGTTTGATTAGATCCCATTTGTCAATTTTGGCTTTTGTTGCCATTGCTTTTGGTGTTTTAGTCATGAAGTCTTTGCCCATGCCTCTGTCCTGAATGGTATTCTCTAGGTTTTCTTCTGGCTTTTTATGGTTTAGGTATTACATTTAAGTCTTTAATCCATCTTGAGTTAATTTTTGTGTAAGGTTTAAGGAAGGGTTCCAGTTTCAGTTTTCTGCATATGGCTAGCCAGTTTTCCCAGCACCATTTATTAAATAGGGAATCCTTTCCCCATTTCTTGTTTTTGTCAGGTTTGTCCAAGATCAGATGGTTGTAGATGTGTGGCATTATTTCTGAGGCTTCTGTTCTGTACCATTGGTCTATATATCTGTTTTGGTACCAGTACTATGCTGTTTTGGTTACTGTATCCTTGTAGTATAGTTTGAAGTTAAGAAGTGTGATGCCTCCAGCTTTGTTCTTTTTGCTTAGGATTATCTTGGCTATATGGGCTCTTTTCTGACTCCATATGAAATTTAAGGTAGTTTTTTCTAATACTATGAAGAAAGTCAATGGTAGCTTGATGGGGATAGCATTGAATCTATAAATTACTTTGGTCCGTATGGCCATATTCACAATATTGATTCTATCCACGAGCATGGAATGTTTTTCCATTTGTTTGTGTCCTCTCTTATTTCCTTGAGCAGTGGTTTGTAGTTCTCCTTGAAGAGGTCCTTCACATCCCCTGTAAGTTGTATTCCTAGGTATTGTATTTTCTTTGTAGCAATTATGAATGGGAGTTCACTCATGATTTGACCCTCTGTTATTAGTGTATAGGAGTGCTTGTGATTTTTGCACATTGATTTTGTATCCTGAGACTTTGCTGAAGTTGCTTCTCAGCTTAAGGAGAATTTGGGCTGAGATGATGGGGTTTTCTAAATATATAATCATGTCATCTGCAAAGAGAGACAATTTGACTTCCCCTCTTCCTATTTGAATACCTTTATTTCTTTCTCTTGCCTGTTTGCTCTGGCCAGAACTTCCAATACTATGTTGAATAGGAGTTGTGAAAGAGGGCATCCTTGTCTTGTGCTGGTTTTCAAAGGGAATGCTTCCAGCTTTTGCCCATTCAGTGTGATATTGGCTGTGGGTTTGTCATAAATAGCTCTTATCATTTTGATATATGTTCCATCAATACCTAGTGTATTGAGAGGTTTTAGCATGAAGGGGTTTTTAATTTTATTGAAGGACTTTTCTGCATCAATTAACATGTTGTTTTTGTCATTGGTTCTGTTTATGTGATGGATCATGTTTATTGATTTGCATATGTTGAAACAGCCTTGCATCCCAGGGATGAATCCAACTTGATCATGGTGGATAAGCTTTTTGATGTGCTGCTGGATTCGGTTTGCAAGTATTTTACTGAGGATTTTCGCATCAATGTTCCTCAGGGATATTGGCCTGATATTTTCTTTTCTTGTTGTGTCTCTGCCAGGTTTTGGCATCAGGATGATGCTGGCCTCATAAAATGAGTTAGGGAGGAGTCTCTCTCTTTTTCTATTGTTTGGAATAGTTTCAGAAGGAATGGTACCAGCTCCTCTTTGTACCTCTGGTAGAATATGGCTGTGAATCTGTCTGGTCCTGGGCTTTTTTTGGTTCGTAGGCTATTAATTACTTCTGCAATTTCAGAACTTGTTATTGGTCTATTCAGGGATTGGACTTCTTCCTGGTTTAGTCTTGGGAGGATGTATGTGTCCAGGAATTTATCCATTTCTTCTAGATTTTCTAGTTTATTTGCATAGAGGTGTTTATAGCATTCTCTGATGGTAGTTTGCATTTCTGTGTGATCAGTGGTGATATCCTCTTTATCATTTTTTGCTGTGTCTAATTGATCTCTTTTTTTCTTCTTTACTAGTCTGGCTAGTGGTCTATCTATTTTGTGAATCTTTTCAAAAAACCAGCTCCTGGATTCACTGATTTTTGGGAGGGGTTTTTTGTTTTTCTATCTCCCTCAGTTCTGCTCTGATCTTCGTTATTTTTTGTCTTCTGCTAGCTTTTGGATTTGTTTGCTCTTGCTTCTCTAGTTCCTTTAACTGTGATGTTAGGGTGTCGATTTTAGATCTTCCTCGCTTTCTCCTGTGGGCATTAAGTGCTATAAATTTCCCTATAAATATTGCCTTAAATGTGTCCCAGAGATTCTGGTACATTGTGTCTTTGTTCTCATTGGTTTCATAGAACTTATTTATTTCTCCCTTAATTTCGTCATTTACCCAGTAATCATTCAGGAGTAGGTTGTTCAGTTTCCATGTAGTTGTGTGGTTTTGGGTGAGTTTCTTAATCCTGAGTTCTAATTTGATTGTACTGTGGTCTGAGAGACTGCTTGTCATGATTTCTGTTCTTTTCCCTTTGTTGAGGAGTGTTTTACTTCCAATTATGTGGTCAATTTTAGAATAAATGTGATGTGGTGCTGAGGAGATTGTATTCTGTTGATTTGGGGTGGCGAGTTCTGTAGATGTTTATTAGGTCTGTTTGGTCCAGAGCTGAGTTCAAGTCCTGAATATCCTTGCTAATTTTCTGACTTGTCGATCTGCCTAATATGGACAGTGGGGTGTTAAAGTCTCCCACTATTATTGTGTGGGAGTCTAAGTCTCTTTGTAGGTCTCTAAGAACTTGTTTTATGAATCTGGGTACTCCTGTATTGGGTGCATATATATTTAGGATAGTTAGCTCTTCTTGTTGCATTGATCCCTTTATCATTATATAATGGCCTTCTTTGTCTTTTTTTTATCTTTGTAGGTTTAAAGTCAGTTTATCAGAGACTAGGATTGCAACCCCTGTTGTTTTTTTTTTTTTCTTTACATTTGCTTGGTAAATATTCCTCCATCCCTTTATTTTGAGCCTATGTGTGTCTTTGCACCTGAGATGGGTCTCCTGAATACAGCACAATGATGGGTCTTGACTCTTTATCCAATTTGCCAGTCTGTGTCTTTTAATTAGGGTATTTAGCCCATTTACATTTAAGGTTAATATTGTTATGTGTGAATTTGATCCTGTTATTATGATGCTAGCTGGATATTTTGCCCGTTAGTTGATGCAGTTTCTTCATAATGTAGATGGTCTTTACAATTTGGTATGTTTTTGCAGTGGCTGGTACTAGTTTTTCCTTTCCATATTTACTGCTTCCTTCAGGAGCTCTTGTAAGGCAGGCCTGGTGGTGACAAAATCAGCCTTTGTTTTTCTGTGAAGGATCTTATTTCTCTTTTGCTTTTGAAGCTTAGTTTGGCTGGATATGAAATTCTGGGTTGAAAATTCTTTTCTTTAAGAATGTTGAATATTGACCCCTATACTCTCTTCCAGCTTGTAGGTTTTCTGCAGAGAGATCCACTGTTAGTCTGATGGGCTTCCCTTTGTGGGTAATGACCTTTATCTCTGGCTGCCCTTAACATTTTTTTCTGGTATTTCAACTTTGGTGAATCTGATGATTATGTGTCTTTGGATTGCTCTTCTCGAGCAGTATCTTTGTGGTGTTCTCTGTATTTCCTGAATTTGAATGTTGGCTTGTCTTGCTAGGTTGGGGAAGTTCTCCTGGATAATATCCTGAAGAATGTTTTCCAACTTGCTTCCATTCTCCCCATCAGTTTCAGGTACACCAATCAAAAATAGGTTTGGTCTTTTCACATAGTTCCATATTTCTTGGAGGCTTTGTTCATTCCTTTTCATTCTTTCTTCTCTAATCGTGTCTTCATGTTTTATTTCATTAAGTTGATCTTCAATTTCTGATATCCTTTCTTCTGCTTGATCGATTCAGCTATTGATACTTGCGTGTGCTTCATGAAGTTCTCATGCTATGTTTTTCAGCTCCATTGGGGCATTTATGTTCTTCTCCATACTGGATATTCTAGTTAGAAATTCCTCTAATATTTTTTCAAGGTTCTTAGCTTCCTTGCATTGTTTTAGAACATGCTCCTTTAGCTGAGAGCTGTTCATTATTACCCACCTTCTGAAGCCTGCTTCTGTCAATTCATCAAACTCATTCTCCATCCAGTTTTGTTCCCTTGCTGGGGAGGAGCTGTGATCCTTTGGAGGATCACAGAACCTTTCTGGTTTTTGGGATTTTCAGTCTTTTTGCATTGGTTTTTCCTTATCTTTGTGGATTTATCTACCTTTGGTCTTTGATGTTGGTGACCTTCAGATGTGGTTTATGTGTGGATGTCCTTTTTACTGATGTTGATGTGATTCCTTTCTGTTTGTTAGTTTTCCTTCTAACAGGCCCCTCTGCTTCAGGTCTGCTGGAGTTTGCTGGAGGTCCACTCCAGGTCCTGTTTGCCTGGATATCACCAGCAGAGGCTGCAGAACAGCAAATATTGCTGCCTGTTCCTTCCTCTGGAAGCTTTGTCCCAGAGGGGCACCCACCAGTTGCCAGCCAGAGCTCTCCTGTATGAGGTGTCTGTTGACCCCTGCTGGGAGGTATCTCCCAGTCAGGAGGCACAGCGGTCAGGGACCCACTTGAGGAGGCAGTCTGTCCCTTAGCAGAGCTTGAGCATTGTGCTGGGAGATCCACTGCTTTCTTTAGAGCCAGCAGGCAGGAACATTTCAGTCTACTGAAGCTGTGCTCACAGCCACCCCTTCCCCTATATGCTCTGTCCCAGGGAGACGGGAGTTTTATCGGTAAGCGGTTGGCTGGGGCTGCTGCCTTTCTTTGAGAGATGCCCTGCCCAGAGAGGAGGAATCTAGAGAGGCAGTCTGGCTAGAGCGGCTTTGCCAAGCTGCAGTGGGCTCTGCCCAGTTAGAACTTCCCAGCGGCTTTGTTTACACTGTAAGGGGGAAACAGCCTACTCAAGCCTCAGTAATAGTGGACACCCCTCCCCCTACCAAGCTTGAGCATCCCAGGTCAACATCGGACTGCTGTGCTGGCAGTGAAAATTTCAAGCCAGTCGATCTTAGCTTGAAGGGCTCCATGGGGGTAGGATCTGCTGAGCTAGACCACTTGGTTCCCTGGCTTCAGCCCCCTTTCCAGGGGAGTGAATGGTTCTGTCTCACTGGTGTTCTGGGCACCACTGGGGTATGAAAAAAAAACTCCTGCAGCTAGCTCGGTGTCTGCCCAAATGGTCATCCAGTTTTGTGCTGAAACCCAGGGCTCTGGTGGTGTACTCACCCGAAGGAATTTCCTGGTGTGTGGGTTGCCAAGACTGTAAGAAAAGCATAGCATCTGGGCCAGAATGCACTGTTCATCAAGGCACAGTCCTTCATGGCTTCTCTTGGTTAGGGGAGGGAGTTCCCCAACCCCTTGCACTTCCTGGATGAGGTGACGCCCCATCCTGCTTCTGCTCCCCCTCTGTGGGCTGCACCCATTGTCTAACCAGTCCCAATGAGATGAGCAGGGTACCTCAGTTGGAAATGCAGAAATCACCTGCCTTCTGCATTGATCTTGCTAGGAGCTGCAGACTGGAGCTGTTCCTATTCGGCCATCTTGCCCAGGAATCGAGACTGGGTAATTTCTAAAGAAAAGAGGTTGAATTGGCTCACTGCTCAGCAGGCCACAGAGAAAACATGACTGGGGAGGCCTCAGGAAACTTTCAATCATGGTGGAAGGGAAAGCAGTCACATCTTACATGGCTGGAGCAGGAGGAAGAGCAAGGGGGGAGGTGCTCCACACTTTTAAATAGCCAGATCTCATGAGAACTCTGTATCAGAAGAACAGCAAGGGGGAAATCCACCTCCACAATCCAATCCCCTCCCACCAGACCCCTCTCCAACATTGGGGATTACAATTCAACATGAGATTTGGGCAGGCACACAAAACCAAACAATATCCATGCTCTTATTAAATTCCCTTTTCACTTGTTTCTGTAGCACTACTCTTCCATGGTACTTCTTCAAGTTTGTCCTTGGCTCCATCTTAATTTCTGGAATGGGCTCCTATACTTTGGCCTGCTCCTTAAACATTGGTGTTCCCTAGAGTTCTGTGGTTAATCTTTGTCTTTTTCTCATTCTATATCCCCCTATCCTATCCTCACATATCATTCTAAACCTTGGTTTCAACTACCACCTTAATCACAAAAAATTTTTTATAAAGAGGATCATTTCATAATAATAAAGAGGTAAATTCATCAAGCGAATGTAAAAAATCTTAAATATTTATGCACCTTAAAACATAACACAAACATTTATAGAACTGCAAGAAGAAACAGACAAATGTACAATTTCAGTTGCTGATTGAACACTTCTTTCTCAGTGATTTATTGACAGAATATTAGTATATAGAAGACATCAACCAACTGGACTTTGACATTGACATTTATAAATCTGTATCTATCTAAAATTGAATTCATAATTCAAAAGTTTTCAACACACACACATACACAAGCTCAAGGGCAGATGGCTTCGCTATCCAATTCTATTATATATTTAGGAAGACATTGTATCGATCCTATATACACTGTTTTGGGAAATAGATGTGTCAGGAATACCTCCCAGATCATTTTATGAGTTCAGCGTTACTCTGTGTCCAAAACCAAACACTAAAAGAACAGAAAACTTTGGACAATATTCCTTCTGAACTTAGATGTAAATATTATTAATGAAAGCAAATTGTACCTAGTAACATAAAAGGAGGATAATACATCATGATTGTGTGGCATTTATTCTAAGAATCTAAGGATCGTTTTGCCTTTGAAAATCAATCAAATATAATTCACTACATTAAGAGCATTAAGGAGAAACTCATGTCATCATATTAGTAAATACTACTCCAAAACATATTTGACAGATTTCAACTCTCATTTGTGTTAAAAGTTCTCAGCAAACTATGAATAGAAAGGAGATTTCTCAGCCTGAAAAAAGGTGTCTATCAAAAATGTAAAGCTAACATCGTACTTATTAGTAAAAGGTTGAATATTTTCCCCTGAGATCAGAAATAGCAAGTAGGTTTGCTATGAAGCCTCTATTAAACAATGTACCATGGCCTGATATAAACCAGGCCAAAGAAGTGAAAGACATACAGGTTAGAAAGGATGATTACATAGCTAACCCAAAGGAATCTACAAAACAGCTACTAAAATTATTAAGTGAATTAAGCAGAATGAAAGGTCAAAATCCTCCAAATCAAAATGGTATATTTTTATATAACAGCAATGAACAACTGAAAGATGAAGTTTCTTAATTACCATGTTAAAAGTGTCTGAAAATACAACATACTTAGGGATAAATATAACAGCATATGTGTAAGACCTGTACATTGGAAAATATATGCAAAAATCCCTAGGGAAATACTTAAATATATGTAGCAACACACTGTGTTCATGAATTGGAAATCTCAATATTGTTAAAATGTCAGTTATCTTCAAATTGATCAATAGATTTTATCCAAATCTGATCAAAATCCCAGTAGAATTTTTAAAAAATAGAAATTGACAATATGATTCTAAAATTTATATGTAAATATAACTAGAATAGAATTAAAAAATAGAAATTGACAATATGAGTCTAAACTTTATATATAAACATAACTGGAATAGCCAAAACAATTTTGAAAATAAGGACAGAGTTGGAGGACTTACACTACATGATTTCAAGACTTATTATAAAACTGTAGTTATCAAAAAAAATAGTATTGGTGTTAGGATAGTCATATAAATCAATAGAATGAAAGAATAATGTCAAAAAGAGACCCACCCATATGTGGTTATTTAATTTTTGTAGAACAAGATTCTAATGTAATTCAAAGAGGAAAACAGTATTTATTTCAACTAATGGTGCTGAAATGGAATATTCCTTTTGGAAAAATAATTACTTGTAATTCTTACCTAACACCATACTAAAAAATTACTCAAAATGGATCATATATTTAAAAGTATGTAGTGGTTTTAAACACATCTGCTCAGATTTAACCACATTTCAAAATGCAGAGCCTTTTTGAATATGGGCCAGTCTTGAATATGACCAGCCTTAGCAACTCACTCCAAGAGACTATAGGTGATACCATGACATTTGAGGCTAGGTCATATGATGTATGACATTTTGTTTCTGGCTCTTTCCCTCAAGAAGTTTGAACTCAGCCATGGTATCGTATTATAAAAAAGACCAGGCCACATGGTGAGGCCACAGGTAAGTGTTCTGCCTGACAACACCAGCTATGATCCCACCTGATAGACAATATCAACCATCAGACATGTGAGTGAATGAGACTTCAGGTGATTTCAGCTCCCAGCCTTCCAGTTGCCCTAACTGCCATTCCAGGTGCCCTAACTGCCATTGAGTAGAACAAAGACAAGCAGTGCTTACCAAACTCAGCTTAAATGCAGATTTATGAGCCAAATAAACATGGTTGTTGTTTTAAGCTTCTAAATTGTGGTACATTTTGTTATGCAGCAATAGATAATTAGAGCAATATAAAAGCTAAACTGCCAAACTTTTAAGAGAAGTATAAAAAAAATTCATAGTTAAGATGATATGGTTAGGGTGTGTTTCCCCACCCAAATCTCATCCTGAATTGTAATGCCCATAATCTCCATAATCCCCACATGTCAAGGGGAACACCAAGTGGGGGTATTGGAATAGTAGGGTTGGTTTCCCCTATGCTGTTATCATGACAATGAGTGAGTTCTCACGAGATCTGATGGTTTTATAAGGGGCTCTTCCTCCTTTGTTCAGCACTTCTCCTTCCTGCTGCCTTACGAAGAAGGTGCCTTGCTTCCTGTTCACCTTCCACTATGGCTGTACATTTCCTGAGTCTTCCCCAGCCATGCTAAACTGTGAATCAGTTAAACCTCTTTCTTTTATAAGTTACCCAGTCTCAGGCAGTTCTTTATAGCAGTATGAAAATGGACTAATACAGTAAATTGGTACCTCAGAGAGAGGGGTGCTGCTATAAAGATACCTGAAAATGTGGAAGCAACTTTGGAACTGGGTAACAGGAAGAGGTTGGAATAGTTTCCAGGGCTCAGAAGAACATAGAAAGATGTGGGAAAATTTGGATCTTCCTACAGACTTGTTGACTGGCTTTGACCAAAATGCTGATAGTGAAACGGACAATGAAGTCCAGGATGAGGTGGTCTCAGATGGAGATGAGGAACTTTTTGGGAACTGGAATAAAGTTGACTCTTGCTATACTTTAGCAAATAGACTGGCAGCATTTTGCCCTTGCCCTAGAGATCTGTGGAACTTTGAACTAAAGAAAGATAATTTAGGGTATCTGGCAGAAGAAATTTCTAAGCCCCAAAGCATGCAAGATGTGACTTGGGTGCTATTTAAAGCATTCAGTTTTATGCATTCACGAAGAGGTGGTTTGGAATTGGAACTTATGTTTAGTAGGGAAGCAGAACATAGAAGTTCAGAAAATTTGCAGCCTGATGATGGGATAGAAAAGAAAAACCCATTTTCTGAGAAGAAACCCAAGCTGGCTGCAGAAATTTGCATGAGTAAAAAGGAACCAAATGTTAGTCACCAAGACAATAGGAAAAATGTCTCCAGGGCCTATCAGAGGTCTGCATGGCAGCCCATCCCATCATAGGCCCAGAGGGCTAGGAAGAAAAAATGGTTTCCTGGGCTGGGCCCAGGGCCTTGCTGCTTTATGCAATCTTGGGACTTGGTGCCCTGTATCCCAGCCATGGCTAAAAGGGGCCAACATACAGCTCAGGCCATTGCTTCAAAGGGTGAAAGCCCTAGTCCTTGTTGGTTTCCACGTGGTGTTGGGCCTGTGGGTGCACAGAAGTCAAGAACTGAGGTTTGGGAACCTCTACCTAGATTTCAGAGGATGTATGGAAATGCCTGGATGTCCAGGCAGGAGTTTGCTGCAGGGGTGAGGTCCTCATGGAGAACCTCTGCTAGGGCAGTAAGGAAGTGAAATGTGGGGTCGAAGCCCCCACACAGAGTCCCCACTGGGGCACTGCCTAGAGGAGCTTTGAGAAGAGGGATACCATCCTCCAGACCCCAGAATTGTAGATCCACCAACAGCTTGCACCATGTGCCTGGAAAAGCTGCCGACACTCAACACCAATATGCGAAAGCAGCCGGGAGGGAGGCTATACCCTGCAAAGCCACAGGACAGAGCTGCCCAAGACCATGGGAACCCAGCTCTTGAATCAGTGTGACCTGGATGTGAGACATAGAATTAAAGGAGATCATTTCCGAGCTTTAAGATTTGACTGCCCCTCTGGATTTCAGAGTTGCATGGGGCCTTTAGCCCCTTCATTTTGGCCAATTTATCCCATTTGGAATGGTGTATTTGCCCAATACCTGTACGCCCATTGTATCTAGAAAGTAATTAACTCGCTTTTGATTTTACAGGCTCCCAGGCAGAAGGGACCTGCCTTGTCTCAGATTAGACTTTGGACTTGGACTTTTGGGTTAAAGCTGGAATAAATTAAGACTTTGGGGGACTATTGGGAAGGCATGACTTGCTTCGAAGAGTGAAAGCAACATGAGATTTTGTAGGGACCAAGAACAGAATGATATGGTTTGGCTGTGTCCCCAACAAAATCACATCTTGAATTGTAATCCTTATAATCCCCATAATCCCCATGTGTCAAGGGAGAGATGAGGTGAAGGTAAGTGAATCATAGTGAAGGTGATATGGTTAGGGTTTGTTTCCCCACCCAAATCTCATCTTGAATTGTAATGCCCATAATCTCCATAATCCCCATGTGTCAAGGGGAACACCAAATAAAGGTAATTGAATAATAGGGCTGGTTTCCCCATGCTGTTATCATGATAGTGAGTGAGTTCTCAGGAGATCTGATGGTTTTATAAGGGGCTCTTCCACCTTTGCTCAGTACTTCTCCTTCCTGCCACCTTGTGAAGAAGGTGTTTGCTTCCCCTTCTGCCATGACTGTAAATTTCCTGAGGCTTCCACAGACATGCAGAACTGTGAGTCAATTAAACCTCTTTCTTTTATAAATTACCCAGTCTTGGGCAGTTCTTTACAGCATTATGAAAGGGGATCAATACATAGGATTAGACAAAGATTTCTTTAAGGGATATTAAAAGCACAAACCACAAAAGAAAAATATTGGTAAATTAGTTATCAACACAATTAATAATAGTTCTGTCATTCTAAAGACAGTATAAAGAATGAAAAGGCAAACTTTACCATACATATATTTGACTCAAGTATTAGTATGCAGAACATGTAATGAATTCCCCTCTCTCAATAATATGAAGACAAATACCATATTTAAATCTTGGCAAAAGATTTGTATAGGTATTTTTAAAAGAAGATATATAAAGCCCAATAAGCATATGAAAAGATACCCAATGTCATTAATTGGTCATTAGAAAAATGCATATTTAAACCTTAGTGAGATGACACTATACATCCACTAGAATGGTTAAAATTATATAAACTGACAACACAAAAATTTTGCTAGTACATGGAGTGCCTGGAACTCGTATATTTTTAGTGGGAGTGCAAAACTGTGCAACACCTTTGGAAAACAGTTTGGTAGTTTTTGTAATCTAGTTTTTATATAGTTAAACACTTACCAAAGGACTCAGCAATTCCATTCTTAGGTATTTCACCAAAGGAAATGAAATCACATGACCATACAAATATTTGTACAACTTGGTCCTTAGATATATAGGATGATGCATTCTAAATTCTGTTCTTAATACCCTTTGTTGGTCAAGAATTTTAATTAGATTTACTATTCTTTTCCTTTCTTAAAGGACACACCCAGAGGATCCCATAGTCATGGGCTTACTTTGGTACCTCCCTTACTGTGCAGTGGACAGATGCTCTCCTGGTCTGATCCTATGCTGTGTGGTATTTCATGATGGTGGGTCCAGCATTCCATAAGCCATCGGATAGTGGTAGTGGTACAGGCAGAGTAGAGAAAGCAAAGGTATAATAACGATACATGCTGTATCCAGGGATTATCATTGTCAAGATTGTGAAACTTCCCTTTGGCTTACTATGCATAGTTTATTTATTTTGCATGGTTTATTTGCTTTGCATACTTATTTTCCCCAAACTTCTCTGGGTGTCAGGGAGTTTAGGCTGCTCTCAGAGGCACATCTTCAAACACTTCTATCTAGAAACTTAAAATTATATAAAATTATCACCCTTTCATCTTCCCTCACACTTCCTTCCTTAGTGGTCTGATCTCAGCAAGATGTTAAGGAGGGAGGTGATACGATATATTTTTGAATAAATGTAAATGATAACAAAATTTAAAATGTGTTACCTTTCTTGGAGTACCTTCCTTTTAATCAACAAAGATAGTCACAATTTCTTTTTTAATGTCACTGACTCAGCATAATTTTAACATATTTTCTAGGTATTAAACTTAATAAATTTTTATGTAGAGAGACTTCAATGAAATTTTAATTTACATCATATGTACAATTTCACATATTTATAAGGATATTCCTGGATATATGTAAATAAAATTTTTGCCAGAAGATATTACTAAAAAATGTAGAAGTCGAATCAACTCTTTTAAATTCAGCTTTCTAAAATGTAGATAAAGGCAGTCTCTTTATCATCTATAGGGAATCAGCAAGGATGAATGAGAGAAGTATTTTATTTTTTCCAGAGAACATCTACATATTAATACAATTTGTATACGCTTTTACAATAAATGGTCTGGATTAAGGTTTCTCTCCCTTATGACAACCCAATCTCTTGAGTATATCTTTCTACTGTAAATGTCATGTAAAGGAGCAATTTACATAGTTCATGGATCAGAATTTCTTCAGAGAATTGTGAGAACCTCTTAAAAAAGCTGGGTAAAAAAAGTCAAATTAATTCCAAACGTTTTATGCTTCACTTAGTGTTTACCTTGCATTTTTATTCGTTACTGAGAAGAAATGGCTGTGTGTACATAAAGAGTTTTTCTTATGTCTAAATTCTACAATATCATATGTGCATTTTGACTGCTGACAGGCTAGCCTAATGGCATTTTGAATTATGTTTTTATTATATACTATTAGTAAGGACTGCTTAAGTTTACTTTTCATTAATATGCAGTTAGGCATTTTGTGCTGTTCATTGTTATTATATGTAACAATATTTACCTTTCTAGGCATAGAAATGAATCTCTTCTATCAAGATGAAAACTACAAACGACTGTTTCCATGAAAGTGAGAATAAAGGTAAAGTTGAAAATTTTACCTGGTTCTAGAAATTTTGGAGAAAAGCAGCAGCTATGCTGGGTTAAGAGGTCTTTTAAGAGGAATAATTTGTGGAACAAATCTTTACAAAACCAGAACCTTCAAAGAGAGAATGTCAGATTTTAAAAATGATATATAATGTTTCTAGGTTGATTCCACACATGAACCCCACATTCCATGGATATGAAATATCTTTTTCAAAATCCATTCTTGTTTTGGTATTCTAGACTCACAACATACACTGATATATAATTCCATAAATCTAAAATTTATATTAACTCTTCCCTTTCACTCACCTGCCAAATTTAATTGGTCACCATCTTATTAATTTCACCTCTGAAATTAGTCTTGAACTCATTCATCTCTTTATCAAGTTCCCCTGTTTTCTTCTGAATTATAATAATTTCCTGAATAAATTCCCAATCTATGATTCTCTCAATTTCTGGCTGATATTTTACTGCATCTAGAATGATCTTTCTTAAAGGCAACTCTGCTAAGGCACCCACCATATTACATATCATGCAGTAGACCTTGAAAACCTACATCTAGGATCCCTAAACTTGGATAGCCATCAGAATCACAGGAGGAATTAATAAAAAGTATAGATTTATGAAGTCTGGATTGGAGTCTAGAAATTTTGCATTTTCACAGCTTCTTAGGTGACAATAATTGATAGTTTCCTATGTGGTTTGAGGATCACCCTCTTTCCTAGAAGTGGGAAACAGTGATCTACAGAATGAAGAGTAAATTCCTTGGCATCATGCTGTCAGCCTTTCATTATGTGGCCCCTGGCTGCCTTTCCTTTCTCATCTCTACCAATAACCCCAACAACCTGGTGCTGCAACCATGTTTAAATACCTTTTAGTTTCTTCAACTGTATGTTAAAGCAATTTTAAGTCTTCATTAATATTGTTTCCATTGCCTGGCGTGCCTTCCCCATAATATCCACCTTGTGAAATCTATATTTTAAGACTCAGTTCAAACATCAAGCCTTCTAGAAATCCTTTCTCTATTTCCCCAAGCAGGAATAAGCAATTTATCTTGTGCATACCTTCATTATAATATTTACAACAACTTGGAAGTTTACAACTCATAGACACAAAAGTCTACAAGGCCAGGCTGCTAACATAAATAACATAAATAACCAACAAAGTGAAGACTGTGGCAAACAGGAGAGTTTAAGCCTTATCTAAAGGGCAAAATTGTGCCCACAGTCCTTCATGGTAATGACCAATGAAGTTGATCAGCAACTGCTGTGTTTATTATTTTTCCAAGAAAATTCCCTCCCCTCCACACATGTGCATTCATACATATTATGAGAAAGTTCATGAGTTCTGAATTGGCATCTCTTCCTCCAAAGGCACTGTTCATCCTTCTGTATCATGTCCTCGGCCTCAAAATGTTGACCTTTGGGTACTCTATCTATGAGATCCCTACAGTTTGGCCAATGGGAGGCACAAACAGGAAATTAGACTGAGGACAAGAAAATGAGGTCAAGGCTTTTATTCCCCTTCTCACCCCTCTACCCTCATATATTGGCTGTATTCCTCTACTGAAGCCCAAAGCTCCTGCAAGGCATCTCTCTTCACACATTTCTCTGGGCTCCAGTAACAACTTCCACTGTCTATTTCGAAAGCCTTCTCCAGGCTTGTAACAATGTTAGTCAGGGTTCTCTAGAGAGACAGAATCAATAGCATAGATAGATAATAGATAGATAGATATGAGGGGATTTATTAGCAAATTTGACTCAGAGATTATGGAGGCTGAGATGTCCCATAGACTATCTCGAAGCTAGAGACCCAGAAAGGCCAGTAGCACAGCTCGGTCCAAGTCTGAAGGCCTCACAACCAGGGAAAGAGATGGCATAACACTCAGTCTGAGGCCAAAGGCCTCAAAGTCCAAGAGACCACTGGTACAAGTCCCAAAGTTCAAAGGCCACAGAATCTGGAGTTCTGATGTCCATGGGCAGGAGAAGAAGGGCATCCCAGCCCCAGAAAAGAAAGACAAAGAATTCATCTTTCCTCTGCCTTTTTGTTCTATCCTGGTCCCAGCTGACTGGTTGGTGCCCGCCCACATTGGGGCAGATCTTTTCACTCATCCCAGTGATTCACACACCAATTTCCTGTGGATACACGCTTGCAGATGAGATCTGGTAAAGAAATAATGCTTTACCAGCTCTCTAGGTATCCCTTAATATAAGTTGACACCTAAAATTAATCGTTATAAATCCACCCCAGGTCAATTTGACACCCATACTCATCTCCTTAAACCATACTAAACCTTCAAATAAAGACAATAACAAGGTTCCACCTATCAATCTAACATGATGCAGCTATCCTGCATTCAAGCGAAAATCCACTAATGTCTTCCTCAGAAGAGAAGGTAAAGTCCTTGAGTGATGTTTACAGTTTGCTGATTACTCATAAACTAATGATATAAAATTAACAATATTTAAATGCTAATATAAAGTTGATGAATCTTATGTTACATGATAAATGAATGAGAGGAGCAAAAACCAAGATATTTGCTTACTATATGTATATATACACATAAACCTATCTTTAACAAAATAAGGAGGAAATACGACAATTACAATCCTCGTTTCTGTAACTGGTCACATGATCATAGCTGGTATTTATAAGTACCTTCTTCTAGTACCCATTCTGTATTCCCTTTGCCTTCAGTAAGCACCTCAGTTGGTTATGGTTCTTTACCTGGAAAGATAACACAAACCTTCATTCTGTAAGGGTCTGGGCCATTTGTAGTCCTGCCTGGTCTGGGTTGTTATAATTTCCCACTCACCTTTATCACAGGGTATAGTAATTCTAACAGATGCCCTAAGAGATCTTATGTAATCTGACATATTCATCCTTATTGCCGTTGTTGAGTAATAGTCTAATTTTTTGTTGATAATCTGGATCAATCACCACTGCCAACACAGTAATTCTCTTCTTAGTCTGTTGACTCAGGGGCGTGAAGAGTCCAGAATGGCTAAGTGGCAGTCTGAACTTCCAGTTCAATGGATGCATTTTTGTGTTTCTTAGTGGAAGCATTCCTCCTTCTGGAACTCTAGGGAGCAGAACATAAAGTCACCACAGGAACAGAAGCAATAATTTTGCTAGTGGGTCACTAGGAGTAATGGTGAGGTGGTGTCACTTTCATTTCTACTCTTTGATCTCTGGACCCATGAATCTTGGCCATGGGAGAAACAGAACCATATATTGGATGTTGATTCAGAGCATATGCAACCTTCTGGAGAACCTTGCTCCAGTTCTGCAAAGTATTGTCAGCTAGATGGCACTGTAACTTAGTCTTCAAAAGGCCATTCACCTTTCTATCAAGCTGGCTGCTTCAGGATGATGAGGAACATGGTAAGACTACTGAATTCTGGTGCTTGAGCCCATTGGCACATTTCTTTGGTCTTGGGGTGAGTTTTGTGGTCAGAAGCAATGCTGTGTATAATATCGTGATGGTAGGTAAGGCATTCTGTAAGTCCGTGGATGGTAGTTTCGGCAGAAGCTTTGTATGCCGGAAATGCAAAGGGAAGGCAGATCTATATCCAGAGTAATGTCTATTCCAGTAACAACAAAAACGCTGCCCTTTTATGATGGAAGAGGTTGAATATAATCAACCTGTCAGGTAACTGGCTGATTAGCCTGGGGAATTGTGCCATCTTGGGGGCTCCATGTTGGTCTCTGATGCTGGTAGTTTGGGCAATCATCGATGGCATAACCAGGTTGACATTGCTGAGTGAAAGTTTATGTTGCTCAGCTCATGCATCCACTCCATTCCTGCTACCATGGCCACATTGTTCATGAGCTTTTTGGGCAATGGCAGGGTTGGCTGGGGAAAGCCACCACCAGTTCTAAATCAACAGTATGAGTCATCCTATCCACTTGATTAGTAAAGTCCTCCTCTGCTATGATTTGGTGAGCATTCACATGAGACACAAATACCTTTATGTCCTTTGCCAACTCAGAGAGGTCTGTCTACATATCCCTTTTCCAAATTTTTTTCTTCTTTGTTTCTATGAGACAGAATCTCACTTTGCAGCCCAGGCTGGAGTGCATGCAGTGGCATGATCATGGCTCGTTGCAGCCTCAACCTGCCAGGCCCAAGTGATCTTCCTACCTCAGCCTCTTGAGCAGCAGGGACTACAAGCACACACCACCATGCTTGACTAACTTTTTGGTTTTTGCAGAGATCGGGTCTCATCATGTTGCCCATGATGGTTTTGAACTCCTGGGATTAAGCAATTCTCTTGCCTAAGCCTCCCAAAGTGCTGGGATTATAGGCATGAGCCACTGCACCCAGCCCCAAATTTTCTTTGTCATGTACTTCCCAATTGTCAGTTTGGTTCCTTCTCAGTCCCAAACTCTATCCAGCCAAACCATTGGCTACAGCTTATAAATTGGTATATAATTGCACATCTGGCCATTTCTCCTTCCAAGGAAAGTGTACTACCAGGTGTACTACCTGAACTTCCACCCACTGAGAAGATTTTTCTTCACCATTGTCCTTCAGACATGTCTCAGTAAGGAGCTGTAATGCTTCAGTTATCCTCTTTCAGGTGGTGCCTGCCTATCTTGCAGAACTGTCTGTAAACCAGGTCCTAGTCTTCTCTCCCTCTATCAGCTGATCATAGGATACTCCCTATGAGGCCATAGGTGCAGGTTTGGAGAGCGAGGGCAGTGTGTCAAGAGTAGGAACCATGGGCTCTTGGGCCACTTCTTCAAGTAACTTACTTATGCCTTCACTTGGGCCATATGGTCCAGCAGACCCAATGATATTTGATGTGTTAGTGGAAGATGCTGTTTGGAGCCTTTGGCAGCCCTCTGTAGGTGAATCACAGCACTGGCCTTTAGGATTTGGAGCAAGGCCCTGCCATCACCCACAGATAATTATTCTTCTTTCGGGAAACAGCTCTTGGCCTGTTACTGGGCTTTAGTAGAAACTGAACATTTGACCATGGGCCACTAAGTTACTACGTGACCTGAGATGACCATGTGGTCATGAACTGGGTGCTACCTGACCAAACACTTCATAAAGCTGGGTGTGCACAAAAGCATTTCATCATCAAACGGAAGTGACATATACATGATCAGGCCCAAGCAAGCCCCACAAATTATGTAGCTGATTCTTCTGACAGTCTTAGATCCTATTAGTCACACGGAAGACAGGAGATATGGCCTTGAGTCCACGAAAAGTAAAGAGTTTGAATTGATAGTCTCGTGTATATCAACATCATTAGAAATCCACATTCTCTGTGAAATGGAGGACTATGAAGAAAATATATGGTAGCAAAGAACAATAGTAAGCAAAATCTTCTATCTCAGCCTGGGTTCTGTGTGGGAAACAATGAAATTTCCCTGAATTTTTTTTAAAAAGGAAAGGCATGCCCTCGTGTAGTTATTGGGTTTGAAATAATTTCTCTTTATTTATAGTCAAGGAAATCCTAAACCAAGATACTTATTCAATGATGCCAGAGTGGTAAGGTATCATTTTCAAGTGATACCTTATTTGCTTATGATGGTAGGTGAGGCATTCTGTAAGTCCATGGATGGTAGTTTTGGCAGAAGTATTGTATGCAGGAAATGCAAAGGGAAGGCAGATCTATATCCAGAGTAATGTCTATTCCAGTAAGAACAAAAATACTGCCCCTTTTATGATGGAAGAGGTTGAATAAAACCAGCCTGTCAGGTATCTGGCTGATTAGCCTGGGGACTGGTGCCATCTTGGGGGCTCCATGTTGGTCTCTGATGCTGGCAGTTTGGAAAATCATCGATGGCATAACCAGGTTGACCTTGCTGAGTGAAAGTTTATGTTGCTCAGCTCGTGCATCCACTCCATTCCTGCCACCATGGCCACATTGTTCATGAGCTTATTGGGCAATGGCAGGATTGGCTGGGGAAAGCCACCACCAGTTCTAAATCAACAGTATGAGTCATCCTATCCACTTGATTAGTAAAGTCTTCCTCTGCTGTGGTTACTCTTTGGTGAGCATTCACATGAGATACAGGTGCCTAAAGGCACTTGAAAGAAGCAAATAAAATCCTTAACTCAGAACTGATAGGATTTCCATAGGGAAAACATAGACATTCAAATGTGAGTACATAATTCAAAATTAAAAACATGGTAAAGAAGAATAAGACCTGGTGCAATGGCTTATGTCTGTAATCCCAGCACTTTGAGAGGCCAAGCTGGGAGGATCACTTGAGCTCAGGAATTGGAGACCAGCCTGGGCAACATAGTGAGTTTCACTTGTGTCCCTGTGAAGAGACCACCAAACAGGCTTTGTGTGAGCAACAAGGCTGTTTATTTCACCTGGGTGCAGGCGGGCTGAGTCCGAAAAGAGAGTCAGTGAAGGGAGATAAAGGTGGGGCCGTTTTATTGGATTTGGGTAGATAAAGGAAAATTACAGTCAAAGGGGATTTGTTCTCTGGCGGGCAGGAGTGGGGGTTGCAAGGTGCTTGGTGGGGGAGCTTTTTGAGCCAAGATGAGCCAGGTGAGTTGAACAGTCCAATTTTCAGTGGGGTCCCGCACAGATGGGACATGGCTTAGGAGGAATCCCGGGCTGTGGGCATTCCTTGGCCTGGTGGCCAGATTTCTGGCCCTTGTAGCAGGCTCCTGGGGGAGGCAGGCTCCTGGGGGAGGCGGGCCTGGAGGAATGCCTGGCCACGGCAGTTTGGGCGTTTGGAAGTTCTTGTGTGCTGGAGATGTGGCTGGGGTTTCTCTCACAGTGGAGGCAAGGAATTGCAACTCAGAAATATGTTGCTACTTGGCTGCCTCTACTCTATTATTGTACACCTAGAAGGTGAGGTTAATTAAGTCCTGTTGGTTCGAATCCGAGTCACAGCACCAAATTTCACTCGCGTCCTTGTGAAGAGACCACCAAACAGGCTTTGTGTGAGCAACACGGCTGTTTATTTCACCTGGTGCAGGCAGGCTGAGTCCAAAAAGAGAGTCAGCGAAGGGAGATAAGGTTGGGGCCGTTTTGTAGGATTTGGGTAGATAAAGGAAAATTACAGTCAAAGGGGGTTTGTTCTCTGGCGAGCAGGAGTGGGGGTCGCAAGGTGCTCAGTGGGGGAGGTGTTTGAGCCAGGATGAGCTAGGAAAAGGACTTTCACAAGGTAATGTCATCACTTAAGGCAAGGACTGGCCATTTTCGCTTCTTTTGTGGTGGAATGTCATCAGTTAAGGCAGGAACCGGCCATCTGGATGTGTACAGGTCACAGGGGATATGATGGTTTAGCTTGGGCTCAGAGGCCTGACAGTGAGATCCTGTCTCTACTACAAAAAAAAAAAAAAAAAAAAATAGAGTGGTGTGGTGGTGTGCATCTGTAGTCCCAGCTACTCAGCAGGAAAATTTGAAATAAAATGAAAAGAGAATGGTCGTTGGTCGGAGTAAAGTGAAGCTGGAAAAAATATTTTCTTGTTACTTACTATTTGTGTGATATTGTACAATTTGTTTCCTGACCCTCAATTTTCTTAATCGATGTGTGAACAATAATATTTTTCTTCTAATTATTATGTAAGAATTTAATGAGACACATAATTTCTTCATGTAATATGCTCATGTGACTCATAATTTGCTATATATATTTAATTCCCTTACCTTTCTCTTAAAATACAAGATAACATTCATTCATTCATTCTCTTAATAAGTAGAAGCACCTGCTAGGTTTTACTGCTTATACTAATTAAAACACCAAAATCTTTAAACCTGTTTTTTGTAAAGACCCCCAAAGAAAATAAAATATGTATATAAATGAGTTGTCCAATGCAGATCACATCATAATTAATATAATTCTGTCCACTAAATTATGTTCCTAAGAAGCTGTAGTTCGCAACCTAGCAATGAGATAATCTCTGAAGCATTTTACTATGAATTAAGAAATAAAGGGGAGAATACATAGCAGAAAAAAGAACCACAGATATGGAGTTAAATCAGAAGGAGTCAGATTCTAATTCCATGCCAATTGGATAGACTTCCCCAGTCTTCGTTGAGTAGCTCTCCATATGTCTCCAATTTAAACCAGGCCACTCCCAACAGGAGCTCTACCTCAAAGAAGGCTGAGAAATGGCTGGATGTCAGCGTCCTCAGGGTACTTAAAATACATTTGCTCTGACAGGATCTTGAACACCTGCAGTTATTTCAAAGGAATTTTGATCCAACAATAATTCACATAATTTATCATCTAGAGATGCCAAAGATTCTTTGAAAAACTATGCTGTAGTTAGCAAAAGAAAAAAAAAAGAAAAAAGTGATGGTGGGTGGCATTATTTTCACATAGGATGTTTTTACAGGCATCATTAAATTCTTGTTTTTTCTTTCCAGTCTTTGTTTCTCCGTAGTTGAAACATTGACTGTGGATGCATTTTTGAACTTTATTGTGTGTTTACAGTGAACACATACAAAGGAGCTATTCTTTTCTTTCAAGGGACCTGGGCTTTCAGTTTTGTTTTCATCTCAGATGAGAGCATATCTGAGAATCTCACCTTAATAACATTTACAATTTTGAGAAATTCCATGATTTTTCTTTTAACATAATCACACTGAGATTTGAAAATATTTAATGCATCTGAGAAGAATATGTTTAGTCAGAAAGAATAAGGGTTTGGATTCTTTACAGTTCCAGTTGTAAAATAAATGTCTTTCACCCAAATTTAGGGCTCTGGGCAAGCTGGGACAGAAAGGACAGCGTGTTGTGATTCCCTTTGTAAAACCAGTCAGATGTGCTCAAGGGGAAAAACTGGGGAGAAACTAGCAGTCTTGACATTGTGGATTGTGGGGAACCAGGTTTGTTTGAGACAAGCTAGGGAACTATTGGATCCAGTTAGCATTCAGAGAGAGTAAGAGAATTGATGCTTCCATAGGTAGACAGATATAAAGTAAAGCTTATGAAACCAAATCTACAAAAAGGCTCCAGGTCATCATTAGCAGAAAAGTTAATTAGAAAACGTGCTTTGAAAGTTAATTTCTTCAATAGTTACCTAACTTCTATCTTTGCTTTAAATAGAAACAACTTTATTAAATAGACAGAAGGCAGCTGTCTGCTGTCATAAAAAAACTTTTTAAAAACAAAAATTTATATATTGATTCCCCTGAGAGGTGTTTGGCTGCTACTCTCATAGCAGCACGTGACTGAGATAAGTCTACTATTGCTGTTCAGCTAGTCCTCAGTAGAAAACAATGAGCATAGGATTTCAGCTTTCAGGGTGAAGTCTATTTCCTGGAGAAATAGGGAAACCTCTACATTTTCCCCTTTCTCAGATTTTTCTTATTTAACAGAAATGATACTCCGTAAGAGCAGAATTGCCAAATATTAGTGTTCTTTGTAGCGGGTTAAATAATGAGTATTATTCTGACTCTACATCCTGAAAAAACCTGATCTTTCATAGATTTGCATGAATCAATCAGGATTCAGAAAGGTTGGTTAAAAGACATAGGATACACAAAAATAAAATCCCATTTTCAGATTGGATCAACTTGCCATGGAAATTATTACCAACATCATTTTTGTGTAGCTCTTCCAAACCTCAATTTGGCTTTCTTGCTTGGAAACACATAATTGCACAAACTATGCTCCCCAGAGACACTTTCCTGCACCTGAAAAAAAATCCAGTTATGCCCACAGACATGAACAAAAGAGCATGGATAGCCGAAATGAATCTCTCTTCCAAATGGGTAAAGGGACTCAGGCAGTGGCACATTGAGGTATTAAACATGTACTTTTTTTTTTTTTTTTTTTTTGCCACATTGATTGACCTACCAGAAAGCAGAATTGAAGAATGTTGTGGTTTTACTTGGGAGGTGGGTTCAAAAGCTTTTTGCTGCTAAATGGTATGGATAATTTGTATTTTATTTTATGATGAAAAATAGACTTATCCTGACTGAAACCTCTTAGCAAAAACCCTTTCCAACTTTTCAGCGAGGTTCTATTGAATCAAGTGCTTTAAGTTGATCTTCAGTTTCTGGCTTCAGAAAAAAATACCATGTCCATTCTGAAATGGAACAAAGTTTAAACACAGCTTTCTGGGTGGTTTGACACAATTCTAAACTAAAGACTTGTGCACTCACAGCATGACCAAGATTACCTCCCCGCCTCCTGCTGTTTCTTTATGGTGGCCCTTGATTGCAAACCTGCTATTACAGCCTTCTGGAATCCTTAACCCTTTCAAAGTAGTTTTTTTCCTTCCTGTCTTTCTTAGTTCGCTCCATATTTTAGAGATGGGTCTTGCTGAATCATCTCAGAATTTGTGATTTTTGTAGACCTGTCACACCCTCTAGGCTTTCATGGTACAATGAAGTTCATTACATTTTAATTTTTAAGTCATATTTTTATTATGAAAGTCTGCCTCAGATTTTATGAGTGAAATGAATGTTGGTTCAGAGCATGGGATCTAGGGCCAAACAACACTACCTGGGTTCAAATCCATGCTTTCCTTGTTAGCTATAGTATGCTTTTTGGACTGTTTTGTCTTCTGTAATTAGTTTTTTCATATGTAAAAAGGTTCAAAACCAAAGCTACCTCAGAGAGTTGTGAAGAGTAAATAAGCCAATGCATGTAAAGTGCCTAGAACTGTGTGTGGCACATATGAGCTCCAGAAATGTTAGCTATTACTGACCAAAAGTAGAATGTGATGTTTCAGGTGTGGGAAAGAGTAAACTTTTCAAAATTTAAATGATTCTCAGGATCCTGTGAATGATTGATACAGACCATCTAGTCACATTGGTAAATGTCATTAAAGACCAAGATTCGAGGTATTTAAGTTTCTTTTTATGTAGAGTAGGAATAGATATTTTTTTATAAAGACTTAGAGGCAGCCAAACATACCTATCATATAAGAATCGACCATATAAAAGTATTGGGGGGGAAAAAACTATAACTAGTTATCGAATGTGTGTTTCCTCCTAGGACTGTGAAATCAATGATACTCTGAGATATGCAGGGATATAGCTCCCTGCTGCCCCATAGTGGCAGTTGTTGTCAGTACAGTTTCCTCCCTGCAGGTCGTTAGTGGGGCTCCATGGAAATTCAACCAGTAGATTGCTAGGAAGGTAAATACAACCTACTGTATTCTTATCAGTAAAGGCCAGTGGCAATAATAGATAAGAAGAAAAGAAACAAGATCCCACCCACATAAGAAAAGAAATGTAAGTATCAGAAAGAAGTATCCTGTGAATTAATGTTGCCTGAGAAAAATGCCATTAATCCAAATGGCATGAACAGAGTGGCCCTAAATTGCTGTGAGCCTACATGAATTACTGCAGATTGGCTCTTGAAAACCTGCTACTTTATTCTCACTGTCTGTTTGTCTATCTATCATCTAAATTATTTTTCAAGCAATACTACCCTTATAGTATGTAGGGGCACTTTGAAAGCTAGTAATTTGGTGACACTTCAAGCCATTATATTTGAAAAACATTTTTTATTCTTTATTTAGAAAAGAGACTGAGCTTACAAAGGCAAGTCATGATGCATGGCACTGAGGATCATAGCTACCTTAGCCACATCTCTGCCCTCCTGAGCAATTCAGCTCTGCCTCCAAACTTGCATTTCCTACTCAGCAAAGTGAAAGTTCTATGAGTAAGTCAATTCCCCATTCTTAGAAAGCAATTTGTGATCATTTACTGTTTATAGACAACATTACCTATCAATACCAAGCAGCTTATCAAAGTGTTAACTCTGCACATATAGGTCTCTAATAAGGGTCCTGGTCGGTAGATACTTCCATATCTCACTGTAATTTCAGTCAGATTTTGGCAACTGCTAGTTGTTAGTGTCTTAGTTGCCTGTCTGTGCTTTCCCCAGGCTTCAAAACTTGGATTTTATCATCTGTCATGTTCCCACATCCAATATGTTGCCAGATTTGGTCCATCTGGTCTTGCAATATGACCTCCCACCATGCTTTTCTCTGCATTCCCCTGACACTGCCAAAACCCAAGCTCAATTACATCTCATCCAAATTTTGCCACAGCCTTAAACTTATCTCCCTCCCATCCTCTGTAAAGAAACAATGTGGTAGATTGAAGATATTATATGTTTTGGAGTCAGAGAAACCTCAGTTTGAATTCCAGTTTCACCACTTACTTTGCTGTGTGATCTTTGGCAATTGATCTTAATATGCATCTTAAAAAGGAGAAATAATAATCTCTTCAAAGAATCTAACACCCTGTTTGGCACAGTGTTGATACTTTAAAATGCCAGTTACCATTTTCCTTTCCCTTCTCTGTGGAAGATTCAAGGGCAGGCTAGAAGAAACCATCTCGTTGGTTACAGGTAATAAAATAGTGCATTTTAAATTACAGAGAATTTAAAGTTAACTGTGTAAATAACTGAAAGAACATTTGTTTGTTATTATATCCTGCACTTATAACCCTAAATAATGTCAGTGATAAAATGCTTCTCTTCTAAAAAATCCTTTTTTGGTATATGTTCTAAAGAATAGCTGCTATTGTTGTTGAGTTTCAACAGTAACATCAATTTATAGTAGCTTAAAATCAGCACATTTATGTTACCTACCTTTTGATAAGGTTTGGCTGTGTCCCCACCCAAATCTCATCTTGAATTGTAGCTCCCACAATTCCCATGTGTTGAGGGAGGTACCTAGTGAGAGGTAATTGAATCATGGGGGTGGGTCCTTCTCATACTGTTCTCGTGATGGTGAATAAGTCTCATGAGATCTGATGGCTTTATAATGGGGAGTTTCCCTGCACAAGTTCTCACTTTGCCTGATGCCATTCATGTAAGAGATGACTTGCTCCTCCTTACCTTCTGCCATGAACGTGAGGCCTCCCCAGCCATGTGGAACTGTGAGTCCATTAAAACTATTTCCTGTATAAATTACCCAGTCTCAGGTATGTCTTTATTAGCAACATGAAAACTGATGAATACACTTTCAATAAACACTGTATTGTACATAGGCATTAATCCAGAGAACTTTCAGTTATACAGCTTACCCCTGACATACAGATTCAGTCTTTGCCCACAGAGAACATACATAGCAGGTTGGAAGTATGCAAGCATGTTCCAGGCGTGATTCAAGTATTCCGATCTTGTAGTACTACCTATTCCTGCATTTAAACAGTTGATCTGAAATGAACAATTATAACTCAAGGTCTGTGAAGATAAAAAAGCAGAATTTGAATTAATTCCATTTCATGACCATTAAGAGTTATTTGCATTTAAATTTTCTGAAATTATTGTGAAATAGGATTTTTATGACTCTCTGCCAAACTTATGTCTGAGACTGTTTGAAACAACCTGTAGTATATTGGTTGCTTCAGATAAAATAAAATTTTGAAACTTAAAATTAACAAAACATGTTCTTTAGTCAACTTTGAATGAAGAGAGATTGATAAATATAGCTATATTTGCTATGGAACAGGAATATGAAAAACTATTGATTTTGATAAAGTTGCAGAAATCAAGGCTTTTAACAGAAACTGTAATGTTAATATTCATTATTGTGTCAAATAAACATGCATGTATAAGATTTTTCTCTTTTTCCAAAAATATTTTAGACATTTACAAGTGTATACCATAATACATACTATATATTGCTCTCTTTTACTGATTTTGTTTTTAATTTTTTTAGTGGTATAATTACATTGTAAAGTTTTAGAAAAGAAAATCTTAATGGTTCCATTTCTTTTCTAGCCATTGTCCTTATTTATCTCATTTTATGTTTATTACTGAAAATAAGTTTGTTATAAAGAGGAGGTAGGTGTTAAAAAGTGATGCACTTTATGTGTCAAATATAGCACCAACCCATCTTAACTCCAGGCCTCTCTCTTCAATTCTTTTCAAATATTAATGTCACTTATTTTTCTTGAGGCACAAATCTGATCATGCCATTTGTCTGTCAAATATTTTCTGGGGCATATTCTTTCATGCTGAAAGAAAGTTGCATGAAACTGCATTAGTGTGTGGCATTCATGGATTACCACCTCCTTGGGAATGCCATCTCCCCATCTTCTTTTCCTGTGTCCATAACTACTTGCAAGTCCACAAACAGGCCCTTTCAGGCCCTGCCTCCCACCTGTGCATATTGTTAACCTCACCTGGAATGCCTGGGCATCTTCTTTCTTCGTCTTCTCTAATCTTGTACTGGACCAACATCAGATTTGGGCTATCCTTTCATAAAACCTCTCCTGATGCTCCCAGGGAAAAAAAAATCATGCTCCTTTCCTCAGAATTTTCAGAGCTCTTGGGTTATGGGAATTTTCTTTTTCCTCTAAATCCCTTCATCTCTTGTGGTGTTTGTACATTTCTATTATATTATAATAACTTATTTATATTTCTTTTTTTAAATTTCTCCTTGGGGTAAAAGCTCCTAAAAGGCAAACTTCGTATCTTATTTATCTGATTCAGAGAACCAACAAGGCTGCTTGAGTAGGCATGGTGCTTCTTCTGCTTCAGTTTGCCCTTGCTGGATCCCCTAAAACTCCTAGCTGAGTGATTCTCATTTAGCCTGGGACCTGAGAAAGCCCTGAAGTTTTGCATGCAACTGGGTGTTCACATGTGTAGCTGTCAGATGAGCTGGACTCAAAGGGATTTAATCAGCTGCCATCCTTTCAAGCATGTCCAGTGGGCTAGTTTTTCTTGCCCTTGGATATAATTTTCGCAATTTTAATAAACTTTCTGATTCTTTTCAATCATAGCTACAATCTTATTTCAGAAACTGCAAAGTCCTCACAATGTTGAATTTTACCTGAGTCTTGTGCTATTGGTAAACAGTGATGGTTAAGAAATTCTCCCACTGTTTTGTGTTCTGAAGTAGCTCTTTGGACATTACCACCCTGCCCCCTGTGACTTAGAGAAGACTCGATGACTCTTTGTTTACCTACGACACAGACTGCAAATTCTCATTCTTTGACTTAGAAATAATTCATTGAACTACTTGTCCCTACTGGTCAATCAGAACAAAATACTTATTAACCAAACTTTTGTTGAGTTTCCCTCTTTCCTCCAGGGCCCTGAGCTCCCCTCTCCCCAGCCTGAGCTACATACAAGGTCTCCTGAGAGTAGGCTGGCTTCAAGGCAAAACAATCTCTGATCATACCATTCTTTCATCCACTTGTCAACACCAGTTCTTTGTAGCCCTGTCCACTCCTCCCGATAGCAGATACACTCTTTGCCTAACCCTTGAGGTGCTTTCATGTCTTACTGTCAGAGTGTTCTCCCTACTGTAATCATCCCATGCCTCTATTGCAATAGTCCCTTTCCTTACCTTGCAATAATCCTTTGAAAGAAAGTCTCTCCTTACAAAGTCCAGATACGTTTTGTATTTGACAGTCCAGACCAGAGTAACAATAAAAACTGCAAACTCTTTGGTAATTTAGAACTTCCCTCTGCCCTAGCTTTGAATGGCTTTAAGTCTGGAAAGCCCATTGTCTTTTTTTCTCCTTGCTTTGCCAGCACTTCACAATTTACTGGCTAAGATTCTGATTCTTTCACACCTGGCTGGGGGAAAGGCGATTTGTGAAAGAGACTTTGGCAGGTATTGTTGAAATTTGGTACTGGTGGCTCACCAGGGCTTTTTCTTCTTGGTACATTTTTTGTGGGTTTCCAGGAACGTTCCACTTCTGGAAATATCCAATGTCACCTTCCCTCATACAGCCAGCCACCTCGGCCCCCAGGCCTTGGAAGTCCACCTTTTTGGGGGGTCATTTTGCTCACTGACATCTTTCCTCACAGATAGTACTACTGGGCAGAGCCCTTTTAAAGGGAGCCTAGGCCAGTTTCCTCCTGTGGTGCCCTTTGGCTCAAAGGACTGCTCACCTATCTTGGCAGAGAAGCATCTTGTTCCCAATTCTGCCCTTTCTCTGCATTGCTGCTCCCAGCCACTCAGGGTCTTTGTATTTCTGTCATGACATAGAGCCTATTTCCCTGTGTCTCCCAAGCAAGTACTCTGAGTGGATCCCCTGTAGCCCTACCACTTGGCTCCACTTCTTCCCTTCCCCACCTGAAGCAATGAAGAAAACACCTCAGCCCGAACTCCTCGCAGCATTCTCTCACCTTATGTTAATGTTCTTTTCCCCTGAACCTCTTGTATTACCTGCAGCTACATGAAGCATAAAGAGTTAGGGTTAGTTTTTGCAAATCCTGCATAGGTAGTGTAGTACCTTAGTTCCGAACATGGAGGTATGTGGTACCTACCTTTGGGCCTTTGAACCTCTGCCAAAACTATGCAGGAAAACTCCCTTTTACATATGGTTATTTATTTATTTTTCTGAAGCAATTTGGTCAAAGGTGTCAACACATTCTTAAAAATGATCTCCAATCCAAAGAAGGTTAAAACCGATGGGTCACACTAGATGGCCTATCATACACCTTCACGTCTCCCCTGTTGTTCACTCAGCCTGGTCAGTGCTTATTCTTTCTTAATTTAATACATTTCTCTTCATCATTCGAGACCTGGTAATGGCACCCTTTCTTCTCTAAAGTCATTCCTTCCCCTGTCACTCCTCCGTCTTACAGAACAAATTCCTGCCTTCCATGTGCTACCAACCAATGTTACCCATACCTCTGCATGACATGTCACTTTTAGTTAATTCTTTAACTCAACATATACTGACTGAGTGCCCCAGATGTGCCAGGATCTGTGTCAAGCAATGAGGATGTGTGAGGTGGACATGGTCGCTGACCTCATGGAATGTTTTCTCCTCTCCTTGTTTGTTTATTGTTTTGAAGAGACAGAATCTTGCTCTGTTGCCCAGGGTGGAGTGCAGTGACACAATTATGGCTCACTGCAGGCTCTAACTCCTGGGCTCAAGTGGGAGCCTGGCTAATTTTCTTTATTATTATTATTTTTTTTTGTAGAGATGAGGGTCTCACTATGTTACGCAGGCTGGTGCCTCAGCCTCCCAAAATGCTGGGATTGCAGGTATGAGCCACTGTGCCCAACCAACATTGTCTCTTCTGCTATATCAGGAATTCCTTGATGGGAGAGTTTTCTGTTTATTAATCTTTAATCCTTGCTATGTGGCTTATAGGAATGCTCAGTATATTTACTAAATAAATTAATTAATGGACTTACACACAAAGCCTTAAATATGTTGACTTTTGTGACCCTGAATATAACAAGCTTGTTTAAACTGATCAGGCAAAAAAGATGATAAATGTCCCAGAAGAAAGAGGAAGTTTCACGTGATCTGAAAAAAGCTTGTGAAACTAACTTCACGTTGAAGACCCAGAGTTTCTGGCCTAGGAGCTGTTGTGGTTTTGGAATGATTGTTGAATGACCAACAATCATTCCAGAGAGATACAGTAGAAGGAGTCCTGCTACTACATTTTTGTCACATTCTTTAGCATTTAAAATGGTAGAGCGCTGTTGATAAATTTTGTGATACAACATTCGCTCAACAAATATTTAGTGAGTACCTACGACATGGGAAAATGTGTACTTAGCAGTGGTGACAATCAAATCAATTATCTACCCTAGAAAAGCTTACAACCTGATGAGAAAAAAAAGAAGCAAAAAATGATATAATATAAAGCAAAATGTATATCAGATAAATATGTAAGTGATGATATGGGAAGTTCCAGTGGTGGAAAATAATCACATAGATTATGGTTCTGGAGAAATAAACTTCCCAAAGATGATACCATTGGAGCTGAAACTTGGAAACTGTATAAACTGTGAAAAGCAGAGCTCTTCAGGCAGAAAAGAATAAGAACAAAAGCAGGAAGATGAGAAAGTACAGCTTATATTAATTGATCTGTGGACATTTACATGCATACATTTTTCAACATTAAGCATTTCCTGTGTAGTTTGTCATTGGTTTCTAAGTACTCACTTTAGTCGCTAAAGAACAAAGTGATTCCTCTATAGCTTGAGGTACCCTTGATGACCTTATAGAGCAGTCACTCTGGGGTATGTTTAAAGACTTTGGGGAAGCCAGGGGCTTTCCTTCTCTTTGGTGTCTGCATTTACTTAGTGGGAAGCAGTGCATGTGTTCACACTTCTTATTTAAAGCAAAAAATTTGCAACAGTTTTTGTCTTGTAACTAAAGTCTTTTCATATTTTAAAATTGCCATCGACTCTGTGTATAGAGTCACTAAAACCAGATCTGGGTCAGTATGTTCTTGGGATCACATTTAAACTCAGGGACCACCACTCACCCAGCCTGGGAAGGGTCACGGCTTTATCAGTCACATACTTGAATCAGAATCAAAATAGTTTTCCTCTTAGCTTAGCCTTTTTCTCCCACATTTATCTGCATTCTCCTGTGTTGATTTCTTTGTGTTTTTGTAATCTACTTCTCTCTAAATTTTTTTTTTTGGCATACTTCCACTTTGTAGTCTGTCTCCATAAACCCGGGAAAATGGACACTTGCCTGTTTTATTTCTCTCAGTCTTTAAATCTGATTGCTGCTCAACTGGTACGGCCGGTTCACATTACTCACTAACCCCCCTGTGGTGTAGTGCCCTGGTAATAGCGGCCACTTATTAAATTCCTTACTAAGTGGCAGTCTTTGGGCTAGCTAATTCACATCATTTATTTCATTAATCCTCATTTTAATTCTTAAAGTGGATAATATTTGTTCGTAGATGAGGAAACTAAGGCTCAGGGAAATTAAGCAAAATTCTCAGCAAGCATCAGGGCAGAACATTCTAACACAGTCTACCTGCCTCTGAAGCCTCTTTCTCTGTATGATCCTTGAGATTCATGATGTGCAGTTAAAGTTGGGTGTATTAAAACAATTCACCATATAGAAAAAGGAATTGATAAATACATAGGGGGAATATAGATTCGAATAGCTGTATTGAGCAATAGGCAGTCATTTTGTTTAGACTACTGCCATAAGTGTTACTACAGCTCATCTCTCTTTTTCGTGTTTTTTTCTGTCACTGTGCTCAAAAAACAGGACTAGTGAAATACAGTTCAGAAATTACTTGCACCCACAGGATGAGCTTAGACAGCCTCCCATCTCTACTTCCTTCTCTGCAGATGAGGAAACTGAGGACAGGGGAGGCTAAGTCAGTGCCTGAGGTAACATAGATGAGGGTAAGGGAAGACTGGAAGATGAGTTCCTGACCTCTACCACGGTATGTTACCAAAACATATGGAAATTCTTGTTGAGACAAAACTCAAGTCAATGCAATCCAATTGTGGATTATTGCAGAATTAGCTATAAAATACATGTAAATATCAGGTACAAAATTTTCTCCTCCATTTATTCATCATATTTACCCATTTCATCTCCTTTTTATTCTTATGTACAGAATTCTCATTCCATTCTCACATTTTCTCTTTGGCATCTGTAACTGTTCAATTGTTTCTTAAGTGTCAATCTTAATATATAATATATTTATAACTTATTTATTTTTGCTAACTTCAGTAAGATGTGTTTATGTTTTTCTCTACACATCCTTTTATGTGGTTAGCCTTTGTGATACCATATTAGTGTTAGTGACTCTTTTGGAATTATTTCTAATGTTTGATTATTTTTGGCTTGTTAGCTCTGTCTTTTTTACTGCTTTGGTATTTTATATTAGCCTGTCATTTTATCATTGTTATGTAATCTATCATCATCCACTTTTTATTTCCATAAAACAAGCACTGTTGATGCATTTTGTCTTTCCTAAATATTAGCAGCATAGGTTCTATGGTTAAAATATGAGCTGTGGGCTCAATACTTGCCTCCATCAGTAGTTAGCTGGACAACTGGATAACTGAGGGCAAGTTACTTAATCTATTACTTCTTCAGTTTCTTCAGCTGTAAAATGTGGATAATAATTATCTTATTTCATATATTTGTGAGGATTAAATGAGATAACATATTTGAATCCATTATGTAAAAATGCATTCTCAATTTTAAATTGTATCCCAAAACATTCATTTTGACCATATTCAAGAAACAGATATTCTCCCCCTTTCTACATGTATATATTTTTTCACAGATATCTCTAGAACAATGATAAAAGATATATTTAGAATTCTTTATAATCCTACTACTATCTTACGAAATCAACTTAAATTTTTTTTTACATAATAATAATCATAGGATGGCTACATTTGGAATTCTCCTCGTTCATGCAATAATTATCATATTTCTTAAAATGTTAGATTTCAAAAGTATAATTTTAGTGCTATGTAATACTCCTAGGAGTTGATAATTTGCCATTTATCTTAATTTTACCCCTTGTCATTCAACATCTGTGTGGTGGCAGAAAGTGCATGGATTTTAGAGTTAACAGAGTTAGTTGATTTGAATACTGGTCAGGTAATATTCAGCAGGCTATTTAACGTCTCTGAGATTTACTTTTCTTATCTGTAAAAATGAGAATAATGATTTGTATCTCCCAGGATTATTTTATTTTGAAAAATTAATGCGGGCAAGGCTCTGACGCAAAGTATTTGCTGAAATATTTCCCTCCCACCCCATTCCACAATGGTTCTTTTCCACCCTACTCTCACTCCAATTTTTGCTCAAATATTTTCTTAAATGGAAGATATGTTGGATAGTATTAAAGAAAAGAATTGGACTGGATATGTTATATTTTACTAAGATGCTATATTATCAATTTTAAACTGAGCTCAACTAGGAAATTCTTTTAAATGTTACTCTTGTATTCAAAATTGATCTGGGATTTTTTACTTACTTCATAGTATTGAAATTAAGAAGTAATTATCTTACTTTGAAGCCATCATAGCAAAAACAAACAAAAACTGAATTCCCATTCATACCATGTTACAAATCTATTTGATACAGTTATTATCTATTTAGTTATTTCATCTTCAAAGAAAAACTACAGGGGCAGATTTAGAAGTTTGTGGCTGTGCCGACATCTTTCCTACTATAAGTTCCAAAGGCAACATTCCAGTAGATTATTTCAACTTTATTATTTTAACATAAAAATAATTGCATCAGAATTTTCACAATAAATTCACAACTGGAATGGGTGATAATTATTCAGATCTGTTTCCTTACTTGCCAAGAGTGTATTGAGGTATCATTAATTCTCTATGTCATTTCTCAGAGGCTTTTCCAATTTTAAAAATATCTGATGGAATATAAGAACAAAGATTTACCACAAACTAACTTCCTGGAATTGCAAATGAAATCACCAAACTATGTGAATGAATTTTGGATCCATGCCTAATGCTATTCAGCCACATCTTTTCTTTATCATGATTCTCTCTGAGAATGTCTCATTGCACAGGGCATTGAATAGCTTCCCTGGGTAGTTTTGTTTTGTTTTGTTTTTTCATCAGTAGTTTACCTAAAATACAAATGGCATTGAATTCGCAGTTAATAAAATATATTATATGGCACATTTTACTAGTGAAATGACATTAGAGTGAAATATTTTCATCTAAAATTATGTATAAGGATTGACTTAAGAATGGTTATTTCAGGCTATTAGATAACAGAAGTTCCAGGAGATATACTATATGGTCAATTATTTGAAAGGTTAAAAATCCAATTTAATTGGGAATATTATTATATGATGATTATATTTATTATTATATATGATTTATGTTAGAATCGTGCCTGAAAATTTTTGTTAAGCTTCCAAACTGGCACCGTTCATAGTAACCATCATAAGGAAGAGATAGTACAAGAATTGAAGCCCAGCCTCTGAAATATTCTGAGCCGAACTTGCAGTGACGTTCAACTTTCAGCTCCACAGCCTCTCTTGCAATCTTTTAGCAGCAGGCACTGAATTACTGAGAGAAACGTAAGATTTATGTTTTTGAAGATAAATATAGGCATATATCTTCAAACTCATATTTCAGACACAAAGGGGTCAAAACATAGTGCACGTCTACTATCTTTCTTGAACTGTTCCTTCTTTCCTGGTCCAGGTGGTTTTCAGGTACAAGTGTAAGAAAGAGCAGTCAAGTGGTGTGATCTAAGGTGTATATAGGAGCCCTTCTCCCCCTCCCAGTTTACCTGAATTTCCCCCACCTGCTCTCTGGTACTTGAAATTCCCTTAATAAAGGACCTAGATTTAAATTCCACACTTGAAGATAGAAATGGGGATCAAAACACAAATACTCCCTTTGAGAAAGAGCACATTGACTTAAAGTCACACTAAAATATCTGGTTATATCAGATCCTTGACTCAAAAGCAGGTTTGTTGTTCAGGTAGGGGGAGAACAAAATAAATAACTTCATAGAAGGAAGTATGTGTTAGCCGAGTTTTATAGCGAAGACTATTTCCATTTGCCCACCTAAAAGCAAATTCATTTTAGCTACATTCAAGCGTCAGTCCCTTTATTTATTTATTTATTTATTTATTTTTGGTAAATGTAATACTTCTCAAAAAGAGAGGTGAGAACATAATTTGCTCTGAATTATTGGATGCTCTAAGTGTATCTTAGTTTCCTAGGTTAGAAAAAAATTACACAGTACAACACTGAGAATATAAGTGTGGCATTGTTGAGCCTCTGCTTAATAATCTATAAAGCGTTATGAAGAAACTTACAGATACCTGAAGACTAGATTCTTTTTTGAAATTTGTAAGAAAGTAAATTCCACAAACTTGTTACTTGTCTTGGGAAAGATTCCAGAACAGATTATTAAAAGATTGGTTATAAGAGCTCAGAAAACAAGTGGGGAACTACTGGGTTTATGAAAAAAAGCACAACCAATTTTGGATTCATTCCCTTTTGGGATTGTGGATCAGGGGCATGGTATGGACGTTGTGCTAAGTTCAGTAATGCATTTGATCAACTCTCTGGATATTGGTGGAAAAATTTGAGCTGAAAAATAGGACAGTGTTTAAATGAATTTATAACAAGTTAGAGAACTATGTGCAAAGATCATTGATTAAAATTAACTTATGTTATCTTTAGCCCTGCTCTATTCTGTATTTTCAGTTATGACCTTGATAAAGTTGTAGATGATATGAAACAGGAGGGTTATATATCACATGATGGAGTGAATACTCAAATTTGAGTGGCTGGCATTCTATAATGTCAAGCTTATAGTTAATAGAAGTAATTTAGAACCCCAAATCTCACTGCACAATTTAAGGTGAATTAAATATGGCTTAAGAGCAACATGTGTGAGAAAGGCTTATGGGCAGAAGTACCAGAGGCACAATAAGCACAGGGACAGGCTTGTTCTAACCTGTGCTGGTCTAACATGCTACGTGGTGTGTTCAAGACAGGACACCACATTTTAATAGATACACAGACAGGCAAACTATGTGTCCAAGGAGAGGGACTGAAGTAGTGAAAAAGCCTTGTGGTTTATATCATGTAAATAATCTAAAATTTGGATATTCTTACCTTTGGAACTCTCTGATATGTAGGAGTTGTCATTTGTTGAACTACCATGCAGATTTTCTGGAACTTTTCTGAATTCAGGGAAGTTTTCATTCCTTGTAGAACAGTAGCATTCTTCCTATTCATTGTGGACTAGGAGAAGTTGGAGAACACAGCTCTGACGAGTTAGAGAAAACATTCTTTGCTTCTCTAAGAACAAAAACAGAACAGAGAGAATGCATGGATCGACTGTATATCTAAAAGCAGTGGAGAAATCCAAATTTTAAGTTTCATGTTGAATTATTAACAACTCTTATTAAATTATATTATTCAGTGATTTCTGCCATGGGAATTTCCAGTTAATTTTTTCTGTGTAATTCCATTGTTAATCTGAAGGTTCTGTGAATACACTCAGAATATCTTAAGTAAAATTTTTAATTGAATTATTTTTATTTCTAATGAGTAATGATGATGTAAATGTTTTTCAAAGGATTTAAGAGTTTATATTTCATACAAAGACCACAGGAAAAAACCTGGAAAGTTTGATGTGGCCCATTTCTGGAACTGCAAAACCAAATCCTGTTTAAAAAAATGAAAAGCCAAAACATTTTGGCTTGGGTATTTTTTTAACCTCTGTCAACTTAAGGGAACTTCATTTAAAAATATAATTTGGAAACACATACTAGCCACTTGATAGCACAAAAAGGAACAGAATGGTGATAAATAGCAGCAATTAGAGAACTTGTCATTCGAGAGTCTGCAAGGTAAAATATTAGCAACCAGAAAATATAAAGTTACATGTCCTTTTGTTGCTGGCACCACTGAAAGAAGAAAAAGGAACTGGGAAAATAAAAGAATAAGGTCTTCGCAATTTTGTGGCTTGGGTTACTAAGCACTTACAATAAATAAAGCTTAAAACACAAGCACATCATTTAAGAAAGTTATGCATTAAAACTCAAAAGAACCTTCTGGAGTAAATCACTGTTTTTCCAGAGGTTGAAGTAAATTATTTTGTAGGAACAAAATTAGTTTGTAGGAACAAAGTACTCTAAATGATTTGATCCTTCAGAGCAGTCATATTTGTTTGTTTGAGCCACAACTCAAAGCATTCAACTGATTGGTTGATAAGATAAAGCTACAGGTTGAGTAGGAATCAATTAAAAGTGTACAGATGAAGCTTATGTGTTCATTTTCTTTTTATATTTAAGTGTCATCACGGTTAGAAATGGAATGATAGATCTAGATATAAAATTCTTCTGATAGATACTGAACGTATTCCTGGATTGTCAAAAAAGAAAGGATTAGTTGAGCTCCCTGGCTGATGCCTATAATCATAAGTGCTTTGGGAGGACAAGGCGGGAGGATTGCTTGAGGCCAGGAGTTGGAGGCAAGCCTGGGCAACATAGTGAGACCCATCTCTACCAAAAAAAAAAAAAAAAAAAAAAAAAAAAAAAAAAAAAAAAAAAAAAAAAAAAAAAAATTAGCCAGAGGCAATACTCTGAAATGATGAAAATGTTACCATTAATTAAAAAAAATTCCCGGATGTTTTAGGACATTGCAGTTTTTTAGAAACTACGATAAACTTGGTAAAGCATTTGAGAGGTAAATAAATTTAGTGGAAGACAGATGAGAAGTATGCTTCAATTAAAAAATATAGTCAGTGCTTGGCAAATTCATATAATAATTCTCAAATGAATAGTATTACAAAGATAAATATGTAGCAGAATTATTTATCAACAGGTATCTTGGATCTTGAGAACAAATTGTCTTATGAATATGCAATAATTTCCAATAAATCTCAATTTCTAACATTTAGAAAATCTTGAAGTATATAAACAGGAAACTGTATGAAATATAATTGCACAATATAAGAAATATTCATGAAGTCAATTCCTACGGAATTCCTCTCAGGTCATGAAATCATGGCTAGTACCCCAGAAGTCCTCTGTACCTTCCACCTGATGACGAACTCTTCTCAATTTTAGTTATAGGCATTCTGTTGCTTTCCTTTATAGGTTTGCCCTCTCTGTGTGCATTTTTAAACACTATAATTTAGTTTTAGGTCTTTTTTATGTTTATACAACAGAATTATAGTGCATGCATTTGTTTCTAGCTTCATTTGCTCAATGTTATGTTTGTGAGAATCTTTTATATTTTGGGAAGTACCTGTAGTAAGGATTATTATTTTTGCATAATATACCATTGTGTATACCACAATGAATGTGTATTTCATTATCATTGGATATTTGGTTTTTTTCTAACTTTTCAGCTACCACGATCAATTTAGCTATGAATATTCTTGTTTGTGTACCTTTGATCACATGTGTATAAGTTTCTTTAGGGAACAGACCTAGAATGAAATTGCTGAGTAATAGGATATGCATATTTTCAACTCTATTAGATGACGACAGGTTTTAGCCCAAGTGCTTATACCAATGGACATACCATAACAGTTTCTGAGAGTTCCCATTGATACTCATGCTTGCTAGCATTTGGTTTTGCCAGACATTTTAATATTCTCTTATTGAGGATATCATGGTCTTACTGTGGTCTTAATTTGCATTTCCCTACAGTAAGTTTGGACACTTTTCATGTATTTATTAGCTATTTGAATCTCCTCTTTTAGATGTGTCCATTCAAGTGTTTCATCTATGTGTGTGTTGTGGGGAGCATTTTTCACCTTTTTCATTTTTATTTGTAAGAGTTCTTTATATATTTGTGATACTAGCCTTTTGTCAATTTTAAGTGCTGAAAACAAACAGATGCCAAAAAGTAAAAACAACAGCAATAACAACAAATCATCAGTGGCTTTTCTTTTTCATCTTACGGTATCCTTTGATGAAGAAAATTCTTAATTTTAATGTCACATTTAGCCATTTTCTTCTTTAAAAATAGTGTTTCTTTTCTCTTTTAATATGCTTTCCCTATCCAATAATCATGAATGTATTTTTCTATGTTACCTTCTTAAAGTTCCCTTCTTCTAATCTCTGAAAGGGTTTGTATAGGTTTGAATTTGTTCTTTAGATTTTTGGTAAAACCCCTTGAGAAAGACAACTGAGTTTACAGTCATTTTTGTGAGAAAATCTTGAAGTATTGGTTCATTATACTTAATGGTTACAAGACTGTTTAGACTTCTATTTCTCTTTGAGTCAGTTCTTTCGAATTATATTTTCCAGGAATTTACCAACCTCACCTGTATTTTCCTTTATTGCTAAGGTTTTTTTTTTTTTTCATTCTTTAATATCTTTTCATATCTGGAACACTTCCAGTAAGGTATCTTTTAAAAATATTGTTACTGGGTGTTTATTCATTCTCTGTTTCATTGGTCCTTATAATCTCACAATACTTTGTCAGTTGTTCTTTTTAGAAACCAAACTTTTGACTTTATTTTTCTCACGTTTGTCTTCCTTTTCACTAAGTTTGTCTTTCTCTTTATTACTTTCTTTCTTTTAATTTTTGGGGGTTTAGCTTGTTAACTTTGTATGTATGAACTATATGCTTAGCACATTAATTTCAAATTCTCTTAATTGATATACTGTTTTCTTTATTAATTAGTTAAAATATTTTATACTGTATAATTTTTTACTGTTCTATGTGTTATCAAGAAATATGTTTCTTATTTTCAATCTGTATTATGTTTTTTTCAAACATAGTGCAACGTAATACTTGGCAATACATTCAGTTTATGAATAAATAATCACTTTGACCCTTCAAATTATTGAATTGGAAAAAAATTAAGAAGATAAATTAGAAAAATTGTTACTTTTTTTTCTCATGGAGGTTATAATTGTCAAAAATATAAAAGTCAAACTACATGAAACTCTGAAATGCACATTCTCTGACCACATCTCTATTGGCTCCACACATCCCCTTTTCTGACTTTATTTTCCTTCTACCCCTAGTCCCTGGAGTTTTTCATCTGGGCCCTCTGAAAAATAAGAGTTAGTTATCAATGAAATTCTTTGCACATTGAGATCTCTTTTCTGAGCATTTCCTTTACCGTCATGTTGTTGCTGACACCTGGCACTTACTGTCAGTGGAGATTTCTTTCTTTCACGCTTCTTTTACAATTTGGCCTAGAAGTAGCATAAAGGCCTCTTGGCATCCTTGTTGATGCTATTTAAGTTCTCTTGTCTTAATTCCATCCATCCATCCATCCATCCATACATCCATCTACCCACCTATCCATCCATCCATCCATACATCCATACATCCATCTACCCACCTATCCATCCATCCACTTATCTTCTGTTAAACACCTTTTAAATGCCTAGAACTATGATGGACCTTAGAAAAACAACAACGAAGGAGAAATTGTCCAACGGATTGAGGTTATTATTGTTAAGTGGGAGAGATAGTCCTAAATGGTGAATTACTACATAGAGCTAAATGTTCTGAGACAGTGGAAAGTAGGAGACATTGGAAACACAATGAAGGACATGAATTGAGGAGCATGTTTTCCTCTGTAAAATTAAGGTTTTGCACTGTATAAACTAAGAGGCCCCTACCAGTAACCCATAAAACACCATATAATTGAGTGCAGAGTCATACTTATTGAGTGTGAGAGAGGGCAGTCACACCTCTTTGCTTTGAGTTAATATTTTCAGAAATTTAAGAGCTCATTGTGATATTATCACTTCACACTTTTAGCATCTTCTTTTTACCCAAGGCTGGGCCATTCCATTCACCCCATATTTAGGCAATATTTTTTTTTAACTGTGGAGCCCCTGCATCAGTATCATCTTGCGGTCCGGAAAAAAAAAATTCCAATATCTTGAATTCTACCTAGACGCACTGATTCTAACTCTCAAAGATTATAACCTATACCTACGACTCTTTAACAGGCTGCCTAGGTGATACTCCAGAATTTATGCTATACTAAAAAACTACCTTATAGGCAAAATGTTTATAAAATAAGGCTCTCTGAGTTGTCAGAAATTAAATTGCCTAGAACAAGATCTAACCCATTAACAAAAATCAGCCTCAAGAGTAGTCTTGTATAGTATGTCATTATTTTATTTATTTATTTTTGTCTTATTTATTTAAATAAGAATGCTTAACATGAGACATACCTGCTCAACCAATTTTTACATGTAAAATGCAGTATTGTCACCTCTACATACAATGTTGTATATCAGATTGCTAAAACTAATACATCTTGCAAAATTGAAATTTTATGTACATTGATTATCAGCTCCCATTTGCCCCTCCTTCCAGCCCCTGACAATCACTATTCTATTCTTTGCTTCTATGATTTGACTATTTTAGATACTTCATATATTTAAGAGAAATCACCACAAATATCATTACTGTTAAAGTGGTTTAATTTTAAACCAGTTTTTCTGTTAAATGGGAGCTACTGATTGAATACTTATACTGATAAAATTCTTATTGACATGGAACTCAGGCTTAAGTTTTCACTCTGTTAATCTCAGAAAGGGTTGTCCACATGGACAGACACATAAGGGTTCTATTGAAAAAAGCTGAAATGTAGGTACTCTCCATCATGTAATTCGTTCATATTGGGTGGCAATTTTAGATAAGCGAAGGTTTCATATATGCATTTGTCAGCAGACTTCAAGAGACTCTCTTTAAGTGTTTGCAAAATATTAGGAGATGGAGGACTCTTGATGACAGGCCCTCGATTTCCCCAGAACTCATCCTAATTCAGATTTAGGAAACTGGTGCTTTGTAAGACTAAACCATCCGGACTCCTTATAATCTCAATGACACCAGCAAATAATGATTATATTTTGTATTTATGTGAGTGCATTATCTTCAAAGAATCTTATGTAGCTGACCATATGATCCTTGTAAGTATCCTGGGAAGTAGATACATTAAACATTCTTGAAACTGAGGGAAGAGGCATAGAAATATTAAATGATTTGCTCAGAGTCATGCAGCTCGTAACAGCCAACAATATAACTTTGGCCTGTTGATAGTAGTTTTACCTCATGATGCTTTATTCATGAATAAATTAAATAACTCTAAGAATATCTGCTTGCATAGTGAAGATTTACTACATGGTTAAAAGGAGTAGGGCATTAAAAACTTATCCTATGTGTGGCAAATTATAGTTGGTCACAGATTTTTTGCTATTCCTTCCATTAGTGGGTAGAATGTTGTATTTGTCTGTTCTTGTATTGCTATAAGGAACTATCTGGGACTGGGTAATTTATGAAGAAAAGAGGTTTAATCAGCCCATGGTTTTGCAGACTGTACAGGCTTCTGCTTCTTGGGAGGCCTCAGGAAACTTACCATCATGACAGAAGGCAAAGGGGAAGCAGGCACATCTTCACATGGCTGGCAAGACAGGGAGAGTGAAGGGGAAAGAGAAGGTGCCACTCACTTTTAAATAACCAGATCTTGTGAGAACTCTATTAGAAGACAGCACTAAGGGGATGGTGCTAAACCATTAGAAACCACACCCATGATCCAATCATCTCCCAGCAAGCCCCACCTCCAACACTGGGGATTACTATTCAACACGAGATTTGGGTGGGGATACAGAGCCAAACCATATCAAGTGTATTCTACTACCTTTGTTTCTGGCCGGGCCTTAGTGACATGCTTACCCAATAGAATGAAGTGGAAGCCCCATTCTAATGCAAGGTCATAGGAAGGCTTTCAGCTTCTGCTTGACTTTTGGAACATGCATTCTTAGAGCCCTGAGTCACCACATAAGAAGTCAGACTACTCTGGAAAGACCATGTGGAGAAAGCTTGAGATTCAATGGAGAGGGAGAGGTGCCCACTGAGTCCAGCCTTCTAGCCTCCCACACCAGAATGTCATCTTAGACTCTGTAGATCTGCTCTGCTGTTAGTTGATGTCTCATACAGCAAAAGAATCAGCAGCAGAGCCGTGCTTGAATTTCTGTCACCCCAAATTATGAAATAAAGAAAATAAAATGGTTGTTGTTATAGCCATGAAGTTTTTTTGGGGGTGGGTCAGTGGGAAGTACTTTGTCACACACAATAAATAACCAGAACACTATTATTAAAAGAAGAAACACTAAAGGAAGTGCCACCAAACTAAGTATGAAACCTCCAGCAAAATCCCCAGCAGCAGTACTCACCTAAATTTCCATTCTTTCTATTCCAAAATTATTTCTATTATTTAGACTTAGGTGTCACAGTGAACTCTGCGACCTTTTAAACTACATAGGTGTTTGGGGTTGAGAGATAAACTGTGTATCATTTGATGCTCTCTGGTTGGCCAGTATTCTACAGATACCTTTTAGACCTCATACTGTCTGCATTGTTTTCATTTTGGTCAACTGCAGTCCTCAGGGTAACTCTCCCCACTTTCTCACTGACTTAATTTCTGCTCCTTCCATTGTCATTATCATCAGTGAGTTTGTTATCCTGATTCTTGACCCTTCTGTCTCTGTGGTCTCATGATTGTCCAACCTCCTTAATCCTATTTAATTTATCTCCATTTCTCTTTAGCCGTCCACTGGTAACATTTGTCTTTGACCTAGTCATTCTTGGAAAGTATTTCATCTCATCTTCAATTTGACTCTCTGACAACAATCTCCATCCTCACACCCTTAAAATACAGGTATTCTCCAAAGTTTCCCTTAGTTTTTCTCTTCTGTTTATACTATTTCTATTCTAGTGGCTTCCTCATTGACTTGAAGTTGATGACCCAGGTCAAGATCTCTCATACCAAGTTAAAAATCACATCCTGGAAAGTAGCCCAAAACCATTATATTCAACATAACATGAATCTTACTATTCTGTTCTTTTTCTAATATCCATATTTCTATACATTTCACAACAAGTTTTCTATACTCTGAGTTGGAATCCCCAGGCCATCTAAACTCTTTCCCTCCTGAATCTTTAGATTCTTTAGCCTCATTTCTTTTTCTCCATTATCACCACCCCAGCAACATTGTGCTTCCCTCAGTTTCTTGAGTAAATCTCAGTCTCTCCGAACTCTGGCTCCTTCCACATCCAATTCCTTTTCTTTCTTACAATGCTCTTCGCTCTTTCTTCACCTAGCCACCTCCTATTCATCTTCTCTGTGGCTGTCACTTTTTTCTCCCTAAAAGCCTTTTCCTCTTCCTTTTCACTAATAGAGCTATTCCCCACAATTTTATTCAGATACTGGCCACACATACATGTCGTAAGCCTTTCTATATGTATAAGAGTTGAATGTTTGTTCATAATAAGTCCATTGTGGTAACTCCATTTTTTCTCACCAGTGACTGGTTTGTGCGTTAGCCCATGAATGATTTGTAGCAGTCCAGGTATATTCAGGAGACAGAAACCATATCGGTTGTTTTAACAGAGAGATACAATATACTCACTAACCAGATACTGGAGAATTGAAAATGGGAAAAATAGAATGTTAAAATATCATACGGAAAATAACTGCAGGAAGAAGCTATCACCCCTGGGCCTGGAAAACAGGGAGAAAATATCAGAATTATTAAAACTTAGAAGTACAGAAGAGGGTCTCCATGGAGCTGGGGCCCAGACACCTGCAGAGTAGATTCTGGCCAGCTGATGCTAGTATTTCTGAAAGTGTAATGAGATTGATTCTGGTAATGGGACAAAACAAAAACTGAAATTATTTTACTGCCCCTCCAGGAACAAACTGTTGCCACCAGGCTTAAGAAACATTGTTGAGGTTATTGTAATGTAAAAGGCCAACAGAAAACAAACAGGAAAGAAACAATTCCTTCTTTTCCTTCCAGCCTCACAGTCTCCCTCTAGCACCCCTACTGGCAGAAAATACCAGAGAGCAAGAACTTGGGGCTCCTAATCAATCCCACCCTGAATGCATTTTTTAAATGCCATTTCTTTGGATTGCCCCAGAGATAGACTCCTCATATAACTGCAAAATCCTCACCATCCTTCATGGTCCTGCTCATCACTGACTGTGTCCATTATACTTTCCAATTTAATATAACCTTCTCTGATTTGTATGCTTCTCTTATGAAAGTTTTTGTCTCCTGTTATAATGAGTTATGTACATGCCTTGACTCATGGATTTGGAGTCAGACAAAACAAGGTTCAAGTCCAGAGTTCATTACTTAGTACCTCTGTGGTGAGTTACTTAAGCTTTCTAAGTCTCAAATTCCTTATGTGTTAGTTTAGAGACACAGACTTTTTCTACAATCTCTGCTCAATAAAATTCCTTTACTGAATACAGTTTAAAAGGGCTCGGTATATTGTGATTACTTCTCAGACAATATTACAATATCACTAAATGTTGTTTTATTAATATCTCATGGATTAGTAATTAAGGTATAGGTATGTCACCAGAAATGGTTCTTTGTAAATTTGGTTAATCAAAATAGAAATAAATAAAGTATATTTTCCTTTTTCTTGAGGACTTAGTATTACTAGAATCCTTCTCATTTCAAGGTTGATAGATTTTTAGTGTTCTAGCCATTGAGAGTTTGACTTACCAAATTTGGATGTATTTTTTCTAATAAAAATCAAAGTCCTATCATCTATAGCTTTATAAGTTATAAGTAAATCATGGAAAGATTTAATATAGTTTAAAAAGAACATAATTTATTGTTATGTTTTGTTTATAAGGCACATGCCTAGAAGACTATTAGGAGAAAATATAGAATGCTGATATTGTTGAATTTGGGGGATTCAAAGAAATCCCAGGGATTTGTTGGTTAATCTTCTGTCCTTTCAGAAATTTGCTATTAATCATTAGAAATAGAATTCTTCTAACGTTTCTGCAGCTGTTTCAGACTGGAAGTGGTGCTGCTCCACCAGTCTGGCTCTGGAAGAGCCTATTGCATTCAACGAGAATGCAAAGGAGGAGAGAACAACATCACCAACCTGGATCTAAGCCAAACTGAATGGGAATTAAAATCCTGCCGTTTTATTCATATTATAAACAGAGAATGGTCTAAGTAAAATAATAAAAGCTTTGCATAGGCTACAGGGAATTTAATTTTGCCTAAAAGTATAAGCCATTTCTAAAATATGGTGAGTTAGGGTGAGAGATTGGGGTAGGGGAGAGTTTGGGGGATAGGTTGGAAAGAGAAGGATGTCAAATGTTGAAACCTAGATTGTATATGCATGGTTTAATTGTTCTCTGCAAGCAAAGCTTAAGTTTCCCTGCTATGGTTTAGAGTTTTTCAAGAGTGAATTGCATGTTTCGTAAAAGCAGGTTTAACCTCTAGTAATAAGGATATAATCTAATCTCCTGCAAGGACTATATTAGGAATATAAAGGTAGTATTATTCCTCATGGTTTGAAAGTGAATGGAAATTCTACCCCCAGCTCCATCAAGATTGGCTTAACCACCAATGTAAATTACTCTTATTTGGTTATTGATGTCATATGCTAATGCTTTTTGAAGCAAAAACAGACAACCAGTTCAGCTTTGCAGCAAAGCAGCCATGGGTCTCAGCTCTGTTATAAGCCTGGTGATCATGGGAAAGTTTCTTAATTCCTCAGACTCAATTTCCTCATCTGTAAGTAGGCAATAATGCATAGCTTGCAGAGTTGGAGTCCTATAAAGTGCCTAATAGAATTCCCATAACACAGAGAAGAAACTCAATAAGTGATAACTAGTAAAGTTGGCATTGTATTTTTCTTGTGTTTGGGTCTGAATTAGAGGTCCTAAAGATACTTTGATAAAAAAGGTAAAATGTGTTTCTGTGAACCTAAAATGTAAGAAGCTTAATGTATTCTCCTCTGTAGAATAGAGTTAAACCAATAAAATGCTTTCAACCGTTTCCACTCTGAACTTGCCCATCATTATGAATTACCTTCACTGAAGTTATTCCCATTTAGAGGAATAGCAGTCTCTGTGGAATCAACATCAGGCAAAGCAAAGTTGACTCCTCATCAGGCCTCAGACATTCTTCATATTGCAATGGAGAAAACAACAAAAAATGACCCAATTTGACATCTTTAGGAGGAAGCAAAACTATTAGACAAAAAGGTTTTCTGTATGTGATCTTTATTTTGAAACTGCATGGGAAATTATAGAGCTTGCTTCTTCTATTCTGTTAGCCCCCTGAAGTTAATTGAAGCTAAATTACACAGTGCACATTTAGACAGGAGATTCCTAGGAAATGTTTCCCACTGGCTCTCTATAATGTATTATTCTACATGCCAACTTTGAGAATTGCAGAATTGAATAAAGTTCAGCTGGGTCATAAATAAGGTAATGGCATGTAATTGATTCTCTACAATATGAAAAGTTCCTCTTTCCTTCAAGTTTCTCTGGTCTCAGATCCAATGAGGAGTAGATAGAAATAGACGGGGGTATGGGGTGTGAGGGGGTTGAGAATCTTGATTCTTTGTAGATAAAATGATTCTCTGTATTCTGTTCTGATTCATGTATGTGCCCAAAGAAATAAAGGCTAAGAGGCCACTACATTGTATGACAGAACAAATAAAGCTTGTTAACTGTCATTCCATGACATTCCAATATTGCTTCCTTGTTCTCTTTTTTTTTAACTTGACCATAATATATTTATTTTTACCGAAAAGAAATTGTAATCATACCAAAGTTATTTTTCTCACCCTTTTTTCATTCCCCCTTCTTCTAATCTCATGGTTGACTGGGAAAATGAATAAATAAATTCCTAAGGGGCCAATCCCAGAGCCTTTTGATGATACAGAGGGAATCCAGATGTTCACCCTGCCCCCCACCTCCTATAAAGGGTTTCGTGGAATTTGTTCCTGGTCATAATACACCTCCTAAAAAAGAATTTTCTCCTGCAGTTTTACAGGTATTATTAAATTAAGTTTCCACCTTTTGTTTCAAATAACAGATGAAATGATATCTTTCAGAGCTGACTTGTTACCTCTAGTGAATACATTCTGCACATTCTCATAGGTATGTGTTGTCAATACACCATTTAAGAAAGATTTATATCTAAGATCATTCGTTTCCATTCAGGTCTATACGTTTGTGCCTCTGGCTGGTCACATGGACACATGCTCTGTTCTGCTGCCCTCTTAGAGGAAAGTAGACACCAGGATAGTCACCAACTTAAGACAATAGATGATAGGATAAGATTTCATTTTGATTGAATTTAATTTAACTCTGCGAAAATTATGTTTTTATTGGCTAATTTTAGATACTTAGGTCTCCTAGTTGAAATAGGCCACTTTCTTCTAGTATTTTTTAACTTTAAAACATGTATTTTTATAATTTGTTTATGAAATATGCTTGTGGCAAGGAAAAGAACCTTCATAAAACCAGTATATATTTATTAATTCTCCTGAACCATGAACTATTTCTTTATATGATCCCTCCCACCTGGGAAATAACTGACTGAACAAATGGATGTTACCCCATATATGAAAGTTATTTTAAAAACTCCGAAACACAGAAAGTTTTTAAAAATAAAATTCTTATCACAGGCTTCCAAGGGAAAGCACCCAAATTCCAACCTGTAGAAATGCAAGGCCAATAGACAAAAAAGAAGAAAGAATAGGCTCCAAGGAGTCCTAGGGTGAGATACAGAGATAATCTCCTAAGCAGGACACTCTCATATTAGAAGAGCAGTTGAAACAGGAAAGTCAATAAAGAATAATAGTTTAGTAACTGATTTCAGGAAACAAATCATTCTGAACCCTATTTTATGGATGAATGAAACTCTGAAATTTGAGATAGGGCTTCACGAGTTTTAGGGCAACAACTAGCAAATAAAAGCACAGCTGGGACCCTTGCTTTAAAAAAGCCTGGATTTTCTTAGTGGGTTAATAATAGTAACAGTTCTTAAGATAAAATCATTTAGAAATGTAAAGTTGGTTGACATTTTGTATATTTGCCTAACTGACTATAGAAATTTAATATATAGTATTCTATTTGCAGGAGAAAGGAAGAAAAAAATTAAAAGAATGTATAAACGATCCAAGGTAAAACAAAATCTCTGTCCAAGTTTTTCTGAAAATATAGGTTATGTTTGAAGAATAAAAGCTTTCAATTATTACATTCTGGCGCTGCCAAAAGAGCAAACACAAGATGACAGTTAAATTTATGAGACTGTCAGTGTTGTTTTACCTAAAACAGAACTTTCCTCCCATATCTATTCTCACCCTCTGAGATACGGGATTAAGATGCTATTCTCACATTCAGGAATAAGGGATTAATCGTTCTCCACTGTTATTTCTTATTTTTTATAGCTCTATTACAGTGCTCCATTGAGAATATAATATTACATGTAAAACTACAGGAGAAATCTCATCAAAGAGTTAATGAACAAAAAGATGTAAGAAAAGAAAACTCTGTGAACCACAGAATATATTTAAAATGCCTCATGTCATTTACTTAAATGCTTTATATGATTAGAAAAATACAAAGAGGAGACTTGGTAGAAAATAATTTTTGTACCAGACATGTCAATCACAGGGATTATCTTGCCCACAGCCTTTGCTGAGAGTGCAGCCATGACCAGATTTATTTTGGATCATGAAACCCTTCCCAGATGACCACAACTGATTAGACCAGGGATGGGCACCTCACCCAAGTGCTGCCAATCCATAGATGGGGCAGAGCACATTACTTTGTCAAGTGTAAAAAACCCTTTCCAAATTGGAATGCTAGTAATTATCTAGATCTATCAGATGCTCCTTCTCTGAGGAATTTGACCTGGGAATATGAAAAGAATCAAGTAGACAGCAACAAGAATGAAAGTAAATTGATACAAAGGGAAGTACACATACTTAGAATAGCCGCAGAATGATAATGCTACTGAGGTAACCAGAGCTGCCTGCAGACTAGAGGACTTTTCAGATCCAGTATCAATCACACTGGGCTGAGATCCCTGCCAAAATTCCCTCTCTCTTATTGTCACACATATTCTTGCAATAAACTTCCATTACAAGAGGTAGCTGTTGACAAGAAAAACCAAACTCTGTAAAATATTTGAAGAGATTTATTCTGAGCCAAATGTGAGGACTGTGACCCATGACATGGCCTCAGGATGTCCTGAGAACATATGCCAAGATTATTGGGTTACAGCTTCATTTTATACATTTTAGGGAGACATAAGACATCAATCAATACATGTGCAGTATGCACTGGTTTGGTCTAGGAAGGTGGGACAACTTGAAGCTGGGGGCTTATAGGTCATAGGTGGATTCAAAGATTTTCTGATTGGCAGTTGGTTGAAAGAGTTAAGTTATTAAATAAAAACCTGGAATCAATAGAAATGAGTGCCTGGGTTAAGATAAGGGATTATGGAAATCAAGGTTCTTATTATGTAGATGAAGTCTCATAAATGTTTCCTATTCAGGCTTTTAAAAGGTACTAGACTCTTAACTAATCTCCTCAGGATCAGAAAAATATCTAGAATAGGAAAGAGATTGTCTACAGTAGGTAAACTTCCCCCACAAGAGACAGCTTTGCAGGATCATTTCAAAATATGTGAAATAAATACATTTTGAGTAAAATATTTTGATTTCTTACAGGGCCTGCTATCTGTCATGTGATGCTATACTAGAGTCAGGTTGGAATTTGGTATCTTATTGCTAAAAACAGTCTGTTAGTCTTAAGATCTCTGTTTTAATGTTAATGCTGGTCAGCTGCACCTGAATTCCAGCGGGAGGAAAGTATAATGAGGCATGTCTGACCCCTACTTCCCATCATTGACTGAACTAGCTTTTCAGGTTTCTTTGGAGTCCTCTTGGCTGAAAGCAGGGGTCCATTCAGTCAGCTGGGGGGCTTAGAATTTTATTTTTGGTTTACATAGCCTCAGGGAATCCTGAATTCTTGAAGTCAAAATAGCCTCAATCAAAAGAGGGTGAGATCACTGTTGCTATAATTTAAATATGTACCCTAAAGTTCATGTGTGGAAAATGTAGTCTCCAGTGCAACAGTGTTGAAAGGTGAGACTTTAAGAGGTGATTTGGTCATGAGGGCTCTGCCTCATAAAATGATGAGTTACATTTCCTTCCCTTCCATCCCACCTCTTGCCCTCTCTTGCTCTCTCTCCTTCCACCATGTGATGACACAGCAAGAAGGCCCTTGCTAGATGCTAGCCCTCTGACCTTAGATGCACTAGCATCCAGAACTATAAGAAACAAATCTCTGTTCTTTACAAATTACAAAACAGGCTAAGGCAGAAAATTGGTACTGAGAAGTCAGGCTGTTGCTCTAACAAATCTCTGGAAATGTTGAAGTGTCTTTGGAACTGGGTAATGGATAAGGACGGGAAGAATTTAGAGAAACAGGCCAGAGAAAGTCTGGATTGATGTGAATGGAGTATTAAGGGTAATTTTAGTGAGGGCTGAGAGGAAGACAAGAGCTATAGAGAGAGCCTAAGTCTTCTCAGGTATTACTTAAGTGATCAGAATGTTGGTAGCAATATGGATGGTAAAGGTCATTCTGATAAGGACTTAGATTGAAATGAGAAAGAAGGTATTGGAAAGTGGAGTAAAGTTTATGCTTGTTATAGAGTTGCAAAGAACTTGACAGAGTTGTGTTTGTGTCCTAGAACTTTGTGGAAGAAAGAACTTAAGAATGATGAATGGGGGTGTCTGGCAGAAGAAATAACTAAGCAGCAAAGGGTTCTAGGTGCTGCATGGCTGCTTTTGGATATTTACAGTAAAATAAAAAGAGAAAAATTATTTAAAGATGGAATTTATAATTAAAAGGAAAGCAGAATGAAAAGATTTGGAAAACTCTTGGGCTGGCCATGTAAAGAATTTTAAAATGTGTTGGGAGAGAATACTAAGGTGTGGCCAAGTGACTATTTTGCTGAAGAGAATTAACATTAATAGAAAGAAGTCAGGTTCTATTCATTAAGACAATAGGAGAAAGACCTCAATTGTATTTCAGAGATCTTCAAGGCAAGCTAGGACTCTGAGGGTGAGGTTTCCAGAGAGGCTCCTGTGGGACCTCAGCATTTGCTGCTCAGGGCACCTCGGGATTCTGCTTCCTGAATTCCAGTGCAGAGCCCCTTGCCTGCCCCAGTCCCTGACTCAGGTAGATCCAGATGGGGCTCATGCTACAGCTCCAGACAGCACAAGCAGGAAGCCTTGGTAGCATCTATGTGATGCCAACTCCATAGATGTGCAGAGTGCATGAGCTGTGGGGCCATGGTGGCCTCCACTTATATTTCAAAAGATGTTGCAGACAGCCTGGGGGCCCAGGCAGAAACCTGCTGCAGGTATGGAGGCACCACAGATAGTCCCCATTAGGGCAAAGCCTAGTGGAGTAATGGGAGTGGGGCAGCCCCCAAGATCACAGAGCTGTAGGGTCACTAGCTTGAAAGCCAAAGGCGCAAGCCCCCAGCCTGTGAGAATTTCTGGGTTGACTGAACCCAGCAAAGCCATAGAGGTGGGGCTGCCTGAGGCCTTGGGAGCCCAGCCCCCTACCCCAGTGTGCTTAGGATGCAGGATATGGGGTTAAAGGAAATTATTATCCAGCTTTAATACTTAAGGTTGTTTTCCTTGATGGGTTTTGACTTACCTGGGGCCTGTTACTTCTTACCTATTTCTCCCTAAAGAAATGAGAATGTCTATCTGATGCCTGTCCCACCAATCTTTGGTATTTTGTTATAGCAGCACAAAACAGACTAAAACAACTGTCAACAAAGCAACCTTTACTAAGCATCATGGTTCTGCAGACTCTATGCTATGCACTGAGAGTGACAAGAAGAGCTTACATACGTGCTCTGTCTGGAGAAATGGAACAGAAAAAATAATAATAATATGAAGTACCCTAAATACAAAATACTTGGTACTCACCCAAATCCCAATTGGGGAATATCATATTAGTAACAATGTACTTGTTAAGAATGTAGGCTTTGGACATTCATGCACCTGAGTACAAATCCCAGCTGACTCTGCCTTCCATCTGTTGGCTGAGTAAATTTGGGTTAAGTTACTTAACTTGGTGCTTCTCTAAAGACTGGTTCATAGATCAGCAGCAACAGCCTTGCTTAGAACTTATTAGAAATCCAAGTTCTAAGACCCTACTCTACACGTACTGAGTCAGAAACTCCAGTATTGGAAAAACAACTTTTATATTAACATGCTCTTCAGGTATTCCTGATATTTGTGGAAGTTTTGAGAACCCCTACTGAACCTAAGTCTCAGGATCATTGCTATGTGTTGTTTTGAAGACTAAATGTTCAGGATGTATAATAATGGGGTCTAGCAATGGTAGTTAATTTATTATTACTACTGAAGGGCAGAGGAGAAGGTTGCTTTTGAGCTGGTTTTAGGATTAAGTAAATGTGGAGAAAAAGGAGGTCGTTCTAGGAAGTGGAAAGGTATACAATGTTTTCAAAGGCTCAGTGCTAGAGATTTCATCAGATATTGGAGTCAGGTAGATTCTGGACAATGTTTGGAAATAGACTTTGGATTCAAATCTCAGCTTCACTACTTGAGGTTTTGGATTATTTACTTAACTGGAATACCTTTACTAAAAATTGGGATAATAAGTCTCCTAGATAATTATTGGAGGATTAAATGAGATAATGTATGTAATGTTCATGGCAGAGTGCTTGGTATTTGCTAAATATTAGTTGCTTTTGTTAGTTACTTTCATTATTAATATTATCTGTTAATTGATAAATTCTTTATTTCTTTTTTGCTTTCTGTTTTTTTTTTAAACTTTTAAATGGCTGAGTTCTCCTCATCTTTCAGGATTTTGCTTAAATGTCTTCTCTTCAGTGAGACTTCCATGATTACATAAGGTAAAAAATAACCCCTTCCCTGTTCTCTATTTTGAGACCTTCCTTCTTTCCTTCCTTTCTTTCTTCCTTCCTTGCTTCCTTCCTTCCTTCCTGTATTTCTCCCTAATTAGCAAACAATTGTAGAATTAATTCTTATAACTACTTGTTTGTAGTTTTAATTTTTAGAATAGTGCCTGGAATATTAAACAATATTTACTGTTTAATAGACAAATGAATGACTGTTGATGCGAATGTCATGAGAGTTATGCCCATAAATAGGATCTTCAAGCAAATATTCAACTTGTGTCAAGCACAGCCACTCTGCAAAAACAACATCTCAATAGCACCTGTGGCCAAAGGCAGATGATGAAAGAGACCATCTGGAAGAAAGAAAAATGCTCTTTTCATTGTGATGGTTTGGTGACAGTGAGCAAAACAAGCAAAGTCATTCAGATATATACATATTTATAAAATATGACAATCTGTATGTTTAATTTTTACATATTAATCTGGCTCTCATTTCTTGTTTGGTAAAGTTCTCTAACATATATTCATGGATTTCCCTTGAAAAGTGATCCATTTCCTTTTTTTATTTTGCATGTAGCAATGGTTTAAGTTTTGTTAATTCCTACTGAAAATTCTCAGCCTGCAAAATCAAAAATAATCTCCAGTAAGACCTTTTTGAACATCATACATTGAGGGGAGATATTTACATCCTACTGTGGCTGAGGCTATTAGTTCTACTCTTATATTTCTCACTCTTAGAACATTTTGCAACATTATACTAATACATGCAGATTATTAGTACGTTAATACTCACATATCATGCATTCATGGTTAATATAAAACTCCATGTTTAACTTCTTAAAAGAATAGCAGATAGAAGAATATACAGTGATTACATTTTTCTGAAGAGCAGAATCAAAATATACACTTTTTTAAAAGTTAAAGTATGAGAAAAAATATATGGAGAAATATATTATTAGCATTAGACTCTCAAATTTGCTTGCTAACTTAAAAATGTCTTATTCTCAGAATACACTCATATTAATTTCTTTAATTATGCCAAATGATCAATGCATATTTTATTCCACATTAAATATCTGCTGTCTTTTTTCTTTTTCTTTTTCTCTTAGCGAATTGTACAGAAACCTAACCTCTGGTGCATAAATCAAAATGCTGCTTCGTTTCACTCTCATTATCTTCCACAGATGAGACATATTTAATGTGGACATGTGCAACTGACATACTTTAAGACTCATGTTTGAGGCTTGTCAGTCAATTCTCAGAAGCATGAGGCAGCACAGGAATAGGCAGGAGTGGGACCTGGTAACGGAGCTTCCCACTGGGAGGGATAGACTCTCGGGAAGTGAGGGTATTGCTAAGACATTTTTTTGGAACTTTGTGCTATTAGAGAAGTGTGTGGCCAACTCCATGGTGACTCAGATGAACAGCTAACTCTGGTGTCTCAATCAGGTGGACAAAGCAGTAAGTAAGCACATCTGCCTCTGTTTTAGAACAGTGGATTATCAGTCACCTGATGGGGATATGAGGCTTTGCTCCATTCCTGTAGTGATGACTGGAAAAAGCTTGGAACATGTACTCACATGCATATAGGGTTCAGGTAGTTGCATAAACAATGAAAGCAGGCCATGTGCAATACAATGAGTAGTGGTGAGACCTGTGGAAAAGGCCCTGTCTAATGGGAACCACTGCTCCTCAGTTATAACTCACCATTGCCATTTGTTTTGAAAGCAGGCCAAGTAGTGCCAGAATCTCCAGTTATTTCCAGGAAAGCTAAAAGATCCAAATTTCATGTGAAACCATCTGTTTTACTTTAAAAATTTGTTTAAAATATTTGCGATTATTTTAGATTCATAGAAGAGTTGCAAAAGTAGTACAGAGGGTTTCTGTATATTTTTACCGAGTGTATATGTTTCCTAGAGCTGCTATAACAAGCAACTACAAACTTGGTTGCTTAAAACAATAGACATTTCTTCTCTGGCAGTTTTGGAGGCCAGTGGTCTGAAGGCAAGGGTTCTTTCCATTACAAGCTTTGAGAAGGAATCTGTTCCATGCCTCTCTCCTAGCTTCAGGTGGTCTTCAGCAACCCTTGGCATTCCTTGCTTTGTAGACACATCACTCTGATCTCTGCCTTTCTCTTCACATAGCCTTCCCCTCTGGAACTCCTTTCTTTTATAAAGACACCAGTTATTGGATTTAGTAATCACCCAAAATCTAGAATTATTTCATTTCCAGATCCTTAACTTACATACATCTGCAAAGACACTATTTCTGAATAAGGCCACATATATAGATACTGAGAGTTAGGGCTTGGATATGTCTTTTTGGGGAGTGTATTAGTCCATTTTCACACTGCTATAAATAACTACCTGAGACTGGGTAATTTACAAAGAAAATAAGTTTAATTGACTCACAGTTCCTCATGGTTGGAGAGGCCTCAGGAAACTTACATGGTGGCACGTCTTACATGGTGGCAGCAGAGAGGGAGAGGCCAAGTGGGGAAGTTCCACACTTTTAAACCATCAGATCTCATGAGAACTCATTCACTATTAGAAGAACAGCACTGGGGATTTCTGCCCCCAAGATCCAATCACCTTCCTCCAGATCCCTTCCCTGACACATGGGGATTACAATTCCATATGAGATTTGGGTGGGGACAGAGAACCAAACCATATCAGAGGTCCACTATTCAACTCATTAAACCCAGATTTCCATAATTTTAACATATTACAATACTATAAAGAATTATCTACTACAAAGCTAGCATTAGTATAGTATTACAAACTGTAGATTTATTTGGATAAAACTAGTTATTCCATTCTGTACATTCCAAAGACAAGCCTGTCATTAGAACTGGCCCTTTCCTGGTTCTGAGAAGGTAACCTCGGAGCCCCTGGAATATTCTGCCTGATAAAAATATTTTTGTTTGCTTGAGATGAGGTCTTGAGCCACACTGTATCAGTTTGACCAGATAGTTTATGCTACCCATGTGATTCATGGTGAATGCCTCTTTTTATGTGTCTGAGGATTTGGGCCACACTCTATCTGACCACTGTAAGGTGCTGGAGACTCAATAGCTACCATGAGTCAGAAGGGCACTACATGCCTAAGTGACCCTAAGAACAGAAAAAAGGGACATTAGTGAATGTATCAGAGGTATCCAGGACTACCATCATGTTCAATGTTCTGTTCTAGGGTCCAAACCAGAATGCCACATCACTTTTTAATTGTTAGGTCTCCTTAGTCTTCCCTAATCCATGACATTTTATTGAGTTTCTTTGTAACTTTTGAAGAGTACTGGCTATTTATTTTGAACAGTGTCACATAATTTGAGTTTTCTGCTGTATTCTCATGATGAGATTGAGGTTATCCATTTTGGGAAGGTACACTGCAAGGGTAATGTGCTCTCTGTGCTCTCCTCAACAAATCACATTAGTGGATACATTATGTTGATTTGTTTTTTTTAAACTGGTGATGTTAACTCTAATTCCTTGGTTAAGGCAGTGTTTTCTAGATTTCTCCACAACAAAGTTATTATTTTATTTTTTCCCTTTGTAATTAATAAATAGTCTCAAGGGAAATACCAAAGGGCTATGCAAAATCATCTGATTTCAAATATTGGCAGCATTTTAAAGAAACACAGCATAAAACCCCCTGAGAATGTTATCTCAGTCAGGGTCACCAATTTGCAAACTTTAGACAAATGCAAAAATGGAGGGAAACTTGGCTACTAGGTAGGATGACTGAGGAATTTTCAAGTAGGCTTGAGATTGTAGCAGAGATTTAAGAAGCAAACAGATGTGCATCAGTTGCACTGTCACTCAAACCCTTTCTAGGAGAGAGGCTGAGACTACCCTCTGTCAGATTTATGTGGGACAAAGGTTGGGTGGCCTTTAGCTTACGTGGGTGTATTTACTGTCTTGATAAGATTTAATTTAACAACAGCTGTGACACAAGAGCATGTCAGTACCTCTGCTGAGAAGAGCTACCATCATTGCTCCATTTTTAAAAGCCAGTTGTGCACTCATTGAACTTCAGATCACTCTTTGGGCTGCCATTCTTTCTTAGTGTTATGAGCCTTTGATGTCATGAGTCATATAACAAGTAGCTCCCAGCACCAACATAACCGGTCTAGGTACATTATGACTTATAGGAATGGCTAGTGGAAGGCAAAAGGAGGATCACAGGATAATTTTAGATCTTGGCACAATTGTAGAGAAAGATGAAGGAGTACAATGCCCAACATAAGGTTATGATTTTTCTGTTTCTTTCCTTTGTGATGGGGCTTATTCCCTATTATTAAAAATAATAATGCATAATCCTCAAATAAATACATTTTTCCCTTAATATAATAAAACAGGTATTTGTTGACTTTAGGTCATGATGAAAAAATACGTTTGGTAAATCATTGAAGAGGCAACTGATGAGCTCCACCATGACTCTTTCAAACTTGTTTCTTTGCAATTATTCTTTAAAACTCAGGAGATTTATATAAATCAGTCAATTACAAATCAAGTCCTCTTTTTATTTTCTAGCATGAGTAATGCTTTTTTAAAATTATTGATTTTTAAACTAATAGAGATCTCATCTTTTCTAACAAGGAGATCCACATGGCATAGATAAAGGGAAAAGAGGAAAATTAGAACACTTATCACCCATGTTGTCCTTTCAGGTGGCTTCATAAAGAAGAGATTCAGTGAGATAAATTGAAAAAAATTGTCTTGGTTTTTGATGGGACACACAATTTAAGTTCATACCATGGGCCACAAATATGATATTTATAGTTTTGTTATTTCTTTCATTAAGAAAATGATTATAAAATGTATGCTCTTAATCTTACCGTAATTTCTTGAGTGATAGCTTGGCAAAAAAAGCTAACAGTGTCACTCTGGATGTAATTCAGCTGTCTGATGAATGCTAAATCAAAATTTGTTTGATCTAATTCCTCTTGTTGGCTGAGCTGATAAGTTAATTTCAAGTGATTGCCATGACAGCAAGCATCACCAGCCTTGTCCTAATGTTGGAAAGCATGTTCTGGCAAGAAAAGCCCACATCTTTGAAGTTTGTAAGCATGTCCTCATTTTTTTCCCTTTCTTTCTGAGACAATTTTTCTATTTCATTATACCTAACTACATATCTAGTTGGAATTCAATCCCTTGGCCTCAAATACTTGCATTTGGATTGATGGATGATTAAACATGTGTTTGAAATCATTGTCTGAGTTTCTTTTCACAAAGCTTAAGTTCCCTGGTCCATTACCTGTTGTAGTTCATGTTTCGATGTCAACACAAAACTCTTGACCAAGAAGACAATTTTGCATTTTCTATAAGGTGACCAAATAAAACATCTCCATTTCCTACCCGCCCCCCTCCACAATTCTAGCCACTCCGTGTTTGGGTGAATATATATATATATATATATATATATATATATATATATATACACACACACACACACACACACACATATATCTTAGGTATATTGTCTTTATTCTAGGTGATGCTGTCTTTTAGTATTATGCACTCAATGTAAATGATTTTTTTTCAAGTTTGATCTCATTGTAGTTAGAGGGTTACCTAAACTTGCCCTAAGCAACTCTTGTTTTACTTACCTTTACAGATTTGCTTTTTTTTTTCCTTTTAATCTTATTGGAAACCAGAAATCATACAGATTTCTGTATATCAGAAAGTATACATTGTACTTAGAATGGATTCAGAATTCAGGGACTGTTTGTTTTGTAATAATTTTAAAATATGAGTGCCTCTTGGGTCACATCATATTGAAATCGGCCCAATTGTCCCATAGAACTGATGTTTACAGTCTTTTAAAATAAACATAGAAATTGACCCAGCCTTAAAGCTTGAAACTTACATTGGTCTTACCCCAGTTTCTTCCTCAAGAAACTAGACAGTATCAAGAAACTGAAACTCACCAGATCACCACATCCAGACAATGAGAAGCCAAAACCTTCATCCTTCATGATTTCCTTAGCCCTCCCTAATTCCTATTTACCTTGGTGTAGTTACATTCCTTCCCTGCTGTATAAACTCCCAATTTTAGTCAGTAAGGGAGATGGATTTGAGATACATCTCCCAACTCCTTGGCAGCAGCACCTGGTTAAAGCCTCCTTTCCTGGCAATACTATAGTCTCAGTGATTGGCTTTCTTTGTGGTGAGCAGCGGGACCTAGACTGAAATTGTAGTATTTTGGTAACAGTATCTGCTCTCCATTCAAATCTATGCTCAGCCATACAGAATTATTTTTTCAGTTTCTTTGAATATTCTGCATATTTTCTTCTACCTCTAAGCCTCCAAAAATAATCTGAAAAGCAGCAAAATCGCCACAATGTGGAATCAAAATAGGGGTAAAAAGCCCTTTAGACATTCTTTTGGCAATAAACTAACTGAACTTAGTAGGACCTGGCTCATAGAGACTTCTCTCTTTAGGAAGTGGACATCTGGTGACTCAAGCATTTGGCTTGAAGCAGTTTTCAGGGGAGTTTCAACTGCAATTCCACAGGATTTCATTACCAGCTATTTGCGGTCTTGCTTTTTCCTTTGCTGGTACTAAACAGGTGACATATATTTTACATTGATAATTAGTGTCATCTGACTTGAGGCCACTGCTTTTCTTCTTAGTTTCTGGTGCCCTTTGCAGTAGTGCCTTTCCTACCATTTTACATTTGGCAGACTGGAACAGCTCAAATAGCTCCAAGAAAGAAAAAACTGCCTCCTTTGTCTATTCAAGGCTCTCACTTCACCTTAAATGCAGAATTTTTTCTTTTTCTTTTTTTTTAAGTTATGTATGAGGATTTTTTCTTTTCTTTTTTCTTTTTTGAGACAGGGTCTTGATCTATTGTCCAGGCTGCAGTGCAGTGGTGCAATCACAGTTCACTGCAGCTTCAACTTCCTGACCTCAAGCCAGCCTCCCACCTCAGCCTTGTGAGTACCTGAGGTCACAGGCATATATCACCATATTTGGCTAATTCCTTTTTATTTTTTGTAGAGATGAGAATTCCCAATGTAATCACTCAGGCTGGTCTCAAACTCCTGGGCTCAAGCGATCCTCCCCCCTTGGCCTCCCAAAGTGTTGGCATTACAGGCATGAGCTGCTATACCCAGCCTGTATCAGGATTTCCAAGAGAGTGTCTGGTCAACCATTCTAGTCTCACTGATATTTGCTGGATTAATTGCCAGTATATTGTTCTAAATAGCTTCTTAAGTACTTATTTGTAGATATTTACTTAATGAACAGGCCTTTACATCGGTGATATGGACCAGTCATTTAAGGTCAATCAAATTGAAAATAGGAATGACAATAACAGTACCTATCTTATACTCATAGGATTATTATGACAATCAAATAAGTTAATATTTGTTAATTTCTTAGAGCAGAGTCTAGCACATGGCAAATGCTAGACAAGTATTGTTTAAGTAATAAATAAAAATTTGAAATACAATATAAAAACAATTAGCTGACTTCTTAACAGTGGTAGAAATAATAGAATCATACATTCAAAGTTGTGAGGCCAGACACAGTGTCTCACGCCTGTAATCCCAGCACCTTGGGAGGCCGAGATGGGCAGATCAACTGAGGTCAGGGGTTCAAGACCAGGTTGGCCAACATGGCAAAACCCCATCACTACTAAAAATACACACACACACACAAAATTAGCCAAGAATGGTGACACTTACTTGTAATCCCAGCTGCTTGGGAGGCTAAGGCAGGAGAATCACTTGAACCCAGGAGGTGAAGGTGGTATTGAGCCTAGAGTATGCCACTGCACTCTAGCCAGGGCAACAGAGTGAGACTCTGTCTCAAAACAAAACAAAACAAAACAAAACAAAATCCCAAAAAACAAAGTGTGAAAGAAGATAACTAGCCACTTAGAATCGTGCAGCAGAGGTCGGGTGCGGTGGCTCATGCCTGTAATCCCAGCACTTTGGGAGGCCAAGGTGGGAAGATCACAAGGTCAGAAGGTCGAGACCACCCTGGCCAATATGGTGAAACCCCGTCTCTACTAAAAATACAAAAATTAGCTGGGCGTGGTGGCAGGTGCCTGTAGTCCCAGCTACTCAGGAGGCTGAGGCAGGAGAATTGCTTGAACCCAGGAGGTGGAGGTTGCAGTGAGCCAAGAAGCTATCCATCTTCTGAAGCCTTCCACCTCATCTAAGAGCATCCTCTTACACTCTTGCTTTGAAATCTGGCTGTTTCTTGGTGATCTTGCTTCCTCTTTGTCCTTCTCCAATGGTGGGCATTTTCTTTGCCACACCCCTTATACCACCAGGCTTGGAGATTGGGTAGCTGTTTTCTTAGATCATCACCATTACTTCTGGATCATTTTTTCTTTCTCATCCACAAACTCCTCTATCTTTGAATTTTAGGTCATCAGATTAAATTTTACTACTGAATCAAGTGCAGTTATATATAGTTCCTTGCCCAGGGATATATCCCTTTATTCCTTGAAGATTTTAGCTCCTGGCTTGCTGTCTACAGGTTCCTATAAACATCAAGCCCAAATTTCAGTTGATTAATATAATCATTTTTTTTTTTTTCTCAGAGTTAATTCGAAGGTGATGGGGAGGACAGAGGCTGTACTCCACGTGGTCATTCAGGTATTCAGGCTGATGGAGGCTCTGTTAAATTCACACCATGGCTTCTAACATTATTCTGGAGGTCAGTGTCTTACTGGAATATGTGAAAGGAGAGAGTATAGGATCAAGACAAACGTTTTTCTGAGGCAGGCAGGGAGGGTGGGAAAGGTAGTCTGATGAGAGTGCCAGGAGTAAAGGAGTGAGTTAGTGAATAGCGGTTCTTTAGGCACCGGCTATCAGTTTTGTTCTTTCCCCCATCCACTGATACCTCCTAGAAAAAGATAACCTGAAGCTCCCCTCATTCAGTGCACCCACTTCAAAGGTCAGGATCTCCAGCTACTACATGGCACATTGCTACTCATGTAAACATGGATCTTGAAATCTGTAAGCTAGAGAGAGGTTTATGGTTCATGCCCTTTCAGCCTGCTCTCCAACACTCATGCACACACACACAATACATAATAGTGGAGCAGGGACAAGATAATAAAAATTCAAATTTCTACTTTGAAAATGAAAATGCATAACAAGGACAAAAGCCCACAGGGTAATCCCTGTCAAAACCTTCTAGTCCTGTTGAATGAAGTTCCTTGATTAGACCTGATTCTGTTCTCTGGCAGAAACTCTTTTGTTCATAGTTCTCTGTGACCTCTAGTTCTACCTTCTGGGAGGTTTGTCCTTGCCTATTGTCTTCCATGGCCATTACTGAAGTCATTTTGGGGGCATGTGGCATCGGGGCTGTAAAGCTTTTGCAGCCTACTCCATTCTGGCATAAATTTGGGATCCCTAGTCTTGTTTTGTTGTTCAAACATTCAAAGCCTTTTTTAGTTGACGTTTGTCATTTCTTTGGCAATACAACTCCCAGGAAAATTTAGTAGACTATGAATTAATTTGATTTCATTAGTTTTATGTGTCAGTGAACATATGCTCATCCTTTCCCAGACATAATACACAAGCCTGGTATCTTTGCTTCCTTGCCCCCAAGCCTGTCCTGCAACAGAATGGCCTATCATGAAGCCATTACTTTACACAGAAGGCCATACCCTTAATCTGATCATTGCCCCAGAGCTGAGTCTTTTTTTTTTTTTATTTCATTTCATTTCTTTCTTTTTTTTGTAGAGATGGCATCTCCGTATGTTGCCCAGGCTTGTCTTCAACTCCTGGGCTCAAGGAATCCTCCTGCCTTGGCCTACCAAAGTGCTGGGATTACAGGTGTGAGCCATTAACACCCAGCCAACAGAGCTGAGTCTTAATGAGGCTTTGTTGTTCAAAGGCTTTTCATTGTTTGGAGTTTGTAGCAATGGACTTTCCTAGCATTTGAGGCCTCAGATCTCTTTCTACTCTCTCTTCCCTTTAATAATTGCTTTGAAACTGCCAATTCTTGCCTAAGCCTAATTGTTTCTTTTGAAATATTGCTAAATGCATCCAGTAAAAATCAACACAAACCTCTAACATTTTTCTGACCTTCTCCCCTAGAGCCAAAGGTTCAAACGCAGTTGATCTGCTTTTGAAGCAATAGAAAATGTCAGGTTTTTTTGTTTTGTTTTGTTTTTGAGACAGAGTTTCACTCTTTTTGCTCAGGCTGGAGTGCAATGGCGCGATCTTGGCTCACCGCAACCTCCGCCTCACGGATTCAAGCGATTCTCCTGCCTTAGCCTCCTGAATATCTGGGATTACAGGCATGTGCCACCACGCCCGGCTAATTTTGTATTTTTAGTAGAGACGGGGTTTCTCCATGTTGGTCAAACTGGTCTCTAACTCCCAACCTCAGGTGATCCGCCCGCTTCGGCCTCCCGAAGTGCTGGGATTACAGGTGTAAACCATCGCGCCCGGCCCGAAAATGTCAGTTTTTAAAATGTTTTGTCACTGCATAGCAAAGGCTTCCATCTTTCTGGCATCCAGCATTCATCACTGTCACATGACCATGAAGCCGATGCCACATGTTTCTACTGTGATCTGGACCCCACTACTGCTCTCCTAACTCACTGAACTCCAGTCACACTGACCACCTGTGCTTTTCAGTACTCCAGGCACTCTCCTGTTTTGGAGCTTTTGTCTTTGCTGTTATCTCTCCGGGAGGAACATTCCCTCCTCCCAGTATTTACTTGCTGGTCCTCTCCTGCAAGTCTTTACTCAGGGTTAACTATTTTGTGAGGACTTCCATAGTGACTCTATTTTCAAACCATTCAATCATTCTTTTATTGCTTATTTTTTCTCCATTCGGGCCAGTGTGACACCTTTGAATTGGCTTCCATGAACTTTTGATATGACTCCATTGATTTTGGAAAGCTTTATTTCTGGTACAAAAATGTGTCCCAGGCTCACAGTTGTAAAATTAGTTATTTCTCTAAATTGCCTGGTCTCCTAGAGAATGAAGATATAGATCAAAATCTTGGTGTTACGGGTACTCATTGCTACTGGGCTGACATAACTTTGAGACTAGCAGAAGACAATTAATTTCAGTATAAGAGATTGTTTTAAAATTAGTTATTAATTTTTTGAATAGTAATGAATTTTCATGATTCAAAAGTTAAAAGTGTGTAGAAACATATACACAGGGTTTTGCTCCTATTCCTGCCCCCCTCTATTCTATTTCCCTGCCCTCTATAGGTAACTATATTGATGAGTTTCTTTATACCATACTTATCCTTTTTTACCTTACTCTGTAACCCTGCCCCTACAGGTAAATAATTTTATTAGTTTCTTGTTTATCCTTCCATTGCTTCATTTCACAAACACATATATGTACACATTCTCTTCTTTCTTCCTCAGAATGTGGCACTTTTCTGCACCTAAGTATATTTTCTTAAGAACATAGGCAGTCAATCTCTGTATATCAATGCATGAAGATCTTCCTTTTAAAAAACTGTATATTATTGCACTGAGTGGCTGCATCATAATTTCTTCAACTAATTATTTCTTGTGGGCTACTTGGGTTAGTTTCGATCTTTTTCTCTTATAATTATGTTGCAGTGAAGGCATCTGTACATATGTGATTTTACATTCATATTGTATCACTGGGATAGATTCTTGGAAATGGGATTTCTGGGTCAAAGATATATCTGAAATTTTTTTAGAGACTGCCAAATATTTTTGCATTGGGGTGGTGTCATTTTCTTTCCTCCACTAATATAAACTTTCAGATTTTTGCCAAGTTGATAAGTAAAAAATGGTAATTTTGTATAGTTTTACAGTTGTCTCCTGGTACTTTTGGGGGATGGGTTCCATGATGCCTGTGGATATTAAAATACTTGGATGCTCAATTCCATGGTGTAAACTGATGTAGTATTTGCATAGAACCAACACACTTCCTCCCATCCTCTTACACTTTCATACACTTTGCACACTTTAAATTATCTCTCGATTACTTATAGTACCCACTACAATGTAAATGGAGCATTTACATTGTATATAATTGTATACATTGCATATAATAAATAATTATTAGAAAGTATTGTGTTTTAAATGTGCAATATTTTTATTGTTGCACTATATTCTTATTTTTTATTTTTTTTCCCAAATATTTTCCATCTACGGTTGGTTAAATCTGTGGATGTAGAAACCACAGATATGGAGGGCTGACTATACATTTTCATTAACATGAGTGAGATTGAACATAATTTAACCTGTTTAAGGGGTATATTTTGTGTGGATGATCTCTCTGTTCATATCTTTTCCTTGTAATTCTATCAGGGTTTTTTTGTCTTTTCTTGATTTCTAGTAGGTAGCTCTTTACATATTGGGAAAATTTACATTCATCTGTGATAGGTGTTGCAAGTTTTTCTGAAGTTTGTTAGTTGTCTTGCAATTTCTTATGATTCTTTCTTCTCTGGCTCTCATTTTTTATTTTATGTATTCTCATTTTTCAGTCTTTTATGGTCTTCGGATTTCACGTCATGCTCAGAAAACTCTTCTCTGGTTGAAAGTAATAAGAAAGTTCACTCATGTTTTCATATAATATTTATATGGTTTTCTTTAAAAAATGTATTCCTTTATTCTTTTTGGAGCTTTTCCTAGAGTGTGCAGAGAGGTATCGGAACAACTTTGTCTCTCTCCAGATGGCTATTCAGTTGTCTCAGTACCAGTTATTAAAATGTGCATCTGTAGCCTATTGATATGAAAAGCTTGATTTATCATATTCTTATTTCCCATAGGTATTTGAATCTATTTCTAAAATTTCTATTCTGTTTCATTGGTCTACTTGGTAATTCACACTCAATTCAGTACTGTTTTAATTATTGATATGTTATAGTATGTCTTAGTATCTGGAGAGGCTAGTCCTCTACATTGTTCTTTTTCAGACTTTTTCTGGTTACTATTATTTGTGTATTTTTAATGTAAGCTTTAGAATAAAACTTCCAGGTTTCAGGAAAAATTCTTTTAGTATTTTTATTGGATCCTGAGCCACTTTTTATTATAACATATTTGAACTAAGATGGTTAGGCTGAGTATTCACGTCTCAGTTCTTGTACTTTAGAACTGCTTAAAAACAGAGACTTCTCTGATTTAAATCCAAAAATAATAATCATATAAAACGGATCTTTACTCAAGGCACTGTATATTTCTGGTACCTATGACTCCAGGTTTTTCAATTTATAGATGTAAAATCTTTCTGGAAGCTTTGCCAGTGGTGGTCACTTCCAGGCAAGGAGTTCACTTTGCAAGGTCACTTTGACTGCCTTTTTTTCCCAACACTCTATACAATTCCAAGTTTTATGCTTTTTAAAGTAAAGCTATTTTCTCCTAAAATGATTAAAAGTGCTCTAGGGAAGAACCACTGGTTTGGAGGTCTGTATACAATTGTATAATTTCTGGCTCAAGTAATTTCTAGTTTGCCTGGAATTTTAACAATAGTCCTGAGGTTTTGCACATTGAACAGACTTTGAGCTCCTCAGCCTAGGAGTCTTTGGTGACTCCTAGTCACCAAAGGAATGCTTTGAATATTCCTGAGAGATCTGGACCTGTGAGTACTTGTGGAAAATACATTTGTCTCTCTAAAAAGATTCCACCCTAAAATTTAAGTTGCATATTTTTAGAGAAATTACTTGAAAATAAACAAAATACTAATGTACCAACACAGTGCTATCCAAAAAAAGAACAGAAAAAAGTCCAGCGATACAGGAGGTAAAGCTCTCGTAATAACTATACTTCACTCACACTGCACATATATAATTTTTGTGATTACTAGCTGCACTATTAAATAGGGTACCTTAATAGACATTATGTGCAATGTGGGTGAACTTGAGTTTATTATAACAATTCTAACTCATACATTTCCTGACGTCTGTGGTATTTTACGCAGTTATAGTGAATGTTATTTTCCTTATGGTATTTTCTTAAATGAAAGAAAAAAATGCAGAAACTTAAAAAGAGTGGCCAATGTCTAATTATGTTTATATGTAAAAGATTTATGGAAGTCTCAATACTTATTTTTGTGTATGATCTGACTTCAGGCCATTATTATTAAATCATTTATTCAGCACCTTTGTTGAGGTCCTTCTCCATATCAGGCAATGAGGCAGGCCCCAGGGATACAAAGATAAAGATAATAAAATTCCCACTATTGACAAACTGAGAAGCAGAATTTTGAGGAGTCCTGGGAATATAAGAAATACTTGTAAGACAATATGAAGAAAACTCTTCAAGTACTTTCATTTATTTATAACAACCCAATACCTTAACTACTATTGTAACCTCAATTTTACAGATGAGGACCTTGATGGAATTGGAAAAGTTAGCTATAATATGGAGGTGAGTTCAAAGCATTAGAGGCGCACAGAAGATACTTGGGAAATAAATGGTGTGTGGTGGTCAGACTAGTCTTTTTGGAAAGAAGACTTTGCTAGAGTCCTAATGATAAATCCTATGGGATCTGTGCTAGGCAGTACGGTAGAGAGAAGACATTCGATAAAGAAACACGTAGACTACAGGGCAAGCATCACATGTTGATGGACTGGATATGGTTGGGTTTAAAATAAATAAGATAGTTCTTTGTTTTGTGCTTAGATACTTTGTAAGATGAAGTGATTGATGGAGATTGTAGCTACAGAAGGTGAAATAGGTAAGGAAAAGAAGATAAGTTTGCTTGTATAAATTACAATTGAGTTTTTCTAATTTATGATTTATAAGTTTGCAGGCATTTTGCCTTTTCATTGGATATTTTCTTTGTTTATAGGAAAAGAATCATATAATTTCGAATACTTTTATTTCTTTTAACCAAACTTAAAAAATCCTTAAAGAGGCTGGTCATGGTGGCTCACACCTGTAATCCCAGCAATCTGGGAGGCCGAGGCAGGTGGATCACTTGAGGTCAGGAGTTTGAGACCATCCTGGCCAACATGGTGAAACCCCGTCTCTACTAAAAATACAAAAATTAGCCAGGCCTGATGGCGGGAGGCTGTAATCCCAGCTACTTGGGAGGCTGAGGCAGGAGAATCGCTTGAACCCTGGAGGTGGAGGTTACAGTGAGCCAAGATTGCACAACTGCACCCCGGCCTGGGCGACAGAGTGAAACTCCGCCTATAAACAAAAACGAAAACAAAAAAAAACTCCTTAAAGAGTATCTAGATTCAAGGTAAGAATAAGGCAGTTGCAACAGGACTTTAAGGTAGACTCCTCTGTCTCTGTAGCATAAAGGGCAGTGGAAGTACACACTTTCTCCTTGTTTCACTTTTCCTGATCCAGAGTCATTATTTTGCACACCCTCACTCCTGCACCAAGCAGCCTCAAGAGTGCTAGAAATCCCACCTCTTTCCCTGCAGTTGGTGTGCATACAGAGGCCTTCTCCTCTGTCCAGCAGCTTGGGTGGGCAGTGTTGTGGCACGGTGGGTCAGTCACTCATGCAAACCTTCGATCTAGTCATGCTGTGCAGCAGCTACTATGCCTGGGTCTAGGAGGTAGATAACGCAGCAACTCTCAACTGATTTGGAGCCTAAAGCAACAGGGCTTGATGAAGATTTGCTGAAATCTTGGTGCATCAATTTTAAACTTAACTCCCACTGGAATTGGCTTGATGTTACCATGACTAAAAGTTTTAAAGAGGAATACCAACATAATTCCATGGCACAGAGTATATATACATCTTAGTGGTCATTTAATAAAAGTTAGGCGCCTGAGACCCAGATTAGCAGATACTTCTTGGTGTTCTCCAATCCTGTGTTTTCTTCTACCTGGTACACAGCTAGGCTATATTTTCAGTCTTTCTTCTAGTGGCGTGTAGTCATCTCATAGGTCCTCACTGATGGAAATGAAGGAAGAAATGTGTGTCCTTGAAGAAGTAGACGTGCCTTCTCCAGGCTCCCTTTGTCTATTGTCTGGTTGCATATAAATGACCATGAGGTTCCAGGAGATGGCAGATCCCCAAGATGGAAGGAGACTATTTCCGGATTATTGTGTGGAGAGCCACCTGCTCACAAGGAATATCAGAAGAAGGGCACTTATCTTAGGGACCCAGAAACTCTTGAGAAAATGTTATTTACATTAAGAACTTAAATTGAAGAGTTAACCTCCGCAGACTGAATGATCTAAGTGAACTGTAAATTAAGTTTGCACTTATCTACAAAAAATTAAAAAAAAAAAACTTCATGAGAGATATTTTTAAGTCACTTTAAGAGGGGATGTGGTTTAAAATCAATAAAGTTGACAAATACCCTTCATGAAATTTCTGAATGGTACACCAATAGTAGCCCATGAATAGTCAACTGAAATAACATTTAATGAAAAATAAGTATTTAAAAATGCATGTATTAGTGATAATCACTTTCCCGTCACAGGTCTCTTCTATTCCATTCATTTATTCAACATTTTTTATTAAATGGCAGACACTGTATTATCTCTAGGATATACTTGTAAATAAGACAGAGTTGCTGTTTTTATAGAACCTACATCAAAAAGAGAGAGAGAGTACACAAATCATCACATAAATGGAGATAAAAGGATAATTTGGGATTAGTTTGAAGGAAAAGGACCAAGAGGTATAAGGTACTGCAAGGGTTACTGATCAAATTTGGGAGGTGGTGAGGAAGTGCTTCCCTGAGGGAAAGTGACATTTCAATTGTGATCTGACAGATGAGCAAAAGTTAATATGATGAGAAAAGTGTTCCACAGCCTGTTGGAAAGGCCTGAGCAAAGAGGAAGAAAGAGCAAGTTAGTATATCAGAGAAGTGGAGCAGTGCACTTGGGAGAGGGAGTGAGGCCAGAACAGGGTGATGCAAAGCGATCTCAAGAATTTTCAGCCGGATGTGATGGCTCATGTCTATAATCCCAGCATTTTGGGAAGCCAAGGTTGGTGGATCACTTGAGGTCAGCAGTTTGAGATCAGCTTGGCCAACATGGCAAAACCCCGTCTCTACTAAAAATTCAACAATTAGCCAGGCGTGGTCATGCACACCTGTAGTCCCAGCTACTTGGGAGGCTGAGGCAGGAGAATCGCTTGAACCTGGGAGGTGAAGGTTGAAGGGAGCCGAGATGGTGCCACTGCACTCTAGCCTGGGTGACAGAGCGAGACTCCATCTCAAAAAAAAAAAAAAATTTTTTTTTTGTGCTTTATGAAAGATCAGTAGGATGTCACTGAGTATTTAAAGCAAAGTGCCCACAGGGTTCCATTTATTATTGTTGCTTTGAAAAGTGCATTCTGTTTCTAGTGTGGACAAGGATTGGAAGGAATTAGAGTAGATTGTGGGGAGCCCAATGACGAGACCATGCAGCTCTTCAGGAAAGCAAGGTGATGGCTATGTCAGGGGTAGGCAGTGAAGATGGAGAAACGTAGATAGGTTAAGAAGGTATTTTTAAAGTTAAAGCAACCAGGAGTGGCATGGAAATAATATTTTAGAGGGTTCATTTAAAAAACTCTAATTTATTGCCTAAAATTCATGGGAAAACACTAATAGAAATACAAAATGCCTTCCAAGATCTTGGCACTCCATTCCATCAATTTGTTCACTTTCCTCTCAATGTTTCTACATTATTTCTGCATGTGTGTATCTTAGATATTTTCTAGACTTTCTACTTGTCTGTCTTCAATAAAAAATGATTTCTCCAAGTAACATAAAACTATAGTTCTTTAAAATTAATTGAAAACTTTACAGTAGTTTTCTTAGCGTAAAGCAGATATAGTTTAAAGCTCAGAAAGGGGATTCTGGATTTAGTAAGGAAGGATCTTGGAATAATGTATTCCAGATGAAAACACAGTAAGATTGGAAAGCCCAAGTCCCTGAGGACTCCTACTTCTCAGTTCCCTTTCTATCCACCCCCCATCTTTGTCTTTCAACTGTGCAACTGGTGAATTCCTTTAAAATTCCAGAATTTCTATTGCTTTTCCTGTATTTTCTCAGCACTCTCAAGTGAGAAAATATTCTACTGTTACCACCTCCTTCCACTCCCATACCCAAACTGCACCTACACCTCCTGAACACCCATCTTTTAAAAATTCACTTGCCAAAACCCTGGGTTCATATCCCGTGTCTCACATTATTATATGTCTTCCCATTTGTGAACATTTTCTTCCAATTAATTCTATTTAAATAATTTCATTAGGTCTTTTTCATTTTGGAAGATTATTTGTTTACTAATTGGGGATGGGTACTAAGAAGTAAATCATCCATGGAGAAAATTTTTAAAGTTTATTGGGAAAAGGTTATCAGATAGTAGAACAGCTATGAGATTGGAATGAAGTAAGTTCAGCTACAAATAATTTTAGCAAGGTAAATGTAAGTCACAGAATTTGAGCAGGGATTTCTGGAGGTGGACATAGAATCAATAAAATAACCTAAATTGGGTCATTATTCTCCCCAGCAGTTTTTGACTTTAATGGTTTCATCAGATCAAAATTCTACCACGTAGAAAGCAGAAGTGCTTACCTGCCTTACTTTTAGGAAAATGAAAAATTTAGTATTATTTTGCAATTTCTTGACAGCAGAAAATTGTAGATGGACAATATATATATGTGGGTGATTTCATCAGTGCAACAACAACTTAGACCACTTCTTTCTTTCTTTCTTTTCTTTTTCTTTTTGAGATGGAGTCTCTCTCTGTCTCCCAGGCTGGAGTGCAGTGGCGTGATCTCGGCTCACTGCAAGCTCCGCCTCTTCTAATCAATATAAAATTAGGAGACTATGCATTTTAACAACGGCAATTTGTCTTAAGGGAGCAGATTGAAATAGAGGGAAAAATGTAAGGTGATTAAATGCATTGCTTGCATCCCTTTCTCCCTCCCCAGCAGGGTGATGTGCATGTTGCATTGGAGAGGCAGAGGAAGCCATTGTGTACCTGATATGGTTGGGCTGTGTCCCCACCCAAATCTCATCTTGAATTGTAGTTCCCATAATCCCCACATGTCCTGTGAGGGGTCTGGTGGGAAGTGATTGGAGCATGGGGGCTGTTTCCCCCATGCTGTTCTCGTGAGAATGAGTGAGTCTCATGAGATCTGATGGTTTTATAAGCGTCTGGCATTTCCCCTGCTTGCGTTTGTTGTCTCTCCTGCTGCCCTGTGAAGAGGTGCCTTCTGCCATGATTATGAATTTCCTGAGGCCTCCCCAGCCATGTGGAACTGTGAAGCAATTAAACCTCTTTTCTTTATAAATTACCCAGTCTTGGGTATTTCTTCATAGCAGCATAAGAACGGACTAATATAGTGCCTCAGCAGAAAGGTGTGTTGGTTACAGCTGTGGCATTGAAGAAGAGCAGACTGTAAGACACTCTGCAGCTGTCATCTCACTTGGCTAACATCGGGTCATAAGCAGCCTAACACAAGCTCTTTGTTGATTAAGAAAAAGCATTTCTATGGGTCTTATTTTGAATTACTTTCCAAAAATTCCATTATGAATTCATTGTTTGTTATTCAAAAAGTATTTTACCGCAAACCATGTTACAATTTAATATATATAATTATAGTTCCACTGGGTTTCATTTTTAAAGGATTTTAGCTTCACCCAATGACTCAGTGAAACATTCTTTTCATGGCAAGACAATCTAATTTGGAAGAAGAGAAATATATGCACCCCTTCTTGGCAGACTGCTTACAGGCAAAGGAAGCAATGGCTGCTGTAGGGAAAGTGAGCAAATGATGTTGCTCTAGAGGTCATCTGGGTGCTCATGTCTTCCTTCTGCCCAATTCTCAGGAGCATTAGTCCTGGAGCTAGTGCTTGTGGGTCAACAGAAGATTCAACTAAATCACTATAAAAGTGAAGGTCCAGAGTAAGGTAGACACTTCCCATGACCAGAATTATTAATTTGCAGTAAAGAAAATACTTTTTTTCTTTTTAAAAAGGGAAGGTTGCTTTTTTCAGATTTACATAAAAGTAAAAAAAACCCTACCTGTAATCACAGCACTTTGGGTGGCTAAGGTGGGAGGATCAGTTGAGACCAGGAGTTCAAGACCAGCCTGGGCAACATGGTAAGACCCTGTCTCTTCTAAAGAATTAAAAAAATATTATCCTGGCCTGGTGGTACACATCTTTAGTCTCAGGAGGCTGAGGCAGGAGGATCACTGAGCCCAGCAGTTTGAGGTTACAGTGAACCGTGATTGCACCACTGCACTTCAGCATGGACAACAAAGCAAGAACCTGTCTCTAAAGCAAATAAACAAACAAAAAAGTAAATAAACTCCTATTTAAGTAACTCTTAACCCAGATGCTGTAAAATAAGAAATATTGTGTGTGTGGGAGTAAGAGTAAGCCTGGAGAATGGATTCCATTTCTACTGTTTGTTTGTAGAAACCATGATTATGGGGCTATGGGGCTGTAATTCTCTCTGAGATTTGAGAAGAGAGACATAAATATAAATAATAAATATATCTTCTTATATTTATTGAATATATAAATTCAATATTGAATTTACGTTCAAATTCAATAGGCAGCAGTGTGCAGGAGACATACTTAAATAGTTTGCATACTGTATTAGTCTGTTTTCGTGCTGCTGATAAAGACATACATGAGACTAGGTAATTTATAAAGAAAAAGAGGTTTCATGAATTCACAATTCCACGTGGCTGGGGAGGCCTCATAATCATGGCAGAAGGCAAAAGGCATATTTACATGGTGGCAGGGAACAGAAAGAATGAGAGCCAAGTGAAAGGGGAACCCTCTTACGAAACCATCAGATCTTGTGAGAGTTATCCACTACCATGAGAACAGAATCTTCTACCAGATACACTAAATCATCTCTCTCAAGTTCAAAGTTCCACAAATCTCTAGAGCAGGGGCAAAATGCCATCAGTCTCTTTGCTAAAACACAGCAAGACTCACCTTTATTCCAGTTCCCAACAAGGTCCTCATCTCCATCTGAGACCACCTCAGCCTGGATTTCATTGTCCATATCATTATCAGCATTTTGGTCAAAGCCATTCAACAAGTCTCCAAACTTTCCCACATGTTTCTGTATTCTTCTGAGCCCTCCAAAGTGTTCCAACCTCTGCCTGTTATCCAGTTCCAAAGCTGCTTCAACATTATTGGGTATCTTTACAGCAGCATCCCCACTCTACTGGTACCAATTTACTGTATTAGTCTGTTTTCATGCTGCTGATATAGACATACATGAAACTGAGTAATTTATAAAGAAAAAGAGATTTAATAAACTCACAGTTCCACATGGCTGGAGTGGCCTCACAATCATGGTGGAAGGCAAAAGGCATGTCTTACATGCCTCACAATCATGGTGGAAGGCAAAAAGCAGGGAACAGAGAGAACGAGAGCTATGCAAAAGGGATTTCTCCTTATAAAGCCATCAGATGTCTTGAGACGTACTACCACAAGAATAGTACAGGAGAAATCACCCCCGTGATTCAATTATCTCCCCCCGGGTCCTTTCCACACATGTGAGAATTATGAGAGCAACAATTCAAGATAAGATTTGGGTGGGGACACAGCCAAACCATATCACAAAAACATGCAAACACATCTTAGTTGAATAAACCTTGCAAAACCCCGTACACCAAATGCCTTGCTTAAGCCTGCCTTCTGTCCCATGGTCACGCATTCACTGCAGTGAGGATATTGATAGGTTTCTGTAAAGATGACATGAACTTTGGGATAGATTTTGTAATAAAGCTGCCTTCTAGATGTCCAATTTCTAAATCTGCACTAACTTGTTTTCAGAATATAAAATGTATTATTATAATTTAAATTTTACAGTCATATTTTTGAAAGAAAAGGTTTTTAAAAATTTTAGTTCTATTTCAATCTGAAAAAGTAAAACAGTTCATAACACAAAAACAAAGATGCTGTAACAGTGTCAGAAGAATAGTCTTTAACACATATTGAGATTTATGTGTATATTTCTGACTAGTTCTCTAAAACCACACTAATAAAGGGTTCGATCTTTTGATGATGATAATAAAACTATTTTATCCATAAGATATACACTAAAGTGAATATAATTAATAGATTCATTATCTTTTATTAAATCATTTATATTCATATTTTCTTCCCTACCCAAGCAGAATCCTTTAGAACACATTCCACATTAGTTTACTTTTACACCACCTACAACTTAAATTAGGGTAAATTATCAAATAATATTAGTTGAAGAAATTCATTTATTTTTACCCTGATTCTGGCTCCCTTTTATGTGTTTGTGGTATGGCTAACAGTCTGTGGACCTTAAAATATCTTAGAGAAAATGACAAATTAGAAAATCCTTTAGACATTTTCAACAACATCTTTCTCCTTAAAATTTTGCACTCAGGAGGATTTCTTCCTACAATTTTCTACTTTTTCTTCAAATTAAGCATTTATATTCACTCCAAATTCTTTTCTATTTGACAATAGATGTAAGTTGATAAATAACTGTAACCTTTTATAAAGCAGGCTTTAACTTTATATATAACAAATACATATTAAAGTCCATCCACATTTGGGTCAGCAATATGTCTTCTTGATTTCTGTCTTAAAAAGAAATAACCAGTCAACCATGCAATTTGCTTTCATAATTTTGCCCACAACACAGCTGTTCTTCATTAGTACATATATTTTCCGATCAGGGTAAATTTCCAGATAGTAATAATTTTTTTAAAATTAGCTTTTTCTTCTCTGGGCTTAAATAAAAATGATTTTCAGACATTGTTACAAGCTGATGATCTTTCATCAATTTCTTTAACCAAACTTAAACTTTTGAGAATGTCTAAGGGTTTACTTTGTCATCAAGTCAAAACCAACAATGTAGGTGTTATCTTTATCCCAGAAATCATGTCATAGTGAACCAAGATGGCCTTGTATATGTATAGTATAAGAACTAAGTATAAGATGACATGCCAGGAACAGGTTGGCTTTCTAGAGCTTTGTCCAGTCACCTTCTGAACAAAAGCAGATGAACTTTCTTGTTATCATAAAGCCTTGGTCCCAATCAAAAGGCAAATAGCCCAGTGAGGATGGTACTTAAAATTATCAGCCATTTTTACTTTTGTGTAATAGAGAAAAACAAGTTTTAAGACATCTGTAGAAAGAAGAGACTACAAAGACTGAACAACTGAAAAGAGGCAAAAGGTAGCATAGAAAGCAAAAAAAAAAAAAAAAAAAAAGAAAAAAAAGGACCTAGTAAGAGAAAATTGTGGCCAAAGATAAATGTCAAAGACTGTCTCTGGTATCAGCTACAGTTATGTTACTAAGATCTATCCACCGTACTCATTCTAGTTACCACATTCTACAATAAGTTGATAAGTTAAGTAGTAGTCTTTTCTAGGAGTAATACAAAAGATTCTCTTTACTTAAAACCCTAGAGTTCAGAAATTAAAAATGAAGAAGAACAAATGAAAGCCATAGTTCTAATGCAGAAGTTGGGAGCAGAGTCCCAGTGTATATTAATTGTGTGGTATGTAAAATGGTTTCGAGGAACAACTGTAGAATAATGAAAAGGACTATGATGAATATATTCTCCTATTGGGATGAAGCGTATGTATTGCAGAAATAAACGCCAATATTTTTTCCATACAGGGATTAATTACATGGTCAACAGCTGGAATTTACAAGGAGGCAAATTAAATAAAATAGCAGACAAGCATGAACTGCATTCCCACAAAAGCCATAAAATGGGAATACCAAGAGAACTGGCAAATGTAAGTCTTCACCTGTTTTCTTGGACACAGCTTTCCACACACAAGTTGGGGAGTGGAAATTTGTGAGTAGCACACTGTGTGCCACATTGGAAAGATTCAATATGAACATTTTTTCTTTTTTTATTATTATTTTACTTTAAGTTCCAGGATACATGTGCAGAATGTGCAGGTTTGTTACATAGTTATACGTGTGCCATGATGGTTTGCTGCACCTATCAACCCATCACCTAGGTTTCAAGCCCCACATGCGTTAGCTATTTGCCCTGATGCTCTCCCTCCTCTTGCTCCCCTCCCAATAGGCCCCAGTGTGTGTTGTTCCCCTCCCTGTGTCCATGTGTTCCCATTGTTCAACTCACACTTATGAGTGAGAACATCAGGTGTTTGGTTTTCTGTTCCTGTGTAACTTGGCTGAGGATAATGGCTTCCAGCTTCATCCATGTCCCTGCAAAGGAAACGATCTCATTCCTTTTTATGGCTTCATAGTAGTCCATGGTGTATATGTATCACATTTTCTTTATGCAGTCTATCATTGGTGGGCATTTGGGTTGGTTCCATGTCTTTTCTATTGTAAATAGTGCTGCAATAAACATATGTGTGCATGTATATTTATAATAGAATTATTTATATTCCTTTGGGTATATGCCCAGTAATGGGATTGCTGGATTAAATGGCATTTCTGGTTCTAGATCCTTGCAGAATTGCCACACTGTCTTCCACAATGGTTGAACCAATTCACATTCCCACCAACAGTGTAAAAGTGTTTCTATTTCTCCACAGTCTTGCCAGTATCTGTTGTTTTTTGAGTTTTTAATAATTGCCATTCAAATCTCTGAGTAGAACAATAACGAGTTCTGAAATTGAGGCAGTAATAAATAGCCTACGAACCAAAAAAAAGCCCATGACCAGACGGAGTCACAGCCGACTTCTACCAGAGGTACAAAGGGGAGCTGGTACCATTTCTTCTGAAACTATTCCAAACAACTGAAAAGGGGGGATTCCTCCCTAATTCATTTTATGAGGCCAGTATCATCCTGATACCAAAACCTGGCAGACACACAACAAAAAAAGAAAACTTCAGGACAATATTCCTGATGAACATCAATGTGAAAATCCTCAATAAAATCCTGGCAAACCAAATCTAGCAGCACATTAAAAAGCACATCCATCACAATCAATTCGGGTTCATCCCTGGGATGCAAGGCTGGTTCAACATACACAAATCAATAAACATAATCCATCACATAAACAGGACCAATGACAAAAACCACACAATCATCTCAATAGATACAGAAAAGGCCTCCAGTAAAATTCAACATTTCTTCATGTTAAGAACTCTCAATAAACTAGGTATTGAAATAATCAAAATAATAAGAGCTATTTATGACAAACCCACAATATTAAAATAATAAGAGCTATTTATGACAAAACCACAGCCAATATCATACAAAATGGGCAAAAGCTGGAAGCATTCCCTTTGAAAAGCAGCATAAGACAAGGATGCCCTCTCTTACCCCTTCTATTCAATATAGTATTGGAAGTGCTGGCCAGGGCAATCAGGCAAGAGACAGAAATAAAGAGTACTCAAATAGGAAGAGAGGAAGTCAAATTGTCTGTTTGCAGATGACATCATGCAACTTCGGCAAAATCAACGTCCAAAAATCACAAGCATTCCTATACACCAACAATAGGCAAGCAGAGAGCCAAATCATGAGTGACCTCCCATTCACAATTGTTACAAAGAGAATAAAATACCTAGGAATACAGCTAACAAGGGGTGTGAAGGACCTCTTCAAAAAGAACTATAAACCACTGCTCAAAGAAATAAGAGAGGACACAAAGAAATGAAAAACATTCCATGCTCATGGATAGGAAGAATCAATATCATGGAAATGGCCATACTGCCCAAATTAATTTATAGATTCAATGCTATTCCCATCAAACTACCATTGACATTCTTCACAGAATTAGAAAAAACTACTTTGAAATTCATATGGAACCAAAAAAGAGGCTGTATAGCCAAGACAATTCTAAGCAAAAAGAACAAAGCTGGAGGCATCATGCTACCTGACTTCAAACTATACTATAAGGCTACAGTAACCAAAACAGCATGGTACTGGTACCAAAACAGATATATAGACCAATGGAACAGAACAGAGGCCTCAGAAATAATGCCACACATCTGCAACCATCTGATCTTTGACAAACCTGACAAAAACAAGCAATATGGAAAGGACTCCCTATTTTTAATAAATGGTGCTGGGAAAATTGGACATAGGCAGAAAACTTAAACTGGATGCCTTCTTTACACCTCATACAAAAATTAACTCAAGATGGACTTAAAGACTTAAATATAAAACCCCAAATCATAAAAACCGTAGAAAAAAACCTAGGCAATACCATTCAGGATACAGGCATGGGCAAAGATTTTATGAAGAAATTGCCAAAAGCAATTGCAACAAAAGCTAAAATTGACAAATTGGATCTAATTAAAGAGCTTCTGCACAGCAAAAGAAACTATCATCAGAATGAAAAGGCAACCTACAGAATGGGAGAAAATTTTTGCAATCTACCCATCTGACAAAGGTCTATTATCCAGAATTTACAAGGTACTTAAGCAAATTTACCAGAAAAAAAACAAACAACACCATCAAAAAGTGGGCAAAGGATATAAACAGACACTTTTCGATATCAACAATTTTATGCAACTATTTTTAAAAACCTGTGCCTCAGGATAAGAATGTTTCTAATGTACTTGAACTTGAGTGAGGACACCTGCCCAACAATTTCCTCTTAAAGAAGTGGCTGGAGCTAAAGGCATAGTCAAGGTTAATACTCCTTTTTCTTTATCCGAACTCTCCCAAATCAGTTAGCGTTTAGGCTCTTTTTCATCAAATATGAAAATCCAGCCCAGTTCATGGCCCGTTTGGCAACAACCCTTAGACACTTTACAGCCCTAGACCCTGAAGGGTCAGAAGGCCGTCTTATTCTCAATATGCATTTTATTACCCAATCTGCTCTCAACATTAAATAAAGGTCCAAAAATTAAATTCTGGCCCTCAAACCCCACAACAGGACTTAATTAACCTCGACTTCAAGATGTGCAATAATAGAGAAGAGTTGCAATTACTTGTCTCTGCTGTGAGAGAAACCCCAGCCACATCTCCAGCACAAAAGAACTTCAAAATGCCTAAACCACAGCGGTCAGGTGTTCCTTCAGGACTTCCTCCCCCAGGATCTTGCTTCAAGTGCCAGAAATCTGGCCACTGGGCCAAGGGATGCCTGCAGCCCAGGATTCCTCCTAAGCCATGTCCCATCTGTGTGGGATCCCACTGGAAATTGGACTGTCCAACTGGCCCAAGGCTCTGACTCCTTCCCAGATCTTCTCGGCTTAGCGGCTGAAGACTGACTCTGCCTGATTGCTTCGGAATCCTCCTGGACCATCACAGACGCTTTGGGTAACTCTTAACAGTGGAGGATAAGTCCATCCCCTTCTTAATCAATATGGAACCTACCCACTCCAAATTACCTTCTTTTCCAGGGGCTGTTTCCCTTGCCTCCATAACTGTTGTGTGTATTGATGGCCAGGCTTCTAAACCTCTTAAAACTCCCCAACTCTGGTGCCAACTTGGACAGTATTCTTTTATGCACTCCTTTTTAGTTATCCCCACCTGCCCAGTTCCCTTATTAGGCTGAGACATTTTAACTAAATTATCTGCTTCCCTGACTATTCCTAGGCTACAGCCACACCTCATTGCTGCCCTTTTCCCCAGTTCAAAGCCTCCTTCACATCCTCCCCTTGTATCTCCCCACCTTAATCCACAAGTATAGGACACCTCTACTCCCTCCTTGGCAACCAATCGTGCACCCCTTACCATCCCATTAAAACCTAATCACCCTTACCACGCTCGACATCGCCAATATCCCACCCTATAGCACGCTTTAAAAGAATTAAAGCCTGTTATCACTCGCCTGTTACAGCATGGCCTTTTAAAGCCTATAAACCCTCCTTACAATTCCCCCATTTCACCTGTCCTAAAACCAGACAAGCCTTACAGGTTAGTTCAGGATCTGCGCCTTATCAACCAAATTGTTTTGCCTATCCACCCCATGGTGCCAAACCCATATACTGTCCTATCCTCAATACCTCCCTCCACAGCCCATTATTCTGTTCTAGATAAACCTAGCTGACCCCGTAAATCCTTTCGCCATTCCCCTTTCCATTCCTTAAAAAACAGTCCTAAAAGCTGCTCCCACACTAGCTCTCCCTAACTCATCCCAACCTTTTTCATTACACACAGCCAAAGTGCAGGGCTGTCTGGTCGGAATTCTTACCAGCCCTGTGGCCTTTCTGTCCAAACAACTTGACCTTACACTTTTAGCCTAGCCCTCATGTCTGTGTGTGGCAGCTGCCGGTGCTTTAATACTTTTAGAGGCCCTCAAAATCACAAACTATGCTCAACTCACTCTGTACAGTTCTCATAACTTCCAAAATCTATTTTCTTCCTCACACCTGACGCATATACTTTCTGCTCCCCGGCTCCTTCAGCTATACTCACTCTTTGTTGAGTCTACCACAATTACCATTGTTCCTGGCCCGGACTTCAATCTGGTCTCCCACATTATTCCGGATACCATACCTGACCCCCATGACTATATGTCTCTGATCCACCTGACATTCACTCCATTTCCCCATATTTCCTTCTTTCCTGTTCCTCACCCTAATCACACTTGGTTTATTGATGGCAGTTCCACCAGGCCTAATTGCCACTCACCAGCAAAGACAGGCTATGCTATAGTACCTTCCACATGTATCACTGAGGCTACTGCTCTGCCCCCTCCTCCACTACCTCTCAGCAAGCTGAACTCATTGCCTTAACTCGGGCCTTCACTCTTGCAAAGAGACTACATGTCAATATTTATACTGACTCTAAATATGCCTTCTATATCCTGCACCAGTATGCTGTTAATATGGGCAAAAAGAGGTTTCCTCATTACACAAGTGTCCTCCATCATTAAAGCCTCTTTAATGAAAACTCTTCTCAAGGCCACTTCCAAAGGAAGCTGGAGTCATTCACTGTAAAGGCCATCAAAAGGCATCAGATCCCATCACTCAGGGCAATGCTTATGCTGGTAAGGTAGCTAAAAAGCAGCTAGCGTTCCAACTTCTGTCCCTCACAGCCAGTTTTTCTCCTTCTCATTGGTCACTCCCACCTACTTTCCCACTGAAACTTCCACCTATCAATCTCTTCCCACACAAGGCAAATGGTTCTTGGACCAATGAAAATATCTCCTTCCAGCCTCACAGGCCCATTCTGTTCTGTCGATATTTCGTAACCTCTTCCATGTAGGTTACAAGCCGCTAGCCCGTCTCTTAGCACCTCTCATTTCCTTTCCATCATGGAAATCTATTCTTAAGGAAATCACTTCTCGGTGTTCCATCTGCTATTCTACTACTTCTCCAGGGATTGTTCAGGCCCTCTCGCTTCCCTACACATCAAGCTCAGGGATTTGCCTCTGCCAAGGACTGACAAATTGACTTTACTCACATGCCCCAAGTCCGGAAACTAAAATATCTCTTGGTCTGGGTAGACACTTTCACTGGATGGTTAGAGGCCTTTCCCACAGGGTCTGAGAAGGCCACCACGATCATTTCTTCCGTTCTGTCAGACATAATTCCTTGGTTTGGCCTTCCCACCTCTATACAGTCCAATAATAGACTGGCCTTTACTAGTCAAATCACACAAGCAATTTCTCAGGCTCTTGGTATTCAGTGGAACCTTCATACCCCTTACCGTCCTCAATCTTCAGGAAAAGTAAAACAGACTAATGGTCTTTTAAAGGTACACCTCACCAAGCTCAGCCTCCAACTTAAAAAGGACTGGACAGTACTTTTACCACTTGCCCTTCTCAGAATTCGGGCCTGTCCTCGGATTGCTACAGGGTACAGCCCATTTGAGCTCATGTATGGACACTCCTTTTTATTAGGCCCCACTCTCATTCCAGACACCAGCCCAACTTGAACTGCACCCCAAAAACTTGTCATCCCTACTATCTTCTGTCCAGTCATACTCCTATTCACCATTCAAAACTACTCATAAATACCCTGCCCTTGTTTACACTGCTGGTTTACACTTTCCTTCAAACCATCATAACTGATATCTCCTGGTTTTACCTAAAACCGCCACCCTTAAGTCTCTCTTAAAGTGGACAGATAATCTTTGCTGACAGGGTACACTCCAATACTTTCACGCTGGTGAAGTCCTATTCTTAACTTTTATACTCACTCTTATTCTTGTTCCTGTTCTTATGCCATCCTCTACCTCTCCCCAGCTATCTCCACCACACTATCAATCTCTCTCACTCTCTCCTAGCCATTTCTAATACTTCTTTAATAAACAATTTGGCTTTGCATTTCTCTTTTCTCCAAAATCGCCGAGGCCTCAACTTACTCACTGCAAACAAAACAAAACAAAACAAAACAAAACAAAAAAACAAAAAAACACTGTATATTTTTAAATGAAGAGTGTTGTTTTTCTGCTATATGACAACATAAAAGAACTCAAGGATAGAGCCCAAAAACTCACCAACCAAGCAAATAATTATGCTGAACCCCCTTGGGCACTCTCTAATTGGATGTCCTAGATCCTCCCAATTCTTAGTCCTTCAATACCTGTTTTTCTCCTTCTCTTATTTGGACCTTGTGTCTTCCGTTTAGTTTCTCAATTCATAAAAAACCACATCCAGGCCATCACCAATCATTCTGTACAACAAATGATCCTTCTAATAACCCCACAATATCACCCCTTACCCCAAAATCTTTCTTTAGTTTAATCTCTCCCACTCTAGGTTCCCATGCTGCCCCTAATCCCACTCGAAGCAGCCCTGAGAAACATCGCCCATTATCTCTCCATACCACCCCCCAAAATTTTCACTGCCCCAACACTTCAATGGTATTTTATGTTATTTTTCTTATTAATATAAGAAGACAGGAATGTCAGGCCTCTGAGTCCAAGCTAAGCCATCATATCCCCTGTGACCTGCACGTACACATCCAGATGGCCTGAAGCAAGTGAAGAATCACAAAAGAAGTGAAAATGGCTGGTTCCTGCCTTAACTGATGACAATCCACCATTGTGATTTGTTCCTGCCCCACCTTAACTGAGCCATTACCTTGTGAAATTCCTTCTCCTGGCTCAGAACCTCCCCCATTGAGCATCTTGTGACCCCCGCCCCTGCCACTAAGAGAAAAACCCTGTTTGACTGTAATTTTCCACCACCCACCCAAATCCTATAAAATGGCCCCACCCCATCTCCCTTTGTTGACTCACTTTTTGGACTCAGCCCGCCTGCACCCAGGTGATTAAAAAGCTTTATTGCTCACACAAAGCCTGTTTGGTGGTCTCTTCACATGGTCGCACGTGAAAACATCCTTGGCTATGTTGAAGAATGTAAAAAGTACATGCTGAGTTAGTTCACACCACATATTTGTCTACTTCAAAATTTGCAAAGGTAGAGTCCTAACGCTTCATGTGGTCAGCCAGAAAGGAGCAGTGATGGAAAGAAAACCAGAGTATATTTTAGCTGTATGAGCCAATCTGCTTAATCCCACTGAGCTGTACCTAATTAGGTCACTTGCTTCTAGTTCCCATGTAGAAAATAAGAATATACTCCACATATTATACTGACATTAAACCATATTTTAAAATTTCAGTTGAGTGTCCACTTTTGAAATAAAGGAGAATGGAGGACAATTTGCTTCTATTCAGCATTGTAACTCAGTTCAGAGACTTAAGAGTTCTTTTAACTCAATATGGTTAAATTTAATTCTTTTTCAAAATTCCTTAAAGAGTAGAAAAAAAGAAAATAGCAAACAAATAATTAAAATAAAAGCATTGTTGCCAGACTGGAAGCTCAATATAATTCTATTTTTCTTTGGAGTTCAGCTTGCTGAGGGGATAGTCTTTATTCACATTCCACACAAGCAACCATCATCCACACCCACTTTCTTTTTAAAGGAAAACATTTACTTTTGTGACTTGGTCATAATGAAATACAAAGGACCTCTTTGTGTGTGAAAATGAAACTGGGTGTGAGCCTTTTAAGGAAAAATTAAAGAAGGATGTGTATGTAGGGGGTGAAATTCCCAAGTCTTGCTGAGTTGATCCTGCCTACCTCCTACTTAGAAACCAGGCTGTTCTGTATGGCAAGGCCCAGATGTTGTGTGTCAGGGAGCAAAACAGCACCTCCAGTGGATCACCGCCAAGTCATTCCAACAAAGCCAGGCTCAGACTGCTCACTGCACCAAGTTACAGTGCCTGGCACAGAGGCACAGAGAGAATCTCAGCCAGGCAACATCTAATAGATGCTTTCTACAAGGCTGACTCATATCTTCCTGAAATTGGGGGGTCATATTTAGATTCCCAAAGAGAACAAGAGCTTGAAGTTAAGAGTAAGGAAGATGGGGAAACCTAATTGAAGTGACTTAATGTGACCTGGGGGAAGTTTGGACAGAATTGGTGCTTTTGTGAATGCAGTATTTCAGGAGGGCAAAACAAACGTTGCAAATATATAAAAAGAAACAGCACCTTCAAGGCAACTTCCAGAATTGGAGACTCTAGGAATTGATCTCTAGCAACTCCTCTACACTCCTCCTGATCCCACCATTTTCTCAAACTTTTGCCTTCTCTTTGCCGTCCTCAGTTACTCCCAGCCCATCAGGTCTTTCTTTGCAGCCCATAGATATTTGTGGTCAAGCTTATCCTGAAACCAACCTTCATTTCCTCCCATTGTCCTCTAACTTATACTATTGTCCTTCTTTCCACTGGAAAATTTCTTAAACAGGTGGTCTGTGCTGTGCCTCCATGTGTTCTGAAGTCACTACAGTCCCAGTGCTATGTGCTATGAAAATTCACCAAATAACTCCTTATGCATAAACTTCACAGATCTTTTCTCAGCCTGAGACCTCTTGTCCTCTCTGAAGCAATTGATACTATGCATCTCACATCTGTGTTCTGATGATCAATCCTCTCTTATCCTCTTCTAGTTTTTTAGATACTGTGATCACAGTTTATCTCATCTCTCTTTAGATGCTGCTTATCTGTTCCTTTTGTTATCATCTTTTTTTTCTTTTTTCTAATATTCACTCTATCATCTCTCTGCGGGGTCTCTCATGACTGCCAGATTAATCTTTGATTAGGCCACACATCCCATGTCCACCCTGGCCTTCCCTTCTTCTATCTTGGACCACCATTCTCATCAATCAGCCACAGTAATTATTTGAAAGATTTAATCATATAATGTCACCTCTCCACTCAAAACCCTTCAGTGGCTTCCTATCTCAGGCAGAGTCAAAGCCAAATTCCTTACAATCCCAGTAAGATCCTGTGTGATCTGGCCCAGGCTATGTCCCTGAGCTGAGGCCTCTGCCTCTGGCTCACCATCACTGCACTCACCCCTTCAAGGCCTACCTGAGGGCTTCTGCAGCTCTGCTTCCTCTCCCTAGAAGGATTTTCCCTGTGGTTATTGAGAAGGCTTGAGCACAAAATTTAAAACAGATGCCTATCACTCCCTATCCACATTTTCTTCTTTATTTGCTCCAAAAGATTTATAATTATCTAATATTTTTTCTTATTTATTATTATTTTTTAGAGTCAGGATCTTGCTCTGCCACCCAGGCTGTAGTGCAATGGTGCAATAATGGGGCACTGCAGCTTGAGCTCCCAGACTCAAGTGATCCTCCCACCTCAGCCTCCCAAATACCTGGGACTACAAGGGTGAACCACACTGTGCCCGGCTCTCATATTTTTTATTTATTTACTTTTATCCCCCAACTGGAATAAAAGTTACATGAGGATAGAAACTTTTGAGTGCTTTGTTAATGGCCAAATCCCCAGTGCCTATCACAGTGCTTGGCATATAGTAGGTGCCCAATAAGTATTTGTTGAATGAATGAATATTAAAATTAATGTGGAAAATCAACAACCATATATATGGATCTATTTTCTGGCTCTCTATTTTGCTTCACTGATCTATCCTTAAGCCAACACCACACTGTCCTGTATATAATAGTTGTATAGTAAGTCATGAAATCATGACTTTCATGTAAGTCTTTCAACTTTATCCTTCTTTTTCAAGATTGTTTTGGCTTTTCCAGTGCCTTTGTCTTTCAATATAAATTTTATAATCAGCTCGTCAATTTCTTTTAAAAAGTTGTCTAGGATGTTGCTTGAAATTACATTGATATAGATCTCTATCTATAGCTAGAACCCACTGCACACCCACTGGAATGGCTAAAGGTTAAAACCTGACAATACTAAGTGTTGATAACAATGTTAGGCTATTGGAACTTTTACATATTGCTGGAAGAATGCAAAATTGCACAACTACTTTTGAAACCATCAGGACAGTATATTATGAAGTTATACAAGCACTTACCATGTGGCCCAGCAGTCTCACTCCAAGGTATTCAATCCCCCAAAATAAAAACATGTTTCATACACAGGCTTGTATGAAAGTGTTCATAGGAACATTATTGAGAAATAGCCTCAAACTAGAAATAACCCAAATGTCTATCAAAACATAAATGGATAAGCAAGTTAAATAACACCATCCACTTTGATACAATGCATGAAAAGTGAGTGATAACAAGGAGCAAAATATTAATATACTTAACAGCATGGATGAATCTTAGAAGCATTATGTTAAGGAAAAGGAGCCAAATATGAGATACCGCATATTGTATGATTTGATTTACATAATATCTCCACAAAACAGAAATATGTAGAAATAGAAAGATTCGTGGGTGCTTGGGGCAGAGAGTGGGATGAATGGGATGCATAGTAAATGAGCCTAGAGGATCTTACTGGGGTGATGAAAGTATTCAACAACTTATTTATGGTAGTGGTTGCACAACTCAGTATATTTATTAAAATCATTGAATACACTTAAAATGGGTGAATTTTATGATATATAAAATATGCCACAATAAAGTTACAAAAAACATGCTAACTGATAGATAGCAAGCATAATAGTACTGCATCCTGCATGATTCCATTTATATAAAATTCTAGAAAAAACTGAACTGTAGTGACAGAAGGCCCATCAGTAGATGCCTGGGGCTGGAGTTTGGGGAACTGGCTCGACTGCAAAGGGGCACAAGCAATGTTTTTTGTGTGAGGTATTCTATTTTACATCTTATTTTGCTGGTGGTTACATGGCCTGTATACTACTACCCAAATTCACCAAACTGTGCATTTAAATTGGTGAGTTTTATTGTGTCCAAATTTTACCACGAAACAGGCCAAATAATACTTGTATGTAGTTAATTCTGCAATTTTGTTTCAATTATTCTTAGTTAACATTTTTTCTACATTTAAAAATTGCACGTTCTGAAGTTCTTAGTGCTTCTTTAAGATGTATTTAATTCACTTGACCCTAATTGTTCAGATAAGATCACAGAGTAAGGGAAATTACTGGAGATTCTCAATCACTTTTAAATTATAAACGTCCCTGAAATTGTCAAAAGAGGAAAACAAAAAAACATATAAAGCTTTCTTAAGCAAATGGCAAGATTCAAAAATACTCCAAAGTTTAGTACACATTTTGGCATATCTTGCCTCTCTTCCCATTGAAGGAAAAAATATTAGAAAAGAGCAGTAAAATCTAATTTGAACTTCAAAAACGACACAAATATCTATCAGTAGGAAACTGGAAAGATACACTGTGATAGATTCATACAATAGAGTACTACTCAGCAGGAAAAAGGGATGAATTATTAATACAATATCAATTACAGAAGCATTTTGAGTGAAAAAAGCCAAATAAAATGTATAAATATAATATGATTTTATTTATATCAAGTTCAAGAACATGCAAAAATGAATCTATGGAGATATAATTCAGAATAGTAGTTGCTTCTGGTAAGGAAAGGATTGATTGGAAAGTAGCAGAAGGAAACCTTCTAGGCTCGCAGCAATAAGTATTTTATATCTCAATTGGGTTGCTGGTTACATGAGTGTCTACATTTGTCAAAACTGTGAATTTTATTATATAAATTTATAACCTGATTTTAAAAATTGGCTCTCATGAGGCTAGGTCTCTAATGGTTAGTAAATTACCAGGAAACATGAAAAGTAAGGGAAAGTGTACAGACATTAATTATATAATTCTATTAGGAAAGTTGTAAAGTATAAAGAAATTATGTGGAAATAATATAACTATACTCTAAAATACACCATATATATTAAGTTTTGTGATAATAATTGTTGACCATTTCAAGGAGGAATATAAAATATAGCTATAAAAATGGACAGAAGAGATTAAATTCTGCCAATGAAAATTTGAAATTAAGCATTAGAAAAACACAGAATGTGGAAAAAGCAAGGACAGATGAGAAGACATTAGAGGTCATATATTAAAGAAAAAGTTTTTAAATTAAAGAATAAAAATAGAATCAATACTCAATAATGTAGTTAAAATGTTCTTAGATATTTAAAAATCAGTGATACTTAGAAGGAAAGCACTTACCTTGTCTTAAATAAAATAAACATTAATCAACTCCAAAGTACTGTTCAAATTCAAGAAAAAGAGAGTCCCTTAATTGTGCAAAGGAAGAGTACAATAAAGATTAATTCAAAGGAGATGAAACGTGTACAATGCTATGGGAACAATTATGCCTTCTTAAGTAGCTGACATGGCAATGCTTTTTGACAGAGATTTACCTTTTCCAGAAAATGTTTGCTAGGAGTGGGGTTCAAGAAGTGACAAAGCAAGGAGGTTCATGAGGCTATGATCAGTTGCGGAGAAACTGGCGTTTTTGGAGATGACGTCTAGGAGTAAGGAATAAGAAGGAGCAACAGTAAGACTTACCACTGACTTTGCAACAGAAATAATGTGAGCTAGAACACAACAAAATGACATTCTTAAAGTACTGGAAGAAAATAACTTCCAGAGGTTATTTACATTCTCAGCAAAAATAACTTTATAAAGATGAAACAAAGATATTCTCAGAAAAAATTGAGAACTTGTTTATAGAAGACCTAAATTATAGGGAACTCTTCAGACAGAAAGATAATAATCATAGAGGGACATTTTAAAAATGCAAAAAGGAAGAACAATTGAAAAAATAAATAGGCATATAAGAGAAATAAATATTAAATACCTATTAACCATAGAAAACAATAATAGTAATATTAATGTATTGTGGAGTTTAAAATATGTATAATAAAATACTGTCACGATAATGCTAAGGGGTATACAGGGTCAAGGTGTTCTAAATTTCTAGTAATACCAGGAAAATGGCAAAATTAAAAAAAATCAGACTATAGTAAGTCAAGGATGTCTGTTGTAATATCTAACATAATATAATAGTAAAATCATATATACTTAACAAGTTAACATATGAAATAAATGGAAAGAAAAGTTTAATTAATCCAAGGAATACGAGATAGGAGACTAAAGAAACACAAAACAGGTGGGTGAAATGAGAAAAAAATTATTAAGATAATAGATGCAACCCAACGAAATTGTAACTTTATTAAAAGAAAAAGAACTGAAATTCCAAGTACTTCTCTTTAAACTATGTGGGGGTATCACATATAGTTTTCTGCTCTGTATCCATACCCATAACTTTTCTTTGAAAGTATTCAGTGCTCATACCAAGGCTTGCCCATTCCTGAATTATTTTTCTCTCTTTGTACCTTTTATTTTTAGGTCATTTTGTTATCAAAATTATCTACGGACATAGTTTTAAAAGGCAAATACTACACACACACACACACACACACAGACACACAAACACACAAAGCTGACTAAAAATTGTATCCGACTGTATTATGAACTTTTTTTTTTTTTTTTTTTTTAGATGGAGTCTCGCTCTGTCGCCCAGGCTGGAGTGCAGCGGCATGATCTCACTGCAAGCTCCGCCTCGCGGGTTCACGCCATTCTCCTGCCTCAGCCTCCCGAGCAGCTGGGACTACAGGCACCCGCCACCACGCCGGGCTAATTTTTTATATTTTTAGTAGAGGCGGGGTTTCACCATGTTAGTCAGGATGGTCTCGATCTCCTGGCCTCGTGATCCGCCCGCCTCGGCCTCCCAAAGTGCTGGGATTATAGGCGTGACTCACCGCGCCCGGCCCTATATTGTGAACTTCTACAAATAATATGAAAGAAACAGAAGACAGGCAACACAATAGAAAGTGGGCCAAATCATAAAGTGGGCACTTCATGAAAAAGGACATCCAAATTGCTAATAAACATATGAAAAGATGCTCAACTCTCTTAGTCATCAGCGAAATGCAAATTAATTAATCAGAATGAATAAAATTAAAAGACAGAAAATTCAGAGTGTCAACTGGAATTCTCGTATATTCCAGGAAGGATTATAAATTAGTAAAACTTCATTGAAAACGGTTTGGTAGTACTTATCAGAGCTGAGTATATACTTAACCTTATGAGCTGGCAATTCCAGTCTGAGGTATATTGTGTGTGTGTGTGTGTGTTTATATATATTGTAAGGTAGGAGGATCAGCTACATTATTTTCAGGGACAAGTGCAAAATGAAATGAAGGATTCCTGTCGAGGAGAAATTAATAACATACAGTATTGTCAACTGAAATCTGGAGGCTTTAATGCAAATCTCTTAGTAGATTGGAAGGAAAAAGGAATTAAGGATAGCTCAGGAACTAAATAATTACTATAAGAGATCTCTTTCTCTTTTTCACACACACGCATACACACACACAAGCACACATTTTCTATGGAAATATACATGAAACATTTATAAATGTTACTTACCACATATTAGACTTCAAAAGATAATCAATACATTCTAAAATAGCAAAAGTTGTATAGAATACATTCAAATATATTCCCTTCTCTCAATAAAAAAAAAAAAAACAGAAATAAGTAGTATAGTTCCAAAAGTCTCACCACCTGTCAATGTAAAAATTCTGCTTTACACCGTTTGAGTTTTATTAAATCAAGAACAAAATTTCAAAATATATTTAAAATAGCAAAAATGAAGACTCTGCATAATATAGTGCTCAAAGAAAAATCCATAGAGTTGGGCTGGACGCAGTGGCTCACACTTGTAATCCCAGCACTTTAGGAGGCCGAGGTGGGTGGATCACCCGAGGTCAGGAGTTCAAGACCAGCCTGGCCAACATGGCGATACCCTGCCTCTACTAAAAATACAAAAATTAGCTGGGTGTGGTGGCAGGCGCCTGTAATCCCAGCTTCTTGGGAGGCTGCTGAGGCAGGAGAATCACTTGAATCCGGGAGGTGGAGGTTGTGGTGAGCCGAGATCGTGCCATTGCACTCCAGCCTGGGCGACAAGAGCGAAACTCTGTCTCAAAACAAAAAAAGAAAAGAAAAGAAAAGAAAAATCCATAGAGTTAAACAATTACATTAATGGTGAAGAAAAGTCTTGCAAACACATTACTAAACATTACACTTCAGAAGTTTGACAAAAATCCAAAATACTTAATATTAGAAATTAACAGAAATAAAATAGAATACACATGAACATATGATAGATAATAGTGAATCCATTCAAGATGGAAAGAAATGACATATAAAATTATAATACAAATTGGAAAAAGAATAGAGAAATAATATTAAGTTTTAAAAAATTCTTTAGCACTATGCAAATATATTTGAAAACCTGGAGGAAATGATTGATTTTCCAAGAAACTGAAGTCACCAAGACCAACTCCCATAAAAGGCAGAAATATTTAATAATGAAAATTACCTAGGAAGAAAAGCAGAATGTGTGTGGAGTACAATCCCTTCCCTGAAGGCATCAGAATAAAATTGTTTAATGGATGGAGGCGCTATGAATGTACACTCCAACCTTGTTTAAACTTTTCTAAAACAGAGAGCTCTGAATTCTTTTCACAATGGAAGTTGGCATAGCCATGATACTAAAACCTGAACAAAAGGATACAAATACAGAAAATCAAAGATCAGATCTTTTATGAATATTTGTGAAAACATCCTAAATAAAAAATTGAAAAATAACATCCAATAATAATCTATCACCAACAAATAAGATATTGTTAATATAACATCATAATCATGGTAAAGAAGAAGAAATGATCATTTTCTCAGGTGGTGAGTGAAAAAACTAATAAAATCCAACACCCATTTCTGATAAAACTCTTATTAAATTGGAAAAGAAGCTTACTTTCTTTATAATACCTTATGGTATTTTTCCAGTTAGAAAATTTTACTATTTATGTAATCAGGTCCATCTTAGACATTTCTCACTACAGTTTGAAAATGCATATACCCCTTAAGCCAGAAACATTACTTCTTAGATCTATCTTACAAAGAAACTTTCATATTTGAAAAAAGATATGTATACAAATGGTTGTTGAAGCCTTGTTGCTCACAGATTTTAAAAATTGAAAGAACAAAATGTTCATCAATGAGGAAATAATTAAACACATGATTTATTCATACTTTGGAATAATAAAAAAGTCATTTAGAAGTATAAGGTAAAGACTTTCAAAACATATTTTCATGTATTATTCATTTAATTAAACATAAATGTTAAAGAATGCTAAAATAAAATATCCTCAGGAACTCTTTTTTTTTTTTTTTTTTTTTTGAGATGGAGTCTCGCTCTGTCGCCCAGGCTGAAGTGCAGTGGCGCGATCTCGGCTCACTGCAAGCTCCGCCTCCCGGGTTCACGCCATTCTCCTGCCTCAGCCTCCCGAGTAGCTGGGACTACAGGCGCCCGCTACCACGCCCGGCTAATTTTTTGTATTTTTAGTAGAGACGGGGTTTCACCGTGTTAGCCAGGATGGTCTCGATTTCCTGACCTCGTGATCCGCCCGCCTCGGCCTCCCAAAGTGCTGGGATTACAGGCGTGAGCCACCGCGCCCGGCCCCTCAGGAACTCTTATACCCACTGAGTCTGAGGAATAAAGTATTGATGTCCTAAAAATAAAAATTCAATTTTAGTTTTAAAAAATAAATGAACTAAATCAACACTTTCGAAGGAATAAAGCATTCCTTTAAGAAATACATTTTAATTAAACCTGCAAAAAGAATGTAAAACTGTGGTTCTATGCTATGATTGTTTAGGAAAGAAGGTAAATGTGACCAAGATGACCAAGTAATGATAAAGAAAGTGACTGAAAAAATCAGGTAATACAGAATGAACAACACATACACAGAGACTGGTTTTTATACGATTTCAAACTTTGGGAAATCACCAAGAACCAAAAAGACTATGCTAAAAAAATTAAAGCTGTTGTTCCTATATAAAACCCTATGCGAATGTGAACTTTTGTGAAACAGTTGTTGAAATATTTATAGTCTCGGAGTAATGTGTGTGTGTGTGTGTGTGTGTAAATTGAGCATTATAAAAATGTAGATTACACAGGAAATTTTGATGTCATGTTTTTACCTAGACTTACCTCAGTGACCTCACCAAATAAACACTGAGGTTTTACAAAGACAGATATTGTTCTGTGATGATCTCTCTATGGTTATTATACTAGGGCAATGATGGCACCGTCACCTGGTAGTGATAGTGCTGGTTTCCAAATCATCACTGAACACTGGGGCAGTGGGTCTTTAAGTGTTGGTCTATAGGAAGATAGTATTTCTGGATCATAATATTGATTAATATTAATATAGATTATTGATAGGTCCATTCTTAGAAACTTGTAGAATAAGGATTTCATGGAAAGGTTGGTAACAGACGATGAAGGGAGAATAAATCCTACCTAATAGTCAGTGAACACTAACTATGGAACACAAAATTTTTGAGGGATTTCATAAATATGAGGTAGTTACAACTACTGCCCTCTCCTTACAAATGAGGTAATTGTGCCATAGAAAGGCTAAAGACTTGCCTAGGGATGTAACCTCCCAACAGTTTCACCTTGCCCGTTGCCTAGACAGAACCAATTTATCAAGACACGGGAATTGTAATGGAGAGAGAGTAATTCACGCAGAGCTGGCTGTTTGGGAGACTGGAGTTTTATTATTACTTAAATCAGTCTCCCTGAGCATTCTGGGATCAGAGTTTTTAAAGAGAATTTAAAGAAAAGAAAAATCCATAGAGTGAAACAATTACATTAATGGTGAAGAAAAGTCTTGCAAACATATTACTAAACATTACACTTCAGAAGTTTGACAAAAATCCAAAATACTTAATATTAGAAATTAACAGAAATAAAATAGAATACATATGAACATATGATAGATAATAGTTAATCCATTCAAGATGGAAAGAAATGACACATATAAAATTATAATACAAATTGGAAAAAGAATAGAGAAATAATATTAAGATTTAAAAAATTCTCTTCAATTTTTTGGCGGATAGGGGCTTGGAAAGTAGGGAGTGCTGATTGGTGAGGTTGGAGATGGAATTATAGGGGGTCGCAGTGAGGTTTTCTTGGTGTCTTCTGTTCCTGGTGGGATGGCAGAACTGGTTGAGTCAGATTACTGGTCTGGGTGGTGTCAGCTGGTGCATTGAGTGCGGGGTCTGCAAAATATCTCAAGCACTGATCTCGGGTTTTACAATAGTGATGTTACCCCCAGGAGCAATTTGGGAAGGTTCAGACTTTTGCAGCCAGAGGCTACATGACCCGTAAACCATAATTTCTATTCTTGTAGCTAATTTGTTAGTCCTGTGAAGGCAGACTGGTCCCAAGGCAAGAAGGGGGTCTTTTTGGGAAAGGGCTATTATCAGTTTTGTTTCAGAGTCAAACCATAAACTACATTCCTTCCCCAGGTTAGTTCAGCCTGCACCCAGGAAGGAACAAGGACAGCTTAAAAGTTAGAAGCAAGATGGAGTCGGTTAGTTCTGATATCTTTCACTGTCATAATTTCCTCAGTTATAATCTTTGCAAAGGCGGTTTCAGGGACACACAGCTAGTAAGGTGCAGACCAGGAATTTGAACTCAGAACAGCTCTAGAGTCTACGTGTTTAACCGTGATGCAATACTGTCTCTCAAATGGGAACTACCTTTATAATGAGAACAAACTGGGCAAGAATAGCTCATGAAGAAAAGTAAGAGGTTTTGGAGAAGGCAGACAGCTCGAGAGCTGTTCATGCTTTACGATCATAACTGCTCTCTGAAAGGAACATGTGCAGATGTCTGACTTGCACCTAGCCAATTTATTACCAAGCAGATTTAATTTATAAATAGTATAAGCAAATCATTTTTATGGGTCTTCTTGTTGCTCTATTCTAGGATATTGCATTGGGAATCAGTGCTGTGGAATTTCTTTCAGGTATGTAGTGGGACATAGCTGTCCACAGTATAGCTAAAGGAAATACCCACAAAAAAGGGCAAAACTGATTTGAACACCAGAGGTCTATAAAACTCTTAATCTCCTGTAAGTATGAAAATAACCAAAGGAAAAGTTATATATCTTGTGACCTTCAAAAAATACAAAAAATTAACAACATGTACACGTATATGCACAGATAGTTGTCCCCCTTTATCTGCAGTTTCAGTTACCTGCAGTCAACTGCGGCCTGAAGTATTAAATTGAAAATTCCAGAAATAAATAATTCATAAATAAATAATTCAATTGCATGCCGTTCTGAGTGGTGTGATGAAATCTTGAGCCACCTGGTTCCGCCCCTGAGATGTGAATCCTTGCTGTGTGCGGCATCTCTGTGCTGTACACGCTCCCCTCTGGGCAGCAGCTTTGTAGCCATCTTGGTTATGAGGTGGACTGTGGCGGTGTCTTATGCTTGTGTTCAAGGAACCCTTATTTGACTAAATAATGGCCTGAAAACATGAAAATAGTGATACTGGCAATTTGGATATGCCAAAGAAAAGCCTTAAAGTGTCTTCTTTAAGTGAAAAAGTGAAAGTTCTCAACTTAATAAGGAAGAAAAGAATTGTATGTTGAGGCTGCTAAGATACGCGGTAAGAAATAATCTTCTATTTGTGAAATTGTGAAGAAAAAAAGAAATTAATGTGAGTTTTGCCATCACATCTCAGACTGCAAAAATTACAGCTCAGCATGTGTTCAGTGTCTAGTTAAGATGGAAAAAGCATTGAATTCGTGGGTGGAAGATATGAACAGGAATATGATCTGATTGACAGCAATCGAGTTTGGTACCATTTGCGTTTCAGGCATCCACCAGGGGTCTTGGAAGGTATCCTCTGTGAATAAGGAGGGACTACTGTATAGATTTATATTTTAAGAGCATTAAATATTTCCTAAATTCTTAGATCTCTAAAATTTTGTATTATTGATGAAAAGTTTAAATAATAATGCAAGGTAAAGAATCTTCTTGAGAGTTTGAACAAAAGACAAAATATATATGAGTAAGGTTAACACACACAAAAAAACAAAGTATTATCTCCCAATACTTTTAAGACAAGCCATTAATACCAGCTTCAAATAATAAATTATATTTTACATAGGAAGCTGATTCGTTTGATTAAATGTCACTAATATCAATGAGGCAAGCCATGGGGGACAAAAAGATGGTCATCAGAACACCTTGAGTGGTTGTTGGAGAAAAGTTACTTCACAGAGGGGAAGCTTTGCAGGAGGGTTGACAAGATGACCCAGGAAGTCTTTCGTGGTCTCATTAACTGTGCTTTTTAGATTTGGCTTTTCTCACATTGTCGTTTGTCTCCTCTTTGGGACTGTTATTCCAGGCTCCCTACGGAGTAAGGCTTCTCAAGTTAAGTCTGGATGTAGATCGTTTCTTTGCCAAGAGTTTGCCCAATTCGGGTCTAGACCAGTTTAATTTAACTCATTTTCTTCTGCCTTTCCAAAGCTTGAGAAAACTCCAGGGCATTCTTTCTAAGCATAATAAACAACACTCAGAACCACAAACTGATGGTGGATATTGTGAGTTTTACTTGCATCATAAACTTAGGGAATTAAAGTGGTTGCCTGCTTTCTGGAAAATGGCAATTGGACTCTAGTTTAATATAACACAAAAATTATTTTATGTGAGAACACAGCATTCTCTATAGTGAGTTTTGTTCTTGGCAAAGGATATATCGTGTAGCTGGCTTGTTCCTCAAGCCCATCTGGAGGGAGTGGTCACTGAAATGTATGTGCTGGAGTCTGTGTCTCCAAAGTTGCATGTTTTCTTTTCAAACATCCTATTTCTTTAAGGGGAACAAATGTTTTCTCCACAAAGGCCGCCTCTGCCTCCCGCCTGGCTGCTCAGGTTTCTGCCTTCCTTTTGGTTACTGTGTGGCTGGTGAGTTCTCAGTGTCCCAAAGGGGGACTCGGCACTAGCTGTTGGGGCTGAACAAACAATCCCAGCCGAAACCAGAACAGAATCTTAGCGCACTGCTTTCACCATCATGGTCTTCAGCTCTGTTTCAGTTTTCCTTGCCAAAATAGATATAATATCAAACATTGAGATGCTGCCAAACTCAGCAGTGAAACAGACTCACAATAATTGCTGCCGTTTATTGAATGCCTCTAGGTGCCAGGCCTTGTACCCTGAAGTTTATGTAAACCACACTGTGTTTAATCCTTGCAACAATACTATGAGGTAAGCGCGACTATTTCAGTTTTACATTCACTATAATGGAGGTTTAGAGACCCAGAGACATCAAGGAAATTGCCCGTGGTAACAGGTCATAAGTGGCAGTGTCCTAATGTTTGCCCAACTTATCACTCAGCTTTCTCTTTTTTGTGTCTCAAAATAACTTACAGCAACTTCTTGATCTGGACCCTGCAGACCATTCATTCATTCAGAGTGAACTAACATTTATGGAGCCTCTGTCACTTGAGAGGCTTTGAGCCAGGCACGAGGGATAGGGTGTGAACAGAGTGGACACATCCCTGACTGAATAAAGGTCTTTCCAGCCTCATCTGGTGCTACTCTCCATAGGCAGCAAATGCTCTAGCCACACCATAGGACTTGAAGTTACTTAATAACATCCAGTGTCCCTTCACCTCTGTTTCTGTGCTGTTGCTTCTGCCCCAATCCCCTACCCTGTGGTCCTCTGCTTTGCTGGCTGCTACTCACCATTCCTGATTCCGTGCCTAGATCACTGCTCCATGCAGCCTTCTTTGAACTCCCTAGTTAGAGTTAGATCCCTTTCCTCTATATCAGAGCTCTCACATATGTCAAATGCCACCATGCCTGTCTGCTTATGTGTTGTCTGTGGCTGCTTTCATGCTACAATGGGAGACTTGAGTAATTGCAAAAGGGGTTGGCAGACTTTTACTAGAAAGAGTCAGATAGTCAATATATCTTAGGCTTTGTGGGATAGATGGTCTCTGTCATGGAAATACTGGGGAGGTAAGAAAAGTCCAGTCTCTATCTGTGGACGCTGTAATGACCATGATATCTGGTTTGGTGGATCACATTCCCTAACAGTTATTTTATAAATTAGAGGTTAGAGTAGGCTAGACAGCTGAGGATAAAATAGGTAGATTTTACTGGGGAAGCAAGACGGTCACAATGAGATGAGAACATACTGTATTTTACTTAGTTACCATCTTCAAGTGACTTGTTCTCCTATCTGTGAAATCTATACCCATCCTCTCTCTCTCTCTCTCTCTCTTTCTCTCTCTCTCTCTCACACACACACACACAAGCATACACAGAGATAGTTTTAAGGAACTTTGGAACTTTAAGTTATGAAAACTCATATTTCTTATCTATTTATTTAATCTATTCATCTAAGAAACATTTAAAAAGCATCTAATACTTCTAGATTCCAGAGTAGTAAATGAAAATACAGCAATGAATAAGACCAATGCTTGCCCTCAAGAGACCATTTAATAGTATCAATTTCATACGCTTTTTAAAGGTGTAGATAGAAAATCTTTTAAAAATTTGTTTTAAATATTTATCTTACTCATGCCAAAAAATGCATCCCTCTTTTAGTAATTTTGGAGCAAACATCCCATTTCATCAGTTCCATAGGTAACTTTATAGAATTTGATGATATTCTTGCTCAGCTTCTGCTTTTTTGAGGATTTACCCATCCCATATGTTTTAGTCTTCATACAGTGGCTGCCCACCTCTCCTACTTTTGATGATGTAGAGGACATGATTGACTTTTCAGTGTGCATGTCAAGCTTGTGTTCTCAGAGTATTTTTACTGTCATTTCAGGTTCCTTTACTGGGTTGCAATTGATAGAGAATATATCTTGCTTGACTCTGCTCACAAAGGTTCCTAAGACCTCCCTCTAGTCTTAGCTCATTCACCTGTCTACTTGCTACTTACAGAATTTAGGTGGAGTTCATAATTTTAGAGATTATGCTAGAGAATTCCTTTATTCAATAATCTATGCAAATAATACAAGAAATGAATTTTAGTATTCATTCTTGAGAACAATTGTCATCCAAACAAGCATCTGTTTACTTCAGCCCCTTGCTTCCTGTCCATAAATTAACATCCTCTTCATGAAAATCATCTCTATCATGGTTTCAATCTTGTCTCTTTCTCTATGTTGAACACCTACCTGGGAGCTTTCTTAAAAAATATGGAATGATTGGTGCTGGGAACCCACCTCTTGAGAGACACACTGGTGTTGGATGACTGCTATGGCCCAAATACCTCTTACATGTATGGTGGCTAAATGTCAGCCCTGCACCACAAGAGAAATGAAGTGACATGATTTCTATAGTAGTTTTTTTGAAGAGTCTTAAATTTTATACCCATTGAAAAATCAAAAGAAGTTCCAGTTTTATAAAGAGAAAAAATTATGGTCCACTTCTCCATTCCCTAACTTACTTCACTGCCCCCCAACCCCCCAAAAAATCTTACAATGTGCCTTTTATACTCTCTGTCTTCTTCTTCTTCTTCTTAAATAGGGTCTCACTCTGTTGCCCGGGCTGGAGTGCAGTGGTACAATCACAGCTCACTGAAGCCTCAATCTCCCAGCCTCAAACTATCCTCCCACCTGAACCTCCTGAGTAGCTAGAAATACAGGTGTGCACCACCAGACTTGAATAATTTTTAAATTTTTATTTGTATTTTTTTTTTTGTAGACATTAGTTCTCACTATGTTGCCTGGGCTGGCCTTGAACTCCTGAACTCAAGCAATCCTCTTGCCTTAGCCTCCCAAAATGTAGGGATTACAGGAGTGAGCCACCACTCCTGGCCTCTTATTTCCTTTTATAATTTTCTTACCCCATCAGAAGAGTCCATTTTAGGAAGGTCTTTAGACTCCATAATTATAATCAAAACACAATCGATAACATTTATTTTCAAATCCTTTCTGATTCATTTTAGAATATTATGAAAATATGAATCTCTTAATTAGAACTCTTTTACTAGAAAAGTACTCCAAATAAACTAAGAGTAAACAACTCTGTTTTTCTCTTTTATGACCTGCCTATTTGAAGTTATTATAACTAACATCCAGAGGCCAATGCCTCCTCCTCCAGGAAGCTTCCCATAATTTACTGTCTCCTCAACTCTTGACACACAGCACCTCTCCGAAAGACACACCCTGTAATTATCATATTTGAATCTGTTTTTAAAAATTATTTAAGTCTACTTTTGGGTATATTTTTTGTATTTATGTATTCGACAAATATCTACGGAGCACCTATTATGTGCCAGACCCTAGATCATGTTCTGGGAGCTCAGAGTATAGGATTGAAGAAGAATCCTATACATTCCTTGCCCTCATGGAGCTTATGTATCAGTACATTGCTTCATATTATAATAGTGCTATCTGTGTGATGGTAGAGGCTCTATCTCTCCATCTTTAGTTTCTAATGTTTTGCCTTGTGACACCTAATAAATTAACGTCCAATAAATACTAATGGTTGTTTGGCTTCCAGTGTAGTTTTTGCTGCCCACAGCCATTCACATTCTTCTGATAACAGTACCCCAGGTTTCTCTTGGGAAATTCACAGAAAAGCCTCATGGTTAAGTATTATTATCTGAAATTGCCTGTGCTAAAATCTTGGCATGGCTATTTACCATCTCTGGACCTTGCTCAAAGTGCCCAGCTTCTCAGTATCTCAGTTTTCTCATACATAACATGGTGCCATTGACAGAACCAGCTTCCTAGGATTGTTATGAGCATTGAATGAGCTAATGCCTACTGCCTGTAAAGTGCTCAAGATGGTGCCAGACCATAGTGAAATGCTACGTAACTATTTTTCTTTATGATTATTATTAATTCCTTTTTTGGGGAGCAATTATTCTGGGGACAATCAATCTCCCCTTCCCAACTTTTTAAGAGCTGCACACGACTTTCCCAGGACTTTAAATCTTGGAGCTTTTTTATCCCATGGGCAGTGCCCTAATAATTCTCTCTTAGTTTCTGCTACTTAGGTCTCCAAGGTGCCCTGGTTTCTGACCTTTCCAAGGCTCGCTCTTCAGCCCCCTATGGCTTTCAAGAGCTATTATATACCCTTGCAATAAAATCTTTGTTTTCTTAAGTTAATCAGCATCTGTATCAGTTGCTTGCAACCAAAAACCCTGAAGTTGATATAATACAATGGTTCGTTGTAACCTTCATCTGTGCAGTGAACAGCAGTTCTCCTCAGAAAGTTAGTGAGAGTTTTGCCTCATCTTAAATTTAGGGAGCAGATTATATAGCCAAAAAGTTGTAGTTGATACACTCTAGTGCTCTCTCCAGTATTAATAATTCCTTTTACTCTTTAGAATGTCTTAACCTTTGACTCTTAACATCACCCTGTCAAAAAAGATATCTGTGTTTATGTGAAGAAAAGTTTGCATAAAAGTTTTATTATGAAAAGTTTTTTTATTTATACCAAGATTTTAAAGAGTACTATGATGTTGGGATGTAGTCACTGTTTAGATTCACTTTTCCTACTGTCCATGGGAAAGGCAAGAGTGAGGCTGACCCAAGGCCCCATTGCCACCAGCTACATGTGAGATTGGCTGGGTTGTTACATCCATAATAGGCTGACCTGGTAATTTCAACTGATATGATGGTGAGGCTGGTACACTCTGTTTTCCTCACTTACTTCCCAGAAAGAAAATTTTCCCATGGTTAAGATTACTCTTAGGTTACTAATCTGTAGAACTCCAAGAGGTTATTTGTAAGGCAGAATTTAAGCGTCATGATCAAAATCTTTACATCTGGACAAGAGTTCCCAAAAGGGGTAATGATGATTTCACTGAATCTCTTAGCAGAGTAACAGGGAGGAATTGAGGAAAGACTATGTATTAGTTTTCTACTGCTGCTGAATTAAATTACCAGAAAATTAGACTTAAGACAACACAAATTTGTTACCTTACTTCATATCTGCAAAGTCACTTTTGCCATGTAAGATAACACATTGAGAGGTCTTGGAATTAAGGTGTGAACATCTTTGTTAGGCCATCATCCGGCAAGTGTTCCACGGCAGACTATAAAGGGTTACTGAGGAAAAGGGAACCCCAAACAATTCACCAACCTGCAGCCCTACCCTTCATAATTTCCTGGATCACTACACTGAAGTGTCCCAAACAATCCAAATGTCTCTCCATGATTAAATACACACACACACACGGAAAAAGAGAGAGAGAGAGAAAGGACATCTATGCAGCCATTGTCACATGGTCGTAGATCTTGATTTACTGGCATACAGACAGTGAAGCATGTGGATTACCAGTCATCCTGTTCTGCATGCTCCCTTACAAGTAAAAATTATAAATCATGAGCATTTATCTAGAGAGAGAGAGAGAAGTACGAAGAAAGGTCACCAATATGTGAAAACTTGCTTTTTCCTGTGTAGTATGAGTTTGAGTTATTTTTACATTTCTGTTTTGTATTTTTTTCAGTTATTTCAATGTTTTAATAATATCTTTGTTTCATTAACAATATAACTTTTAAAAGGCAGAAAAAATGAGGTGGCAAAATAGCAGGACTCCAAGAGGTTATTTTTTACCTCTAAAAAGTGTGAAGAAAATTAAATTGCTATACATTGAGAGTCCTGGCATTGAGTAAATGATGGGAAAATTGTTCCATTGAATGGCAAAAGAACAGATTTAAGGTGCGAGGCAATGCAGTGAAAGTCAGAGGGGTAGACAGAACTTTTTGCTCCTGATGCAGCATTACTCCAGGTGCTCAGAAGTGAGGGCAGAGAAAACACTTAGTGTTTTCTTTTTACACTTCTCCATCTATCGGTTGATGGACAGACAAGTCATTGGTCATTTAGGGGACAGGTTGAAGAGACAGTAGGGAATCAAGTGTGTAGAGTCCAGACAAAATAGCATGTATGTGATTTTGAACCAAATACAACTTTTGCAAAACTTGGGAAAACCAATTTTCAGTGATGTGCATCATCTGGAGGCAATGGTAATGTCCACAAGCATGTCTACATCTGCCAGTCAACAGACGGGAAACAGATTAATAGGTGAATAGACTGGTTTCTGCATTTCATTTTAATGGTTATTTGTTCACTATATCATGGGTTATTGATAAAGCAGAAAACCATATTTTTGTACAAAAATCATCTGTTTTACTATCTTCAGATAGTATGTGACTACTAAGAAAAACCACAAATCACACAGAAAATAGGACAAAGAGCAACAGTAGGAAAACTCAGATTGGCATTGGTTCTAAGTTCTCAAGGATTTAGTCTTATCTAGTGGCATGTTAGATACACAGAGAGACAACTTTTAATGGTCATGTGAGACTCTCTGGGGCCCAATAACTCAGTGGCCACCTTTTCTGGAGAGTTCTGCTAACTAGACTGCACTTCACACCACACTACTCATGAGCATTGATTCAGTAGTTCATGTGATGCTACAGTTTAGATTCTGTACCTCTGCATATCCATCAAAGATGCCACAGCATAGGCTGTGGCTTGGCTGCCATAGACCCTCCACAAACCATGGCAAAGTCTTTTTTTTCCTTCCTCCCATTCCCTTCTACCTCAACTAGCCTCATTATCACATTTGGCCTGAGTATATGTGAGGAGGTAGGGGACTAGAATCTCACTTGACATCATGCTTTTCTTTTTCCTTGTACTTACCAAAGTTGTAACTATACATTTTTTATGTGATTACCTTTTTTAATATGTGCCTCCTTTACTAGATGATAGGTTCCACAAGGCAAGTAAATATGTTTGCTTGATCAGTGTCTCAGTCATTTTGTGCTACTATAACAAATACCACAGATTAGGTAATTTTAAAAAAAAAGAAGTTTATTTTGCTCATGGTTCTGGAGTCTGGGAAGTCCATGATCACCACACTGTCATTTGGCAAAGGCCTTTGTGCTGTGACAGCCAATGGCAGAAATTGGAAGGCAAGAGAGGGTTAAGAGAGAGCAAGCAAGAGTGCATCCCATTCACTTTTACAACAACCACCTGCTCTTGTGGTAATGAACCCCCCTCCCATGAAAATGGCATTAATCTATCAATCCATGGTCTAATCACCTCTTAGTGGTCCCACTGCTTAATATTGTCACAATGGCAATCAAATTTCAACATGAGTTTTGGTGGGGACATTTAAACCATAGCAATCACCATTTTATATCTGGTACTTAACCTAATACTGGGCACCTTGTAGAAATTCAGTAAATATGTCTTGACAAATAAAAGGTTGTCAAGGCAAAATGTGAATTATGCCTTCACCATAGTGTGGCATGGCAAAGACAGTTTAACTCACAGACTACTTGACTTCTTTCTTCCCTGCTGGGGTGGTGGGGGGCATTTGTCTATGGGGAGATTATAGCTTCATAACTACATAAGAAATCCTTTCATTTTAGAGATAAGGAATTTCAGGTCAGAGAAGTTTAATTACTTATTGGAAGATCTAAGGAACTTGCTGCTGAGCCTACTTCATCAAGGATAGTGATGGAGTCAGTCAGGGATGGACTTGGCACAAGAAGTAGGTCAACTTGGCTTTTAGACCAGGACTCCATTCATTAGATCCTGATGTTTCTGGCACAACATTAACCAAGAATCACATCGCAAGACTTCTTTTCTGATTGCATAGGCTAAGAAATTAATCTTAACAGTTTGAACAGATAATGATTAGATAAACCCAACTTGGAGAAGTTTATTAGAAAAGACTTGGCAGTGGAACAAATAACCTCCTCCTTAATCCCTAAAACCAGGCGACCATCAAGCTATACATCTTCAGTGATTAAGCTCTTCGGGCTGCAACATATAAACCTTCCCTTCTGCCTTTTTCTCCTGCTTTCTAGAGTGATTCATGTCTGTAGAGATGCTGCTGCTGCAAGGAAAATGTGAGCCTCTCTGATGACAGTTGTTGCAACAAGAAAAAGACAATTTTAGAATTATTGCTATTATCTCATGTGAGACATGCTGACAGCCTCTTTCCATCTTGCCACCATAATCCCATTAGATTTTACAAACTTTGCAAGGACAGCCTTGAGGCCATGGCTGAGATAAAGTACTTTCAGGAATGTTTCTTTTCTGCAGCTAGAATCATGCCTCATGTTTCAGGGGGTTTGTAAAAACAGATTCTGTCCATAAATGATAGAAAATCCTAGAATTGCAACAGGGTAGCAAAGGACTTCAGAAGTCATCAAATGATTTCCCCTTCCATGTATAGTGCATGTGAAGAAGAGGTTTTATGAAAATGAAAATGATAGATAATTAATTAATTAATAATGCCAAAGGTTTCCTGGGGAAAAGCAACTCTCTAACTTTCCTAATGAATCTCTTAGCCTATTCCAGAGCATTCTGGTGCATGCTATATGAGTAATTGTGAGCTATTGTAATTCTCTTCTGGCCCTTCTCACAAGGAAGTCTCTGCTACAACAAACAGTGACAAAAGCCTGAGCAATAATTTGTTGCTATCGATACTCCTACGCTCCCATCTGTTAGCACTGTGTTTTTTATTTTAATTGGTGGGTGAATATGAACAGAACGAAAACCAAAAACTACGTGATCATCTCAATAGATGCAGAAATAGCTTTTGATAAAATGTAACATTTTTCATGTCAAAACTCTTAACAAACTAGGCACTGAAGGAGCATACTTCAAAATAATAAGAGCCATCTATAAAAAACCCACAGCCAACATCATACTGAATGGGCAAAAGTTGGAAGAATTCCCCTTGAAAACTGGAACAAAATAAGCGTGTCTTCTCTCACCATTCCTATTCAACATAGTTCTGGAAGCCCTAGCCAGAGGAATCAGGCAAGAGAAAGAAATAAAAAGGCATACAAATAAGAAGAGAGGAAGTCAAACTGTCGTTGTTTGCAGACGATAAGATTCTAAACCTAGAAAACCCCATAGTCTCTGCCTGAAAGCTCCTCGATCTGAACATGATTTCAGCAAAGTTTCAGAATACAAAATCAATGTATAACAATCACTAGCATTCCTATAGACCAACAACACCCAAGCTGAGAGCCAAATAAAAAATGCAATACCATTGCAGTAGCCACAAAAAGAATAAAATACCTAGGAATATAGCTAACCAAGGAGGCAAAAGACATCTACAATGAGAATGACAAAACACTGCTCAGAGAAATCAGAGATGATACAAACAAATGGAAAAACATTGCATGCTCATGGATAGGAAGAATAAATATTGTTAAAATGGCCGTACTGCCCAAAGCAATGTACAGATTCAATGCTATTACTATCAAACTACCAATTACATGATAGTTCATCACAGAACTAAAAAAAAAACGATTTTAAATTTCATATGGAACAAAAAAGAGCCTGAATAGACAAGGCAATCCTACATAAAAAGAACAAAGCTGGAGGCATCATGTTACCCAATTTCAAACTAAACTACTAGGCTACAGTAACCAAAACAGCATGTTACTGGTACAAAAACAGACACATAGACCAATAGAAGCAGAATAGAGAGCCCAGAAGTAAGGTCATACACCTTCGGCCATCTGATCCTCAACAAAATTGACAAAAATAAGCATTGGGAAAGGACTCCCTACTCAATAAGTGGTGCTGGGATAACTAGCTAGCCATATGCAGGAGATTGAAACTGGACCTCTTCCTTACACCATTTACAAAAATTAACTCAAGATGGTTTAAAGGCTTAAATGTAAAACCCAAAACTATAAAAACCCTGGAAGATAACCTAGAAAATGCCATTTTGGACACAGGAGTTGGCAAAGACTTCACGAAAAGATGCCAAAAGCATTTGCAACAAAAACAAAAATTGACAAATGGGACCTAATTAAACTAGAGTTTCTGCACAGCAAAACAAGATATCAACAGAATAAACAGACAACCTACAGAAAAGGGTGAAATATTTGCAAACTATGCATCTAACAAAGGTTTAATATCCAAAATCTATAAGAAACTTAAACAAATTTATCAGAGAAAACAACCCCATTAAAAAGTGAGCAAAGGACGTGAACAGACAGTTTTCAAAAGAAGCATACATGTGGCCAACAATCATATGAAAAAAAAGCCCAATATCACTGATCATTAGAGAGGTGCAAATCAAAACTACAATTAGATACTATCTCACTTCAGTCAGAAGGGCTATTATTAAACAGTAAAAAAAGTAACAGATTGTGGAAAAAAGGGAATGCTTATACACTGTTGGTGGGAGTTCAACCATTGCGGAAAGCAGTACAGCAATTCCTCAAAGAGCTAAGCAAAACTACCGTTTGACCCCGCAATCCCATTGCTGGGTATATACTTAAAGGAATATAAATCATTCTGCCATAAAGACACATGCACATGAATGTTTGCTGCAGCACTAGTCACAATAGCAAAGTCATGGAATCAACCTGAATGCCCATCAATGACAGACTGGATAAAGAAAATATGGTACATATACACTATGGAATACTATGCAGCCAGAAAAAAATGAGGTCATATCTTTTGTGGGAACATAGATGCAGCTGGAGGCCATTATATTTAGTAAACTAATGCAGGAACAGAAAAACAAATACTGCATGTTCTCACAGCAGGAGCTGAATGATGACAATTCATGAACATAAAGAAGAGAACAGCAGCAGACACTGAGGTCTACTCGAGGGTGGAATGTGGGAAGAGGGAGAGGAGCAGACAAAATAACTATTGGGTACTAGGCTTAATACCTGAGTGATGAAATAATCTGTTCAACAAACCCCCACAACAGGGGTTTACCTATATAACAAACCTTCACATGTACTCCAAACCTGAAGTAAAATTAACAAAAAAAAAAAAAGAATAAGGCCGGGTGCAGTGGCTCACGCCTATAATCCCAGCACTTTGGGAGGCCAAGGCAGGTGGATCATAAGGTCAGGAGATCAAGACCATCCTGGCTAACACGGTGAAACCCCGTCTCTATTAAAAATACAAAAAAAAAAAAAATTAGCCAGGCGTGGTGGTGGGCGCCTGTAGTCCCAGCTACTTGGGAGGCTGAGGCAGGAGAATGATGTGAACCCAGGAGGTGGAGCTTGCAGTGAGCTGAGATGGCGCAACTGCACTCCAGCCTGCGTGACAGAGCGAGACTCCGTCTCAAAAAAAAAAAAAAGTATATGTGGGACATACATATCATGGAATATTAAGCAGCCATAAAAAAGAATGAGATTGTGTCCTTTCCAGCAACATGGATAGAACCGGAGGCCAAGCAAACTAACACAGGAAGAGAACATCAAATACCACCTGTTCTCACTTATAAGTGGGAGCTAAACATTGAGTACACATGGACACAAAGAAGAGGACAACAGATACTAGGGCCTACTTGAGGATGGGAGGGGTGGGAGGAGGATAAGGATTGAAAACCTACCTATCATATACTATGCTTATTACCTAGGTCACAAATAATCTGCACACCAAACCCCCGAGACACACAATTTACCTATATAATAATCCTGCACATGTATCCCTAAACCTAAATCAAAGTTAAAAAAAAAAAAGGAAAAGAGTGTTCTCTGCCCCAGCAGAGCTTACAACTTAACCATTAATGTTAGACCACCTGCATACAATGTTGAAGAGCAATGACTTCTTTATCGTAGCTGATTTTGCAGTGTTAACTCTATTGCGATGCTAGATAAGTCTCTGAACATATTGAAAAAAAATTCATGGGTGAATGTCATGTTTCAGAACATATATATATCTGTAACTAATATATCTCTAACTAGTATTTATGTTAGACATCCACAGAATTTAATAATGGGATAAAGAGCCACGTTATACACATAAATACAATGAAGTCTTAGTTATTTGATGGCTTATGTCCTTTTATTTGTATAATTGTCCCTAGTGTTTGTCCTGTTGCTCAATGTCTCACTACTTGGTTAGTTTTAGGTATTGTAATAGGAGTGAAGAATGAAAGAGAAACATAGGGTGACTTTAAAATTTTTTTTTTTTTTTTTTTTGGTGAGATGGAGATTCACTCTTGTTGTCCAGGCTAGAGTGCAATGGCGCGATCTCAACTCACTGCATTCTCCACCTCCCGGGTTCAAGCGATTCTCCTGCCTCAGCCTCCTGAGTAACTGAGATTACAGGCGTGCACCACCACTCCTGGCTAATTTTTGTATTTTTAGTAGAGACGGGGTTTCACCATGTTACCCAGGCTGGTCTTGAACTCCTGACCTCAGGTGATCCGCCTGCCTTGGCCTCCCAAAGTGCTGAGATTACAGGCATGAGCCACTGCACCCAGCCAACTTTTTAAATTTTATTTATGTAATCTTTATCACTTTCCTGGAGAGTGCTTACTTATGTCCAAGGAAGCTGTTATGTGCTGACAAGATCATGAGAGAAAAAAGTGAGGAAAAAATATCCAAAAGCTTGCAATATAGTAACATTAACACAAAGCAGCTAAGAGTAACGTAGATAGTCACAGTCATTTCTGGCTGGGCTGAATTGTTATAGAAAATGGAATTAGAGCTGAGCATTAGAAGCATATTACATGCCTATGGAATAAAATCAAAAGGAGAAAAAGTCCTATAGAATGTTTGGCGGTGATGGTGGTAGACAGAAGGGTGGTAGTTTAGGTGGTGATGGTAGCAGGAAGGGTGGCCGATGATGATAGTAATGGCAGCTGTGGTGATGGCGGTGATAATGGTAGTGGTGGGGAGGGTGGTGATGAGGGTGTGATGGTGGCGGTGTTTATAGTGGTGGTGGTGTTGTAGTGGTGGTTGGGAGGGGGGCTGTAGACTGGAAATAAGGACAGTGAACACAGTTGTAGTGAGAGAGCTGCCAGCAGTGACAATGATGGTATCATTGTGAGGGTAGTAGGGAGGCTGCTTAGGGGACTGTTTCTTTTCCAGCGACATTTCCAATTGTCTATAGATATTTATCGTCAAATGACAAAAGACAGAAAGAGACCCCTGCCATCCCTAAGGGAAATTCACTTTTGTTTACCCTGTCCCAGGACCTCATTTCACAACACAGTCCCACTTTGCAACGAATGTCTTTGTGCTATGAGTCAGACACATCCTCTTTCTTCCGTAAACGTTCTACAATGCTGGTTTGCAGTTCCAAGTACCAATAAATGGTAACAACAGATGGATATACCTTACCGGTAGATAGAGCAGACCCTTACTTGGCACGAAAATATTCTTTCTGGTTGAACGTAATGCTGATTGTTTTGTGACTAGATTACTAGGAAAAGGGAGCTTTCGAAGTGCGATTAGCTTCATTGCCAATATATTTTTAAAATTCTTACAAAAAAGACATTACCTAAGTTCTTTGTCAGTTCAGAAAGAACAGTGTTTAATCCAAAATGTGCAGAGTGATGCCAAGGAAAATGTTCCCAATGGAGACTGGGGCTGCATTGGCTCCACATCTTTACTGAACTCAAATGTGGAACATGGTGTATTTCATTCTAGGTGGGAACAAAAAGCATGTTCCTTGCATAGTGAAAGCTGTTCTCTCTCTGCCTCAGTTTCTTTCCTTCTCATTTTATCAAGTATTTAACATCTGTTTATTTCTAATCCCTATTGTTTAATGCAGGTTCTCCCAGAAGAAAAAATGCCCAACACAATATTTTCTAGCAATTGTCATTTGAATGACTGTAATAAAAGGATCAAAGTTTATTTGCCGTCTAGTCTCTCCTCTTTAGATCCATGGCTGTGTGCAGGAGGTGTTGCTGACATATTTCCAACAGCAACATCTGGCTCTCTGGCAGCCTGCTCTGCTAACTGTGCTGACCCATCGATGGCTCTAGAACTGTTCAGAAAACTCTGTATGGGTTGGCTGGAATATGTGGAGACCATTGGGTTTTTTGTTCATCCTCCAGGGTACTATTTTTCTGTCAGTCACATTTCATTCTGAGGAATTTACTGTACTTGTCTGTGTCTATTTGAAATGAATAAGGAAACTCCTCATTAAATATTGGGATTTATATGGCCCAAATGGGAGTATTCCCAGTGCTGTATTTAGGATGGTAGAGGAGCCATGCTATTGGTTGAATTCTCCTTAAAATACTGATTTTCCCTGAGATGGTCTCTGGGTGTTACACATTCAAAAAGAAGCCAAGATGAATGTGGTTAGTTTGTTTGTTTTGTTCAGGGGATGATTTGGGGATATGTGGAATGCTCACTAATATAAATTAAAGTTTTAGGGATTTATGTCAAAGTTTTCAAGGAAGAAAGCTCTTGATGGAGAAACAAAGTAGGGCTGAAATCTGGTGGAAAGGAGCCAGATAGTATTAACAAGGAAAGAGGAAGGAAGTTGGGCTATGAGGCCAGATATATTAATTGAAGTTTGAAAAAAAAATGTTTTCTTGGATTCATGTGGAAAGGGAAGAAATAGTACTGAAGCTACAGTATGTTTCACTGCATGTACAGGTTTATGACATTAGTATTCATTATTATAATAGTACCAACACTATATAGAGCTTGCTATATGCCAGGTTCTGTTCTAAGCAAGTTTAACACATTAACTCATTTGATCCTCACCAGCAAACATATGAGATAGAAACTGTTTTATTACCCCCATCTTATGGATGGTGAAACTGAAACAGAGAGTTTGAGTAACTTGCCCAAGACATAAAGATGGCAAATGGTAGAGTTGATATTTAAAGTCAGTCAATTTAGCTTCGGAGTCTGTTTCCTAATACTCTGGGGTGGGGCTGAGGGTGATCGATGCAATGATGAAGTTTTTATGTAGAAATTCTTTACCCATGTGAATATAAATTGAGACTGATAGATTCATTTTAATGCAAAGCAAGTAATGAGATGGAACTTTCTAGGTTGCAGACATTGGGCCACAACTATAGCTATCTTCCCTGCTCCCAGGGGAAGTTACTTAATTGGCATGGAAAGGGGAGATGGCTTGGATAGTATCACATTAGAGCCAAAGATTTTGATCTGATAAACAAAGGAAATATTGCTCTGTCACAGTTTGTATTAAAACTTGCCTAATGTCTAGAAATGAATGGCTCTGCCACCCACTGCCTCATTAAAGGTCAACAATGCTTTATCTGTCAATTGATAAAGTGATTATTGAAGTCTTCAAACAAATGACTACATGTGCTGATTACTCACTTCTGAAATGGTTGCAATACCTAAACGAGGAGCAGATGATGGTTGATAAAATTTGTAAAGTCCTCTAAGGCTTTCAGATAACAGGCCTGGTAGAAGTGCAAGTATGATTCTCACTTGCATTCCAGCCAGATGTAACAAAAATCCTGAGCATCATAAACCTGCAGACAGAAGGAGTTCGGGGGGAAAATAGAGGCTTGCTCATAAGCCAGCTGTGCAGAGGGCTGGACTCCAGCTTCCAATCATGGGTGTGCAGCCCAGAGAATGTTGGCTGCCTCGGGGGCCAGCTGGCACATATGGGGACTGTGCTCCTGGAAATCCTGAAATGTCTGTCCGGGACTCCAGTGAATAGAATTTTGGTTAATGGAGGAGCAATCTCATCAGCCAGATTTCAGTCAAGCTGTTTTTTAAAGTCTTGTTAACTTCAACACGTGACCAATGGGGCTAATAATACCTGCCTCACAGGGTTATTGAGAGGCTTCAGTTAAATAATTGATACAAAGCACTTAGCACAAAGACTGGCCCGTGCTAAGAACTCAATAACTGGGTTGCTGTGGTGGTTGTTTTAAGTTCCTTTTCCAAGATCCCATGCCCTTGATGCCTCCTTCACCTTCTGATCCATTTCATCTTCATGCTGTATGACTGTGACAACAAGGGCTAGATTCCCACCCGGGGAGTTAACGGTGATTACAGCATGTTGACAGAGATGTGTAGCCTTACACTCATGCATAGCTTCCTTGACAGCAGTGATGGTGGTTTCTTACCACAAACCCTATGAGACCAAAGCCAGTACAGCCTCTGACTCTGGAAAGGCAGTGGGGCAAGCATTTCCCCAGAAATGCCCTCTACCTCCATGGCAGCCACCTTGGGCAGCCAGAAGAAACATCTCTCCTTTCCAAGAACTTTGTGAGTGATGTTTAGTCCCATGACCAGACTCTTCACTGGTGCCAAAGCAGACTGGCGTGGCCAGCCACCCAGACTCCTGCTGGTTGCTGACTGATGGACACAGCACCTGAGTTCCTCAGATTTTGCTGGAGTTTACTCAGGCCAGCCTGGGTCAGAGGACAAACCAAGAGGAGTTAATAAGGCTCAAAACTCAGCAGAACTGGTGTGTCTGCTGCTTTTAGGTCCAGCAATTCCTCATTGTCCCCAAATTCTCTTTACCCTAGTGACCTAAAGAGACAGCAATGCTTTTCTCTTTTTTCTTTCATTAAAATTTGACCCTCATTCAACTAGTTCTTCTATAAAGATGGTGACAAAGAGCCCCTGGTAATCTCAAGGTAGCTTGTATAATCTAAATAATAACAATCTTCAATATAAAGAAGGTAAAATTTGGAGGCAAAACATGAAGTAAACTTGATTCTTTGGCAAATCTATTGAGGAGTCAAAATTCTGCCTTATAAAAACAATTTAAACTCCACCTAGTACTGCTTCAGTCCTGTCCTGGCAGTTTTCTTAATGGCTTGAGCATAGGCACTGTTCATCTTTGGTCAAAATAGTGGTTGTGGAGTTCAAAATGAAGTACATATTATTGTTTTGTTGATAATGTTCTATGTCCTACAATTACGATAAGAACAAATTAGACTTACTCCTTTAAGTAAAGGTCAGATCCAAAGTGATGTGACAAAGAGTAACAGCTCTGCATTTTCAGCATTTCCAAAATGAACCATCTGTCTATAACCCTATCTGGATGGAGACCAGCAGGTTCTGGGAAGAATATTAACCTGAATTTGTTGCAGGCTTGTTTCTCAAACTCTTTATAAACACTTCCCCATATGTGCTGCCAAAGCTTTGCATTTAATGAATCATCCAAATCTTTTTGCCATATATCCTGTGTAGCTATTGAGGATGGAATGCATGTCCCCAATATCTGAAGAGAAATGAGAGCAATGCCTATGATGCCAAGCAAAATTCCCTCGTAAGATAATCCTATTAGAATGTTCATTTTGATTTTTTAACATAGTGAGTGCTGTATTTTGGAGAGTTATTGTAGATCATATTGCCTAGTAATTTCCAAGGGACTATTTTATCTACTTGATACATTGTCTTTACTCTGATTAAGCGTAAAGGAAGTGCAAATCGTTGCTTACGCACTTGAATTCTTGCTTCATGGTCTTTTGCATTCTTGGTTACTTTTATTTTATTTTATGAAGAGTTTAGCAGTAAAGAACAGAGGTTAAATAAACGTACAGTTTTGGAGTCAAACATGTTGTATTTCATGTTCAAATTCTGCCTCTGAATAGTTTTATGAACAGGCAAATTACTTAATATCTCTGTACCTCAGTTTCCCCATCTCTCCCCTGGGAAGTGACACTACTCTCTACCTCTTTGTGGTTACTGTAAATATAAAACAAGGTAATAGATAATAAGCTTTTATCCTAGTGGTTGATGAATGACATGTGTAAACTATTACTATAGTCTAATTAGTCACTATTTGAGTGCCACGACTGTCTGAGAAGTTTAGGAGTTAAAAGGGGTTATAGGAAAAACATACCTCCAACTGAAAGCCTTAACAACCATGTGTGTAGTACCAAACAACAGCACTTCTTTGTAACATGAAGAAAGGGAATAGTGTCCTTATAAAAGAGGACACAGAGAGTCAGATTGACCCTTCCACTATGTGAGGACACAGCAATAAGGCATCCTCCTTCTCAGCCTCCATAACTGTGAGACATAAATTTCTGTTGTTTAGAAAGTGCCCAACTTATGATATTTTGCTATAGTAGTCTGAAAGAACTGTCAGGACCCTTAAATCAAACTGCCAACCCTACTTTTAAATCCAGGGTTTCCTCAATCATATTCCAGAAGTTGCTATTACAAATAATAATACCTCCTTCAAAATTTAGTGTTTAGCATCCTGCTTGTCAACAATCATCTCTTACATTTACATAATTAATGTGTACTCCTTAACAGCCCAACAATTCTTCAGCCCTACCAGGATTTCCTATCCACTGACCTTAACAATTTTTCAGTGTTTACCATCTATCTATGTCCTCATTTTCCTCCTTACCCAGTTGCAGACTCCACTCCTTGCATTTAACCTCAACAATCTGCTCCCAGGGCCATCCTAACTGTGGAAAAACTCATGGACCTGAGGTGGAGAATATGGTGGGAGAAAAACAGACAACCTTGCTGACTGCCTCTTTGAAATTCGTGATCACATACCTTAACCTAATCTTTACAATGGTCCTTTGATCACAAGAACCAGCTTCTTACTGCCTTTCTGATCATCTCCCACTGTTCTCCCTCAACACCAGCTGCAAGGAACTCCTGGATGCCCCTAAAACATAGCAAGCATGTTCCCGTTTCTGGTGCTTTCACTGCTATTTCTCCCGCCTAGAATGTTCTTAGTCACATGACCTCCCTCCCCACGCTCGTCCCAATTTGTTTATATGCCTCTCTAAATACCAGAGAAGTCTACCTTGGCTGTTTTGTCTCAAGTATCATTTTGGCCATGCTGTATTTCCTTACCTGCTATGTTTTTTTCTCAATAGCATTTACCGCATAATAGTATATATTTGTTTATTTTAATAAATTTATTACCTCTCTTACCCCATTGAAAAGTGGTCTATGTAAACGGTGCTATGTTTTGTTAATTGCTATTCCAGTATTTGTTGAGCATATACTAGGTATTTAAAACTGTTTGATGAATACGTGGATGACTGCATGAAATTCCTGGGGCCATACCTGATGTGATCACAAAATTCATGGTTTCAAATTTGAATTGCTGGTCGATATACATGTAATTATCAGCCTACAGAGATAGCTGCTGAGAATGTAATTTGCCCAACTCATTTACACAGTCCTTTTATATACTAAGTGAAAAACTAACACCAACGGCTTGTATTTACTGCACAGGTATTTAAGAATATGAGAACACATTGGGGACAGATTGAGAAAAGTAGATCCTAAGTTTTCAAGTTCTTTTTTTATACTGCAACTAACTTACAATCATAGAGTGTTATTCAGATCTCTCTTCACCTCCACCTTACACTTTCCCTAATTCCTTTGCACCCCTCCCAGAGGTAATCCATAGCAACATTTTGCTGTATATTTTCATAAAACTCTCCTCTTTCTGTGCATTCACATACACAAATCTGTATTTTTTAAAAAATTGGCCGGGCGCGGTGGCTCAAGCCTGTAATCCCAGCACTTTGGGAGGCCGAGGCGGGCGGATCACGAGGTCAGGAGATCAAGACCATCCTGGACTAACACGGTGATACCCCATCTCTACTAAAAATATTAAAAAATTAGCCGGGCGTGGTGGCGGGCGCCTGTAGTCCCAGCTACTTGGGAGGCTGAGGCAGGAGAATGGCGTGAACCTGGGAGGCGGAGCCTGCAGTGAGCCGAGATTGCACCACTGCACTCCAGCCTGGGCGACAGAGCGAGACTCCATCTCAAACAAAAAAAAAAAAAAAAAAAAAAAAAATTATATAATTTGTTATGCTCAAAGAATTAGTCCATGATTGCTTTTTCCACTTAATAATATGTAAGATAAATGTTTACATCAGTTCTTCCATATTGACCTCATTGTGTTTAATAGCTGCATAGTCTAAGATTTCATAGAATTAATATATCATAATTTATTTACCTACTTATTCTCCTACGCTGATTTTTACTCTTGAGGCTCTTGACTTTCCTGTTTGCATTTCTGCTCTTTCTCTGAGCCCAATCATAAGGAACCAGGAAACAGCAATAAAGAAGCAGAGCCCCTAGCTTTTCCTTGGCAGGCGGTGCCGACAGAGTTAACTGAGGCATGGTTCCTTCCTTAAGAAACTCACATTCCCTTAAAGACAGAGGCACATCAGCCAATAATTACAATAAAAAGTGATACATGCTGTGATGAAATTCTTCTCAAAAAGATATTAACTCCCAGTAGAAGAAGAGTTTTTTTCTGCTTTGGTAGACTTGGGACATTTTCAGAAAGGTGACATTTGGTTTATACCTGATAATGTTAAATGGGGTGGGGTGAGATGAAAAGGGAAGGGCCTTGGCATGTGTGAGAGGAAAAGGGATATGAAGAAAAGGGAACTAACTTTCTGATATTCACAATTTGAGCCCATGTTTTAAGAAATTATTGAGGCTCTTTCTGTTGAGCCATTTAGGGCAATTACAAACAAGAGAAAGGAAAAAAGAGAGGAGAATAGACAGTACATGGGGTTGGGGTGGAGGCAGAGAAAGATTAAGGTAGAAACCAGAGAGGAGGGGAGCTGTATGCTCCACCCCAGGCTGGGAGAGGCTCTTAGAGTGGGAGCCTTTGCCCAGGAAAGGGAGAGGGTATTTTACCCTTGTAGAGGACAGACACTGTGTTTTATTCCTGTTGTGTCCCTTATTGTGTCTAGTATGGATGTTTTAAAGTATCAGGAAGATGTAATATGTGGGTAAGATTATGGGTGTTACAGTCAGTCAAATTTGGGTTCAAAGCCAGATTCTGCTAATTTTTACCAGTGAGACCTGGACAAGTTACCTTACCTTTATGAGTCCTCAGTTTTTAATCTGTCTGGAAGAGCTTATAATACCTTCTGCATAGCTGTGAAGAATAAATTAGATAATAAATGTAAACCAATTAGCCTGGTGTCTGCTATCTTATCAGTGTATAATTATTACTATAAATTACTTGCTGATTTTTAAAAAAGAGACAGGGTCTCGCTACGTTGCCCAGGCTGGACTCAGACTCCTGGGCTCAAGTTATTCTCCGGCCTCAGTCTCCCAAGTAGCTGGAACTACAGGTGCATCACTATGATTGGCTTATTGCTAAATATTTTTAAAATAAAAAAAATCACATGCTCATCAAGAAAGATGATTCGTTGTCAGAGTTCTTTTCAGTTTTAACATGTTGACATCTCAAATAATGATATGGGAAGTAGAGTTGCTTAGGTATGTAAAACGGCATTTCGCCATCTGCAAGAAAGAACTAAATTACCTTCCAGCTTTGTAAGTGAGTTCTGTTCACAAGCCATTAAGAGGTAACTTGTGGTTTATATCACAGGTGACATCAGGGATGAAGGTAGGGGACTCAAGGGCCTCTCCAGCTGCTGACGGCTGACCTGAGAGACAGAAACCAGTATATCTTTCATTCTGATGAACATAGAAAATGAACAATCTTTATATTGTAAGCCTAAACACAAGTGCTTTAATAATGTATGAAACATAGTAATAGGAAACAAAAACAAAACAAAAGAAAAAAAAGGAAGTCCCATACTTTCCCCTAAAGATCGGCCTTAGACAAATGTTTTTCACAGCACTTCCTCTTCTCACTCCCACCTTCCATTCCAGAGCAGCTAATATTGTTTGTTCTTTTATTCCTATGACCACCCATAGGAGAAAGATATTCAGGAAATAGTTTTCCCTGCAGATGGCTGAGTAGCAGAGAGTAATAGCAGTCCCATCAGCATCTAATTTCTGCTTTCATCCAGAAGAGACTGTTTTAGCAACCACTTTGTTAACAATGAAACAAAAGGACATTTGTAAAAAAACAAAAAACAAAACAAAATAAACCACTAACTAATAAGCAGGGGAAAAATATCAGTCACTATCTCTTTCTTAAAGAGTCCTCTCTATTGAGAAAGGACTCTCTACCTTCATGGAGTTTTTATTCTCTTCTGTGAATCGTTTCTACCTCCCAGATTGTAGTATTTGTTAGTAATTACCTTCCCAACTCCTTTTTGCTCAATAGTACAAAGAATACAAGTCATAGAGATTGTACTTGAATTATAAAGAAGCAAAAAGGCCTGTAACTTTCATAATAGTTTGAGTAATAATTAAGTTGACCAACTCATTCTTATTTGCCAAGGGCTTCCCTGGATTTAACACCATAAATCCCATGCCCAGGAAACCTTTGTGGCAAACCAAGATGACTGGTCACACTAACTGAGGTGGTTTCTATACCTGCATAGGAATAGGCTCTTCGTGAACAACAACAATCATTGAAATAACAATAATTGAAACCTGTCTGCTTACTGAAAACCAACTACTTAATTGTCTTATATGGATACCTTCACAAGAACACCTTGAGGGGAGTAGTAGTATTTTACTTCTGTTTCTATACAGAAAGGAAGATGGATTTTTCAACAGTTAGGTATTTTCCCCCAAACCACACAGGTACTAAGAAGTAAAGGTAAGATTTGAACCCAAGCAGACTAATTACATTTGTTCAGCTACTACACCATGCCGCTCTCTGTTGCAATGCTCCCTTCTGACAAAAGCAGTCACAGGCAGCTCATAGCCATAGTCACCATGATGTGTTAATTTCAACTGTGCCTTCCTGGTAAAAGCTGATTCCACCAAAAACGAGGGCCTGAGACAGAAACCAGTGGTCCAACAGGACATTTGTCATGGGAGTTCTCTGCTAATAACTGGTTGCTTCTTTACTTTGCTTTGTATCCTTTGCACCTGAGGTAAACTGAGTATATCATTCTTCCTTGCTCATTTATAGCAAGGAATAAGCATGCTTCACTCTTAACAGTATTCACAGCCTCCACCACTGCCTCCTTAGCAAGCCCAAACGAGAACTGCATACTGATTGTGGTTTTGATTATTCCATTTGTGCTTCGTCCCACTGACCTACATGGAGCTGTAGCAGTGTTCACATCATATGGTTCATTATGTAGTTGAATTTAGTGTTCATGATATTTGTAGCCAGGAAAAAACATTCCATGTGGTGAGCCAAATGAAGCTATTCTTCTAGTATGAAGTGGGGAAGTTGATGAGTCTGAAGACAGGACTTTTTTATTTTGATTAAGAGGGATGATTTGCTTTTGGGGGACATGGCCTTGGGCCAGGAATCACTGTTGTAAAACATTTGAAAGGATGAAGACACTTGGATGAAGAATTCAACAGTGCTCTCAATGTGTCCCTGCGTACTTCTATTTAGAGAGTGTAATTGGCTCCAGGAGGGAAAAAAATATAACTTTAAAAATATAGTCTCTTAAGCCCTAGGGAAGTGCATTAGCCAGATGCCATATCACATGGGCTGGCACTTCTAGTTCTGTGATTTTTACTTTACACCAAGGTATGCCAGGACCATGAGAAAGAGACTCGGTAAAGGTAACATCAGGAAATATAATAGGACATATTTGTAGTTTGGATTGATGAGTCTCTAAGGGAACTAGGGGAGCAGTTCACATAAATGCTAAATAATAAGACCTTTTCTGTAAACAGAACATCAGTGTAATAGTATGTAGTTCATTCAAGCAGCCAGGCTAGGGACTATGTTGAAATTACATTAAAGCAAGATGGGTTCCCTCTACTTCGCTAAGCATCAGAAGTGCAAAGTAAGAGTCCTTACAGTGGAGACAAATTTGTACATTGCTATAGAATTTGATACAAGTGTGTTCTTTTAAAGAACATAATCAATAAAACATAAAATCTAAAATCATTTTGAAAAAGCGAACGGAACAAGTTTTTAAGCTTTAAATCAAATTGGTAATTAAATTGCCACTGGGCAATATTTATGAAAGGAAAGTAAGTATGAATGATGGTAAGTAGAGTGACTTTGAACATCACATAGAATATTACAGAAGGAGTCGCAATGAAGCACAGTGCAAATACACTGGGGAAGCCACTTTTTATAAGAGTAGTAAATTGCACTTTGGTGGACAGAGAAAAACATAAAATAAGTCCCCTTGTTAAACTCTTTTAAACTAATAAACAGGATGTGTGGTGCATGGTACTGTGAAAGCAGGCAAGTGTCCAGTGAAAACAGAAGAGAGGAAATACTGCCTACGTGAAATGAAATACAAGGATCTGGCTGGTTGGAAGTAACGTGTTATTCATATTTGTACCTAAGCTGTAATTGCCAATACTGGACATTTTCTGTCATTATATCCGTGACACTTGAAACAGGATAGATGATATGCTTAGAGAACCTGGGCAGAATTAATATACCTGAGAGATAAATTTTAATGTGGAAGAAATATGTGTGATAGTCTGGAAGCAAGCAGATAAAATAACACACTAGCCACAAAACTTTTTATACTTTAGTCACTTGTTCTTTAAAAGCATGTTCATTAGGAATGTTTACTTTTAAGAAGCATCCTCAGTTCCGATGAATAAAATGGGCAGATGGGAAAATCTCTAGATATAGTAAATAAATTTTTTAAAACCCCACTTTAACCTAAATATTTAGATAATTGAGGAAAATAAGGTTTTATCTATTTTAAAGTTATTTATAGAATGGTTTCAACCCTCCATTTCAAGTGTTTACATCAAACTTAAATAAATCATTTCATCATTTTTGTTTCTCTGATTAAAAAAATGCTTATTCATCTAAACTCATGGTATCCTCAATGTTGAGAAGACACTTGATGAGAAGGCTTCTCAGGGTAAAATCTGATGTTTCAATACATGTATATGTTGTGTAATGGTCAAATCAGGGTGTGTACATTGTCCATCACCTCATGCATTTATCAATTCTTTGTGGTGAGAACACAAAATTATATTCCATAAATATATATAATTACAATGTACCATTTAAAAATAATAATATTAAAAAGAAACCTTCTCAAGGGAGCTGCAGTGTGTTTGCAAAACATGATAATAAGCAACAAGGACACATGTTAGTTTAGCAAACAATTTTGTCCACTCATTTGATTGTGAACAAACTTTTGGATCAGAAAGCTCTTTACAATAAACTGCAGAGACTAATTTGAAGGAAATACTTGGTGGTATTTCCCTTGGTCAAAAGGATGTTGTTAAAAAAAAAAAGTTTCCATATTTTCTGACCATAGTGGAAACGTCATTGAGAGCATGAGAAAGAAGGAAAAGGATCAGACCTACCTGGGCTCAGATTCTGGGTCTCCTGGTTATCAGCTAGATCTTTGATAAGTTTTATAATAGCTGAGCTTTGTTTCCTCGTATGTACAGTGCTACTGAGAATTCACATTTGTAGTGGTTTGTGGTTTTGGTTGATAAGCTGACCGATGACGGAGTGCTGTGAGGTTTGGCAATCCTGACCGCTAGTCCTGACTATAGGACAGCTGATATTATGCATTGCATTCGTAAGTACATTAGTGTTCATTACATCCCTGCGAGCATCTTCTGCTTAATTATGAGATTCTTCTCAGTTTATCTAGCTTCTCTACTACCATTGTGATTCCTTTAACTCTGCTCCAGGGTGCAGGCAGTGAGTGAGGCCATAGGGAATTTCACGGAGCCAGATCCAGGTCTGCTGACTAGCCATTTTCCCATTTTCAGTCTAGTCCTAAGCATCATCCCAACATACTCTACAAGCAAAAGGAGGATTGTCATTGTGATTAGTACTTAAATCCTAAAAGACAGATCATTTTGGGGGTGGTAGGGTGTGCAGGAAAGTATCAGCATTACCTTTCAATCTGTGCTAAGATGTATCAATGCATATTAATTTATTCAAAGAAATATATATTGGGCTTTTATTTTCTTCTCATCACTTTAAATGATTCAGAAAAGAAGAAAACAGACATGGCCTTTGCCCACACAGAGTTTATATAGTCTAGCTGAGAAAAGAGACATTAAAGAAACAAAGAATAATATAACTATAGCAACAAGGACAAAGAAGTGTTGATAGAAAGCTTGTTACTCTTTGGAAGATAACTGTTGTTATTTAGGAAATTGTCCTGATGTTTTTTCTGGGGATCAAACAGGGGATTCATATGACATAGCTAAGATGAACTAGGTAGATCCAAAATTAGAAATAACTTCCCTGACATATTAAAGTTAGAACAATTTCAAATTTTGTGGGGCAGATGGGGAAAGAGCAGTTTAGGGACCCAAGAGAGAAAAGGAGACAGCATGAGACATCTAACAACACGGCAAGATGCTGGGAAATACTCACGAGGAAAATTAGCCAGTCAGAAATTCCAGAACACATCATACAGAGTAAAGGAAAAGGATCTTACCATTGAAATGTGAATCTTACTTTTCCCACTCAGCGTCCAATTATAGTAACAGCCTTCAGGCATCTACTTGGAACTTTTTTCTGCCTTAATGCACATGACATTTGTCTCCCACTTGGCAGTCCATTATCATTGTGTTAGACTTCAACTGCCTTTGAAAAGACCCATCTGAGTTGGCACTTTTATGGACCCAGCTTTCTTTTGGACTCAGTTAAACCGAAGGATGGTACCTCCTCTTTAGGTACTTAAAACATTGCTCATGTTGGACACCAATCTCAGTGCCCTTGAGAAGTGTATACCCCTCTGTGCTTTTAATTAGATATTGCTCTTTTTTTTGCCTCAGAAAGAGCCTTTCTTGACTTCCCTTCAAATAGTTGTTGCCCCTCCAATAATCTTTTATTTTGTCTCAAAATTCTTAGGGAAAGTCTTACTAATGAGGACATGAGATTTGCCCATCATTGGGGTGGCATTTTCTATATATATATATATTTACTACATGTCTACCAGAAATGGAAAATTAATCTCAGACACTTAAAATTTCTGAATATTTGAAATTCTCCCCAACTCCTTGACTAAGTCTCACATGCATGGTGTTATGACAAAATTCAAAGAATGTAAATTTTGCAACTCTTATAAATATATAGAATTTAAAAACCTATAAAATCATATTATTCATTATTAAAGGAAAGATTATTGAGGCCCTCAAGATCCACAAAGTCAATTTTGGGAGTGTTACTTAGCCTATATTTTACATTCAAACATGCCAAACATATTTGAGATTTTTAGAGGATTATATCTCAAAATTTTTACACAATTTTGAAAGTTAGGAACTAAATTCTAGTTATGTAATACATGTGAAAAAAGGGTAACCCTAAAAGACTAAATCATTTGGAGTCATCACAAATGTAAGTGTTACGGATGTATGATATGGGATGATTGAAATTACACAAGAGAGCCTGATCTATAAGGCAGTGTCAGGGCAAGTTTATCTGAAGAAGTGAATTTTAAACAGGGAATCTTACATTGCCATTACAACTAAGAATTAAGCCAGGTGAACGGAGTGTGAGTGGAGGCAGTGGGGTGGGAGAAACTGTTTCAGCTGAGGTGATAGGATGGGAAAAATACTTTGAGCGAGAAAGAGAACAGTATATAATTGGGGAACAGAAATAAGGCAGTTTGTAGTCAAAGGCTGGAGTGATACACAGGGGCCAGATTTTAGTCTTTAAGAGATTTTGCCCTTATCCTAAGAGAAATGAGATGACATTGAAGAGTTTTGAACATAGAACTGGCTTAAATGAATGTATTGGAAAGTAGCAAGAATTTCAGTAAGAAACATCCTGGTGGTCAGAAGGTATTTTCCACAGACTGAAATCAGGAACACAGATGCCTTGAAATGGGACAGCGCAAAGAAGCTGTAGGGTTTGAGGGGTGGTGAATAGATTTCAGATGTAATTGGAAGGCAGAATCATCAGGTTTTGGTGGCTCTCTGAAGTGAGAGGAAATGAGAGATCAAAGACAACACCTTACTTTCTAGTAAGAGCAACTGGATGAATCATCAAAAGTGAAAGGGAAACTGACACATTAGATACATAAATACATTGTTAAAATTTTAGTTGTCCCATAGTTATGTGGACAAGGTCCTTAGTTATCAATTTCACTTTACATGAGTTTATAAAATCCCCCAGATTTAAATGATAATATTGTTACTGACCCCTGATGTTACATTCTTCGGTTGCAAATAACAGAAACTACTCAAAGTACTTCAAGTAAGGGGAGTTTTATTATACAGATTTACGGGAAAATGAGAAAAATAGGTTTCTCAGTCATGGTGTTTGGGCCTCACAGAAATCTGGGTAAACCTGCTTTTAGGTACTTAAATTTGGCTAATGTTGGACACCAGCCTGGGTGCCTTTTAGAGGAAGAGGAGGACTGATGTCCAGAAAACACTTTAAGAAATGGAAGGCCATTCAGGAATCCAGTGCTGCTTTTTCAATAAGTTGTTATTATTTTGGCTCTCTTATTAGCCAATGAGAATCAGCCATTCTTTTCATCTCTACTTTATGTTTATTCTTCCTCTTTCAGTTTCCTAGTTGACTCCTGAATTTCCCTACTCACTGACTCTTTCTCAGAGTTCTCAATTCTAATTCCTGAGAGATTCCTGTAGTAGCTGTTGAGTGACACTCCAATGCTAGGCTGCCTCACAAGCTGCTTGTCTGCCTTTAGATAGATTATTGCTCCATTATAAACTCTCCCTAGCCAGTGTCTCTTACCAGAGGGCCTACAAACATAATTAGAGCACAACCACTTTTATCTAAGATATTTTATGATATGCTTCCTTTGGCAGGGACAGTGGAGGTGGCAGTCCCTCTCAAAAGAAATCTATGGGCAAGACAAGCACCACAAAGATAGAAGATCCTGATCCAGCATCTTCTAATTGTATGGGTTTTCTGTTAAATTTTATACGTTTTAAGTTTTTTTTCTTCTCCCAGGAATGAACGAACAAGCAGACCCAGGCCAACCCTGAAAAAACCCATCATGCCAAAATGCTGAAATAGGAGAGTAGTAGATTTAAGATTAGGCTCAGATATAAATGGAGATGCAAACAAATGGTGCCTAGAATCCCTCTAAGGTGGGCAACAGCAACAAAGAAGTACCACTACAATGAGTTCTAAGAGACTGACCTCACTGGAGACCCCTTTTGTTCCTACAGTCACCTTAATTTATCATCGTATTTCAGGAAAAAAAAAAGGAATAGCAGTTATTTCCTGCCTCTTTCTTTGCTTTGAAAAGCATGAGGTGTCCTGGTGAGCTCAGCATATTCCGATGATGACGACAAAACTTCTTAGTAACAGCTAATGATTTCAATAAAATGACCTGGTTAAAGGGCTGCAGTTATTACAAATGGGTTGGAAGGGACACATTTCAAAAATGTTTTTCTCGCTCTTTTCCCCTCCTCTTTCTTTCTTTCTGTTTTCAATGTCCACATTTTTGAACATCCTGAGCTCTTTGCATGTAAATCTGTGTGGGTGGATGTGATGAGAAGCAGTTGAATAAACTTCCCTTGGAGCCGCTAAAGCTCTTCTAGAGGCTAACAGAGGGCAGGAGCAACAAATGGTTCAGAGTTAGCAAAAGATCTCTGAGAGCTGATTTTAATTCACTGGGTTTCCCTTCCCCAAAATACAATATGAAACATTTTCTTTAAAAAAATGGAGAACCCCATTAGGGTTTATTAGGGGATTATGGCCTCCTGTATGTCATAACCTGTGTGTGTAATCATTAAACTGTAGATTTACTCTTATTCTTATTTATGTAGCCATAAATAAAACTGAATGCATTTAAGACACTTTGGGGTACCTAAATTTATAATATTTAGAATCTTATTGATTAGCTGTATGACTTTGTATCTGTTTTTGAGTCAAACCATTTACATGTGTGTTTGAAAATTAATTTTACATCCTAGGAAACTGAGAATTCAATTCCTTGTTTCCAAGTATAAATTCTCTAAATAGATAGACATACAAAATGAGAAATGAATAGATGGGATTATAAGTTCAGGATATAAATATAAGTCAGTAAATTGGTTCTATCTCATAAATTCAAGATTTGAAATAAATTAAGCCTGACCTAAAAGAAGTGGTAGAAACGGATAAAGATTCTATGAAGACTGAAAAAAGAGTATTTATTTGGTATATTTCTTTTCACTATAAAAACTTGTTTCTGTAGTTCCTTGCACATAACTGTCATTAAAACCACATTAATTCTCTCCTTGTACTACTTTTTCTTCATTCTTTATAGCTTATGCTGGGCCATATTTTCCAACATGTTTTCTAATTGCTACCACAAATATCAGCATCGGTAGCTTGAGATACGCTGGTATGACATCCACTTACATAATGGAGATGAAGTTGACTATGTATAATTCCTATGTATACACTGTTTGTTTACTTGTTACTCTTCTTACCCAGACTTACCCAAACTTCTTACCCAAACTTGGGCGTCTCTAAAACAAATGCTTGGACTTTGCAGATGATGCTGAAAACAAATAACGCTGGTATAAAAAAACAAGAATATGACAAGATAAATTTCTGAAGTCAGGAAATAGAATTGCAAAATATATTTACTTAGGTTTTTGTTGGTGCATGAAATAATTCATATAGTTATTTGTTTTCTTGAAACTCAGGGGTTTTTACAGGGTAATGTGAGGCAGACAACTGAGCTGAATGGGGATAGTGGTATTAAGTGAGGGGGCAGTTTATATAAGGTTAAATTCCATGAAAATTGGTGCTATTTTTTTGAGAACACTAAATTAAGACTTTTTCTTCTTATTATTTTTTGGTTTATCCACCTGAAAATCATAATGTTCCTTTGATAAAAGAGAAAGAGTACATGTTTATTTATAGAAAATTGAAAATGAATCTTTTTTCTGATGAGAGAGCATAAAATTTGCAGAATTATTTAAAAATTGGCCCTATGCCTTTCTTTTAACTTCATTACATATTGCATTTTAAAATATCAATTCTCAATATTTAAGTTGCTTTCAGTAGAAAAACCTAGGGAGAGTCTGGTGGCTCAAATAACATGTAAAACCCCATATGGAATGGCTTCATGGATTAAACATCTGCTTCATATTGTGAAAGTATTTGATTTAGATTCTGATGTTATTAGATTGTTGGTGGATTTTTTTAAACTTCCATACAGGTTAATTCTTACTAATTTTAATATAAAGATATCTAAACAATCTGGTTTCAACTGTAAAATTATGAAAACAATGAGTGAGCATTTTATCATTTATATATAGGTTTAGACTCTCTCTTTGAGGCTAAGTATTTGTCCATAAAGTGTATAACATACAATTAGATGGCTATTTTCTCTTCATTTATTATATCTGTTTTGAGGTCACTTACTGGTACTAACATTCATTATATAAAATGATATCATGTAGAATAAAATGAGCATCTCTACAATGTCTTTAATCAGATTTTGAGGTCCTCATATATCACTTCACATGAAAGGTAGATAATGTATAATTGAACTAAATGCTTTAGTTTCTAGGCTGAGCTAAATTAATACTTAGGAGAAGATCACATTCAGGTGTAGGTAAAAGGCGTACAGTACTTGCCGTTGTTTGGTGATCATACTGATTTTTATTAACAATGTGCCTTGTTTGGCATGTCCAACATTCCTCTCCCTTATCCTAATGCCATGTAGACATGGCAGAGCTGCTTATTATACTCCCCTCCCTACATATCTACTCTTTGTCCCAGTCTGTAAGCTAGTTGAGAGCTTCCTAAGGTGGAAATCATTATTGCCATTGACAAGCAAGAGATGTCAAGCAGGAAGAGTTTGGGAGAAGATGGGATAGGGGTTGTCCTTCTTTTCCAAATCTTCCTGAATCTATCTCCCTCTCTAGTTCCTGACTCAATACCTTTGTCACACTAACTTTAATTATTGAGATCAATTACTTTTAGACAGGCCTTGTTGGTTCTGTAAGAAAGAGACAATCTTTGGTCCAAACTGGCCTATCTAAAATCAAAGCAGTGAGAGCATGAGAGCATATAGCACTACTGAAATAGGTCTTACTGTTGGCAGATATTAAACCAGGATGATGGAGTCACATTAGCATGTATTCCATAAACTCCTCCCATCCAAATAAAGGGTGGGCACAGCACCCCGACTAGACCAAGTGACAGTGCCATCCCTATGCGCAAATTGATTCATTTTCAGAAGAGAATACGGCTGAAGGCAGACATTAAGAATCCTCCTCAAAATTTGTTACATGGATGCTGGGGACCCACGGATGCCTCTTTTTCTGTGGCATTGAAAATTTTAAGAATCACAAAAGACATAAGCAGGAAATGTATGTTGTCTTTTCAATTAATAAAAAGCTCTGTTTCTGTCAGAAGAAATAACCTGTAAACAGAAACTGGGTTGAGACATTATTTTAGTCCTTGGATCTGCTGTGCTCGAAGTTAGTATACTAAATTTTAGTCACATTAGGAAAAAATAATGTCCTATTTCTGTGAAAACATAGTTCAAAATGTGTGTCTGTCACTGGTAGTTGACAAATTTCTGTTTACCACATGTAACAAAAATCACATCAAATTTTGTTTGCAAATTTATATTTGCTTGATGATTCTACTTACTAATTAAGTGGTAATTGTAATGATCAGTATAAATATGGTTGATTTTGTAGATATCTAAACTTAACTGCTCTGATTGTTAGGCAAGTGAAGCTATTGTTTGGAGATCAAACCCAATGGCATGTTTTAAAGAAATGGTCAGCTGCTTTTTATTATTGTGTCTGGGGTTGAGATGCTATTAATCTCTGTGGTTTACTACTTAGAGAAAGATATTGTCCTTAAAAATGCAATCCCAAGATCCTTTGGCCAACGACACAGCAGATAGTACCCAGAGAGGCATATTATGGTTGTAACTGGCAGCGGGGCTAATAGGAAAAACTCTTGAAGGTACAGAGATGGATACGAAAAACAAATAGGTAAGTTGATTGTTTGAGTGGGTGAAAATTGTTCTGTTAATGACATCTACCATTTTCATTGTGCTAACTTTCCTGTTTTCTTTAACTGAAATCTTTTTTCTAGAGCAGTTAACAACCATTGTGTACTTTTACAGGAAAAAAGCCTTCGAAGACTGGCGAACAAAGATTTCAGTTTTTGTGTGAAGTCTAACTTTCCCAGGAAGGGAAAAAGCCAAAAATTTTAACCTAACCGAACATAAACTAGTGTTTCTTTTTTCTTCCCTCTAAGCATATTCAGAGTCCACACCATTTCTAATGCACCACTGGGGCAGAATGTGTAATGACTAATAGCCTGGCAGAGACCCAGGTGACATGTGAACACTGCGCCTTGGCCATAGCCAGTTAGCCTGGAGCAGACGCCAAAGTTTATTGTCTTTGCAGTTTCCTGGCCTTCGCCAGTAAGAAGTCATGGCTCTCACCAGACTTTTTAGCTAGGCTATTCATGAATTGCATATTTATTGGCATTTTTCAGCAAGAAGCTTAATTGTATGTAAGTCAGCTGGCAGAGAAGACCCACTCATAATGCAATTAGGAGAAAGTCTCATTATTTTATGGTTATGTTATGCTGAGAAACAGTCCATGTATCCCTCTGTTTGTCATTATATTTTTGCTTACAAACAGACACAGGGACAGGGAAAGGTATTTATAAACTCTGCTGTGTGTCCTGAAGTTACCATGCCATAGCGGGAGAATGCTGGGGACTCACAGGCCTGGGTGTCTGAAGAAAAGTTTCATGGTGGAAGCTGCTTTACTCAAGTCTCCTTTTTGGGCTTTTGAGGTCATTTAACAGTTGTCAGGTACAGGTGGGAAAACAAAATCTTGTTCTGATCCACTTTTAGTTCATTGTCTTTAATCATTACTGCCATAGAGAGGTCTCTTGTCCAGCTCAGTTCCTCAGATAGACATTGGGGAGAAAACTTCCCTTGGGCACGTGTACTAGCTACTTCCTGTCTAATCTTTCAGGTTTCAAATTTCCCCACCTATCTTAGCAACAGACCTGGGGTGAAGCTGCCCAAAGTCTTTTAGGTGTAACAGGGACTATGGCAGTTCACATTCAGGATTCACTTTTAAGTACATAGGATGCCTTGTGATAGAATTTAGGAGTCTAGTAGAGTCATTTAGGATTCTAGAATTCTTGTGACTTTTTTTTCTTTCCCACATAGGCATTTAGATGCTATTGTTTAAGGTTTTGAAAGACTTAGTTATAAAATCCACTACTTTCACCTGAAATTGATCTAGATAATCCCCATTTTGTTAGATCGTCAGTAAAACCCAGCTGAAGATAATGATGAATAGAGACAAGAGGGAAACACTGCATATTTGTTTACTGTATATGGGAAATTCCAAATCAATAATTCCCCAAGAGGTTCCAGAATCTTACCTTAAACCTCCTAATCACGTCTTATAATAGGTTGAAAGATATATCCTTATGATTCCTTTTACTCATCCTCTAAAATGATGACATCAGAGCAGACCTACAATCCAAATTCCATCCTTGATAGCAGAGGCCAATTTTTTCAATGTTTCTTCACTGCTAAGGGGATGGCTCTATTTCAAAAACAAAATATTCCTAGGCTTACATTTTTTCTAAATAAGGAGTTGATAGAAATCTGGTTTGACACCATGTTGATCTTCATCTTTGGTCTTCTGTTTTGATTTTGTGTGTGTTTTTCAATAAAAAATAATTCTATCTTTTTTGAGGATCCCTAAAGAATTTCCTGACCTCTAAGCTGTCACAAAGGTCAGAGGCTACACCTAGAAAAGTGCCAGTTTGGGTGTAAGACAACTGTACCTAAATGGAAATAAGAAGTTTATTTTGTTTTGTTTTTTTCTCAGCCAAGGACAATGATTCTTAACCTGAGTCCTGTTCATTTACTCTATGGGAACTCTCAGGTTCTGTGAAGCTCATCACAACTTAGATTTGTGATGAAAATGAAAAGTAATGGGTATTTCTTTGGTTCCCTGCATCACAGAGTTTATCCAGGCTTATCTTCTCTTATCTTGAAAACTTGGTGTAATTCATAACCCCATTAAACAAGCAAGGGATGCCAAGCAGGAAGGGTTTGGGAGAAAATGGGAACATTGTTGTCCTTCTTTTCCGAATCTTCCTTACTCTATCTTCCTCTCTAGTTCCTGACTTCATACCTTTGTCATGCTAACTTTAATTATTGGGACCAACAACTCTTAGACAGGCCTCGTGGCTCTGTAAGAAAGAGACAATCTTTGGTCCACACTGGCCTGTCTAAAATCAAAGCAGTGAGTGCATGTAGCACAACTAAAATAGGTCTTTCTGTTGGCAGATATTAAACCAGCATGGCGGAGTCACATTAGCATGTACTCCATGAACTCCTCCCATCCAAACAAAGGGTGGGGACAGGACCCAGGCTAGACCAAGTGACAGTGCCACCCCTATGCCCAAGATGATTCAGACTAGAATATAACCCAAGCATTAATTAACATGTTTTAACATGCAGTTCTTAAGAAGATGTCTAAATAATACATAGATCTTTATATGCGTATAAATATGATAAAGTGAATGACCTAAGTATAAATGTAAAAAGCTGAAAAGTGAATAAAAAATAAAATAAAAATAAAAGGAATAAAATAATAAAAATAAATGTGGAAATTAATCCAATAGATAATATTTGAAAAATAGTGAAGGAAATTAATCCAATAGATAATATGTGAAAAATAGTGAATAAAAACCCAATTTGTTTTTCTATTAAGTCCAGTGAAGTAAAACTCTGGAAAAAATAAGAATGCCCACTGTCAACATCACATCTAATATGCCACTGAAGGACCTCAGTGATACAGTGAGTTAAGAAAAATACAAGAAAAATGCAAGTTACATACCATAAAAAAGTGTGTGTGTATCAGAAATGTGGATATTTTATATATAAATATATATATATATATATATATATATATATATATATGTATATATAAAGGGGAGTTTCCTAAGTATTAACTTACACTATCAGAAGGTTCCACAATAGGCTGTCTGCAAGCTGAGGAGGAAGGAGAGCCAGTCTGAGTCCCAAAACTGAAGAACTTGGAGTCCGATGTTCGAGGGCAGGAGGCATCCAGCATGGAGAAAGATGTAGACTGGGAGGCTAGGCCCATCACTCTTTTTCACATTTTTCTGCCTGCTTTATATTTGCTAGCAACTGATTAGATTGTGTCCACCAGATTAAGGGTGGATCTGCCTTCCTGAGCCCACTGACTCAAATGTTAATCTCTTTTGGCAGCACCCTCACAGACACACCCAGGATCAATACTTTGCATCCAATCAAGTTGAGAGTATTAACCATCACATATATATATATATATATATACACACACACACACACACATACATATATATATATACACATACACACATATGTATATTCAGGTATAGGTGTATGTGTGCACACACATATACACATACAGATATACACACATATATCTGAATGGAAGAAAAAATGATATCATTTGTAAGCAATATAGTTTTATACTGAGAAAATGCAAGAAAAATAATGGAAAAACTACTAGAACTAATAAGACAATTCAGAACGGTGACTGAATAGAAGACTGACACATGAAAATCAGTGTTAGTCTGATTATATTAGACTATAAGTATCTAAAAAAAGATTAGCATATCATGATCTATAGAAGATTCAAATCATGAAGGTGTTAATTCTTGAGAAAGCAATCACCAAAGTCAATGTAACTCAATCAAAATTTTAACAGGATTTTTCATGTACAATGACAAGCTCATTTTTAAGTTTATATGAAAAAATGCATAAAATAATCAAAAAATTCTGAAAAGAAACAATTACTCCAGGTATCAATGTTACAATTTTCTCTGAGTACTTCTATATTCTATGAGTCACGAACAGGTGCTATCTATGTATTACTTGTGTAATTTAACAAATGTTCCAGCTGGGCCTGGTGGCTCACGCCTGTAATCCCAGCCCTTTGGGAGCCTGAGGTGGGTGGATCACCTGAGGCCGGGAGTTCAAGACCATCCTGGCCAACATGGTGAAACCCCATCTCTACTAAAAATACAAAATTAGCCAGGTGTGGTGGTGGGCACCTGTAATCCCAGCTACTTGGGAGGCTGAGGCAGGAGAATCACTTGAACCCAGGAGGCAGAGGTTGCAGTGAGCTGAGATCACACCACTACACTCTAGCCTGGGCAATAGAGTGAGACTCTGTCTCAAAAAAAAGAAAGAAAAAGAAAAAGAAAACAAATATTCAAAATAAAGAGAAAAATCTAAGAAATCTAAGAAAGGAGCATGAAGATTTGGAGTATGAGAATGATATTTTAATCAGGAGTGGAAGATAAGCAACCCTGTGGTTAGAAAATAAAAATCAAACTAAGAGGGTGGAAAAGTTGGTTTGCTAGACAAAGATGAAGGTGCCAGTTTGAAGGCTGTCATGTATGGTGGGAGGTGAGGGAAGTACTAATAAGTTATAATTTGATGAAATGAACAATGTCTGGGATGGTGTGGCAGAAATAGCTGGAGAGAAAGATGATGTAAGGGAAGCTGTTTAATGCATACATCATTGAACATATATACTAACCATTACCTAAAAAATCATTCCTAAAAAATGAGGCAAGGTAAGGACTGTGGGAGGTATGGGGAACAAAGAAAGGGGGAAAAAACTGAGTACACTGTTACTTAGGAATATTATTTTGGTTTGTCAAATTCTTCATTTGGGTATGTGGGAAGGAAGTTCATTTTTAGTTTTCTTTTTTTACATTTAAAATTTTGAGATAATTATAGATTCACATGAAGTTATAAGAAATAATATAGAGGGATCCTGTATTAGTCTGTTCTCATGCTGCTAATAAAGACACACCTGAGACTGGGTAATTTATAAAGAAAAAGAGATTTAATGGACTTATAGTTCCACGTGGCGGGGGAGGCCTCAGAAGGTGAAGGAAGAGCAAAGGCATGTCTTACATGGCAGCAGTCAAGAGAGTGTGTGCAGGGGAACTGCCCTTTATAAAACCATCAGATCTCTTGAGATTTATTCACTATCATGAGAACTGCACAGGAAAAACTCATCCCCATGATTCAATTACCTCCCACCAGTTCCCTCTCATGACATGTGAGGATTATGGGAGCTACAATTCAAGATCAGATTTTGGTGGGGACACAGCCAAACCATATCAGATCCCATTTAACCATGACTTAGTTTCCACCAATATTAACATTTCGTGAAACTACAGTATAATATTGCAACCAGAATATTGATATCGATACAATCAAGACACAGAACATCTCCATTGCCACAAGGATCCCTCATTTTGCCTTTTTACAGCCACACCCCCTTCTTCCTGCATCCAGCTCTCCTTAACTCTTTAAAATCACTAATTTCTTCTTTATTTCTGTAATTTTTTTATTTTAAGGATGTTATATAAGTGAAACCATTCAGTATGTGTGACCTTTTGGAAATGGCTTTTTTCACTTTGCCTAATTCTGATATTCATCCAGGTTATTGTGCGTACCAATAGTTTGTTCCTTTTTATTGCAGAGGAGCATTGTATGTTATGTAGTATGTCTTCCTTTGTTTTTCCCTAGAGGCTTAATAGTTTTACACTTTACATTTCAATCCAAGTGTATGATCCAGTGCTAGTTAATTTTTGTATAAGGTATATGACTTAGGTCAACGTTGTGGGTGGTTTTTTTCTTTTTTTTTTTCCCCATTGACCATGGATGCCCATTTTCTCCAGCTTCATTTGTTGAAAAAAATGTCTTTCCTTCATGGAACTGAATTTTGCATCATTGCCAAAAATCAGTTGGGCATGTTTGTGTGGATCTATTTCTAGGTTCTCTATTATATTCCACTGATTTTACGTTTATTCCTCTGCCAAATACCAGTCTTAATTACTATAGCTACTTAATGAGCCTTGAAGTCAGGTAGATTGATTTCTATGACTGTCCTTTTTATTTCATAACTAACTCTTCTAGTTATTTTGCCTTTCTATATAAATTTTAGAATAAACTTATCTATACAGTTGTACCCTGAACAATGTGGAGGTTGGGGGACTGAGCCCTCATGCAGTCGAAAATTCATGACTCCCCAAAAACTTAACCACTGAGTAGGCTACTATTGACCAGAAGCCTTCCTGATAACATAAACAGTCTATTACAATATATTTTGTACGTTATATGAATTATATACTGTATTTTTTTTTCTGAGACAGAATCTCACTCTGTCACCCAGGCTGGAGTGCAATGGTGTGATCTTGGCTCACTGCAACCTCCACCTCCGGGTTCAAGTGATTCTCCTGCCTCAGCCTCCTGAGTAGCTGGGATTACAGGCGCCCACCATCGTGCCTGACTAATTTTGTATTTTTTGCAGAGATGGGTTCACCATGTTGGCCAGGCTGGTCTTGAACTCCTGACCTCATGTGATCCACCCACCTTGGCCTCCCAAAGTGCTGGGATTACAGATGTGAGCCACACTCAGCCTATACTGTATTCTTACAATAAAATCATCTAGAGAAAATAAAATGTTATTAAGAAAATCATAATGAAGAGAAAGTATATTTACTATTTATTAAGTGGAGGTGGAACATCATCGAGGTCTTCATCCTCATCCTCTTCATGTTGAGTTGACTGAGGAGGAGAAAAAGGAAGAGGAGGAGTTAGTTTTGCTGTGTTAGGGTGGCAGAAGTGGAAGATAATCTGTGGATAAGTGGACCTGTCTTGTTCAAACTTCTGTTCAAGAGGCAACTGTGTATACAAAATTATTGTTGGGATTTGGATAGGAAATGAATTAAAGCTGCATATTAATTTAGTAAGAATTGACATCTTTAATATGTTTAACTTCCAATCCGTGAACACAATATGTTTTTCCATTTATGTAGATATTCTTTGATTTATGAACATTTTGTGTTTTCATCATACAAGTATGGTACATGTTTTGTTAGATTAACACCTATGGTTGGGAGATATCTTGAGACTTTCTATATAGTTAATCATGTCATTATTGTTTATTTGAGTTTTTTTATGTTTTCAAATGTATGCACTTAGTGCTACAAATTTCCATTCAGCACTGCTTTTGCTGTGTCCCACAATTTTTGATGTATTGTATTTTCATTTTCATTCAATTCAATCTATATTTCATTCTTCTGATACTCCCTCTTTCACTCATAGATTATTTAGAAGTGTCTTTTTAGTTTCCAAGTGTTTGGAGATCTTCCTGTTATCTTTTTGTTAACTCATTTCTAATTTGATTATATTGTGGTTGAATAATATATGTATGATTCCGATGCCTTTAAATGTACTGAGGTTTGTTTTGTGGCCGAGGATATAGTTTTCTTGGAATATGTACTGTGGGCTCTTGAAAGGAATGAGCATTCTGCTGTTGAGTGGAGTGGTCTCTAAGTGTTGATTAGATCCTGTTGGATAATGGTGTTATTGAGTTCTTACATATTCTTGCCAATTTTCTGTCTAGTTATTCTATCTGTTGACAGAATAGTGTTAAACTCTCCAATTCTAATTATGGATTTACTTATGTCTCCTTTCAGTTCTATCATATTTTGTTTTGTATAACTTGCAGTTCTGTTGTTTAGTGCACACACTTCTGTTGATTGTTTATTCAGTTTGGTATCTCTCTGGTTCTTGGTATGATGAATGATTTTTTTATTGAAAGCTGGACGAGTATGGTGGCTCATACCTATAATCCCAGCACTCTGGGAGGCCAAGGCAACTGGGTCACTTGAGGTCGGGAGTTTGAGACCAGCATGGCCAACGTGGTGAAACCCCATGTCTACTAAAAATACGGTGGCACGTGCCTGTAGTCCCAGCTACTTGGGAGGTTAAGGTTTGAGAGTCACTTGAACCCAGGAGGCAGAGGTTGCAGTGAGCCAAGATGGCATCACTGCACTTCAGCCTGGGTGACGGAGTGAGACTCCATCTCAAAAAAAAAAAAAGAAACCTGGAGGCCGGGTGCAGTGGCTCACGCCTGTAATCCCAGCACTTTGGGAGGCCGAGGCGGGCAGATCACGAGGTCAAGAGATAGAAACCATCTTGGCCAACATGGTGAAACCCCGTCTCTACTAAAAATACAAAAATTAGCTGGTTGTGGTAGCACATGCCTATAATCCTAGCTACTCAGGAGGCTGAGGCAGGAGAATTGCTTGAACCTGGGAGGCGGAGGTTGCAGTGAGCCTAGATCGCGCCACTGCACTCCAGCCTGGGGGACAGAGCAAGACTCCATGTCAGAAAAAAAAAAAAAAAGGAAAGAAACCTGGATATTTTGGGTATGATGCTGTGAAACTCTGGATCTTATTTAAACCTCCTGGTTTAGCTGGCTATTTCTGATATGGCTCCTATTTAAACCTTCTGGTTTAGCTGGGTGTTTATGATATGGCTCCAGCAGGGGATGTGAAATGGGATATCCCACGTCATCACTGCCAGATGGGAGTAGAATTCCAGGTTCCTATTGGTCTCAGTTAACACCTAAGGTGGGAGATTCCTCATTTCCACTGTGCAGACATGGGCGTTGCAACTCCCCATAGGCATCCACCAATACCTCCTAAGCTGAGAGGAGAAGGGGCATCCTTAGGGGTCATTCCTGCTACTACTCACTTGGCTGCCACTGACACCACAGGGTTGGGGTGCAGCCTGGTGGTGATGAAAATTCCAACTTTCCATTCAGCCTTCTCTGAATAGAAAGGGGAGGGGAAAATGGGGATGGGACACCTTGTTATATCTTGAAGAGGGTGGAAGTCTAAACTTTCTAAACAGCCTTTCTTGATGTTGGTAGGAATGAAATTGTGGCTTTATTTTTTATTTTATTTGTTGTGGATTTTTATCCATCTTGCTCGGCTACCTATTTCCTGGCCCTTTGGATAGAGAAGCAAGCTTTCCTTGGGGCTTTTTATTGTCTGCACTCATTGGTGTTTCCAGGTTAACATCTTGTTCAGCTCCTAGTCTTGGATATACGAGGCCACTGTGTCATTCTTTGAGTCCTGGCCTGTCTTCCTCTCTCCATGTTTCAGAGTCTTCTTAATGTGGTTTGTAATATAATGTCCAGGAATTTTAGTTTACTTAGTAGGTGAGATCAGGAAAAAGTAGGGCTTTTTGAAGGAAGCTGGCCCCTATTAATGATCCTTCCTCTGGGAGAAAGGGCTGGTTATGACCTGGCCCCTGATAAACCTCTCCACAAGCTTCTTGCCACAATTACTTCACCCATGTCTGACTAACAACAACCTGTTTAACCCCAAGCATCTTCTAGGAAGAGACCATACATCATACCAGACTCTTTAGTGGTTTTGTGCTTTGACCAAATACGCTAAGAACAAATATCTAGAGTTAGACCACCCAAGATATTTTCACTTCTGTGGTTAACCATCTTTGAATTCAGGTTTCTTTGGGTGAAAAGGTATTCATATTCTGAATGTCAGTGTTTTATGTTCTTATCAACATGTCAATGCTACAGACATTGGACTCCCACTACATGTACCTGGGAAATTTGTACCCCGACAATACCATTCTAACTTTAACTAAATTGAACAATTTCCCTGTTTTCACCGTGGTTCTAATTATTTCCACTGACTTTTATTTATTGGGAATACATAAAAAAGTGTTTTGGGTATACGATAGTCAGTTGGATGCCTTGCATTTCAAAATCTAGGAAAGGAACTGACCAGAAAGAAGGCTGCACCACGGTGGAAAAATTCCTCTGTCTATAATTTACAGTGACTTAGTGAGTCTTTATAGAGCTCCATTCCTGCTTGGTTCCAGATGAATTGTAGTTCTCTGTGAACCAAGAAACATATATAATTTATAGTCTGTTTTGGTTTGCTTTGATAAAGAATATGTTATCTTCATTCTTAAGAAAATATAGGCTGCATAGCCTGATGCAATTGTTTATGGAGGCAATAAACTTTGTTTCAGTCCTTACCTTACACAATCTGCTTTCCTAACTGTGTATGGAAACTGATGTTCATCTATTCAAACTACCTTAAAGGGGATTGTGGCAATCTTGTTGGAATTAAGTTAGCTTTAATTAAACAAAAGAAGAAATACTATCGTGTTTTTGCCTTAACTGACATATTTTTATTCTAATTCTGTTCTTTTAAAGACATGTACTTAACTATTTTATTGAGTAATAAATGACCATATTTGAAAGAGTTAAATGTTAATATACAACTTATAACAATAAAAGTACCCCATCTCAAGTCTCACTTCTCAGGCTGCTACTTCCAACACTTTTAATTTGAATTTTCAGAGTTAATAGAATTCTGAAACTTTTCTCAAAATAGTGAAACACAGTAGGTTATCAGTGAGTTTCATTCCCCGCCACCACCATGACATCTCTCCTGGAGCCCAACCATTCTTGTCCTGGGACATCCCTTCCAATCACCCTGGAAGTCTGTTCTTTAATCCATATCCCCTGAAGGCTGAATCTTCTTTCTTGGTTTACAAACTTTATTTTAGCAGTCCACATGCTCCAGTAGCTCAGCAAGAGTTCATATGAGGTACAGTTATTTTTTTATATACTTTAGTCTTCCTGAGTATCTTGGTTTAGGTTAGAAATAATTTTCTCTCATAATTTCAAAGGCATCTTTCTTGTCAGCACCTTAAATAGTACCTGGTTCAGAGCAAGCACTCAGTAAATCATTGTTGAATGAATTATTTTCTAGCTTACAGTGTTGCTGTTTTGAAAAGTGCAATTCCATATGCCATTTTAATGACTGCTCTTTTATATTACCCTGTTTTTCTGTCTGGGAACTTAGCATCTCCTCTTCATCTCAAGATATTTGATATTTCAGAATGATTTGCATGAGTATAGATTTAAAAAATTATTCTGCTATGCATCAGTGGGCCTTTTTATACAGTGATCTAGGGTGTTTTATTATGGAAAATTAATATTTGTATTCATTCCCTTTTTGTTATTACCTTTCCTTTAGTCTCCCTTTCTAAATTTTCTAATAGTAAACTATGGAATTTCTTGAATAGATTCTAAAATTTTTTATTCCTTTTCTCATACTTTCTATCACTTTGACATTTATTTCATCTTTCTGAGCAGTATCTTCCCCTTTATTTTTTAACGCTCTGTTTCACTTTTAAAATACCCTCATCACTTTATGTCAGTTAGGTGGTTGGTTACATGAGTCAAAAATTCTGGAACAACTTCTGGTCTGGGAATATACATTTGGGAATTGTCCACTTAGGTGGAATTTAAAGCCACGAGACTAAATAAGATCACCAAGAGAGTGAGTAGAAGATAAGGAGAAAAAAAGTCCAAGGACAAAGACCAAGGCATTTAAACTTTTTAGAGTTCAGATCAATGAGTAAGAAATGATAGGGAAAAGAACAGTGACAGAAGGAGAAGGAAACACATGAGTGTGTGATATCCATTTTCTGTGACAAATGCCACTCATCGGTCAAATGAGATGAGCACTGAGAAGTGACTACTGGCTTTAGCAACAAAGAGGTCATTGGGTCATTGGTGTTCTTTTAAAAAATGCCATTTAAATAGAACAATGAGGGCAAAAGCCTGAGTGCAGCATGATCAGGAATGAGCAGGGAAATGGGTATTATAGCAGAGGTTGCAGTCGACTCATTTTGCCATGTAGTAAAGCAGAAATGAAGCTACGGGGGCTGGAATACAGTGTGGTGTATACAGATGTTTTTCTGGAAGACTGGCTAAACAAATGCTTCCCAGAGAATGGCAGTACCTAGCAAAAACTGTGAAAACAAAGTGACTTCCAGGTATGAAGAGCTTTAAGAGATGAGACATAGCATAAGATTTATGTAATGTGAAGTTTTCATAAAAAAATACAATATTGATTATAATGATTGTACCTAAATTCATAAAGTTTGCTGTGAGGCAAGCTCATGCAAAACAGAAAGTGAATTTTGATATCTCAACTTCTGATGTGTTTCTCATTAAACTCAACTACTATTAATCAATATTTAATTATCCTGACTTTTCACTCAGGATATAATCCACAATTTTCTGATACAAAGTGCTTTCAGGTGTTGAAAGGGCAGTTCCTTAGTTGATAAACCCTTATCTTGAATGTGACTGAGTGCAGTTCTTAAGTGTGTGAGCCACTTACTCCTGTAATAATCTGTCTCAAGCTGCTTTCTTTAGCTCTTTCAACATTTGACCTTAATTATTCAAGATCAGCAACAGAAGAGGCTACTCATTTTCTTAGGAATATGCATACCCAGATTGTCATGATTTCTTTCTTTCTTTCTGAGGAAGAACCTTTACTGAGATTTTATAACATTTTATTTGAACTGGAAGAAACTGCTTATTAAAAGAGCCAAAATTTTCTCCTGTGGAAAACTTTAGGGCCTAAAGTCAACATAGCAGAAGCATTTTTTTTTATTTTTTAATTTTTTTATTATACTTTAAGTTCTAGGGTACCTGTGCACAATGTGCAGGTTTGTTACATATGTATACATGTGTCATGTTGGTGTGCTGCACCCATTAACTCATCATTTACATTAGGTATATCTCCTAATGCTTTCCCTCCCCCCTCCCTCCACCCCCAACCCCATGGCAGGCCCTGGTGTGTGATGTTCCCCTTCCTGTGTCCAAGTGTTCTCATTGTTCAATTCCCACCTATGAGTGAGAACATGCGGTGTTTCGTTTTTTGTTCTTGTGACAGTTTGCTGAGAATTATGGTTTCCAGCTTCATCCATGTCCCTACAAAGGACATGAACTTATCCTTTTTTATGGCTGCATAGTATTCCATGGTGTATATATGCCTCATTTTCTTAATCTAGTCTATCATTGATGGACATATGGGTTGATTCCAAGTCTTCGCTATTGTGAATAGTGCCACAATAAACATATGCGTGTATGTGCCTTTATAGCAGCATGATTTATAATCCTTTGGGTATATACCCAGTAATGGGATGGCTGGGTCAAATGGTATTTCTAGTTCTAGATCCTTGAGGAATTGCCACACTGTCTTCCACAATGGTTGAACTAGTTTACAGTCCCACCAACAGTGTAAAAGTGTTCCTATTTCTCCACATCCTTTCCAGCACCTGTTGTTTCCTGACTTTTTAATGATTGCTATTCTAACTGGTGTGATATGGTATCTCACTGTGGTTTTGATTTGCATTTCTCTGATGGCCAGTGATGATGAACATTTTTTCATGTGCCTGTTGGCTGCATAAATATCTTCTTTTGAGATGTGTCTGTTCATATCCTTCGCCCACTTTTTGATGGGATTGTTTGTTTTTTTTTCTTGTAAATTTGTTTGAGTTCATTGTAGATTCTGGATATTAGGCCTTTGTCAGATGAGTAGATTGCAAAAATTTTCTCCCATTCTGTAGGTTGCCTGTTCACTCTGATGGCAGTTTCTTTTGCTGTGCAGAAGCTCTTTAGTTAATTAGATCCCATTTGTCAATTTTGGCTTTTGTTGCCATTGCTTTTGGTGTTTTAGACATGAAGTCCTTGCCCATGCCTATGTCCTGAATGGTATTGCCTAGATTTTCTTCTAGGGTTTTTAAGGTTTTAGGTCTAACATTTAAGTCTTTAATCCATCTTGAATTAATTTTTGTATAAGGTGTAAGGAAGGGATCCAGTTTCAGCTTTCTACATATGACTAGCCAGTTTTCCCAGCACCATTTATTAAATAGGGAATCCTTTCCCCATTTCTTGTCCATGCTCATGGATAGGAAGAATCAATATTGTGAAAATGGCCACACTGCCCAAGGTAATTTATAGATTCAATGCCATCCCCATCAAGCTACCAATGACTTTCTTCACAGAATTGGAAAAAACTACTTTAAAGTTCATATGGAACCAAAAAAGAGCCCACATTGCCAAGACAATCCTAAGCTAAAAGAACAAAGCTGGAGGCATCACACTACCTGACTTCAAACTATACTACAAGGCTACAGTAACCAAAACAGCATTGTACTGCTACCAAAACAGAAATATAGACCAATGGAACAGAACAGAGCCCTCAGAAATAATACCACACATCTACAACCAGCAGAAGCATTTTTAAAGCAAGCCTTCCTTTCATAGAGGAGACTCCAGGAGGTTGTGATAAGAGGTGTAATAATAGAGTTGATCAAGTTACTGAAAGTGTCTGAGCCTCAGTTTCCCATTGAAATAAAAGATAATTGAAGGTTAGCAAGCATGGTCTCAAACCCTCTTGTCTTCTCAGTCTGTGTACTTTGTGTAGGTAAGACCTTGATTTCAGTGTCTACTAATACTCAGATTGGTCTCAGACTTACATCTCTATATGAGGTTTCCTCTGACATGCAGCCTTCCTGTACGTGAATTTGAAACACTTTAAAGTCTTCCCTTAATGACATCTGCAAAGCTTCATGCAATCGTCTGCTGCCTACCTCTTGTAGCCTCATCTTGCACCACATTCCTTTGGTTTTCTGCACTCCAGAAACCCTGGCCTTACTTCAGTTTCTCCAGAGCACTGCACTCTACCCCTCCACTGAGCCTTTCACACGCTCTTCTCTCATCTGGAATGTTCTTATTGCCCTAAACCCTTCTCCACCTGTGCCTAGTTAACTCCTAATATAATTTATGTCTCCGGTAAATACTGCCAATGCTATATCTTAACCATATAAGTTGCTTCAAGTTAATTTTTTCCTGGACATTTTATGAAATCTGGGATGCAGAAATCATACAGTATCCTCTGCTCTCCTTGTGACAGCCTTCCTGGGTTCACTGGCTTGCTGTTTTTGGCTCCCAGCTGGAAAAGTAGGACTAGCATTCATTTTTATTTCAACTCATATTGGGAAAGAAATATGATGTCAGCTTGCTTTCTAATTGTAACAAAATTCTCTGCGGCTGTACTTAAATATTACAAAAAGGTAATGTTACTTTGTACAACTATGTAACAAACTTACTAAATCTCTCTTAGAAAGTATTTCAGATGCCAGTTTGTGAAACATCAGTGGGTGTTTACAAGGAATAAAGCATAGCACAACCACCCTGGCCATTCTTAACTGTCTGACAGATTCAATACCAGGAAGAACACTGGGAAAAGCCTTTCTTCTTCTTTTTTCTCTTTCCCAGGGCACAGAGCTTCATGCCCATAAGGGATCCTCTATCCTGATGATCCTATCACTACAAATGGATTATTTTGAATAGAGGCTGTATTAGTTTCTTAGGGCTATGGTAACAAAGTATTACAAACTAGGTGACTTAAAACAACAGAAATTTGTTTCACAGTTCTGGATGATGGAAGTCTGAAATCAAGGCACCAACAGGGCTGTGCTCACTCTGAAATCTGTGGAAGTGAATCCTTCCTTGCCTCTCCTAGCCTCTTGTGGAGTGCCTGCAATGTGCACATCCCTTCGTTTACAGCTGCAGCACTTCAATCTCTGTCTCTGTTGTCACATGAAATTGGGTAAGATGATAGAATTCTTTAGATATGGTATGGAATAAGCCCACCAGGAAAATAAAATGACTTAAAAGAAAACCAGCGCAACTTTGTGTCTCATGCTGAAAACAACAAAACTGCTTGCTTAAGATAGAAACATAATTCTTTTAGAAGGATCAATGAGTTAAGAGTAAGGAATTAGGTCTAGGGACTGAGAAGTAGGTGGAGCACTGCAGCTGGATTTTACTTTGAAGTTTTTTTGAGCAAAATTAACATGAGCTTTGGTTTTTGTGGGCTTGAATGCCTCAAAAAAGGTGAGACAGCTTAAAGTTCCACTCGTGTTGAGGAGCCTAATAGAGATCCTCACCTTTCCCATAAAGGTGAGATCCAAATAGCCATACCTTCAATGTAAAAGTAAACTCAGAAAACTACCTCCTCCAATCTTGGGCTTAAATGAAACTCAACTCTCTCACACACAGGTGCTGAATGGAAGGGAAAACAAAATTTTTGAGAACTTCTAACCACAAACCAATTCTCAAATTCATTTGAAGCCTAAATACACAGCACATGGGTGGTCTACAAACCTCAAGCTGAGAATTTAATTTAGACTGATCGCAAAGTGTTGGTGTCCCAAAGACCACCTGGCAGAAGCAAATGGAAATCTCTGCAGGAACCCATCATCATGCCCCAACTCAGTGATTTTTCATAATAAATTTTAAAGCAATTGAGCAGCCCACAATAAAAAATAACTAAACAAGACACCATGAGGAAGGACCAGCAGAAACAATAAACAGTAGAAACAGACTCTCAGAAATTTGAAGGACAGTGAAATATAATACATAATTATAAAATATATTTCCTTATAGGAAATAAAAGCCAAGTTTAAAAATATGTGTAGGAAATAAGGAATGATACTAAATGACCAAACAACTTCAAGGAAGAAAAAAAATTAGAAATAAAATATATAATTGGAATAAAAAATTCAAAAGACATTTTTAACCTAAAATGCATCTAATAGAAGAAAGATTTAGTGAATTGAATGAAAGATCTGAAAAATTTATCCAGAATACAACACAAATAGGCAAAGAGATAAAAAGTATGAAGGATAGATTAAGAGGCATTGAGGAACTGGTAAGTCTAACATTTGTCTACTTGGACTCTAAGAAGGAAAAGAGAGCATAGAACAGAGGTAATATTTGAGAACAAATGGATAAGAATTTTCCAGAATTGATAAAGGAAAAAACTTAAAACTTAAATAATAAGCCATTATATTTCTACCAGACTGGGGTAAAAAGTAAAAGCCTGATAATATCAAATGTTAGCAAGAATATAGAAAAATGGGAGCATTCATACATTACTAGAGGGAGTATAAATTGGCATGATCACTTTGGAAAATAGTTTGGCATTGTCTATGAATATGAAACTGTGTAATTTGTAACTTAGCAATTTTAGTGGGTAAATATCCTTAAACAAAGCTCATGCACATGTGCACCATTTACATAGACAAGGATATTCAAAACAGTATTGTTCTGTAAGAAAAAAAAAACATTGCTGCTGTTTGAATGTCCCCCAAAATTCATGTATGGAAACTTAATTGCCAATGTGATTTTATTAAGAAGTGGGGCCTTTAGGAAATTATTAAGCCAGAAGGTGTAGCACTTATGTATGGCATTAGGGCCCTTATAGGAGAGGTTGAAGGACTGAATTCCTTCTCTTCCACTCTTCTGCCATGTGAGGATGCAGCAAGAAGACTCATCAGACACGAAATGCTACCACCTTCATTGTAGACTTCAGCCTTCACAACTGCAGGAAATAAATGTCTGTGTTCATGAATTACCCTGTCTTAGGCATTTTGGCATAGCAACACAAATAGACTAGACATCTATCAAGAGTAGAATGGATAAATACATTTGGTATATTCTTAAAAAGCAATATTTTATGACAATAAAATATAAGTGTTATGGGATCTTTGGGGTGTAAATTTTCTGGCCAGAAACCTCTGTTGCCAGTGGCATCTTTGCCTGAGTTCTTGTCCTGCATCCAGGAAGAATGAGGCATGCAGAAAAGTGGAGGGTGAACAAGATGAAGAGAGCTTTATGAAGTGTTAGAACAGCTCAGAGGAGACCCACAGTAGGTAGCTCCTCTCTGTAGGCAGGTCATACCATGGACTGTTCAGCTCTCAGCAGAGAGGAAGCCCTGGAGGGGGGCAGCTCCTCTGTGCAGCTGGTTGTCCTGTCTTCTGCCCAGCTCCTAGCAGATAGGAGACCCTGGAGTGGGTTGCTCCACTCTGGTAGTCCCAGTGTCACTGCAGGTCTTTGAAGCCCTCAGCAGAAAGGGTAGCTCCTCTCTGCGGCTGGTTGTCTGGTCTGGTCTGCTCAGCTCTGGCTGAGCCTGGGGCTTTTATGGGTCTCAGAGGGGAGGTAGTGCACACCGATTGGTCCATGGGCAGCCTTGAAAAGGTACCAGTTCCCACTCCCATCTGTGGGACTGGCAGCCCAGCCCCCAGCCTTCAGGCCCTCTCTGGCCTGAAGGTGGAGCCTCAACAGGGACCCACCCCCTTCCAGCCAGGAATTTGCCTCCTGCTGCTGTTCATGGCCACTGGGCTCCACCAGACTTTGTTCCAAGTTCGAAGAGGGTACAGATAGCAGGGAGAAGTCAGGCAGCGGGAGCAGGCACTTCTGAGCCTGTGAAGACATGGGGGGCCTTCCTGGGCCCACAAGAGTGCAGGGATGCCTGAGTCTGTAGCCAAGGGTTGGGCAGCTATAGCTGCAGGGGGGCAGTGGGGCTCCTGCAGGTCTGCAGCCCTGGTTTGGGTGGCTGCAGCTGTGCCTGGGAGGGCAGGGCTGCTGCCTGCTCCCAGACCCCCAAGAGCACAGGGAGGCTTGGATCTTCAGCCACAACTTGGGCGGCTGCAGCCCCACCCAGGAGGACAGGGCTCCTGGCCACTCTGTGGAGTGTGCAGCCCTAGCCACACCTCTCTGAATCAGCCTGGGTGATGGCAGTGGCAAACTGTCTGGAGCAGCCACTGCTATCACAAGCAACATCATCAACATAAAAGAATATTAAAAACACAACATTGAATACAATAATCAAATCACAAAGGATAATAGGCACTGAATTTAGCTTTGTTTTGCTAGTTCATGGCTCCTAAGGTATATAGTATCAGTTAGACCTTGCAAAGTTACATTGTTTATTTTGGCAATGGAATTTCATGTATACTTACAGATCTTTAGGAATGAAATTATCTAACCACGGCTTCAAAAATTCTGTTCTTTGTGGTGGAAACTGATCTTTCTAATCTATGGTTATTTTTAGAAATGTTGTTCTGAATGATGGTAGTGATCACAAAATTGTCTGCCAGCAGCCTTAAGGTCTTTCTGTTCATGTCTGCATCATTGTCAGTAAAAATGGAGGTGCCCAGAATACTATAAAAACATAAACTCCTATGAAATCATAGGAAGCTGGAACATGTGGTGGATTGTGATTGTGGAATTGACTCATAGGAATTGGGGATGGGATTGAAGAATCGGAAATGAGAAATTCAAATCAATTGGGTTTATATGCTTGAGTGGCAGAAAGGCCCTAAGAAACAGTATTATAAATATAATACAGAAAATTTGGAAGCATCAGGATAAAATACCAGGATTAAAAAAGATGGTTATCCATAATCCCAACACCAATGTCAATTAGATGTTAGAAAATATCTAATAATATACGATAATTGTAATTGTAAATATCAGTGGATTCAAGGACAATCCAGAGTCTTAGAGTATATTTTACCCTTAATTTAACCTAAATTTTGTTAATACATTTCAGTGATTTATTCAATTACTTTTTTGTTTTTTACTATGGATACTCCCAAATTTTCCCAATTTTTTTTAGTATGGATACTCCCAAATTTCAGTTGTAATTATTGCATGAGGGCTGCAGAAGTTTCCTCTTGCTCCTCCATGAGTAATGGGGGAAGAATAGTGAGTATGTTGGTGATGGGTGGGAGGCAGTGGATTTGAGTATACAGACTGCCATACTTAGCCGTATGGCCTCAGAGCTTCTCCAAACCTTGTATTTTCTTGGGTAAAATGGGAATAAAATATCTTCTTTGCCTACCTCAAAGGGTCAATGGAGACATCAAACCAGAAATGACTCTAAAACACTTTATAAAATATAATGTATTCTAAAAATGTAAGAGGTATCATCATTATCATTGTTTATACTAATGGGATAAACAATAGTGTAAATAATTAAGAGACATTCTCTCCCATGACTTTCATTTTATACTTACCAGTCTTTTTAAAAATGCAGAAGTAAACATGTTCTTTGCAAGCAACACAAATATAGAAGTATACATAAAAATGACAAAAATTTCTCTTCTCCTGACTTCATTCATTACTCTGATCTAGTATGATTTCTAAATACTTCTCATCATATGCATATAATTATGTATTATTCATACATTGCCTAACTAAGGGCACCTATTCAGTCTCCATCCCGTTGCTAGGACTAACAATATTCCAATAAATAGCCAAAATATAGACAAAACAGTCTATATTTCTAGACTATTTTAAGTGCATACTCAAACTTATGTTAAAACTTTGATTCATTCAACAAATGATAATGAATGTCTACTATATGCCAGGTATTTTTCTGGATGACAGCGACATAGCAGTGTCTTAGTAAGACAAATCAGGTTTATACTCTCATGGCCCTTACATTCTAGGGTGAGCATGCAAAAAATATGCAAACAATAAATATAACAAGAAAAATGTTACATATTGATAAGTGCTATGCAAACAAAGCAAGTTGATGTGAATGACACTACACAGACAAACAGGAAGCATGCACAATTGACTATTAATTGAATTATTGTTAGTGCTAGCAAAAGGATGGAGGCTGAATAGATGCCCTTAGCTAGACAGTGTATAGATAACATATAATTATATGCCTATGATGAGAAGCATTCAGAAATCATACTAGATTTGCATATAGCAATATAGGTTAATATCCAAACACATCAATGAATTTAAAAAGGAAGTACAATAAAGTTTATTTTGTAATACCATTTATATAAATTAAAAGCCAACATATAACATATTGCATTTTTTAATTAATATAAGTATGTGCAAATAAATAAGGTAAGGTAGATGAAAAGGACATAAGTGACATAAATGAGGATGAGTATCTATTAGGAAAAAGAAGGGGAATTGGAGATGGTGAACAAAGAGGGCAAACAATGACAAAACAAAACTGTTTTGTCAGAAACAATGTTTAGGCCTTTCACAGGCTAGTGATGAAAACATGCATGGTCATCTTAATTTTGGGCACATTAAATTAAAAGGAAAAAGGAAAGTAAAAAGAAATAGTAAGGAAAGTAAGAAAGAGAAATGACTAAGATGATTTCTTTACGTTATGAGGCTAGGAAAGTATCTCTGAGAGGGGTATATATGCTGAGATTTGAGATACAAGAAATTACTCATGGAAATATCAGAAGGAATTGCAAGCATTCAAGGTAAGCAAAACAGCTAGGAAGAGATCCTATGATGAGAATAAACTGTAACACAGAGATGCATACATATATGGATTCCAAAAATAATAACTCGATAGCCTCTGTTTTTTTGCAGTATGATGGACTGGATACTCAAGACCATATGATAAAAACAATTAAACTTGCTGATAAAAATATAAAATTAAAAACAACATATTTGAAAAATGGGCAAGAGATATGAATAAACAATTGTTAGAATACATAGGAATCTGATTGACCAATAAGTATGTGAAAAGATCTTGACTATTAAACTCTGAATTGTAACTTAGAAACCACAGTAAAAGGAAAATTCCACTTATGGTTAGGATGCAGAAGGTTACAGAAGAATGTTGAAGTGAAGAAAATGTAAATCTGAAGTCTTGCCAGTGCTTCAATCTCAAACTCTGATAAAGAGAAATTGCTGATACTGCCCCTCAAAATATTTGAAGTTAGTGGTGAAGTGAATCTAATTAAAGCTGTAATGAAGCCCACATATTAAAGCTGTAACGAAGCCCACATATGTAGTCACTCAACTACATATTCGATTAACTTACTTCACCACAATGGTGACACAACAGTAAAAGGGATAATGCCTTTTGGTGGGGTGTAAATATTATTTCAGTCTCTATTGTTCCTTTACACATATATATTTTTAAAAATCACATAACACATGAAGAAGTAAAGGTCTCTTCTGACTTCCTACCTCTAAATGAAAACAAAATTAGATGGGAAAAGAGAAAACAAATACCAAGATATTATGCCTAAACCCAACTGTAACATAATTTCATTGAATGTAAATGGACTAAATATTCAAATAAAAAGTTAGATTGTTCGGATTGATTACAACTTTTTTTGTCAGAGATATAAGGTCTGTGTCTAAATTCATTTTGTGTGTGTGTATGTATGTCCAATTGTTACAGCAGCACTCATTGAAAAGACAGTCTTTGCTCCATTGCTTTGCTTTTGCTCATTTATCAAAGATCAGTTGAATATATTTATGTGGGCCTGTTTCTGGGTTCTCTATTCTGTTCCATTGATCAATTTCCTGTTCTTTTACCAATACCACACTGTCTTGATTACTGCTGCTTTATAGTAAGTCTTGAAGTCAGGTATATCAATTTTCTAACTTCATTTTTCTCCTTTAAAAGAGTTATTCTTGGTCTTTTGCCTCTTCATATAAACTTTAGAATCAGTTTGTCTGTATCCACAAAAGTGCATACTGTGATTTTGACTGGGATTGCATTGAAACTATAGATCAAACTATGGTTCAAGAAACTATTGACATCTTGACAATATTGAGTTTTCCTATCCGTGAATATGGAAAATTTCTCCATTTATTTAGTTATTCTTTCGAAGCTTTCATCTGAGTTTTATAGTTTTCTTCATATTTTTTATATAACTTGTTAGATTTATACCTAAGTATTTCACTTTTTGGGGGCTAATATAAGTGGTAGTGTGTTTTTAATTCCAAATTCCATTTTTTATTACTAGTATATAGAAAAGAAATGGACTTTTGTATGTTAACCCTGCATCCCATGACCTTATATAATGGCTTATTGTTTCCAAGTTTTTGTGGTTGTTGATGGTTCTTTTAGGCTTTTTACATAAACAATCATCTCATCTGTGAACAAAGACAGTTTTATCTTTTCCTGTCCAATCTATATATTTTATATTTTTAAAATTTTCTTATTCCATTAGTTAGGACTTCTAGGACAATGTTGAAAAGCAATGGTGTGAGGGCATATCCTTGCCTTGTTCCTGATCTGAGTAGGAAAACTGAGTTTTTCATCACTGTTAATGATGTTAGCTGTGGGGTTTTGTAAGTGTTCTTTATCAAGTTGAGGAAATTCCCCTCTATTTCTATTTTGCTGAAAATTTTTATCATGAATGGGTGTTAGATTTTGTCAAAAGCTTTTTCTGCATGCAGACATAAGATGATGTGATTTTTCTTCTTTATCCTGTTCATGTGATGCATGGTATTAATTGGGTTTTGAATGTTGAACAATCCTTGCATACCTGGGATAAATCCCACTTGGTTGTGGTGTATAATTAGTTTTATACATTGTTGGATTTGATTTGATAATGTTTTGTTGAGGATTGTTGCATCTATGTTCATGAGAGATATCAGTCTGTAATTTTCTTATCATTTCCTTGTCTTGTTTTGGTATGAGGGTAATATTGACTAAGGAAATTCATCTTTAAATGTTTGGTAGAAGTCACCATTGAACCCATCTGGGCCTGGCACTTTCTGTTTGGAAGGTTATCAATTATTGATTTATTTCTTTAATAGATGTATTGTATATTTCTTGTATGTGAATTTTGGTAGACTGTGTCTTTTAGGAATTTGGTCCATTTTATCTAGGTTATCAAATTTGTGGGCATAAAGTTGTTCATAATACTTTTATCATCTTTTTAATATCCATTGGATCTGTATTGATGCTTCTTTTTTTATTTCTGATGTTAATAATTAGAGCCTGCTTTAGTTCTTTGTTAGCTACCCTGACTAGAGGTATATCAATTTTATTGATCTTTTTTCACAGAGCCAGCTTTTGGTTTTGCTGATTTTTTTCCATAAATTTTCTTTCACTTTTACTGATTTCTGCTCTATTTTTTAATTATTTCTTTTCTTCTGCTTACATTGAATTTAATTTTATATTCTTTTTCTAGTTTTCTAATACTTTATTTTATATCTTTTTCTTTTCTAAGAAATACATTCAATGCTATAAATTTCTAAGCACTGCTTTTGCTGCATCACAGACATTTTGATAAGTTGTATTTTCATTTTTGCTCATTCCAAAATATTTTTTAAATTTTCTTGAGATTTCTTCTTTGATCCATGTTATTTAGAAGTGGATCTGAATATTAATCACCAAATATTTTGGAATTTTCCAGATATCTTTATGTTACTGTTTTCTAGTTTAATTCCATTGTGATCTAATAGAAGACCTTGTGTGAATTGTATTGTTTTAAATTTTTTAAGGTGTGTCTTATGTATGGCCCAGAAAGTGGTCTATCTTGAAGCTTCCATGTTAGCTGGCAAATAATGTGCACTCTGCTGTTGTTTGATGAAGTAGTCTATTGATGTCAATTAATCCAGTTAATTGATGGTGATGTGGTGATGTTGAGTTCCATTGTGCCTTAGTGATTTGTCTACTGTATCTGTCCATTTCTGATAGCGGAGTGTTCAAGTTCCAACTATAATAGTAGATTTATCCATTTCTCCTTGCAATTCTATCAGTTTTTGCCTCACATGTTTTTTTAAAATTTTTATTTATTTATTTTTTGAGACAGGGTCTCACTCTGTCACCCAGGCTGGAGTGCAGTGGTACAATCATGGTTGACGACTCACTGCCACCTCGATCTCCCAGGATCAGGTGATCTTCCTACCTCAGCCTCCCTCCTATCTGGTACTACAAGTTCCTACCATGATGACTGGCTAATTTTTGTAATTTCTGTAGAACTGAGGATTTGCCATGTTGCTGAGGCTGGTCTCAAACTCCTGGGCTCAAGCAATCCACCTACCTTGGCCTCCCAAAGTGTTGATGCTTTGTTGTTAGTCACATATATGTGAAAGATTGTTATGTCTTCGTATTGACCCCTTTTTATTATGTGATTTCACTTTTATTCCCAATAGCTTTCCTGCTCTAAAGTCTCTAAAGTCTGCTCTAATATTAACATAGCTACTCCCACTTTCTTTTGATTAGTATTAACAAGGGATATGTTAACATGGGATAATACATTCTTCATCCCTTTATTTTATTTATTATCTTTTGGGGCAAGGTCTCACTCTTGTCACCCAGGCTAAAGTGCAGTGACACGATCATGGCTCACTGCAGCCTCAACCTCCCTGGCTCAAGCGATTCTCCCACCTCAGCCTCCCAAGTAGGTGAGACTACAAACATGTGCCACTAATTTTTAAAAATTCATTGTAGACATGAGGTCTTACTATGTTGCCCAGGCTGGTCTCAAATTCCTGGGCTCAAGTGATCCTCCTGCCTTGGCCTCTCAAATTGCTGGGATTACAAGCATGAGGACTGCACCCAGCCTGTCCCTTTATTTTTAATCTATATATGCTTTTATGTTTAAAGTAAGTTTATTGTAGATAGCATGTAGTTGGATTTTGTTCTGTCAATTGGTGTATTTAGACCATTGGCCTTTAAGATGATTATTGATATATTTGGATTGATAGCTACCATATTCATTACTGTTTTCGATTTATTATCCTTGTTTTTTTGGTTCCTATGTTTGTTTTACACACTTTTTCTGTCTTTTGTGGTTTTAACTGAGTGTATTATAGTGTTATATAATTATATTTTCTCTCCTTTCTTAGCATATCAATGATACCTCTTTAATTTTTTTACTTTTTTTTTTTAGTGATAGCCCCAGAGTTTGCATATACATTTACAACTAATCCAGGTCCTCTTTCAAATAACACTACAGTGCTTCACCAAAAGTGCAAGTAACTCACAACAAAATATCCCTAATTCTTTCTCCCATTGGTTATATCATTGCTGTCATTCATTTTACTTACATACAAGCATACACAAACAAATTATCAAATACCTTATTGCTCTTATTATTTTGAGCAAACTATTATCTATTAGATTAATTGAGAATGTGCAGGCCAGTAGTGGTGGCTCATGCCTTTAATCCTAGCACTTTGGGAAGCCGAAGTGGGCAGATTGCCTGAGCTCCAGGAGTTCGAGGCCAACCTGGGCAACACGGTGAAACCCCGTCTCTACTAAAAATACAAAAAATTAGCTTGGCATGGTGGCATGCGTCTGTAGTCCCAGCTACTCAGGAGGCTGAGGCAGAAGAATTGCTTGAACCCTTGAGGCAGAGGTTGTAGTGAGCTGAGATTGTGGCACTGCACTCCAGCCTGGGTGACAGAGTGAGACTCCATCTCCAAAAAAAAAAAAAAAAAAGAATGTGCAAAGTAAAATTTTTATTTTACCTTCACTTATTCTCTGGTGTTCTTCCTTTCTTTATATAGTTCTCCATTTCTAATCTATTTCATTTTCCTTTGCTCTGAATAACTTGTTGGAACATTTCTTGCAAGGCAGTTCTACTGGCAATAAATTCTCTCAATTTTTGTTTGTCTGAGAGGGTTTTTATTTCTCCTAAAATAATTGACACATAATTTCACAGGGTATAGAATTCTAGGTTGGCAGAGTTTTTTATTTTTCCTCTCAACACTTTAAATATTTCACTTCATTTTCTTCTTATTTGCATGGTTTGTATGAAGCAGTCAAATGTAATTCTTATTTTTCCTCTTCTACAGGTGAGATTTTTTTCCTCTGACTTCTTTCAGGATTTTTGTCTTTAATTTTCTGAAATTTGAATATCATATGCCTAGGTGTAGTTCCTTCGGCATTTATTCTGCCTGGTATTCTCTGGATTTGTAGTTGGAGTGTGATGTTAGTTAGGGAAAATTGTCAGCTATTCTTCCGGGTTATTTTGTTGTTGTTTTTGTTTTTTACTTATGGTAAGCTTCTCCCTTTTAATGTATAATTCTATGAGTTTGGACATATTCTTCTGTTCTTTTCTCTCTTTCTTTTCTAGTAGTCCCATTACATGTATGTTATACCTTCTGTAGTTGTCCCCAAATTCTTGAATATTCTGTTCTGTTTTTCTCATTTTTTTTCTCTTTGTTTTTCAGTTTTGGAAGTTTCTACTGTCCTATCTTCAAGATCAGAGATTCTTTTCTCAGCCATGTCCAGTCCCCTAAGGCGCTCATCAGAGGCATTCTTCACTATGTTACAGCGCTTTTGATGTCTGGCATTTCTTTTTTTTTCTTTCTTAGAATTTTCATCTTTCACTTAAATTATTTATCTTTTTTTGCATACATCTACTTTTTTCATTAAATCTCTTAGCATTTTGATCATAGCTTTTTTTAAAAAATAAATGTTATCTGCTAACTATAACATTTATATCATATCTGACTCTAGTTCTGATGCTTGTCCAGTCTCTTCAAATTGTCATTTTTGCCTTTTACTGTGCCTTGTAATTTTTTATTGACAGGTAGACATGATGTACTACACAAGGACACTATAGTAAGTTGGTCTGTAGAAATGTAGCAGTAAAGTGTACCTGTGGTGGCGAAGAAAGGGTGCTATAGTTCTACTATTAAGTTTCAGTCTCTTGGTGGGCCTGTGACCCCGGCCTGTGAACTTCACTAATGCTTTTTAGATTACGTGGGACAGGATGGCTGGAGGAGGCTAGAGTTATGTATTTCCCTGCTTTCACATGGAAGGCTAGAGCTAGATGGCTTTAAATATTCCCCTTCTCCCATGTGGGGTAGGCTCTGATAAATCCCTAGCAGGTTAGCCTCTGGTAAAATAGTTTCTCTTGAGGGCAGAACTTATTAAGAAGAATAGAATGCTCTGGCATATTTCAAAGTGTTTCATTTTTCCCTCCTTCTGCTGGAAGGATAAAAGGACTTTTCTTTGACATTAATTGTGGGGACCTGGTAGAACTCTTGGAAGTGAAGCTCCTAAAAGTTTGAGGACCTTCCTTTGAATGAGTTTCCCAGGAGTTTTTGAGTCTCAGATATGTCCGCACTGAGTCTCCTGTAATTCATCAATGGCAGTTCAGGTTTTCTAGCCCAGGCACAGGTTTCCATAAAGGTTTCTGCTCATGGGTTCCTGGTCTGGTAAGTTGTGATTCTCTGTATCCACTTGTCTGTCACTCCAATTTTGAGGACAGCAGTCTGCCTTGTGACCTCACTTTTCTGATGGATCTAACAGGAGTTGTGGATTTTACAGTTTGTTCTTTTTATTTGCTATTAGGTCAGGGTGATGACTTCTAAGCTTCTTGCATGCCAGATAGGAAACCAGAAGTTCCTAGAGGGAAATTTTTTAATCTTTCAATGCCTATATTAGAAATGAATAAAGTTTAAAATCAATTATCTAAGCTCCCATCTAGAGAAGTCAGGAAAAGAAGAACAAAGTAAGGTGAAAAAGGGAAATAATAGAAATCAGAGTAGGAAGCAATAAAAAAGGATGATTGGGAAAAACAACAAAGTCAAAAGTTTGTTTTTTGAAAGATTAACCCACTGAATCAACTACAAACAAAACTGTTCATTCAGAAATGAAAAGGGGAACTCACTTCAAATTGTACTAAAATTTTAGGGTTAGTAAGAATATATTATAAAATACTTTGACACAAAATGAAATAGCCTTTCTCTATTAAATAAACTATATTTATAATAATGAATATTTCTACAAAGAAAATTTTAGTTCTATATGGATTCACTGGGGATTTCTATGAAACATTTTAGGAGCAGAACAACCAAAGTCTTTCAGAAATGTGGAATTGTAACCTACAAACTACAGTAGAAGGTGACTTCAACTTCAGGTTAGGATATAGAAAGTCAGAGAAGAATGTGTAATTTTGTATTCCAAAATCTACCATAAATATTAAAGGAAAAAAACTAAAGCCCAATATTTCTCATGAACAGGGACAGAATTTTTAATGAAATTAACCAGAAACAAATAAAAGACAATAATTCCTCTTGACACAAGGAGTATGTATGCATATATCTCCTAGTAATGGTATATTGAAAATTAAAACAGAAAAACAGTGTCACTTAGAGTAGAATTTTAAAAATCAAGTATCTAAGAATAAAGTTCCCAGAGATATTCAGGACCCTATAGATATTAGTTCTAGAGCCTCTCAGGGAATCTGGTTGAGCATACATTGAGGTTGGACAAGAGAAATGGGGACCAGGGCCAATGCAGATGCCAGTCTCTGCTTAGGGTACTGTATTTAAAAGGAATCGCTGGTTCTCTCTAGTTAGAAATATCAAATGGGGGATATAAATTTTTTTTGAGAACGGCATTGCAAAACGTAAGGCTCTTGAGGCAAGGGGCTCCCTACCCTACTTTTCCAGGTCTAGGAGTGTTATTATCTTTTACATTATCTAATTATCTAATTTCAAGTGTTACTGAGGAGAATTCTGGTATCTCAGTATTCTCCTTTGGTCTTTTTTTTTTTTCCTTCTTTTTTTGGACAAGGTCTTGCTCTGTCACTCATCCTGTAAGTGTGTGAGTGCCGTGGCACAATCTCAGCTTAAGCAGCCTCAACCTCCCAGATTCAAGTGATCCTCCCACCTCAGCCTCCTGAGTAGCTAGGACTACAGGCACCTGCTACCATACCTGGCTAATTTTGTTTATTTTTAGTAGACATGAGGTCTCACTATGTTACACAGGCAGGTCTCAAACTCCTAGTCTCAAGCAATCCTCCTGCCTCAGCCTCCCAAAATGCTGAGATTACAGATGTGAGGCATTACAGATGTGTGGCCTCAGTGTTATTCCTGTGTGTTAACCATTTTCCTTTTCAAATTATCATGTAGTTATTTACCTCTTACAATATCTTTCTTTTCAAAGGATTAGTATGAGTGGTTGCTGTGATTTTTCTGTGGAATTGTATAAGCCTGTTTACCCCACATTCTTCTCAGCTAAATGGGAAATTTCATTAGTAATTCTATGTCAGTAGGTGGACTTGGTTGTAGAGTGTAGCCTGGAGCAGATCAAACATGTCAAGAACTCATACAATTGCAAAAATAGCAAGTGTCTTTACTTTGTTATTATCTTGTGTTACTGCTCTTTCCTGTTCTCTCAACTGTACATCGTTAACTAAGAGACAATTTACTCAAACTCACCTCTACTCATCCTCTCTGGCCTCTATAGCAAACCCTTCCTTCCTTCCTTCCTTCCTTCCTTCCTTTCTTCCTTCCTTCCTTCCTTCCTTCCTCCCTCCCCTCCCTCCCTCCCTTCCTTCTTTCCTTCCTTCCTTCCCTCCCTCCCTCCTTTCCTCATTCCTTTCTTAATTTCTTCCTTCCTTCCCTCCTTCATTTCTCTCTCTCTCTCTTTCTCCATTAAATGTTTAATAAGTGAATTGTATGTGCCAGGCACTAAATGAGGTGTTAAGGTTATAGTAAGAGCAAAACAAACATAGTTTCTGTCTTCATGGTTCTTACATCTAGCAAATAAATAGATATTAAATAAAGAATTTTACAAATTAATGTAAAATAAGGACTGTGTTAAATGCTTTGTAGTAGAGGAACATGATACTATGAAATCTTCTAAGAGGAGAACATGTCCTATAGGTACTCTTCATCCTATAGAAAAATGTGATTAATCATCATATTAATGCCAGAGAAGGAAGAATGTCCTTTCCTTCTTTAATTTCATTTTTTTCAGTTGCTGGTGTTTTTTAGGAAAAAAACATAAATAAACATATTTGTGTAATATGCAGTATTTTATGTTTCCAGGGTCACAATACCTAGCTCTCTTTCTCCTCACAATCTGTACCGTGAAAAGCTTGTAAACCTGACATATAGTGAAATAGTTAACATTTTCAGGTTATTGCTATGCTTTAGCAGTTGGGAGATATAAAGTCACTGAATTTTTCTTGCTCTAAGATGAGGGACTGAAGGTTCATGTAAATGCTAAAAGAATTAACCTTGCATTTTATAAAATAGGATATTAATTATAATTGATACTTTCTTCTTTTACCAGGTATGCTATGAGAATTAGAATTTATCTAGGATCACTAAATGAAAACAATATAAATTTACAAGAAGCATTTTATAATAGTAGAAATGCTTTTATCACTTTTTCTAGAGTTAAGTCTCAAATTCAAAGTCTCAGAATTAAGGAAATTCTCAATTAAATTTCCTGTTGCAGTATTGTCCCTTGAACAATTTTTTTCAGAAATAATGAAAAGAGTCTCGTAAGCTTCCTGGCCTTAGGGTAGAAGTGGAGCCCAAGAGAAAGACAGAAGGGACACAAAATTCCTTCTTTGGATGGATATGCACAAACCAAATGTCCATTTATTTATTCCAACATACTTTGAGAAAGAAAAAAGGAAAGACTTATTTCCTTTTGTATAAGTGGTACTAGTAGTTCTTATTTATATACTACCCAATAATAAGATTAAATAGAAAGTTAAGAATCTGACTATGACCACTGACACACTTCTGTACATTTTTTTCTTTTAGGGAGCCAAGCATTTCCACATATCTAAAAAATCCTGTGCTATAATTTTTCCACATGTCTAAAGCATTTCCACATATCTAAAAAAACCTATCAGCAAAGTGTCAAAAAGAAAACTTTATAATTGCCATTTTTAAGAGCAATTCAATCAAAATCCAGCCAAAGAAAGTAAGCAAAGTTACTTCCAGTATGGAGTCTTTCAAATTTCTGTGTAACTTGGAACCAGTCTCTCAGGCCTTCTCTCTGCCTAAACATAGGCCAAAATTACATTTATGTTATACTATGGCTGCCCCAGGATCAAGGAAAGCAAACATTGTAGCCTATTCCTCTCAGAGTTCGAGTGGAAAAATGGGCCTGTGCCCCTCTGCTCTGTGATTTCCAATACGACATGGTGAGTCCATGGTGCCTCATTTCCTTCCTGATGCCCCCGTGTGTAACCAGTATTCTCATTATCATGCTTCAGATATTAACCAGAAACTACATTATTCTTACTGTTGTTTGGGAAAAAAAGAAAGAATTTACATGTTGTTTTTGTGTTTTATTTTAAAAGATTGGAAAAAGCACCTTCATATATGATTATATCAGCTCTTTCTCAAGGCCTAGTACAAGAGGTCACATTATCAAACACTTTGGTACTGCACACCCCATAATGCATTCCCCCACTATGGTGTTTCTGATTGCAGGACAACATTATTAAGTTAAGGCTTAATGTTCAAATATTTTGCAATTGTAAACTTAATTTTCAACACTGGCTCTCTATTGGTCAATTTGTTTTTGAAGTCAGGCTTCAGAATTTTATTCAAATTATTGGCGTTAAGTTGCTCTTTTTCTATTAAGTGTCTTTGAAGAATTATTTTTGGCATTTATTTGCTATCTTGTAACAAAATATATAATGGTTTAGCATAAACTCCACATTGAGCTGATTTCAATGCTTGTTGCCAGACCATTTATTTCATGATTTTCCCCATTTTTATCTTTTAATTTTGCTTCCTTCCTCTTTTATTAATGAGTGATTTTTAAAAGAAGAGCACACGTTTGGCATATTTTCTAAGGTCTAATATACCCAAGGATGTATTTATGCTACCTTCACACAAGAAGGACCATTTGTGAATAAAATTGTTGAATACTAAATTGTTCTCTTCAAAACTGTAGACATTGCTGCATCTAGCGAAAAAGGGCAATTTTTCATTCCTCTTAATTGGTAATTTTCTTTCCACAGTCCTCATTTTAATTTTCTCCATTTATTCCCATAAGGTATATGATTGAGCCATACTTCCTCAAAAGTCAGAGTATGTGGAATCTTTATTGTCTTGGGATATTGATGAATTTCTTTCTTGGTTGCACAATTAGGAGGCATTTTCTAGTAGATATACACATGGTGTACCTCATCTGTGCAGAGATAGCATCTTCACCTATCCTTGTCTTCTGATATCTGATGCTGTAAACTCATGGAACATATGAAAACACACCAAAGCACACTACTTCCGAGGACAATGACCTCTTCCCTGTCCTGCAGTATGTCACAAAACTCACAAGATGTTGTGAGTCCCTGCCAGTGCCCTCGGTTGTCGCTCTGCGCAGATCCTTGCCTAACTTCCTCTCATGAATTGCTTTCTCTGAGTGAATAAAGAAAGGTGGTTAGTGAAAAGTAGGAGAAGTGGATTGTGCTAAAAGGTGAAAGAGTTTGTACGACTGCAGTGTTGTGGTTTGCTAACTAATCCAGTTTTTATCTTATGATAGATCCTGATTCTCTGGGTCTGGGAGCAGGTGGAAGGAGAGGTTATCCTGAGGTTTTTGGTGTGTTCATAATTTTTTTAGAAAAGTATTTCATTACAAGAAGCATTGCCTGGGTAGGTAAACAAACAGACAAACAAAAATAACAACTTTTTCAGCCCTTTGCCCTTACAACATTCATTTCTAAAATTTCACCAAGTCAGGCTGGAATCAGAGTCATGGTTAGTTATCATCACTTACGTGCAGATTAATCTTAGGAAAAAATAGAAAATATTGCTAATTCCAACAAAGATATAAAATAAGAAAATGGCCATTTATTTTGAGCAAAAGAAAACAATTATTTTTCTGTTACATATTTGAAGCTTTAGTGGAATGTGAAAGTTAAACTCCTTATTCACAGGACTTGTTTTACAGTTGAGACCTTTCAAGGGCCCATTCCGTTCCAAATACTAGTGCCATTAGCCAAATCTGTAGCCCTTTAGAGCAATCAGTAGGATCGAATTTCAGGAATGCAGGGAAGCCCTGCTCAGGCTAAGGGCTGCATAGGGAGCTGGCCTTGCCTTTGCAGACTCAGGTGTTCAGGTCCGCTGAGAGGCAGATGGCTTCCATGAGACAGAAAGAGTCTAGGCAGCAGGACTCCCGTTGGTGTGTAAGCCTACCGAACAGGAAGCTATAGCTCCCTTACCACCTAGGGCAGAGTGCTTCCACATCATATTTCACTGAGTCACAGTTTTCTGAGAATGTCCTAACAGTTTCATAATGACATTTTTATGTGGCTTAATTTTCCTAATTTGCTACAACTTGCATTACGTCTCTAACATTATGTCTCTACTTGCCTAAACCAAGGACCAGATGGAATATATTCTGGTCAGACATCCAGACAGTTACTATTTAGGGGATAATGTAGCCTTTTAAAATTTTTCACAAGAGAATAAGGTCGGATTTTAGTACTCTCTACTCACAGGATAAAACTTATGCCAAGATAAATTTCAGCCCCCAATATTATCTTTCAGTCGGAAACATTTCATCTTGGTTTTAGGGATCCATTTGGTTTTTCAATATTTGGTAGCAGTGAGCTAACATATAAAATGAGATATAAATATTTGGCAAAGTATATAAACAATTTCCTTGATCTAGTGCAAAAATATTGAATTTCTGTTTCAGCACAGAAATATGGTTAATGGCAATTATATTTATGATATGTAAGGATGATTATATGTTAGGACTCAAAAGAATTGTACAGTTGAGCACTTGAACATATTTCTGCTAAATCAATTTTAGTAACTAATACAATCTGAAATAAGTAACTTTTGGGAAAAAATTCTTATGAGTTTTTGGTAGATCAACTACTTCTTCAAAAGCCAAACTTAACGTCCTATTTGTTGGGCCCTGTAACATCTTCCCAGTCATTACCATACTTGATCTCATAGAATAATTGATATTCTTATTCCTTTTCTCCTTTACAGTTTCTATTTGGTTTGTGCAATGTTATTCTTAGTTCTCCCTCTACCCCTATAAATGTTCCAGCTCAGCTTGTGATAATTTCTTTCTCTTTTTCTGCTCCATAATTGTAGGTATGCTTCTAAGTTCTGCCGTATTTTGTTTTTCTGTCTCTTATACTTAGTTCTGAAAATAAAAATAAAAATACCTTCATCTGACCATGGAGGTTCAAAAAGCTGTTGTTTCAACACAGATCTCCAAATTATTCTCTTCTAAATAGTAATTCTGAATTTCTGATTGGCTGATTGCATTTCTACCTCTACAACTCATCTAACAATCCAACATAAAAATTGATAATTAAATGTATTAGTTTCTTTTTAAAACTGATTTTCCCCCTATTTTCATTTTATTTGTGTGTGAAACAGCCGTCTTCTTATCACTGAGGCTAAAATACTCCAGGCTGTCATTAATTGCATCTTACCACCCCCATCTAATTTGCCACCATGTTCTGTTGAATCTAACTGCTAAATCTCTTCCTTGGAAAAGGTTTCATCAATTTACAATTCACAGTCCCTACCAAAGTGTGTGCAAGACTTTCTCTACATTCATGTCAACATTGTATACTAAAAATGTTTTAATCTTTAGAGGGAACATTACTACCAACCTTACAGAAAATTTTCAAAAAATTATAAGAGAATTCTATGAACACTTTGTACGCTGAAAACTTAGATAACTTAGATGAAATGGACAAATTGCCAGAAAGACACAAATTATCAAAACTGACTCAAAAAGAAATAGAAAATTGGAAATAACCAACAACAAGTAAATAAATTAAATTAATAACTTAAAAGCTTCCCCCAAAGAAAATCCCAGACCCAGATGACTTCACTGGTGAATTTTAACAAACATTTACAGAATAATTAACAATTGTGAATAAATTATTCCTACAATACAAAAGATGAGAGAAAACCTCCCAATTCAATCTATGAAAACAGTATTACCCTAATATCAAAATTGGACAGACATCACAAAAAAAGAAAACAAAAGACAAATGTTTCTTGTAATTATAATTGCAAAAATCCTCAACAAAATGCTAGCAAACCAAATATAAAATGAATGAACCTTGAAAACACAAAAGAAATTTTGTGACCACTTATACGAATGTGATTCTATTTATATGAAATATCCAGAATAGGAAAACCTATCAAACCCACCAGGCACCATTTAAAAAGCATTATATACAATTAACAAGTGGGATGTAGCTGAGAAATACAAGGTTGGTTTAAATCTTAAAATCAATTAATGTAATATAGTATATCAATAAGATGAAAAACAGAAGACACAGGGTAATCTTAATAGCCACAGGAAAAACATTTTAAAAAAACCAACACCCTTTATAATAAATATACTCAACAGACTTAAAATACAAGAAAACTTTCTCAACCTAATAAAATGCATCTGTAAAAATCCCAGTACTAACATCATTTTTAATGGTGAGAGACTGAGAAAATCTTTTCTCTGAGATCAAAAACAAAATAAGAATGTCCATTCTCATCACTTCTATCCAACACTGTACTGGAGATTCTAGCCAAGGAAATAAGGCAAGAAAAAGAAATAAAGAGCATCTAGATTGGAAAGGTTGGAAAGGAAGAAGTAAAACTGTCTGTATTTATGCATTACATGGTCTTATATATAGAAAATACTAAAAAAACTCATTAAAAACTATTAAACCTAAAAAATGAATTCAACGAAATTTTAGGATACAAGATTAATACACAAAAATCAGTTGCATTTCTCTATATTAGCAATAAAAATACAAAAAAATGAAATTAAGAAAATAATTCAATTTACAATGGCATCAAAAGGAATAAACTATTTAGGAATATATTTAATCAAGGAAGTGTGTGATTTATAAACTGAACACTACAGAACATTGTTTAAAAAATTAAAGGAGACCTAAATAAACAGAAAGACATCAAATGTTAATTGATCAGATAACTCAATATTGTTAGATAAAAAGACTCCAAAAATTATCTACAGATTCAGAACAATTCCTCTCAAAATTTCAGCTGGATTCTTTGTAGAAATTCACAATCTGGTCCTAAAATTTATATGTAAATACAAGGGCCAAGAGTAGCCCAATAAATCCTTAAAAAGAAGAACAAACTTGGATAACTCACATTCCCTGAATTTAAAACTAACTATAAACTATAGTAATAAAGGCAGCATGGTACTGACTATATATATGTGTGTGTATATATATATATATATATGTGTGTGTGTGTGTATATATATATATGTGTATATATATATATGTGTATATATATATATGTGTGTATATATATATATATATATATATATATACCAATATAATTTAATTTAGAGTCTAGAAGTATGCCCAATTGGTACCCTATATCTAGAATTGTCTATGTCTAGAAAAGAACCAAGGCAATTCAAATGATAAAAATTGTCTTTTTAGCAAATGGTACTGGAGCAAGTGGTATTCACATGCAAAAGAAGGAAGTGGACTTCTTCCTTCAATCTTTGAAGAATTAAATCAAAATAGATTATAGCTAAAACTATAAAACTCTCAAAAGAAAATATAGGAGTAAATCTTCATAAGTTTGGGTTAGGAAAGCCTTCTTAGACACAGAAGTACAAGTAATGAAACAAAAATAAATAAATTGGACTTGATCAAAATTAAAAACTTGTGTGCTTCAATGGACATCATCAAGAAAATGGAAAGACAACTCACAGAAAAGAAGAGAATGTTTGAAAATTATTATCTAACAAGGGACTTGTTTCAAGAATATATAAAGAGCTGTTTGCACTTAACAACAACAAGACAAGCAACCCAATTTAAAAAATGGCAATAGATTTGAACAGATATTTTGCAGAATAATTACAATAAAAAAGAGAATCTAGGCCTAGAGTCTGTACTCTTGACTTACTTAGACAGTAAGTAGTGTTGGTTGGTATATGGAAAAACTGAAACCCTTATATATTGCTGGTGGGAATGAAAACTGTTACAGATGTTTTGGAAAACAGTTTGGCAGTTCTTCAAATGTTAAATATGCCAGTGATTCCACTCCAAGGTAAATACCTAACATATAAATATGGGCATGAATGTTCATAGCATCACGTTCATAATACCCAAAAATGGAAACAACCTAAATATTCATAAACTGATGAATGGATCAATAAAGTGGAACATTATTTGGCAATAAAAAACAATAAAATACTGATATGTACTACAAAATGGATGAGCCTTGAAAAGATTAGGCTAAGTGAAAGAAGCTGGTCATGAAAAACCATTTTGTGAACATTAAATGAATGTGATTTCATTTATATGAAATATCGAGAATAGGAAAATTCACTGAGGCAGAAAGAAGATTAATGTTTGGGAATGGGGGAAATGGCACATGATGCTAATCGGTAGCATTATCACTTTTGTGGGGTGATGAAAATGTTTTCAAATTGTTTCAGAACTCTGAATATATTAAAACAATGAATTGTATACTTTATGTGGGTGAATTGAATGATATGTAAATTATATATCAACAAGAGTGTGAAATGTTTGCAATCAAAGTGAAAAAAATACATATCATTTGGATTTCATTTGTTATATATTTGACTATGTGAAAGTGAGCATCTTTTAATATGATTATAAGCCATTATAATTAACTATTTATTGAGTACTCAATTTGTTTTTCTTTTTTTTTTTTTCTTTTATTATTATACTTTAAGTTTTAGGGTACATGTGCACATTGTGCAGGTTAGTTACATATGTATACATGTGCCACACTGGTGCGCTGCACCCACTAACTCGTCATCTAGCATTAGGTATATCTCCCAATGCTATCCCTCCCCCCTCCCCCGACCCCACAACAGTCCCCAGAGTGTGATGTTCCCCTTGCTGTGTCCATGTGATCTCATTGTTCAGTTCCCACCTATGAGTGAGAATATGCGGTGTTTGGTTTTTTGTTCTTGCAATAGTTTACTGAGAATGATGATTTCCAATTTCATCCATGTCCCTACAAAGGACATGAACTCATCATTTTTTATGGCTGCATAGTATTCCATGGTGTATACGTGCCACATTTTCTTAATCCAGTCTATGATTGTTGGACATTTGGGTTGGTTCCAAGTCTTTGCTATTGTGAATAGTGCCGCAATAAACATACGTGTGCCTGTGTCTTTATAGCAGCATGATTTATAGTCCTTTGGGTATATACCCAGTAATGGGACGGCTGGGTCAAATGGTATTTCTAGTTCTAGATCCCTGAGGAATCGCCACACTGACTTCCACAATGGTTGAACTAGTTTACAGTCCCACCAACAGTGTAAAAGTGTTCCTATTTCTCCACATCCTCTCCAGCACCTGTTGTTTCCTGACTTTTTAATGATTGCCATTCTAACTGGTGTGAGATGGTATCTCATTGTGGTTTTGATTTGCATTTCTCTGATGGCCAGTGATGATGAGCATTTTTTCATGTGTTTTTTGGCTGCATAAATGTCTTCTTTTGAGAAGTGTCTGTTCATGTCCTTTGCCCACTTTTTGATGGGGTTGTTTGTTTTTTTCTTGTAAATTTGTTTGAGTTCATTGTAGATTCTGGATATTAGCCGTTTGTCAGATGAGTAGGTTGCAAAAATTTTCTCCCATTCTGTAGGTTGCCTGTTCACTCTGATGGTAGTTTCTTTTGCTGTACAGAAGCTCTTTAGTTTAATTAGATCCCATTTGTCAATTTTGGCTTTTGTTGCCATTGCTTTTGGTGTTTTAGACATGAAGTCCTTGCCCATGCCTATGTCCTGAATGGTATTGCCTAGGTTTTCTTCTAGGGTTTTTATGGTTTTAGGTCTAACGTTTAAGTCTTTAATCCATCTTGAACAGGTGTTGGCTTTTCCTTATTGATTCGTAACTAAAATAGTACTTTTATTTACTAAGTAAAGTAGTACTTTGACTTATAAGTAAAATAATATATTGCCTGATGTGTGTTATGTTATACACCAGCTGTTCACTTGTATTTTATTTTGTTTATGGCAATTTTTGGCCTTGTAGAAAATCTTAATGTGTGTAATTGATTATCAATCTTTATGATTTTTAAAATTTAGATCTTGCTTGAAAGACTTTAAGATAAAAACAAAATTACTCCAATATTCTATTATTTTGGAAATTTTATCCTTTATCATTAAGACTTTGATCTATTTGGAATTTATTTGAAATTCAGGTTGAAATAATAATCTGGTATTATTATTTCAGCATTGTCGGACTGTTATCCCTCTATGATTTACTGAATTATTTATCTTTTATCCACTAATTTGAATATATAGAGTACACAAAATTTGCATAATTACTTAGATCTATTTCTGTACTTTTAAATCTCTGTGACTGTGCTGCCTGTTTAATCAGTCTTTTGTTTAGAAGCATTTATTTTCTACAGGCCCACAACCTGCAGTGACCAGCGCAGGAAATCAACCCATTCTTCAGCTACAGGTAGCCAGGTCTCTATCTATAAGATAGACTATAGGAAGTCGTACTGCTACCCCTAGTTCAACCTAAAAGACCCAAAACTTGTTTAAACACTGACAGCTTCCTTAATTTTTATTCCCACTTCCAACTTAAGAAGAAACACAGAAAGCCAAATATGCACCCCTAGCCAATCACATAGGATACCCTGTTTCTAGTTAGCTGCCTACAGCTTGCCCATGCCAACAGCCTCCAACCAGGGCATGCCAGAAGCTTTCCCTTTTTTTTGTTGTAAAGCTTCCCACTCCTCTGCCTGCCTTGGAGTGTCTGCCAAATGCAAGTGATGGTGGCTACTCCCTTGCTGTAGCAAGCTCTGCCATTGCGTGTTCTCATTTGGTTGGTTTCCATTCCACAAGTGTTACTATTTTATGTGTATGTGTCTGTGTTTCCCATTGCATTGTGAGATTGAAGATTAGCCTCTTGATGTATTCTTAGTTATATTTTCCTGAGCGTAACCTCGTGTCTTCTGTATTAGCAGGAAGCCAGGATATTTGTTGAATGCAATCTTTTTAGAGAATTTGATTTGCTTATGCTTCCTGATGCTATATAAAAATGTTTCCCTCTGTAGTAGTTATTTAGAGTTTAATAAATTATGTTGAGGAGATGATGATAACGATAATAGATTAGTAATAATACCACTCATCATATATCATATTGTTTTAAACATATTAACTGTCAACAGAGCCCTATAAGGTGGATGTTATGATAACTCCTTTTTAACATATGAGGGCACTAAGAACAAAAAGCTTAATTTACTTGCCTGTGGCCACAAAAACTGGAAAGTTGGGGAGCTGAGATTTAACTCTAGGAATCTAAGCCTAAAGTCTGTGCTCTTAACTTTTAAACTATAATATCTCTCAATTCTAAAGACAGATTTAATATTGTTCGCCTTGGTTCTGGAACCTAGGTATTAACTGCTGGGACACAAAAGTGAATAAAATAGGATCCTTGCCTTGAGGAATTTAGGTAATTTTAAAAATTACGTCTTTGTGAATGGGCACTCAGAGATTCACAGAGAAAGGGAGATGAGATGAGTGTTGGAAGATGGATTTTGTAGTGGGAAGTTATTTCCACCAGAGACTGTGCAGAGGCATGACTGGAGATGAGGCGTGTAGAGGAAGCGGAAAAGTGGGAAAGCCCTAGGAGAGAGATGGAGGCTAGATCCTGGAGTTCCTCCTGCAGGAGCTTGGATTTTACCCAACTTTTATAAAAAGGAGACATTGAAGAATTTTTACTGTGGTGAGGGAGTATGAGTTGATATGATCAGAATTAAGTATGTATATATTCCCTTCATTTTGGATTCAAACCTCTTTCTTTTACAGAGCAGAACAAACAACCCAATATGAATTTTTGAGAGGACATGGGAAGGCCTGAGTTTACAGATAGGTGGGGGTTGGGAGTGTAATGTACATGACATTTAATCTCACAACACTTTCCACAGGAGGTGGCACAAGATAAGCCAAGCCAAATGGTTAAGGAAAGGTGAAATGGGATAGCAATTCAGGTCAACTTGACTTGCATGACATTCCAGAGAGTTGCTTCTGGTCCTCATTCTGATTTTGAATGACTCACTTTAACCACTTTGGATCCCTGGTACCTTAACTGTAAAATAAGGTGGTATTATCCCTCAAGCTTTGTGATTCTTTAATTCTAATCAGAGAAACAATTAAAGTATGGTGAAGTGCTTTACCTTCTCAAATGAAGGCAATATTAATAATTTCTGAATAGAGTGGGCTGAAGTTCCCTGTAAGTGACCCCAAGGAGTGGGTTACTGCTATCCAAACACAATAAAGAGGCTATGAAACAAAAGCGTTTGAAACTCTACCAATACAAACAAAGTGCTTCTTCTCTATTAAAGCATTAAGATAATTCTATAAAAAGTAGAAAATTCCTCACAGCCCCAGATGCCAAATCGATCCCTGAGTTCCAAGGAGTCTCAGCTCCCAGATCAGAGTCAAGATTTTAAAGATGCTTTGGATGAAGAGAAAAATATTTCCCTCCATTTTGGCCTGGGCCCAAGAATGTCAACACTGCCGGCTCTGTGAGCTTCACCTCTGCTGCAGCCATCTCTAAACAATGGCCTCTTAGGCTGAACAAGTGTCAGAGGTGTGTGAGCCAGAGCAACTCCATCTTAAATAGGAGCTGGGTAAAATGAGGCTGAAACCTACTGGGCTGTGTTCCTAGACGGTTAAGGCATTCTAAGTCACAGGATGAGATAGGAGGTCAGCACAAAATGCAGGTCATAAAGACCTTGCTGATAAAACAGGTTCCAGTAAAGGAGCCAGCCAAAACCCACCAAAATCAAAATGGCGATGAGAGTGACCTCTGGTTGTCCTCACTACTACACTCCCACTGGCTCCATGACAGTTTACAAATGCCATGGTACAATGTCAGGAAGTTACCCAATATTGTCTAAAAAGGGGAGGCATGAATAATCCACCCCTTGTTTAGCATATCATCAAAAAATAACCATAAAAATAGGCAACCAGCAGCCCTCAGGGCTGCTCTGTCTATGGAGTGGCCATTCTTTTATTCTTTTACTTTCTTAATAAACTGGCTTTCACTTTGCACAGCAGACTCGCCCTGAATTCTTTCTTGTGCGAGATCTAAGAACTCTATCCATGGGTCTGGATCGGGAACCCTTTCTGGTAACACAAGCGCTTGGTAAGAAAGGTCTCAGTGGCAGAGAGGGATTGCATAAAGGACCTCTGAGTATGTGTTTCTGCATCGCATAAGGCCAATATGATGGGAAGCACTAGATAAAAACAAAATGTCCAAATCTCTTCTTAAAAAGGATACATTTCCCAGTATAAAGTTAATCTGTTACAAAATAGTTATGTTTTCTAAGGAAATTTAGAATAAAGAAGTAAGAGTTAAAAAAGTTATTCCCAATACCTCACTATTACCCATTACCACTGGTATATTTTTCATAGTCTAGAATAATGGACCCGTTTCTGTTTGCTTTTTTATATAACTCCAAAATATGATAGAAACAATTGCTATCATGCAAAACTTACTTTAAATTTAAATTTAAATAAAAATTAGATCCTTATTAAAATTAATTGGTTAATTAATCACCTGAAGAATAAATCCATGGGATTATCCACAAAGAAACATAACTAAAAAATGAGCAATTTTATTCTACAATATATGTATACTTCAAAACATCATATTGTACATAATCAATAGTACAATTTTATTTGCCAATTTAAAATGAAATAATCAATATTGTCCAGCAAATTTTAAACACAAACTGCAAAAATGCAATTCTAAAATGCATACCTACCATATAAGCGTTATGCTCCTTTATGTCAAGCAACTGTAGACATTTTAATTTAGTATTAAAAAAAGGAAATTCACTCCAGTTGTGATAATTAGCAGGAAAGTAAATAGAGTTCAGAAAATGTTAAAAGTTTGATCAAGATAAAAACAATACAGATAGAAGCTTTTGCCAGCAAGAAAAGCAAAGAAAGGTAAATACTTATCCATGCAGGAGATAGAGAGTTGACTTATTCCTATTCCCAAAATTCCTGACCATGAGGGAAAAAAATAGCTCACTGGGAGACATGTATTCACATTATAAAGAGTAAATGAGTTAAGAAAGGTCAGGGATAACTTACAGGAATATATTATGCACTATAAATCATTTTTTCCTAAATGTAGAAAGCATTGAAGAATAAACGTTGAATGTTGTCTATTTTTTCCAGCAAAATAACAGGACTTTCAAAAAATATCAAACAAATAGTTCAAAAACATAGCAATTCAGCAGAGGATAAATGTCTTGGAATGCATTGGCACAAATTGTCTATTTAGAATGCACTTTGGCCCAATTAGATGAGATGACTATGCAAAAAAAATTTTTTTTGAACAAATGTTTTTGTTCAAAAAAAATTTGTTGAATAAAATGTTAATGAATGGTAACATAATTATTGTGCCAATTGCTAAGCTAATTGCTCATTAATTAAACTATGAACATTCATGGGGAATAAATATTTGGAGAATAGAGGTGTGGATGGCATAGATGAATTAATCAAAGCCAATGAGTACAGTGGGTAAGAGTTTGGGCTACTTCCTAGTTGCATGATTTCGGGTGAGTTACTTCATATCTCTGCCTCATTTCCACATTTGTAAAATGAAAATAATAATATCTACCTCATAGGACTGCTGTTATGACAATTAAAGGAGATGAGTCATTTAAAGTCCATGACACAGTGCTGGCAGTAGACCCAGAAGGAACCAGCCATTGTACAAAGTAAAATAACTGTGGAATCAGATTTAGAATTCATGTTTTCTTCCCCCTTGTTTGATGTTATTTAGGAGGTGATACTAAAGACATTGTCATAGGCAAAGTCAGTAACCCCTGATATTTGAACTTGGTGCAAATTGATTACTATGCTATTTAAAGGTTCATTAAATTTAGTTATTACTGTAATCTCACCCTAAACTTAATGGTGTTGAAACAAGGACTGTCTAACCTCTAAATCAAAAACTAAATAAAAATGTAAAGATGCTAAATGCAATCCTGTGGTTATGTATTCATCCACCATATGGTGTCTTAATGTGTTTCTTAGCATCTGGTGGAATAAAGCCAAGATGCTGGGTTTGATCCCATTTGGGTCTGTTAACCGCTTTAGTGCATGTTTAGCTAAGTCATACTTGGCTTGCCAGCTTGCAAAGGCATGATTTTGGAAGGAACAGTAGTGAGTTATGGGGGTAAGTGATAGTTAAGAAGACAGGGGAAGGTGTTCATTCCTAATGATGGTAGGCTGCTTCAATAATAGCAGATTCATGCATAAAAGACAGTATAACATGATGTGTTCATCTAGAAGCACACAAAATTTCAAAGACATACCGAAAAAGTCAGAAATAGAAAAAGGTTAATCTCAGTTTGCTATATGGTCATATTTACCCCTCCAAAAAATGTAAAGTCAATATTCCAATAATCTCAAAAGTGCATTCTAACTTCCTCTTGGTTCCAATTGTTTTCATTAGCTTTAGTTCTCCATATGAGACTTCTTATTAGGCCTGTTACATATTTCTGTAATCTTTCAGGAGGTCAGGACCCCAGTCTCCTGCTATGCCCTTCATTATTCATTAGATAAGATCGAGATTATCTTCTCACCTGGAGGGCAGTGACAAAACTTTGGTGTAATTTAGGATCTCTTCTAATCTTTCCATCTGTTTGGATTAGGGAAGATTCCTGTGAATGCTCAATTTCTTTGATCTTTTATTCAAAGGTCCTGGTTTGATAAGGTGGTTGGCAAGATTCTAGCGCCTTACTTTTTCCTTGGTCTTTTATTGAACCGAATTCCCTAAATTTTGCTTTAGGAAGAAAAAAGGCAATTCTTTAAGTGTAATGGGCTGCAGGGTCTCTGAAATTTAATTTAATACGATCTTCCATTCTAAAGGACAAAATAATATAACCATCTTTGCTGTGAACTGTGTGTAGAATATACTTGTATCAACTTCCCTTGCTTGCTGAGAGCATGTTGGGATAAATCACTGTGGTGTGATTTATGAAGTCCCCTCCTTCTCTCAGTCTCTCCCCAGCCTATTTGAGTTTCCTATCCAGGCATCAGGCCTTTCCTGACAGATATGATAGAATTGGTACTGGTAGTCACTCCCAGCAGGGTCTGTCTTTGATGTTTTATTAAGTGTATGATTTACTGTCTCTTCTTTTGATTTACTAACTAAAGTAAGAAATAAGAACGTTAGGTTGGTAACAATATCCAAATGGCCACTTTTAAGAAATTGCTGGCCGGGCGAGGTGGCTTATGTCTGTAATCCCAGAACTTTGGGAGGCCAAGGCAGGCAGATCACCCGAGTTCAGTTTGAGACCAGCCTGCCCAACATGGCGAAACCCCATCTCTCCTAAAAATACAAAAAAATAGCTGGGCGTGGTGGTGGGCACCTGTAATCCCAGCTACGCAGGAGAATCGCTTGAACCCAGGAGGTAGAGGTTGCAGTGAGCTGAGATCAGCCGCTGCACTCCAGCCTGGGCAGCAAGAGGGAAACTCCATCTTAAAAAAAAAAAAAAAAAGAAGGAAATTCCTTTAAATGTGTTAGTTTTCAGAACAGTGAGATCGCCACTAAGAGTATTTTCTCATCATCAAGTATATGGCTAGATTGGAAAGTGATTCTATAATCAAAAAATGCCATTCAAAGAAAGTTTAAGCAATTGGCTAGCAGGAAAAGTGGTTACCTTCTCCCTTCCCCCGTGTGTGTGTGTGTGTGTGTGTGTGTTTGTGTGTATGTAAACTTACAAATTCTTTCCCCTGGTTAAAATAAAACACACACACAAAACAATGATGACAACTGTAATTACATCCTGGCAACATTGAAAAAAAGAGAAATTGATCAGTGTTGCAAGCTTTTCTTTCTTCCTAATAATCATCGTTTCTGAATACTAGAAAATAGAATGCCTGATGTTTATCACTACACACTAAAGGACACTTTAGGGAAGGCTAATATTTTGGCCTTTGGGACCTTGTTATGCTTGAAGCTTTACTGGTGGAACATCAACATTCTTTGCTTTCTCTTTGTAAAATATTTGCTGTAAAGTGTAAATAAAGAAAGGAGAGTATTTCTTCACATTGCTATGCTAAAACATCTGGCATCTGGGGTTGTGTTTATACCCTTCTGCACTGCAGGCAGTGCAGGAAGCCTCCTTCAAAGCAGTCTGGATTTTTCTTTCACCTCCTTGAATGTCCAAAAAGTAACTTTTATGGTTTTTTTTTTTCTTTTGGAAGACGATTTTTGTCCAGCATATGGAGCATCTTAAATACTTGGGCCAAAAAACAAGTCACTAGAAAGGGAAGTTCTCCAATTTATCTTACAGAACACCTGCTTATATCCTAAAGGGCTCTGTGTCACTCAAGGCTCCACCTACATTCTCAATATATAAGATCCAAAAATAACATAGTGCTTTTTGGAATACAATCTCACTTTAAAATGCATTTCCACCTTGCCTGTTCCAAACAATATGATTACAAAGAATCAAACAATAGGATAAAGCAAATAAATAAGAACTTGGAGAGGAAATTAGGTAGAAATTGAATGGAAATTGAACAGAAAATAAGGACAGGGAAACAAAATTGAGTTTAATACACAGAATGCATGCTGTATGCTCATTACAGGTGAGCTGCAAATTTGGATCTGAATTTCCTAGCAAACTAATAAAAAAGAAACACTGAATTAATCATATGAGTTTTGACATCAAGAAAGAAAAACATGGTGGCTATGTCTGTAATCCCAGCACTTTGGGAGGCTGAGGCGGGCGGATCACCTGAGGTCAGGAGTTGGAGACCAGCCTGGCCAACATAGCAAAACCCCGTCTCTACTAAAAATACAAAAAAAAAAAAAAAAAAAATAGTCAGGCATGGTGGCAGGCGCCTGTAATCCCAGCTACTCGGGAGGCTGAAGCAGGAGAATTGCTTGAACCCAGAAGGCAGAGGTGGCAGTGAGCCGAGATCCTGCCGTTGCACTCCAGCCTGGGCAACAAGAGCAAAACTCTGCCAAAAAGAAAGAGAAAAGAAAGAAAGAAGAAAGGAAGGAAGGAAGGAGGGAGGGAGGGAGGGAAGGAAGGAAGGAAGGAAGGAGGGAAGGAAGGAAGAAAGGAAGGAAAACAAGCACCTGTTGAGAAGTTATCTCTTTTCCTGATACAGAGAGCTATGAGAATATTTTTTGGTGTGTCTTTATAGAGAGAACATGTTAATTTTGAGAAAAATATCTTCAATCTCAGTCATGTTAAGAATATAGCAAGGGCCTTCACAGGGAGGTTGCAATGCTGTTCCTTAATGTAGGTCCATTAAGTTCCTTCAGAGCAAAGTTCCAGAAAAGAATCCTAAAATATCATCTGAGAACACAGATTATTGGTGGTCTCACTGAAACTGAGGTTATAGTTTAGTTACTGACGGCTTATCCTTAAGAGAAATTCTCCATAAATATCCATTCATGTGTTTGTTTAACAAAATAAACCACTGGCTATGTGCCAAGCATTATTCCTGGTGCTGGGGTTATAGCAAAAAATAGACAATTTCTTTGTTTTCATGGAGTTTAAATCCTAGTGAGGATGGGAGAAACAGATAATTAAAAAATAAACGAGAAAATAATTTTAGAGAGTTATAATGAGAATACTAAGGAAAACCAAAGCAGAGTAGTGGTACAAACATGGACTGCTTTTGATAGGTTTGAGGCATTGACAATTGAGCTGAGATGAACAAGAAGAAGGAGCCAGACAAATACCTGGGAAACCCCAGCAATCCCAGGGGAGTGAACAGTAAATGTGAACATCAAGAAGTGGACTTGATCTTGGCAGGTTGAAGGGGTTTGTGGGATTGGGCTATACCGGACAAGGGGGATGGAAGCAGAAATGCCCCAAGCGTGTATGGCTACAAATTCAGAACCAAATTTGCAGCTTACTTCTAATGAGCATAAAGTGCAAATTGGCAAAGGGCTCACCTACCTTAAATACTTGAATTCCATCATTTGGCCATTGTCATAGTACCATAAAAATACAGTAGTTTTTTGGTATTGTATGATGTTAGAAAATGACCTTTGACTGACATGTTAGAAAATTATCATAATAAATACAGACATCTATGATATCCTGTGATTTTTATTGATTGCTATTATAAAAATACTGCAACATTATTTTGGGAAAGATCATGGTCGATGGGACCACATTTAACATGGTAGTCAAAGTCTAACATAGGCCTTCATATTGCGGAATAGTGGGTGACACTAAACATTCTAACATAAATCTTCACAGATTCTGTGTGTCTGCTGGATGGAAATGGTCAGTTTTAGAGGTGCTAAAATTCTTTCAGGTGCCAAGGAGCCCCTCGAGGCACTGTATTAGAGAGAGATGGGTTATTAAATCATCACTTCAACTGTAAATCATCTCTGTGAGTGATTTACTCCCTTGTCCTTGCAGGATTGAGAAATTATTGCGAAAAAGAAACCCCAGGAATATAGCTCTTAACTAGAAAGACATTATCTCAGGTTTAAAAATATCTCTAATCAGTTAAACAACAGTATTCTGAGTTGCAGAAAATATAGAGCACAATGATGGTACTGGAAATGAAATGTAACAGAACGATGAAATCTATAAATCACAACTCTGGAAGTCTTAAGCAAGTCCTAATGTTTAAAGACAGCATCCTTTGATATTCTACTAATTGCTGCAAAGGGTGTTTAGAAATAGCAGAATTTTCTAGGAAAAAATAATGATGCACTTTTAGTTTAAAGTGACACCATCTTTTAAGATTTGACAACATCTTGGAAACAGCTGCCATAACATCTTTTTTCATATTTGCTTAGTTAACATCATTGTGACATTAGTCTATGGCTGCCAATAAATTTTCATTAAAAATATTTGTTTAATATGAGAAGGCTCCAGAAGGGAAGGTATTTAAATCTAGAAACTGAAACAAACCAACATGTTATCTAATAATAATTTATAAAATATTATATTCTTATTTTACATGCTATATAGGAAGATAATTGATGGTTAATTGGAGGACAAAAATTCTTTAAAATGACAAAATTCCTCCTACTTTGTCAGACTATAAATTTCTATGAACTTAGCATTTGTTGTTCAACTTGAGTAAATGTTATATCCATTTCCTTGGCATTATATCTTCTTTCCTTTCGTTCAGTTTAAAAGGAGGACCACAACTATATTTCCAAGGAATTCACAGCATTTTATAGATTAATACAAACTGATAGTTTGGGACCTATTCATCTCTAAGCTTTCTTTAGTTCTCTCTCCTTCACAAATGGGTGAATTGACATAAATCTATTCTTCCTACTCATCGTCTCTCTGCCCCTGTGAATGTCATCATCTTGTGTTGATTGAGAGGACTGGGTGTGAGAACATAAAATATCAAGGCATCTCAAGTAGAGCCATGTACCAAATAACAACATTTTGGTCCATGATGAACTGCATATGTGATGGTGGTCCTCTAAGACTAAAATGAAGCTGAAAAATTCCTATTGCCTAGAGGCGTCATAACCACAGTGCAACGTATTACTCATATATTTGTGGTGATGTTGGTGTAAATGAAACTACTGTGCTGCCAGTCATATTAAAGTATAGCACATACAATTATGCACAATACATAATACTTGATAATAATAATGAATGATTAGTTACTGGTATATGTGTTTACTATATTATGCTACATTATATATTTTATTGTTATTTTTGAGTGCACTCCTTCTACTTATAAAAAAAAAAGTTGTCTGTAAAACAGCTTCAGGCAGATACTTTAGGAGGTATTCCAGAAGGAGGCATTGTTATCACAGGAGAGGACAGTTCCATATGTGTTTTTGCCCCTGAAGAGTTTCCAGTGGCACAAAACATGGAGGTGGAAGACAGTGATATTGATGATCCATCGATGATCCTCACCCTGTGTAGGCCTAGGCTAATCTGTGTGTGCACGTCTTAGTTTTTAACAAGAAAGTTTAAAAAGTTAAAAATATTTTTAAAATAGAAAAAAGGCTATAAAATAAGGATATAAAGAAAAAATATTTTTATACAGCTGTATGATATGTTGGTGTTTTAAGTTAAGCATTATTACAAAAGAGTCAAAAAATTAAAAAATTAAAAAGTTGACAAAGTAAAAAAATTACAATAAGCTAAGGTTAATTTATTACTGAAGGAAGAAAAATATTTTTATAAGTTTAGTGTAGCTTAAGCATACAGGGTTTATAAAGTCTACAGCAATGCACAGTAATATCCTAGGACATCACCTTTACTCACAAGTCATTCCCTGACTCACCCAGAGTAACTTCCAGTCCTGCAAGCTCCATTCATGGTGTACACCTATACAGGTGTACCATTTTTTATCTTTTATACAATATTTTTACTATATCTTTTCTATGTTTAGATACACAAATACTTACCATTGTATACCAGTTGCACACAGCATTTGGTACAGTAACTTGTTGTACAGCAGGAGTCCTCAGACCCTGGGCTGGAGACTGGTATTGGTCCTGGCCTTTTAGGAACCGGGCCACACAGCAAGAGGTGAGTGGCAGGCCAGTGAGCATTACTGCCTGAGCTCCACCTCCTATCAGATCAGTGGTTGCATTAGAGTCTCATAAAAGAGCAAACCCTATTGTGAACTGTGCATGTGAGGGATCTAGGTTGTGCACTCTATGAGAATCTAATGCCTGATGATCTGAGGTGGAACAGTTTCATCCCCAAACCATCACTTCTCCCCACCCCCCTCAGTCCATGGAAAAATTGTCTTCCGCAAAATCAGTCCCTGGTGCCAAAAAGCTTGGGGACTGATCCTGTACAAGTTTGTAGCCTAGAAGCAGTAGGCTATATATGATATAGCCTAGGTGTGTAGTAGGCTGTACCATGTAGGTTTGTGTAATATACTCTCTGATATTCACACAATGATGAAATTACCTAATGATGCATTTTCCAGAACGTATCCTTATCATTGGCAATACACAACTCTACCTTCTGGAACAGGCAAATTATGTTATTCACTGGAAAAAGATTAGTTGCTCTACAAGCAAAGAGTACTACAAGTCCATTCATATTAGTCAGAATTTCCCACACTAAAATAATCCTATCCTCATTTTAGATTTAAAGACCCACCTTATCCCATCATCATCTAACTAAAAATTATTTGCTTTGCCAGTGCTAGGTACAGCACTTTTCTAGAATGTCCAGACATCAAATCTCTTGTCTCTGCTGCAGAAAGTTAAGCAGAAATGTGGAAGTTCTTCAGTTCTTGGCACCAGTGGAGACAATGGTCTTGAATTACTGTATCAAGCTTCACAAACCAATGTTCACTTCACTCAAAAGCTGTCTAGGCCGGGCGCGGTGGCTCACGCCTGTAGTCCCAGCACTTTGGGAGGCCGAGGCGGGCGGATCACGAGGTCAGGAGATCGAGACCATCCCGGCTAAAACGGTGAAACCCCGTCTCTACTAAAAATACAAAAAATTAGCCGGGCGTAGTGGCGGGCGCCTGTAGTCCCAGCTACTTGGGAGGCTGAGGCAGGAGAATGGCGTGAACCCGGGAGGCGGAGCTTGCAGTGATCCGAGATTGCGCCACTGCACTCCAGCCTGGGCGACAGAGCGAGACTCCGTCTCCAAAAAAAAAAAAAAAAAAAAAAAGCTGTCTAGACCTCACTAGATAGTGAGACATTAGGATGAATATAAAACATCATAATTTGCTACAAATTTTGCTAAAAGCATAAATAATCACAGTCTCTATGTTATTAGGAAACAAAACTTAGCAAGTTTTAAAGATTTATAGTATGCAGGGGCTTTGTTACCTCCAAAAAGAAAGGGGAGCTTCTCTAGAAGAATGCTTTCTGGAAAAAAAAACGACCTCTCAGCAATAGCTAACATGTCAGCAGCCTCTTCCTCTGTGCAGAGAACCCTGCTGAGTTCCTTGTGTGCATTATTTTATTCTCTCATCACAAAATTCTTGTGGACTATTTATCATCACTACCATTTCACAGCACCAAGGTTTAGAAATGTTCAGACTTGACCAAGTTTATACAGCTAGAAGAGTACTTGATTTTGAATATTGCTGCCTGCCCACTTAACATGGTTATGAGTAATGTGAGCAGCTTAGCACAGAAACATCCAAGAATCAGGTTTGATGGGCTGAGAGATACAATATCAAGTAAATGCAAAATGAAGCTATTTTCCGAAATGAATATGGCTTGTCCTGGAGATAATTTTGTCGATGAAAGCCAGGCTGAATCCTGCTAATTATTTAGAAAGAAAAATCAAAACTGATACCAAAAAAATGTGGGTTTCTAAATTTATCAAAGTCGTTCACTTCCAATTTATTTCTACATGATCTCTTTTCCTCCCTGAAATCCTAAATTGCTATGGGAGCAGGGGAACAGAAAATATGAATGTGGAACTTTGGGTAGAATATAATAAAAAACTTTAAATTTTTTTAAGTAATGCATTTGTGATGAATTATGAAAAGAACTGGAAAAATGTGGGCCATAGGGTAAACAAATAAACAAAATACAAAAGAAAAAAATCCAACCTAATTGAAAGCATCCTTTTTGTCTCCTCAATTTTCTTTACATTTTTTTGTATTTTAGAATTCAAGTCTGGATATGGACAGTATAAATGGTTTAAATAACACAACAAACACAACATTACCTTTCTGTGCCTCACTCTCTTCTTTTGGGTGTGTGAGAGTAGCAGGGTGTAGCAGCAATAAACTCTGGTATAATTGTGGTATTAGATTATCATATATACTCAAAGAGTATCCATTGAGTGAATTAATGAAAGAAGGCTTAAAGTGAGTAAATCATATGAGTCATTTTCTGAAAAGCAATTAATTACATTTAAGGATGGAACAAGATCATTTCTAAATTATGAGGAAAAGAGCAGGGCAGGTTATATTATTGTTATTTGTTATATATAAATAATAGAAAATCCATCTATATGGTAAAAAATACGAGTTTACAGGTAATGTATTTATATCCTACAAAATCATTTGTTGACTGATTACTTCCACTCCCCTGTCTCTTAGGGAGGGTGACTGATTGAATGGAACTTGATCTTTCAATTCAGAGTCAGAACATACTCTTCCCAGGGCCTAAGAAACTCAAGGTACATAGGGCAAGTGAGAAAGATCCAGAAAGTCTTTATTTTAAATCCTACATGAATGATGACAATATTGAGATTCAAAGTGCCTCTTCTAACCAGGATAGTCTAAAGAACTATTCATTTTTCAGATAAAAGAGGTCTAGCATTATTAGCTTTCTTTTCTTTCATTGGCCTCACTAGATTCTAAAAAGCTTGGGGGAATCACTATGGTAGATATTTGTGGTTTACGTTCACCTCATCCTTTTCCACTCCCTCTTTCTTGCCTTTGCTCTGAATTTCCTAACTGTGTAGTTTGCCAAGGATATGCCATACTCCTAACTCTATTTAGTCCAGACTGACTTAGACCAATCCTCATAATTCATATTCCTGACTGTAATGGTTCAGGGGTAGGCACATACACAAACCAGGCCAATGAGGGCTGGGAGACTCAATGTGGGGATTTGAGATTGAGGGATCTGGGAAGTAGACATTCTCATTTTACACTGGAAATGAATGAGGAAGTATTTAACATCAGGAGCTTTTTATTAGACAGCATTTCTTTAAATCACACAGAGCTTTTAGTCAATACTTCTCTAGAAGTCCACAAGGGGTACCCAACCTGAGAATGAAGCCACCACCAAGAAATATGAGCCTATAAATGGGGGGAGAGAAACCAGATTTTTGGTGATATCATTGAGCTAACAGATCAAACCTGAAGCCTGAACACTTTTCATTAAGATAGGCCAAGATAATTCCCTTTATTTTTAAAGACACTTGGACATGGCTGGAGTGCTAATTGCAACAGAAAGAAGAGGAATTGATATAGGGATATACTTTTTATTAGACACGGCCTCACACACAGTGAGTTAAATAATGGAATGTTCCTAAAGCATGTTCTCTCAAACTTTAACACCTAGTTTTTAAAAATGATTCTTATTTTATCATTGCTATGTCAGGACATCTAAGTGATTATTTTATCTAAGGTCAACAAGAGGAGTTAAAACCCTTCAAAATTGTTTGTTCAATAGATTTACACTTAACCTATGAGTTATTTATTTCCTTGGAAATCTGTAAAGCAGATTGCTTTCCTAAATTTTTTGTTTGTAATCTGTGACTTTTTTGTCAGGCGATCCTTTGCATTTGCTCAACAAGTGAAACAAATTACTTTTTAAATATGTCTTGAACTATCATTCATTTTGAGAAGAACTTCAACTGCTCTTACAGACTATCTCAGAATATTTTGAGAAATAGATACAAGACTTGTTTAGGCACGCACATTCACGCTTACTACTGTTTCCATGCCAATTTTTAAGTCCTGCCAGAGAACCCTAGACACCCTGCAGACACTATGTCACATGCTGGGCAGACATGGAACAGGGCTTCACATTGTGCAGCATGGTAGCGATTTCAGGTGTCACTCAGAACGAAGTGTATCCCCAGCTTCTCAAAGATCTTTGGACTGACTGCCAACTAATGAATCAATTAAATCATGCTATGACTTTTGACTCCGGAGATAAGTCACACCCCTTAGTAAAGCTAATATTGTTTAACTTTAGTCCCTCAAAATACTTTGATCTGTGTGTTAGGTATTTTTGTTTTGTTTTGTTTTTTACTTTGAGTTGTCAAAAGCACTGAAGGAATGCTAAAATATGTTGAATGCTTACCCAGTGTCAATGCAATCATGTATGTTGTTTCATTTCAGTCTTTTACAAATCCTGTGCATTATATATCATCTTCATTTTACGGATTAGGAGATAAACTTAGCTTAAGTCATATGTGATAGCTAGTAAGAAAAGGAAAAATGCTGAGAATAATGATGATGATGATGATGATGATGATAATGGAATTGGACTCCTTTGTCACTGACTAGCGTCAGCTCATATTTTAGCTTACCACACAGCTTTTCTGGAGAATGGTCATTTCTTATAATTTTATAGGGCTAACCTGAAGTGCTTACTATAACTTAGATTATTGGTCAAAGTAGAATTGAGAAGCCAGTGCATATCAGACAGCATTTCCTTAAATCACAAATAGTTTGCTGTGTAGCAGTTTGTAAAAAAGAAGAGAATTCAATGAGTACAAATCTGCAAAATTGTGAGAGGCACTGGGAATTTTTTGACCTACCTCTTTCATTATTTTAAGTTGAAGCTGCAGGACATCTAGACACATAGTCACAGAATCACTTATCCAGAACCACTGGAACTCGAAACATGTCACCCTGGTTTGATGTTTCATACTCTTATATGACTCCAAGGATAAACTAGTAATAAAGTAAATTTAAAGGGATTAGAGAAGGAGGAAGGAACTTGCTGGGGAGAGCCATAATAGTTAAATCCAAGTAAAAATTAAGTTACCCAAGTGACAATTTAATATGCTCATGGCTTAAGGAGAAATAAGATTTTTATTAATAAGGAGTAAAATAAATTCAACATTGTGCTCGGCGTATTATTATTTGCTACCCCTATATTCGTTATTAAGAACTACGATAAGATACAGGCACATCACCCCCCACTTTAAATTGTGGGAGAAAAGTAAAAGAAAAAACAAATAATAAAATAACAGAGGACTCCAGTGACAAAATGGAGATGTGGTGCTAGTAGAAAAGAAAAGAGAGAAAATGGATTATAAAAAAAAAGATAAATAAAAGATGAGGCAGAATAAGAAAAAAAACAACAACCCAGGAGCAAATTTGAATTGCTTCTATATATTATATAACATTTTCTTAAACATTTTTGTTGGCTAATATCAATCAGTACTTTTATCTTTCATAGGCTAAGCACAAAGACATAGCTGGAAATTGCATAAAGATAACCTTCAGCTTCACAAAAACAAACAAACAAACAAACAAAACAACACCATGGTTTGTGGCCACATATGTCATGCATTGGGCAACTCCAGAGGGCACCATTCATATAGACTATGATGGGAATGATACACCATGGAGTTGATCACTGCATGACCTACTTAATTGTACATTCCTGTCTAAGGAAGCTACTGGCTAGTTCGTTATATCACAAATGTTGTATTCTGTAACAGTAAATAGGTATTTTCCAAGATGTGATTTGGAGATATAATGTAGGTTTCTTACAAAACTGTAAAACAAGATGGCCACGAGAAAGGGATTTTCCCAAAGGACCAAACAAGAAGTCCATATGTCCCAAAGCTCGTTACCTGCTATGTTGACATACACAAACTTCCAGATCTAGACAAATGGACAGTAAGATTTATTTTGAGAGTATCTGTGTTACTTTAAACAAAGGGCACAAAATGCTTTCTTAAAAGGTCATCCTTCAAATATCTGATTGTCACACTGTGAACCCTCACTTGTGACCAATACAGTTACTACACCTAAATAAATAGAGAGGAAGGCTTGCCCTGTGAAACACTTAAGAAAGAAATGGAAAAACTTGCAGTTTGTAACCTCAGCTATGACCCTAACATAGTGTGTGGTCCTGAGAAAGCCATTTAACCTCTTGATGTCTCAGATTCCCTTTTAAGTCTTAAATTTCAGTGGGTGAAGTGAGGATAGGGTTTTGGAATTATCTCTCTTAAGACCCAGGAATGCTACAAGAATGACTGAATATTTTCTAAATGGAGAATAAAATTAAGTTTTCAATAGGAAAATATTTTCGCTAAGAGCTCTGTGTGGGGTGGATAAAGGAGTTTGAGTGATTTTAGATTTCGATGTTAAATTACTTTTAGTTTTTCTTTCCTAGAGGATAATTTAATATGTTTGTGGGTTAAAGAGAAACACAATTTTTATTAATAAGGAGAAAAAAAAAGATCCAACATAGTTTTCCTTATATTAACATTTGCTATCCCCATATCCATTATGGGAATTGCAAAGTGATACAAGCATGTTGCTCTTGTATGTGGTATATAGAAATGTACCAGCAAACAGTACAGGATAGAAAGTCAGTTTATATAAGACAAATAAGGCACATTTTTAGTATTTAAAGAGCTGAAAGACATTTTCAGAGATTCCAGGTCCAATTGTTAAAAATAATTTTGTATCTCTAATGATAATTAGGGGTGTTCAATCTTTTGGCTTCCTTGGGCCACATTGAAAGAAGAATTGTCTTTGGTCACACGTAAAATATGCTAACACTAATGATGGCTGATGAGCTAAAAAACAAATTGCAAAAAAAGTCTTTTAACGTTTTAAGAAAGTTTACAAATTTGTGTTGGGCCACATTCAAAGCCATCTGAGATGCATGTGGTGCCTGGGTCATGGGTTGGGTAAGCTTGGATTATAGATAAAATATAGACACTGTAACATAAAGTGTCCACACCCTGGAAACTTTAATATTTGGAGTTCTGTGCTATTGGTTCTTCGAATAGTTTCAAAATAGATCTAACATAGTTACTATTTACATAGTTACAATAAATACCTACTATTTATTGAGTACCTAATATACATTTACTCGTTTAATATTTAATATCTAAATTAACTCATTTAAATATTCACAAATGGTAGAGGGAGAGAATGAATCCAGGGAGTCTAGGTGAGAAGCCCAGGCCAGAGACTATGAGGTAGAGGTTGTTGTTACACCAGTTTTAGAAGTGAGGAGACTGAGGCACAGATAGGTGGAGTCACTTGAGAAATGTAAATGGTAGGCTAACATTGTCTTTATGGTAGAATTATGAACTACACAAGAGATGGTCCGTCATGGCTCTACCATAATAGCACAGGCAGGTGTTCTATCTCAACAGACAAAACGAAGTTGAAGAGTTAGGGCTTCAGGAAATACAATATACAAAACTAGTTTAGAACATGCTCTTGGAGCTAATCACTAGGAAATCCAAGTTAGGGCACCCCCGTGGCACTTGAGCATTTACTCCAGCTCTGGGAATGCTGTGGAAAGAGAAATGGAAATCCAAGTACCAGCCACATTGGCTAGAAATCCAGGTCTCATGGGTATTTGCCTATCCAATTTATGAAGTTTTTTTGACTACAGAGCTTCAATTCAACTAAATATTTCTTGCAAGCCTTCAGTCTGCCAAGAACTGTGCTGTACACTATGGATACAAACATAACTGATGTACAGTTCAGACCTTCAAGGAGTTTTAACCTGGCAATGTAGCCTGATGTATGTACAAAGGCCCATAATACCAGGTGGAATGAACTCTAAAAGATATATGGATAAAATGGCATGAGAGTCTAAGAGAAAGCAGTTAATTGTGCTGAGAGTCAGAAGACAGGTGAATGCTGGTGAATTGGGATGACATGCAGAAGGAAAGAATCCAGCATGCATATAGACATGAATGAACTCTATGTGATTGATTCTGGATGTGGTAGTGGTCAGGCATAACCATAAATCAGGAAGCAAGAGGGAAAACCATAAGATGAAGTTAGGTGGGGGCTAGATTATCAAGAATATTGAATGTCATACTAAGTCACTGTATCTCTATACTGTAGATAATACAGAGTCATTAAAAGTTTTGTTTTTGAATAAGGGGTAAATGACATGATCTGATATTAATTTTACAAAGATGAATTTTAGAACAGGATGGGAGATAATGAAAGCAGAGAATCAAAGTAGAATGCATTTGTGATATAGTAAACAAGAAAAACTGGAGAAAACCCAAGCTGAGGAATATATTGGAGGTAGAATTGACAGGATTCTATCTGTAACCATTACATGTTTTGCAAGAAAAACTTGTGAATCATTACATGTGAGGTGAAAAGGATTGAGGGCCAGGGAAGTCTAGCTGACTCCAAGTTTTTTGCCTTGTGCAGGTGGGTTGATGCCTATGATACGTAGGAATAAGTGCACAAATGGAGAAGCCCATTTGGGATGTAGGACACAACGTGTACCATACTGGGCATGTTGATTCTGAGGGTCCCTATAATTTAAGCAGAGGTAGTAGGCAACCTGGGTGAGGAGTTTAGGAGAGGATATGATTGGGCCTTTCACATAGAGTTGGGAGGCATCATTCTTATACAAGTAACAGATGAAGCATGGAAATAGGTAGTTTCTCTTAATTAAAAGTATAAAATAGAAGCAAAGCAGATTAAAAAATTTGAATATATCTGTTTCAAGCAGTGGTTCTCAACATGTGGGCCTCTTAGACTAGCAGCATCAGAATCAAAATGCAAATTATCAGGCCCTACCCGAGACTTAGTGAACCAGAAACTTTTGGTTGGAATCTAGCAACCTATGTTCCAGGTGCTTCTGATGTACCCTAAAGTTTACTATATTGGGAGAAAAATAGGAACCATTAAAGAAAAAGTCTGAGAAATAGGCAGGAGTGTGATGTCACAGACTCATTCACAGACATAATTTCAGGTATGGTCAGGGTCAGATACTGCAGAAATTTCAAGTGTTGAACGGACTGATTCAACTATGCATTGGAAACATTACAAGGGTAATTTTCCATTAAAAATTCAGGAGTAATAAGATCATAGCTGGTGGTGGTAGATTGAAGTCAAGATAACAGAATGGAAATGTAGGCTACTTACTCAAGAAGATTTTTAAAGAGGTAAGATGTTTATGTGTTGATGACAATTTTTAAAGAATATGGGTGACCAAGGAAAGTTTGGGGATTTGTTTGAAGCAAAAAATTTGAATATGATCTTGTGTTAAGGGAAAGTAGGATAATAATTGATGAAACAAGGTTCTGAAGGAGTAATTGGATAGAAGAGGATGGGATGAAGATCACATACTGAGAGACTAGAGAAATGGTGGAGGCAGGCCTCCTTTTGAAAAAGGAGATGAGACTTAGAAAACATAAGGTTAAGTTTGTAGCGGGAAAGGAGACAACTTGAGGGAGTTCATGCCAACAAAACTGTTCCCAAGGAAGCAACAGGAGAGGCCATTTTCTTTGAGTGAGAGCTGGCAAGACTAGGAGAACTTGAGAGTGGTCATGGTTTGAAAAAGTTCTGTGGGAGTGGGAACATTGGAGGGAGCCCAATGACCTGTCAACCCCAAAAGGCCTCAGTTTCCTCTTCTTGCTCAGTTCTTAGGTTTTTGTACATTTCTCAAGATGTAATATGTCAACATATTCTTAATGCCCCACCTTGTGGCCTGGCAGAAAGTAAGGTATTTATTTTTCTTGAGAAACTCACCCAACTCTGGCACAGTTTTGATATCAAACTCAGGTCAGCTGAGTGGATAACACCAGCACTCAACTGGCTCAATTCACACCAGCCAACCTAATTAAGAAGAAACTAAAGACTGTTGTTTGTGGGCTTAAAAAGACAAACTAATGGGGTGAATTAATTAATTTTGAGGATCAAACGTTCGGAAATAATGATAATAATGCATGAGTGTTACGATTTGCATTTATCCTGCAGATAAGTTTTCTGGTATTTGCACAGGCATGAAATGAATTAGGTAAATGCATTTTCCAGATCTTCCCATTGTTTTAAAGCATATAATAGCATTTCAATTTATATAGTCTAGACTTGTTATCTCATACTGCTATTAAGCCATCAAACTCACAGAATTTCCCAAGCCACAGATTTCCCTTTTGGCCATTTTCACTCACCAGTTCTGTCCCAACAAACAAAGTGTACATTACTCATAGATTTGAGACATGAGTAGAGAGTGAAGTTAATATTGTTGGATGACTCTACAAATATGAAAAAGAATTATATTCTATTTATTAATTTCTTAGAAGTAATCCAGGCTACCATTTGTAAATGCTCCAAATAACTGAGGTCTTTGACCAGAGATAGCTTAACTTTTGGGAACTTGCTCTTTCAGCCCTATTACAGACAGAAGTCTGGAGGACCAAATCATTCAGTTAGAAAAGGAAACTTCTCAGAAAGCATATGCTCCTCTTTACTTCCAGTCATTAAAAAAGATCCCCCAGCTTTCAAGTTCATGAATAGAATCTGGAAAGCGAAAATATCAGATGGTTAGATGTGCCTATTAGTGCATCTCCTAAAGCCTAATCAAAAACTAAGATGGTTGTGGGCATGAATAAAATGTGGAAAGATTTGGGAAGTGGTGAAGGGCATAACAATGGAGTAGACAGGATATGTGCTTTGAATTTACCTCATGGAATTAAGGAGCTTGCAGAAATCAATCATTGTTCCTATTTAATTGAATTCCTTTTTAATTGAGTATCTAGAATAAGTACTGAATAACTATCTGCATATGAACTTCTACTTGGAGTAAAAAGTCAAAGTTTTTGCCTTTAATTTTATGTTGTAAAGTTTTTCTTATTTCTGTAATATTTTCTGTTCCAAGTATTAAATTTATTATAGGTTAAAAAACACTTTTTTGTAGAACTAGGAATGGTGAAAATCTTTGTTCACTGGAGACTTACTATCTTTAAATTGTAAAATCCCCCAAACTACTTAACAATACCAATAGTAAAAATTCCCAAATGCCAACATTTATTTTATTCTTTGTCTTCTGCTTCTAAATCCAATATCTGTGATTGTATACAGAATGTTTCCCTCAAAAATACCTTTATAACAATTTCTTTGGGATGAAAAGAGAGCTATAAGGTTTAACTGAAGTAATAACATTTTTGAAATGAAAGATGCCACTCGGTTCATCATTTTATACAAACATATTCTTGTTATATCAAATTCAAACTACAAAAATATGGAAAGCTAATAGTGCAAGTTTTCCTTTACCTTTCCTTAAACATACTTCTGTCTGGAGGTCATCACTACATCAGTGAATGTTTCCTTCTAGAACCTTCCTTATGCATTAGTTTTCTTTGGTTTGATAATACTGTACTACAGAGAGTTGTAGGCTGCTCTCTCTGTGCCTAGAATACAGAAAAATAAAAAAAGATAAAATATTTAGATGGACCAGTAAAAATCTGAAGACAAGAAAGAGTTTCCAAAGCCCAAAAAATAATTGAAGCCTTAACATTTTATTACATAGCCTTATCAGTATCAGCTTAATGGTGCAAATATTTTGTACATTTGTGATCACTTACCACAAATACCACATAAATGAACAAACATATGTAATGTGCTCTTGGAATTTACATTCTATATGAAGACTTAATGTGTAGTGTCTTCAAAATTATGAATAAATAATTTTTGAAATAATGAAAAAATTCTAAGGCTTTTGAGAGACTATTGTGTCAGTAAATTGACCATTTAAATTTTCCAAGTGATGTCAGAATTAAAATTTGTGGAAGACTGCCCTCTAATGGATAAATAAGTATTTGATATGTTCTACAAAAAGAAAAAGGGTGCTTGAAAGACACACAAATCAAATTGCTATCCTAATGCTAGTATCTTATAGTGTCGTTTATGTTAGCATACATTTACAATAAAGCAGAGAGATTTTTTTGGAGTCCATACCATACCCTAACTGTTTATATTAAAGGTCATTCAGGGTCAATTTTTGCACAGCATAAAACATCCCTTTAATATGAATCTTGTATTTGTCTTCATGGGAATCATCATAAAACTTGGCAAAATCACCAGACAGCCTATATAATTATTGACAGTCCTGCAGAGATGGTGTCATTTCAAACACTGCCGATTATTTCTCACAGCTGAGAGTAAAAGTGGCAAATAATCCAATTACTTAAAGAAATAATTCAATACTATATGTTCTCTGCACCTAAAATACTTTTTAATGATCATCATACTAGGGTCTTCTTCATAGTTATGCAATGCAATTCTGTTCTTATCCCCGTTGTTGTTGAGCCCACCATCATAATATCTTACAAGCACACTACCAGTAAAGAGAGGAACAAATAGATATAAATGAGGTTGGAGTATGAGAATGGCAGAGTGAGACAAATGTTTAGACTTCAATGTTTCACACATTATGTAATATGTAAAATGACCCCTAGCTTAAAAAGAGGCTTTCTACTCTCACTGTCCCTTACCCTTAACTTATAAATGAAACTATTTTTTCCTTGGTAAATTGAGAAAAGTTCAATCCACCTTTGTGATGTTCTGTTTCAAAAGTCACTTAAACTCCCTTCCTTTATTCTTTATCTTTACAAGTGGGACAATGATGTTTGTCCTCTACTTGACCTCAAATATTGTGATAAAAAGAGATATTCTGTTTGCTTTTGACCACTAAACTCTGGCCATGAGTTCCTTGAGAACAGGGGCTGAGGCATCTCATCATTCTATGCCTGTTTTAGTGCAGTGCTTAGAGTGTTATAGACCATCTAAATATTTAGCGAGTTAATGAACATCCACCTTAGTATCTCTATTGGTTTTCTAGGGCTGCCTTAGTAAAGTACAGAGGTGAAGTGGAGCAAGATGGCAGAATAGCAAGCTCCTTTGATGGCCATCCGCACAAATGTCTACACAGAAAAAGCACCTTCACAAGAACCAAAAATCAGGTGAGCACTCATAGTACCTGGTTTTAACTTCATATCACTGAAAGATGCTCTGCAGATAGAAAAAACAGTCCTGAATTGGTGATGCCACCCCTCCCCCACCCCGCCAGCAGCTGTATGGTGCAGAGAGCATCTCTGGATGCTGGGAGAGTGAGAACACAGCAATTGTGAGGCACTGAACTCAGTGTTGTTCTGTTACAGCAGAAAGAAAAATCAGAGCTAACTCAGGTGACGCCCACCCACAGAGGGATAATTAACAGCAGCCCTAGCCAGAAGGGAATCGTGGATCCCAGTGGTCTCAACTTGAGTGCCTGCAAACCTTGCCACCAAGAGCTATAGCACATTGTGTCTCCAACTAAACTTGAAAGGCTAGGCCATAAGGACTGCAACTCTAGGGCAAGTCCTAGTGCTGAACTAGGACCAGAGACAGTGAACTGGGGGTGCATGCGACATACTGCGACACCAGCTGGGGCAGTCAAGGGAGTGTTGGCATCATTCCTCCTTTAATCCCAGGCTGCATAGCTTGTGGCTCCAAAAGAGACCCCTTCCTTTCACTTCAGGAGAGGAGTGGGAAGAGTTGGGAGGACTTTTTCTTACATCTAGGATACCAGGTCAGCCATAGCAGGATAGGGCATCAATCAGAGTTGTGAGGCCGACGTTCGAGGCCCAGCTCCCAGGTGACATTTCTAGACACACTCTGGGCCAGAAGGGAAGGGCCCTGTCCTGGGAGTATTCATCGCCTGCTAACTGCATCTTGTGGTTTGAATGCCAGCTTAGCAGCAGCACAATAGAACACAAGGTGGACTTCTAAGTGTTTTGACTCTAGTCCCTGACTCCCAGACAGCACTGCTGGACCCATCCAGGGCCTGGGGGACCTCTCCATCCTGAAGGGAAGGACACAAACCTGGCTGGCTTTGCCACCTGCTGATTGTAGAGCCCCAGGGCCTTGAGTAAACATAGGCAGTAGTCAGGGAGTGGTTACAGCAGGCCTTGGGTGACACCCAGTGCTGTGCTGGCTTCAGGTTTGACCCAGCACAGTCATAGTAATGGTGGTCACAGGGGTGCTTGTGTCACTCCACCCCCAGCTTTAGGTGGCTCAGAACAGAGAAAAAGTCGCTGTATGTTTGGGAGAAAGTAAAAAAACAGAACAAGAGTTTGTGCCTGATAATCCAGATCATCAAGGTGGTACCTCTATGAGTCTGCAAGAACCACAGTGTTAGTGGGCTTGGGTGCCCCCTAAAGTAGATAAAGCTTAGATTATAACACTCGAGTCCTTCTGAATATCTAGAAAGTCTCCCTAAGAAGGACAGCTACAAATCAGCCCTGACAGTGAAGACTACAATAAATGCCTAACTCTTCTATGCCCAGACACTGAAGAACATCTGCTAGCATCAAAGCCATCCAGGAAAACATGGCCTCACCAAATGAACTAAATAATGCATTAGGGACCAATCCTGGAGAAACAGAGTTATGTGACATTTAAGTCACATAATTCAAAACAGCTGTTTTGAGGAAACTCAAAGAAATTCAAGATAACCTAGAGAAGGAATTCAGAACTCTATCAGATAAGTTTAACAAAGACATTAAAATAATTATAAAGAATTAAAAATTCTGGAGCTGAAAAATGCAATTGGCTTACTGAAGAATGCATCAGAGTTCTTTACAGCAGAATTGATCAAGTAGAAGAAAGAATTAGCGAACTTGAAGACAGGCTATTTGAAAATACACAGCCAGAGGAGATGGAAGAAAAAAGAATAAAAAATCAAAACAAAGCACACCTACGGGATCTGGAAAATAGCCTCAAAAGCGCAAATCTAAGAGTTACTGGCCTCAAAAAGGAGGCAGAGAAAGAGTTAGGGGTAGAAAAATTATTCAAAGGGATAATAATAGAGAGCTTCTAAAATCTAAAGAAAGATATCAATATCCAAATACAAGAAAGTTGTAGAAGACCAAGTGGATGTAACCCAAAAAGACTACTGCAAGGCATTTAATAATCAAACTCCCAAAGGTCAAGGATAAAGAAAAAATCCTAAAAGTAGGAAGAGAAAATAAACAAGTAATGTATAATGGAGAGCCAAAGCATCTGGCAGGAGACTTTTTAGTGAAAACCGTACAGGCCAGAAAGAGAGTGATATGGCATATTTAATGCTGAAAAAAAAATAACTTTTACCCTAGAATGGTATAACTGGTAAAAATATTCTTAAAATATGAAGTCTTATCCTTGATTAAGACTTTCCCAGACAAACAAAAGCTGAGAGATTTCATCAATGCCAGGCCTGTCGTACAAGAAATGTTAAGGAGATTACTTCAATCAGAAAGAAAAGAACATTAATGAGCAATAAATAATCACCTGAAAGTGCGAAACTCACTGGTAAATAGTAAATACACAGAAAAACAGAATATTATAACACTGTAACTTTAGTGTGTAAACTACTCTTATCCTAAGTAGAAAGACTAATGATGAACCAATCAAAAATAGCAACTACAACAATTTTTTGAGACATAGCCAGTACAATAAGATATAAATAGAAACAACAAAAAGTTAAAAAGCACAGGGACAAAGTTAAGTCATAGAGTTCTTGTTAGTTTTCTTTTTGCTTTTTTGTTTGTTTATCCCAACAGTGTTAAGTTGTTATCAGGTTAAAATAATGGATTATAAGATAGTATTTGCAAGCCTCATGGTAACCTCAAACAAAAAAAATACAATGAATACACAAAAAATAAAAAGCAATTAATGAAAGTATATCACCAGAGGAAGTCACCTTCACTAGAGTAAGACAGGAAGGAAAGAAACAAGGAAGAGAAGACGATAAGACAACCAGAAAACAAATAACAAAATGGCAGGAATAAGTTCTTACTCATCAATTATAACATTGAATATAAATGGACTAAACTCTCCAATCAAATGACATAGACTGGTTGAATGGGTGAAAAACCAAGACCCATTGATCTGTTGCCTATTAGAAGCAGACTTCACCTATAAAGACACTAATAGACTGAAAATAAAGGGACATAAAAAGATATTCCATGCCAATGAAGCCAAAAAAGAGCAGGAGTCAGTATACTTATATCAGACAAAATGTATTTCAAGACAACCACCATGAGAAGGGACAAAGAAGGTCTCTATATAATGATAAAGGGGTCAATTCAGCAAGAGGATGTAACAAGTTTAAACAAATATATTTATATATATGCACTCACCATGGGAACATCCAGATATATAAAGGAAATATTATTAGAGAGAGATTCCAGTATCTCCATAAGATAGATGTTGGAGACTTCAACACCCCATTTTGAACCTTGGACAGATCTTCCAGACAGAAAATAAACAAAGAAACATCAGATTTAATCTGCGCTATAGACCAAATGGATCTAGTAGATATTTACAGAAAATTTCATTGAAGACCTGCAGAATACACATTATTTTCTTCAGCACATGGATCATTCTCAAGGACGGACCATATGTTAGTTTACAAAACAAGTCTTAAGACATTCAAAACGTTGAAATAATATCCAACATTATCTCTGACCACAATAGAATAAAATTAGAAATTAGTAACAAGCAAAATTTTGGAAACTTTACAAAGTTACGGAAATTAAACAATATGTTCCTGAATGACCAGTGGGTCAATGAAGAAATTAACAAGGAAATAGAAAGTTTCTTTAAGCAAATGATAATGGAAACACAACATACCAAATCTATGGGATACAGCCAAAGAAGTACTAAGGGAAGTTTATAGCTATAAGTGCCTACATCAAAAAAGAGAAAAAACTTCAAATGAACAATCTAATGATGCATCTTAAAGAACAAGAAAAGAAAGAACAAACCAAACAAATTAGGATAATAAATGAAATAGTAAAGATCAGAGCAGAAATAACTGAAATTGAAATAAAAAAAAAAAAGATCAATGAAACAAAAAGTTGGTTTTTTGAAAAGACGAACAAAATTGACCAACCTTTAGCCAGACTAACTAAGAAAAAATGACAGAAGCTCCAAATAAATGAAATCAGAAATAAAAAAAGAGACATTACAAGTGATACTGTGGAAATTCAAAGGATCATTAGTGGCTACTATGAGCAACTATATGCCAATAAATCAGAAAATCCAGAATAAATGGACAAATTCCTAGATCCATACAACCTACCAAGATTGAATCAGGAAGAAATCCAAAACCTGAACAGACCAATAACAAGTAACAAGATCAAAGCCATAATGAAAAGTCTCCTTAGTAAAAAAAACCCTGGACCTGATGGCTTCATGGCTGAATTTTACCAAAAATTTAAAGATGACTTAATACCAATTCTACTGAAACTATTCCAAAAAACAAATGAGGAGGGAATACTTCCAAAGTCATTCTACAAGGCCAGTATTACCCTAATTCCAAAACCAGACAAAGACATATCAAAAATAGAAAACTACAGGCCAGTATCACTGATAATTATTGATGCAAAAATCCTCAACAAAGTACTAGCAAAACAAATTCAACAATACATTAGAAAGATCATTCATCATGCCCAAGTGGAATTTATCCCTGGAATGCAAGGATGGTTCAACATATGCACATCAATCAATGTGATACATTATGTCAACAAAATGAAAAATAAAAACCATATTATCACTTCAATTGGTGCTGAAAAATCATTTGATAAAATTCACCATCCTTCATGATAAAAATCCTCAAAAAAACTGAATATAGAAGAAACATACCTCAATATAATAAAAGCCATATATGACCCATCCACAGCTAGTATCATATTGAATGAGGACAAACTGAAAGCCTTTCCTCTAAGATCTGGAACAGAACAAGGATGGCCCACTGTCACCACTATTATTCAACACAGTACTGAAAATCCTACCTAGAGCAATCAGACAAGAGAAAGATATAAAGGGCATCCAAATTGGAGATAACAAAGTCAAATTATCCTTGTTTGCAGATGATATGATCTCATATTTGGAAAAACTTAAAGACTCCACAGGAAAACTATTAGAACTGATAAACAAATCAGTAAATTTGCAGGGTACAAAATCAACATACAAAACTTAGTAGCATTTTTATAAGCCAACACTGAACAATGTGAAAAAGAAATAAAAAATAGTCATACATAAAATAAAATATCTATGAATGAAATTAATCTAGGAAGTGAAAGATCTCTACAATGGAAACGATAGAACACTGATGAAAGAAATTGAATAGGACACACAAAAAATAGAAAAATATTCCATGTTCATGGATTGGAAGAATTGATATTGTTAAAATGTCCATATTACCCAAAGCAATCTACAAATTCAATTCAATCCCTATCAAAATACCAATGATATTCTTCACACAAATAGCAAAAAAGTTTATATGGAACCACAAAAGACTCAGAGTAGCCAAAGCTATCCCCAGAAAAAAGAACAAAACTGGAGGAATCATATTGCCTGACTTCAAATTATACTACAGAGCTATAGTAAACAAGACAGCATGATACTGGCATAAAAAAAAGACACATAGACCAATGCAACAGAATAGAGAACCCAGAAACAAATCCACACACCTACAGCAAACTCATTTTTCACAAAGGTGCCAAGAACATACACTGGGGAAAACACAGTGTCTTCAATAAATGGTGCTGAGAAAAGTGGATATCCATATGCGGAAGAATGAAACTAGACCCCTATCTTTCACCATATACAAAAATCAAATCAAAATGGGTTAAAGACTTAAATCTAAGACCTCAAACTACAAAGCAACTAAAAGAAAACATTGGGGAAAAATCTCCAGGACATTAGTCTGAGGAAAGATTTTCTTGAGCATTAACCCACAAGCACAGACAACCAAAGCAAAAATGGACAAATGGGATTACACCAAGTTAAAAATCTTCTGCACAGCAAAGGAAACAATGAACAAAGTGAAGAGATAACCCACAGAATGGGAGAAAATATTTACAAACTACCCATCTGACAAGGGATTAATAACCAGAATATATAATGAACTCAAACAACTCTATAGGAAAAAGTCTAATAATCCAATCAAAAAATGGTCAGAAGATTTGAATAGCCATTTCTCAAAAAAAAAAAAAAAAAAAGACATACATATGGCAAACAGGCATGTAAAAAAGTTCTCAGCATCAATGATCATCAGAGAAATGCATATCAAAAGTACAATGAGATATCATCTCACCCCAGTTAAAATGGCTTATATCCAAAAGACAGGCAATAACTCATGCTGGCAAGGATGTGGAGAAAAGGGAACCCTTATACACAATTGGTAGGAATCTAAATTAGTACAACCACTATGGAAAACAGTTTGGAGGTTCCTCAAAAAACTAAAAGTTGAACTATCATGTGATCCAGCAATCCCACAGCTGGGTATATACCCAAAAGAAAGGAAATCAGTATATCTAAGAGATAGCTGAACTCCTATGCTTGTTGCAGCACTGTTCACAATAGTTAAGATTTGGAAGCAACCTAAGTGTCCATCAACAGATGAACGGATAAAAAAAGGTGGTACTTAACACACCATGGAGTACTATTCAGGCATAAAAAAGAATGAGATCCAGTCATTTGCAACAACATGGATGCAACTAGAGATCATTATGTTAAGTGAAATAAGTCAGACACAGAAAGACAAATAGTACATGTTCTCACTTATTTGTGGGATCTAAAAATCAAAACAACTGATGTCATGGACATAGAGAGTAGAAGTATGGTTACCAGAGGTGGGGAAGGATAGTGGGGGATTGGAGGGAGGGAGGTTGGGATGGTTAATTGGTACAAAAAAATAGAAAAAATGAATAAGACCTACTACTTGATAGCACAATTGGGTGACTATAGTCAATAATAACTAAAGCGTATATTTTAAAATAACTTACAGAGTGTAATTGGATTGTTTGTAACTCAAAGGATAAATGCTCGAGGGGATAGATACCCCATTCTCCGTTATGCGCTTACTTCACATTGCATGCTTGTATCAAAACATCTCATGTGCCCCATAAATATACACACCTACTATGTACCCATAAAAATTGTAAAAATTAAAAAAGAAAATTTTTTAAAAGTACAGAAAACTGGTAGCTTCAACAACAGAAAATCATTGTCTTGCAGTTCTGGAGGCTAGAAGTTCGAAATCAAGTTGTCGGTAGTGTTGGTTCCTTACGGAGACTGTGTAAAAAGGATCTGTTCCAGATCTCTCTTATTAACTTGTAGATGGCCATTTTCTTCCTGTGCTCTTCACATCATCTCTCCTCTGTACATGTCTGTTTCTGTGTCTAAATTTCCCCTTTTGATTAGGATAACAATCATATTGGATTAGAAGCCCACCCTACTCCAGTATAATCTCACTTTAACTTAACTGATTATGTCTACGATTACCCTATTTCCAAATGAGGTAACATTCAGAGGTACTGGGGGTTATGACTTCAACATATGAGGTTTTAGGGAACACAATTCAACCCATAATAGTATCCATTTTAAGAACAAATTACCAATCAGCAAGAAACCTAGGCTCTAAATAGGACCTGGTTCATAATATAATGCTACATATTTTTGGTAAGATCTAAATTCCCCAAAGAAAGACACTTAACCCTATAAATAGATGTTCATGGTGATCTCCCTTTCTCTTTCATTCTTGTCACTATTCCTTTCTCTCTACTCTGTTCTCTTTAAATAGACTACCCTCCAGCAAATATGAGGGATGTTACATATGCAGGCTAGACCAAAACTCAGGTTTCTCTAGCATTGTTTTGTCTGGCCCAATAAATTTATTTTTCCTGCTCTGCTATAGACCACATACAAGGTCCTTTAATAATACCAAACAATAGCTTGATAGAAGTACATATACCTATTTTTTAAAAATGTACAAATAAAATAATTGTATGTGAAAGTTCTCACCTGCTTTCCCCACCCCAATCAATCAAACCGTAAGTTGACAGTCTCTAAAAACTGAAGCAGAAGGAAAGAATGCAACATTTCTTTTGCTTTGGATCACATCTACCTCTTTGTTCAGGATGTATACTTTGACTTGAACCATTCATTATGTATTTTTGTTCCCGACCTTGATTATACACTTCAGATGTGAAATTGTTCACAGATGGCTCAGTGATGGTCTTTTGTTACTTATCTAGGGAAAAATATTTTGCATCTTTGCATGAATATCTAATAAGAAAAGAAATTATCTGTACACTAGGAAAGATTAATGGATCGGGGCAATGTAAATCTACTGAGGATATTCTGATAGTGAGCCTGGTCCAAAATATTTGATCAGTGAAACCATAATATTTCGATTTCTTTGCAGCCTGTTTTGTGCAACTTCCAAGTCAAGATTATGAACATTTTCAGACTTTTTGCAAGACAGAATTCAATGGATTAACAATCAGCCTTGTAAGTATGTATCTCAATAGGTACATGAGTTCCTGTTGATTAAAATTTCAATTTAACATACATAAACTCTTCAATCAAATGCTTGAGGTATAAGTGGAGAAGCTGTATTAAGTCTAAGTGTTTAAAGTTTTTTGTGTATATATATCCAAATTAGGAAACCTTTCTCCTTTCTCTTCAGGTGTTCAGCACTCTTCTCTTGTCTATTCATCAAATCTTACCCTTAGAGAAATATCTAAAACTCATTTATATATATATTCAAGTGTGTCTGATAACATCTTATAGTGTTACAACTTTCAAGGAGCATTGTAATTGTTATTATTATTATCATTGTTAGGTGTTTAATCTTTAACATATGGCACTAAAACTGTGCAGTGGGATTTCAGGCATCTGTAATATATTTGAGGGCACAAATTTAAAAAAATAGAAGAGACAATTTTTCTGCATCATTGAAGACCTGTGTTAGTAAAATCCATCTTTACTACCTAAGGCAGACTTTCCAACTAACAATTTGTGAACCATTAGATTGTCATGAAATTGATTTAGTGGGCTGCAACTAGTAATTTCTTAAACAAAATAGGACAGAACTCAGTTTAGAAGACTAAGGTAGAAAACACCAGATCTTGTGTGTATATGTACATATTATCGAACCAAAAGCTTAATTTAAAATACTGCTATTAATACTGAGTCTCTGTATAAAGTGTGTATTTTACTGGGTGTCGTTGTGGAAAACAGGTGAAAGGCACTGGTAGGTGGAAGATGCAGTTCTATTTAGACAATACTATAAAAGACATTCATAAGAAATACCTTAGGATTCCATCTAAGGACTGGCAACTCTCCTGTCAATTTCAAAAGAAAATTTTCCATATTTCTAATATTATCATTCAACAAATATTTACCGGGTGCTCACTGAGCCCAGTAGAGTTCCATACAAAAGACACAGTCAAATACAACAGTCTTTATTCTTGAGAAATCCACATTCCTCTAGGGAGATAGACCACAGAAACAAGTACAATGCAGTGTGAAACTGAGAGTGCTGATCACAGAGGGCCCTAGGTGGCAGAGGAAGGGCTACTGACCCAGACCAAAGAGATTTCCTGCAGGTGGTGACCCCAGACCTTAGTCTTCATGGGCAAATAAAGCTAACCAGCTCTATCAGTCTGGGTCCAGTCAGGGAAATGGAACTCACACTGTGTAGTTCAAGATGAGGGATTTATAACAAAGCTGCAAAGGTGCTGGAAGAGTTGATAGGGCACACAGCAAAAGGTGAAGAAATTCAGAGGTTAGCACCTCCAGGAAACCACTCAGGCTCCCTAAGCTTGGAGAGATAAAAAGAAGAGATGATTGTACCTGTGAGGAGCAAGGGCATCTGGGGCTGCCATGTGGGAACAGAGCTATAAAAGTGTGTGCCCAGATGGGAGCTGGAACCAGAGAGAACATGCAGTATTGCCTGGGAAGCTACCTGTAGCACAGATGAGGGGAAAATCCCCTGATTTCTGTCTTCTTTCTGCATACCAGTTTTTCATCCCTGCCTCCCAGTGCCCAAGTAAAGGAGTCTAAAGAATGTGTTTTGCACGGGTCAGCTCCCAGTGCTACTGAAGAGAGCTGGGAAAAGTTGGGGAATGGATGGGAGAGCAAATGGACAAATAAGAAGCAGAAGACCACGCAGGGATATTGAGGGACAAGAGAAAAATACAAGTCTGGAGGAGGTGTGAGCTGCTCAATATGGTTGGATCGCAGGCAGACAATGGAAACTGGTGAAAGATATTATTAGGCAGGTAACCCATCTCTAGACCATAGATAACCCTGTGATCATTCTAAGAAGTTTGCATTTTTTTGGTCAAGATCTGAGTCGTTGAAGGTTCTGGTGTGACTGTGTGTGTGTGTGTGTGTGTGTGTGTGTGTATACATGCAATGTTTTTGTTAAAATCAAATAAAAACACATACATGATTTTTTTGTAAGTCCAGAAGTAAAGAGCTGAAAGTTGTTGAAAACCACTGTGGTGCACACCATCCTTTCTTGCCCCATTTCTGCTTCTCAAAAGAATCCCTTTTAGCTACCTCTGTTTCAGTTATTTGAGTGGTTTCATTAGCAAGTTGACTTGTGATGCTACTTCATGATGCTATTTCTTCTTGATTTTACAAATGTAGACATTTTATCTTGAGGACTCCTTTGCTATAGGAGATAAGGACTTAGTACATTTATGTTAAAACCCCCATTTCTCTCTTTTACTTCTAATTTTTGATAAGTACACTATTATTTTTAGCTATTCTGTTTTTCTTTAACCCTTTGGAACTTTAAATGATCATTCCTTTTGTCCAAGCCATGTTTAACAATATCTGTTGATAACTCCTCCTACATTGTGCAGTGGGGATGTGAATGTTCCTATATTCCCTTTCACTGCTCATTACCTGCTTCCATTTCCTGACTTTTGCTAGCTTTAAATTCACTTATTAGTCTGGAGCATAATTACATATATATAAGCTGACTTCTGAGAGATGAAATATAACATATACTGTAAAGTGGCGAAATCCTTCAAGTCTTTCTGACCCTAGAGTCCACTTTTAATACCACTATTCTCCATTCCAAGGTGGAGTGTACATTAATCCTTTAGATTCAAGGCTATGTTGGAAACAGATGATGTGATTAAAAACCATATCCTTACTAATGTCTCCATTATTTTTTTCTAGAATAAAGTGGTCATTTAGGCAAAAGTATTTTAACTAGCCTTGAAATAATAGAACTTGTTTTCCTATTCTAAAGTCAATTTAAGGGGAAATTAGTTTATATATAAGTTCATATCTCAATGATAAAATAATCACAGAAAACTGATTTGTCTTTGGAAAAATAAACAAAATCCTTCTCAAAAGAGAAGGTAGAACTGTCAGTGTGATTATACCTTTCTCTATGCAGCTGATGAGGCCTTAGAAAGTTGCCTGCTAATCACATCTTTAATAAACAGAATTGCATTGCAGGATCATTAATGGACCTCACAATTCAAAATAATTCCATGATGACTCTTTTTTATGGTACAGAATTCTTTTATGGTACAAATAATCATCTTCAGTTTATTTTTCAGTCAATCTAAGTTTTCACATATTGACTTTGCTTAATTCACAACACAGCTGTGTTTATGGAGAAAACTGAACTTTTGTAGATGAGTAACATTATCATCATTCATTTTCTCCAGACTATGAAGAATAGGCAAAGATGACAGCTATGATCCTTCAGGCTTGCCAAGAGCTTACCAGAGTGATCTTTTATAAACATGAGATGGATATTTTCCCTAAGACACACACACTTTCAGTTCCTTTAAAAAACTTTCCATGAAGCCTGAGCCAGGGAGGAAAGACAGATAAGACTGCTGTCCACCTCTATCTGCCTCCTGTCGTCCTTGCTTCCTTCACACATCCTCACCTCTAAGATTAAGAGAGAAGCTAATCAATATTTTTTAGAGTCTCTCAAATTAGAAGTGGCCACTTTCTGCAGCCTCTTCAGCAGTCCCAATATGGCTCTCGGTTGTTTCATGGGGTCATCAGTCTTAAAATAGAGTGAGACCTGGTGGTACAGGTTTGATAAATTTTGCTCGGTAAACTCAGCAGATTTACCTATCTACTGAAGGTAGACCATAATATTAGGCAACTTAAGACTTCTGATGATGCCATAGAGAAAATAATAAGTTTCCAGTAAAGCCATTTCTGGGAATCCAATCTAACAGACGTTAACTCTTTTTTTTTTTTTTGAGACAAAGTTTTGCTCTTGTTGCCCAGGCTGGTGTGCAATAGCGTGATCTCGGCTCATTGCAACCTCAGCCTCCAGGTTCAAGCGATTCTCCTGCCTCAGCCTCCCAAGTAGCTGAGATTACAGGCATGCGCCACCGTGCCCAGCTAATTTTGTATTTTTAGTAGAGACGGGGTTTCTCCATGTTGGCCAGGCTGGTCTCAAACTCCTGACCTCAGGTGATCCACCCACCTCGGCCTCCCAAAGTGCTGGGATACAGGCATGAGCCACCGTGCCTGGCCCAGATGTTAATTTTTAAAAAGAAGCATAAAACCTTATTTTATTTTTATAACAGGATAAAAATTAAAGAATCAAAGTAGCTAGCAGTAAGGGAAGGAAAGATGATGTACCTCATGAGATACCAGGCAGCCAGTATAAGGATAATTATGAAGACTATGGAGCGACCAGGAAAATGGTTCTGATAAACACATGTGCTCTAATTACAGTGATACAAGGAGACAAACATCTATGGATGACTACTGGAGATGAATACACATGTTTTGTTTGGGAGGACCAGTTGCAAGTAACATTTGCATAACTTCCAAGTATTGTTAATACTGTTGTATGATCTTTATGATAAAAGAGGAGAAACATGTTAGAGGTTATTAAAATCATTTTTTTTTTTAGCTTTTATTTTAAGTTCAGGAGTACATGTTCAGGTTTGTTATACAGGTAAACTTGTGTCATGGGGTTTGTTATACAGATTATTTGTTCACTCAGGTATTAAGCCTAGTACTCATTAATTATCTTTCCTGATCCTCTCCCTCCTCCCACCCTCCACCCTCCAATAGGGCCCAGTGTGTGTTGTTCCCTTCTATATGTCCATGTGTTCTCATGACTTAGCTCCCACTTAAAAGTGAGAACATGCAGTATTTGGTTTTCTGTTCCTTCATTAGTTGGCTAAGGATAATGGCCTCTAGCTCTATCCATGTCCCTGCAAAGGACATGATCTCATTCTTTTTTATGGCTGCATAGTATTCCATAGTGTATGTGTACCACATTTTCTTTATCCAGTTCAGCATTGATAGGCATTTAGGTTGATCCCATATCTTTGTTATTGTAAATAGTGCTGCAATGAACATATGGATGCATGTGTCTTTATGATAGAACAATTTTATTCATTTGGGTATATACCCAGTATGGGATTGCTAGGTTGAATGGTAGTTTTATTTTTAGATCTTTGAGGAATCACCACACTGTTTTCCATAATAGCTGAACTAATTTACACTCCCATCAACAGTGTATAAGCATTTCTTTTTCTCCACAATCTCGCCTGCATCTCTTATTTTTTGACATTTTAATAATAGCCATTCTGGCTTGTGTGAGAGAGTAACTCACTGTGGTTTTAATTTGCATTTCTTTAATTTGCATTGCAAATCCTAGGTGTAAGAAAGAGAGAGGTGCCCCTCCTATCTGGGGCTCAATGATATTGAGCTTTTTTTCATATGCTTTTTGGCTGCAAGTATGTCTTTTGACAAGTGTCTATTAATGTCCTTTGCCCACATTTTGATAAGGTTTTTTTTTCTCTTGTAAATGTAAGTTCCTTATGGATTCTGGGTATTAAACCTTTGACAGATGCATAGTTTGCAAATATTTTCTCCCATTCTGTAGGTTGTCTGTTTACTCTGTTGATAGTTTCTTTTGCTGCATAAAAGATCTTTTGTTTAGTTAGGTCCCATTTGTCAATTTTTGCTTTTGTTGAAATTGCTTTTGGCATTTTTGTCATGAAATCTTTGCCCATTCCTGTGTCCAGAATGGTATTTCTTAGGTTATCTTCAAGGGTTTTTATAGTTTTGGGTTTTACATTTAAGTCTTTAATCCATCTTGAGTTAATTTTTGTATATGGTGTAAGGAAGGGGTACAGTTTCAATCTTCTGCATATGGCTAGCCAGTTATCCCAGGAGCATTTATTGAGTAGGGAGTCCTTTCTCTATTGCTTGTTTTTGTTGACTTTGTGGAAGATTAATTTT